>NC_000018.10:60787528-62037528 GCF_000001405.40 Homo sapiens | reverse complement strand
AGGCAGTGGTTGTGCTGCTCAGGAGGGCCAGCTTCACTAGGCCTTTACGTCCCTGCTTTGTCTGCACGATGGGGCCCTGGGCTGTTCCACCCATGCCCACTGAGGGGCTTTCATGTGGACAGGCCCGGCCATGGCCCATACAACACCAACCAAGGTAGATATCAGCCTTATTTTCCAGATAAGAAAACTGAAGTTCCAAGAGACTAAATGAATGTTCCAGAGTCCTCCCTTTGGCAAGTTGATTTGCTAGTCAACTCAGAGCTAATTTCAGTCTAAGTCTAAAGCGAAAACTTTTAATCACCAGACTCCCTTAGGGGTATACAACTGCTTCCTTGGGGATGCCAGAAAAATAGTCCACACAGACGATAACACTTGGAAACAAAATACATTTATCCTTTGCTTAGGTCACATGAGTGGAATTACATAGATGATGACAGCAGTAGCCTTAATGTGCAGGTCAGTGGCATGAGTTAAAGTAAGACATTGCATTAATCAGCAGATAATTCAATATCCTCTCCTAGTCAAGCAGAGTGGGGATACAAAGTATAAGACATCAGTCCTGCCCTTGAAGAGCTTGTGTTGTAATTGAGGAGGTAATAATAATGAAACTGGCAGATCATATTTACTGAGTGCTTCCTCTGCACCAGCTGGTTGACCTCAAATCCCTCACGTGTCCCAGGTCAAGGAAGACCAGCAATGAAAGTTATGGGCAGTTGAATGCTGAGTGGCCAGACATGATGGCAGGTTAACATACCAGTTAGCATCTGCTAAGATAAGGATTCTTTCAGGGCCTATGGCAGTAATATGCTCCTCCTGAAATGCAATGTCCTAACTAGCAGTTGACAAAAAAGAAGGGCATAATATGGCCATTGAGAACCAGTGGAATGAAACCAGCCCTGTGGACAGCTTTGTAGCCCCTAGTTTAGGATCTCTCCATAGTTTCCTTGCTCCATAAACAATTTGTTATGTAAGAAATTCAAGTACTAAAATATCCAGAGGAAAAACAACATAATCCACGGTTCACATGTGTTTTACTTGTGGCAAGCATTGCTAGTTACCTACCCAGTATCCACTCTCCTTTTTTACCATCAGAACCTTGATTTGTTTGTCAGAAATATGCCCAGAGCCAGGCAGGGTGGCATACACCTATAGTCCCAGCTACTCAGGAGGCTGAGGCAAGAGGATTGCTTAAGCCCAGGAGTTCAAGGACAGCCTGGGCAACATAGTGAGACCACATCTCTAAAAAAATCTTTAAAAAAAAAAGTATACTGGGATTTAAAAAACAACAACAACAATTAAAAAGAAAAAAAAAGAAAAAAAACTCATCTTCCCTTGCAATGATGCATGCCAATGCAGTGCAGCTCTTGCCAATTATGTACACACAGAAGTCTCTGGGTAGAGCTTCTGGAAACCTCAGTGGAGCTGATGTTCCTTCCTGCCTGTTGCCTTTTCCTCCTGTATCTGAAATGTAGGCATGCTGCTGGAGGTGGAGCAGTTTTGCAACCTAGGAATAATGCATTTGAAAATGAAACTACCTGGAAAGGAAGGCTTAGCTGGAAGATGGATGATGACTGAGTCCATGGTAGAATCCCTTAGCTGCTCACCATACCACCCTAGAAAAGCTCACCTCCAGCTTCTGGATACATGAGAAAAGTAAAGCCTTTTTTGGTTAAGCACTCTAAATCTGATTATGTTCCTGACATACTTGATGAAATTAGAAATATAAGTACTTGTTAAAAATAGGTTTTCAAACACCGCATGTTCTCACTCATAGGTGGGAATCGAACAATGAGAACACTTGGACACAGGATGGGGAACATCACACACCGGGGCCTGTTGTGGGGTGGGGGGAAGGGGGAGGGATAGCATTAGGAGATATACCTAATGTAAATGATGAGTTAATGGGTGCAGCACACCAACATGGCACATGTATACATATGTAACAAACCTGCAGGTTGTGCACATGTACCCTAGAACTTAAAGTACAATAAAAAAAAGATAAAAAAGTAATAAGTTAGGTTTCTTAAATAAGGCCTTCTGAAAAAACAAGATTGAACTGTCTGGTTTCCCAGGGGAACTCCACAGCTGCGGGAATTTAAACATTATGATATTGAGTTACAATGTTTTGTTCAGAGATGGCCATAATCAAGGCATTGGTTCAAGGTCTTAGTTGAACTTTACATATAACTATACAAAAATCAGTAGATTAATTTGCCATTGCTTTTCTTTGGGGTGCATTTTTGTATCAGTTCGTTCTCATTCTGCTAATAAAGACATACCCAAGACTGGGTAATTTACAAAAGGAGAGAGATTTAATGGACTTACAGTTCCACATGGCTGGGGAGGCCTCACAATCATGGTGGAAGGTGAATGAGGAGCAAAGTCATGTCTCACATGGTGGCAGGCAAAAAAAGCATGTGCAGGGGAGCTCCCCTTTATAAAACCATCAGATCTCATGAGATTTATTCACTATCATGAGAACAGCACAGGAGAAACCCACCCCCATGGTTTAATTACCTCCCACAAGGTCCCTCCCATGACAAGTGGGGATTATTACAATTCAAGGTGGTTTGGGTGGGGACACAGAGCCAAACCATAGCATTCTCCCCCGGCCCCTCCCAAATCTTATGTCCTCACATTTCAAAACCAATCATGCCATCCCAACAGTCCCCCAAAGTCTTAATTCATTTCAGTATTAACTCAGAAGTCCACAGTCCAAAGTCTCATCTGAGACAAGGCAAGTCCCCTTCCTTTACATGAGCCTGTAAAATCAAAATTACTTCCTAAATACAGTAGGGGTACAGATATTGGGTAAATACACCTGTTTCAAATGGGAGAAGTTGGCCAAAACGAAGGAGCTACAGGCCCCATGCAAGTCCAGAATCCAAGAAGGCAGCAATTAAATCTTAAAGCTTCAAAATAATCTCCTTTGACTCCATGTCTCACATCCAGGTCACACTGATGCAAGAGTTAGGCTCCCACGGCCTTGGGCAGCTCCACCCCTGTGGTTTTGCAGGGTACAGCCCCAGTCCTGTCTGCTTTCATGGGCTGGCATTGAGTGTCTGTGGCTTTTTCAGGTGCACGGTGCAAGCTGTTGGTGGATCTACCATTCTGGGGTCTGGAGGACAGTGGCCTCTTACAGCTCCACTAGGCAGTACACCAGTGGAGACTCTGTGTGGGAGCTCCAACACAGGAGGCTGAGGCAAGAGGATTGCTTAAGTCCAGGAGTTCAAGGACAGCCTGGGCAACATAGTGAGACCACGTCTCACTTATTAGATTCAGAAAACAGAACAAAACAAGGAACACATTGGCTTTCTAGCCATTCACCAATGGGTTGTATGGTTTTAAAATGTTTGCTATTTTATCTATTGGTCCTCAAAGCTAGAGCCCTGCCTCTTTCAAGACTTTACCAGGTTATAAGGGAAACACAAAGGCATATTCAACCTAATTCTTGCCCTCAAGAAACTGATAATGCAGTTTAGGAGGCAGAATTTATGCACTCTAGAATCACACAGACCCATCTGGGCTCTGCTTCTTATTAGTTGTGTGACCTTAGACAAACCCCTCTGAGTCTCAACTGATTCATCTGTAATACTGTGATAATACTGCCTGCCCCATGACATGTTTATTGGTCTCAATGCACTTATGACTTAGATTAGATTGAAACATTAAATTGTATTAAATTTGTTTACAGGCTTCACCTCTGAATAAGAACATTAGCTTCTTAGTGCACTGCATACTTAAAGTATGGGTATAGATGATACAGCTGGTGAATAAAGGCAGCATGTGATATTTGCCTTACGAGCAATACGTGCAACAAGTACTCAGAGACTCCGAGAGAGAAAGCTCAGGAAAACTGATGTGCCAAGAAGGCCAGCAATTGAGAAGGGGCTTGAGGGAAGAGTTCAAATAAGCATAGTTCTACAATGAAATACAGAACTCAATTTATATTCAGAAGTAAAAGATTTAATTCCATTGATCACATGTTTGTAGGCATTCGTGCTTAATGAACCATCAGCATGTGTAAGGCACTGAACTAAACACTTTAGAAGAAGTAACAGATATAATCTACTATCAGTCACGTTTATCAAAGGAAACTAAGATTCAGGTTAACTCACCCAAGTCAAACAGCCAGGAAGTGGTGCAGTTTTTTTATTTCATACAGTTCAGTATGAGGCAGCCTCTTATCGGTATGCTTTCCTCTCAATCCAACTTTACAAATCCAGTGATTTTATGTAGACAAGCCATACTGTGGAGGTGTTATTTTGATTGTCAGCGTTCTACCTTCTTATTTGCGTGGATTTCTATTAAAGGGGTCTTGGGGGGATGCAGTGCTCTGCCTCCCACTATAGAAGCTGAAGGTGGCCCCATATAGTGGTTCTTAGCAGCCCAGCTGGGGCAGACACTAGCTATGGCATCCAAGGAAACTGCAATGATGTTCCTTGCAGGTCCCCTTGGCTGCGTCCTCTGTGGCCCAGCTTCCCTTGGTCCCCAACCATTTGTTAAGCCTGCCTAGTTACTCTACAAGCCATTTGTATCCTAAAAACTTTTGTCTGCATCTCTGTTACTTGTGACCAAAACCTTTAATTGATATGCATACATTGAATGTGTTTGTATCTCTTCAGCATTTAGTGTGATTTCTCACTGTGGCTTTTAACAAAATTTTCATGAACTCTTGTGTAGTCCTTACAATGTGCCAGACGCTGTTTTAAATGCTTTACAAATACTAACCTCTTTAATTCTTATAAGAACCCTGTGAGGTAGGTATTATTATACTATTTTACAGATGGGAAAACTGAAACACTGGATAATTATAAATAACTTGCCCAAGATCTCACAGCTAGTAAACAATGAGACTTTTAAAAAAAATTTTAAATGCATAGTTTTCCCAAACATTTTGTCTTGTCATCAGCATAAGAGCATCTGTAGATTTTTGTTTCTGAAAATGCAATCACTGCAGCTAACCAGGTGGTGTGGAAACTAGACTTTTTCCATTGCATATAGATAATCAAGTATGAACAGTATACTTAGGAAAACATGCTCCTGAAGTTGACTACGTGTGTGCAGTTGGCTTGGGGCACACTTGCACCAGATTCTTGACATTCACCTTTGAAGCATATGCCAGCTGCGTTCCAGATGGCATGTGAAGCAGAAGGATGAAGAGCTTTCCTCAGTTTTCTTTTAATCAGCATTAAAGGATGGAAGTAAATATTGGTTGTCTATTTTTAAGCAATTGAAGTTTGCAAAGACATGGAAGTTCACAGTATACTTAGTATAGTGGTGTGAATTATGGGTGCCCCAAAAGATCTCTCCACATCCTAGCCCCCAGCATCTGTGAATGTGACCTTATTAGGAAAAAAGGAGTCGCTGCAGATACAATGAAGGATGCTAAGATGAGCTCATCCTGGATTATCCAGGTGGTCCCTAAACCCAATGGCAAAAGTCCTTAAAAGGAACAGAAGAGAAGTCACAAGAAGGATTAGGCCATGTGAAGCTGGAGGCTGAGAGTGATGCAGCCACAAGCCAAGGAACACCTGGAGTCACCAGAAGCTGGAAGAGGCAAGGAAGGATCCACCCCGAGAGCCTTAAGAGGGAGCAGCACTCTACTGGTACCTGGATATAGGACTTTGGAACTGTGAAAAAATAAATTTCCATTGGTCAAGCCACTCTGTTTGTGATAATTTGCTATGGCAGCCACAGGAAATGAGTACACTTGGGGAGGTAAATTTTTCACTTCTCTGATTGTTTAGTACTTTGACACATATCACTCAAATCCTTACCATAAGAGGTTAGCTACAGAAACATGAAAACAGAAAAGAAAAAAAATGGTCCCAAAGAAATCATTTGCCCTGTTTCTTTTGAATATTCATTTTTGAGGCAAAATCCGGGCTGTGCCTGCATGTTTGGGGAGGATGGTCCCTGACCCCTTGGCTGCATCTGGGGATAGTGTAGATTTTAGGAATACTGTGCTTCTTCCTTGGGGCAGAGCATCACTCAACTTTTCATTTCCCTTCAAAGAAATTTCCATCTACTGAAATCCATTTCAGTGGACTCAGAAGGTTCATCCCTACTTTTTATTCCAAGGGTTCCCATAAATAGTTTCAGACAAATTTGTTCCATGATGTTTCCTCAGTCTTGGTTTATGAGATATGCCTAACATATGTGTATTAGTCTGTTCTCATGCTGCTAATAAAGACATACCCAAGACTGGGTAATTTATAAAGGAAAGAGCTCACAGTTCCACATGGCTGGGGAGGCCTCACAATCATGGTGGAAGGCGAATGAGGAGCAGTCATGTCTTACATGGCAGCAGGCAAGAGAGCTTGTGCAGGGAAACTGCCATTTATAAAACCATCAGAACTTGTGAGACTTATTCATTACCATGAGAACTGTATGGGGGAAACCACTCCCATGATTCAATTATCTCCACCTGGCCTTGCCCTTGACATGTGGGGATTATTATAATTCAAGGTGAGATTTGGGTGAAGACACAGCAAAACCATACCAATATGTGTACACTTTTTAAGAGTTATATATTTAATTTAATTTAGAGACAGGGTCTCACTGTGTTCCCCAGGCTGTACTCAAACTCCTGGGCTCAAGCCATCCTCCCACCTCAGCCTCGAGTAGCTGGGACCATCCTCAAGCCATCCTCCCACCTCAGCACTTGAGTAGGTGCATGACACTGTACCCGGCAAGAGTCATATATAAGTTAGTACTTAGAAATCCCCAAAGGCACATGCAGTGCCACACAGTGGTGAGAAGATCATGATCTTTTTTTCCTCATTTTGAAAGTGCAGATAATAGCACAAGCAATTTACTGGGCCACAAGTTTGAGTATCAGAGTTCAACATGAAATGTGAATATAAAAATATCAGCACAATGTGAAGATAAAAATATCAGCACATAAACCTAAAGGTGGAGTTCACTACTCTTTAATGTCAAGATTGCTAATGGTTTGGCTTTTCTGGAACATTCCTGCCATATTTTTCTGGACATGTATAGAGCTCTGTGACTTTCCTTTTCCCTTTGATATTTCTGGTATTTATGTGTCTGGATCCAATTGAAACCAGGAAGTTGAAAGTTTATGATAAACCCGGTTGTCCTTTTAACTGTTGCCCTCAGGGGCTTACTTGAGAAGTGCCTCATTCTCAGTAATTCTGTGACATCCATGACCTGATCCAGGATGTAGAAGAGAATGTCCCCCCAGGATCTCTGTGTGCAAGTCCTCTGAGTCCTGATCCAGATTTGGCGTAAGTTAGACATACCACCACAGGCCTCTGCAACAGGGCCTGACACCATCACAAGAACATTCTCTGCATCTCAGAGTGAAGCCTTCTAGTGGCATTTCACTTGTTAAGCCCCTGAGTCTTATGTAATGCTAACCGACATTCTGGCTTATAAGATCTTATCTCATGTCAGTCTGATGGCTGGAGCTGCTGTTCTAAATGCTTCCAGGGCCTCGGAGGCTGACCAAACTCACTGGAGTCTGAGACCGGAGAATAATGAGAGGAGGACCTGTTATCCATCCCCTGGGTCTTCTCTGCAATCCATCCCCTGGATCTTCTCTGCATTTGAGAGCTTGTGTGGCGAGAGGCTCACTCAAGGGACCTCTTAGTTTATCTGGTAGACCTGCTCCTTCAGGATGCTACTAATACGGGAACAAAGTTGATGAGTCCTGGATCTGGTTTTATGAGTTTGACCCAATGCAATGAATGCTTTAATGTGAGCTGCAGATGCATGTCACTCCTGCCGAGGAATTAGATGAAGTTTAATGAAAGGCCAGTATCTTCTCCTGCTAAGAGTTCTGTTCTGCTCTCTCTGTTCCTATTCCTAGTCTCCCTTCTCCCCTCCGCCTCCCCACTTATGTCGTTGCTTTTCTGAGTGGCCATTGGAAGTTCTGGCTTTACTCCTGAATATATCCTGGAGCATAGCAGTCACCGGTACTAAATACCCTCTTCCCTTCCTCATTAAATTTTCAGATTAAGCCAGTTTAACTGGCTGTTGACAATGCAAATATATCTTCAAGAAAGAAAAGAAGTTTAATGTCCTTTCATGCACCCATCTACCCAACCATCCTTCCATCCCCTTTCTATCTTTACCTACCTGAGCCCTTGTGACTCAGCTGTGAGGTTGGATTAGGGAAACCGAAATGGTTAGAGACCGTTATAATGACCTTACAATCAGGTGCTTCTCAGGCTTTGCAGGTGGTGAGAAAGGCTGGTGGGAATATGAGAAAAAAGAAGAGAGAGGGGGAAGATCCAAATGGTTCTCTGGATCAGTTTATCCAAAGGACAGAGAAAAACGAAAAGTGGTTTAAAGTTATCAAAAGATGGAACAGTCCTTCTTCTTCATCCAAAGCATCTTCCTCCCACTCTTTCCTGTCCCTTCAAAACTGTATGGCTGCACAGGATTCCATGGGAGGAAGACAAAGAGATGGAAGGCACATGGAAGTGACTCTCACCAGGCACCACTGGCCTCCATGTCCGCAGTCCAGTGGCTTGTCCCTGTCTGTTTTGTGCTAGAACTCTCCATGGCCTTTGACTCTGGGGACCATTTTACATAATAGCTGCACAACATCTGTGCTGTTTTTCATATGGAGAGTTGACAGCGCTGATCTACTGCTGCAAAGGACAAGCATGTTGAATTGCTTTTTGGGAATTCTAGCAGTGTTGCTATCAGTGAAAACTGTTGCCCTTTCTTCCTCTGATGATAATTTCCTTACTTGGGAAGCAAACCCAAAACCTTATCCTTGTTAGCTCCATATTCTAAGAAGCTAAGAAAACAGAACTGGGATGCTGCTATCAAAGGAACAATGCCATCTCTTATTCGAGAAAACTCCTGCGACTTGGATCTACGTGAAAATGTAGATCATTTCACAATGGCATCTTGCTCAGAACTGTTAATTTTTTACAGCACAATGCTTTTCAATTTAAGTAATTAGAATCATAATGGAGACAAGAAGGAGTAGAAACTTGCTTCTAAAAATTTTAAGCAGAAAATGTCTGAAGCTTTGTTGAGAAGATGATTCTTGCCAGCTACTGCCATACCAAATAATGGCATTTCTTTCAACTAAAATATTTTTAAAGGCTTCTTGTTTAAATTTCTTCTATTTCTTTTTAGAGCAGATGGTCTAAATGACCAAAGCCTACGCCAAGAGGGTTTGATTCATTCTTTCGGAGGTGCTGACACCTTGGAAGTGTAAACAGCTGGATGGCTCAGGAGAATAAAGTCAGCTGAATTGCTCTACTCTATCAGTGCTGTTGCAGATTTTTGTTGTCACAACTGGCAGAGACACTTTCCCAGGAGGCTCAGGTATATAAAGGCGTGAAGCACCTGAAAACTGTCAGCTGTTCTTATCATCTCCGCTGTCATTGTCACGAGAAGCTAGGGGAAAGAGCTGGAAGTGGATTTGCCCTCCATTCGGCAGGGTATTCCATGTATTGTGGAACCCAGTGCTTGCAGCAGCCTTGCCACAGGGGAGCACAGTGTAAGTGGTGATATTGGAATGCACTGTATGCTGATAGGGAAAAGGCACATTTACATAGAAATAAGGATTGATCACCTTATTGCCTTTTTCTTTTTCTTTTCTTTTCTTTCTTTCTTTTTTTCTTTTTTTATTGAGACAGGGTCTCATTCTATCACTCAGGCTGAAGTGCAGTGGCGTGATCACGGCTCACTGCTGCCTTGACCTCCCAGGCTCAAGCAATCCTCCCACCTCAGCCTTCCTAGTAGCTGGGATAACAAGTGTGTGCCACCACACCCAGCTAAAGTTCTCACTATTGTGAAAGGAAAATAAATCTTGGCGACCCAAAATTGCTAAGCTAAATGTCAAACTAGGACCTGTTCAGGGCAAACCTGTCTCCCATTCTATTCAAAGTCACCCCTCTGCTCACTGAGATAAATGCATATCTGGTTGCCTCCTTTGGAGAGGTTCGTCAGAAACTCAAAAGAATGCAACCGTGTCTGTTATCTACCTACAACCTGGAAGCCCACTCCCTGCTTTGAGTTGTCCCGCTTTTGCTTCGCGTTGTCCCGCCTTTCTGGACTGAACCAATGTTCATCTTACATATCTTGATTGGTGTCTCATGTCTCCCTAAAATGTATAAAACCAAACTGTGTTTTGACCACCTTGGGCACATGTCGTCAGGACCTCCTGAGGCTGTGTCATGGGCACGTGTCCTCAACCTTGACAAAATAAACTTTCTAAGTTAACTGAGACCTGTCTCAGATATTTGGGGTTCAAACTATGTTGCCCAGGTTGGTCTTGAACTCCTGGGCTCAAGGGATCTTCTCCTCTCGGCCTCCTTTATTTATTTATTAATTTGAAATGGAGTCTCACTCTGTCACCAGGCTGGAGTGCAGTGGCATGATCTGGGCTCACTGCAACCTCTGCCTCCCGGATTCAAGTGATTCTCCTGCCTCTGCCTCCTGAGTAGCTGGGGTTACAGGTGCCTGCCACCACACCCAGCTAATTTTTGTATTTTTAGTAGAGAGGGGGTTTCACCATGTTGGCCAGGCTGGTCTCGAACTCCTGACCTCAGGTGATCCACCTGCCTCGGCCTCTTAAAGTGCTGGAATTACAGGCGTGAGCCACCGCGCCTTGGCCCCCCGTCAGCCTCCTTTAAAAGCTTGTCCCTCAAAGGAAACATCCTTCTCAGGCCACACTGATTTGCACATTTGCAGTAGTCATGGCTCCACATTGTTCTGTGATGACTAAGGTGTTGCCTCCTTCCTACTTCCCTGGGAACTTCTGATATGTCTGTCAAGTTCCCAAGACAAATTCATTCTGGAATGTCTTTTGACAAGAGTGGCAGTAGCAGAGGCAGAGTCAGGAAGGCTGTTGGGGTTCTCCGTGTGAAGAAAGTACACTGGGTACATTTTGAAGTAATAACAGATATCAAACTTTATAAAATTGTTACCCCAGACAGTTTTTAAGTAGATTACTCTCCAACTTGAAAGGTTTGGTTTTTTCAGAGAGGCCTGTAGGCTGCTATTTATCTTTGTTCTTGTGCCAGTATCAGTATAATTTGTCATCAGTTGGTTCTTGGGGCTGTGGAATTGGTGGTAATCAAATACAGAATGAAATTTTCACCTGTTCTTGAAATTCAAGGTGGGCTAAGATTGCTTAAATGTATGTCACTCTTTAGAATTTATAATGCTGAGTCTTGTTCAAATTGGTTGCTCCGTTCTTTTTTTTTTCTGCCAACTTTCAGATTATCTGTTGAAAATGGACATAATAGCATTAACTGTATCTTTTTGTTTAAACATCAAAATTCACATTTCAAGAAGCTAGAATGCTTCCTTAGCGCCTAAGCATTCTATGTAATCCTTTTTGTTTTTCCTTTAACAGAGATAAATTACTGAGTTCTTATGGGTGCCACTCATACTGCAATGAATGAACGGGATTTATAAAGGAATAACTGAGCTATCACAATGTGAGTGATATTACAAATAAATGTGTCCCGGGTGCTATGGAGGCTCAGGAGGGACACCAATAACTTCCGACAAGGTGCAGGGATTGGGTAGATTTCACAGCTCTGATACTGGATGTAGGTCTTGTTGTGACAGTTATTATTAACTTGGAGGAATTTAGGACCAGACGCATGGGTAGCAACAATCTAAGTAAAAGACGAATGGAACTTGAATTAAGACAGGGGCAGTGGCAGGAGGCATATATGAAACTTTCTGGAGGCTTGTTGAATTGACTGGATGTAGGGGCTGAGGGGGATGGAGAAGTCACAGGTGGTGGATATTCCTGCTTAGACACTGAGTGAATATGGGTACTTTGGCTTAGGTAGGAAACCCGGGAGGAGAAGACATTTAGGGCATGATAATAAATTTTATTCTAGACATGGTCAGTGTGAGGTGTCCAGATGCAACCTGGAGGGAATGTCCAATGGAGGTTTGCATAAGCAAGACTTAGAAACAAGCTCTGTGCTGAACAGACACATATGGGAGTGCTAAGCATGGCATGTAACGTCTTTTGTGAAATAGTCCCTGGCTGTGCTTCCAGCTTCATCTCTTGCTATTTGCCTCTCTCATTATGTTTGCTAAGCTTATCCAACCACATGCAGTTGTATCCTCTCTCACTTCTGGTCTTTACATATACCCTTAATTGTGCCTGAAACACCTATTATCTCTAAGTGGGGAAAAAAAGACCAAAAAACAAGAGGAAACAAAATAACTGTCTCAGTGAAGAACTAACAAATATACTGGCTTTTCATTTAGAACACAAAAACCTAATGTTGACTGAAAACAAACCAAGTTGAACTGGCTATGTACAGCATGATACCATTTTTATGGTATCAAATACCATACAGGTGTAGCAAATACATATATGAGTAAAAGAATTGACAAGTTTGAACATGATGAACATGATGTGTCTCCATTTATTCAGGCCTATTTTTATAGCCTTCAATAGAGATATAACATTTTTGCCTAGAAATCTTGTGCAATTTTATTATCCATTCCCAATCTTTCTCTTATTCATCCATTATAGACACAGATCAATGTTTCTTCCTCTGCTAGGGTTTCTCCTACTTGTACCCATAAGAGTGGTTGAGGTTTCCTTCTTCATGTTTCAATGGCCTCTTTGAGAATAAGGACAATGTCTTATTCATGGTGACATTTCCAACTCTTCACCAGGGTGGAGCACATATATGATCATAATCAGTATTTGTTTTTATTTTGTTTTGTTTTATAGAGAAACCAGGTGTTGCTATGTTGCCCAGGTTGGTCTTGAACTCCTGGGTTCAAGTGATCCTCCCACTTCTGCCTCCTAAAGTGCTTGGATTACAGACGTGAGCCACTGTACCCAGTCAGTAATATTTGAAGACAAGTGATAGTTGAGCCACAGGAGCTAGTGAGTTCTTCTAAGGGATGCATATAAAGGTAGAAAGAAACAAGGGGGGCCCTGACAAGTACCAAAATGTGGGGCTAAGGTTGGAGTTATAGAGCAAAAGAAAATTGTGAAAAGGACTGAGAAGGACTATAGAGAGGAGGAAAAAGAGGAGAACCAGGGTTAAGGGGGAGAGAATTTCTAGAAGATTGTATAAATGATATCAGATATCCCAGAGCAGCCAAGTGAGATGTGGTCTGGAGTTTCTACTGCTAGAGGAAATCGGTGAAGCCCTCATGAGAACAGGGAAGGGGCTGGGGGAGGAGCTTGACTGTGCACCGTGTCTCTTTCCAATGTCTCCCAGCAGCTATGGAAACTGAGATGTTTTCTTCTTTGTGAGAGAACTTGACTTCTTTGTTTAACCTCAATCTTTCTCTGCCACCTTCATAAGTATTTCAATGGTGGACTTAAATGCTTTTGATTTACTTGTTCGTAGGGTTTCAAAAATCCAATGTATATCCAAAATAAAGGAATTAATTAACATGCATCAGCCTATTCAAGTGGTTTCTAGTTACCTAGATGCCAAACTCTTTGTATCCTAATTTCTTAGACAAAACCTACTTTTAGCTGCCCTCTGTATTCCAGTAGAAAATAGGGCATCCTTACTTCCCACAGTTCTGATATGCATGAATTTCAGCCGCTATGCTTTAGTTAAATAACACCTTCCCTCAACAGCACATTCAAATTACCATGGTATATTAGCTCTAAGTAACTGCATAAAGTACACAATTCACTGCTAGCTCTTCAGTCCACAAATCACTATGCAAATAAGAGATGCACATCATGATCAGTGACCAATCATACAACTTTCAGTCTATCAGTGACTGGTCACTGTGTATCTGTTACTCAGTTCATGCACAGACAGCAAAGTGTGCAGTTGTGTTGCCTTCTTGTCTCCCATGTGACATTTCATCACAATGGATAATCAAAAGAGGGAACTGACCAACGAAGATGAAATTGCAGCAAAAAAGCCCAAAAGTGGTGATGCTGTAAGTGAAACTTGAATCAAATGTAAATTGAGTTACAGAAGAAATAGTTCATGGTGGAACTGTTGATACAGCCACCATTGAGAGGCTTCAGATAAGCAGCCACAAAAACGTGCTGAAGGTGAATTTATTGACAGAAATGAGGAAAGTGATTGTGACCCAAATGTCCATTGAATGGATGAGCAAAATGTGGTATACCCATACAATGGAATTGTATTCACTGATAAAAAGGACTGAAGTGCTGGTACATGCTACCACATGGGTGACCTTGAAAACATTATGCTAAGTGAAAGAAGCAATCACAAAAGACCACATAGATTGTATGATTTTATAAAATATCCTGAATTGGCAGATCCACAGAGACAGAAAGTAGATGAATTGTTGCCTGGGGCTTTGGAAGTGGGGAATAAGGAGTGACTGCTAATGGGTATGGGATTTCTTTTAGGGGTGATGAAAATGTTTTGAAATTCCATCATGGTGATGGTTGCACAACTCTGTGACTATACACTCAATCCTTCATATCCGTAGGTTCCACATCTGTGGATTCAACCAATAGCGGATCAAAAATATTCAGAAAAAAAAAATTGCATCTTTTCCAAACATGCACAGACAACTTTTCTTGTCATTATTCCCTGAACAATACAGTAGAACATCTATTTACATAGCACTTACATTGTATAAGTCATTATAAGTAATTTAGAAATTATTTAAAATATATGGGAGGATATGCATAGGTTATTTGCAAAGACTATGTCATTTTATATCAAGGACTTGAGCACCTGCAGATTCTGGTATCCACAGAGGGTCTTGAAACAAATTCCCCACAGATACCAAGGGATGACTGTACTAACAAGTAATGAATTATGTACTTTGGGTTTTATGGTATGTGAATTATATATCAATAAAGCTGTTACTAATGAAATGCAAGGTACTAAATAAATACTAGTTTCATTATTTTTTCATTTTCCTATACACTTAAAACCAACAGTAAGAGAGATTTTAATATTCTTACAAGAAATTTTAAAGGTCACAGAGCAACCATAATTTTTCCCCTTGACTATTAAGAGTGTTTAATACAGTTTCAGCTTGCAGTCATTTTTATAGTCCTGCACTACCATGCAATGGAGGATTGCCTAGAATTTCTAGACCAGCTTAGCAGAAAATTCTCTAGCAATTCAGGGCTTAACCTTATTGTCCAGTTTCTTTAATTATAGGTGTGGCTTGACAAAAATGGCTTTTACTAGTATTGTCTGTGAGGGTATAGTGAAAATTAATGCTTTCAGTTTGAATCCTTATCTGTTTATTAACTAAGGTTAAAACAAATCCAATCAGTGAAGCAAATATTCAAGCTTAATTATGACTTCCAAGTTACCTCTCCTTGACAGGCAGAATCATAAGATGGCCCCCAATATTTTTGCCCCATAGTGTAAAGACTGTATATGATCCCCCCACCTTGAGTGGGGTTAGTACCAGTGAATATTATAGGATACTCTCTCCCTTAGGCTATGTTATCTAAGATGCCATCATAGCAGACTGGAGGGGGGATCTTCTGCTGCCTTTGAAGACGTGAACTGCTATGTTGTGGAAGGGCCACATGGCCAGGGCCTGACGGCAGCCTCAAGGACTAAGAGCTAATAGTTTAATAATAATAATAATAATAGCTACTACTAATAATAATGGCTAATAGCCAGCAAGAAAGTGGGACTCAATCCTGTAGCCACAGGAACTAAATCTGCCAACACCTCAAATGAACTTGGAAGAGAACTTAAAGCTCCAGATAAGAATGTAGCTCAGCCGAGACCCTGATTTCAGCTTTGTGAGACCCCAAATAGTCCCACTTGCCATGCCCAAACTTCTGACCTATAGAAACTGTGAGATAATAACCGGGTGTTGTTTTACATGGCTAAATCTGTGATCATGTGTTATGCTGCAATAGGAAAGGTGTACACTTGACAACCAGAGCCAATAAAACGTTGACTTAGTTTTCTTCACAGAAATCCTGGTGGGGGCACCTGTCTCCAGAGAGGAGTAGCAGCATGTTTGCCAGCAGCCCCTGTGCAAAGTCAGGGTTTCTGAATCTCAAGGTTTCCTCTCCTACAATGCACCCCACTGCATGTGCAGCAACACTTGGCCCTTTTCATGTCACCCAGTGGGACTGCAGCTCAGAGAAATGATGCAATTATGTTTCTCTGGCTACTGCTATTGCTGTGAGTAATAAACTGTCTTTTGTCTCTGACCCAGAAAGCCTGTGTCTTCTGGCTGTATCTATAAAACTGTGACAAGATACCTTGTTGCCTTGCTAGCAGAATAAAATCTCAAGCCCTTTCACACACAGCTCCTGGCTTGACATACACAACAATTTGTGTATCTATCCATCTGTTAATGGGCATTTGGTTTGTTCTCTGTTTGGCGGTTTTTAATAAGTAAAGCTGCTTAAACATCCATGCATAAGTCTTTGTATGAACATGTATTTCCTTTTCTCTTGGGTAAATACCTAGGTGTGAAATGCCTGGATCATTTAGTAGGTGTATGTTTATTTTTAAAAAGAAATTTCCAAACTATATTCCAAAGTGGTGGTACCATTTTTTATTCACCCCGAAAGAATATGAGAGTCCCAGTTCCTCCACATCCCTGTCAGCCCTTGATATGCTCAGTCTTTAAATTTTTTTTTTTTTTTTTTTGAGACAGAGTCTCGCTCAGTCGCCCAGGCTAGTGTGCAATGGCGCGATCTCGGCTCACTGCAAGCTCCGCCTGCCAGGTTCACGCCATTCTCCTGCCTCAGTCTCCCGAGTAGCTGGGACTACAGGCGCCTGCTACCACGCCCGGCTAATTTTTTTTTTTTTTTTAATATTTTTAGCAGAGACGGGGTTTCACCATGTTAGCCAGGATGGTCTGGGATCTCCTGACCTCGTGATCTGCCCACCTCGGCCTCCCAAAGTGCTGGGATTACAGGCATGAGCCACCGCGCCCGGCCAGTCTTTAAAAATTTTAACCATTCTAATGGGTAGGTAGGAGTATCTCATTGTAGTTTTAATTTGTATTTTCCTAATTACTAATTTGCTAATATGCGAATGTCTATTAATGTTCTTTGGTGAAGAGTCTATTCAAATCTTTAGTCCATTAAAAAAAAAAAACTGTTTTAAAGTCTTTATCTGCTAATCCCATCATCTCTGTCATTTCAAGGTCTTTCTGTTGACTACTTTTCTCCTGGTTCCAGATCGTATCTTGCTGCTTCTTCACATGTCTAGAGGTTATGTATTGTATGCTATAAATTATGAATGCTACAGAGTTGAATGTCTACATTTGTTATGTTCTGTACTAGAGTGTTGGATTTTGTGCTGCCCGGCAGTTCGTTTCCTTACAGATCATCTTGGTAGTTCCCAGTGTTGGTTTAAAGCCCTGTTAGGTAGATCTAGAGCAGCCTTTCTGGGGATTTCTCCACTCTGGCTGATCAGTACTTGAGCATCTCCAGACCCGTTCAGGCTCCGGTAGTTCAACTCTCAGCTCCCTAGTGTTCTTTGCTCAGTTGCATGGAGTCTTTTTTGTCCTACAAAGGAGTAGCTTGGTATTTAGCCACAGCCTCCAGGACACCCCTATGCAGATATCTGCAACTCCTCCTCTGCAAGCACTCTCCCAATGGGACCGTGCCCTGCACATTCTGACTGTCTCCATAATCCAGAGTTCCAATTTCTGTCTCCTCAGTTCAGCAGCAACGCTGTGCTATGCTGGGCTTCCTCCCTGTGCCACAGTCTGGAAAGTGCCTAAAGTCAGAAAGGGTTATGAAGGGACTGTCAGGGACCACAGTCTTGTGCCTCCTTTTACCCAATGTCTGAAAACTGTAATTTCATATATTTTGTCCAGTGTTATTGTTGCTTACTGCGGGAGGGCTAGGCCAGTATCAGTTAATCTGTTGTGGCCAGAAGCAGAATCCTAAGTGTGCTATATTGGGAAATTTCATTGGAAGGCTTCCCTGAGGAACAAATAATGATTGAAATGAAAAGCCATGGAGAAGTGGCTCACCTGGTCTCCTGAAGTGTCCACCTTTTGCCTCCCCACTAGTTCCTCTGAGATTTTTAGGTAAAAGGGTTATTAAGGTGGATTTAAAGAAGTTTTGTCTTATTTCTGGTTTTCAGCTAACTAGCAAAACTAAAATGTGTCTAGAGCTAGTCCCAGGTAATTTCCCCTAACTCTTCACAAGTTAATCACAGATTCACAAAGTGAACTTTTTAAAGCTATTTGTTTTGTTAGTCTAAGAAGTAAACATGCTAATGTAACTAACGAAATGTCTTGAAGAAACATTAAAGTTTGGAAATAATGTCCATCTCTGGCAAATAGTGGAACTTAGCCCTCCCAAAATACTACAGGTATCAGTTATGAAGGCTACAAGTTTGTATCAAAGAGGTGGAATGAAGGGACGTGGGAGACTGGGTTTAAATTTTTGCTTTGCTTTTTTTTGTTTGTTTGGAGTGCAGTGGTACAATCATAGCTCACTGCAGCCTGAAACTCCTAGACTTGAGGGATCCTCCCATCTCAGCCTCCTGAGTGTCTGGGACTACAGGCATGTTCCACCATACCTGGCTAAGTTTTTTAATTTTCAGTAGAGCCAGGGTCTCACTATGTTGGTTTCAAACTCCTGGCCTCAAATGATCCTCCAGCCCTGGCCTCCGAAAGTACTGAGATTACAGGTGTGAGCCACTGTGCCCAGCCTCCAATGCTTTTTCTAACTGCCAACCTTGGGCAGGTCCTTTGACACCTCTGGGCTGTGTGTGTGTGTGTATGTGTGTGCGTGTGTTTTCTTCTGTAGATGAGGAAGTGAGGTTAGCTCCTTTCTGGCTTCAAGGCAGCAAGTAGAGGCCTTTTGTTACATGCATGTGGTTTCAGAATCAGACCTGTAATTGAACCTCGGGCTTGCCACCCACAGTCTGGGAGGCCTTGGAAAATGTACTGCTTCCTCTGGAGCCCCAGGTTTCTCTTTAAAACTGGAATAACTAATGTTAAGGTTATCATGAGGACAAATGATGTAACAAACCATGTGCTCAGCTCAGAGCCCAGCACAAGGTAAAGGTATGTAACAGGCCACCAAAAAAATGAACCTCCTAAAGTAATGGGTGGTAAGTTAGCACAGTATGCCTATCTGTACTGCATTCGATGCTTCTGCAAGTCCTGGCTGCTAAGCATGTGTTGCCCTAGTGAATGTAAATCTTAATAGGAAAAGAATAATTCCAAGCACTTAGAAAGTGAAGGAGGCAATGATTTTTACATGTGTACGGATCAAACGGAATCGTTCCACTGAATGTGCATGAGCCCTCGCCTCAGTGCTGGTGAAGGCAGCCAACAGCTGTTTCTATTTAATTCTTCAACTTGATCTCGCCCATTCCCAGCCTCCCAGCTCTACCAGAGCAGCTGGAAGTCCTCACAGATTCTTTTGTGAAGCTTCCCTTCCCAGGGCAGGCCGGAGCCAGCCCTGCTTTCCCTGTATGTTTGCTATGATTCCTCTAGTTTTCACTTGACCTCCTGTGCCTGTTAGTTCCCATGCAGTTCTGAATTGGTCTTTTGAGCTTTTAGCTATCGCCAAAGCCTCTGACTGTTCTTCTCTCAAGGTGGGAAGGAATGCATATGGGAATATGGGGAAACAGAATAAGCTTTTGTGGTGCACACTGTTCGTTGCCAACTCAAATTCATTGTCCCTGTCTCTTTTGCTAGTGGAACCTCAGTTTTGTTCAGGGTGGTAATATGCCCGATAAAATGTTGACTTCAACCCTCGCAGCTAGGGGTGGCCAAGTGGAGTAGTCTGGCCGATAAGATGTAAGAGGAAGTTGCCGAGTGGGGCTGTTGGGAAAGCTCTTTATAAAGGAGCTATCTCAAAGGTCATGCTTTTTTTTTTTTCTCCACTTCACCAGGCACTTCACTGGGCCTGACTGCAGAAGCACTGCCTGGAGGTGTAGGAAACATCTCACAAAAATGGAGCTGAAGGCCATGGTCTCGGATGAAAGAGGACAGAGCTCAAAATAGGGTGAGTTACCCCTGGCACCATGGAGCTGCCAAACCAACCTTGGATGACCTAACTCTGGAATCCTTTTTGACATGAAAAGAATGGAACTCCTGTTTCATTTAAGGTAATGTTTAGTTGTTTCTTCTGTTATTTGCAGTATAATGCAAACCTAAGTGATACTACTTTTTGTGTGAAAATAAGATAAGTATTTGTCTGTGTCCATGGGAGAAGTAATAAACTCACCAGCATAGAATGAATTTAAGCAAAGGTTAGATAGACATCACTCAGGGGTGTTTAAAGGGATTCTTGCATTAAGTGGAAAGTTGAACTTGGCAGAAAAGCAGAATGTTTATTAAAGAAAAACCATTTGGGATAAAAGTGGCTTATGGCACCTCAAAGTTAAATTTCAATTACTGTAAAATAAAATTTCTTTATTATTTTAGCACTTAAGGAAGCTACAATTCTATGTGTATAACATATTCCTGTTTCCTACATTTTTTTCAAATCTATGAGGATTAAGAAAACATTTTTAAAATCTGCAGGATTTTAGGAAACACAGCAGAATTTTCATTCAGTGAATCAAGTTCACCTTAATTAAAAAGTTGATTTTAAAAATCGTTATCATTTATGACAGCCTGGATGAAACTGGAGGACACTATGCTAAGTGAAAAAGCCAAGCACAGAAAGACAAATACTATATGATCTCACTCATATGTGGAATCTTAAATGTGGAACTCACAGAAGCAGAGAGTAGAATGGTGGTTACCAAGGTTCAGGGTTGAGGAGAGGAGACTGGGAAGTTGGTAGAAGGATACAAAACTTCAGTTAGGAGGAATCTGTTCTGCAGATCTATTGTACAACATGGGATTATAGTTAATAACAATGTATTGTATACTTGAAAGTTGCTCAGAATAGATTTTAAATGTTCTCAGCACACACACAAAGAGATAAGTATGTGAGGTAATAGATATGTTAATTGGCTCGATTTAGTTATTTCACAATGTATACATACAGCAAAACATCATGTTGTACACTATAAATATATACAATTTTTATTTGTCAATTAAGAAACTAATAATTAAAAAAGTCAAACTTTCTCAACTATAGAAAAGATTGTTTCATGTGTAGCCTTCTGGGACTCCTAATTAAACATGGTAGCTTGAACACATGCTTATCTTTGTTCCTTCTTAAAACCTCATTAAAATTAAAGATATGAAAAATGGATAAGCCCAAGGAAATGAAGAGAATGTAAGAGATAAGAAGAGCAGACAAGAACTTTTAAGAAATTTACAGAAGATAGAGAATGGATGTGAAAATAGTAGAAAAATTAGGGAAAAAAAGGTAAAAATGAGTGCCTACAACCTACAACCAACATCATATTTAATAGTGAAATATTGTAAACTTCCTGCCTGTGATTGGAAATAAGACAAGAATGCCTACTATTGATATCTCTACTTCTACTCAACATTGTATTGAATGTACAATAAAACATAAAATAACACCATTTTCGAAAGCAACTTAAAACATCAATGTCTAGGGATAAATCTAGTAAAAGATTTTAAAGACTGCCATACAAAAAAACTATATTGTGTCATTAAAATAAATTAAAGAATATCTTTTAAAAATGGAAGGATTTACTATGTTCATGGATTGGAAGAGCTAATATTATAAGAGACAATATTGTAAAATTGTAATTCTTTCCAAATTAATTTGTTGGTTCAATGCAATTCTAATCAAAATCCTGGTAGATCATTTTGTGGAAATTGGTAAACTGATTCTAAACTTTATTTGAAAATGCAAAGACTCAACAATAGGGAAGACAGCCTAAAGAAGAACAAAGCTTGTAAACTTATTCTTAAACCACAATTATTGTGATGGTTTTGTTGTTATTGTTGTTGTTTTGAGATGCAGTCTTGCTCTGTCACCTAGGCTGGAGTGCAATGGCATGATCTTGGCTCACTGAAACCTCTGCCTCCTGGGTTCAAGTGATTTTCCTGCCTCAGCCTCCTGAGTAGCTGGGATTACAGGCATGTGCCACCATGCCCAGTTAATTTTTGTATTTTTAGTAGAGACAGAGTTTCACCATGCTGGCTAGGCTGGTCTCAAACTCCTGACCTCAAGCGATCTGCCTGCTTTGGCCTCCCAAAGTGCTGGGATTACAGGTATGAGCCACCATGCCCAGCCTGTGATGGTTTATCTTCTACCAACATCACAATTTACTTGGAATTTAGTTTTTGATATGGTATGAGGTAGGGATAAAGATGCATATTTCTAGAAGATAACATAGGTACAAAATACACCAATTGTATAGGAAAATATTGATGTGTGTTCTTACATTAAAATAAAAAACTTGATTCATCAAAAGACCTATTAAGATAGTCAAAAGGTGAGCAGAAGAGTAAGATAAGATATTCACAATACATATAATTAGCAAAGGGCTTTTATCAAGAATATACAAATAATTCTGTCAAATCCATAAGAAAAAGACTACAATCGAATGAGAGACTCACTGATATTAAATAACTTTTTCAAATATACAACAACATAACAATAATTAAAAGCAGAGGCTCTAGAATAAGGTCATCTGAGTTCAAATCCTAGCTCTGCCTTTTACTAGCCTTGTTGTCTGCTATGAATTTCTTAACCTCTCTCTGTTCCTGTTTCCTACTAGTGATAGCACTTATATATTACGGTTATTGCAAGGCTAAAGTGAGATAATACAAGCAAAGCTCTGAGAATAATGCCTAGCCCTTTGTTTTGACTACATACATTTTTATTTTTATTATTAAGAATTGGGAAAACAAATCTTTGTTTTCATCCAAAACTCATGCTTTTGACCATTACACTATACGGCCTTCAGGAAATTTTTGCTGTTCAGTTCTCAATTCACTAAAACCTTGAATAATTTGCTGTTCAGCCTCAACTCTTATCAACCTTTATATAAGTTGTATTACAGGATCAGTGCTTTATTATAAATCCACTCACTCATTTTTAAAGAAACCTTGCGGTAGGATAAAGATAATAATGCCAGCTGGGTGTGGTGGCTCATGTAGCACTTTGGGAGGCCAAGGCGGGTGGATCACGAGGCCAGGAGTTCAACACCAGCCTGGCCAAGATGGTGAAACCACGTCTTTACTAAAAATACAAAAATTAGCCAGGCGTGGTGGCGGGCACCTGTAATCCCAGCTGCTCAGGAGGCTGAGGCAGAGAACTGCTTGAACCCGGGAGGTGGAGGTTGCAGTGAGCAGAGATCATGCCACTGGGCTCCAGCCTGGGTGACAGAGCAAGACTCCATCTCAAAAAAAAAAAAATATATATATATATATATATATATATGTATATAAAATAATGCTAATAATTTTTATTTACTACTTACTGCATACCAGATACTGGTCTACACAATTTACATGCCATTTCTCCTTTAACTGCCACATCAACTCTTTAAAGTAGGTATGTTATTATCCCCATGTTAAATAAAAGGAAACTGAGGCACAGAAGATTTAAGAAACTTGACCAAAGTCATAGGGCTGCTAAGTGGTAGAGAGTAGATCAGTACTCAGCTCAGTTGCTCTCAGAATCTGCCATAACTTTTCTGTAGGAGTAGTCAGATAACAGTTCACTAATTTTTTTTTAATATAAGAGTTTACATAGTGAAGCATAACACTGTTCTTTAGGATTCTCAGGGACACAGAGTAACTCAGCAAAATAATTGAAATTATTTATAATAGTAAACAATTCATATCATGTGTATATAAATTAACCTAAATAATATATTCCACATAGGCAGAAATACACTAAAATAATAAGAGCAATTATTTCTGTTTAGTGGGATTAAAGGTAGTTTCATTTTCTTTTGTAAACTTTTTTGTTTTTCAATTTTTCTACAATAATTTTACTAAAACAATGTTACTGTTACAAGAAAAAAATCAGAGAAAAATTGTATATTGCCACAATTTCCAAATGCGAACTGAAAACTGTACTTTAGGTACACAACAACAGACAGCTGTTTTCAGTCCTGCTGTTTGTGTCTCATCCAGTGGCTCACTGTACCTCAAAGACAAATTTTCGGGTGAAAATTCTGTTTCTGGATGTCAGGGTCATCTCCATATTTAACCTCAGGCTCATGTTAGGATTGACTTCATAGACTGGGTCCTCAATCTTCTGGAATGTGAAGTAGCGAAGCCACTTCTTGTTGCCCTTCCAGAGAGCCAAAGGCCAACAGGGAAAGAGCCATGCAAGGAAAAGGGAAAGCACTTTGGTTGGGTGGCAAGCAAGAATGTCATAGAGATAGGTACTTGGAAATCAATGTCATCGTTCGGTCTGCGGGCAAGAGACTTCCTCCATGAGTTTGAGATTTATAAATGATGACTAGAGACCTTGGGGAGTAGGGATGGGTAATCAGTTCCTTGCAAGAAGGTGAGCTCTAGAGAAATGTTCTGAGATGGAAGAGGGATGCTGGGCACTTGGTTTCTGAGGTAAGCAGAGGAGTTTGAATGTACTCAAAGGAAGCACGATTATCCCAGGGTGCTCCATAAGGACCTGGAAGTATTTGGTAAGGTCCTATCCCAAAGAAACTAATTCTAAGTCAGAGTCTGACAAGGAATGGGGAAAGAGACAATCTTGGCTGCAACATTTCAAACTAACGCAGCCATAACTGGTATGGATGCCAGTTGAAGGTGCCATAAAGAAGAAAGTTGCAATAAGGTCATGATGTGAGCTGTGGTTATGGAGAGAGCAGGGAATCTTGGTTCCCTGAGATTTTTCCTTTCCCCTGCCAGTGTGATTTGGAAGATGCTGGCAGTGAGATGATCTTGCAAAAAAAACCTCAAAACTAACAAACAAAAAATCTGAGGTCATATCCATCCACGCACCAGCTCAACCTTCTCCATCCTAGGACCTGATACTCCCACCATCCAAAGCAAAGCTCACCATTCTTCCTTCACTCCTTCCTGTCTAGGCTCTGGTTGTTTTTGAGACTTGGCTTATCTTTCTTAGAGTCTTAGGCTTATCATTCTTAGAGTCTGTCTAGATGTTTGTTTTAACCACATTTTTTATTTCTTTGGAAGAACCATGGCTTCAAAAAAGTACAGGGAGAGAGGTGGGGCAGAGTTGAAAAATGTGACAGGAAAACAGTGAGAATTTGGCAAAAGCCAGGACTTGGTGAGAGACAGGTGAGTCTAAATGACCTAGAGGTTTCTCTGTGAGAAGCTGGACCCTTGCACCAGGACCCTGGATCAAGTACCAGGGCCCTTGGTAGCTCCCTCCTGTCATAAATGGCTTTGTTCTGAGCACATTCTGACCTTAGGAGCATACAGAGTTCATCCATAGTTACAAGAAAGGAGAGCCAGTCTATGGGCACAAATGCCAGTAGATGACCACAGGGATTTTAGCTTTCTGTAGAGAAAAGCTCAGCACCAGATGGATGAACTCGTCTATGAAAAACTGAAAATGTCTCAGTATTTATAGGTGGTAATATTTTAGGAGGTAAATGGCAAAACTAAAATTTATACAGCTTGAGGACATTCATTTCCAAAAGGCATAATGTAAAGGACACAAGTTGCCTGGTACGGGGCCTCAGTGTCCTGCAACGTTGTCTTATTTGCATTGATTGAGCAAACTGTTCACAAAGCATCCTGTAAGATCTGCTTCAGCTAAAACTAACTGAGAAACGATGGTCTTTTTGATAATTGTGCAAGATGGGAGGGACACGGATGCTATAGGAATGAGCTTCCTTAGTAATTGGCCACAAGATATTAATTTGTGATTCAATAATTACAATAGCCATATGGATGAGCCTGGTTTCTTCTCTGTGTCAGTAATGTGTTCCCCACTCTCTTTCAGCCGTCCACTGCCGTGGCCAAACCTTAGACTTTGTTATAACCGTTAACTCCGCAATTTCCACGATCTCAAGTAGAAGTGAACTCATTGTTCACCTTCCAGCACACTCTTCCTGGAAGCCTAGTAATCTCGCAACTTATCACATCTCTTGGTCTTATTGCCTTTTTACTGTCCCTTATCACTTCATGTTTTCACACACCCCATTATCCAGCTTAGAGTCCATGACCCAGAATTACAAGCACTCTCATCTCCTTTGCCTCTGTCTCCAACCTGCCTAGAAAAACTTCAACTTTGGCTAGCCACTTCTTTGCCTATTCACTCCTACAGCCCACAGCTGATCATGGTTGAAGAACAACACCCAGCCATGCTGGTTGGCCTCACTCTAAATTCATAACTGACAGCTTCATGTGGGCCCTGAGAGCTGCATGGAAATCCTGCTACATTTCGCTAGTTAATTCACTGTCTAGCTCTCCTAGACACCTGTTCTCACTTTCCTCAAGCCTCCCACACCTGCTTCTCTACAAGCTCAGGTGAAGACATTATTTAACTTTCTTCTGCTCTCATTCCCAAATCTACCACCTACTCACCTCCATCTGGCGTCCCTCCTGTTGTTGGGGATGAACCTTAAATGTTCCTATCTCAGGTCAACCCTTCCACTTGCCCGATAGGTTCTGTCTGCTCTCACTTAATCGGGAGTAAATATCTAGCCATTCTACCCTCTGTACCCCTTTCTATAGGATCATTCCCTTCAGCAGACAAATATATTACTTTCCCCATCTTCTAATAAACAAACCTTTAACTCCACATTTCTGTCCAGCAATCGCTTCATTACTTTGTCATCCATTTCAACAAAACCCCATGAAAAAATGTGCTATACATTTGGCCCTCCATACCCGAGGGTTCTGTATTTGCAGATTCAACCAACTGAGAACCAAAAATATTTGAAAAGCAGAGAAAACAAAACAAAACAAAAAAACAAAAACCAGGTTGGGTGCAGTGGCTCACACCTGTAATCCCAACATTTTGGGAGGCCAAGATGGGAGGATTGCTTGAGTGCAGGAGTTTGAGGCTGCAGTAAGCTATGATTGTACCACTGCATTCCAGCCTGGGTGACAGAGCAAGACCCTGAGTCTAAAATTTTTTTAATACAACAATAAAAAATAGCATGAATAAAAAAATATAGTATGGCAAGTATTCACTAGCACTAAGCTTCTATGAGGTATTACAAATAATCTAGAGATGATTTAAAGTATATCAGCAGTATATGTAGGTTGTTTGTAGATACTACACCATTTTATGTCAGCGACTTGAGCATCCACAGATTTTGGCATCTGAAGAGGGTTCTAGAACCAATCCCCCATGGACACTGAGGGATATCTCTGCTTCTCTCCAATCTCTCTCCTCCTACAATTTCTATACGAAGTCACTCTGATTAGGCTTTTGTTCTTAATACTCCACCTTTACTACTTTTCTGAAGGTCTCTAATAATCTCCACATAGCCAAATCCAAAGGTCTTCATCTTCCTGACCCATCAACAGAGGCGAAGGAGTTGAGAGTGCTTTTAATTCTGGATCATGAACTCTAAGCTGGACTGTGGGGAATGTGAAGACACAAAGTAGGCAAAGGACAATGAAAAGGCAATAAGACCAACAGATCTGATGAGTCGCAGGATCTTAAAACACATCATCACTCTCTTTTTCAAACACACTCTCTTCTTATCGTCCAGGACACCACAATCTCTTGTTTTCTTTCTTCCTCACTACAAAGGTGGATTTATCTTGAAGCTAAAGAAGCGTAAGTGTCAGGGACCCTCACTGTTATGGGCCCTTTCTAAGGCCCATCTAGGAATATGCTTACATGCTCATATCTTTTTGGAGTATTTGCAAAGTAAGATATTTTAACATAATTGGTCAAACTTCCCCTCATATGCAGATGATCTGGAAGCTCCACTCTGACCCTTCTGATCTCTCATTACTGTTTTGTGCAACCTGCTCCAGACATACACAGAGCTGCTAGTGCTGAACAGTGCCCACCTCTGCAGAAACTCTTGAGCAATCACTGAAAAGTACAGGCATGCTAAAACCTAGATCCCTTGCCTTGAGTCAGTGCAGTTCTGAAGTGTAACCTACACGGCTGAGTTTCCCTGTGGATCGGAAAGAAACTGCCCTCTGGGATTTTGCCTGAGATCATGCTCTTGCTGGGTGTCCTCTCCTGCCTATTTTGCTTCCTGCACCACCTTCCTGGTCTCCTGAGGTGCTACATGGTCACGTTCACAGTGATCCTTGTCTCTGGGTCTATTTTGGGGATGTCAACCTAAGGCCATATTGATCATCAACATCCTCTAACATCAAACAGAGACACAGCCAGACAGTAAGTGCACCCAACCTTGCCAAAAATGTCAAACCAGAATCTTATCAAGCTTCTAAATGCAATGACCAATTTAGAGGAAATTCAGCAGTCAGAGAACACAAAAAATACATGACGCATAGGGATTTGATTAGAAAAATACAGACTGTGGGAAACTCTACAGAGAAAACAACCTGATTCCTTAAACAAATTAATTACAAAAAAGAGATAAGAAATCTATGGATTTTTAAAAAACTGGAGACATATCAATTAATCACAACTTTAAATTCTGATTCAAACAAACCATAAAAATAAATGTATGGCATCTCATGAGATCATTAGAGATTTGGATACAATATCTGAGAATATTAGGACATTATTAATCATGTTTGCTGAAGTATGTTTAGGGCATTGTTATTTTTAAAGAATTCTTATATTTTAGAAATACATATGGAAATATTGATAGACAAAATACTGTAATATGTAGAAATTGCTGTAAAGCTGCAGAGGAAAGGAGAAAGCGGGTGGAGTACAGTGGAAACAAGACTGGCCATGAATCCATCATTGTTGAAACTGGGTGCAGGGGTTCCTGGGAATATACTATACTATTCTGTCTACTTTTGTATAATTTGAAAGTTTCCATATTAGAAACTTAAAAACTTGCCCTTGTGTGAGATGGTATTGGAATATTAGGATGACTGTATTTTGGAGATTGAGTTGAGTTGGAGATATGTTTAGTTTGGGTTTAGTGGGATGTATTTATGTGGTTTGCGGTTTCTCCTGTGGGTGGCTGAGTTTTTTCTATCCCTCTGGAATAGGAGTGCTTGGAGGAGTTCTCCTACTGCCCAGGGTACTGGCTTAACTGGAATTGAGGCAAAGGTGGGAGGGCAGAAATGAAAACCTGCTATCAATGTGGCGTATAGTACGCAGCACTGGAAGTGTGTGAGAGTGAAAGGGAAACAAGGTTTGAAAAGTAGTTGTAGACAATTCTTCTTAGCATCAGATATGTGAAATTATAAGCTCTTTTTGTAAAATTCAATTATTTGATGCTTCATCCGAATGGAAGTTCTCTCTTATCAGGAGTACAAAGGAATACAATTAAATATGTACTATATACTTCTGTCTAATTTTAAAAATTGTGGTGAAACACACAGAACATAAAATTTACCATCTTAACCATTTTTAGGTGTTTTGTTCAGTGGTATTAAATATATTCAGGAGCCGGGTGCAGTGGCTCATGCCTGTAATCCCAGTACTTTGAGAGGCTGAGGTGGCAGAATCACTTGAGTCCAGGAGATCAAGAGCAGCCTGGGGAACATTGTGAGACCCTCATCTCTACAAAAAGAATTTTAAAAATCTTTTAAAAAAGAATTAAAGACCGGGCATGGTGGCTCACACCTGTAATCCCAGCACTTTGGGAGGTCAAGGTGGGCAGATTGCCTGAGGTCAGGAGTTTGAGACCATCCTGGCTGATGTGGTGAAACCCCGTCTCTACTAAAAATGCAAAAAATTAGCTGAGCGTGTTGGCGGGTGCCTGTAATCCCAGCTACTTGGGAGGCTGAGGTAGGAGAATTGCTTGAACCCAGGAGACGGAGGTTGCGGTGAGCCGAGATGGTGCCACTGCACTCCATCCTGGGCGACAGAGTGAGACTCTGTCTCAAAAAAATAGATAAATAAAATAAAGAATTAAAAATAAATAAGTAAATTCATAATGTTGTGCAACCATCACCACCATAACTCCTTCATCTTAACTCCATAACTCTTTCGTCTTGTGAAATGGAAACTCCATACCTATTAAACAATAACTCTCAATTCTCCCCTCCCCCAAACCTCTGGCAACCACCATTCTACTTTTTGTCTCTATGATTTTAATGACTCTAAGTACCTCATATAAGTGGAATCATTCAGTATTTGTCTTTCTGGGACTGGCTTATTTCACTTAGCATAATGTCCCCAAGTTTTATCCACATAGCATATGTCAGAATTTCCTTTCTATTAAAGGCTGAATAATATTCCATTGTATGCATACATCACATATTGCTTATCTTGCTTCCACATTTTAGCTATTGTAAATAACATGGGTGTGAAATATCTCCTTGAGATCCTGCTTTCAATTCCTTGGGGTATATACCCTGAAGTGGAATTGCTGGATCATATGGTAATTCTATTTTTAATTTTTTGAGGAACTGCCATACTATTTTTCACATTGGCTATTCCATTTTACATTTTCACCAACAACGCGCAAGAGTTTCAATTTCTTACATCCTTGCAAACACTTGTTATTTTCTGATTTTTAAAAAAAATAATAGCCACCCCAATGGGGGTGAATGATATCTCATTGTGGTTTTGATTTGCATTTCCCTAATGATTAGTAATGTTGAGCATCTTCTCATGTGCATACTGGTTATTTGTATATCTTCTTTGGAGACATGTCTTGATATGGTTATGGTTTGGCTGTGTCCCCACCCAAATCTCAACTTGAATTGTATCTCCCAGAATTCCCCCATGTTGTGGGAGGGACCCGGGGGAGGTAGATGAATCATGGGGGCTGGTCTTTTCTGTGCTGTTCTCATGATAGTGAATAAGTGTCATGAGATCTGATGGGTTTATTAGGGGTTTCTGCTTTTGTGTCTTCCTCATTTTCTCTTGCTGCCACCATGTAAGAAGTGCCTTTTGCCTCCCAGCCCAGCCATGTGGAACTGTAATTCCAATTAAACCTCTTTTTCTCCCCAGTTTTGGGTATGTCTTTATCAGCAGCATTAAAATGAACTAATACATTAGATTGGTACCAGTAGAGTGGGGAGTTACTGAAAAGATACCTGAAAGTGTGGAAGCAACTTTGGAACTGGGTAACAGGCAGAGGTTGAAACAGTTTGGAGGGCTCAGAAGAAGTCAGGAAAATGTGAAAAAGTGTGGAACCTCCTAGAGACTTGATGAACAGCTTTGATCAAAATGCTGATAGTGATATGTACAATAAAATCCAGGCTGAAGTGGTCTCAGACGGAGATGAGGAACTTTTTGGGAATTGGAGCAAAGGTGACTCTTGTTATGCTTTAGCAAAGAGACTGGTGGTATTTTGCCTCTTCCCTAGAGATTTGTGGAACTTTGAACTTGAGAGAGATGATTTAGGTTATCTGATGGAAGAAATTTATAAGCAGCAAAGCATTCAAGAGGTGACTTGGGTGCTGTTAAAGGCATTCTGTTTTATAAGGGAAGAAGAGCATAAAAGTTTGGGAAATTTGCAGCCTGACTATGCAATATAAAAGAAAAACCCATTTTCTGGGGAGAAACAGAAGCCAGCTGCAAAAATTTGCATAAGTAGCAAGGAGCCTAATGTTAATCCACAAGACCATGGGGAAAATGTCTCCAGGCCATGTCAGAAAACTTCATGGCAGCCCCTCCCATAACAGGACTGGAGGCCCAGGAGGAAAAAGTGGTTTTGTGGGCCAGGCCCTGGGTCCACGTGCTGTGTGCAGCCTACAGACTTGGTGCCCTGTGTCCCAGCCACTCCAGCCATGGCTGAAAGAGGCCAATGTACAGCTCAGGCTGTGTGTCTTCAGAGGGTGGAAGCCCCAAGCCTTGGCAGCTTCCATGTGGTGTTGAGCCTGCAGGTACACAGAAGTCAGGAAGTGAGGTTTGGGAACCTCTGCCTAGATTTCAGAAGATGTGTGGAAATGCCTGGATGTCCAGGCAAAAGTTTGCTGCAAGAGTGGAGGCCTCATGGAGAACCTCTGCTAGGGCAGTGTGGAAGGGAAATGTGGGGTCGAAGCTCCCACACAGAATCCCTACTGGGACTACCTCTTTGCAGATGTGACTAAGGATATTGAGATGAGGGGATGATCCTGGATCATCATGGTTTTGAAATGTGAGGACATGAGATTTGGAGGGGCTGGGGTGGAATGATGTGGTTTAGCTGTGTCCCCACCCAAATCTCAACTTGAATTGTATCTCCCAGAATTCCCCCATGTTGTGGTAAGGACCCAGGCGGGTAATTGAATCATGGGGGCCAGTCTTTCCCACGCTGTTCTCATGATGGTGAATAAGTCTCACAAGACCTGATGGGTTTATTGGGGTTTCTTCTTTTGCTTCTTTCTCATTTTCTTTTGCCGTCACCATGTAAGAAGTGCCTTTTGCCTCCTATCATGATTCTGCAGCCTCCCCAGCCATGTGGAACTGTGAGTCCAATTAAACCTCTTTTTTTTCTTCCCAGTTTTGGGTATGTCTTTATCAGCAGCATGAAAAGGGACTAATGCATGTCTATTTAAGTCCTTTGCTTACTTTTGAATCAGGTTGTTTTAATTAAGGATTGCTTAAACTCTATCAGGACTATAGACACCAAGGAAGTTTGTGTGTGAAGACACTGATTTTATGCATTTTATGCTTACAAGCTAAGAATAATTTAAAAACTGTGCTCAATCATGCCAGAAGGAAAAGTGATTATTTTTCTACTTTCCTTATAGAAAATAACGGTAAAAAACAACTGAAATATAAAGAGTTATTTTAAAAGTATGCAGCCCAAATACGTAAAGATACAAATGTAGGAGTGTATCAGGCAGTTAAATAATCAAAAATATTATGGAATTTATGAATGTTACCTTAAATAGCTATTTTTAAAGAGGGGAGGAGTTTTGCAGATGTGATTAAAATAAGGATCTTGACATGAGGATATTGTCCTGGATTATCCAGGTGGGACCTAAAGGACCTTCACATTATTTATTATATTTGTCAGCTTTTAAAAACTGCAATTTGATGTGATTTTTCCCATTCTAAATGTATATTCATATTTGTATTTAATTTTAATTTTATATACTTTTTCTTTAAGATGGATGCCAAAATTGTATAAGCTTCAGGCTCTTCTGCCCACTGATCATTCCTGCTTAGTTTTCTTCCTCGATTCTTCCTTTTCTCTCTCATTTCCAAACTTTGGGGTGTCCCAGGATTCGGTTCTCAGACTTGTCACCATCTAGATTCACTCCATAGATACAGGTAGTCAGGGTTTAATCAGGGAAGCAGAATCATGATGAGTATTACTGAATGGGGCTTGTTATTGGAGTAAGACCTCATACAATTGTGTAAGAAGCTAGGGAAGGAAGGGTCTGAAAGGGGGAGTTGAAGAGATGAGAGAAAAGTCACTACCAGCCCTCCTGAAGCACTGGGGTGGGCGGACGAGTTTGTGCTTCCAAAGGCACACCCAGCTGCAAAAGTGGGACTGGGAAGGAGAGACATAGATGTCCGGGGAAGGCTGTTGCCGCCAAGCTGGCTGGTGGGCCTGGGGCTGCTGTTGTCACAGGAGAAGCTGGATGCAGTGTGGGGAAGACCGAGAGGCTGGAGTCCCCCGCCCCTCTCTGTCTGTCTCCCTCAGTATCTAATCAGACACCCCTGGAAGAACAATGGCAGCTGCTTCACTTCTACCTTCCAGTCTTATGAGAAGTTCTTTCTTGGTCAATGCTAATGTATAACCGTACAAGGAAAGAAGTTCTGGACATGTAATTACAGTTTAGCCAACTTAACACAGTTTCAGACTGCCACACTGTGTAGCCTCACTTTGTCTTATGGCTTTACATTCTACCTGTATACCAATGATTCACAACTGTATAGGCCCTGTCTGACCTTCTCTGAAATCCAGACTTAAGTCTAACTCCCTATTAAAGCACGATTTGTATATTTTATAGGGTTTTCACATTTAACATCTCCAAAACTGAGTTCGTCCTCTTATCTGAACCTATTTTTCCAGAATCTGCCTCTGAGAAATAGTGCAAAGACCAAAAGCTTTGGGGTCACCTTATTTCTTTCTCTCCCACTCAAAAAGTAATCTAAAAATCCTACAGGTTATTCCTTTAAAAAAATTCATTTTCTGATCCCTTCTATAATAAGCTGAAAAAATGCTCTCCAAAAGACTTTCATATCCTAATCTCTGGAATCTGTAAATGTTATTTTATATAGCTACTTAAAAGGGAGGGGGGAACGTCTTTGCAGATGTGATTAAGGATATTGAGATGAGGGGATGATCCTGGATTATTCAGGTGGGACCTAAATACAATGACATGTATCCTTACAAAAAGGAGGTGGAGGGAGTCTTGATAGATACAGAGGAGAAGGGGATGATGGAGCAGAGAGAGAGAGGAAGAGAGAGGCAAGAGAGAGAAAAGAGATGAGAAGATGCTGGCCTTGAAGACTGGAGTGATGCAACCACAAGCCAACATCCACCAGAGGCTGCAGGAGCCAAAGAACAGATTCCCCACTAAGCTTCTGAAGGGCATGCACCTTGCTGACACCTAAATATTGGCTCAACAATGCTGATTTGGGACTTCTGCCCTCCAGAACTGTGAGAGAATAAATGTCTGTTGCTTTATATCACCAAGTTTGCAGTACTTTGTTATAAGAAATGAATATACCTTCTTACCATTTTCTCTCCGATAACCCTGTTTCAGAGTACCCTCATCTCTTGTGTGGAGTATCACCTAGCCTCCGGTCTAATGGGTCTCTCTGTGTCTGTCCTTGTTCCACCCCCTATAGTCTAGTTCAACACAGCAGTCAGATGAATATTTGAAAATAGAAGTCAGATCATGTCACTCCTTATTCGAAAACCATCAGTTATCTCCTGTCTCATGTAGAGTAAAACCTCAATTTCTCAAATAGTAATAGTCTACACAGGCCTATGGGATTGGCTTGCTTCTGACTGGCTCACTTTATCTCTGATGCTTCATATTAGTAGCATCAGCTTCCTTGGTGCTTCTCAAGTATGCTACACGTGTTCCTGCCTCAGAACTTTGGCACTTGCTTCTTCATCTGTATAGAGTGCACTCCCTGTCTGATATGGTTTAGATGTTTGTCCCCTCCAAATCTCATGTTGAAATGTGATGCCCAGTGTTGGAGGTGGGGTCTGGTCGGGGGTTATGGGGGAGAATCCCTCATGAGTGGCTTAGCACCATCCCCTTGGTGATGAATGAATTCTTGCTCAGTTAGTTCGTGCAAGATCTGATTGTTTAAAAGAGTCTGGGACCTCCCCCTTCTCTCTCTTGCTCCTGCTCTAGCCACATGTTGTTCTTGGTTCCACTTTGTCTTCCACCATGATTGTAAGCTTCCTGAAGCTCTCACCAGAAGCCTAGCAGATGTTGATACCATGCTTGTATAGCCTGCAAAACCGTGAGCCAATTAAACCTCTTTTCTTTTTAAATTATCTGGTCTCAGATATTCCTTTATAGTAACACAAGGATGCACTAATACAGAAAATTGATACTGAAGCATGGGACATTGATATAAAGATACCTGAAAATGTGGTAGTGGCTTTGGAGCTGGGTATCAGGCAGAGGGTAGAAGAGTTTGGGGGGCTCAAAAGAAGACAGGAAGACAAAGGAAGGTTTGGAACTTCTTAGAGGCTGGTTAGGTGGTTGTGACCAAAATGCTGATAGAGATATGGACAGTGAAGTCCAGACTGATGAAGTCTCAGATGGAAATGAGGAAGTTATTGCGAACTGGAGCAAAGGTCACCCATTTTATGTTTTAGCAAAGAACTTAGCTGCATTGTGTCCATGTCCTAGGGCTCTGGAAGTTTGAACTTAACAGTGATGACTTAGGGTATCTGGTGGAAGAAATTTCTAAATAGTAAAGCATTCAAGTTGTGGCCTGGCTCCTTCCAATAGCCAGGATCAGATGTAGGAGCAAAAGAATGATTTAAAGTTGGAACCTATATTTAAAAGGGAAGCAGAGTGTAAAAATTTGGAAAAGTCACAACCTGGCCATGTGATAGAGGAAAAAAGAGCATTTTCAGGAGAGGAATTCAAGTGGGCTGTGGAGCAACCACTTGCTAGATTAGCATGACTAAAAGGAAGCCAAGTGCTAATATCCAAGACAATGGGAAAAGTCCTGGAAGGCATTTCAGAGATTTCTGAGGCAGCCCCTTCCATCATGGACCCAGAGGCCTAGAAGAAAAGAATGGTTTCAGGGGTCAAGCCCTGGGCTCTGCTTCCCTGTGCAGCCTCAGGACACTGCTCCCTGCATTCCAACTGCTCCAACTCCAGCTGCAGCTGCAGCTCAAAGGAGTCCAGGTAAAGCTTGAGCCACAGCTCTTGAGGGTGCAAGCCACAAGCCTTGGCAGTTTCCACATGGTGTTAAGTGTGAAGGAGGCTTGGAGGATTCCAGCTGGATTTCAGAGGATGGGTGGAAAAGCCTGGGTGCCCAGGCAGAAGCCTTCTGCAGAGGTGGAGCCCCCACCAGAGAAACTCTACTAGGGTGGTGCAAAGGAGAAACGTGGGGTTGGAGACTTCATGCAGAGTGCCTACCAAGGGACTGCCTAGTGGAGTGGTGGGAAGGAGGCCACCACCCTCCAGACCTGAGAATGGTTGATTCATTGGCAGCTTGCATCCTCTGTCTGGAAAAGCCACAAGCACTCAATTCCAACCCATGAGAACAGCCACATGGGCTGCACCCTGCAAAGCCACAGAGACAGAGCTGCCCAAAGCTTTGAGAGCCCACCCCTTTCACAATTGTGCCCAGGATGTGGGATATAGAGTCAAAGATTATTTTAGAATTTTAAGATTAAATGACTGCCCAACTGGGTTTCAGACTTGTTTGAGGCCTATTACCCCTTTCTTTGGCTGATTTCTCCCTTTTGGGATGGGACTGTATCCTCAATGCCTATACTACCATTGCATCTTGAAAGTAAATAATTTGCTTTTGATATCACAGCCTCATAGGTGGAAGGAACCCATCTCTAGATAAGACTTTGGACTTTGGGACTTTTGAGTTAAGGTGAGGACAAGTTAAGACTCTGGGGGACTATTGCAAAGGCACGATTGTATTTTGAAATGTGAGAAGGACATGAAATTGGGAGGGCCAAGGGTGGAATGATATGGTTTGGATGTATGTCCCCTCAAAATCTCTTATTGAAATGTGATTCCCAATGTTGAAGGTGGGTCCTAGTGGGAGGTGATTGGATCATGGGGGCAGATCCCTCATGAACAATGTATTAGTCCATTTTCATGCTGCTGATAAAGGCATACATAAGACTGGGCAATTTACAATAGAAAGAGGTTTAATGAACTTACAGTTCCACATGCTGGAGAGGCCTCACAATCTTGGTGGAAAGCAAGGAGGAGCAAGTCACATTTTACATGGATGGCAGTAGGCAAAGAGAGAGAGCTTGTGCAGTGGTACTCCTCTTTTTAAAACCATCAGATCTTGTGAGATTTATTCACTATCATGAGAACAGCATGGGAAAGACCTGCCCCCATGATTCAGTTACCTCCCAGCAGGTCTTTCCCACAACATGTGGGAATTCAAGATGAGATTTGGGTGGGGACACAGCCAAACCATATCAAATGGCTTAGCACCATCCATTTGGTGATGAGTGAGTTCTCACTGAGTTCACATAATATCTGGTTGTTTAAGTCTGAAACCTCTTCCTTCTCTTTCTTGCCCCTGCTCTCACCATGTGATATGCCTGCTCCTGCTTCACCTTCTGCCATGATTGTAAGCTTCCTGAGGCCTGAACTAGAAGCTGACCAGATGTTGGTGCCATGCTTATATAGCCTGCAAAACCATGAACCAATTAAACCCCTTTTCTTTATAAATTACCCAGTCTCAGGTATTCCTTTATAGTAATGCAGAAATGGCCTAACACATTGTCCCCTCCATGGCCATGTGGTTTACCTCTTTACCTGATAGATAAGACCTTTTTCTGACCATCCTTTTCAAAATAACAACCCCCCAACCTCACTCCCCTGCATTTCTGTCCTTTTCCCTTCTTCTTCCTTTATAGTACATATATATATTCTTGCTTGGTTGTTTGTCCTCTCCCTTTAGCATATAAGCTCTGTGAGGGCAGGATATTTCTTTGTTTTTTTTCACTCTTGAATCCTATGCCTAGAAAGGGCTATGACACATAATGGATGCTGAATAATATTTGTTGAATGAATAAATTATCTAAGAATGCCAGGCTAGTTTTATATTACAAATATTTTGCTCCATTAAAAGGTCATGTGTTGAGTTGCAATAGGCAGCAGAAAATATCAGCCAACTCATTTCATGATTTTATTAATATTCCTTGGAGACAGGATGCTTGCACTTTTCAAAATGTCACTCTGGTCAGCAACTGAGCCCTATGCTGCTATTCTGTTGTAAGGTATATAATGGGACTGTCATGCATTCCAGAAATGGAGATAAGATCATGTTTTTCCCAGCCCTCTGCTTTAAGCTGGAAGGAAAGGATCAAGTGGGAATATGGTATTACTTTAAAGGGCTTTTTCAATCTAACAGTCTTTGATCCCATCTGTGGGTTGAATAAGCAACATACCATTTCATTCATCCCTCTCAGCTCTGAGGTCCCTCTCTTCTAATTCTTCCTCTCCCTAGTCACTTCCTGTCACAGCAATGGTTTCAAAATTAAACTCCAATTCTAAAACAAATGAAGCAAAGGCAGGAAGGGGGAAATGAATCACAAGCATATGGGAACAGTTTTGTTTGAAAGCATGATCAGCATTCTTTGCAAACAAGCTGTGGCCATATGTGGCAGGGTGGGTATAGAAGGAGTTTTTAAAATATGAGTGATAAACTGTGATAAATCAGAAAACAGTTATAAAGAGAAAGCTCACTAATGATTGGTTTGATGGTGAGATAAACTCTCTCTCTAAGGAGACAGGTATTTTTGCATCTTTTTTTTTTTTTTTTAATTAAACGATTCCTAATAGGTAGCCTGAGGTGAAAGAAACATCTTGCCTGAATTAGGCAAAGAATCTGTGGACAATTTGTTGGGACTTGTTTCTTGGCTAAAACCTGGGTCACTTGAATTCAAATGTATCGATATATCAAAGAAAGTTAATTGTAGAGTCAGATTTATTGCGTCTGGGTTCTCATGCCTACGGGAAGAGAGGAAGAGATGTAAGAGATGTGTGCGTGTGCGTTTCCTTCATCGATTGATTCATTCAATAAATATTTATTTAGTTCTGAACAAATGTCAGGTACAATGTCAAACTCTGAGTGTTAAATGGTGAGCAAAACTCAGGGGTTTAGGTGGTAAGCAAAATTGTGATGGTTGCTGCCTTCATGGAGCACAAACAAATGAAAAATAGCAACTGTGGTTTCTGCGACCAAAGAGAGCAGTAGGTGATTCTGTGAGAGACTGTGATGGGACATGGGACACCTGACCTAGTCTGGGGAGTCAATAAAGGCTTCCCTAAGGCAATGCTTGACCTGCAGGTGGGAGATGAGTCATTTAAATGGTAGGAGGGGGTGCATAGTTGGTGTTCAGGGCAGATGGGCTATTTGTGCAGTGACCCAGGGGCTGGTGGGCTTGCAGGTTCAGGAACTGAAAGAAGGGCAATGGAGGGCAATGCATCTGGAGTACAGAGCATGAAGGCTGGTGTCAAGAGATGGGAAAGAATAGAAAGAGCTGTGTTTTATTCACGAGGAGAAACCCTCAGAAAGTGGGACAGGGCACCTGATCAAGAGCATGCTTTCTCCTATACCCTCTCCATTCTGAGTCACGGAGAACATGCTGTAAGGAGGCAGAAGTGATAAAAACTGGTGACATTAAATCAGTCTTTCATCTGGCGAATGTGAAGAGTGCCTAATATGTAGGAGGCATTGTTCTAGGTCCTAGGATGTAAGAGATGAACCAGAAATGTCCTGATTTCTCCTCATAAGTCTAACAGTCTAAGTAGGATGTGACAATTCATAATCATAGTCATATGAATAAACAGTGCATTGCAAATGACACAGTGCTACAAAAGAACAGTGTAGGATGCTCTGAGATCCTAACAGGGGTCCTAACTTTGCGTGTGTTTGGCAGGAGGCTCAAGGATGGTTCCCACTGAAGACTAGGTTGACTAAGAGTTATTGGTATAATTATTAGAAAGTTACTGGGAACTTCAATTATCCCTCCTATTTCTACTCCCAATCTTTATTTCATTAGGTGACCTTGACCTTCATGCTTCCTCCCTCTTATTAAATAAAAACTATGCGAGGCCATTGTTTTGGACTAAACTCCTGCACTGGGTTCCAACAGACCAGACTAAAAATCAAGATGGAATCACCCATGCTCACCAAACCCACCCTGAGTTGTTGTTATCTGGCCTTCCAAGAAATCAGAAGAGAGAGATAGCCCAATTTCCCAAAGAGACGAGTTTCAATCTTCAATCAGCATGAAAATGATATTCCCTCTGTTTTAATCCTTACAACAGACTGACCCGAAGTAACCTGCTGTTAACCCCTCAGATTGTTCTGTCTCCCTATCCCTGCCTTGCAAGGAAATTAACTTTGAAATGGCCAATTCATTTTCGTTCTTTGTTTTTCCTTTCTTCATCCCCTTTTATGTATATAAAGCCAACCTCCCCTGTTCAGTTCACTGGAACACTTATTTTATTTTATGGAATGAAGTGTTGCCCTGTTCTAGAATCACAATAAAGCCAATTGAGATATTTAAGCTAAATTTGTTGTAATTGTGTTTTTTGACACTCTGTATGTAAACGGCAGCAATTGAATAGCAAGGTGACAGTGTTTCTGGTAGAGATGAAAAAACCTACATACTCTGAGAGTCATGTTTGTGAGCTGGATGTGGTGGTAAATGAAATAATAAATTATCAGATCATTGGGGAGCTCTGATTTTGTTCTGTTTATACTATATATTAATCTACCAGGAGGGCAGCAATATTGATATTTCTAAACTAACACCTTTTTTCTTACTAAACCAATTACTTCCAACATGTTAACAGTTCATCACCTCAAACTAGTCTATTTTCCAATCAGTTGAAGACAGAAAATCCATAAGCAGTTTATCAGTGTGTGATGCTGTTTACATTTCAGTGCAGCCATCAATGTGGTTTTTCATCATTCTTGGTACACCCAGCCCAATCTCTTCACAAATTAATGTATTTATCTAAAAACAAGCAGCAACTTGTGCTTATATATGTAGCCTAGAAGCCAGCCAGAGCTGACATCCAAGGAACTTTGGGTGTGGTTGGTTGTTCCCAAAGATAAAGGCCAATATCAGGAATTGTTCTGAATTGACATAGTCCTTTACCAAAAGCACACAAACTCTATGCCTACAGTGAAACTGTAAGTGATAACCCAAAATGACTACTGTAATGTGGATTTTAATTCCATCGTGTCCACTTAATAGTGTATATCTTGGACAAGTTTCTTAAGTTCTCTAAGTTTTCCCACCTCCTCTCCGCTGCTTTTTGTTTAGTAAAGTTGTAATAATTATATCTACTCTGCCCTTCTCATTTAGTTGTTCAAATTAAATGAGAAAATACTTGTGAATATACTTTGTCAACTCTAGATCAATATTTATGTGTAGGATACCGTCATTGCCATACAGGGTAGAATGGCATCATTGACCCCAATTCTTTGCTCCTTCCTGTAACTATATGCCCTTTGCCATGTGACTTTGCAAGTCCTCCTCTGAAGAGGCAGGATGTATTTCCCTGCTTCTTGACTTGAGTTTGGTTATGTTACTTGCTTCAGCCAATAGAATGTGGCAAAAGTGACAGTGCACACAGCTCTGAGCCTAGCCTCAGTCTTATGAAGACCAGTATGTTTCTGCTTGCTCTTCTACGCTCTGCCAATTACCATGAGAACATGTCCAGGCCAGATCTCTGTTCCCAGGAAGAGGAAAGGCATGTGGAGCAGAATGACTTCAGCCTAGATGCCCTAGCTTAGCCCCACCTAGACCAGCAGCCTCCCAGCTGGCCTGTATATATGTATGTGGCTGAGTCCAGCCAAGATCAGCAGAGGGCCCAGTTGAACCATGTGAAGTAAATAAATGTGAATTGTTGTATGGCACTGAGGTTTTGTTGTTGTTGGTTACATAGCACTATTGTAGTAATAGTTAATCAAATCATCCATCCAAACCTCCACCCATCCAGCCAATCAAACATCCATTGGTCCACTAAGCCCATGGTGTTTTCCAGGGACAAAAAGAAGAGATTTCAGTTTTGAATTGACTTTTCCTTCTCTCTTTTTGCTCCTGTATGCTCTTCCCTGCTTGCCCCAATTTTTTAAAATAAATTGTTCAAGAGTTGCAAATAGGGAATATTCTGTATAGCACTTCAAGTTATCCGAATAAAAAGCACAAGAGAAAACTAACAAATTTTTTAAATGTTTACTTCTGATATGTAGATGAGGAGTCTGTTAGGATTCCATGCTTTCTTTTTTATAGTCCAATTTATAGATGGGACTTGTCTATAAGTGAATGCAAAAGACAGAAACAAATTAAGGGCCTTAATGTCACCGAGTTTTGAAAGTCTTTTGGGGCAGTTCTAAGCTAATAATTCAACATAATACACATATTGAATATACACCACATGTAAGGCATAGTATAAGGTCCTGAGGAAACAGAAATAAATGAGGCTCTCAAAGATGTAGTAAGGGAAATGAAATGCAAACTACTCATCATGTTGCTTCTCATCAATTCTGTAACATTTTTTGCACTTTTTTACATTTTAAATTCAAGATGATATGCTGTAGTTTAGTTGGTAGTTAGTGTTTCCTCTTTCTTTGTTGTATATAAAATAACGATACAGATTATAATTGATAGTATCTTAAAGCCAACAAAACAGGAAAGCAGATTGCTATGAGAACAGCATATATACCATAATATAGGATCAAAAAGCAAGGAGAGATGACTTCTTCTTGATAATATAGGGGAAGACTTCATGGAGGAAGAATTTATTTGAGATGCCAAAAAACGTAAAGAATTTTAATTTAAAAATTGAAGCTAGAATAAAGACCACAGTAGGTCAATTGGTTCCTAAACTTTCTATCACCAAGGGACAATTTTTAAATTACCTATTCCCTCCTCCACCCCATGTTGTTGTTTAAAAGATTTGTCATTATAAGTAAATTTGCATTTATCAAGAGGTACTTCACTTTTCAATTTGATAGAAAAACCCATGCATTACTGTTAATCAGAGTTTCTAATCAGATGAGATAATCAGTATTTCACAGTGAGTTAGCATTTTTGGCCAAAAGTCAAGAAACTTCATATTTTAGTTAGTCTATGAGATTATTATTCTAGGTGACTGTTTAATTCCTATTAGGATTTTTGAAATATTGACAATAATTAATTCTAGATGGGAACCACCATACTACATGAGAAGTGCATCGTAAGAAAATATGTAGACAGGGGACCTACAAGTTGTGATTATGAATACACTTACCCAGCGCTTTCAGCAAATGAGGAAAAATGAGAGAGATGGTAGGAAAGTATGAGGGCCAGCTCATAGAGGGTCTTGAATGTCACACTTAAGAATTTAGACTTTCACCGTAACCATGACTGTAGAATTCATTACTGAATACAGAACTAATAGTATGAATTTGGTAAGCAGGAGAGGAGAAGGAGAACTGCCCTATATAACATAGCTAAAGTAAAAACTGAATGACTAAATTTCCACCAAAAGAACAACAGATGTGCCACAGCTTGCATGCTTATCTATTGTGATGTGGCTGCCAACAAACTAAATTTGGGAGGAACCAGTAAGCTTCACCATTAATTCTATATTTCTACATGAAAGTTCCAGGGAAGATACTGTATTGTGTAATAGCAAGAGGTTGAATTCTGAATTCAGACCACCTGGGTTCATGTTCTGGCTTGATTGCATGTTAGCTCTGTAGCTTTAGGCAAGTAACTGAAGATCTTTGACCTTAACTTTTATATATAAATGGGAAAAAATATTATCAATATTAGGAGACATTTGTAAGGATGACATGAAATAATGTTTGGAAGTTGTCTTGTACGTAGTTAGCAGGATTTAATTACTTAATTCATTTCTTTTAGGTTTGCTTGGAAAGCCAAATGTCAAGAGATTTTGTAGTGGCACAGAAAAATAAATTCAGTCTTTTCTCTTTCCATCATCTCGTAAGATGCCAAACTGACTGGTAATCAAGACCCCAGGAGAAAACATACGCTCCAGACACCAGCTTCATCTTGGCAGTGGTCTCAGTTGGACTTGAGAGTAAATAGGAGATGACAGCTGAATCTGGTGTGGAGATTCAGGAAGGTGGTTTTCCTGGAGGACGTTAACTGGAAGTTTATAGATTGCAAATAATGATCATTGTTGTAAATACATGAGGGTAGGGGAGAGAGGAAGCATTTTGGAGAATAAAGTTCTGAAATTCCTGGACAGGATTGAAATGAGAATTCAGAAGTACTAGAGCTTAGTATCCTGTTAAGGAGATCATGGCTGCCTCATTGCTACTGTTCTGCAAATTTCTTTAGCAATTCCTTTTAATCAGTCACGTTTGAAATTGTCACTGCAGAAAATGTTTTCCCAGTGAACATGCTTCGATATATGCTGACTAATAATAGTGAAACCTTATCTTTGGCATGTACTTTTGGACTGTTCAAAGTGGTTTCACATTTATAATTGCATTTGCTTTTCAGAATGACCTTCAGAGGGAAGTAGGGTATTATTATTCCCTTTTTAAAAATGAGGAATCTGAAACCACAAATTGCATAAGGAACTTACCCAATGTTCATGGTTATTAAATGGAAAAGAAAATTTAGATTTTTCTAGTCACCTCTTTTTTTGGGAGACTATTTTGTTTTCTCATTTTATATTTTCTCTCTCAACAGTTTTGTGTCAGCCCACGCTGTTTCTGGGGTCACAAGAGACAAATATTTACCATTTCTCATCCTGCACATTTTTTGGAGGCTGTTACAGAAAATTGACAACACTCTTCATCCATTTGATCTAAGACTTGCTGAAGGCTGAGACTTGAACTCTTCTGTCTAAAGGAGTTGAGGGTGGAATTATTGAACCCATGGTCAGGACCAGATCCCCCCTTTTTTCCCTACACCTTAAGTCTGTTCACCTTCTAATTGTTGCAGACTAAGATGTCAATTCAGTCCCTTCCTTTTTCTTTTTCAGGGGCTATTGACTATGGTAAAATCCAGTGTCCTTCACAACAAACAACACTTTCTTTCCCTGGTTCAGAGCATTTCACATTCCTTCCATATTACTCAGCCTTCTACAGTCATTTTGAGGCACAGACCTGTATGTGCCTTCTCCCCTCCCCATTTTCCTTCTCATTTTAGACAGGAAATCACCCCTCAGAAACCCTTGGGTGAAGAAAAACAATGTAATGAATAATATGTAGGACATCTTATGAAAGTGCCAACAACTTTTTGCAAAGGCCTCAGCGTTCTCATACTTTTACTGTAGTTTCATTTATGTATTTTAGCATTTTATTAGTAATTAAAGTTGATGATTGGTCAAATCTCTCTAATGTCTCAAAAAGACTGTTTGGGTTATTTCCACTTTGTAACAAATCATCTCAAAGTTTAGTGGCTTAAAACTACAGCCATGTATTTGCTTGTGATTTTGCAGTGTGAGTGGTTCTAGTCATCTTTGTGTAGTTTCCCATGCAGCTGGAGTGGCCTGGGGGCTTGAATGGGACAGGAACATTGAAGATAGCATTTGAACTAGGTTAGATAATGTCTCCCCAAAGTTTATGTTTATGCAGAACCTCAGAATGTGACCTCAGAGGTTTAATTTTCCAAATAAAACTCCTTTTATTTGGAAAGAGGGTCTTTGCAGATGTAATGAGTTAAGACGAGGTCATGCTGGATTAGAGTGGCCATGTGTCTAGCTTCCTAGCAGGGATGGCTGGAGGATCTGAAGCCTGAGTTTTCAGACTTCTAGAATCTCTCTCCATGTGGTCTCTCTACCAGGCTACCTGGACCTCTTGACATAAAGGCTCGAGGTTCCGAGAGAGTGAAACCTGAAGCTTCCAGGCCCCTTATGGGTTCAGCTCAGAGCTATCACTAGGTTACTTCTCTCATGTTCTGTTAGTTAAGGCAAATTACAGGGCCAGCTCCAATCAGGAGGAGGAAATCGAGTCCACCTATTGATGGAGGCACAAAAGGCATCTACAGGGTCGAGAGGAATTGTTGGTGTTCATCTTTGGAGTCAGCCTCCAGGAAGGATCATGGAGACCTGAGTTTGAAAGGGCATTTTACTGCCTTATAGAGCCTCTCAGTGTGAGTCACCATATAGACTTCTTTCTCTGACAGTCTTCTGGACTTCCAAGTCATGTCTTTGAGTGTCAGCCAGCCCACTCCTTCATGTCAGCCCTGCCAGCTGGCCACGTGGTGGTCCAGAAGGCAGCCCATGCTGAGCTTCCAGCATCTAGGATTTGGCATGGGAGTGCGTGCAGTTGCCCATTGGGAAGATAATGTGGCATTCCTTGTGGAAACAATTATTGTTCCTGTGAGGTCAGTGCTGACCACAGTATATACAGTTCTCCAAACTCAGGTTAGCAGGATGATGGTGCCTTTCTGAGAAAGATAACAAAGGTAACTGTTGACACAATCAAGGCAATGCACATGAACAAGTGAAATGAGGGAAGAAGTAGAAGTAGCTATAATAACACAAATTAGTAGCTGAGACTGGACTCAAGAGATTTAGAAGTCACAGGAACTGAACTTGAGTTGATTTGATTCTAAATCTTTGCTTTTCCCCTGCACAGTATTTTTTGAAGCATTGAAATCTTTGTGGAAGAACTTGGAAGATGGATAAAAAAGGAAGATATAACTTAAGGTTATTGAGGAAATGAAGTAATATTGCAGGGTAATACAATAGTTTGTCTTGCTCAGGTCATTTGATTTTCTTTCCTTAAAAATGTTTTCATACATTAATAATATTTATTGTACATTTCAGAATTGCCAAGGGAGTAAATTTCAAATGTTCTCACTTTAAAAAATGTTACATATTTGAGATGATTGATACATTAACAAGCTTGATTTAATTATTCCACATTGTATTCATTAATCATAATATCACTTTTTACTCATTTTGTACATACATACAATTATAAATTATCAATTTATAATAAAAATCAAAATTAAAATATTTTTATGTAACGTGATAAATACAAAATAATACATATTATATATAAAATTATGACATATATAGTAATATATATTCCTGTGAACCCGCTACCTAAGAGCTGGAATATTGACCATATCATTGCATCAACCTTCTTGCCTTTTCTATCTCTATCTGGAAGATTTCTATCTGATCTTTTCTAACCACGATTCTGAACTTGGTGTTTGGCATTTTCTTGCTTATTTGACAACTAGATCTTCAGATCTGAATCGAAAGGGAAAACCTAGCCTGACTCCTAGCTAATGCTAAAGGGATTTTCTGGTTGTTAGCATATTAATGCACCTGCTTTTTTGTATATTCTATAAAAGTATTACACTTGTGTGATGAGCAGCCTCTAGAAGCCACACTGACTTCTTGAGTGCTGCTGGGTTTGTGTGACAATGTCTCATTGTTTGTTTGTTTGATTTTTTGAGACAGGGTCTCGCTCTGTTGCCCAGGCTGAAGCACAGTGGCAAGTTCGCAACTCACCACAGCCTCGACCTCCTGGGCTCAAGTGATCCTCTTATCTCAGCCTCCCTGGTCACTGGGACCACAGGTGTGTGCCACCACACCCAGCTCATTTTTTTTTTTTTTTTTAAGTTACTGTAGAGACAGAGTCTAGGTTGCCCAGGCTGGTCTTAAAATCCTGGGCTCAAGCGATTCTCCTGCCTCAGCCTCCCAAAGTGCTGGGATTACAGGTGTGAGCCACTGACTGTGCCTGGCCAATGCCTTATAGTTAATCATAGCTAATATGGTTGTTTTCTTCTTATGATCTTATATAGGCACTATGAACCCAAAAGACTTAAAAAACCCTTTCCTCTTCTCCCATTCTTAATTTGCACCTCTTTAACTTTTTTTGCTCGAGTGTCTGGGTCAGCTGTACTGAGACCAAAATCTGTGGTTTCTGGAAGTCTGGAGAGACTAAGTCCTTTGGAGCAGAAAATGTGGCAATTGCAGAGTTGTTCCATAATTGTTTCTACTTTGTATAATCTGTTTCCCAGGGACATAGCAGAAGTATGGAGAAGCATTTTCAGGGTTATGTAAAATTTCAAAGGTGAAGATTCCACCTGGGGAATATTTGCTGTTGAATTACTTCAGCGGCATATAGATTACACAAATTATGTAACGATTACTTTCATCACAGAAAACCCATTTTTCCTACCTGGAGAATGTTTAATTTCATTTCCCTTTTACCATAGTAAAATTACACACACATGGATTTTGTTGTTGTTATGCAGAAGATTTCACAATAAAGTGTGAAAGTCCTTCCACTCCACATCCAGGCCAATTTCCTAGAGTCGAACACTTCTAACAGTTCTCATTTTTAGTTATTCTGGTGGCTCCTTGAATGTGTTTAAATAATATACTACTTCTTGATGTATCAATAATATTGCTTATTTACTTATCTCTGTCTCGTGTTGATGTTATTTTAGTTTTTCTAATGGCTACAAGTACACCTTAGGAAGTGAATATGACTTTGATTGATGATTGCTTCTCAACTTTCTGACCTCTGGATATTGACATGCCCAGGGACTCAGTTCTCAGGCCTTTTCTTTTTAATTCTGTACTTTCTGCATAGGTGGCCTCCTACAGTTCCACAGCTTTAAATATCACCTGTAGATTGATGCCTGCCAAGTTAATATTGCCAGCCTGTCTCTCCCCTGTATTTCAGACTCAATTATCCTATTACCTACCTGCCATCTCCAACTGTATATATAATAAACATCTCAAACTTAACATATCCTAACCTGAGATCTTGACGTCGCGGAAAACTGGCTCTTCCCTCAGTCTACTTCATCTCAGATGATGGAAACTCCGTCCTTACTGTTACTTAGGCCAAAAGTCTTGTCATTATCCTTGACTATCTGAAAGCAAGGCCTTTTGGGTCTACCTTTATATCCAGCATTTGACTTCTTCTTTCCATTCCTCATCTCTACCCGTGGGTCCCAGCCACCATCATCTCTCCCTCCGATCATTGCAAGGGCCTCCTAAATAGCTTTTTGCTTCAGTTGCCTTCAGTTATCACCTTAATTACTTTCAATATCTTCTCAATGCAGCAGCCAGAATGACCTGTTAACATCTCAGTTATATCAAGTCCTTCCTCTTCCCAGATACTTCTAGTGGTTCACTTCTAGTTATATCAAGTCCTTCCTCTTCCCAGATACTTCCCAGATACTTCTAGTGGTTCATCTTTCTTAAAATAATAGACAAAATCTTTATTATGCCCTGCAAGGCCCCACATGACCTGGTTTCTTGTTGCCTCTCTGCGGGAGTTTAGATAATTCTACAGTTAGAGGAAGCCAGGCCATATAAGTCCAGTCTCACTCTGACACCAAATTGCAAATTTGGAAACTTTCCAAAACCACCCTCAGTTTGGATAATTCACTAGAAGGACTCACGAAACTCACTGAAAACTGATACATTCAGAGTTACAGTTTATTACAGGGAAGGATACAGATTAAAATCAGCCAAAGGAAGAGAGACACAGGGCAGAAATACTGGAGGGTCCCAAACGCAGAGCTTCGTGTTGTCCTCTCCTAATAAAGTCTGGACAGCCTTATCCTCCCGATATGTGACAATATGCACAAAGTATTGCCAGCAGGGATGCTCACATTAGCCTTGGTGTTCAGTGTGTTTATTGGGTCTCCACCACATAGGCACAGTTGACTGCCCATGTGGCTGATCTGGTTCCAGCCCTTCAGGAGGTCAAGCTAATACCACATGACCCAAAGCATCCCCAACGCCCAACCACATTGTTCCTTGGCCCAAGACCATAGACAAAGAAAGACACTACTATCAGGCATGACATTCCAAAGGCTTAGGAATGACCTCTCAGAAGTCAAAGGCAAAGGCCAGGTCTCTTTTTTGGGCAGGGTTAGATTCTTTACTAGATATTCTCTGTATTAGTCCATTTTCTGTTGCTTATAACAAAATACCTGAAGCTAGGTAATTTATAAAGAAAAGGGATTTATTTCTTATAGTTATGGAGGCTGAGAAGTCCAGGGTTGAGGGGTGTATCAGGTGAGAGCCTTCTTACAGGTGGAGACTCTTTGCAAAGTCCTGAGGCCACACAAAGCATCAGATGATGCGGAGGCTGAGCACGCTAGCTCACGTGTCTCTTCCCCTTCTTATAGAAATACCAATCCCATTCCTGTGGCAACCCATTAATCCATTAACCCACTATTCCATGAATGGATTCCGTTCACAAGGGCAGAGCCCTCGTGATTCAATTACCACTTAAAGGCCTCACTTGTCAATACTGCCACGTTAGGAATTAAGCTTCAACATTAGTTTTGGAGGGGGACAATCATGTAAATCATGGCACTCTCTGACCTTAGAAATTATCCCTCTCTCCCGCTGAGAAACAGGCCTGCTCCTCAAACACACCAGGTTTACTCCTGCCTTAAGTCCCTGGTACTTCTTGTTCCCACTGCCTGGAATACATTTTCTCCAGATGTGCACATGCCTCACTTCCTCCAGTCTTCAGGGTCCTCTCAGTGAGATAGAGATGGGATTTAAATGTAGACTGCCTAGCACCACAGCCCCCACTCTATTTAATGTACTACATAACCTGCAAGTCAAGATTTGTAACACTGCATTTTGTTCTAAAATTATATTGAAATCTTTCATGGGTGAATTCTTAAAGTTTGGACATCAATAATCTTTTTTTCTTTTCTTTTGAGACAGGTTTCACTCTGTCTCCCAGGCTGGAGCATAGTGATGCAATGACCTCCCAGGCTTAGGTGATCCTTCAGCCTCAGCCACCTGGGTACCTGGGACTATAAGCCTTTGCCACCACGCCCGGCTAATTTTTGTACTTTGGGTAGAGATGAAGTCTTGCCATATTGCCCAGGCTGGTCTTAAACTCCTGGGCTCAAGCAATCTGCCCATCTCAACCTCCCAAAGTGCTGGAATTATAGGCAGGAGCCACACTGTGCCTGGTCAATAATCTGTTTTTACACTGTGTGCTAGGATAATCATCCTTTAATGCAGATGCAAAGTCATGACTCTTTTTGCCAATCATAGAAGACTGTTCCTAGCCAATGCTTCCCTTTGTATGCTCTTGGTTGATGCCCAGTTCACCTTCTTGTGATCCTGGGGTCTGGTGAGGCTCTTCACTAGTCAGAGCAGTCTTTCCTTCACCACAGTGTCCAGTAAGGGTCTCTCTCCCATTCTCTTTGCTCCTATGGATTTGCTCCCATGTGATTGGGATCTCTAATGTAGTGGGAAGTGGGGTAGAAAGGGTCAGAGTGAGGGATGGTGAGCCAATACCAGTGCTCAGTCCCCCATCTGGAACTAGATGCCCCCAAAAATTCTTTTTCGAAATTTTATTTTAAAATTAGAATCTGGAACAACAACAACAAAATATTAAGGGAATAAATTAACATTTATTGAGTGGCTTAGAGTGTGCCAGACACTATTATAAGCACTTCCCAGATATCAGCTAGTTGAATCCTCTTAGAGCCCCATCAGATATAAATGCATCGTATATGAATACATTGATTTCTAATTTATAGATGATGAAACCGAGGCTTATAGACAAGTTAGGAAACTCACAGAAAGTCACAGTCTAAAATGCTAAAAGTCTAGCAAAGTAACAAGAGGAGGATTTTAGATGCTTGGAACATTTCCTTTGCACCACTCATATCATACATGGATCTTTCACTGCTTTCTCACAAGAGTGACTTGGGACAGAAGACAGAAATAAATATAGTTTTTGGACATTTAAAGCATATGGACTCCTTGAGGCAAGGCCTTGGATTTTGCTTAGAGCCTTCTGGATTATCCATCAGCTCATGGGCAAGCAGTAGATTTGCATCTCTCAGTGTTGCAACCCCAAACAGAGAATATATATATATCCTTGCATTTACTATCTTAAAGAGATATTTATTTTTTATTTTTGAGGGGTAGAAAAAAGTAAATGATGACAGTACCATTTCACCATTTAAAAAGTAATACAAATTGGTAGGTGTATTAGTCCGTTCTCACGCTGCTATGAAGAGATACCCAAGACTGGGTAATTTATAAAGGAAAGAGGTTTACTTGACTCATAGTTCCGCAGGGCTGGGGAGGCCTCAGGAAACTTACAATCATGTTGGAAAGGGAGGCAAACACGTCCTTCTTCACCAGGCCAGCCAGCACTCCCCAGTTGCTGCCACCAACTGGTGGCAGCAAAGAGAGGTGTAGAGTAAAGTCGGGGAAGGCCCCTTATAAAACCATCAGATCACATAAGAACTCACTCACTATCACAAGAACACCATGGAGGTAACCGCCCCCATGATTCAATTATCTCCCATAGGGTCCTTCCCATGACACATGGGGATTATGGGAGCTACAATTCAAGATGAGACTTGGGTGGGGACACAGCCAAAATGTATCAGTAGGGTACACCCATGTACTTTCAAACCTAAATATTTTCTGAAATAATTGTATTAAGTGATTAATTTATGGGTCTCTGAAATAAGTCTGGGGATAACTACTGATATGGGCATGGTTTAGAGTTCACTGGGTTAGACTGTTGTTCAAACTGTTGTCATAAAATAGATTTAAAATGTTTTAAAATCCCTAAAAATAAGGCCAGGCTCTGTCATTCCTAATAACATTCTAAAAGTTCCTGAAGGTCACTGTGATGAACGTGGGTGCATGAGGAAATATTTCCTCAAATGCCTGACTCTTTCCATCATGACTGGGAAGAATGGGAAAGGTTTTGTCTAAAACACATCTGGAACTGTAGGAACAAAAACTGGTGGATTTTAGAAAGCCCTTCAGGCAACTGCAGAATTATATTTTGTAGCAATTACATTAAAGTAGCTTCCAATCCATGTGTTATGGAGAAAATGAATTGCCAGTGTGCTGTCTTCAGAAATTCAAATTAAGCCCTTTTGCAAAGGGAAAAGAAGTTACATAAATGCTAAGGTTGACTACTTCCCAGTAAGCTCTATTCCCAAGTAGGCAAGTGTATTGGAATTACTTTAGGAAAGCTGGTTGTCAGCTTTTCCTTGTTTTTCTTCTAAGTGAACTCCTAATATAAAAATGTTCCTGATTTAGACCTTGGCAGTCCCCAGTTTACAGACGGATTGAGTTCTGCAAATTGAATTCTAATCTAGCTGTTTGGACATAAGAATGTATTTTCCCAATGAAACAGTGTTGTAAATGATGGCTAGAGTCCCAGACCAGCACACAAAACTCTTCTTAACTCTCAATGTTCTAAAAAGAATACCATAGACCAGTGTTTTTTAAATGAAAACAACTACTGATTAGTGGACCACTGCTATAGACTGAATGTTTATGTCCCCCCAAAATTCATATGTTAAAACCTACTCCCCAGTGTGATCGTATTTGGAGGTGGGGCCTTTGGGAGATTCTGAGGTCATGAGTGGGGTTAGGGGCTGATATGGTTTGGCTGTATGTTCCCACCCAAATCTCATCTCGAGTTGTAATCCCCATGTGCTAGGGAGGGACCTGGTGGGTGGTGATTGGATCATGGCGGCGGTTCCCCCCATGATGTTCTGGTGATAGTGAGTGAGTTCTCACAAGATCTGATGGTTTAAAAGTGTGGCACTTCCTCCTCCCCCACCTCCTGCTGCCATGTAAGATGTATTTTCCTTCCCCTTCACCTTCTACCATGATTGTATGTTTCCTGAGGCCTCCTCAGCTATGTGGAACTGTAAGTCAATTAAACTTCTTTCCTTTATAAATTACCCAGTCTCAGGTATTTCTCTATAGCAGTGTGAAAACAGACGAATACAGGGGTCTTATAAAAAACATCCTAGAGAGCTCCCTCACCCCTTTCGCCATGTGAGGATACGACTAGAAGATGCCGTCTATGAACCACGAAGCAGGTCCTTACCAGACACCAAATCTTTCAGTGCCCTGTTCTTTGACTCCCAGTCTTCAGTACTTTGAGAAATAAATTTGTTTCTCATAAAGCCAGGATGCCCCTTAGGTTTTCCCTGTTTGAACATTTAGGGTTCAAAAGAGTGAGTACTGTTTTATGGAACTTCTGTTTCAGATATGAGTGTATATGAGAAATATTGCAATAGGCCAAGACTGTTTCCACCAAGGAAAATATCCCCCTGTAGGACTCTTCCAAAATCACAGGTATAGGTGTCAGGGTTACATTACTGCAGATACTTTGAGTTTCAAATGATTTGAACAAACTCCTATGAAGCATAATGTGCTTGGTAGCACATATATGCATGTGCATTGTGTGTGTGTGGGTATCTTGAGTGGAAAGCTGAAAGCTGGGTTGACTAGGAAGGAGATAAAGGCTAGCCACAATGTGTGATAGAGACTGGGAAGTAGTGGCCAGAATTCTACGGTGAGAGTTAGCAAACTTTTTACAACCTGTGAGCTAATTATTTTTTCTCACTTTTAAAAAGTTGTTAAAAAAAAGAAAATGAAGGATATGTGTCTGGGACTGTATATGGACTATAAAGCCTAATATTTACTATCTAACCCTTTAGAGAAAAAATTTGCAGAACCCCCTTTCTAGGGGAAGAAGGAGCAAGTAATTACTAGGACGCTAAAGAAAAGCAGGGATAATTCAAAGTGCACTCTCAACACCAAGCTGTAAGATAATGATAAATCCTCACCCAGTGAGACTATAGAGGATCGAGAATAAGGGAAATCTTAAAAATCTTCGGTGAGAGAAGACTGAGTACCTGCTATGGTTTGGTTTGTTTCCACCAAAACTCATGTTGGAATTTGCTCTCCAGTGTGTCAGTGTTGGGAGGTGGGGCCTGGTAGGAAGTGTTTCAGTGATGGGGGCAGATCCTTCATGAATGACTTGGTGCTGTTCTTGCAGTAAAAAGTGAGTTTTCACTCTGGCAAGACTGGATTAGTTGTCAGGGAGATGGCTTAGTTCCCTTGAGAGTAAGTTGTTATAAAGCCAGGATGCCCATGGGGTTTTCCCTCTTCAAACGTGTCTGCTTCCCCCTTTGACCTTCGCCACTTTATGACAACATGAAATCCTAACCAGAAGCCAGAGCCCTTGAACTTCCCAGTCTACATAACCATGAGCTAAATAAACATCTTTTCTTTATAAATTACCTAGTCTCAGGTATTCTTTTATAGCAACACAAAATGAACCAATATTGTGTCTAAGAGGAAATGACTCTCAGGCTGACAGCTGACTTCTCATTAGCCACAATAGAACCCAGAAGCAAAGTGTTAAGGAAAAATACTTGCAACTAGAAATTTTAAGCCAGATCACTTATCTTCTAAGAGTAAGGGTCAAATAAAGACATTTTCTGACATAAAAGTTTATAACTTCCTACTTATAATTTCTCAATAAAATAACTATTAAAATAAGTACTCAGCAAGAAGAAATTAGAACTCCCAGGGAAATCAGGGATGAAGGAAATAATGAGGAAAAGGATGGTTTTCAGAGCCTGGGAAGGGTATGGGGGGCTAGGGTTAGGTGAGGATGGTTAATGGGTGCAAAAAAATACTGAGGAAGAACGAATAAGACCTACGATTCGATAGCACAATGGGATGACTATAGTCAATAACAACTTTTTTTTTTTTTTTTGATACGGGGTCTTGTTCTGTCACCCAGAATGAAGTGCAGTGGCACGATCTTGGCTCAATGCAACCTCTGCCTCCCAGTTCGAGTGATTCTCCTGCCTCGCCTCCTGAGTAGCTGAGATGCCACCATGCCCTGCTAATTTTTGTATTTTCAGTAGAGATGGGGTTTCACCATGTTGGCCAGGCTGGTCTCGAACTCCTGACCTCAAGTGATCTGCCCACCTTGGCCTCCCAAAGTGATGAGATTACAGGCATGAGCCACTGTGCGTTGCCAATAATAACTTAATTGTACATTTTTAAATAACTAAAAGAGTATAATTAGATTGTTTGTAACACAAAGGACAAATAACTGCTTGAGGGGATGAATACCCCATTCTCGATGATGTGATTATTATGCATTGCATGCCCATATCAAAACATCTCATGCACCCCATGAACATATACACCTACTATGTACCCACAAAAATTTAAACATTTAAGAAAAGGAAATAATGGGGAGTCTGGAAATGGTTAAAATGTATCATCAAATTTAACTCTTGTCTAAAATTAACTTAAAATACTAAAAAAAAAGCAAAATTGTAAAACTAGTAAACAATTACATAATGAGAAAGGGTGTTCAATTACAAAGTGTGCTAAAGTTCTTGTACTTGGGAGGGTGATGAAAACATTGATTATCTTTGAGCTATGTTAGAAAATTGTGTGGGAGGCCAGGCACAGTGGCTCACTCCTGTAATCCCAGCACTTTGGGAGGCCAAGGCAGGTAGATCGCTTGAGATTAGAAGTTAGAGAGCAGCCTGGGCAACATGATGAAACCCCATCTCTACCAAAAATACAAAACATTAGCCAGACATGGTGGTGTGCATCTGTGGTCCCAGCTACTCCAGAGGCTGAGCGGGGAGGATCGCTTGAGCCTGGGAGGCAGAGGTTGCAGTAAACCAAGATTGCGCCATTGCAATCCAGCCTGGGCGACAGAGCAAGACTGTGTCTCAAAAAAGAAAAAGAAAAAATTGTATGGGAAAAAAATGCATGTTGGAAAAAATTGTACGTTTAGAATATTGTTAATATTAATGTTATGTAAAATGTTTACATTTAAGAAATTGTATATTAGCGAATTGTATAGAAAAAACTCAGGTCCAAGAACACTGGGGCGGGGTTTAAAGATGAAGGTGAAGCTGATCAATTTTATATTCTATCACAGCAGTTTTATGGGAAGAAAATAGCTGCAGGATATGCCTCTGTGAATGGGGCTTCCCCAGTCTTTCTGTTTTTCCCTAACAGAGAAGCACTGAGAGTGATGAAGATGGTATGCAGTCCTCAGGAAGTGCAGAATTTATCAGGTTTTAGAAGCTTTGGCTGAGTAAATGCCAGGTTTTATTTATTTGTTTATTTTCTTCTGTAGGTAGGCCCTGATGCTGCTGTTCAGCAACCACATCACTCAGGTTTGACGGAAAGATTTGGAAACTGAAAACTTGCTGAGTTGTACTTATGCAATTGCGCTCTCTCTCTCTCTCTCTCTCTCTTCTTGAATCTACACCACAGATTTTGCAACCTACTGTATCAGTCCCTGTGAGGCAGGACCTAGTTCATTCCCATGCATGTCAGTTTCAGGGTTTTCCATGGTCAGGCCTGTGCATGGCCTTCCATGTGAGAAAACAAAATCTGACAAAAGGTGGGAAAGAACAGAAAATGAAGCAGAGAAACATGTTGGTAAGCAGAAAACTCAAAGAAACTGAAGACAGCAGGAGAGTCTTAAAAGCAGCTGGGGGTGGTGGGGTTGGGGAAAGAAACTACAAATTAGCTTCAAAGATGCAAAATAAAACAAGAGATTTCTCAGCAGAAATAACCAAAGCCAGAAGATAATGAAATATCTTCAATGTGTTGAAAGAAAATAATCTCCAACCTAGTATTCTATACACAGGAAAAATATCCTTTAGCAATGAATGCGATAAAGACATTTTCAGGCAAACACAAAGTGAGTGAATTTGTTACCAATGAAACCACACTAATGCAAGTATTAAAAAGTATTTTTTAAATATAGGAATATGGGCCGGGTGCGGTGGCTCACACCTGTAATCCCAGCACTTTGGGAGACTGAGGCAGGCAGATCATGAGGTCAGGAGATCGAGATAATCCTGGCTAACACGGTGAAACCCTGTCTCTACTAAAAATACAAAAAATTAGCCGGCCGTGGTGGCACACACCTGTAGTCCCAGCTACTTGGGAGGCTGAGGCAGAATTGCTTGAACCTGGGAGGCGGAGCTTGCAGTGAGCCGAGATCGCACCACGGCACTCCAGCCTGGGTGACAGAGTGAACTCCATCTCAAAAAGTAAATGAATGAATGAATGAATGAATATGATCCCAGATCACAGCTCAGAGATGCAGGGCTGAATAAAAAGCAATAAAAAGGCAAATATATAGGTAAAGCTAAATGAGTGTTGACTGTATATAATAATGATGCCATTTAAAAGGTTTCAAATATATATAGAATTAAAATGCAAAACAATAAGCATAGGAAGCAAATATGGTTAAGTGTAGCTAAAGTGTTGTAAGGTCTTTGCATTGTCCAGGAATAAAATATGAGTACGAATTAACATTCTATTTTTGATAGATTAAGGATGCATGCTCCATTATCCTTAGCAAACTAATGCAGGAACAGAAAACCAAATACCCCATGTTCTCACTTACGAGTGGGAGCTAAGTGATGAAAGCACGTGGACACTTAGAGGGGAACAACACACACTGGGGCTTACAGAAGGGTGGAGGGTGGGAGGAGGAAGAAGATCAGGAAAAATAACTAATGGCTGCTATGCTTAATTCCTGGGTGATGAAATAGTCTATATAACAATCCCTGTGACATGAGTTTACCTATATAACAAACCTGCCCATGTGCCCCTGAACTTAAGATAAAAGTTAAAAAAGATACATGCTGCGATCTATGATACTTTCAATAGATTAGTAAGAGAGTGTACGGTTTCCAAAGTAGAAAAAAAGTGAAATAAAAAATAATCAGTGGGCTCATAGTTTCTGTTTGGGATTATAAGAAGGTTCTGGAAATAGATCATGGTGATGGTTGTGCAACATTGTGCATGCACTTAATGCCACTGAAATGTGCACTTAAAAATAGTGAATATGGTACATTTTATGTGATGTACATTTTACCATAATAAATTTTTTAAAAATCAATTAAGAAAGCAAGAAAAGGTAAAATAGAAATGTGGGAGAGGCAGAATCAATCATAGCCCATAATAAGGTTTAAAGTTTTATATCTGTAATCAGTACATAGACTGGACTAAATGTTTTCACTAAGAGAAAGTTTAGCAAATGGGGCATAAAAATGAAAACCAACTATTAGCTGCTTTCAAGAGACCCAAGAGAATACAGATGGAAAAATAAATCAATCAAATGCTAAATTTTAAATCCTGGCATAACTATGTTCATATCATACAAAGTAAATTTTAAAGCAAAAAATAATACTGGAGAAATAGAGGGATGCTTCATAATGATAATGGTTTAATACATCTCAAGGATATGATCATTCTAAATTTGTGTATAACTGTTAATATGGTATCAATATACAAAGTAAAATTTGAAAAAACTAAAAAATCATAGACAAATCTATAATTGTAGTGGTTGCTTTAAATTTACATTTTTCAGTAACTGATAGCATAAACAGAGCAAAAATAAAACCCAAATGACAATCAATAACTATAATAACTAAATATGTAGAATATTTAAAATGCATTATTAAGTTTAATCTAATGAACATATATAGTAAATTTCTCCTAACAACTATACAATGTACACTCTTTTCAAGGATGTAGAGCATTTATAAAAACGAACACATATTCAGCCATAAAGCCAAGCTAAAGAAATGTCAAAGGATTAAATCTTATAGAATATGTTCTCTGACCACAATAGGATTAATCAAAAGGTTACCAGAACATCCCCACATGTTTAGAAATAAGACAATACACTTCTAAATAAACAATGGGTCAGAGAAGAAAGATTTTGATCAGCATGATAATGAAAATATGACACATCAAAACTTGCAGGATGCAGCTGAAGATCTAAATACTTACAATGAAATTCATAACATTAAAAGCATGGATGAGAAAAGAAGCCAGGCTGAAATTGAAGAGCTAATCATCCATCTCAAGAAGTTAGAAAACCCAAGGAAAGTAGAAAGTAGAAAATAATCAGAATAAAAGCAATAAAGCAGAAATCAATGAAATAGAAAACAAATATATAATAAACGAGATCAGCAAAGCCAAGTGTTGATGCTTTGAAAAGGCTCATAAAATTGAAATCCCCTAGTGCTAGAAATCTATTTTAAAAAGAGAAGGAACACACAAATGTCCTTTGGAATGAAAAAAGGGTCACCATTACCTATGAAGTAAGCATTAAAATGATAAGACAAAATTATGAACAATTATATATAATAAACTTGAAAGTTTAGATCAAGTGGAGAAATTCCAGGAAATATACAACTTACAGAAACTGACATGATGATATAGAGAGCCTGAAAATTTCTGAATATTGAGGAAATTGAATTAGTTATGAAAATCTTACCATGAAGAAAACATCAGGTTCAAGTGGATTTACTTGAGATTTCTATCAACTATTAAGTAAGAAATAATAATAATCTTAAGTTTTTCTAGAAAATAGAAAAAATCGGAACAACCATCAATATATTTTATGAGGCAAGTACAACCTTGATATCAAAATTTTACAGATAATGAAAAAGGAAAATTATAGACCAATTTCATTTATGAACATAAAATCAAATATCACAAATAAAATATTAGCTAACCAAGTCTAGCAACATATAAAAGAGTAACACATCATGACCAAGTAGGGGTTATTCCATGATTGCATGGTTGGTTTTATCAAAAATTAACAATGTAATTTGTCCATGAACACAATAAAGGAGAAAAAATACATGATAATCTAGATAGATGCAGGAATGGTGTTTGATAAAACATTCTTTCATGATAAAAATTATTAGCAAATTTGTACTAGAAGGGAACTTCCTTGACCTGATAAAGTATGCCTTTCCATAAACCTACATCAAACATCAGGTTTAATAGTAAAAATTGGAAGCATTCCCATTAAAATAAATAAAAGGGTTCTATCATTGTACCTATTCAATGTTTAGCCAATGGAATAAACTAAGAAAAACAAATAAGAATATAAGTTTCAGAAAGGAAGAGATGAACATTATCTTCAGATGTGATTGTTTCTACAGTAAATCAAATATCTAAAGTTAAAGCTGAAGAAGTAATAACAGAATTCATCAAGACATCTAGATACTACATCTATATATAAAAATCATTAGTAATAATCAAACAGAAAATGCCAGAAAACTCTATTCACAATAGCCACAAATACATAAGATACTTAGGGGTAAACCCAACTAATGATGTATAGGACCTTTGATGTAAAAATCGAAAAACATGTCTGAAGGATTTAAAATAAGACACAAATAGACTGACATTCTTGTTATTGAAGGAAAGAACCAATATTATAAAGCTAGCAATTTTTCCTGAATTAATCCATAAACTTCTAAAAGAAAATACAGGGGAGTATCTTTATGACCTCAATATGGCAAAGAATTTCTTAAGACATAAAAAATACAAACTTAAGAAAAAAACATTAGTGAGACTTACAATGCTAAAGCTAAAAACTTTTGTTTAACGAAAGACATCATCACAAAGTTAAAGAACAAGTCCAAAGTAGGGGAAGATAGTTATAAAAGATAAACAGCTGGAATTTATAGAGCGATCCTAAACATCGAAAAGAGAATGATCCTCCAATAGAAAAATGGGCAAAGCCTAACAACCTGGCAATACAGAAAGAAGGAAATCAGAATGGCTGAGGATCATGAAAAGGTGCTTCCCCCAACCTGCTACCAGAAAAATGAAAATGAAAGCAACCTTGTGACGTCACTTCATCCACATCAAAAAGGCAAACATTTTTAAAGTGTGATGATGCTAAGTACAGTCATGTGTCACATAAGGACATTTTGGTCAACGACAGGCCATTTGTATGATGGTGGTCCCACAAGAAAATAATAGTGTATTTTTACGGTACCTTTTCTATGTTTGGATATGTTTAGATACACAGATAGTATTGTGTTACAGTTGTGAGATACACAGATAGTTAGCATTGTGTTACAGTTGCCTGCAGTATTCAGTACAGTGACATGCTGTACAGGTTTGTAGCCTAGGAGAAATAGACTATCCATTTAGCCGAAGACTGTAGTAGCGACACCATCTAGGTCTGTGTAAGTGTACTCTGTGATGTTCACACAATAGCGAAATCACCTAAGGATGCATGTCTCAGAATGGATCCCTGCATCCCTGCTGTTAACCAAAGCATGGGCATGACTGTATTAGTGAGGGGGTGGAGCAATGTGGACTCTCATGTACTGCTGGTAGGAACATTAATTGTTACAACTACTATTGAGAGCAATTTGGGACTGACTAATAAAGTTGGAGATGTGCGCAGGGACACAAGAACTAGAATGTTCACAGCAACATCATGTGTAAAGAGATGTGTGGAGTTACATGAATGCAGATGGCATATGAGAAACCCCTTCAGAGGCATGATTTTATTGATATTATTGCTCAAAAGGAACAACCACCCACTAGAAAAGGGGGAGGTTCTGTTGCTGCAGAATTCAAGGAGACAGTCTTCTAGGATAAATACATTCAGAGCCATAACCAGGTCCAAGACAACTGTTTATCCTGGTGGCTGGAGGTTTCTGTCAACTCATCATGAAGAGACATTTTGTAATTAAATAAGAAATCATGGATGTAAAACATGCTGAAATTATGGATGATATTTGCACATATTGTAAAGACTTGATGAATCTGTATGTCACCTATAATATTCATTTTCAGTTACTTCCCTTAATTCTAAAGCTTGGAGTTAGGGTGTGGTTAGAATCCCATTTAGTCATGATTGGAGTAGAAACCCCTGAACTGAACTGGATCATGGAGTGTGATTTTGTTGCTTCTGTAGGCCTGTCTTGCTAACTACACACAGTCTCTATAAAGATGCTGATCACGGATGTTAACACTGATGGACTTCTCCCAAAAAAAGGTCTCTATCCAGTTATTCATTCCCACTCATTCATTCACTCGCCCATTCAACCCATCATCATTGAATATTTACGACATGATAAAGATTACAACGAAGTATATTTGGGCCCTAATTTTAAGAAGCTCAGAGTCATGTGAGTGGGAAAGAAAAGCACATGGATGAATCATTGCAACACAAGACATTAACTGCTATGAGAACTGTGGGAGCAAAGTGCTTTGACAGCCGTAGAAGGTCCTCCAGAGATTGAAATAACTGAGTGGGTTCTTGTAGAATGAGCAAAAATTGTGTGGCGAGGCCCAGAGTGTTACCATATTTGCATGTGAAAAGCTGTTTCCAATACTTTGACTTACGATTTCTCAGCCTTGGCACTATTGCCATTGGGGGCCAACTATGTCTTTGTTGAGGGGGGCTGTCCTGTGCATTGTCCCATGATAAGCAGCAGCCCTGGCCTTACCCACTAGATGCCAGTAGCACCCCTGCTTCCCCTAGTGAGTTGTGACAACCGAAAATATCTCTAAGCATTGCCAAATGTCCCCATGGGGCGGTCAAGATTTTCTCCCCCTACCCTTGTCAAGCTGCTTTAGCTGATGCTGTTGTTGTTTCTGCTGTTCTTCTTTATTTATTTTTTTCCCCAGGTATCTCTGTGCATTATCCAATTGGAGAAAAGATTTTTTAAAAATTCACAATGCGTTGTATCTCAGTTTTCTTTTATTTCACTTTCCATTGAATTGGGCTGAACTGGGTTCCTGCCTTGTACTGCTCATGTCACCCCTTTAATTTGTCTCTCTGTGTTCCAGGGGTAAGTCCAGGCTTTGTGGTTGCCTAATGGACTGGACCCTGGATTCTTGACCGCAAGTTCAAATGCATGAGCACAGCTCCTCTCTGTTTTCATCTAGCCCATCTTCAGGAATATATTCTCTATTCTTTTCTAGTTTTGTTTTCTTTTGTTTTGTCTCCTGTTTTGTTCTCCAGGCTGGCAGAGGCTATTTATTCTGCTTCTATTGCTGTAGGCAGAAAGCGATAGCTTATAGCCAAAGTGCTGCCATAAAAACTTCCCTGCTGGGAACAAGAAGCCCTTTTCTCTGGCCCAGGGTATTTCTCTCCAAACTTCTGTTTCTCTCACACTGCTGGGCCAGGGACAAAATGGCCATATTTAATATGCAAACGCTGCAGGTCACCCCTCTAATGGCAGTTGTCCCAGCAGAAAAGCCCTTCTTAGCTCCATTAAGTGGTTTGGCTTCTTCCCTTCTCACTGTGTGTGGATTACTTTTACACTTCCAAAAATCCTTATGAAAACACTCTTAATCATGGCAACAAAAAAGTCAACACAATTGATCATTTTGGCAGGTTCTATAGGCCTACTTTTAAAGTCCAAATACTCAAAGAGGTTTAAGTGCTAAAAAATAATGAACTCAAAAAGAAATGGGAACCTCCATGAACATGACCTGTATGTGTTCTTATTTAATTAATATTGACAGAGCTGGGGTGGGGCAGAACACAGAGGAGGTGGGTGACTGCAGGCTTTTCTTTCTTCCCACTAACATACGTATTACTGAACCCAGTCCTTCAGAACTCCGGTATCAAAGCAAGAACAATCTATTCATTTTTAGGTCAGCGGTTCTCAAATTTTAGGGTGTGTCAGAATCCCCTGAAGCACAGTTTTAACTGGGCACCACCCTCAGCATCTCTGATTCGGCAGGTGCTATGGACCGAATGTGACCCCCAGAATTCATATGTTGAAGCTCTTACCACCCAATATGATGCTATCTGGAGGTAGAGTCTGTAGGGAGGTGATTAAAGTCAGATGAGGCCATAAGGGTAAGCCCTAATCCAATAGGATTCCTGTCCTTATAAAAAGAGGAAGAGAAACCACAGAGCTCTCTCTCTTCAAGTGCATACAGAACAAAGGCCATGTGAGGCCACAATGAGAAGGCAGCTGTTTACAAGCCCGGAAGAGAGCCCTTACCAGAATCCAACTCTGATGTCAACTTGATCTTGGACTTCTCGCCTCCATAACTGTGAGAAAATGAATTCTGTTGTTTAAGCCAACCAGTGTGTGGTATTCTGTTGTGGCAGCCTGAGCCGAGGAATACAGTGGCCTGGGCTGTAGTCTGAGAGTCCACATTTGTAACAGCTTCCCAGGTGAGGCTGCTGCTTATGTGGTTGCTCCAGGGCCCACACTTTGAGAACCACTGCTTCACCTCTTGCTGGTCATCAGCCATGTGATAGACTGGAGTTGTAATCCAGATGCCTTTCTTTATGACCTGTTGTATTTTATCCTTTTGGAATTTAAATGCTAATCTTGGGCTTAAGAACCAACAGACCCTGTTGTTTGCTCCTCATGCTGTGTCCTTTGAAAAGACATCCTTCTGTCTCTTGCCTCCTTCTCCTGGGGTGCTGGGAGAAGAGCCCATAGAATTTTGGTGTCAGGTTGTTAAGACACAGAGTAACCAATGAAAGCAAGAGAGATTGCCACTCTCTTTTTTTCTGATCTACAGTAGAAAATTTGGGTTTCTTATGTAGACATGCACCCAGTGGTAATTTTTATGTTACATAAAATCATGTATACACACACACATTCTGACAATGGAAAAGAAAATGCTGCTCAGGGGTAGAGTGGAGTTCCAGGGAAGTAGATCATAATTCATATCTGATTTTCTGTCTGGTTTCATTTCTGACTTGTATTTTGGATTTTATTCCATCAAGTGGAGGCTCCTGTTTGAACACTATTACCTCTGGTACCCATCTTTATTTGGTGACCAGTTTCACCCTCACCTTGCTTTTTGATCTCTTAAGACCTTAAAGGAAAAATAAAAGGAGTATGTTTGATAAGAGAAAAGGAATTATGGGCTTCAGGAGGTGTCATACTTAAAGCTTTTCCAACAGGCTGACAGGATGAATTGCTTAAAAACGCTGGGCCTGCTGATCTTATAACACTGAGGCAGTGTTCACAGATATTTTCAACAACTGGGAGACACTGGAGTGGGTTCAGTAATTTATATGTCAGTAGAAAGAAAGGAGAGCATGCAATTGGCTCCCTCCTTTGTGATTTATCCCCTCCCATCTTTTTATATATAGATGAAAAGAATCCACTTTTATATATCATATATTAATATATTATGATATGATATATATGATATATGCTATATATTATATTATTGTATAATATATATTATATTATTGTATTATATATTATATTATTGTATAATATATTATATTATTGTATAATATATATTATATTATTGTATTATATATTATATTATTGTATAATATATATTATGTTATTGTATAATATATATTATGTTATTGTATAATATATATTATGTTATTGTATAATATATATTATGTTATTGTATAATATATATTATGTTATTGTATAATATAATATATTATGTTATTGTATAATATAATATATTATGTTATTGTATAATATAATATATTATGTTATTGTATAATATATTATGTTATTGTATAATATAATATATTATGTTATTGTATAATATATTATGTTATTGTATAATATAATATATTATGTTATTGTATAATATATTATGTTATTGTATAATATAATATATTATGTTATTGTATAATATATTATGTTATTGTATAATATAATATATTATGTTATTGTATAATATAATATATTATGTTATTGTATAATATAATTATTATTATACAATAATAATTATTATATAATATATATAAATTATAATTTATATATATAATTTATAATTTATATATATAAGATAATTTATAATTATGAAAATAATAATTATTATATAATATAATATATTATATTGTATAATATATTATATATTTTGCATAATATATAATATATTATATTATTGTATAATTGTATAATATTGTATATATTGTATAATATATTATATATTATAGTATAATATATTATATATTGTTATTGTATAATATATAAATTATATTATTATATAATATATAATATATTATTGTATAATATATAATATATTATTGTATAATATATAATATATTATTGTATAATATATTATATTATAGTATAATATATTATATATTATTGTATAATATATTACATTATATTATTGTATAATATATTACATTATATTATTGTATAATATATTACATTATATTATTGTATAATATATAATATATTATGTTATAGTATAATATATAATATATTATGTTATTGTATAATATATAATATATTATGTTATAGTATAATATATAATATATTATGTTATAGTATAATATATAATATATTATGTTATTGTATAATATATAATATATTATGTTATTGTATAATATATAATATATTATGTTATTGTATAATATATAATATATTATGTTATTGTATAATATATAATATATTATGTTATTGTATAATATATAATATATTATATTATTGTATAATATATAATATATTATATTATTGTATAATATATAATATATTATATTATTGTATAATATATAATATATTATATTATTGTATAATATATAATATATTATATATTATATTATTGTATAATATATTATATATTATATTATTGTATAATATATTATATTATTGTGTAATATATTATATTATTGTATAATATATTATTGTATAACATATATATTATATTATTGTATAATATAATATATTATATTTTGTATAATATATAATATATTTTGTATAATATATAATATATTATTGTACAATATATAATATATTATTGTATAATATATAATATATTATTGTATAATATATTATATTACTGTATAATATATAATATATTATATTATTGTATAATATATTATATATTATTGTATAATATTTTATATATTATTGTATAATATATATTATTGTATAATATATATTATTGTATAATGTATATTATACTATAATATATTATATATTATAGTATAATATGTAATATATTATACTATAATATATAATATATTATAGTATAATATATTATATATATTGAATATATTAATATTGAAGGAGGTTGGGTGTGGTGGCTCATGCCTGTAATCCTAGCACTTTGGGAGGCCAAGGCGAGCACATCACCTGAGGTCAGGAGTTCAAGACCAGCCTGGCCAACATGGTGAAACCCCGTCTCTACTAAAAATACAAAAATTATCTGGGGATGGCGGTGGCCACCTGCCATCCCAGCTACTTGGGAGGCTGAAGCAGGAGAATCACTTGAACCTGGGAGGCAGGGGTTGCAGTGAGCCAAGATCGTGCCATTGCACTCCAGCCTATACAAACAGAGTGAAACTCTGTCTCAAATATATAACATATTATTCAACAATATATTATATATTATTGTATAATATATTATATATTATTGAATAATATATTATATATTGTTGTATAATATATAATATATTGTTGTATAATATATAATATATTGTTGTATAATACATAATATATTGTTGTATAATATATAATATATTGTTGTATAATATATAATATATTGTATAATATATAACATATTGTATAATATATATTATTGTATAATATATAATACATTATTGTATAATATATAATACATTATTGTATAATATGTAATACATTATATTATTGTATAATATGTAATACATTATATTATTGTATAATATGTAATACATTGTATTATTGTATAATATGTAATACATTGTATTATTGTATAATATATAATACATTATATTATTGTATAATATATAATATATTGTATATTGTATAATATATTATATATTGTATATTGTATAATATATTATATATTGTATAATATATAATATATATTATATCTTATATATATCATATATTGTATAATATATAATATATATTATATCTTATATATCATATATTATTATATATTTGAGACAGAGTTTCACTCTGTTTGTATAGGCTGGAGTGCAATGGCACGATCTTGGCTCACTGCAACCCCTGCCTCCCAGGTTCAAGTGATTCTCCTGCTTCAGCCTCCCAAGTAGCTGGGATGGCAGGTGGCCACCGCCATCCCCAGATAATTTTTGTATTTTTAGTAGAGACGGGGTTTCACCATGTTGGCCAGGCTGGTCTTGAACTCCTGACCTCAGGTGATGTGCTCGCCTTGGCCTCCCAAAGTGCTAGGATTACAGGCATGAGCCACCACACCCAACCTCCTTCAATGTTAATTAGGAAAACATGCAGGTGACATTCACGGAGGTCTGTAATTTCTTTATGAGTGGACTCTTTTTTAAAAGTCAAAAGTCTTTTTTAACCTTACAAAAGTTAAAACTCTTTTAAAAAGTCTTTTGTTAACATTTCCTTTTTTAAAAAGATGAATTAGAGCTTTCCTCCCTATGGCAGGAATAGGTGGGCATTAGTTTCCCTCTAAGTGAACAATTCTCCCAACAGGGAAACCTCCAAGAAAATAGATACGTTATGAGCGGAAGGTGTCCGAGTTACCAGTGGAGTATCCGTGCAGGTCTGCAGCAACTTCAATTCTTGCCTCTTCAGAAGAAAGAATTTGACTGAGGGACATAAAGCAGAAGAGATTGAGGCGAGATTCAGAGCAGGAATGGAAATTTATTTAAAAAGGTTTTAGAACAGGAAAGAGGAAAATTCACTTGGAAGAGACCCAAGTGGGCACCTGAAGGTCAAGTGCCGTGTTTAACCTTGATTTTAGGACTGTATAGGCTTGCCTCTTTCCCATGATTCTTCCCTGAGGGTGGGCTGCCCGCATGCGCAGTGCCCTCCTTACCCTTGGGAGGTGAGCACGAGCAGTGTGTGTAGGAAGCTGCATGCATGCCCATCTAAGGCTTTTTTTTTTTTCTTTTGAGATGGAGTTTCGCTCTGTCACCCAGGCTGGAGTATAATGGCGCCGTTTCGGCTCACTGCAACCTCTGCCTCCTGGGCTCAAGTGATCCTCCTGCCTCAGCCTCCCCGGTAGCTGGGATTACAGGCATGCACCACCGTGCCCAGCTAATTTTGTGTTTTTAGTAGAGACGGGGTTTCTCCATGTTAGTCAGGCTGGTCTCGAATCCTGACCTCAGGTGATCCGCCTGCCTTGGCCTCCCAAAGTGCTGGGATTAAAGGCGTGAGCCTCTGCGCCCGACCCCCATCCGAAGCTTTCTTCCCCTTTCCGATGGAGTGCCTCTAGAAGGGCATATTTTGCCATTTCGTCTCTTACTGCGCATGCCTGGAAAGTTGCTTCCCTTGATGCCTGCATTCAATGAACACTTTAACATTCACAGCTGTGGATTATCAAGAGATTGTCTCTCCCTGGCACCCTGGCACTGGCTGCATTATCACTTTTAGAGAGGCAGTGTGACAGCTGTCGAACCATCGCCTGACATGCCTAGTGGGTCGGGGAGAAGGGCCGTCTCCTAACCGGCTCATGCCTATCTCACTACCTGTAACAGACACACACCAGTGATTTCTATACTTGATTATTGAAATCCTTTCCTGAAGTTCAGTTCTCCTTCTTAAAGACTGTCTTAGCCAATACCACATGATCTCACTTAATGTGGACTCTAAAAAAGTTGAAGTCATAGAAGTAGAGGGTAGAGTGGAGGTTACCAGGGCTAGGGTGACAGGCTGGGGAAGGTGACATGTTGTTCAAAGGGTACAAAGTTTCAGTTCCACAGGAGGCATAAGTTTTACCCAGCTTGGAGAGTACAGTTAACAGTGATGTATTGTTTATTTCGAAATTGCTAAAAGAGTAGATTTTAAATGTTCTCAATACAAAAAAATGGTAAATATGTAGGGTGAAAGATATGTTAATTAGTTACTTATCCCACAATATATACATACATCATAACATGCATATATACATGTTATGATGTATCATAACATCACTTTGTGCACCATGAATATATATGTCAATTAAAAACAAAATAAAAATTTAAAAATAGAAGACAGTCTTGGGATTCAGTGGATTTAAACTGATATTCTTTTATTAAAACATCTGGGCTAGGCTGGGCGTGGTGGCTCATGCCTGTAATCCCAGCACTTTGGGAGGCCGAGACAGGCAGATCACTTGAGGTCAGGAGTTCGAGACTAGCCTAGCCAACATGACAAAATCCCCTCTCTATTAAAAATATACAAATTAGCTGGGTGTGGTGGTGTGCACCTATAATCCCAGCTACTCGGGAAGCTGAGGCAGGAGAATTGCTTGAACCTGAGAGGCAGAGGTTGCAGTGAGCTGAGCTTGCACCACTGCACTTCAGCCGGGGTGACAGAGCAAGATTCTGTCTCAAAAAAAAAAAAAAAAAGAAAGAAAAAGAAAAGAAAAGAAAATATCTGGGCTAACAATACTTAGAGAAACCTAGGGGAAAAAATGTCCCAATACCTGCTTTAAGCTTTGGAGTAATGTTCTCCTGAGGGCGGCAGAAGCAACAGCATAGTTGAGCTTTCAACCAGCATTCTAAAGCCGGTTGAGGAAATGTCCTGTGAGTCCTCTACACAGAGTGACCACTTACAGAAAACCTCTCTCCTTTGTCTGTTTCCTATGCCTTCTGCTCCAGGTGGGTGTTCCTGCTCATGGTTCTTTCATGCCATCCCTTCTTTCCCAGACTCCTCTCCCTCCTTATCTTCTGACCCACAACCCTCTCTTCATTTCTCAGCCCTCCAGAAACCCCCTGGAGATAAGCTAAGAATAACATGTTTCTTCTAAAGGGAAGGATATACATTCAAGAAAGAAAAAGAGAAAATTTAGAGTGCGAGGGGGCAGAGACAGAAATTAAAAGAGGGGGCGTACAATAGCCCCAAAGTGGAAACAGCCCAAACTTCCAACAACAGATAAATGGATAAACAAAATGTGGCATATACATACAACAGAATATTACTCAGCCATGAAAAGGAATGAAGTGCTGATACATGTCATAATATAGACGAACCCCAAAATGTTATGCTAAGTGAAAGAAACCAGACACAGAATGCTACATATTTTATGATTCCATTTATAATAAATATCCAGAATAGATGTATCCATAAAGACAGAAGGCAAATTGGGGTTGCCAGGGATGGGGTGTGGAGGTTGGGGTAGGAGGAGATAGGATATGGGTATGGGCTTTACTTTGGAGTGTTAGAAATGTTTTGGAACTAGATAGAGATGGTGGTTGTACAGCATTGTAGAGGCATTAAATGTCATAAAATTGTTGGCTCTAAAATGGTGAATTTTATATTATATAAATTTCATCTCAGTAAAGTTAAAAAAATTTATGAAGGGGAGAAAGATGTGTCAAAACTTCCAATTCCACTTCTTTTAGATTTCATAACCTTCACATTGGCCTTTCTCCTAAATTGTGTCTCAGAGAAAGTTTCACATTTAATTTAGATACTAAGCCCCACGGATTGGTCCTGGGTTGACCTCCAAATCTTGTTAAGTATTGAATCAGTCTTCAGTAAAACAGCCCTAATAACAATGGGAAGAATAAAGTCATCCTGTGAGTCAGTGAGAGGACTGGGAATGGATCCCGAGGAGCATTACCTTGCAGTCTCTTCTAAATTCTGTTGATATCTCTCCATGTCCCTGAAACTCCTGACATAATGGAAAATGACTTGTCAAATGATGTCATCCACCCAACCAGGAGAAAAAGCTCAGAGGAGCCTCGAACATAGGTTACAGATTGCCACGTCCTCTGGAGGCTGTTGCATTCAGATTTGATCGTGCTGTTGGCAGAATTATGAAGCAACGTAAAATTTGTCTGGGCTGCTCTTAGCTCACTCTTTTCTGTATCCTTTGACCCTCTCTGGGACCCTGGCTTCTAGGCTCCAAGCACCTGGACAGAGCTTCTACCCCTCTACCTCTCCTTTTATTCTTCCATCTATACCAGTATTTAGAAAGGTGACATCATTTCTCCCTGAGAATGAATTTTACGTAAGCACCTCCTACTAACATTGTTGAAGATATGTCCACTTCGTCGTGAGCCCCAGATATTTTCACAGGGTTGCTGAGCATTGTCAGGACCCTCAGTCCATCTGGTGATCTGCCTGGTGTGTTCCAGGAAGGCACACTGGAGTAATTCACTATTGCAGATCACTGTCAAATATGAAGTCTAGGTACCAAAGAGAAGTAGTAGTAGTCAGGGTACCCTAGCTGGTAAACTGACTAAATAGATTGAATTGTAGAAAAATACAGATCTACAAAAGTGATTAAGGTTCTAGCTTTAACTTTGCCCAGAGGCAAATTGCTGGGTTTCTATGCCTAAAAAGGATCAAAGGACCAGTTGACTCAATGGTGCAATTTGCATTAGGTCCATTTAACTCAAAAAAACATTTTACCTTCAAGGAGTTTATGAGTCATTTCTATATTCTCTTTCCAACATCTATAATACCCTCCTGTAATATGCTCTCACATTATCCCTGCTTATTGAGATCACAAGAGGGGCCACCAGGTGATGGAGAGCTAAACTATAATTAGAAAAACGTATCTCTGTACTTGCAGGTAATACAGATTTAGCACCTCACTTGGCTGGCCAACCTCTTTTTGCGACTTCAAAATCATTCAATACTATCCATTTTCAAGGAAATGGGGAACACTTCCAAGTTGTTTGTTATTACCATGTACCTATCAGAGTCCCCACTTTCTAGGAACACAAGGTGTTATCAGTGTCAGATGATCCAATTCACAAGTGGTTGTTAACTGCTGGTCAGCTGAAGATGTCACTGATGCTCTGTCCATTCTTGGGCGCCTCTCAGGGACTTCAGCTTGCACTGCCCATTCAAGTACCAACCACGCACCATAGAATGAGAAGTTGGAGGGAAAATATTTAGGCCTACACTTTGCTCCTAATTTTCTCGTGTTTTAAATGCAAACTAATGGAATCTGCAAGAAATATCAGCAAAGTAAGTGTGCAAATATAGTTGCCAGAGGCCTTTTCAGGATCCTTATCCTTTCAATGAGACTTAGAACACGCCTCTGTCATTTCCTAACATTTTGGTTTGCTGGGTTTTTATTAACTACTTGACATCGATTTTTAGAAATCTTCTTTGGGGGTAGGGACTACATTTTTTCCACTTCTTATTTTCAATATTTATTTTTCCATTCTGAAGCTTAATCTCAGGGGGAAGTTCCTTGGTCAGTGTTTGGGAAAATTACTTTTGGGGCTGTTGCCAGACCTCTGGGTGACTTTGAAGTCCAGACAGCACCAAACTAAACATGGTCATAGCCCTTTTGCTGCTATTTGTGTAAGTGTCTGTTGCATTGGGTGCCTCTGGGCAGGCCCAGGGAAACTTTGGAAATTAGATTGATTCCAATGAATAAATTAACTCAACAATATTGCACAGATAAAATCAACCTGATTTTGATGACTCTGGAATGGATGAACATTTGTAAATATGCCTTTACATTTCCAAAATAACATGGGCTAAAGAGGTGACAGAAGTCATTACTTTTAAATCTTCTATCAACATCATTTTAGGAGATTTTAGGAGTCAAACTGAGGGATAATAGTTTGGAAAGTTTTGTGGAATTTTTTGTAAGGCTAAATATCCGATATTGCCAAGGGGTGTGGTGGGGCTGATACATGAGGATGACTTATTAGGGGAAGTTCAGCTCCTTTTCCAGGTGCCTAAGACATTACTTTGACAACCTGTTGAGGAAATTAACCCATGACATTGGTAACAGAGAAAAGATCGAATGCACCACCCTTTTTTCATCTGTTTAACCAGGCCCTCTATTTGTCTTATATTTGTTTCACCCATCTGCACTCTGTAATGTAGATTGGTACTGCTACTGTTCCTCACACTCCAAATCTTTGACACTGTTAAATCTTGAGAGGATAAAATAGCTCTTAGACTCCATGAAGGGCAATGACAGAATTGGTATGGTTACTACCGGGTATTCAGGGAAAGTCCATATGTATAAAGATTTCTCCATGTTTCTGAGCTGTGATCACCATGATTTTGTATTTAGTAATAGACCTAGTATAGTATTTATCTTTTGCTGCATAACAAATTGTCCCCAAACTTAACAGCTGCAAACAACAGCAACCATCCATTATGTCATAGTTTTTGAGAGTCAGGAGCGAGGTGGTTCTGGCTCACGGTCTCTTATATTGTTGGCCAGGGCTACAGGCATCTGAAGGCTTGAGTGAGGTTGGAAGAAGATCCACTTCTTTTTTTTTTTTTTCAAGATGGAGTCTTGCTCTGTTGCCCAGGCTGGAGTTCAGTGGTGTGAGCTCGGCTCACTGCTCAGCTCACTGCAACCTTCACCCCCAAGGTTCAAGCAGTTCTCTTGCCTCAGCCTCCCAAGTAGATGGGATTACAGGCGCTGGCCACAATGCCTAGCTAATTTTTGTATTTTTTTGTTTGTTTGTTTTGAGACGGTGTCTTGCTCTGTCGCCCAGGCTGGAGTGCAGTGGCTCTATCTAGGCTCACTGCAAGCTCTGCCTCCCGGGTTCACACCATTCTCCTGCCTCAGCCTCCTGAGTAGCTGGGACTACAGGTGCCCGCCACCACGCCCGGCTAATTTTTTGTATTTTTAGTAGAGATGGGGTTTCACCACGTTGGCCAGGCTGATCTCGAACTCTGGGCCTCAAGTGATCTGCCCGTCTCAGCCTACCAAAGTGCTGTGATTACAGGCATGAGCCACTGTGCCTGGCCTGTGGAAAACCCACTTCTAAGAAAGCTCACTCACAGGGTTGGTAAATTGATGCTGCTTTTTGGCAGAAAGCCTCACTTGCTCACCATGCAGAATTCTCCATGGGGTACTTGAGTGTCTTTGTGACATGGTAACTGGGTTCTCCCAGAGTGAGTGATGGAAGAGAAACAGAGGACACAATGTCTTTTATGAGCATGGATGCCACGGACCATCAATTCTGCACATCCTTTTGCTCCGCAGGCCAGCCCTATTCAATGTGGGAGAGGAGGACATGCCAGGAGAAAGAATCATTGAGTGCCGTCTTGGAGACTGCCTACCACACCTAGAATTACTCTGCCATGATACCTTGGACCAGGTGGAGTCTTGGGGAGCTAGGAAGGCATCTGTTTTTTGTGGCTTCTTTGTGGACTACAGTCTTGCCTGCTTCCTAGGCCTCTCCCTAGTGAGGTCTCCCTGGCTGGCTGTCTGCTTTGTTTCCAAGCCTTTAGAAATTTCTCCTATGGGTTGGGCATGGTGGCTGATGCCTGTAATCCCAGCACTGTGGGAGGCCAAGGTAGGTGGATCACCTGAGGTCAGGAGTTTGAGACCAGCCTGGCCAACATGGTGAAATCCAGTCTCTATTAAAACTACAAAAATTAGCTGGGCATGGTGGCACACACCAGTTATCCTAGCTACTCGGGAGGCTGAGGTGGGAGAATCGCTTGAACCCAGGAGGTGGAGGTTGCAGTGAGCTGAGATCATGCCACTGCACTCCAGCCTGGGTGACAGAGCGACACTCCATAGGAAAAAAAAAAAGAAAGAAAGAAAAGAAAAAAGAAATTTATCCTATGGCTGGACTTCAACCTTAAAGGTCCCCAGAATCAGCACATTGCAGAGATGGAAAGGTCAACAGTGGTCTGATTCCCTTCTTCTATTATAAGGAACTATCATTATTTACAAGGTCAATCTAAGATAGTTCTTAGACAGATCACCTGTAATAACCTATTACCTGTGGCTCAAAAGTGAGGGGTCTGGAAATTTCCCTTCGTGATTTGGGCTACTAAGATCCAGAGGGTTGAGAGTTGAAGAGTTACCCTTATACTCCTTCTGTCCTTATTTTAATACTGCGTACTCCCCTGTACACCTAGACCCTTGTCATTGTATGAATGAATGAACAGATAATTGATTTTCAATAAGGAGATGGGAAAATTGCTGAAGACCTTTGATGCCAGGAGTGTGGAGAAGGGGAAGCACTGAAGAGAGGTTTGTCCCAGTATATGCTCCTCCCACTAATTTGGCAGGGATGTGGGTTACGCCAGAGACTGGAGGAATAAGTGGACCAAACCTCTCTTACTCAAATCCTCCCTTCCTTGGGCTTCACTGTCAAATTTCCAAACCAACCATCTTTTCCAGAAAGGGTCCATAGACTGGGCATGGTGGCTCACACCTGTTATCCCAACACTTTGGGAGGCCGAGGCAGGAGGATGTCTTGAGCCCAGGAGTTTGAGACCAGCCTGGGCAACATAGGAAGACCCCATCTCTACAAAAAAAATAAAAAAATTAGCTGAGTCTGGTGATGTGCACCTATAGTCCTGGCTACTCGGGAGGCTGAGATGGGAGGATCACTTGAGCCAGAGAAGTCAAGGCTGCAGTGAGCCATAATTGCACCACTTCACTCTGGCCTGGGTGGCAAAGTAAGACTCTGTCTCAAATAAATAAAAGAAAAAGGGTCCATAGGATTCACTGCTCCTTAGTCCTCATGGCTGTCCACGTGTGCATAACTTCCGGCAAGGTCAACTGAACCGAAACAGAAGTCATTTCCTTAGGGGTGAAACAAATAAGGCATGAAAAACTAAAGGGTAAACAACTGTATTTTTTTGAGGGATGGGACTCTAGCAAAGTATCAGAATTAAGGCAGGCCTTTGAGGTTTTCTTTCCTTAAAATGATGCTTGATTGATCTCCTCAGTCTATACTTTGTGAACACAGTGTCCAATGCAGGCAGCCTTGCTCGCTTCATAGAAAAAAACCACAGCTCTTCTAATTGTGGCTCTAGCCTATGGAGTGATGATTCTCCCTATGTATGTTCTATCTGGGCCAATCCCAGAGAAGTTTAAGACACTGTTGTTCCAGGGGAAGAGCAATAAAATAGCTAGCATGGATGATTTATACCTGGAACTCATTAAATTTGTTTCCTCTTCTACATCTAAGCTAGCCAAGTATTTTTTGCCGTGGTTTGCTGGCATTTTCCCATCCATCTGGACACATGCCAGAGATAACCCCTCTCATAAAGAACTTTGGAACTATGACTTGAAATAGTGCAGACTTGCATCATGTTTAGCTGTTTGGCAAAGTGGCTTGAAAAATGTGAGTACTTGACGATTTCAAACTGTTGGCAATAATAGGATCTTCTGTTTCCAGGAACACTCTCAGGCTTTTAGGTCTTGTTGTTCTGCTTAAATTATACCAGGTACTAGCCATATTTCTAAGAGTATTTCCTAACATGGGGTCTAAGGATTGTTTGTGTGTGTGTGTGTGTGTGTGTGTGTGTGTGTGTGTGTGTGTATGAGACAGAGGAAGATACAGAGACAGAAAGAGACAGAAAGATGGAGAAAAAGAGACAAAAAGAGACAGAGAGGCAGAGATAGAGTCCTCACTCTTGACTGCAGCTCCTGAAGGAGTTCTTAGAAGCAACTGACACTATTGTCGGAGCATCAGAAATTGGAGTGGGAGAATTAGGTGAAGGCTGAATGAAATGTCAGAGAAGGTTGTAAGGACAGAAAGCAGTCATTCACATTAAGAGGTGAAGGAATATTGTCATAGAATAAAGGGAAGGAAAGATAATTTAAAGAAAAGAATAGAGGTCTTAGACAATCTGCTTGATGATCAAGAATTTCTGACACCAAGAAATAGAAGAATGTACACTTCTCAGAAAAGAGACCATTGGATTAGCATAGAAGGAACCTCCCAAGTTCTTCTGAAGGATGTGGCCCCTGCCCAGCCAATTGGAAGAGAACAACCAAAAAGTTTCTTTGTAGTAGAGGATGCACTGTGATCTCAAGAAACAACTCGTAGCTTCTCTCTAACTTAGGGGAACACAAGGAATCCCTGAGAAACCTAGAAGAGCTGATTAAGCTGAGTCACAGCAGGATACAGTGGCTCATGCCTGTAATCCCAGCACTTTGGGAGGCCGAGGCAGGAGGATTACTTCAGTGGGAGTGTTTGAGAGCAGCCTGGGCAACATAGGGAGACCCCATCTCTATAAAAACAAAACAAAAACAAATATTGATTATAATCATGTATGTGCATGGTAGTGCATGCCTGTGATCCCAGCTACTCAGGAGGCTGAGGTGGGAGGATTGCTGGAGCCCAGGAGGTCAAGGCTGCTTTGAGCCAGGATTGTGCCAATGCACTCTAGCCTGAGCAACAGAGAGATATCTCGTTTCAAAAAGAAAAAGAGAAAAGGAAAAAGTTGAGTCACATTTATGACGGGCTGGAGGAATGAACAAAGAAAAGCTAAGAAAAGGGAAAAGATCCAGGGATGTCTGATGGAACCATTCACGTAAGCCAATGGGTGCCGCCAGTGCTCATAAAGACAATACCTGCCTCATCTTAGATGAAAAAATATGGCGCATGAAGACATAAGTGTTTGTATGGTTACATAACTAGTACATGAGCATCATTCTTGTCTTCCCATAGGGTTTGGAGGACTTCATAGTGGTAAGCTTGTCACAAACAGATGAGAGTTAGTGAGCACCTCATGCATAATCCATCCAGCATCACAGGCCTCGTCCCCTGCCTGCTTCCCTCCGCAGCCTCGAGAAAAGTGAACAGCTCTCTCTCTGCTGCTCACACCAATTGGTGCTCCTGGGGTAGCAGATGACTAGACGATGGAAATATTTTATAGATCCTGTGATTTCAAGAGTAGAGAAAGTAGATTTTTGAAGAGGAGAAATCACTTAGAGGAAGTGACCAGGGCTGGTCGGCTTTTTATGGTGGTTCCTTTGCCCCCAAAACCTCTGCCCCTGGTGTTGGTTTATGAAAAATCACAACAGCAGGGATTGTTTGGGATAAGACGTGTCTTCTAGGGGCAGGATGTCGTGGGCTATTAGTCATTCATCATCAGCGTGGATCGGCTGGTGCAGACTGTTTCCTCTATGAGAGCTGATAGTGGTTGTACTGAGGCAACGGATGTTTGATTTGAAAGCAACTGAGGAGCAATTGGGTGATTGTGGAGCATGGAGCATTTTGAAGGGATGAGAAGGGGTGGGATGCTTCAGTGGGAGCTAGAGAGCAGCTCCCAACCGTGGAGACTAAGAATTGAGGGAGCAGGCCAAAAAGAACAGCCCGAGAAACTTCTTCAGGCCCTAATGTAATGGGACGACAGAAATCACAGAGCAGACACCAGAGTGAGTCATCAGGAGGCAGTGCCCTGGGCCCTTCAGCAACCTCTACAGGCGGCTGCTGGTGCTGCTCTGGGGTGGGCTGGGGGTGCATCCTCCAGCGGAGGTGGGAACAGCTGGAACCTCCAGGGCTCCCACGTGCAGCTCTCAGGGCATACACAGTCCAGGACCTGCTGCAATGCTGGCAGCACAAGCACCAGCTATGGGAACTCCAACAGCGTCTGCCTGGCCCCCTCCATGATGTCCAAGGCCAAGGAGGCTAAGAACTGGCGGGACACGGGGTGGTGGAGAACCACATGAGGAATAACCAAGTGCTGGGAACTGGAAGTGATTCTACAAGTGTCCATGCTGTGCAGCGAGTAGCTGAAAGGTGAAGCAGGAGATTCTGACCTGGTCTGCGTTCCCACTTCCCTCCAGGCCTGTCAGCTTCTTTCCCGTCATCAGGAAAGATTCAAAGAACCCTGGGGATCAGTGGCACAAGGGAATCCCAGTGGCCTTCGTCCCAGTGAGCTGAGCTATGAGCCAGAAGTTTACAGGTGTGGTTGAATTCCAAATGGCTGTCAACAAGGCAGGTCCAGTGGTGACAGATAATGGGAATTTTATCTTGGACTGGAAGTTTGACCAGGTACATAAATGGGGTGAAGTGAACAGAGCTGCCAGAATGGTCCCACGTGTGGTGGACACAGGCCTGTTCATCCACATGGCTGAGAGAGCCTACTTCAGGATGCAGGATGGCTCAGTGAACAGGAGGGAACAGCCTTTCTGTTGACCTTGCAAGCAGCAGAGTGTCTTCACCCTCGAACCACAGGTCACAGCCAAGGGGGATGTTTCTTTCCAGGGGCCTTTGCCTTCATGTGTCTGTGCCAGGGTGGACAACTGGCAGAAGGGAGAAGGCAGGGCAGTTAAATCCAGTCTTCTGAAGTATTGTTATTAAGTATCTTTTTTTTTTTGAGATAGGGTCTTGCTCTGTCACCCAGGCTGGAGTGCAGTGGCGTGATCTTGGCTCACTGCAGCCTCCGTTTCCTGGGTTCAAGCAATTCTCGTGCCTCAGCCTTCCAAATAGCTGGGATTACAGGTGCCCACCACCATTCCCAGCTAATTTTTGTATTTTTCGTAGAGACAGGGTTTTGCCATGTTGACCAGGCTGGTCTCGAGCTCCTGACCCGAAGTGATCTGCCCGCCTTGGCTTTCCGTAGTGCTGGGATTACAGGTGTGAGCCACTGTGCCCAGCCTGTTATTAAATATCTTTTAAAAGAGAGAAATATAAATATGTATTTTTACTATTAAAGTATTCAGGGTTTTTTAATAAAGATAAAAAAAGAGAAATCATAGTGAGGTCTGAGGATGGGTTTCCTGAGTTGTGCGCTTGGAATAGTAGTGGGAGTTAGGGTAAAAGAGTTCACTTTAGGAAATCAGAATTTAGTGTTTCTTTGCTGCAGGACTCCTCTGAGACTTTAATATGCTAATGAGCATCATGCATATCCAAAAAAGACTGCAATATAAAGTGTGTAACAAGTTTATTTTAGCAAACATTTGAAGGGCATCTCAGGGGATTAGTGGTCAACAGGATACATTTTCGACGAATAAATTCTTGTTTATTTGAAACGTCGACATCTAAAATCTTGGGCAGTATTTTCACCTCCGAACTTCAGGTGAAAAGGTGGTGTTAGTTGGGCCATCTGTTTTCTTTCTAATTCTGGAATCTATACCCATAAGAAATGCAAGCAGGTACCATCTGAATGAAGATTGATGGGGCAATGGAAGGAGGTAGGAAAGGCAGCAAAGGCAAAAGTCAGCATTATGAAATCCTCCCAATGCCAAGTGACTCTGAAAAACAGGAGGGGAATGCATTTCCTCCTGCACTCCTCATTCCACAGCTGTGGGACCCACAGCTCAGAGCACCCCATGCTGCAGTTACTAACTTTTCCTCTCCACTGACAATTCACAGACCTGCCCAGCATGTCTCTGTTAAGTCCTACAAGTTTTATCTCCTAAATGGCTCTTGTATTAGCCTGTTCTCACATTGCTATAAAGAAATACCTGAGACTGGTTAATTTATACAGAAAAGAGGTTTAATTGGCTCATGATTCTGCAGGCTGTACAGGAAGCATGATGCTGGCAACTGCTTGGCCTCTGAGGAGGCCTCAGGAAATTTACAGTCATGGCAGAAGGCAAAAGGGGAAGTGAGACGTTTCATATGGCCAGAGCAGGAGGAAAAATATGGGGGAGATACTACCTACTTTTAAGCAACCATATCTCATGAGAACTCACTCACTATCATGAGACTAGCACTAGGTAGATGGAGCTAAACCATCAGAAACCACACCCATGGTACATTCACCTCCCACCGGGCCCCACTTCCAACACTGAGGGTTACAACTGAGCATGAGATTTGGGTGGGGACATAGATCCAAACCGTATCAGCTCTCAAATAGAACTAGTATGTGATCTAGCAACACCACTGCTGGGTATATATCCAAACAAAAAGACATCCATATATTTAAGAAATATCTGCACCTCCCATGTCTGCTGCAGCACTATTCACAATAGCCAAGATATGGAATCAGCTTAAGTGTCCATCAGTGGATGAATGGATAAAGAAAGTGTGGTACATATACATAATGGAATACTATTCAGCCTTAAGAAGAATGAAATCCTGTCATTTGCAACAACATGGATGAAACTGGAGGACATTATATTAAGTGAAATAAGCGAGGCACAGAAAGACAAATACTGCATCTTCTCACTCATATGTGAGAGCTAAAAAAAGCTGAACTCATGGAGATAGAGAGCAGAATGCTGGTTACCAGAGGCTGGAAAGGGCAGTCTGGAGGAGGGGATAGCGAGAGGATGGTTAGTAGGTACAAAAATACAGTTAGATAGAAGGAATAAATCTAGTGTTTAGTTGCACAATAGGGCAACTGGAGTTAACAATAATTTATTATGTATTTTAAAGTAACTGAAAAAGTGGAATTGGAATGTTACTAACACAAAGAAGTGATAAATGCTTGAGGTGGTAGATACCCCACTTACCCACATTTGATCATTATACCTTGTATGCTTGTAGCAAAATATCACATGCACCCCATGAATATGTACAACTACTATGTATCCACAGTAATTAAAAATTTTTAAATATTTAGAAATAGCTCTTAAATCTGTCCCTTCCCTCCAACTCTAACAGTTCCCTAATCTCACACCTGATCTCCCAGCATAGGGCACCATGGGGCTCTCCCATGTCTGCTCCAGCCCCATCTAGCTCATCCTCCGTGCTGCAGTCCCAGCTTCAAACACAAATCAAATCAGGTCAGCACGCCCACCCACCTGCCTCTAGCTGAAAGTCCTCTCATTTTTTCTCGCAGCATGGAGAATCCTTTACTGAGGCTCGGAAGGCCCTGTGTGGCTGCCCCTCACACACCTCTCCTGCCTTTTCTCATCCACACTGTCCCTTGCTCCCTGAAACCCAGCCACATGGGCCCCCTTCCAGCAGATTCCCTGGTGCCATCTGCCACAGGACCTTGGCACATGTGGCCCTCTCTGCTTTTGCCACCCTCCCGCTTTCAGCTCAATCACATTTTCTTAGGGCATGCTTTTCTGGTCTCTCTGGCTGGTTCAGATCCTCCTGTAAGCCCTCATGGTACCATGCACCCCTCCTGTTGACTTCCTGCAGCTGCACTTTGTGTTGATGTCTGCGACTGTATGATTAGTGTCTGCCTTTTGCACTGGGAAGGCCAGTCATATGTTCCATGAGGACAGGCAGTCTTTGTCCATTGCTGCAACTCAACTGCTTAGCATGGTGCCTCATAAATAAGAGAACATCAATCTGATAATACTATTTTATTTCATGGCTTGAGTAATTGGTTGGACCTAAATCCCTTGACAGCAGAGGTTTCTGCCTGAGGTCCATGGAGTATGTATATACCCTTCTACAAAATGTATACAAATATTTGTGCAGTTATGTTTTTCTGAGGGAAAGTGTGCACAGAGGGCTCTATGAACTGCTCCTCTTCCTGCCAAAAAGTTAACCATGGTGGTCCTATAATTATTTGGATTTTCAAAAGAATTACCTCTTACCGAAATGGATCTTAAATAACCAACATGTGTCAGGCACAGGAGCCGTTAAGGCCAAGTTCTGACTGATTGGACGGTAAAAGTGCAATGAGACACTCTCAGTGTATTGCTTACCTAGAGAGAAAGGAAAGACCCACCAAAGTGCCAGTTCCCCACGGTCCTTTTCCCACATGTGACAGAGCAGGACACCAAGGCAGGAGGAACCATGACAGCAGCTTGAGTTGGGAGGAACCCTGTTGCCAAGAGCCCAGTCTTAGACGGCAGCTAAGCAGGTTCATCATCTGCAGTTTTTTTTTCTCAAGAGGGCAAGGAAGGAAACCTCATTCTTCTTCACAACCTGGGATATGATGGGAATTAACCTTCTAACAGCCTCCCAGAAGAGACAGGCAGGGAAGGGGAGAGGGCCTTCCAGGGAGGGCCGTAAGTAGCTCTGCAGGCTCAGAGGAGCTGCGACTCAAGTCTCCTCTGCCTGCAGGACTTATGTGGACATGTGCAGGGTGTCCCAGGTGCGAGGGGGAGCAGCTTCTTTACAACAGGTTAACAACAGAGCGTGAATATTTCTAGGCAGAGTGAGAGAGGATCATGTTGGCCCATCCAGTCATTCAGTGTGCAGGCAGAATATTTCTCACTGCTGCTTCTCTCCTGGTTTCAACTGCCGGAAACTCTTCCTGCTTTTCATTCCTCTAATTGCTTACAGTCTCCAAAACCTCAAATGCTTATTTATGTTTTTGTCCCCTAATGGTTCTCACAACAGCAGCAGTGGACCAGAGCTGTCTAGTTGTAAGAATAAGAATTTTCTGGATCCAGAGCCAGAATTGTTAGGGAGGACTGTGGTGATGCATTCTGCATTTCTTTCTCTTTCTTTCTTTCTTTCTTTCTTTCTTTCTTTCTTTCTTTCTTTCTTTCTTTCTTTCTTTCTTTCTTTCTCTCTCTCTCTTTCCTTCCTTCCTTCCTTCCCTCTTCCTTCCTTCCTTCCTTCCTTCCTTCCTTCCTTCCTTCCTTCCTTCCTTCCTTCCTTTCTTTTCTTTTTTTGAGGTGGAGTCTCACTCTGTCTCCCAGGCTGGAGTGCAGTGGCACGATCTTGGCTCACTGCAAGCTCCGCCTCCCAGGTTCAAGCAATTCTTCTGCCTCAGCCTCCCGAGTAGCTGGGATTACAGGCATCTGCTACCACGCCCGGTTAATTTTTGTATTTTTAGTAGAGATGGGGTTTTGTTATGTTGGCCAGGCTGATCTCGAATGCCTGACCTCGGGTGATCCACCCGCCTCAGCCTCCCAAAGTGCTGGGATTACAGGCATGAGCCACCTAGCTCAGCCACATTCCGCATTTCTAACAATTGCTTGAAAAGGCACTGTTTATGAGTGGAGAATTGTTTGTATTTAAGAGACAGCCTCAGGTAGTGGAAAGCCCAGTTTTGCTGCTGAGAATGTGTGGTGGTGATGATTCATGGATCCGTGGGTAAAAATGCTGTCTGCTCCCTGTCTCTGGTGAGCTGACTGTAACAAGGCCTCCAGTGAGGCTTGCGGAGACTCGCTTAAGCTCCCCGGAGGAGGTGAGGGAAAATCCCAGAAGATGCAAATTGAGTTCTCTTACAGTGAAAGGACATAGCCCCTGGTGATAAGCAGCCCACACTCTGGTTTTAATAAGCTTGAGGTTTGGTACTTCTTAGTAATGAGCAGAATTTAAAGGAAATGAAACCAACTCAGAAGTTTTAGCTCATTTGTTGTATAGCAGAAAGCACCAATTAGTGATTGGAATAGCGGTAGGTAATGTCTTGCAACGAAGTGACAAGGTAGAAAAAGGATTTGGGATTTCTCCAGCCTACTTTATGGCTGATAGAATTTTGGTCTCTCTCTCACAAAATAATGTGTAGGCCCTTATCTAATTAGGAAACAAGGTGATTGGCTGTCTAAGGCAATGTCATGCCTGAGTAGCATTGGTAAGATCCTCCTTAGTCCAGGAACTGTAGCATGTTTAAGGCCATTGTAATGTTAGCATCAACAACCCTGGAAGGGTTTTTTTTTTTTTAATTCACCCCAAGAGAATGTTTTCAGTGGAACTCAGCGACATCCTGAAGTTGAAATAAATGTCCATGTGTCTCCAAGCAAATGCCCCATGTCTCTTACATTTAACCATACAGAAGAAACAGTAAGCAGCATGAATCCTTTCATTTTCCTGGGTAATAGGTAAGTGGCAAAAAGAATTGGCTTTTGACATTGAAGGAGGCCCTAAAACTCTGACCTACTGAATGTGTTGCTGACAGCAGTGTAACTACATTGGGGTAGTGCCGGAGATGGGGCCAATCACCATGGAAAACCCTGAACCAACTAGCTGGGCATGGTGGTGAGCTCCTGTAATCCCAGCTACTCTGGAGGCTGAGGCAGGAGAATCGCTTGAACCCGGGAGGTGGAGGCTTCAGTAAGCCAAGATCGCGCCACTGCACTCTAGCCTGGGAGACAGAGCTAGACTCTGTTTCCAAAAAAGGAAATGCAGAATGCGTCACCACAGTCCTCCCTAACAATTCCAGCCCTGGATCCAGAAAATTTTTATTCTTACAACTAGACAGCTCTGGTCCACTGCTGCTGTTATGAGAACCATTAGGGGACAAAAAGAAATAAGCGTTTGAGGTTTTAGGGACTGTAAGCAATTAGAGGAATGAAAAGCAGGAAGAGTTTCCAACAGTTGAAACCCTGAAGCATTCCAGGGTTTTCTCTCCAGGAACCTCAAGGGCCACATGAAGGAACACTGGACTTTCTGTAGGATCACTGCTCCTTTGGCATCCACGGAGTCACAGTGAAGGACATTCCCAACAATGTTTTGGGTGGCTGATGGGAAGACAGTGGTCATGGAACCAAAGGATTTGGAAAAACTTACAAACGAAGACACAAACTGGAAACGTAATCCTTGAGTTCTTAAAGGCTTTCTCAGACATGACCTTGATTTGTACTTTTTTGCCTCTGAAATGGGAGTATAATTCTGCTCTTTCAAAGGTACCATAAGGGCTGATGAATTAAACAACATAAATTATTTTTGCAAATATAAAACTCTAATACAAATAAAGAAATCATAGTACATATAGACCCTTCATAGCCTATAAAAAGAATTAATGTGGATGCAGAAAGCTATTCTATTTAAATGGTTAAAAAATGAGTAGCAGTTCCTTTCTGTTTGGATTTTAATTGAAGCCTAGGGATTTATGTGAGGAAACACCTGACTGAGCATGGACAAGGACAATTATTTGGAGAGAAAAATATGGTTTTGAAATTCACACCCAGTGCCAGGGCTCTGAAGGTGCATGCCAGGTTTCAGGGAACATTGTCTGGTCTCAGGGGAGTACACATGCAGAAATTTACTTTGCTTCTAATTTATATAGTATGAGACAAAACTAAAACATGGGTGACCGTTTCCCTGAGATCTCAGGAATGTTATAAGGGATGTTGTTAATAGAAGGAAACAAATGGAAAAAATTCCTCTGCTCCCATTTAAAAATGTCACCACACTGAAGAGGAAACCCGTAATAGTGCTTATCTCTCAATACAGTTTTGCATCTGAGCTTGGCCAAAGATGTCTCCACGTTTCTCCCTGTTTTGCTTAAGCATCCCAATTCCAATGCCTAATAAACCGATAGCATCCTAGTATTGTTAGACACACCCAGAGTGAAACCTAATAACTGAAAGCCCATATCAAATCAGAGAGCTGCCCTCACGGGTGAGAGAGACAGGGAGAAGGACAGGCTTTGGGGCTGCCCAGGGATGAGCTAGGAGAGCCGAGGTCAGACTCCCGTCATGATTTGGCTCAAGGGTTTTGCATTCCAGTTTCAATTCAGGTTCCAGCACGTATAGTGACTCATAAACAGGGCACAAACGAGCATGGATGTTGTGATTAACCAAGAAAAAGGAATGGAACAAAGCAGACAGCAAAGTGGGTGGGAAACGTTCCCGGGGTTGCTGCGGAGTCAGAAGCAGGGAGTGACTGCAGGTCAGACTGCATCAGGCTGGGGACGTGTATTTCCGAAGGGGAATGGTGAGGGGGACAGAGGTGGTCGGGAGATGCCAGAACACATCCGTCTCATCTTGATGGCAATCTCACTGCAGTATTTTGGTCAAAAGGAGGGAAAAACACAGACTGGATGAGCTGGGTGAGCACAGAGAGAAGTGGGCACCCTGGCTGTGTCCCAGAATTTCCATACGGGGGAACCATGGGCCAGATGAGCAGTGGGACCACCACCGCTCATGAGGGACAACAAGCAGCCCTGGGCAGTATTGGGCCTATTCAGGCACGGGGGGAGTGAGGGTAGGGCAGGGAATGGGGATCTGCCACTTGCCTTTAATGAGTGGTCTTAGAAGTCCCAACTTTAGGGCTAATTTTTAGAATCAAGATGTAACTTATATACAGTCAAGCTTGAGGAATGTTTGCATATGCATATACCCATGTAAACAACTATATCTATTACCCCAGACTCCTTCATCCCCCTTCCCAATCAAGACCATCATTCAGAGGCAACCACTTCCTGATTTCTATCATCACAGATTCATTTTACCTGTCCTTAGGCTTCATCTCCATGGAATCGTAACAATGTATACTCATTGTGTCTGCCCTTTTCACTCAACAAGATTTATTGGAGATGTGCCCTTGTTTTTGGATGCATCGGTGGGTAGCAATGTGAAGGGCACACTTTTTCCTTCCTTGGGTGCTACTTTCTCTTTCACTGAGTTTGATGTTAAGTGTTAAGAAGCTAGATGTCATACTATGTAAATTCTAAACCAAAAGAGAAGTCCCACATAAAAAATATCTGACAGCATGCTACCAGGGACATCACAATCCCGTGTCCTGCTGTAGCAACTCAGCAGACATGTTTTTGTTGCGTGGTTTTTACTGTGTGTGCTTCTCTGCCTTCCACTGCGGGGTAAACCCTTCCCCCAGGCTTGTGAAGGTGGCCTTTTGTTTTCAAAGAGCCACAGAACTGCTACTGGCTAAATCACAGGGTGTTTAAGGCTGTGATTGAAATTTAGGAGCCAGCACTCAATGTCACCTTTGATGATCTAAAATTGCACACAAGGTAAACCGGATCTCCCCATAATAGATGGCACACAGAAGCTCATTTTTAGATTGTGTTCTCACAGGGTCTTGCTGCAGTTGACTGATGTTATTAAACTTTAAGGACCCCTCTGGGAAGGAGGTTTGCTCTGAATAGCAGTGTTCTCAGGGAGATTGTGACCTGGTGACCTCACCCAATTGAATCTCTTTCATTTTATAGAAAATCTGAAGCTCCTCATTATGAAGCTGACCAAGAATAGCAGTGCAGCTTTTTCCTTTTCTGCTTTAGCACATTCCAGGGGATCAGAGGCTGAGCTTCCTGAATATAACCGGGACATGAGCTTATGGAAATGGAATGAGACCAAGGATGTACAGAGTGAAATTCACACATGCTGCACAATGAGCAATGCCGCGTCCCTAACTAAGCAAGTGGCACCAAGGGTCCCTTTACCTTTGGTAACTGTAACAGAAACAGATCTCCTTTTTATAGTTCTGTCTCTGCAGAACAGCAGCCCTGAAAAGCTAATTGGTCCTCAGCCATGGTGACAGTGTCTATGCGCTCCCTTGACAGTGAACACTCAGGCCTGTGGCTTTGAAGCCCCTGGGGAGGGAGAAAGAGGGCAGCCAGGGTGGTCCCTTTTCATGGCAGGAAATTGCCAGATAGGCTTGTGTGAAAAATGTCCCAAAAGAGTGAGTAACCCTCCCCTATGCGAGTGTCTGATTAATACTGAAGGGTGGTGATTTTCTGCACAGAAAGCAACAGACAAAAGCATTTAGAAAGAAGAAATGAAGAAAAGTTAATTTACAAAGACGTGAAGGGAGTCAGATTTCAAAAGGACTGATCCTCCTTAGAAAGAACCAAATACAGGAAGAAAACCATAGCCTTACAAGTTGGTCAAATTTATATTACTTCGTTCTTGGTGGAATACAATAACTTTTTCACACGATCATCATACTCACACGTGTTGGCATTGTGAAAGTCAGGGATAAAGCCATTTTTTGTTTGTTTGTTTGTTTTTGGTTTAGAGAGTCAGGCAGGGTTGTTGGAATTGTTCAAGTTTTTATTATCTGGGGGAACAGACATCAACAGAGCGACCCTATTATTTTTGGTTTATCTCAGAGTGCAAACTCTTTCCCCTTTTTTCCTAACTGTACTATGTCATATTCTTAATCACAGTGAAGCAGAGCAAAGGATCAGTTTTGCCTAGGGAGATCCCTCTTTTGTTCAAGTTCCCCGTCCCTAAGGTGCAGTTTGGTCACATAAGATGCCTAGTGATTTTCCGACTCAGTATCATTAATTTGATATTTTGCTTTATTTGATGATTTTTATTTTCATAGGAGCAATGAGTGTTACACATTACACAAGGACCCCCCCTTTTTTTTTAGTTTTAATAAAGCTAGAGCAACATGATATTAACACTTAAAAGTTAGTGCTGGAGGCCTTGTTAAACCCCTAAGGGTATAATTTACCTTTATATTTCAGAAGTATTTTGTTTTCCTTCTCAGTTGGTCCACTGAGATCAGGAACCAAGAACCATCCAATTCACATCTACCAGCCTTTGCCCAGCCTTTGCCCAAAGTGCCTCTAACTTTTAAAAGTATTAGAGTCTCATCTTTCCCTGATATCTTTTTGTTGTCAATATTCCCTGCCTGCCTTTGAGGCAGGGGTCCCATAAGTCACAGAGCAGACTGTAGATCAATTTCATGGGAGGACCTCGAGGGCCTTACTCCCCACATGTGGAGGCATAGTCCCTGGGCTTGTCTTACCTAATTAGATGAGGTTTCTGGCATGATCGTGGTTATAGATTTGATTTATCCAATTATACCCTGGCTGGAAAAGGAACATATTCTTGTTGAACTTATGCAAATAATTTACAGTTACAGAGAGTAGAGGAATTTAGTGAAGGCACTTTGCATAATATTTAATCGTTATTAGTGTTCCATCTCATTATTTTTTATAAAATCATTATTCCTATATTAATTTATAGTCTATGTTATTAAGACTTTTTTTCCCTGAATTCCAAGGGCTCAGTTGGAACAAGATACCATTTAAAGAAGATTTCACACCAATTTGAACAAGCATAATCTGTCAAATTGAGGGTCAGTGCTAGATTAAGAAGAAAAGGGGTTTCTTGCCATGCCCATTTAAAATAGAATCCTGACTGCAATTAAATCACTGCATTTCATTCACCTCGTCCTAGGGAATTCATTTGTATTTTGTTGATCTTAGACTAAACAGTCTGTTTCCATGAAGTCATTTGCTTCGGGAGGGGAAAAGTTCCAGGATCCTGATTCAGTCTCTTGGTACAGTCTTGCAGTCTGGGGTGAAGAAGTTGGCTCACAATGAGAAGCCTGTACCTATGAGTCTATTCCCTGTAGGTTCAACTGTCTGAGGATCTGGTTCAGTCCTTTACTTAGGCTCCTTTGATATTTCTTTCGGCATCAATTTCTGATTTGTTTTTGTATTTCAGTAAGTGGGGGGGAAAAGCAGAAAATACTTCTGAATGATAAGATTCAAAGGCTTTGCTCAATTTATTAAAATAATCCTAATATCAGAATGTAAAGAAAAATTCTCTCTTGAGATGCAATAAGCAATCAATTTGTTAGGAGTTTGCTGATGCTTGTTCTGAGGTTAAGAACACATAAACAGTGAGGACATTGTGAAATCTTCAGGGTCTCTAATTTATCCCTATGTATTCTGATTGTCATCAATTGACAAGAGTGTTTATGTAGAAAACCAAGATATCTCTTTTTGAAATTAATCTATTTATTTGCAGTTACCATGCCAACCTTTGAACATTAACATGTGTTTTTGATACAAAATTTCATAAGTACTGAAATATTTATATTAATTACATTTAACTTATATGTAATTAATACAGAGACGTTTAGCTTCTATTTTTAATTGCCGGTTTTTCATATTGTGGACATAAGAGTGTTGAATATTTTAAAACTAGAGAATGCCAGATTATTTCAATTACCTGTTTTTTTACTCTCCATATTATCTGTTTTCTTACAAGGCAAGAGATAAAATCTTTGTCACGGCCAATGGACAACTAAAAAACTCTGAAGATACTTTAGGTATAACAGATATCTTGATAGGATTGGTATTCAACTTTGGTCCTGAATTTGGGAAAGTTAATATCAAAAAGAGTTGTCAGAGGTAACATGAGCATTAGTCACAGAGGCATGAAGACAAGAAATAGTTTTAGGTAATATTTTAAATAAACACAGCAATAGGTAAAAATGATTATTAAGAATGGTAGCATTTCAAAACTGAAGATCTATTAAAATGGATTCAAAAGTATAACAAAAAACAATGAGTTACAGAGTATTTTAGTAATAAAGGGAACCACTGATACCTGGACATGTTAAACTATTTAACACTTATCTTTTTCATTCTTTCAATTTTTCATTTTAACAGAAGGAAACCCAAATTCTAATTTTATGCTTTCTGATTACCATAGATATCGTGATCTGCAGTAAATGATACATAAGCCCTTTGCACCCTATGGACAAACGAATTATCACTGGGCCAATTTTGAAAAAATGTTGACTTATTTCTTGGCCTCTTTCAAACTCACTATATTCAGGCTAGTAAGTTTACATTTTGTTCCTTTCTGCACTTGTGGTATACCCCCTCAGATTGTCTTCTATCATTGTCTTGTTTTGGCACAAGCAGACAATTTTATTTAAAACAAAACAAACACGCACACAGTGCAATACATCTTTAACAAATCTTAAAGGGACAAGTTTATACATGCATTTTAACCTGCTAACTGATGACAAGAGTACAGTAAAACTAGTGTTTTTAGGAATACAAGATAGGTACTAAGTTTGATTTTCTATTAGTTTGAAGTTTTAAAGTTAATGATTCTGAAAATACAATTTGAACCAATGTATTGAGGAGAAACAAAGGTCTGTCAGACAGCCATTTAGTGAGAGAAATTATTTCTTTAAAAAATATGGAGGTAGAGGCTGGCTGTAGTGGCTAATGCCTGTAATCCCAGTCCTTTGGGAAGCTGAGTCAGGTGGATGGCTTGAGTTCGGGAGTTTGAGACCAGCCTGGGCAACATAGTGAAACCTTGTCTCTACAGAAAAATTAGCCAGGTGTGGCAGCACGTGCTTGTAGTCCCAGCTACTGGAGAGCTGAAGTGGGAGAATCGCTTGAACTTGGGAGGTGGAGGCTGCTGTGAGCTGAGATCATGAGTGAGACCACTGCACTCCAACCTGCATGATAGAGTGAGACCCTGCCTCAAAAAAGAAACCAAACCAAACCAAAACCAAAACCAAAACAATAAAACAAATGGACATGGGACAACTGGTATCCACATGTAAAAGAATTAAGTTGGACTCTTACCTCACACCATATGCAAAAATGAACTCAAAATTGATCAACAACCTAAATACAAAAGCTAAACTGTAAAACTCTTAAAAGAAAACTTAGGAATAAACATTTAGGATTCTGAATTTAGTAATGGATTCTTAGATATGACACCAAAAGCACAGCAACAAAAGAAAAAAACACATTGCACTTCACCAAAATTGAAAACTTTTGAATGTCAAAAGACATCATCAAGAAAGTGAAAAGATAACCTGTAGAATGGGAGAAAATATTTGCAATCGTATATCTGTTATGGGCCTAGTGTCCAGAATAAAGAACTTTTACAACTCAACAGCAAAAAGACAAAAAACCCAATTTTAAAATGGGCAAAGAACTTGAAATAGACTTCTCCAAATATATGCAAATGGCCAAAATACACATGAAAAGATGCTCAACAACATTGGTTATTAGCAAAGTGCAAATCAAAACCACAATGAGATATGACCTTACAGTCACTACAATAGCTAAGTAAAAGAAAAAAAACATAAAATAATAAATATTGGCCAGGATGCAGAGAAATTGGAATCCTTGCACAGTGCTGGTGAGAATGTAAAATGGTGCAGCCATTGTGGAAAACAATTTTGTGGTTTCTGAAAAAGTTAAACATAAAATTACTATATGATCCAGCAATTCTACTCCTGGGTATATACTCAAAAGAATTGAACAGAAGTACTCAAACAAATACTTGTACATGAATGTTCATAGCAGCACTATTCACAATAGCCAAAAGGTAGAAACCACCCGAATGTTTATCAAAGGATGAATGAATAAACAAAATGTGGTCTAGCCAGATGTGGTGGCATAAGCCAATAATTCCAGCTATTCAGGAGGCTGAGGAGGAGGATTGCATGAGGTCAGGAATTTGAGACCAGCCTGGGCAACACAGTGAGAACCTGCTTCATAAAATTAAGAAAAATTAAAAAAGAAAAAGAAAAAGGAAACAAAAACAAAATGTGGTATATACATACAATGCAATATTATTCAGTCATAAAAAAGAATGAAATACTGAAATACACTACAGCATGGATGAACCTCAAAAACATTATGTTAAGTAAAGGAAGCCAGACACAAAAGGCCACATATTGTATGATTCCATTTATCAGAAATACCCAGAACGGAAAAGTCCATAGAGACAGAAGACTGGTGGTTGCCAGTGGCTGGGGGTAGGGAGGATTAGGGAGTGGCTGTTTAATGTATACGAGGTTTTCTGGGGGTGATGAAAACCACATCTAGTTTTGAAACTAGATATAGAGGTGGAAGTTGTACAACATTGTGAATGTACTAAATGCTATTGAATTATATACTTTAAAATGATTATTCTTATGTGAATTTCAATTAAAAAGCAGGGATTTTCTATGTTTCTATGTATATATACAAATATATATATGATATTTAGAATTATAAATTTTAATAAGAATAAACCCTTTTGAACATAAGTTAATATAAATTATTTAGTTGGACAAATAATTTTACATTTTTGTAATAACTATAACTTTCTTGACTCATAAAACGTTAAAGCATTCAGATTAATTAGGCTTTCCTTGAGAAAATAAATCCAAGTTTAGTATAAGCTAGAGTATTATTTTTTGTATTGTGATGAAAAAACAAGTAGAATATAATCATTTTGAATGAAAATTTTTACCTGACACAAGACTATATTTTAAACTTTTAGATAGATTTATACTTTATACACCTCTAGATTTACAAACCAAATATTAAAAACTCTTTAAATTGTGTTTCCGTCCCTTAGCATTCCTTTGTTTTTTATCTTGTAACCTATAACCAAAGCCACTAATTTATCTAAGAGTTAAACTTTTTTGTTCCTCTGAAGTATAGATTTAGCAAGCTTTTGCAGTTTTTTCTTAAAGAACTTTCATATTGAAAGCATTAAATTTGATTTTCCACATTCTTTCTGCAATTAATTTTACACTTATTTTAAACCTTTAAAATTATTATTTGAAATTGGTAATTGTTTCTTTGGTTCTCTATGCCAATCGAGACAAGTCTTCTGCTAAACATAAGCAACTTTATCATGTAAGTAGCTCATTTTCTCCTCTTTGATGTTAGATCTGACTGAACCAGTTAGCCATAGACCACACACAAAATAAAAGAGCTTTATAACCCACTAATCACTGAAAGTTTTTTGAGAGATGAGGAGAGAGAAAAAGAAAAGGAGAGGTGGGAGAAGAGAAGGGAGGGGTAGCCACAAATACAAAATGTAGTAAACAAACTATATAAAGGGAGGTTAATCACTTTCATTTTGCCAGAAGAGAAAGCAATTCTTTTTTTCACACAGGAAAAGAACTAGTAGCTTCATGACTTTTCTAACTTCAGCTGGAGGTAAAAAATAAACACAGAATACAAAACTCATGGATCCAGCCTTTCCAGATCTCAAAAGGCTGTTTGCCTTTTCAGTAGGCGCAGGAAAGTTTCTTGAGTGATGGAAGCTCATAGAAGAAAAGTTTGCTTTGCTGGTAAGTAGCCATCAGCACAGTTTCCAGAGAATCTGAGAGGGAGAAGATAGCCAAGGCTTTTGCCCCAGTTAATTTCAACTGAAGCTCATGAAGATTAGTTTACTGTAAGTTAGGTACATACTTGTACATGGCCTGATGGTTCTTTCCATATCAAATCTTGTTGCCAGCTTAGACTATTTCTAAAACATGTCTCTTCAATTTGTAGAATGTTTGTACTAACATTTCAACAACAAAAGATGTCAGACTCCCCACCCAAAGAAACAAACAAAAAAGATGGGTAAACCCCTTCTGTTACTTGCCCCATTGCCCCTGTTAATGTCTTTCAGCCATTAATAGGGAATTAATTACTGCCCTTCCTCAAACCAGAAATGGAACCAGACTTGATCTAGAAATGAAAATAGAAACAACTCCAGAAAACTACAGTTAGGAAAGAAAAAAAAAAAAGGCAGTGATGGTAAAACTTTATTCTTGTGTGAGATTCATTTTAGAAACCAGAAGACTTGTCCTGGTTTAACGGCACATGTGGTAAATGTGGCTCTTTGGTAAAATAGTTTAGTCGGCTCAAGCAGTTAAGGGTGAGGGTAAAACAAACAAACAAACAAAAATTTTTTTTAACAAAACTAAGGTTTATAGGACCTGCTCAAGTTTTTCTTGAGGGCCATAACTAGGCAGAAGGACTGTGTTATTTTGGGTTTATCTCAAGGTGCAGCTGGTCTTCTTTTTTCCTATTTTATGTCATGTATTTAAGATGGCAGCAGGGGACAGTTAGTTTTGGGGGATATGACAATGTGAAGTGTTTTCTGGAGTCTTTGGGATCTCTAATCACACCTTGCAAGTTCTCCGAAGAATGAACAAGTCTGGTATGGTTTGGATGCTTGTCTCCTCCAAATTTCATGTTGAAACATGACCTCCAATGTTGGAGGTTGGCCCAGTGGGCGGTGTTTGGGTCATGGGGTGGAACCTTCATGAATGGCTTGTTGCTGTCCTCCCCGTAATGAGTGGATTCTCACTCCACTAGTTCACACGAGAGCTGGTTATGTAAAAGAATGTGGCACCCCTTCCTCTCTCTCTCTCACCACATGACACTCCTGCTCCCCCTTTGCCTTCCCACCATGAGTAACAGCTTCCTGAGGCCTCACCAGAAGCCTAGCAGATGCTGGCACCATGCTCGTACAGCCTGCAAAACCATGAGCCAAATAAACCTCTTTTCTTTATAAATTACCCAGTCTCATGTATTCCCTTTATAGCAAGGCAAAATGGACTGACACAAGGTCCTTGCAAGAGAAAGGTGCCAAAACTGGATTTAAAAAAAATGAAGAAGTCCTGAAAATGATGGCATGGTGGCAGCTGGCTGTTGTGACCTACAGCTGGACTTTGTGGGGCAGGGCTTCCCAATCCTGGGTATACATTAGAAACATCTAGGGAGCTTTTAAAAAAATAACAGTCCTCATGTCTCACCCTTAGAGATCTGATTTAGTTCTCCTGGGGTGAGGCCTGGATATTGGTTTGCTTTTTTAAAGCTCGCCAGGTGATTCTATACGCAACCAGAGTTGAGAACCAACATCTACAGCCCCCAGTTTTCCAGAAGCTGCTTGAATCTACCCAAAGAGAGTCTACCAAGCTTCTGAGCCTTCTTGTATGCTTTTAAAGCTGCATCAACATATTTTCCAAATCCTGCTGGAGAAACAGGAAACCAAGCTTGTGTTCCAATTTGTAAACCTAAAGTAGGGCACCCTAAGGGCAGGAGACAGAGTCTGATCCCAGGAGCTGGGAAAAATAGTTTGGTTACAAGTATTTGAACTGGGAAGAAATCATTTTAAAAAGTCCATCAACCATCAGGTTTTGGTCTTTGAAATGAATTTACACTCTTCTGTGGGACTTTAGTGTTTGATCATTCAGATCAACAAACATATTTATTATTCACTCTATTCCATGCTTGTTTGAAGCCTGCTGTTTTCCTCGTAGAAGAGGATATGGAGGTGAATGAGTCTTGAGGAAGCTCTAGAACAATATTTCTCAAGTATGCACAGTGACATAAATGTTCAGGGAAAAAAGAAATTTGCATTTAGCTAACTCTAGGAGATACGGCGTATTGTTCTCCTCCTCGTGATTCATAATGCACATTAACATTTTAAGGGATCTAAGAAATTCTACACTAATTAAATGAGCGGTTTCCAGATTTCAGTGACTAGGAATTATCTCCCTTTCTTTTTTTTTTTTTTTGTCCTTCAGGTAACAGCCATTATCATCCTGCAGAATTAGTGGTCCATGAAATACACTTTGGGCAATGCTTTATTACAGGATTTTATCTCCAATTTTTTTTTGGTGGAAGGGGGAGGTAGTGGGAAATAAATCTCCAATTTGTGTGAGAAATAAATGCTTCATACTAAAGCATTTTTAAAGCCTCCAGCTCGATTTAGGGGGTTTAGCCAGGAGCCATGGCTGGAGGTGCTGTCAATGGAGGTGATTATCCAAGGCCTCCATTTTGGTGTGTGTTCTGTGGCACTGTGATGTGTTTGTGGCCATCTCTGCCACTAGCCTGTGTGATACTGAAGGGTGTGATGTGTACCTGTGTTGAATGAATGATTCATTCATTTGGCATTTATTGAGTGCCTCCTGAGAGCCAAGCCCTACACAAGAAGATAAGACTGTGCTTCTGCTGTAGTGAGCACCTGAGCAGGGTCATGTTCCTCTCCACCATCCTAAATTTCTAGGCCCAGGAATTGAATGTGTCTCACTTGTTCGAAGAGATTAATATGTAGCAAGGGGCCTGGTTGAAGCAGAGTTATTCTTTGCTGGAGACTAGTCATAACCCAGTCTCCCCAGAGAATCTGAGAAAGAGAGGCCAGGCGGGACTCTGTCCTGCTTGTGCCCCAGTTAATCTTCCACTGGGACTTCCCAAAATTGGCTCATTATAACTTAAATATTTCCTTGTACAGGGCCTGATGGTACTTCTTTCTATATCAGATCTTGTTACCAGCTTTGGATGATTATGAAACATGTCTCTCCTCATTTTACAGGATGTTCGTATTAACATTTCTACAGTATACATTTTCAACATATTATTGAAATTACTTTTATCTTCCACATTGTTTCAGTGACAAACGATTTGCAAGATGATAAATCTCAGAAAGCAGTAATGTCAAGACGACAGCAACCTTATGCAAAATTCATAAGTGTTGCCTGGAAGAAGTTAGCAGCGACCAGAACTTAAAGAAATGCTATTATAAGTATTATCATTACTGTAGGTGATCATTATTAAATGACCATCTGAATACTTTTGATATTGGCCACAATAATTAATTGCCGTGAGTTAACTAGTCACTATGCATTTGTTGAGTGCCTCCTGAGAGCCAAGCCCTACACTAGAAGATAAAATAATGGGCAAAACGATTCCTGCCCTTGGACTGTTTCTAATCTAGTTAACAAGATGACTTTGAACAGAAGCAATAAATGTATGCAAAAGCAACTCAAAAGTAACTGATTGAGGCTAAATGACACATTTGCACTTAAAGTGTGGAGACCAAAGAAGGGGTCAAGAGGGGATGAATTAATCAGAAAACATGGAGACAATGAGTTTTAAAGGAGAAATGGTGGCATTTACAGGTAAGGAAAATAAACCTCTAATATATCTATTTAATGAATTATTTAGAACAGCACTTATACATCAAACAAACAAAAAATGTTATTTTTCAAAGATTTGCTTATGCCTTTAATTTTTGAAGTGGGAATGTAAGTGAGAGGGGATTAGGGTCTTAGGAATGTGACACCTAGTGCTGCCATCACTGAGGTCCAATCGGGAATGAAAAATGATTAAGTGGAAGGGTTAAAACCATTTAAGATCATAGTTCCTGTCTTATTGACTAAGAGGAAGAAATAAAGCACTGGCCCCAAAACAGCAATATGTAGCCCAAATCTGTATTTCTTTCTGAAACTCACAATGGAGGCAAATATTTTTCTCCAGACCCAGGATTTAATGCACCAGAACTAGGAAGCAGTTTAAAGACTATAATGAGGAAATTGAATCTGAGCACTCCCTAACCCTTTCAAGATTTTGATCACTTTCTAAATTTAGTCTGCAGAAGGTGAAATTCTTGTAGCAGAGAGCAGTGCTCACTCTGCCCTGTGGCTGCTGAGATGTTTATAGTCCATATGTTCAGGTGGAAATTTGATGTTGGAGTTAAAATTAGTGGCAAACACCATAAGCGGGCCTGATATGAGAGCTGAGGGGAAGAAAAATTAGGAGAAAAGAAGATAAATTAGGAGATATAAAGAATTGCATCTTCATGTCTTCACAATTCTGTTCCATGCAGAAGAAATCCAAAAGACAAATTCAGGAAGGGCTTGCACGCTCTGAGTATATTGGTTTTCCTAAGTCATTTTAGATACTGTGAGATACTAAACAAATTCTATGCAATCCTCTGTGAAAAATGGAGGATTCAGAAAAAGAAAATAATTATTGGCTGCCCCTTGATCATTGTTGGGGAGCAGATTGGAAAGAACAGATTGTTTATATTTCCTAGTCTTTCTCTTTGACGATGCTCTCAAAAGTCACAGATGACAGGACAAAGTGATACTTAAAGAATTGGTTTGTAAATTGTTCGAAGACTCTTAGTGTCCAGGCTACTAAATCTTTTGTCAAGGCTAAGGTTAATTCAAATCTTGGGACCACCTTAATCCCTTTCCCAGAGCTCTCTCTTTGAACAGTCTCAATACCGGCAAATCTTCATCCTTTGAAGGGTTATTCTGAGGATTAAAGGGGATAGTATTTCTAAAGTGCTTCATGCAATTCCTAGCCCTAAATAAGTGGAAGGCATTGTGGGTTTTTTATTTCGGCTATTATTAATATTAGATTTGAGTTTTTGCAAGCAGTGAAAAGCCATTTAGGGGAAAGTCTGATGAATAAGGAGAGGCGGGTGTGCGGTCAGGCCAAGATGTGGTATTTGGAATCCAAAATGCAGGCAAAAATGGTGCGATTTATGTGGTTCATAAGCTGAAAGTTAAAAGTTAGGTTTCGCTCAAAGCTACTAGAAAAGAGAAAGTTTCGAAAATATCTTGGAGCACGTCTGTGCATGCTCAAGGTATCAGGGTTCATTTGTATGTATACTTCCCGGTGTGCTTTCTGCAGGGCAGCATTGGGTGTTTACGGGGAGTTTGAAACCCATCAGGGAAGTCTCTGTTGCTTAGGTTGTGGTTGCAACAAGCCCAAAGGTTCACCTTGCTCCTGTCTAGTGCCTTCTGGGAATAAAGAAGATGCAATTATCTCTTGTGAACAAGCCCAGAGGAACAGCCTCCAGAGGTGGCCTCCCTTTTGACTTCATGATGCAAGGAGTTTGGGTGGTCAGACATACCTGGATTTGAATTCTGGCTCCACCACTTCCTAGCAGTTGGGCAGATTCGGTAGTCATTCTGAGTTCACTTATCTTTTCTAAAAAATTGGGGCAGGTAACACAATCTTCAAAGAAGTTTCTGATTTTGTTTTTATTTTTTGTTATGAAAATTTTCAGAAATCTAAAAAATTCATCAGAATAGTATATATAATAGTATATATCGTAAGCACCTGTGTATTCATAACCCTGGGTTAACACCTATTACTTTCAGCCCATCTTATCTTTTCTCCACTTTAACTCATCTCCCAACCCCAGATTATTGCAAAGTAAATTACAGGTATCGTGTCATTTAATTAATAATTATTTTAGTTGGAACCTCTAAAAGATAAGGTCTGTTTTTAAAAACTGTAACCACAGTGCCTTTGTCACACCTAAAAAAATGATTAGTAATTCCATAATATCAAATATAAGCTATCAAGTCAGTGTTCAAATTTCCCCAACAGTGTCATAATAGTTTTAATAGTTGGTTCAAATCAGCAGTAAAATAAAGTCTCTACATTGCAACTGGCCAATATGTTTCTTACTATGACTGAGACAGGGTCTTGCTCTGACACCCAGGCTGGAGTGCAGGTGGTACAATCATGGGTCACTGTAAGCTTGACCTTCTGGGCTCAAGTAATCCTCTCACATCAGCCTCCCAAGTAGCTGGGACCACAGATGTGTGCAACCATGCCTGGCTAATTATTTAAAAATTATTTATAGGGACGAAGTCTCACTATGTTGCCCAGGCTGGCCTTGAACTGGACTCAAGCGATCCTCCCACCTCTGCCTCCCAAAGTGTTGGGATTATATGGTTGGGTGAACCACCATGCCCGGCTTTGCATGGCTCTTTTAATCACAGATTCTCCCTCCCTCTCATTCTATCACCTTGCTATTTCTTCCTTTTTATTGAGGTAAATTCCCTTGCAATTTGTTGTTTGTCTTGTAGAGTTTCCCACAGTCAGTCAAGAGTTGCTTATGATCTCTAGGAATTGGGTAGTCCTGAGACAGGCAGTCTTCCTTGGTCAGTAAGAGCCCAGGGGATTTAAAAATGTAGGTGATATTATTATTCAGGGATGGTTAGGCAACAGATCAGGAGAGGATGGGTTTTGAAGATAGTCTGTTACTCACAGTTCCCAAGAGGAAGTGGCCACACAATGCCACTGAGGGGCTTATAGGGAAGTGTCAGGGTCAGTCAGAAGGCAGACAGTGTGAAAAAAACGGGGCAAGAGTTTTTACTGTGGTTTCCATGGGAAAGGCAAGATAGGGTAAACAAATTTAGAGTCAGATAATTGGAATAATTTCACCGGGTCCTGCAGTATAAGGACTGTCTCCGGTGGTCTGGTATCTGGGCTTGGGGTTATTAGGGCAGGAGAGTATTGGTCTGGAGTGTAAAAGCTCAACAGGGGTTGTAGGCGTGTTGTGGGAGGAGGTAGGTATGGCTTTGGATTGTTGCTTTGCATACGAAATGCATGATGCATGCTTGAGAACAGGTGGTTTATTATCTCTAGGAACTGTGTGGCCCTGGAACAGGCAATCCCTCTTGGTCAGTAAGGCCCCGGGTATCAAACCATCAGAATAGAAAAATACATGCTTAATACACAAGTTGTGGCCTATTGCATCCCTATGATGTCATTTTGTATCTTTCTCTGGTCCTATATTTGCTATAAATTGGTAATAAAATATAGAGGCTTGTGTGGATTCAAGTTCTATTTTTTGTGACTTCCACCACAAAGAAGGCAATATTCAATTATCTTCTTTTTTCTTATGGTAGTAGCATTTGATGAGCAATAGCTACATTTATTATTTAATTAGGGATTGCAAGAAAATGGTATTCTAATTCTACCATTCCTTCTTCATTTATTAGCTTGATAATTTTTTCTGTAAAGAGAAATGTCTCCTCATCTACTATTTGGTATCTCAGAGAGACAGTCTGTACAGGAAAGGTAGGCTAAATACTTAATTCTTTCCTTTTATTTACCTGTTTTCAAAACTATTGTGTTGGTGTTAGCATTCTCTGAAAGTGACCAGTGGGTTCGTTTCATAGGTTTAAACATATGCCATTTGTTTCAATCCATTGTAATTATTTTTCTTATTGATATTGAAATTGTTCTATTTTTGGCCACTGGGAGCTTCTGCAAGCTGCCTCTTGACTCCCTTTGACATAACACCAGTGGTCTTTGATAACTGCCTGTCTTTTGGAATGAGAAGAGTTCCAGGCTGATGTTAAACACTTCCCATCCCACACTTGGAATCAGCTGTATCACCAATGATCCATGCTGTTATTGATGGAAGGTGCATTTAGAGGCTATCATTACATTGTTTTCCAGTGCTCATTGCTTTGAAGTTGGTTCTTGTTTCAAAGGCTTTCTCAATGGACAAAGCAAGAAAATCCGTGTATAGATAATTGGCTTACATGTTTATTACTTCTCTTTTGACCATAGGTTTCCCCTCTCCTTTTTTCTTTTTTACTTAGGAATATTCTCCTTTCAATTTGGTTAACTTCATACTGATACTTCCAACACAAATTCAGGTTCTCAGGCTTTTAAAAACTTTTCCAATAATACCTCTGCATCACCTTTTTTGTTGCAAAAAATTCTGGCACCCATCTCAAACCAATATATTTACTCATTTGCTTTATCTAAAAAAATACAGAAAACACTAGGGGAATAATGATTGCGGCATTACCACCAATGATGTGATAACCAAAAACGTTTTAATTTTGTAATAGTTCTTCTTGTGTTTAGGTTGTATTTTGTAAGGATGTCCATTTGGATTTGGTGTTTCGGACTCATTGAAGTCATCCCTTTCTGTATGGGCACACTGCTGGCTTGATTCTCCCAATGAGCCCATTCACTTTCTGTACTTTGCTTTAGATTTTTAAGGGTTGCGTGTTTTTTAAAATTAAAGTGTGGGGTGCAGTCAAGGTGTATTCAGAAAAAGCCAGCTTTTATCTCAGCCTTCTCCACCCTATTCCCTGTGCTCCCATTGTTTCAGTTTTTGGTTTATCTTTCAATTTTTTCAGTATAAGCAAATTTTTAAAATATAAACAAATATTTATTTCTCCTCCTCTTCTAAGATATGATCCATACTTCTCTCCACCTTGCTTCTTTTCACTTAATACATGCTGAGAACTACTTCATAGGAATATTTTAAGTACTAAATAAAACAAAAGTCCACAGTCCCTTATCCATAGTTTCAAAATCCTCAAAGCTTTTAAAACCCAGAATTTCATTATAAGCTTGCAGCAAATTCATTCGGAAAAAAAAATCAAATCTAAACACGAATAAAGTTGTGTATTGTCTTATTTTTTATGCTTATGTGCACATTGACACATTTTTGATGCTGGGGTATTTAATATATTCGCTTATGGGCCCAGCCTCATACCTCAATGGAGGTGTTAAATAATAATGGTATGTGCATTGTATTACCTTTCAGAAACCTGCAGGTTATGAGTTCTGAAATTTATCTGGCTCCCAGGAGTTCAGATAAGGCATTCTGAACCTGTAATACATAAATCTTTCATCGGTAACTTTTAATCACCTTTCTTTCCCCAGCAATTTTTTGTAAAGGATTATGACCTTAATGCTCAGTGTCCCATTTTATAGTAGCATAACCAGATAAATATGATTCTCACAATACAATTTAAGTGAGAACCAGAAACCCATGGATTTTCCTTGCACAAGCCAATATTGGCTATGGTTTTAAGACTTCCTTCTAGATAGGGTGATTTCAGGGGCAAAGACTTCTGGCTAGAGAATTAAAAGAGTTACAATGTTAGTATTTTGAAATTTTAAGATAATTATGAAGTAGATACATTTTAAAGAAAAACGTGGCTAGAATATGTTCACAGAGTTCTCAGATTTTGCTGACCTCTTTTGTGTTATAGTATCATAGAATTTTGAGGTGGAAGGCATATTGGTCACTGCTGGTAGGCATCTTTCAGAAAATCTAGATTGACCATGACTTGAACAAGAAAGCTTTTCTAACACTGCCTGTTGCTTTTACAAGGGAACACTGAATTTATGGTGCTTATAGCCGGCAGGTATGAACTATAATTATAATAATACTGCTCTACTTCACTGCCAAGTAGCTTTTGGAATTATTACATCACAGGCTTTATATAAGAAGTAACATAAGCCAAACTTTTTCACAAGTGGGGAAAATGGAGTTCTCTTATGATAGGTTGTATAACACTCCCAGTAGTTGCTGCCTATCCTTGTGAGAGGATGATGTGTCTCATTGACAGGGCCATTGGACTTGCTCTGGCCCACAGACTGAGTGGAATAACGTGGGCTTCTTCTGGGAAGAAGCTTGAAGAGTCGGCATGTTATTTTCTGTGTGTTCTCTTCCCTCTGCCACACAACTAGGCAGGTCTGGGACAGAGACTTCTCCAACAGCCTAGGTCTGAGGGTGAGGATGATGGGGTGCAAAGCCACTGCTACCCTGTGACAGACACGTGGCGTGAGTGAGAAATAACCTGTTGTAGTTATAAACCAGTGAGGTCTGGGAGTATTTTGTTACCACAGCATAGCCTAACTTATACTGACTGATACCCTTGCTAGGGTCATGCAGCCAATAGCTAGATGTCATGGGGAGCCCCAGTGTCCAGACGAAACCCTTGAGTTTTTGCTAGCAGGTAGCAGTTGCCTGCTTGATTTTCTAAAGCTCACTTTCCTTACCTATTCTAATTTCTGAAATAGCTTGAGGCCCCTGATTAATATTCATGAAGTTCTTTGAGATCCTACGCATACAGCAAATATTAAGTACTAAAACACCAGTATCTTTAGATATAGCAAGTGTTAAGTATTATAATCGGGCCCACCATCAGATGGGGAGTGAAAACAAGGTGACTGAGTGATGAGTAATCTGAGAAGAAGAAAGATGAAAAGGAGACAAGAGGCATATCATGATGGATGAATTTGTTTGGTATTTTAATTTTCCTTGCTCTGAACTGACAGGGAGAACTTTTGAAAGAAAGGTGCTTTCATCAATCTTCTCATTTCTTCACCGGAATAAGGAGATGGGAAGGATTCATTTCATGAAAAAATGACCACTCCCAGGATGGAATTTTTAAAAGTTTAGTTTGTGCACCTCATCTTTTTGTTCCTACATGCTCATACGAATATGCTGGCTTTGGGGGTTGAAGGGCCCCCCTCCTCTCTTTTTTCTCCTTCTCCTTTTTCTTTCATTTTTGTAAAAGAAAACCCTGGCCGGGCGCAGTGGCTCATGCCTGTAATCCTAGCACTTTGGGAGGCCGAGGCAGGCAGATCACGAGGTCAGGAGATCGAGACCATCCTGGCTAACACGGTGAAACCCCATCTCTACTAAAAATACAAAAAATTAGCTGGGCGTGGTGGCATGTGCCTGTAGTCCCAGCTGCTCGGGAGGCTGAGGCAGGAGAATCGTTAGAGCCCGGGAGGCGGAGCTTGCAGTGAGCTGAGATCACGCCACTTCACTCCAGCCTGGGCAACAGAGTGAGACTCTGTCCCAAAAAAATAAGAAAGAAAACCCCTAGGGCCAACCTATCACACTAGTACCATGTCCGTATCAGAATGTGTAATTATAAAGGCCTTCATAGCTCTGGGAGTAACAAGTCTTAGATAGATTATGGAATTGTATATCCTCATTGATCAAATAATTGTGAGCTCCAGCATGTTTATTCCATGATCTATGGATATTTGGAGATATCAACTAAGAGTGGGAGAAGATGTGTTAATCAGGAAGCCGGGAGAACTCTGCACCTTCTAGAAATTCCGTTTAGTGCCCCCTGTTATCAAAGAGATCTCGAGTCCATGTATCACATGCCATCTTGCTTCTATTTCTACTGAAAATAAAAATTGCCTGAATAAAAAAGCCATGCATATGTACTAGGATTCTATACACACTTATTGAATGCCTACTGTGTGCCAGACTTTCTAATACTTATCCCCAAAATAAGCAATTTGGAATAATTTGGGGATTGGCACAAGATTCTGAATTGTCTTGGACCCAACTCATAATTACAGAACAATGGAAGAGATGGGAATAAAAGCATCAATTTGGCTTTGCTTATAAAATCTCAATTAAAATGTGAATTGAGAAGGCAAGAAAGACCCACAGATAAGCATCCAAATGGAAAAGGATCAAACTGGGTGCTGGTGTAGGGGAGTGTGTGGAGCTTTGTAAGCTGTCAGATGATTTATCAACCTTTGGGCAGCTAAGTGGCCAGGATCAGAGATGGAGATTCACCAGCTGAGATACTCATGGACTCACTGACTCACTCTGAGAACTTGTATTACCAGGTAAAACATGCATTTCTTTTGAAGGATGATTACAGTACAATGACTATGATGGGCCACATTCTAATTTGTGTGGAAGTTCCAAATAATGCAGAAAAAAAATTAAGAACATGGAGCAAATATATTTACATTGACCACCAGTGTTTTACTCTCTAGTTCTGACATAAGTGTAGGAGAAAATATACTTAATTCCATCCTGGTGTCAGCACGAATTCAATTCTTTAGTCACCTATAATTTGAAGACAGCAAAGTAACCTTTCCCTTCCATCAGCTTTTTTGCTGCTCATAGATGTTTGAACAGGTATGAGAGAAATAAGTTCTGGCAAGCAGTAACTTGCAACTGCAGCTGTTCCCATTGTTTGCGGATAAAAGAAGACAATGCAAGTTCAGTCCACCACAACAGGAAGCCTATTGGCTGTTGTCAGTAAAGCAAGATCATGGACCAAAAGGTAATTCTTCACCGAGCCCTAATTTACTGTTTAATGACTTCCCCATAGTAGTCTGGAAGGCACAGGAACCCATGTCTTATGTCAACAATACTTCTCTGCTGAAACACTAATTGGCCAGAGTCAATGGGATTGGCTGGGGCTGTTCCTGACTGTTTTGCTGAAAAGGCACCAAAGACAGAAAGGCATTCTCTCATGGGGCCAAATCAGGTAGGTTTTGCATATTGTTGTTACAGAATCATTTGGGAAAGGGGCTGGGAAAAGAAAGCTAGAGCGGATAATTCATGAAAACATAACCAGATAAAGCCCTGCCCTGACATCCAATGCCTCTGCCTCCCATTCCAAGTAAAAGATTTCTTCTGGACCTCTTAGGGAAAGGTGGCAGAGCCATCCATTGATAGAATTTAAGTCCTGGTAGCACAGCTATAAGAAGGCTTAGATGGCATTTACATTGCTGAGATTTGTGGTGGCGTGAGCTACGCAAAAACATAAGCAATTAAAGAAATGGTAATGGAAAGTTATCGCAAGACAATTTAGAATTTCATTAAGAACTAGAGGAAAACAGGTTTGGGGTCAAAGAATCACAAGAAAGAATTCTTCCATGTTGAGGTAAAGAGCTGATAATGTTTGATGATCTCACAAGGCCAACTGGCCATGCAAGCTTTATTTTTTTATTTTTATTTTTATTTTCTTTTGAGACAGAGTCTCACACTATCACCTGCGCTGGAGGGCAGTGGTGCCATCTCAGCTCCTGCAGCCTTCGCCTCCCGGGTTCATGCCATTCTCCTGCCTCAACCTCCCAAGTAGCTGGGATTACAGGCACCCACTGCCATGCCCAACTAATTTTTTGTATTTTTAGTAGAGATGGGGTTTCACTATGTTGGCCAGGCTGGTCTCAAACTCCTGACCTCATGATCTGGCCACCTCAGCCTCCCAGTGCTGGGATTGCACATGCATGCATTTTTAATGTATTAGTTATCTATTACTGTGAGAAAAATTACTACAAAACATAGTGTCTTAAAAACGCACACACACACACACACATACAACTCCAAACATCTGTTATCTCACACAGTTTTGAAGGTCAGGAATCCACAGATGGTTTAGTGGTTCTGGGTTAGGATCTCTCAGGAGGAGGTTGGGATGGGAGGACCTGACTTCATGGTGCCTGACTCACACTGCTCTTGGCTGAAGCCCTCACCTATGTGAGCTTCTTGCTATGTGAACTTCTCCATGGGATTGCTGTAGTGTCTCACAACATGGCAGCCAGCTTTCCTGAAAGAGAGTGATTCAAGAGAGTGAGTGAGAAGGAAGTCACAATGCCTTTTATGACCTCTCAGGAATCTCACATGCTCACTTCTGTTGAAGGACAACCATGCTCAAGGGGAGGGAAATTAAGCCCCACCTTTTGAAGGCAGGAGTAGCAAGGAACTTGTGGGCATATTTTAAAACTACTACAGTAACGAATCAAAGTAAAGATTCTATCCTTGTGTAGCAAAAAGCTATTTTTGATTATTTAATGTGAAAAAGTGTTCATTTATTCTCCATCATTTAACCTTGGATTGATCTCCCTTTGCTTATGTAATAGGGTACTGATATGGTTTGGATCTGTGTCCCCACCCAAATCTCATGTCAAATTGTAATCCCCAGTGTTGGAGGTGGGGCCTGGTGGGAGGTGGTTGGATCATGGGGGCAGTTTCTCATGAATGACTCAGCACCATCTCCTTGGTGCTATTCTCGTGATAGCGAGTGAGTGAGTTATCACTAGATCTGGTTGTTTAAAAGTGTGTGGCACCTCCCCCACCTTCCTCCTGTTCCAGCCATGTGAAGCGCTTGTTCCCCCTTTGCCTTCTGCCATGATTGTAAGTTTCCTGAGGCCTCCCCAGAAGCTGAGCAGATGCCAGCATCATGCTTCCTGTACAGGCAGAACCATGAGCCAGTTAAACCTTTTTTTCTTTATATATTACCCAATTTCAGGTATTCCTTTATAGCAATGTGAGAACAGATTGATAAAGGTACTAAAGAAGAACCTCCTTTTAGGTGAAAGGCGACTAGGAAAGAGTGAATGTGTCTGGCTTGTTTAAAACAAAAATTGGAATTTCCCAATTGACTTATCTGGGCAAGGTTCTAGCAAAAGCCATTCAGGAGTCCCAGTAGAGAAGCTGCATCAGAGCCACACCATGCCCACACAGTTTGATTAAATTCTCTTGGCCACTTGGTGGTGGAACCTGATTGTGTTTGCTTCTACCCTTGATCAGTAATGGTGTCTGTTCTGTGTTGTGTATGTACTTTCTGGGACCAGAAATTTGGGAACTGGGAAGGCATGGCCAGACATGGAGTGTCATGTTCAGTGCTGAGGAAAAAAACAATAACAAAACAAACAAAGCCAAGCCCATCTGATGGACGTGGATGGAGACCTGTGGCTGTGCCATGTGCAGATTCCCCAGAAGACCCCAGGGCAGATGGAGAATGTGCTGCCCATGTCCCCTCGGACCTTACCACTGCAGTGCAGGCTGGCTGATTTCCAACAGTCACCTCTGCCTGTCTTTGTTTGAGGGCTTTCTCTAGAAGCTGGAGCCCGATCTGCCAGCTTATATTAATGCTTCTCAACAGCAGCCCTCAACTAATACCTAATGAGAGCTGGTGCATAAATCCCCAGCTCCCTTGTCCCTCAGGTGGGATGACTCAGAGGCATGCGTTTTACAGTGGCTTCTCAGCACTTCCCAGTGGGATGGAGCTCCAGTTGCCCGCATCGGTAACTGGCTTGACCACGCACACTTCATCAGCTGCCTTCTCTTTTCTCTCCATGCCCTCCTTCTTTTACTATGTTTCCTAGAACCACCTATCACACAAACTACTTGCATTTGAACAGCTCCTTGAGACAGAGTCTGCTTTTTAGGGAACCCAAATTAAGACAGTGAATGACATGACCACTGTCTTCAAATGTTTGGATGACTGTCTTGTGGAAGAGTGATTAGATCTATCAGTCAAAGAGGAGACTTAGGACCACCAGATAATATTAATAGTTATTAGAAGGTGGGTTTAGTTTAGCATAAGGATATACTATTATTATTATATCCTTATTGTAGCATGTACTATTACTATTTGCTATTTAGCACATACTATTATTCTGTAGTAACTCAATATGTCTACAGATGGACTGCCTTGCATTGGAAGGTAATATACTCAGTATCACAGAGGTCGGTTAGCCACCAGAGATCTGTGATTGATATGGAGCCCAAACCAAAGAACTTCTAAGGTCAGAGGGAGGTTTCCTGTCAAGCAAATGAAACGGAAACTTCCACCTCCCACTCGTGCAAAGGATCCTTGTAAGTCCCTAGCAAGGTGTTTATTGGACAATCATTTCTGTAAATTTGCAGATCTTTGAATCACAATTTATGAAGACCACTGTCTGTTTCTACTTCAACTTAGTTTTATTCCGTGACTCTTTTGAAACAAAATTGATCAGAATTCTGGGGCTTGTAGGTAACATGTGTGCAGCAGTGCTGGAAATGGATACAACCTTTTGTGAAGTTGCATGTTCTTATGCATTTCAACATATCAGATTGAATTTTAGTGTATCTGACACAGCTTGTCCTGACAAAGCATAGTGGTTCCAGATGAAACAGCATGCAAAATTGCCACTAACACAGCAAAATAGCGGAAAAAAACAAGGGACAATATCAGAAAAGAAGTTTCAGTGACAAAACTCATGCACTAAGAGTAACTTGATAACACAATTATGTCACTCTATACAATGTAACAGCAATTACAAAAGTATTCTGATTTAGTGCATTCTTTAATTTTAGATTGTTAATTTTTTTTCATACTTATGAACCAATCAAAAATTTAAACATGACAGGAAGGAAGTATCTTAGCGGAAACCCAGAGTGTAACTTGAAAGAAAATGGCTGTAGTATTCCTCAGCTTTCGAACATTTATAATCTGTTGAGATCTCTCTTCTCTTTAGAAATAAATATTCAGTTTTATACCTAATTTTGCATTCATAATTTTGCATGCATGATATTTCTTCTCTGTTTCTTTTATTTACAGGGGCTCACATTTAACTGGAGCCACCTCTATCTGAGGTATGTTTTGGTTCTGAGATTCTGAGTCATGAATCTTGATTCTAGGAGCTGCATAGTAACCATGCTCTTGATGTATCTGATTAGGATTATTTTGTGGGGTGGAATAATGAGATGTGTGACCCTCTAGCTCAAAATGCAGAGAAAATTCCCAGTAATCTTTAAATACAATCTTAGAATACAATGCCAAGGCCGAAGAGACCCTCTGCTATCTCTCTCTGTCTTTATTCTCTTGTCCTCCTGGGGGGTTGCTAGGGGAATCATTTTGGGTGCCTACCCACATTCTCCACAAAGAATTTTCTAAACTAAAGAGACACTGTAAGTGTATTATTAAAAGCAATAAAATTAAATGGTAAAACTATTCTTTTGAATGCATTCAAATTTATATAATACTGCCCCAGGGATGCAAGGCATTTGATGATAATACGAAAACATATGATAATTTATTAATCTGAATATTAATCAGCATGAGGAGAAAACTGAACAGTAAGACAAAATTAAAATTGACCAGTTACAAAAATGCATTATACATTCTCTGAATGCAAAGGGCTAAGGTTATGTTGGTCTAGAGAGAGAGTCAGCAAACTATGGGGTTAAATCTGCCCCTGCCTTGTTTTGTAAATAAAGTTTTATTAAAACACAGCCATACTCATTTATTTATGTATTGTCAATGGCTGCTTTCATACTGCAGCTGCAGAGTTGGTATGACAGAGACTGCATGGCTGGCAAAGCCTAAAATACTGACTGTCTGACTTTTCACAGAAAAAATTGGCCAATTCCTAGTTTAGAGGTAAACTTTGGGCTGGGTAGGTCTCTGTGGAAGTTTGTAATAAGTATATATGAAAAGAGAAAATCCTTTTTATATTAAAAAATTTCATGAGAATCTTAATTCCATATGGAACTCAATGAAACTACTGTTGCTCCAGTTAGAGGAATTTTGAAAATTTAAAAAAAAATGTTTTTGGCAGTGAAAGTCATGAAGCTTCTCTATGTTCGGGTCAGACTATTAGTGATGACGGCAGCAGGAGTGGAGAAAGAACTGTGGTTTAAAAATAAGGCATTTATATTCTTTGCACACCTCTTTACTGAAACTGCGGTTAAGATAGAATGAACTTACCCTCCTCACCCAGGGCTGGGGGTGCTGCTGAAAGTGCAGAACTACTTTCTGTATGAGGACTCCGGGGCCACCTCATAAGCTGTTCCTCCACAAGCTTAGGTCCTGCCTACATGCCTTTTTGGTAAACACTTGAGCTCAGCTCATCCATCTACCTTTCCAGTGTCAGCAACAAACACTCCTCCCTACGACCCCATGAATGAGTGCACATCTGTGCAAGTATGTGTGTGTGCACATACACACACAGACACACACACCCACATGCATGCATGCACTGGACTTTGACTGCATGAACTTCAGAGCTCTCTGACGCTATTATATGTGAACGTCACTGTACTAGCTTCGTAGAGCTGCTGTAACAAATATCCCATGAACTTTCATGTCTTCTGCATCTTTATTTTTCTGATTTTTGTGCCTCTTGTGCCTATTGAAACTCCACTCATTCGCCCCAAAAATCTGGTTGTGGAGATCATTAAGCCACATTTATTTTATCTTCCTTGGAGCATGTTTGAGAAATGCGCTCTTCTGTTTGAGTCTGCTGTTTCTGAGCTTGCTTTCTGCATGCCTTTGAGTGAGTGAGAAGAAATTCAAAGCATTCAATTAGTGGGCCTCTGGTACCTGGGCCTTCTAAACTACATTTTTAATACTTAGAGAAAAATTCTAAATTCTAAATCCAAGGGCTAGAGTCTGCAACTACAGGGAAGTTTTCTGACTCGTTTGCAGGCAAGAAGTAATGTCTTTTTAACCTCTTCGACTATAACTTCACTATAAGCTTTATCAGGGCAAAGTTACTGTTTTATTCTTTGAGTGGCCACTGAAGCCCCCGAGGGAGTGGCTTGCACAGGAAGGCATGTTACATGTGTTTATTATAAGAAAGAATGAATGAACATGAAGGATGGATACAGAGGAATACTTGGTAGGAAGGTGAGCTATTATATTTAGAGTGTGGTATGGCTTCAATGCTTGTCCCCTCAGAAACTCATGCTCAAACTTAATCCCAGTGTGGCAGTGTTGAGGGGTGGGGCCTTTAAGAGGTGATTGGGTCGTGAGAGCTCTGCCCTCATGAAGGGATTAATCAAGTCATGGAGCAATGGATTGCTGGATTATCATGGGAGTGGGACTGGTGGATTTACAAGAAGAGGAACAGAGGTCTGAACTAGTACCTGAGCATGCTCAGCCCTCACCACGTGATGTTCTGACCCACCTCGGGACTCTACACAGAGTCCCCACCAGCCAGAAGACTCTCACCAGAAGCACCCCCTTGACCCTGGACTTCCCAGCCTCCAGAACAGTAATAAATAAATTTGATTCCTTTATAAAATGACACAAGAGAAGGCTGGGTGTGGTGGCTCATGCCTGTAATCCCAGCACTTTGGGAGGCTGAGACGGGTGGATCACGAGGTCAGGAGTTCAAGACCAGCCTGGCCAAGATGCTGAAACCCCATCTCTACTAAAAATACAAACATTAGCCAGGCGTGGTGGTGTACGCCTGTAATCCCAAGTACTCAGGAGGCTGAGGCAGGAGACCTGCTTGAACCCCCAGGCAGCAGAGGTTGCAATGAGCCGAGATCGAGCCACTACACTCCAGCCTGGGTGACAGAGCAAGACTCTGTCTCAAAAAAAATAAAAATAAAAATAAAATAAAAATAAAATTCATAGGAGACTCCAAACAGACTAATAAAATGTGGGTATTCTATTATAAGCAACAGAAAACAGACTAATACAGATTGCTGCCTGACATTTTAGTGGCATATTAAATGACTCTGACATGTCTGACAATTTCTCTTAGCTTGTTTGTCATCACTGCATCCTCATCAGCCAGTACAGGGCTGCTATCTTGCACAATCAGGTACATTCTGTGCACAGGCTGACCTGCCATGTACATTCTGTGCACAGGCTGACCTGCCATGTGCAGCCGGCCTGAGCTAGTGCTAAGTGCATAGGTTGCAGGGTACACTTTCCCAGATTGGATTCCCAGCTTTAGCATGTGCTAGTTTATCAGTTCTATAAAGTTCCTTGAAGTTCTTCAGACCTCTATTTCTTCATCTCGAAAACTGGGAGAATTAGACATCATCGTGTTGTTATGAGGATTCAGTGAGGTAAGGTATGACACCCAAGGCAATGACAAATGCTTAACAAACCTGCTTTTCGTGGCATGTGTTTGTGGTTAGCTGTGACTCTTCACTAGAGACATTTGCTACTCTAAAGGATCTTAGAATAGATAGGGTTTTGATGCTATTGTATGTGAGTGTCACTGTATTAGCTTCCTAGAGCTGCTGTAACAAATTACCACAGACTAGGGGCTTAAACCAGCAGTCCCCAACCTTTTTGGCACCAGGGACTGGTTTCATGTAAGACAATTTCTCTAATGGCGGTTGAGCAGGGGATGGTTTCAGGATGATTCAAGTGCGTTCCGTTTACTGTGCGCTTCATTTATATTATGATTACATTGTAATATATAATGAAATAATTATACAACTCACCATAATGTAGAAACAGTGGGAGCCCCGAGCTTGTTTTCCTGCAACTAGATGGTCCCATTTGGGGGTGATGGAGACAGTGCCGGATCGTGAGGCATTAGATTCTCATAAGGAGCTGCAACCTAGATCCCTCACATGCCTAGTTCACAATAGGGTTCGTGCTCCTATGAGACTCTAATGTCCCCGCTCATCTGACAGGAGGCGGAGCTCGGGCTATAATGCGAGTAAAGGGGAGCGGCTGTAAATACAGGTGAAGCTTTGCTTGCTCACCCGCTGCGGTGCAACCCTCCTGCTGTGCGGTCCATTATGTCCGTGGCCCCCGGGGTTGGGGACCCCTGCTCTAGAGGAGAATCCTCCCTTGTCTGTTTCAGCATCTGACGGTTGCCAGCAATGCTTGGCTCATAGCTGAGTCACTCTAATCTCTGCCTTTGTCACCACACGGTCTTCTTTCCTCTATATCTGTGTCTAAACTTCCCTTCTGTTACAAAAACATCAGTCATTCGATTAGGGCCTGTCCTGCAGTATGACCTTATCTTAACTTGATTTAGTTCCCTGTTTCCAAATAAGGTCACAGTCACAGATACCAAAGGTTAGAACTTGAACGTATCTTTGTAGGGGACACAGTTTAACCCACAGCAGTCAGTGATCATGAATATGGTGTAGGGAGGTGGCAGGGAGGAGAAGATTCTCCCCAGGGACTTGCAGTATTACCTTAGACGCATCCTTCAAACAGCTTTAGCCCTGTTTCCTCATCTGTACCAGCTGTGAAATGCTGGCTAATCAGATAATGTGCTTGCCCGGATCCCTCCGCTTTAATACGTGGTGATTCCATGAACGATCTCAAATTCCGTATATGCTGAACCTGAATTCATGAGGTTTCTCTGTAATCGGAGCCTGACTACTGAAGAAAGCACTGCGTCTGGCGTGCAGAGGCAGGATCAGCCAGGGTGCCTTCACTTGCTGTGCTCACCTGCCCGGTATCCCGGGAACAGCTCCCTGATAGCAGTCTGACAACGGTGGAGGCCCTTTTCACAACGAAACGCGTTCTCTATTTCTTCCTTTCATTCCTAAAGCACTGAAATTAGAACGTATTTTATTTTTACAAAACCTGCCTCCATTTTAGTAGATTGATACAGGGTCCAGCTTTGTTTCAATCACTACTACTGGCAACTATTTTTTTTTTTGGACAGGGTCTCATTCTGTTGCCCAAGTTGGAGTGCAGTGGTGCAATCATAGCTCACTGCAGGCTTGAGCTCCCCAGTTCAAGCCATCCTCCCACCTCAGCCTCCAGAGTAGCTGGGACTACAGGTGTACACCACCATGCCTGGCTATTTTTTTTTTTTTTTTTTTTTTTTTTTTTTAGTAGAGACAAGTTCTTGCTATGTTTCCCAGTCTGGTCCAAAACTCCTAAGCTCAAGTGATCCTCCTGCCTCAGCCTCCCAAGGTGCTGGGATTATAGGTGTGAGCCGCTGTGCCCAGCCTATTGGCAACTTTTGAATACTATTAAGAGCCAGGATAAAACACACCGCTTAAAAAACAAAACAAAACAGAAAAGCTCACACAGGAACTTCAAATGTGTCTGTGTTCATTCTAAGTCTTTTGAAGCCCAACTCTTCTGGGGGTAACACTGATGTCCATGTGGTTCACTGGCTAAAAATGGACTCAGAGATTCATATCTCATGTGAACCTGAAATAAGGGGAAAAAATCCTTTAGTCTAGCAAACACTCCATAAAGAAAAATATTTGTTTCAAACTTATAAGGCAATTGAACATATTTTATAGCCTGGAAGAACCCTTAGGGTCTCCCTAAAGCTTTATTGTTAAATAACTTTTAAATCCCAATGCTATTGAAGTCTTAGAAGTTGCAGTTTTTATTATGAATTATGTTATTACCTAGGAAATAACCACCAGAATCACATTCTTTGTAAGAATTACATTGAATACAACACAAAAGTGTAGATTTTTCTGCATAGAGACATTACACAACATAAACTTATAACAAATTGATTATGCAAAATTTTAAAAATAACCAAATCAAAAGGCTTTGCTGTATCAATATTTCTAGTAACTATATGCTGTATTACATAGAGTAAGAACTCTATTTTGCCTTTCTATTAAGTTTTACAAGTGTGGCTTAATATAATCATAGTCAAAATAGAAACGTAGAATTTTAATCGAGAATGATAAAATGCTCTGGAATCAAATAATGAGTAAATCTCACAACTGTGTAATTAATTTCTTGATTTATTAGGAAAGGGTTTGGAAAGGTAAACTTCAGCATGGCTCCTATTAATTTAACACTGATTATGAACTGGGGCATCTGAATTAATGAGGTTTAATTTTCAGTGAAACTTTATTTTTGAAAAAATTTGTTTTGATTATATTAATTATTTTGGTTGCATTCAGGATGTCTCCCCTAACTGAAAGTGCTTACTCATAGTAATCAAAGAAATTACCCCAAGGATCGTAATATCAGGGGCATAGTTTTTAAAGACATGCCCTGCTCATATTATTTGTGATTCTTGTGGGTTACTTTAATCTCAAGTTTGTAGTTTGTTCCAGAGCAGTCCACTCCCTCCCGATAGCTGGGCAGTAGAGTGGTGCAGCCTAACGAACTTGCACCCTGGAGTCAAACAGACCTGACTCCAAGTGCTCTCTCCATGGCTTCCTAGGACATAACCTTGGCCTTCCTTAACCTTGCAAAGGCTCATGTTTCTTATCTGTAAAATGTGTCCAACTTCATAGGATAGTTAACAGGATTAAATGAGATAAATCCGGGAAGCACTCTTTAGTGCCCTGTAGAAATGTTAGCCAGTGAGATAGGCCAGCACCAGGTCTTGCTCTTCTATCCCTGGCAGTGTCTAGCACTCATAACTGGCTTAGAAAATGTTTATTGAACAAAACTGAGTCACCATTATATATGCTGGAGGGTTCATGGAGGTAAAAGGAGATGTGATAGTTGGTTCAGGTGAGATGACCTCACAGAGCCCCTTTAGGTTTAATGCTAGATGAGCCTGTGTGGTATAACAAGAAATAGATATTTGGTCTTTGCTCTGGGTTCCTGGCACTGAGCTCTTAAAACCCTTGGGATTTACTGGGTGACAGTGGTGATAGGAATCTCTTGTGTTATTCATAAGGAGCCTCTTTCAACCATACCTGAGTTTATGCTGATGACATAATTCTTGGTGGCTCCTAGATGGGAACTGGCTGCCAGAAAGGCTAAGCCTTGATTAGAAGTTGGAACTTTCAGCCCTATTCCCCAGCCTCCAAGGAGGTGTTGCATCCTGACTCCATGGGGACAGAGGCTCCCCAGCTAGGGACCCTTTCAGACCTCACCCTGTGCACCTGTTCATCTGGCTGTTCATTTTATCCTTATAAGAAACTATATTGGTAAGGTTAGCATTTTCCTGAGTTCTGTGAGTCATTCTCACAAATTATGGAACCTGAAAGCAGGGGCCACCTAAAACCCTGCACATTTGTAGCAAAGCCAGACAGAACTGTAGCAAAGCCACAACATTCCATTTGTGATTGGTATTTGAGGTGAGGACAGTCTTTTGGGACTGAATCCTTAAACCTGCGGAGTCTGATGCTGACTCTGGGTGGTTTGTGTCAGAATTGAATATGACTTTTGGACACCAACTTGGTATTGAAAAGTCAGAGAATCTGAGAACCTCTGAGGTTCATTTCTGCCAAGTTTTGTAACCCATTACATCTCAGCTGGGACCAGGGGGAGGTGTGTGTGTTTCTTCTTGGGGTCTCCACAGTGTGTGTGCAATTGCATTGATGGGGGGCTGTCTTTCTCTTCTGGATTGCTGCTACCAGATGGGCGTCTTAGGGTGACAAATTAGTGGTCTAGATGAGCAACGATAGAGCTAACAGTCAAGAAAATAGGGAGGTTGGTTCCCATTGCCAAGGTCACCCTTGAACTGCAAACATGAAGCTGCAGGTAAGCCACCTCACATGACCACAGGTGCTGTGCTTAGTACGAAGGATTTTCAGATAGGTGCAAAACACTGCCCAATCCAGACTGAAAATATCCCCCTCAGCCACTAGGATTTTCTCATTCATTGTGAATCTTTTTTGGTAATGGACAAGGTGCAGTAGACATATGAATAAACACATAAATAAATTTCATCTTCATGTTAATGTCACTAGGATGAGTCTTGTTCTAAGGAGTTTCCATGCCCCCAGAAATCATGTGTCTCACCTCATGATTCATATTTTCCATTTTGAAATGCTTTCCCACAAGCCATTTTCTTTCAGGTTCTGGGCCTATGAAGCGAAATTAATTTACTTGCCTGTTTTCTGTGGTGTCAGCTCAGCCCTGTTAATTTGGTTGCTAGAGGACATGTGTTATAATGCTCCATGAGAACTAAAAATGTTTTCCAGCTTGTAAATTGCTTTTTGTTTATTTAATTGTGTCTTTCATCGACTATATATTCAGCATATTCCTCTGGGGTCTTCTGCACATTAACAATTCAAAAACCACTGACCCATAATCATATTAAAACTCCCATTTTGTCTCCAGTTTACCCATAACAGAATCCTCATACAGGAGCTGGGCAGAAGCCTTGTTAATAGCCAATCTTGCATCTAAAACACTAATGCTTTGTGGAGTAACTAGGGATTGTAAACTCAAATTGCGAGCCATTTTATTATTGCAAATACCGTCATTATCATACAATTGCAAAACATTCCAAATTTTATTAATCTAGGTAGTCATCTCCTGATCAGTTTATTTATTTTCTTTCGGTCAGGGTTACAGACCTTTCCAAAAGGTAAAAATGAAAGTAGTTCCTAGTGAAAAAAAGGGCTTCCAGGTTCTTTGTGGGTGATGAATGAATCCTGGGTCTCTCAGTGATTCAAAATCAAGAGGTCATTCTCACAGTAACCTGAGGGATTGGAATACATCACTTAAGAAGCTTGTCCTCTCAAAAAGTAGTTTAAGCTTGGGACATTTGAAGTGTTAGCCTAAATTTGTTTCCCCAGCTAAACTTTGTCCTTATTAATCTTCCAGATTAGACCCTTAGCCTGTTTCTGAGTAGAAAATTCAAAGTATTTGTTTAAAACAACAATGACGCTGAATGTCTGCCAGGTTTTGATTACCCAGACAAGTAATAATGTCTGTCATGTTAGTAACAGCATGATCTAAATTTCATAATTCAGTTTTATTGGTGGTTATATTATGAAAAAAAAAGGAGACAAGTTTAAAGCTGCAGGTATACATAGCCATTCATCCAGTCAGTCTTTGTGCGGTGTGGTTGTTTAGACTTTTCAACAATAATTAAGGTTGATTTTTGCACAATTATTTGGATTGCTATGTGGTTAAGCCAATTCGGTCATTATGACTGCTAAGATAATAGACTATTCTGTTATATTTATTTTGGCCATGTTAGGACAAATGAGGCTATATTTTAAGGAAATGTAACTGGCTAATTAAGTGGGATGATCTCAGTGGATACAAAAGTGATACAGAATTATTTATTTTTCTCTTCATGGCTTTGTCCAATCTGTGTTCCCTGACCCAGGATAGCACTTTAGGAAGGTCTCATTGCTTTTGAATGGCTCTCAGTTGTAAGAACAATCTGAGGTGCTGTGATTCACTTTCAGGAGCTAAAATGTCTCCTCGAGTCTAAATCAAAACTTCAATCTCTCATTCCATCCAGAGCTTCTTCCCTCCCCACCCCTGGCCTCACCTTGGCTCAGAGACACAGTGGGAGGGGCCACTTCCTTCACTCTTCTTCTCCCTTTTCTTGTCCTTCCGACGTCTTCTTCAAAATGCCCTCTCTGGCCTCTGGGAAGGGGTCTCTTGGGGCCTCCCACTTCCGGCTCAGGGTAGGAGGAAGAAGCTCTCAAACTGGGTGCTTGATAACATTCTCTAATTGCTCTTTTCTATCACTGGCCTTTCTTACATAAGCTGAAGGTGGACTTCAGGAATTTTTCTCTGATGGTTCTCAGCATTGGGGCTGTACTCAAAATATGTGACAAGAAAAGTCCCATTAAACATCTTTTTACAGATGCATATATCACAGCACAGATATATGCCAGTGTAGAAACTTCTCTTTATATAATCAGAGGCTTGTCTTTTTAGAGACAAACATTAGTTCTAGAAGTTCTTTAGTTTACTAGGGAAGAAGGGACTCTACTCTAGTGAGTAGAAAAGAATAGCCAATATGGAGCTTGGGAAACTGCTGCTTTTCGCTTTAGGGCCTAGACGATCTGTGTGTCTTGTTAGATTGTGTCTGTCATGCACGTGGTAAGATGATGCTGGTGTCCATATTGACACGGTGGTCCCCATTTGTTGGAAATAGAGTTGGGATCATCTATTTTCTCTTGGTACCACCTCTGGGGGAGAAGGTGGGTGGTCTGAATAATGTGGAGAGAAATTTTGAGCTTTGTGCTAATTTAATTTGTTGATATTTTCATTTAACTACTCTGTTGGGACCATTAAATCAATGTGGATGATTTTTTGAAGAATATAGTCTAGAAAATTCAATTATTTAGTGCCTGGAAGGGTTTTGAAGATTAAAATGCTGTGTAAAAATGTGTAAATATTTATTATTACAATTAAATACATGTTTGCTCCATGCAATTAAATTGTATTGTCCAAATGGTTTGCATAACTCAAAACAAATTTAGTATTATTTTTGTTTCATCTTTTCCTAGTGCACCCCAGGCGAATTAGAAATTGCTTTCCTCTGTTACTCCCATAGATTTTTCTTTATACCTTCATTTTAGTTAGATTCAATTTCATTCGATTTCATTTCATTTCATATAACACTTATTAAGTGTAAACTATGTTCTAGGTACTGTGCTAGGCCTTGAAGAACAAAACATTGAATCATACCCTCCAACAAGCATTTTTTTTGTGTGTGTGAACTTTAATGCAATTAGTTCCATGGTAGGAACAAAATTAAGGGAGGCAGTGGGGAGGGGACATTTATCATTGTTCCTGGTGCTGAAGAGGTTAAAGGTAAATGATTTTGGTTACATTGAATTAACTATGAATGCTTTCAGCAAAACTGCATCGTTTCTTTTGTGAAAGGATTCAAATCTTTGTGGACAGATGGAGAAAGTTCTCCTCTTCTCCACCCCTAAAGAAGAGGTGCAAGAGAAAACTATGGTAGCAAAACTTTCCTTTCACTAGTTTTGCCCTTGAACTTGATGAACACACTTCTGCAAATTGGAAATATTTCTGAGGTTTCCACACTGTTCAAATTTCCAGCAAGTGTGCCAATGGTGATGGCAGACTTCTTCCTGGAGTTAGGAAGTTTTCTTCAATTGCTCATAACTCTGGCTTGTTTACTGAGGAATTAATCCTGAATATTAAACAGTTGGTATTCTAGAGAAAATCATTGGTAAGGAACAGGGCTTATGAGTGTGGAGTCACTGAAAATGTAAGAATTAGCAAATCAAGATTTGGGCTGGGCGTGGTGGCTCATGCCTGTAATCCCAGCACATTGGGGAGGCCAAGGCGGGTGGATTGCCTGATGTCAGGAGTTTGAGACCACCCTGGCCAATGTGGTGAAACTCCATCTCTACTGAAAATACAATAATTAGGTGGGCATGGTGGTGGGCGCCTCTAATACCAGCTACTCCGGAGGCTGAGGCAGGAAAATTGCTTGAACCTGGGAGGCGGAGGTTGCAGTGAGCCGAGATCATGCCATTGCACTCCAGCCTGGGCTACAAGACAAAACTCAGTCTCAAAAAAAAAGAAAGTGAAGATTTGGACGTAGATCCTTAAGAGGATTAGCAGAGTTTTTAAAGGGGAAGGACATTAAATAGACTAAACTAAGCAAAAAATATATATATTAAAGTTAAAATACAAAAAGGAAGGATGATAATTACAAACCATTTGTCTTTGTTTAAAAAGCAAGATAGAAGTCACCCATATTAAACATATTTATTGTTGAAATGTTGGATTCTGAAGAGGATAAGAAAAACATTTTTCTGCTTACTTCTTGTCTATAAACATGTTTCATAACCTATTAAAAGCTCCTTAGAAGCAAAAACCTTTTTAAACCATTTTGGTCAGGCAACAAGTTTGATGGAATATGGGGTTAACTGAGTGTAAAAGACCAATAAAATAAATAAAATGATGAAAGATAGGAACAAAAGAAAGTGAAAGGAAAAATTACAGAATAAATGGAGTAATTTTCATTTCTTACATGCCCTAAAACAAATTATAGAAGATATAAATTTTTATTCCTTGAGAATTTGAAAAAAATCTACTAGCAAAATGATCTGGTTCCAGATCCTTTTTTGAGAACTAGTTCTTAGATTATTTTTTCAGTTTATTTTATTGTTACTGCTGTAGCATATTTTACTGTTTCTGGTTTCAGTTTTGGAAATTTGTATTTCTCAGATAATGTCCAGATTCTGGAATGTATTAGCATAGGGTTAAACATGGTACAAGAATTGCATATACAAGCTTATACTAATCTATTTAGATAAATTCCCTTTATATTAATTGTTGCATACTCTACCATTTCTAAATCTGTATTATCACTATTATTTGTCTTCATTTAATCCTTCAGACATGGTTTATTTTGCTTATTTTTTCTTAAGTATAAAGCTCTTGAATTTGTTGGCCAATTCCTAATCTTATTGTTTTGGGATTTCTACCTCTATTATTTTCTTTTTTCTCTTTATTTTAGGTATATATGATGTTTTTATAGCTTCTAGAGTTCAATAATTAGTTTTTCTTTTTTCAGCCTTTCTTGAATTACAGTGAAAGCTTTTAAAACTTTGAATATGTTTCTGGGTACAATTTTGAGCAAATTCCTTAAGTTTTAATATATACAGTTCTAATTCCGATTTCTTCTAAATAGTATGCATTTTTATAGTAGCACGGTAGGATGTATATTAAACATACATATACAAATACACATGTATTTGTGTGTCTATATATTATAAATCTCCAATGGACATTTATAAGCATATATATATTTTTAAAATTTTAGCTTCGGGGGCACATGTGTGAGTTTATTATGTGCCTGTATTGCATGTTGCTGAGGTTTGGGTTTCAATTGAACCCATCACCCAAATAGTGAACATGGTACCCAATAGGTAGTTTTTTTTCCTCCCTTTGTAAATATATATTCTTATTTATTTATTTATTTATTTTGAGATGGAGTTTCACTCTTGTTACCCAGGCTGGAGTGCAATGGCATGATCTTGGCTCAATGCAATCTCCACCTCCTGGATTCAAGCAATCCTCCGGCCTCAGCCTCCCGAGTAGCTGGGATTACAGACACCCACCACCACACCCGGCTAATTTTTTTGTATTTTTAGTAGAGAGGGGTTTTTGCCATGTTGGCCACGCTGGTGTCGAATTCCTGACCTCAGGTGATCCACCTGCCTTGGCCTCCCAAAGTGCTGGGATTACAGGCATGAGCCACCGTGCCCTGCTGTAAATGTAAATTCTTAAATGAATACAGACAGGTATTAAATTAAATATATTGGTCAAATATTCCTAGGCTTCTTTCGTAACTTTACAGTATCTCCCCGCTTCTCAGTATATAAACATATTTGACCTTAGAAAATCTTCTCTCAATGCTGGTATTTCTTTGAGGCAGTGCTGGCTCTCCCCTTACCTGCACTGTATTTAGAAGTGTTGGCCACACCTTCACATACCAGGACCTCATTACTTGCTCCCTTGAAGCAAAAGGTTTGAATTCTTAAAATTCGAAACTTTAAGCATTCATTGAGAATCTACTTGAGGTAGGCAGTAAACATGTGATGAGATCTGTGATCTGAAAGAGCTTGCACTGGGTTTGAATTCCAAGGCTCACATCAAGGACCTCTGATTTTGCTTGGTAGGAGACAGCCTTATTCTGAAGCTAGTTAGGAAGAAGGGAGAACAAAGGCAGAACAGTGGCTTCTCTGAGCAATGGCTTCATTGTGCTTTCCTCTTCTTACCCTAGCCAGAGAGGTTAAGATTGGCGAGAGGAAAGGGCAGGCTGAGACCTCAAACTCTGGCTTTGAGGTCAGAAACACGGAGAGCAGGACCACTCTCCATGAATCTGGAAGGTGGGTGCCATGACCAGGCTGCCAAGAGCTTTTGTCTCTTTAGCAAGGGGTCAGTGGGACCCAGAGAAGGATATCCAGAGGTTTGGCTGATAATTTGTAGCTGTCAGGTCTTCCACTCAGAGTGGGGGTCCTATTTCCTCTCCTTCTACTTATAGGAATGCAATACCCTTTTTAATGTACTCTGGGATGCCCACCTTAACAGATGATTCTGATCTAATGTTACAGATCATGTTTTTCTGGGCACCGTCTCATCCCTTGTGTGACCCCCAAATTTTTAAGCCACTGCACTACTCTGCTATATATAATCCAAAGTGCTTTCTAATTTAAAATAAGCAAACACAACAATCTAAATATACAACATTTATTTATCCTGCCCTCCTGAAGCAGAGATTGAATGTTATAGAATATTGTGGCTAGAAAAAGAGGCATCCCCTCTGACCCTGACTCAGACACCTGACCTTTCCAGTGTTTGGGGTTCAAGGCTCCTTCGCCATCCAGGTTCCTCTGCTCTTCCCTCTCACTGTCCAGCCAGGCAGCCCCTGCACTAGCTGTGCAGGACTTCTCCTGGGCTCTAGATCACATGACTCTATGTTTTTGCACCTTCTTTTCTTTCTGACATGCCTCTGAAGCCTGTTTTTACTTATATCTGACAAACTTCTGCTTGGTCTGCAAGACCCAGCTCCATACAACCTCCTCTAGGAGTCAGGCCTCTGTTGAATAACACTGACAGTCATTGATCTCAAAGTAGCCTTTAGCAAATAAGAATAACTAAATGCAGAGGTGCTGTGGCTTCAGAGAATCCCAGAGCTGGTAAGGTCATCAGGGCAGGCTTCTCCAGCTCTACTTCCCTCCATGTGGATGTCAGTCTCTCCAGGTCACAGTAAGGATGCTTGCTGGCAGCTCCGCCAGGCTTGCCCCTATCTCAGAAGAAGAGAGGAACTCTTCCATGAGTTCCAGCAGAAGTCTCTGGGGAATGGTTTGCATTCGCCTAGCTTGTGTCATGTACCCATCCTTGAACCAGTGTCTATGGCAGAGAGACACTATGTCCAGGGCATATGTGTAATTGGAAGGGCTCCTTCAAATGATATAAAAAGAGGCACTGTATTACCAGAAGACAGGGGAAAGGGTGCTGAGTATGCAGAAACAACAAAGGTGAAACATTCCACACAAAACCTTTCCTGACTCCCTTATATTTAGCTACTTCTATCTCTGTTCTCCCATTGTGCTTTCTTATTTCCCTCTTACAGTACTTACTGCATTGTATAGCAATACCTACTTACTTGTCTCTCTTTGCTATTTGTAGAATTAAGTGAAGGTTCTCCCTGTTATTTTTATCTATCACAATGCAATGCACCTGACAGGTGCTCCATAAAGGCTTACCAAATAAGCCTTGTCTTGAATTAAAAGACAAGAGTTTGAATGTAGGGAAGATTATGGCAAGTGAATGTGGTGGTTTTAAATACAGATGTTCCTCAACTTAAAAGGGGTTATGCCCCAATAAATCCACTTTAAGTCAAAAATATTATAAGTCAAAATGCATTTAATACCCCGTAAACTCATTGTGAGGTCAAAAAAATCATAAATGGAACAATAATAAATTGCGGATCATTTATATGTGCACAAATTCTTTAATACCTTCCCTTCCAAAGCTGGAGACAATTCCCTTTTTCTTGAATGTGGGCCACTCTTAGTGACACACTTCTAACAAATAGAATAAAGAGGAAATATTGATGTGCAACTTTGGCAACTTTGGAGACTAGATCATAAAAGACAAATGGCTTCCTGCTGTCTCTCTCTCTCTCTCTCTCTCTGTCTCTTTTTTTTGTCTCTGTCTCTCATCAGATTCTCAGGGGGAAGCCAGCTGCCATGCTGTGAGGATATTCAGGCAAACCTGTGGAGGGGCTCATGTGGCAAAGAGCTGAAGCCTTCTGGTCAGGCCAGTGAGGAGCAGTGGCATCCTTCCAGCAGCCATGTGAGTGAACAATCTTGAGAGCAGGTCACCCAGTCCCAGTCAAGCCTTCAGAAGAGGGTGGCCTCAGCTGACACCTAAGCAACCTCATGAAAGGCCCTGAGCCAGAACCACCTAGCTAAGCCACTCCCTGCTTCCTAACCCCCAAGGAACTGTGAGAGATGATAAATGTTTGACTCTTTTAAGCTGGTAAATTTGGAACTAATTTGTTATACAGCAATAGACAACTGTTGCAGTGTGTAAGATCTTCACAGAGAAGTACAATGAGGGTTAAAGAAGGAACAGGTGAAATATCCACACAGGGGGATAGACAGCAGAAATTTCTCCAAAGAAGAGGGGGGCATTGGAGATGGGTCTTCCAGAGGACTGACCCCACATGTGCATATGGAGAAGAGAAGTAACATTTCAGGAAAAAGAACAAGGAGATGGAAAAGTGAAGATCATGCTCAGGGCCTAGGGACAGTCTCAGTGATTTACCTCAATGGTACAAGTAAGAAATCAGTGGGAGATGATCAGGAAAGGTGGTGGTACTCAAAAGTAAAGTACCCTGTGTGCATCCTCTTTCTCACTCAAACCCCTAAGGACAGCCGTCTCTCCTGTTTGGTCCTTGAACCTCTTCTCTTTCATTACTGAGTTGCTTATTGATCTCCCCCATATCTAAGATGTTAATCAATTTCTACTGAATTGTTTAAGATGCAACCCAGTGATTCAGTCTCACACCGCCAATGGTTTGCTGGTCTTCTGCACCTGCATATGCTACCAGCAACTAAAATACTTTGTCTCTTAAATCCATCTTCCCTTCCAGCCATCCTGCCTTCAATCTCAAGAACGGCCCTGCTGTGGTTGACATCACCCAGGTTTTTTCCCCATGGGCCATGAATCTGGGTGTAGATGTGGAAATCCAAGAGGCAAACAATCTCATGGAATGTTTCCAAGGACAGAATTTAGCACCACTGGATAGAAGTCTGTGGGACACTTCAGGGGAAGCATTGTCCATATCACTACCTTTAGGGTTTGCCACCTCCAGCCCCCACTGAAGAACACACATTTGTCGTACACATACCCACACTGTTTACCAACTGTGGGATGGATGCCTGTTTTTGATCACATTGAAAGCAGCAATTTTCCTTTTATTCCAATCCCGAATGCAGCTGCTCCCAGTCATATGTGTTTCCATCCTGGTCTCGTTAAAGATGAGGTTAAAGAGGTAGTTAGTCCCTGAGGCTAAAAACCTCATTGTCTTGGCGTCTCTCCGCAGTTCAATGTCAAGTCTCATCAATTCTGCCTTCCCATGGTCTCTGGCTTTCAGGCCCTGCCTTACAGCCAGGCTGTGCCACAGCCCACAGGTTCTCCACCTGGCTGCAGTTGAGAGTCCCAGGAAGTTTTGAAAAACTCCCTTACCTGGATTTCACCCAAGACCAATTAAATCAGAATATCTGGGGGTGACGTCTAGACACCTCATTGTTTGAAAGTTCATCCAGCAACTGGAATGTGCGGTCAGGGTGGAGGAGAAAAAGACTTGCCCATGCAGACCTGACCTGGCTGTGCTCGTTAATTACTCCCACCTGGGAAATCATTCGCACTTTCCGAGAATCAATTTGCAATTCTATAAAATGCAATAATACTTTCCAAGCAGGATTATCAAAAGAGCAAATGAAACAGCGATGTGAAAAGATGTGAAAATGTAAAGAAGTAGGTACTACTATTGTGATGATCACACTGTTACTGCTACCCAGTCTAATTCTAGTCTAATCACCTCATGGGAACTGGGGTAATGACTTTCTAGCTGCATGCTTTGCCTCTAGTAGCTGCTCTCCAACTCATCTTTCATACCAGGGCCAGGTCAGCTTTTCTAAATCATCCTTTTGCTCAAGAACAATCCTCCTTTTCATTTCTACCAAACTTAAGTCCACCACTCTACACCTCCTTAAGTTGAAACCCAAAGAACTTTTTTAACCTTATTTTCTATTTCCTAAATATGGCTCATGTATGTCCAACCGTCACCACCCAGCTAGCCAACCACACAACCAGGGTTTGAGTTCCTATTATGTGACAGCATTGTGCTAGAACTGTGGGAAAATGCAAAGATGAACCAGAGGTACATGAACCAAGAAGTTGACCATCAGAAGCTCATAGAAATGATCAATTTTAGATCAATACAATCCCTGAAGTCATTTTAATTTTCCCATCTCTCTGCCTCTGTATTCTCTAACACCAAGGTGTGCCCAATGCTCACCAGCTATGAATAGCTCTTGAAAACGCTTTAAAAGATGAACAGACACAATGTTCAATTACTAAATGGAAAAATAACTTGTGTCTGTTCCCCAGATGACAATAGTTGGCAGACCTGGCTTCATGGGCATGTGACCTGTACAATCACACAAGGTCCCATACTCAGAAGGGTCCAACGTGTGGTTTAATGCACTGCTGTTATCATCTTGAAATTCTTAATAACTTTTGGAAAGGCACCCTCCATTTCCATTTTGTATTGGGGCCTACACAATGATAGTGAGTGATAATGTTTGATGATTCATTGGTTTTCTTTTTTATTGTTTTAAAAAGGATTTAAGGCAGTATTAAAAATGGCTAAAATGAAGGAAGATAAAATAAAATTTAAAAGTAGCTCTTTAAGAAGGCAAAGGAAAAACAAGATTAGGAAGTTAAGATGGAGTGGGGACTGAGTTCATTCCCTTGAAAAGCATGTCAGGATGGCCCATGGCAATCCCAGCAGCCATGGTGAGAAGGAAGGAATGACCAGTTATAAGACGTGCATTAAACATGATCAGTGACTAAGGAAGAAGCACAAATATCCCTGATAGGAGACCAGAGGGAAATTTCTCTCATCAGTCTTCATAATTGGGATATGCTAAAATACTCTTTAGGGACAACATGACTGGCAACATCCATACCGTGAACCCAGCAACAAGTGGCACAGGGTCAGTTCTTTTGATTTTCCTCACACTAGAGGCAACACACAATTTAGTAAAATTGCTTAGCATAGCTTTGCCCGTGGCGGGGGCTCAGCACATATGTGCCCAGTGAGTGAATGAATGAAAAAATATGATGGGGTACACGAAGCAAAGTAGGTGTCTGTCTCTGGTGATCTGACTTAATTCAGGGATAGATTTTACAGTATTTGAAGAATGGATGGGCTCCATATTCTTTAGAGAATCCTCCAAAGAGAAACGCTGATTCTTTTTTGTGTTTCAAGGGATACTATGCACCCTGCAGAATGGGAGAAAATGTTTGCAAATCACATATCTGATAAGGAATAGTAATCCAGAATGTGTAAAGAATGTCTAAAACTCAACATCAACAAAAACAAACAATTCAAAAATGGGCAAAGGACTTGAGTAGACGTTTCTCCAGAAAAGATATGAATGGCCAGTAAACACATGAAAAAATGCTCAACATCACTAATCATTAGAGAAATGCAAATCAAAACCACTGTGAGACGCCGTGCCGTATCCATTAGGATGGCTATTATTAAAAAAATGAAATGAGCAAGTGTTGGCAGGGATGTGGAGAAATTAGGACCCTTGTGCACTGTTGGTGGAAATGTAAAACAGCATTGCCGCCATGGAAAACAGTAGGAAGCTTGCTCATACATTTAAAAGTAAAACTACCATATGATCTGGTAATTCCACTTATGGGTATATGCTTGAAAGAATTGAAAGCAGGGACTCAGCCAGGTATTTGTACACCGATGTTCATAGCAACATTATTTGCAATAGCTGAAAGGTGGAAACAAGCCAGATGTCCACTGACAGATGAATGGATAAACAAAATGCAATATATGCATACCATGGACTATATATAAGTCTTAAAAAGAAGGGAATTCTGATATGTGCTAAGGCATGAATGAATCTTGAAAGCATTAGAGGAAAAAAATGAACCACACATAAAAGAAAAATATTGTTATGAGTACACTTATATGAGATACCCAGAGAAGTCAAATTCATAGAGACAGAAGGGGAAATGGTGGTTGCCAGGGGTTGGAGGAGGCAAGTAGGGAGTTACTGTTTAATGAATACAGAGTTCCAGTTTGGGATGATGAAAAATTTCTGGAGGCCAGGCGTGGTGGCTCATGCCTGTAATCCCAGTACTTTGGGAGGCCAAGGCAGGCAGATCACCTGAGGCCAGGAGTTCGAGACCAGCCTGGCCAACATGGCAAAACCCTGTCTGTACTAAAAATATAAAAATTAGCCAGGCATGGTGGCCCATGCCTGTAACCCCAGGTACTCAGGAGAATGAGACAGGGAGAATTGCTTGAACCCGGGAGGGGGAGGTTGCAGTGAGCCAAGATCGCACCATTGCACTCCAGCCTGGGCAACAAGAGTGAAACTCCATCTCAAAAAAAAAAAAAAAAAAAAAAAAAAAGTTCTGGAAATGAATAGTGGTGATGGTTGCATGATAATGTAGATATACTTAATGCCACTGAACTGACACTTAAAAGTGGTTAAAATGGCCAATCATATGTATTTTTTAACCAGCTTAAGAAAACACGCAAAATGTTGTTTCTCTCTGTTGGAACTTTGAAACTCTGTATAGCAGTGAATCTGAGGTTATTTCTAATAATACGATGTCTAAAAACTGGTCTTACTGTGGAAAATCAAAGCATATTGGTAGAAAAGGCATATCGAGATGATTTCAGCAGCAAATAGCAGAAGGCAACACAAAATGGCTTAAATAATAAGGAATTTATTATCTCACACAAGGAAAAATGTAGGGGGTGGGAGCACCTGTAGGGTTTGTGAACTCAGGCAAAGTGATGTCATTGGTGCTGTTTCCTCTTCTCCCCGTAGAATGTTCTCTTGGAGGAAACTCTGCTCTTTGCTACAAGGTGGCTGCCGTCATCCTACTATCATATGCAGATTCGGTAACATCCAGCAGCAGAAGAGAAGCTGCCGCTTTGCGCATCTCTTTTTGATAGTGAGGAATGCTTTTTCTAGAAGCCTTCCAGCCGACTTCCTCTCATCTCTCATTGTCCAATACTGGTCACATCCCGATCCTTAAACCAATCATGAGCACAAGAAATGGGACCACCACAGGTTACTGCATAACTAGTTAGGATCATCTGAGGCACTTGGGTTGGGGAGGACACTGGAACAGAAAAAGGAATATGCCACATGGGGAAAGGCAACATAGACGACCAACGGGACACAGCCAGGCCTTGAAGTTCACTGGAAGCATAATCCTGGGTGACTTGCATTAATATCTCTGAGCCTCAATTTCCACAACTGTGAACTGAGGATAACAATACCCCCTGCACCCAATTAGGTGGCTGGGAGAATTGAGAGAATGTTTGCAAAGCACCTAATATAGTGATTTATACACATTACTGTACTGAATATCATCTCATTGCTGACATACACAATAATGCTTCATAATAATAGCTATCATTACTGTTTTTCTTCTCCCAAAAGGGAGAACACACAATTTCTTGGTTATCTTTTTAGCTTACCCATGGAGGTAAACACTCAGAAAATAAATGGCATCTAGATAAAGAACCGCTGCAGGTTGTGGAATCCAATTCTGTGTCAACAAGCGTCCTAGGACATATTCGCTTGTAGGGCTACCATGATAAAATGCCACAGACTGGGTAGTTTAAACAGCAGAAATTTATTGTCTCACAGTTCTGGAGGCCAGAACCTTGAAATCAAGGTGTCAAAAGGATTGGTTTCTTCTGAGGGCTGTGAGGGAAGGATCTGTTCCAGGCCTGTCTCCTTGGCTTACAGACTGCTGCCTGCTCCCTGTCTTCACATCATCTCCCCTCTGTATTTGTCTACGCCCGTAATTTCCTCTACTTATTTATTTATTTTATTTTGAGACAGAATCTCACTCTTTCACCCAGGCTGGAGTACAGTGGCATGATCTCGGCTCACCGTAACCTCTGCCTTGCGGGTTCAAGTGAATCTCCTGCCTCAGCCTCCCAAGTAGCTGGGATTACAGGCACCTGCCACCATGCCCAGCCAATTTCCTCTACTTATATGAACATCAGTCCTACAGGATTAGAGCCCACCTTACTGACCTGATCTTAATTCGATGATCTCTGTAAAGACCCTAATCTCCAAACATTCTGAGGTACTGGGGGTTAGAACTTCAACATCTGAATTTTAGAGGAAATAATTCAACTTGTAACATAAGGTGAAGATTGGCATTGGGAAGTCTATATTCCTTAAAACCAAGAGTGAGAACTCTCATGACATGTCATAACCATTTACCCTACCCACACCCATCCCCTTCTCTAATCTCTGTTTTAAATGAATTTGGAAAATAATCCTAAATCTCACACTGACAGAGCTGGATCAACTGGGTTGTAATAGACTTGTGAAGAGACAATTTAGAGAGAATTTCCCTAGAGGGGCTACAGGAAACACGACTCTGAAAGAGAGAATAGAAAGTCCCAACTGGTCATTTTAAATGATTTTTTTTTTTAATTTTTTTTTTTTTTATTATACTCTAAGTTTTAGGGTACATGTGCACATTGTGCAGGTTAGTTACATATGTATACATGTGCCATGCTGGTGCGCTGCACCCACTAACGTGTCATCTAGCATTAGGTATATCTCCCAATGCTATCCCTCCCCCCTCCCCCGACCCCACCACAGTCCCCAGAGTGTGATATTCCCCTTCCTGTGTCCATGTGATCTCATTGTTCAATTCCCACCTATGAGTGAGAATATGCGGTGTTTGGTTTTTTGTTCTTGCGATAGTTTACTGAGAATGATGGTTTCCAATTTCATCCATGTCCCTTCCTTACACCTTATACAAAAATCAATTCAAGATGGATTAAAGATTTAAACGTTAGACCTAAAACCATAAAAACCCTAGAAGAAAACCTAGGCATTACCATTCAGGACATAGGCGTGGGCAAGGACTTCATGTCCAAAACACCAAAAGCAATGGCAACAAAAGCCAAAATTGACAAATGGGATGTAATTAAACTAAAGAGCTTCTGCACAGCAAAAGAAACTACCATCAGAGTGAACAGGCAACCTACAACATGGGAGAAAATTTAAATGATTTTTTTTTTAAGACAAAGTCTCACTCTGTTGCCCAGCCCAGACTAGAGCACAGTGGGTCACTGCAACCTCTACCTCCTGGGCTCAAGCGATTCTCCCACCTCAGGCTCCCAAGGAGCTGGAATTACATGGAGCCTGGAGCAACTGAGTTGTAACAGATTTGTGAAGAGACAATTTAGGGATAATTCTCCTAGAGGGGCTATAGGAAACATGACTCTGGAAGAGAAAATAGAAAGTACTGACTGGTCATTTTTAAATGAACTTTTTTTTTTTTTTTTTTTTTTTTTACGACGGAGTCTCACTCTCTTCCCCAGGCTAGAGTGCAGTGACGTGATCTCGGCTCACTGCAACCTCTACCTCCCGGGCTCAAGTGATGCTCCCACCTCAGCCTCCCAAGTAGCTGGGATTATAGGCACTCAACACCACACCCAGCTAATTTGCGTATTTTTATATGTTGGCCAGGCTGGTCTTGAACTCCTGACCTTAGGTGGTCCACCTACCTCTGCCTCCCAAAGTGCTGGGATTACAGGCAGGAGCCACTGTGCCCGGACCATTTTAAATGAACATTTATTAAGCACTGAATGCATGCAGAGCATGAACACTTTATTCTGCATGATGCTGTGGGGTGTGGGTGTGCATGGGTGGATGAGATGGAAAAATAACAGCTCAGGATCTACTGACCATTACAAATGTGTGAACAGCTAACTATGAGATAAAGCAGAATGCAAGTGCAAAATAAAACAACAAACAATGTGTTATAAGAGTGCAAAGAAGGTAAAAATGAATCTGGTTGGGGAAATTTGAGTGAGCTTTGAAGGGGAGAAGGTCAAGGTGAGAGGCAGAGACATAAATGCCCCAGAAACTTTGAAATTACTGTATCTTTTGGGATTGACAAGTACAAATGTGGGTTGCGCTGCTGCATAAGGAAAGGTACAAAGGAGCTGTGAGAGTGAGGATAAGGAGGAGCAGATTGACTTGAAATCATGGGGGAGATATGGGGTCCTAAAGTACTGTGAGCCGCAGTGTCAGGCACCCTGAGCTAAAATAGGAATGGCTTGGAAGAGACTGAGATGCATTTTAAGGCAAATCAAGTGCAATTGCCTGTATACTTTGGTCTATGGGAGGAAGCAGTGCAGCAATTAGGGGAAATAGCTTTGGGTTCGGCAGACCTGAGTCAAGTCCACGTTCACCATTTACTGGTTACATCATATTGGGAAAGATGCTTAAATTCTCTAGGCATTTGTTTTCTCATCTGTAACGTGAGGATAATCATATTACTTCTAGTGTTCTTGCAAGGACACGTATGGAAACACACACACAATCTGGTACATACACTCAATAAATGTTTGCCAATAAAAAAGAAATTATAGTAATCTATTAATTTTGGATATGGTTGCTATCCTGAAGTTCCCTTGTCCTGTAGCAGAATAATTTGTGTCCTTTAAAACAATCAAATCTGCTGTGAACATTTAAGGAGTTGTGGAGATAGAAGGAAAAGGGTTGAGAAATGAGCAAGGGGTCTTTACTCCATGCCCTCTCCCAGCACACTTCACCCACTGGGAAGGCAGGGAAGGAACAGCAGAGGAGAAACACTGCAGTTAGAATCAGAGGAGGTGGGTTTGTGGAGACACGTCTTACTTGGCATTTCCCTGTGCTGACCTCCTCAAGGTCTGACCTGGCTGATGTGCAGAGGCTGCCACTTCTCTTCTTGACCACTAGAGGGTGGACTGACTTGAGCCCCTAGATCCAGGTGCAGCAGAAACAGACGTTTGGATTCCTTGAGTTTGAATGATGAGGGCAGGCGCAGTGGCTGAAAGCAGAGACAGTGGGGAGGAAGAACTGCGTGAAGCTAGGTCTGGACCTGGGGCAGGTACAGGGGTGCTAGGTCCACTTGGATGAGGTGCAGGTGGATTACAGAAGAATAGATCCTGGAGAAACTGGAGCCAGATTCTGCAGACCAGCAGAGGGCAAGACATTGGATTCAGACTTGGGGGTCTCAAAAAACAGTGGTGGGACCTCCTGGCTCTTTTGTTCCTTTTCTCCTTTCTCAAAGTGGCACCATTCCATGATCTGGCAGCTGGAGCAGCAGGAGGGGAGGGGCCAAGTGGATGCCAGGAACCTGATAGCCAATGGAAAGGAAAGATAAGGAGGACAGTTGGAACCGCATGGGTGACAGAAGGTGACCTGGAGGGAAGGTGAGTAGGACAGATGGTGGAGGTGGCAGACAGTGGGGTGAGAGGGGAGCTCCACATCCAACCCTTCCCTGGCTGATCACATGTGGTCACTCCAATCCATTAGGGAGGGCGAACACTGTCTTGTGTTGATTGTACAAGGAATGGAGCTCAGTGTATGATGATTCTCCTCTATCGTACTTATAGCAAAGACACCAGCAATTTGCTAGTGGATGTGAGGATCTTACTCAACCCCGAACTGCACAAACATGATAAGAACACAGCAGATACCTGCTGCTTAGGAGGGTGTCCAGAGGACTTTGGCATCATAGTCTGAGCTGATGTTTAGCCAGGACACACACCATAAAGGCCATACTGATTGTGTATGGTCATTGCCCAAAATGATAGGTGGAGGTCTGCGCCTGCAGGTTGTTAAACATGTTGCATGGTGACCGACCATCGCCCTTGGCAATGGTCACATCATTCTAGCCAACTGTTTTGGAATGTGTGTTGTGCATATCGAAGATGAGGTTAAAAAAATAGAGAGGCGGGGTGTGTTGACTCACGCCTGTAATCCTAGCACTTTAGGATCACTTGAGGTGGGTGGGTCACTTGAGGTCAGGAGTTCGAGACCAGCCTGGTCAACTGGTGAAACCCCATCTCTATTAAAAACACAAAAATTAGCCCGGCGTCGTGGCACATGCCTGTAATCCCAGCTACTCAGGAAGCTAAGGCAGGAGAATTGCTTGAACCCAGAAGGCCAAGATTGCGCCACTGCACTCCAGCCTGGGCGACAGAGGGAGACTCCATCTCAAAACCCAAAAAAAAAAAAAAAAAAAAGAAAGAAAGAAAATAGAGATGGCTTTGTTCAATCCACCACTACTTTTAGAAAAGCAATTTGGATTATTTCCTATTCAAATCTTTTGAGGTTTCCAAAATACTTCAGTATTTTGTTCTAGATGAAGTTTCATTGTCCTAAGTAGCACTGGGCTCTAAATAGGAAAGAGATTAGACAATATGTCAAATTAATACCTTTTGCATCCAGAACATCTTACCAGAATAAGAAGTCTGTGGGATTGGTTTATATAGGGCCCCAAAATAAGAACAGTTTTGAAGTGTGCACTATATTAAGCAATCATTACTAGTAAACTTTTTGAGGCTAAATAAACTTTAAGACTTTTTTTTGTTTTTTTTTTTTTTGAGATGGAGTCTCGCTCTGTTGCCCAGGCTGGAGTGCAGTGGTGTGATCTCGGCTCACTGCAGCCTTAGCCTCCCAGGTTCCAGCCATTCTCCTGCCTCAGCCTCCCTGGTAGCTGGGATTACAGGCACATGCCACCACACCTGGCTAATTTTTACATTTTCAGTAGAGACGGGGTTTTACCATGTTGGCCAGGCTGGTCTCGAACTCCTGGTCTCAGGTGATCCACCTGCCTTGGCCTCCCAATGTGATAGGATTACAGGTGTGAGCCACCATGCCTGGCCTAACTTTAAGACTTCTTAGACTTTTTAAGACTATATATACTTTAAGGTGGCTAATATCACATAAGGGAAAAGTAAATTGGCAGATCAATTTGGTCTGCAAATTTTAAACATCTATTAGGAAGGATGATAACGTGTTCGGTTAAAGACGACTTTGTGGCTTATTATTGACAGCTTGTGAAAATTGTCTAAACATGGGATCCCACTTCAATGCTTTTAAACAGTTTATTGAGGTATAATTTACATACCATAAAATCCACTCGTGTTAAGTGTAGAATTCAATGATTTTTAGTAGATTTACTGGGTTGTGCAACTACCACCCTAATTCAGTTTCAAGGTGCAATTTTAACATGTAAAATTCAAACACGTTGAGTAGAAAAGTCACTCTCAGTATTGGACTGGATTAGGATCTGTAGTGATAATCAAGCACTGAATAGGGTTTGCTTGTTTCCTCCTCCCGATTTCTCTCTCTCTCTGCCTTCTTGCCCCACTGTCCGCCTTCTTCTTAGCGTGTTAGGTGCTGAGGATACAAGTTGAAAGATGATCTCTGCCCTCCCAGATCAGGAAGACAGTAATGAAAAGCGACTGAAGAGATCATCACATTCTTTTGTGAAAGTGTCATCCCCGACAGAAGGGCTGCCCTGGGTATTATGGGATCACATTAATCTCAGCTCCATGCCAGGTTCTGGGAGATTTAAGGGCTCAGCTCAATAAACATTTATTGGGCACCTGTGCTCCATGCTGCAGGTACAAAGATGAAGAACTCATCCCTGCCCCAATGTAAGCAACTCTAATACAACCTCAGGTGACTCAGCATCAATCAATGTTATAGATCTGACTGTCCCTGTAACCCAGTTCCAGCATCTCGACCTTTGCCCGCGGGGAAGTGCAGACACCCCCCACTTGTTCCCTCTGATGATGGCAACAGGCTTTCCCTATTTACTGGCATGACACTGTGCTTTTCTTCCTGCAGTTTTCAGCTCAGAAAATGCCTCCTCAGGGAGGCCCTCCCTGGCCACTGATCTAAAATTTCCCCCCCAACACACAGACTTCATAATGCCCCACCCCCACTTTTTCTTTTTCTTTTTCTTTTTTCTATTCTTTTTTTTTCTTTTTTCTTTTCTTTTTTTTTTTTTTTGAGACAGAGTCTCGCTCTGTCGCCCAGGCTGGAGTGCAGTGGTGTGAGCTCCGCTCACTGCAAGCTCCGCCTCCCGGGTTCACGCCATTCTCCCGCCTCAGCCTCCCGAGTAGCTGGGACTGCAGGCGCCCGCCACCTCGCCCGGCTAATTTTTTGTATTTTTAGTAGAGACGGGGTTTCACCGTGTTAGCCGGGATGGTCTCGATCTCCTGACCTCGTGATCCGCCCGCCTCGGCCTCCCAAAGTGCTGGGATTACAGGCGTGAGCCACCGCGCCCGGCCCCCACTTTGTTTTCTCCCTTACCTTTTTCACTCTCCAACATACGATTTATTTATTTATCATGGGACTAAACTCTGATTTTTTTTTTTTCATCTTGCCCAAATTCCTATCTAAGGGGTCTGGGGAGTCATGCCCTACAAATCATAAATTCTCATCAGATGGGTTTTATTTAACCCTATATATCATGATTTACTTTCCAACCTGACTCTGGCATAACATTATAAGGCAAAAAAGAATATCAAAATATTTTACCCCAAAACATGTTTCTTTCCATATTTTGAAATGACTCTGCAAAGCTGTTCTTTGTGGAGGAAAATTGGCATCTGTAAAGAATCTCTATTAACATAGCTAGATATTTTTCTTCCAGACGCTCTCAATCCTAAAGAGATTAACTAAGATCTGAATAGGAAACATTTGTCACCTACTGTCTCTAAGGGCAGCCGCTATAAGATTTCAAAAGAACTTTGGTCTCCATAATCTTGATCTTAACCTGAACATTCCCTTTCTATTTCAGGTCTTTAGACAAACTCAACCAATTGTCAACCAGAAAATGTTTAAATTCACCTATAGCCTGGAAGCCCCTGCTTTGAGTTGTTCCGCCTTTCTGGACCAGTATTTCTTAAATGTATCTGATTGGTGTCTCATGCCTCCCTAAAATGTATAAAACCAAGCTGTACCCTGACCACCTTGGGCACATGTTCTCGGGACCTCCTGAGGGCTGTGTCATGGGCCATGGTCACTCATATTTGGCTCAGAATAAATCTCTTCAAATATTTTACAGAGTTCAACTCTTTTCATCAATATTTTTGGTATTGTCTGATTCCTCCATTAGAATGTAAGTTCTGTGAGGGCAGGAATTTGGGGGCGTTTTCTCTATCCTAACCCTAGGACCAGGTTCCCAGTACATAGTCCATACTCAATGAATATTTGTTGTATGAATTCATGAATATTTGGATCTTTATCTCAGTCCCCAGTGCTGGGGTCCCATCCTGACAGCCCTAGTCCTTCAAGACCTGGGATTCAGCCTTGATTCCCTCTCTCTCTCCCACACATGGGCAGTGCCCAGTCTCCAGGGCAATGCCAGATTCTCTGACCATGCTGCTTGCTGGCTTGCAGCTCTAAACACTACCTGGTCCTAACAGCCTTGATCCTGGAATTTCTCACCGAAGACTCTGCTGGGACGTGTTGTTGCCTGTTCTTCCTCTGACTCAAACTGTTTTTGCCCGCCCCAGTGCTGGCCTACGACCAGCCTTAAGAACTGGCCTATCCCAGTCTGCCCTAGTTAATTAACCTTCTCTGTGTGACAGCTTTACAAGACTGGACAGAAGGCAGAACACCCATGATGCTCTGTGAATTAAAATCCCAGCCAGTGGAAGTGAAAGAGTCAGGATGGGGGTGGTTATTCCACATCGAGTTGAATGCTTGAATCCCCCAAACAATAGTTCCAAAAGCAGCTGAATAAAAGAGTTGAAAAATTTTGGAACAATTACTGATCCCTGAAATTAGCTTCTGAAGAGTAGTCTTTAAAGTCATTCTTGTATAATCATAACATTTCTAGGCTGAACTTTCCTAGTAAAATTTGGGATGTTATAACTCATCTTCCTTATTCCAACTCCTTGCCAACATCAGAGTTTTCAAGACCCTCATTAACTTCTCCTTAAAGTGAATTTCTGGAGCTGGGCTTGGTGGCTTACGCCTGCAATTCCAGCACTTTGGGAGGCTGAGGCAGGAAGATCACTTGAGGCCAGGATCAAGACCAAACCAGAGCAACAAAGAGAGACCCCTATCTCTACAAAAATAAAAAAATACAAAAATTAACTGGGCATGGTGGCACTCCTGAAGTCTCCCAGCTACTTGGGAGGCTGAGGCAGGGGGATGCTTGAGCCTGGGAGATTGAGGTTGTGGTGAGCCAGGATTTTGGCCACTACACTCCAGCCTGGGCAACACAGTGAGACCCTGTCTCAAAAAAAAAAAAAAAAAAAAAAAAATTCTCCTTCCTGCCCTGAAGTTGGGGCTTAAAATAAAGACTCTTGAAGTCTTCTACTTCAGGATTACCTTAGGCTTCTAAAACATGGATACAGCTTTTACTCTTTTCAGGTGTACGAAGGAGGTTTTAGCTTGGGTGAACAAAGGGATAAGGATCAGTCAGATGACCATAGGAGGCAACGTTTTAATTGGGATCCCAGGGACAACTGATACCCATGAAGCTTTATCTGTTTCTAGATGACCAGTTTTATGTATGTGCTTAAGGACAGCACTTTTGGAAACCCCATCAACAGGTCGTAATTGTGGGACATGACAAGAGTGCTCTCAGTACATTGTGAGTTTTATAGTAGGTTACCTAGAGTCCCCACTGGCTCACAGGGCTTCCTCTAAAAAAAAAAAAAAAAAAAAAAAAAAAAAAAAAAAAAGGCGCGGTGGCTCATGCCTGCAATCCCAGCACTTTGGGAGGCCGAGGCGGGCGGATCACCTGAGGTCAGGAGTTCGAGACCAGCCTGGCCAACATGGCGAAACCCCATCTCTACCAAAAATACAAAAATTAGCAGGACGTGGTGGTGCGGGCCTGTAATCCCAGCTACTTGGAAGGCTGAGGCAGGAGAATCGCTTGAACCCGGAAGTTGGAGGTTTCAGTGAGCTGAGATCGCGCCACTGCACTCCAGCCTGGGTGACAGAGCGAGAGTCCATCTTCAAAAAAAAAAAAACAGAAAAAGTAAAAAAAGAAATCTTGGCAGAAGCATTTCAATAAGCTACTTGGGGGAGTGAAAATGGGGACTCTTTCCTTGCGGATACTACGGACCTTAAGACAAAGACGGCTCCACTCCAGCAGTGGGGAAAGGCAGCAAGTGCCGCTGGAATCCGTGGGGATCACACTCAACTGAGCCCTGCTGCTGGGGACCGGGTAACGTCCGCAGGCTGAACTTCATCTCAAGAAGAGAGTTTTAGGTTTTCATGCTGCAGAGAAATCCTTTAAAAAGGCACCAAAGGGCATGGAACTATCTTCTACCAAGGACCTTTCTCCTCCATTCTCCTATTTCGCAGTTAACTCAAGAGGCGGGAGATTTTCTCCGGGGAACAAGACATTCTAAGCACCTCCCTAGGTCGAAGTTAGGTTTTAAGGTGTGGAATAGGGTGGGCCCCGAGGTTCCGTGGGGTTCGCGCTTCCATATAACCCCTAGGACTTGCATCTCTTTACTCCCCTGCTTCTTGTCCCCCATTCGAGGGATTCAAGTAGTGGGGTGTCCATTCGGGCCTCTTTGGAAAGCGGGGCCCCACCCTGGCTGGACTACGTGAACTTTTAGGGGCAGCCAAAAAGTATCCGGTGACGAGGATGCAGGGCAGCTTCTGGAAACCTGATGATCTCAGCTCCTCCCTCTCGCTGTCCGGGTCCTAGGCACAGACTGGGCACCCCCCAACCCACCCACCGCGGCCCCGGCCCCCTTCCCGGCCCTGCCCCTCCTCCCGGCTGCCCAGGCCTCCTTTCACACCTGCCGCCAGCTCAGGTCCCGCTTTTGCACGGTAGAGAGACGGCGTCGAGGTCCTGGCCGAGGGTAGGCACTGGGGGCAAAGCCGAGGGAGCGCGCGAGAGAGGGTAGGCAGCCCCTCACCCCGGGGGAGGTGGGCGATTCGGGACTGACGGAGAGAAGTCCCGGGCCCGCCGGGCTGTGGGCGGGGAGGAGGGGGTGGAGCCGCCGGGGAGGGCGGTGCCGCGGGGAGCGGAGCCCAGCCTCTCCCCCCACCCCCTTTGGTGCCGGAGTCTCAGTGACACAAAAAGCTCTCGCTCGGTGCCGAGCGCCTGGCGGCGGTGTCCGACCGCGAACGCGGAGGGCGGCCGGGCAGGTGGGGGTGCCGCCCGAAGGGCCGGGCCGGGTGCTGGGGCTGCAGGCGCCGCCGCCGCGCTGTCAGCGTCCGCCCCGTGGCTCTCGGCCGGAGGAGCGGCGGCCGCCGGCCCGGGGCGCGAGTCTGGCTGAAAGGAGCGGGCGCGCCGGGACCACCCGGCGATGCTGTCGCCGCCGCCGCCGCCTCTGTAGCGAGCACCCGAGCCCGCCGCGGAGAAAGGTCAGTGAGTTTCGGTTTGTTTCTCTGCTCTGCCGGCTCCGGATCGGGGGCGGACAGAGGGGTGCGCAGGGATGTCTGCGCCCCTACGGCGGCCGCGCCGAAGCCGTGGAAGCGGGAAAGGGCAGCTGCCGCCTGCTGTAACTGGGGAGATCTTCTGGACCGCGGAGGGGGTGGCGGGGCCGCAGGGTCCCGGGGAGGGGAGCGCGGGGTCTGGCGGGGCACGGGGGAGGTGGTCCCGGGAGTTGCGTGTCTCCTGAGAGCTGGCGGAGTTGGGCGGGCGGCCGCGGCGGGGAGCGGCGCTGTCGGCTGCTCGGCCGAGTCCTCGGATGCCCCCTGGAGCTCCGGTCCGAGGGAGCTTTCCTCGTGCCCGCGCCGCGCGCGCCCCTGGGTGTGCACGTGCGCGCGCGCCCGCCCCAGTTGCGCCCCCGGCCCGCACACACCCCGGCTCATCTTCTCCCGGTCCCCTTGTCTCGCGCCTTCTCCAGCCCTAGAAGTTGCCCCAGGGCCCCTCCCGGGATTAGAGAGCGCTGTGAAGGGCCAGATGTTGGGGGTCTTTTGTGCAGACACACGCGCCTGGGGCGCTTGCTCCTGGAAGGACAGCGGCAGGACAAAGCCAGCTGGACTCGTGGGGCGCTGCTCGGGAAGCGGCGGTCCCCAATCCCGCCTGGGGTCGGGGCATGGCTTGGGGAGCGCTGCCTGGGTCTGGAGAGAGTAGAGAAATCGCCAAAGCAGAGTGACGGTGACTTGATGAGGTGACGGTGACTTGATGAGGTGGCGGTGACTTGATGAGGTGGCGGACAGGGGCAAACGAAAGAAAGATGCTCGGGATTGCCGCGCTGTGTGCCTGTCTGCGCGGCTGACTAGGCGCCCCGCATTCCCATATGACCGGGTTACCTGGTAGATTTTGCCAGTGTGTCTTTGCCCCAAGATGTTATTCCCCACCTGCTCCGATTTCTTTCTTTCCTAGGGCTTACTGTTGCTAGTAGGCGCTCTGCCACCAGAGGGGAACTCGTGGGCGGGGGAGACTGCGGAGGAGGGGGGAGGTGGTTATTTATCCTGTAGAGACAATTAGGAGCCGTGACGCCCCCTTCTCGGCCGCCAGCCCTCCACACCTCATCTGCCTTGCTCCACCTCCCTAGTGCACCCGCTCCAGCCCCGTCTGCCCAGGAGGGCGCTTGGATTTCCTTCTCCGCGGCGCGTATCTAACCCTTCCTGCATGTATTTCACTGCAGGCTGAAGAAAGCTCAGTCTCAATTGTGTTTCCTGCCTGTCAGCCTCTTGCCTCCTAAACGTGTACCATTTCCACTTGATGTCATCACGCAGAAGGGGTGAAAGAGACTCGGTGACAGATACAGGTAACCCCCCACGATCTGGGTAGCGCCTGGGTGTCTCTGGGTCATTTGGGCCGACAGTGCTGGCACAGGGCTGTTTGGGTGGTTTCTGCATCAACATCGTTCCTATCTGTGAGAAGGTGTGGGGGCTGCTAAAACTCCTGGTTCAAAGAAATAAATTGCAAATGACTTTATACCTTCCCTTTGAAGAAGCCATTGGAGGTAGGTGCAGGGTGAATTTGGGATTGTAGAAATCCCACCTGGTTTCCTTTCATGGGAATTTTGATATAATTCATACACAGGCAGTTGTATCTGAATGTTAGGTTTCCATAGATGCCTGCTTTCTTATCTGTAGTAATAGATTTAGGCTTCAGTCTAGAGGTGGGGTATCCTTTGTTGAAAAGGTATCATTGGAAGGCTGATTGTACTTTTGCCCAGTGCTCTAATTGAGCACCGGTCAAATGCAGTGACCTTCGTATGAAATACTGTCTTTCTTCTGTTCCTTCATTGTAATAGTGTTTGCAATATTAAGAGAGACATGCTAGCAGTGAGTACTGGGAGGTGGAAGGGAGGGCTGTTGGGGGCAGCAGAAAGAGAACAGAGAAAACAGCTTGAGTGAAGTTTCCATTTAGATAGCCATGAACCAGTAGACTCTCATTCTGGATTTTATCTTTAGGTTATTGGGGCTTTTCCAAAAACTCTGGCCTGTTCTTTTCTTTCCAAGGATAGTTCTGTTTTGATGTCAGCCTAGCCAGATCTGGGGTTATCTTGATAAGAGTGCAATGAAAAAACGTAACCTTCAGACTTAGCAGGACACTCCGGCATTAGCATTTTCTGCTAGAGGGCAGAGTCCTGCGCATCCTACACTAGTAGCAGGGAATAAGAATGGTTATGGAAATGGGCTTTCGATTTTTCTTGTAGGAAGACAGATTGCTGAGGGCCAAAGGCTCCTGGTCTACTCTCTTTTACATTGCAGTAACACCTTGGTATCTGTGACAGATTCTCTCTTCACCATTTTCCTCCAAATCCCTTGAAAAATGAAGTTAAAAACTTGAAAGATTTATTATTCACCTCCAATGTAGTTTTGTTTTGGAAGGTGACTTTAAAAACATAGGTGACACTAGCATTTATCCTTCTACTACAAGCATTCAGGAGTCACTAGTAAAAGCAGTTGAGTTATCTAGTCCCAGGTGAAACAAAGGCCAGTGCTTTGCAAAGATCAGATGAGTAATGTGGTGCTAAGATAGAGGTATTTTTGACAAGTAATTTTTATGTCAGCAATAGTACAGGGTGTGTACTGTGTTGCTGCAAGAAGAAAAAACATGTGATGGGATAATAGGGAATGTAATAATGCAATAGAAACAAGGGTGTGGTTTTTTTTTTAATAGAAAGAATAAACACTTCGCACACAAAATTCCACATGGCAAAACAGTAGCCTGCCCATGTAAATGCACGTCCAAGAACAAAGATAGCCACAGTGCAGTGTTAGGTTTCATTGTGGTTTTAAATTGTGTACAGTAATAAATCATAATAAAGTGTCCATTGATGCTTAATTTTTTTTATATAAGAAGGAGGCTCCCCACCCTCAGATGTGTTTAGCTTTAGGCTGGAGGATCCCTAGAGGCTATTAGGCTGATCTCTGCCTCCAATGCCTGCTTCCTTTCTACAATGCTCATTTATTCATTTAGCAGATGTTTATTGGCACCTGATAGATAATGGACTCTGTGATAGATAATGGACTCAAGGGGTTGGGGTTGGGTGTAGGGGGAGACACAAAATTGAACTCCCTATAGGAAGACCTGATTCTAATTAACTTCAATGGAAGCTCAAGAGAGGTAGGATTGGACTTCTGGGGAGAGAAAATATGGTCATCCAGCCTCAACTTTAATGCCTCTTTCATTGAGGAGCTCACTGCTTCATAAATGGCTGTTGCTGTTGTCAGAAGGTGGCATTTTCATTGTAGTCTTTTTAGCTGAATTCCATACAGTTCGGTCCTTACATTGTTGAGGGTCATTCTGTTTTCATTTCTAATTCCCTCAGAGTTGTTTGAACCCACCTATGCTGTCAGCACCCTCTGCTTTTCAAGGTAGTGTTCAGTTCCTGATGAAGTTGAATTTTGAAACAAATGTTGCTTTTCCATATTATCTGATTTAGAAAACAGATTGATGGGATGCTTTTGCAGATTTTTCTCTTTTTTAAACAGTGACGTACCAGCAAGATAGGTGAGGTTATGCTGCAGTAACAAATACCTCCAAGTCTCCATAGCTAAATACAGTTTCTTTCCTTCCCATGCTGCATCCAGTGTGGTTGGCAGGTGGACCCTGCTCATCGTAGTCACTCAAGGACTCAAACTGATGGAGTCTTGGTCTTGATGTGAGCTTGCAAGATCATTGCAGCATCGGGAAGGAAATGCTGCAGGGTCTTGCTCTAGCAATTATGTGATCCTACCCAGAGGTGAGTTCCATCACTTTGGCCAGAACTGGGCATATGACCCTATTTAATCACAATTCAATATTTCTTGTGCTGAAAAAGGGAGAAGTGGATATGGGTGAGTAGCACTAGTGACTTCCACAGGGATCTGGTCTAGGTGAGGTTAGAAAGTGTGTCCTATGGGACCTAGCTCAGTGCTTGGTGGGTATTGGATGTCACAAGAGTATTGATTGAATCAACAACCTGTAATTTACAACCTGTATATTTACTATTCCAACCTGTAATTTACTAATATATGGTCCTACCCCCACCTGTAATGTACTACTAATATGTTGATATGGTATTTACTAACATGGTTGTACACTGGTCATCAAATAAAATAATTATAATCCTCTCTTTGCCTATTTCAAGTGCATGTTTACTCTGAAGTGAAAGGCCATTAGGTATTTTCAAGGCTGATTCTAGGAGGTTGTGAGCTTAGCATTATGTAATAGAGAGGTGTTACTTACAGACTTTCTCTTCCTCACCATCTGCCTCTTGTTTAAGGCTTCCTGAGTTTGTTTGGAACCGCCCAGGGTAGAAAAAGAGTGGCAATGGGCCTAGGGCCACCCAGGAGGTGGCCTCCTGCAGCAGAGACCACAGGGCAACAGATAAGATCTGAAGGGGGCAGGAATGTGTTTAGGGTAACCTTGGGTCACCCTTTTGTTACTTTGATGTTTAGAAAAAGCAATTTGGGCAAGAGGCTTTTTCTGGTCACAGGACTAGTAGAACACCCAGAGAGTTTAGGGACATTTGTGCTTCCATCAGCAACTGTATTGACTAGGAGGGTGGTGAGTTCTAAAGCCTTCCTTGCCTCACTCTCCCTAAAAAGAGTTGGATGCTATGGAATAGGCATTGCAAGGTGCTCTGGATTCAGCAGTTGGTGGCTTGCAGAGATTTTGCTTTGGGAAGAGCTGTTCACTCATATATCTTTGTTCACATTGTGATAACGGCATGCACGGGTGAGCCATTTTAAAGATTTGATAAATACCTTAAGCATAAGTGTAGAATTTAACAAAATAATATTGCTTTTGGTTCAGTAATCACCTTGGCAAAGTCATTTTTATAAAGATAGCTCTCCAAATAAGGAAGTGGTGTGGTAAACTATGTTAGTCTCCAAGTCACAGTGACTGAGGGGATATCAGTATCAACCTAGGGAGGTTGAGACCACCCGGCTTCATTCAAGTGATAAGATGTAGCACCCAAAGCGTTTCTGAATTGGGAGATGAGCAGCTTGGAGACCAGCAGGAAGAACCAGATATAGACCATCCAAAAACCCATTCAGGGTGCCTGGGGTTGGGCTGAGGGCCAGGCACAGACTGAGGGAGAAGGAAAATGAAAGCCCCGAGGGACTAGTCTTGAACTATATTTGGGAAGCCCCAAAATGCATTTCTATATTTTCTCTGGCCTCTGGGTCCCTACCACTTTAATTTCATACCCAAGTCGGCTGGTCAGGTAGAGGACTCTTGTGGCATGAAAGTGGTTTCTGGCACTGCCCATTGTGACGTCATGGAAACCGGAAAGGAAGAAGGTGTTGGTTTTCCTGCTTCTTTTCCCATGGCTTCGAGAGTTACACTGTGTGATCCAGCAGTCTGACTCCATGATTGAAATCACAATTGGGATAAAGTTGGTAGAGATGCTTCTTAATTTACAGTGGGGTTATATCCTCATAAACCCCTCATAAGTTAAAAATATTGTAAGTGGAAAATGCATTTAATACACCTACTGACATCATAGCTCAGCCTTGTCTGCCTTAACTGTGCCCAGAAATGCGCATTAGCCTACAATGGGGGCAAAATCATGTAACAAGAAGCCTATTTTGTATTAAAGCATCAAATATCTCATGTAGTTTATTGAATACTGTATTGAAAGTGAAAAACAGATTGGTCGTATAGGCACTCAAAGTACGGTTTCTACTGAATGTGTATTGTTTTCACACCATTGTAAAGTCAAAAAATCAAAGGTCATAGGTCAAACAGTTGTAAGTAGGGAACCGTCTGTGCTTGTTACATGCTTAGGGATTTTCAATTTCTAATTGACTCACTGTCATTGTAGGATTTAAAGAGGGAGACCTCAAATAGTGTATCTGTGACCTGCATCTCCTTTGGGTGGTTCTTGATGTCCATGATTTCTTGGCCTAGATCACGTTTGGCTGCTAAGGCCTGGACTACGTTCTTCGTGGAGTTGTGAGGGGGCTGCTTGTGATCGCCTAGGAGTGGAGAGGATGCCTTATTTACCCCTTGATATACTAATGCCTGCATAAATAAAACTCATTGCAAACATCCTGCATGATGAAACTTACTCAAACATCACATAGACTTCCTGGTTACCTGCCTTTCATGCAAAGGAGGGGCTGAGCAAATGAAGATGTGCTGCTGGTGGGAGCAAAGTTATGAGGAAGTAGAATCTCCAAATGCTGTGTTCTGTGCTTGTATTTTCTCTTTCTACAACCTCCTCTCCCCTGCCACTATCGCATTCCCACCTACCAAGGAAGTGTAACTTTCCCGGCTCAGTTCTGATCTAGACATCCAGATAATCACACTTGGTGCACTCCTCACTGAGGTTTGACAAGAATTGAAGAGATTTTGGTAAAAGCTTTGACAGATACTGTAGAAATAGGGAGCATTCTTTTTTTTTTTTTTTTTTTTGAGATGGAGTCTCACTCTGTCACCCAGGCTGGAGTGCAGTGGGGCATGATCTCAGCTCACTGTAACCTCTGCCTCCTGGGTTCAAACTATTCTCCTGCCTCAGCCTCTCGAGTAGCTGGGATTACTGGGATAATTTTTTCTATTTTTAGTAGAGACAGGGTTTCATCATGTTGGCCAGGCTGGTCTTGAACTCCTGACCTCGTGATCCACCCGCCTTGGGCTCCCAAAATGCTGGAATTACAGGCGTGAGCCACCGCACCTAGCCAGGAGCATTCTTCTTACTATTGCTGTTTCTGCTCCTTGACAGATTCACTTAGTGACAGTTGCCACTGCCGCATCTTAGTCAAGAACCTTGTTTCTCTCTGGGCTATGACAATGGTCTTGCTCACTTTCTGGCTTTCCCACCCCACTCCAGTTTGGAAAATGCTGTCACTCTTAGACCATTAGGCCAATTAATCCTTCATCCCCTCACTTAATAACTTTTAGTTGCCCTTGTGGGAGGAAGCTCATATTCTTCAGTTTTGCTTTTCAAGTTTTCCCCAGGTTGACCCCAAACTTCCTTTCCAACCTCGACTTTTGCTCCGCCTGACTTTAAAACTGAACATTAGCTGGGATGGTTAATCCACTGTTGCCCAAAATGTTTTTCATTGCCTCTTTCTTATTCTAGCACATTCTGTGGCCTAAAATGTCCTCTTCCTTCCTCTGCCTCTATCCTATCATCGAAGCCTCAGTTCAGCTCTCAACTCTTCTGAAAAATTTAACTTGATCACATTAGCCTTTAGAAATTCTTTATAATCCAAAGTTCTCTGGCAAAATTGCCTCCATCTCTCATTTCATTCAACATTCATTCATTCATTCTACAAAGGCCACTTGTCATAGATTGTCTTGTATTATCACCTACGATTGAAGTGTCTTTTTCTTTCTGTTTAATTGCAAAGAATAGAAATTCACTCAAGCTTGTTTGCATAAAGGGAGGTGAATTGAAGAGATGTCCCAGGATGTCTTGTCATCAAGCCACATTTCCCAAGAGTTCCAGTGAATGGGACCCTTCCAGTTATCATTCACCCTGGACCTGCTTAGTGCAGGAGAGGGTTGGGGGCACAGTTCCTTCCAAGGGGGCCTGTGGCTGGCTGATGTAGCAGTTGTGACCTGCAATTAGCCTACAATGGGGGCAAAATCATGTAACAAAAAGCCTATTTTGTATTAAAGCATCAAATATCTCATGTAGTTTATTGAATACTGTATTGAAAGTGAAAAACAGATTGGTTGTATAGGCACTCAAAGAGATCTCAGTTCTCTTGCAAGCTCCTTAAAGATGACTGGATGAGGCTTTACACCATTGTGTGTTTGCCACCGTGTTTGTACACAGGAAGGGCTCAATAAACAAATCATTGGTGACTCTTTGACAACACAGAAAACGATTTTGACTTACAGTGATTTAAAGGAATTTTAGACCCTTTTAGCTTGAAGTCTTAAAGGAAGTTAAGAAGATAGAAACTTATTTTTAAGAGCTTCCCCTACTTGCATTAATAATGATTAAATGTTGAATCAAATTAGAATGACCAGGCTGCAGTACGTATACCAATGTTTGGGAGGTGAATGTTCTCAATGAGGGTCATGATTCTAACAAAATTAGTTGTTACTCAAAGCCTGTTTTTCAACTTCCATTTGCCTCCTACTTTGCCCACAAAAAAAAAAAAAAAAAAAAAAAAAAAAGAAAGCAAAAGAAAGCAAAAGAAAAAAAACCTCTACTTGGTGACATACAACAAGCAGCTTTAGGACTTTACAGCCTACCAGACCACCCCACAATCTAACGGAGCAGGCATTGATGCCTGGATTTGTGATGACTGGGTGTAGTTGCCCACCGCTGACTGCCCCACCTGCGTTTATAATTAAAGGCTTCAATACCTTTGTGATATACATCTGTTTTACCTCCCTTTTTTTGATTTTGGAATACTCATTCACATGATAGAAACTCTTCTTTGATACTCAAAATGCTTGATCATTATGAGAGTGTTATTATGAAAGAGGGAAATATGTTCAGCTGCTTGAAGAAAATGACCAGAAATACATTAATATTAAAATAACGCTCTCGGCTGGGCGTGGTGGCTCACGCCTGTAATTCCAGCACTTTGGGAGGCTGAGGCGGGTGGATTACTTGAGGTCAGGAGTTTGAGACCAGCCTGGCCAACATGGTGAAATCCCATCTCTACTAAAAATACAAAAATTATCCAAGCATGATGGTGTGCACCTGTAATCCCAGCTACTTGGGAGGCTGAGGCAGGAGAATTGCCTGAACCTGGGAGGCAGAAGTTGCAGTGAGTTGAGATCGCACCACTGCACTCCAGCCTGGGCAAAAGACCGAGGCTCTGTCTCAAACAAACAAACAAAACACTCTCAGTTTGAAAGGTAGTGAATAGGGCTGAGATAAGTGTCTCAGGAACCAAGTATTTGTTGTGATATTCTTTTGCAGTTGTGTTGTTCTGGGGTAGGTTTGCAAATTGCTTCCTCGAAGATTAATAATATGAGATTAGAAGTGGTTGGTGAGCACATGGACAAATTTGTGTACTTTGGAGAATTTACCCCTTTTGTTGCATGAGACATAAGATTACTGCCATTTTAAGTGAGTAATAGTTAATTCAACCATGCAGGTAAAGAGGTGTCCTTAACTGGGATAAATAGTCCATCCACTCCACTCCTTTACATTGGTACTTCAGAAACTGAAGGTACAGATCCATCCATTCACCTATGGTGGTGTGTAAAATAGCATTTGAAACACTGAGCATCAGGTATTTAAACCACTTATTAGGCAAACAATTGCATTCATTAAATGTATTTTGAATGGCCAGGCATGGTGACTCACGCCTGTAATCCCAGCACTTTGGGAGGCTGAGGCAGGCAGATCACCTGAAGTCAGGAGTTCAAGACCAGCCTGGCCAACATGGAGAAACCCCGTCTCTACTAAAAGATACAAATTAGGCAGGCATGGTGGTGGGCACCTGTAATCCTAGCTACTCTGGAGGCTGAGGCAGGAAGAATTGCTTGAACCTGAGAGGTGGAGGTTGCAGTGAGCTGAGATTGTGCCACTGCACTCCAGCCTGGGCGACAGAATGAGACTGTCTCAAACAAACAAACAAACAAAAGAATGTTGAATGCCTATGTTTTACCAGGCATAATTCTAAAAAAATCCCTGCCTTCTAGCTTCCTGTAGGTATTTAACTCATAATTAATTTGGTTTTCTGCTTTTTTTTTTTTTTGTAATGGCAAAGCTAAAAGGGTAGAGAATAAAAGAAATGTATCTGATATTCTCTCAATTCTTGATACCTTAGCATATATGCCTGCCTTACATGGCTCTAATTCAGGTAAGTCATTATGAACTGGAATTTTAAAAAGTAAGATGGGTTTGGGTTTAAATTTCACGTCTGCCACGTGACCTGAGTGCACAAGGTCTGACTGAGTTTGTTCTTCAGCTGCAAAATGGGGGAGAACCGACCTCATTGAGTTAGTGTAAGAACAGGAGAGACTTACATATAAAGTGCTTAGTGTGTTGCCCTCCACAATGTAAGACTAAATAAATGGCAGCTGTTGCTAACGTCCTTATATCCAGCATCTACCATCCACCAATCATTGGGCTCAGTTCTGGAAATATCGGGATGAATAGGCATGGTCTAACCTGAAGAAGCCCTTAAGCTAGCCAAGGAGGTGATGGCATCCAAGTAACTACAGCCTTCAGCGTTTACATGGGAGTTTCTTTTACCTGTCATTATTGTCAGAGTCTTTGGTTTGAAAGTCTGTAAAGCTTTCAGTGGCTCTGAGTTTAAAATGATAGGCCTTCTCAGGAGGAAGTGGGGAAAAAGCTGGAAGCAACTGGAGGAGAGGAGTCTGAGAAAGGGTTCTGAGCTAGCCCCCAGGCAACCTGAGTCTTCCTTAAAGGAGATGAGTCGCCTTTCTCCTGTGGCCTCACTCTTCCCAAGTGAAATGAAGGACATCCTCTTTCTCAGGGTCTGCTTTCTTGGGAGTAGAGTGACCCCCAGACTTGCCCATGACTAAGAGCATACCTGGGTCATGGAACTTTCCGTTTTAAAACAGTCCCAGAAAAATTGGGATGAGCTGGTCACCCTCCAGTCTTGTTCTGTGATTGTTGTTTGACATCCTGAAGCAGGCTTTGTAGAGATCTAACATTGTTAGTAGAGATACAACCATCCTACAAGAGAGGAGCAAGCGGGGCAGAATAAAATGGGAAAAAACATTGTAGCCTTGTCAACCCCTTTATTTAGGAATCTGCTTTTTGGAATGGGATATTTATTATTATTAAAAAGAAGAGAACTGTTTAATAAAGGCAAGGAATCTAGGCTATACAATATAAATATAAAGTTAATGAAACCTTTTAGAAATTCTTCTTAAAAAGGGGTAGCCGCTTGGGGCCCGGTACACAGTAGACACTCAGTAAAGACTTATTGAAATGGTGGCATCAATTTATTCTTCAGAAATATTTTTGAAAGCTGCATAGAGAAGTGCAAGAGGCCTCTGAGACATGCATTCCAGGACAGGTTGAGGGGCTGAACACTGTGGGCTTTGAACCAGTCTGCGCCTCACTCTTCTGGGCCCTTCCATCACTCATTTGAAAATGCATGCATCTAGATATGCTCTGGGTTTCCTGTGCTGGTATCTGAGTGTGTTTATGTATGAGCTGATGCTCTTCATGACTGTGTTTTTTTTCTTTCTGGTGGAACCGCATGATGCTAGCAGACAAGTTGCTTTGTCTTTTGTTTGAAGCTAGGATGCCTCTGGAACATTCCTATGTTGTATGCATGATGGTAGTGTGGGTTGGGTGGAGGGGGGCATTGTGTACTCAGCACCCAGTGTTTACTTTCCAAAGATTCCAGAGGGTTTTCGTGATGAGTCTGTAATACCAAGTGGGGGTTGGGAAGGGAACCAGGCCTGGCTCCACCCTATAGCAGAGATCTTAGAGATCTCAGGAGCTGGGCTCCAATTTGCCAGCATTTCCTCTCTCTCTGAGTCTCCATTACTAACATGTGGGATTGATGGAGACTGATAAGGCCCTTAGCCAAGCCACCAGTTCTTCTAGTATTTAGCTGATGCCTCAAATGAAAACCCTTTGTGCTCTCTTTCTCCTTGGAACCTTAGCAAATTGCCAGCAACAGTGATTAGTTTGTTGGTTGCCAGTTCTGTAACCTCATGCACAGAGCACCTGAAGGCAATTGCCAGACACTTGCGTGCCTCTTTCCCATGTAATCATCATGCACACCAAGATACTGTGTTCACTGTGTTCCTGGCAAGCCAGATTTCTTCATAGTCTATTACTTCACCGAATAAAAAGGCAAATGACTTGTTTTTGGAAGGGGAATTTTATAGGCAAACAGAATGCATCTAATAAATTGCCTTTATTTTTACACACACAGTGCTAAATATTAGTACAAAGAGTTCGTTTCTCTGCAGATTAAGTACAGGCTAATCTATGTTTTGGATTTTGGATTTTGTAATATTTGCATTACACTTAATATTCAAACATTATATTTACTGGTTGAGCATTCCACATCTGAAAATCCAAAATCCAAAATTCTCCAATGAGAATTTCCTTTGAGTGTCATGTTTGCACTCAAAAAGTTTCTGATTTTGGAGCATTTCGGATTTCGGATGTTTGAATTTGAATGCTCAACTGTAGTTTACTTTTCTTTTTTCCAACAGAGGTGTCAGATCTATTAAAAATTAATTGTTCATACACCCTACATCTTATAACAAAACAATAAGTTATTTAAGAATTGCATCTCAAGGCAGTCCACACTGTCCTATAAGAAGACTGTTAATTAACAAGGAAAAATGTCTTCTCTGAGAAGGAAATAAGAATATGTCAGATTTCACCCCAAATTTATTTCATCTTATTTGTAGAACTTGTGCGTGGAGATGCTAAACCCTCTCTTTGTGCTCCTTAAAATAACATTCTCTTGGGGGCAAATCTAGTTTGCAATGAAGATTGAAAAATAGATGCCATCTAGATAATTTAGAATTCCTTATAAATTAGGAAGACAGTGATAATCAATTTTGGATTCTAAACCTGAGTCAGCCTAGTTCTAGTTGCTTCAGCATTCATTTGATTTCATGTCTTTGACTATGGCAAAGGGCAACAGTATTAGCTTCTGTTACCGCTTTTAGTAAAGGTGAATGTGATTTTACTGAGACAGAAACCCTAGAAATGGGTTGTTTGCCTGCCATCTGCACTTCTCCTCTTCCCATCAGAGGAAGCAGTTCTGAACAGACTCATTGTCCTCTGGGTTCTGGAGTCTGCATCCCTCATTTTTATTTCTCCCTTGAGATTCTGACTTGTAAAGAAACAAATTTCTTCCTTTTATGAGGCTTTTTAGTGCCAGGTGACTGGTGTCGTTCGCTATAATCTATAGTACTTAACAGCTAAATACATTTTGTTTTCCCCAAGCTGATTACAGTGAAAATAAGAAAACGAGAGAGAGAAGGCCGGGTGCGGTGGATCACACCTAATCCCAGCACTTTGGGAGGCTGAGGTGGGTGGATCCTCTGAGGTCAGATGTTTGAGACCAGCCTGACTAATATGAGGAAACCCTATCTCTACTAAAAATACAAAAATTAGTTGGGCGTGGTGGCATGCGCCTGTAATCCCAGCTACTTGGGAGGCTGAGATGGGAGAATCGCTTGAACCCCAGAGGCGGAGGTTGCAGTGAGCTGAGATTGCATCACTGCACTCCAGCCTGGGTAACAAGAGCAAAACTCCGTCTCAAAAAAAAAAAAAAAAAGAAAACTAGAGAGAGAAAGACAACAGTTTGAGGGAGGAGGAGTGAGTAAAGAGAAGAATAAGGGTAAAGAATTGTGTAGGTGTATGGTATTTTCAAAATTCAGTTTTAGTCAAAATGAAGAACAACTGTTGTTTATATGGTGGTGTTGGCTTCATAATTAAAAACATTTTGCCTGATGCAAATTGAAGTTATTATTAATAATGTTTTACAAAATGACATGGAAATTTATCAGATATTTCCCTTTCCTAACTATCTTGGATTCCGCAATGTATTTCATGACAACCAAAAGACAATTTGGGAGAGTGGGGGAGATAACTGTAGTAGAAATATAGTAGTAGATAGTGTTTATTAGACGCTTGGGTGCTTTCAGTTTAAAGTGCTTTAATCACGTTATCTGGGAGGCAGTGGAACTTGGAAAAGCCTGGTGACTTGTCCAAGGTTACGTGGCGAGTTTGTGCTGGAGCTGGAACTGGGATATGTGACCCTGGGCAGTCTGGCTTGAGTCCTTCCTCTTAACTGCCTGTGAGCCACACTCACAACTGGGATTAGGGTTCAAAAGCATTTTGAAAACTGGTTCAGTGTAACGTAATTTAGGAAGAGATCTGAATTCTTTGCGGACCTGTCTTTGGGAACAAAGATGGACAATTTTGGCCACCCATCTGTTGAATGTGTTTGATGTTGACTTAGAGAATGGGTTGTTTGAAAGCTTGGGTGTCAAGTTTTGTTGGGAAATTTGCAGCAAGATTTCTGGCTATTACCTGAGTTTTGTCCTGTGCTAATTCAGGTTTCTGTGAAGTCAGGTGGTGTGAATTGTTTCTAGAAGGGCCACTTAATTGAACACCAGTGTATATAGTTATGTGAGAGATTCTGTCAGAGTCTGGGAGCTTAGGATTTTTCGGAATACACTACTAAAAAGCTGTGCACAAAAAAAATTTTTTTTTTTTTTTTGAGATGGAGTTTCGCTCTTGTTGCCCTGGCTGGAGTGCAATGGCGGGATCTCGGCTCACTGCAACCTCTGCCTCCTGGGTTCAAGCGATTCTCCTGCCTCAGCCTCCTGAGTAGCTGGGGTTACAGGCGTGCGCCACCACACCTGGCTAATTTTGTATTTTTTCAGTAGAGATGGGGTTTCTCCGTGTTGGTCAGGCTGGTCTCGAACTCCTGACCTCAGGTGATTCGCCTGCCTCAGCCTCCCAAAGTGCTGGGATTACAGGTGTGAGCCATCGTGCCTGGCCTCAAAAAAATGTTTTTACAATCCTCCCTCTCTAGTTACTGTTTCTTCCTGACCCCATACCAGAAAGTGGAATAAATCATACCCTTTTGTATTCCCATTCCTTTGTGTAGTTCCCTTTCCCCGGAACACGCTTTCTCCCTATCCTTCCTCTCTGCCCTCCCGCAAAACACAGCATAGTGATGGAAAGCTATAAGTACCATATATACAGTCGTCACTCAGTATCTATGGGGCACTGATTCCAGGAACCCCCTTAGAAACCAAGATCCATGCATGCTCAAGTCCCTGATATGATATGCCATAGTTTTTGCATATAACCTATGCACTTCCTCGTGTATACTTTAAATCGTCACTAGATTACTTATAAAGCCTAATACAATGTAAATGCTATGCAAATGTAATGTAAACATGATGTAAATGTAAACACAATATAAATGTAAGTTGTTGTTATACTGTATCGTTTAGCAAGTAATGACAAAATGAAGAAGTCTGTGCACATTCGGAGTGGAGGTAACCATTTAGTATTATTTTTCCTGAATATTTTTGATCCATGGTTGGTTGAATCCACAGATATGCGACCCAGATATGGAGGGCAGACTGTACTTTCTTCGATACTTTGTTCCCATTTTACTTGTCCTGTTGATCCTCCTCCAGCTCCCTCAGGCAGACTTACTTTCCTTTCCATTTGTTCTTTCTAATCCCACTTACCCTGTGCGTGAAAATTCTGCATATGGTTGCCTCTCCAGCTCTAGTGTAAGTTCTTTAGCTGTAGGAACTGCTATCATTTGAATGTATGTGTCCCTCCAAAATTCATGTTGGAATTTAAACCCCAAGATGATGGTATTAAGAGCTGGGCCTTTAGGAGTTGATTAGGCCATGAAGGCTCTGCCCTTGTGAATGGGATTAATGCCCGAAGAGGCTTCAGAGAACTGCCAGGCCCTTCCATTTCTTCTGCCACGTGAGGACACAACAATAAGGTGTCATCTTGGAAACAGAGGCCTCTCACTAGACACTGAATCCACTGGTGCCGTGGTCTTGGATTTCTCAACTTCCAGAACTGTGAGAAATAAATATTTATTATTTATAAATCACCCAATCACAAGTATTTTGTTGTAGCAGCACAAACAGACTAAGACAGAAATCTTGTCTGTTCAGGAGTTTGGATGAATGAATGGAGGCTCAAACAAGCAAATGAACAAACAAGTGATTAACACGTGAGTTTGTTGGGATTGCTTAGGGTATATGTTAGTGGACAATGATGTTAGACCTGAGCATGGACCTGTGACTGCTGCAGAGGCTGGCTAGATGCTCACCAGAATCTCAGCATTTTGACCTCTGGGGCTGGATAATTCTTTATTGTGGGAAGACCGTCCTGTGCAGTGTGGGATGTTTAGTAGCATCCCTGGATTCTACCCACTAGGTATCAGTTGTCCCAGTTCAATCAAAGATGTCTCCAGACATTGCCAAATGTCCTCTAGGGGACAAAATTACCCCTAGTTGACAATCACTCGACTATACTACTTTCTGTACCTAGGTGGGGCCATGTGACTGGTTCTCACCAATGGGATGTATATGGAAATGAGATGCAGTTCAGAGTGGGATGCCTTTTCTACCCTCGTTCTCTTTCTAATCTGCTGGTCAGTTTCAAGAGTCCAGGGGAGAAGTCTGAAGTCCTAGGATATGGCAGAAAGAACCTGGGTTCCTAAGAGACCTTGTGGAGCAGATGCTCCCTTGCCAAGTGTCATTGGAATACACTGTGAAGAAGAGAGAAACCATTACTGCATTTGGCCACTCAGATTTGGGGGTGTTCATTTTGGCAGTCTACTGTCTGACTTTCCCTGACATTTGGGATGAAGAGACTTTGCTGAAGCAGCCGTGCCAGTATTCCTGGTAGTGAGTAAAAATAGAGATTCCAAACACAAAAAAAGGGACAGATTTTGTTTGTTTTTTCTTGTGCAGCATCAGCCTTATTGCAATAATTCTTGTAATTTCTGTATTTTATCAGAAAATGAGATGATGATAATATTTGTTATTCCTACCACCCTAATAATTTTGACGTGTGATTAACAAGCAGCTTTGAGCTATAAATACTTTCAGTAGAAAGTAATAAAACCTCAAGTGTACTGGCAGTTTTCATTTCACTGTGTATGTATATGTGTCTGCAACACAAGTTCGAGTTGAGATATTTGTGGCAATTTATGTATAATGCATTTTAACATTTTTTGGGAACAGTGACAGATGTGGATACCCTGCAGTCACAGCTGTTTCCCACACCATTAATAAATAAATCACTGTATAATATGACAGTCTTTGAAATGGACTCTTATATGCTTAGTCCAGCTGAATGCCATGGATTAGTGTCCTGTAAAATGCTGAACCCAAGAACTTGCTTATCAGACTAAATTCAGTGCACCATTCTAAATTTATTCTGCTGCAATCAATTGTATTTGTCATTGTGTCTACGCAGAACCCCTGACCAAAATACGTAAGTCAAATGGTTTCATTTGGTGCCCATGTGGATGACAACAGCCGAGTTGTTTGTGGGAGACAATGGCTGTTTGTGGATGAGTCTTTCGATGGCTGGAAGCTTTGTGTTTGGTTCAGTGGTCTGTGTGCCTGTTCTATTTGCACAGGATTCAATCCTTTGTACAAAGAGCCACCCCAACTGAGTTTCACCATACCTGTCAGTCAAAATCCCTGTCTCCAGGAAATACAGCAAATCTGGCTTGAGGATACAATGGTCAAGTCTCTTTTTCCAGTAAATATCCTGCTAGGTGTCTTAACTTCCAAATATCTGAGTCTAGTGTTTTGTTCCCCCATATAAAGCATTTGCATAATAATGAGCATAAGACTGACACTTACGCCATGAATTGTGTGCCAGGCTCTAAGGGTTTTGCTTACAGTGCGTGCCTACTCCTCACAGCAATCCTACGGGGTAGAGTAGACGGTTCTATTAATGTCTCTATTATATGGGTGAGGAAATTGAAGCACAGAGAGCCTAAATGACTTTCCTGAGGTCACAAAGCAAGTAAAAGCCAGAGCTGGGATTAGAACCCAGTCAAGACGTCTCCAGCATTGATGCTGTAAGCCACTGCAGTATGCTGCCACAGCCTTGTCATTCTGTTAAGGAGATGTGCTTTCTCTGAGATCTCCTGTATTTTCATGACTTCGACTAACATCTGTATATGATGCTTAAAAAGAGTTGTTGATATTATTGCTTATTTTTTTTTGTGGGCTGAGTGTACTTTCTCAACTTCATTGTCAGCTAATGCTCTTATATCTTCCCTAACTCTTGGCATAATGCTTCCATGTCAGAAAGTAGTTCATTAGCATGTTGATTTGGTTATTTTTATACCAAGATGCTCCTTTAGAAGGTTACCCTGCAGGAGTAAGAACATGCGTACAAAGGGATGCAATTGCCAGGTGGTATAGGAATGAAATGGTAGTGGAATTCAGAGGATTCAGAATGCCTTCACAAAAAATGTAGTATTTGACAATGCCCGTGAAGGGTAGACAGTAATTGTCTGGACACATGGCAGTGAGGAATGGCATTGGTGACAGCATGGGGGTAAGTGGCTCCTGTCTTCCAGACAGTGAGTAATGCTTTATGACTGGGACTGGTAGTATGGGAGTATGGGAGTAGGAATAGTATGAAAAAGGATTGGAAAGGTTGGTGGGAGGGGGACTTAGGGATTTATTTGACAGGAAGCCATTGATGGTTTGGGGACTGGAGGAGGATGTGGTCATAAAGCTGTGTTTTTAGAAGCTTAATCTGGCAGTCATCAATATGGATTGGGGCAGGAAGGGACGAAGGTGGGGAGACCATGGAGGTGGGTGGGGGAGGTCCAGAGATGTAATGAAGACCTGAGCCCTTGGGGAGGGTGGCAGGAATGGGAGGGTGAATCAATGCAAGAGACATTTCAGAGACAGAGCTAGTAGCAGTTTGGAGATTAATTGAATGAGTGGTGAGACATACACAGGTATTCAAGTCTGAGGTATTGGGTAAATAATGGTAACGGATATAAAATTGCAGGGAAAAAAACAGATTTGGGAGAAATTAAGAGTTTGCTTTAGAAGCAGCATTGAGTGGACAGGTCAGAGCTGACCTTCGTGGGTAATCCACGCCCAGATGGTCATTATGAATGTGAGGCTTAAACACCTTGCCACCAGGGAGAGAAGCTCTCTAGAGAGCTGACCATGTAAAGGCATAGGTCTGAAGGGTTGTAGGAACAAAGAAAAAAAATTTGTTTTCTGGAACAGAGGACACTTGCATGCACTGACAATTAAATTTGATGTCTTATTTAAAGTTAGGATGTAGCTTAACTTATATTTATTATTCCCAAATTGGTTATGATTTCAACTGGATTTAAAATATTGAAAAGATTTTACAGACGGTGCTTAAGGACTGTTCCATATAGGACCCTGTCTGGAATATTGGGAATCTGGTTGGAAGATCCCTTCTCATACAAATTGGTTAACTCATTAGCCTCCAGGTGTTACCCAAGTTGTTGCCTCATTTAGAATGCCTGCCTTCCCTTTCTTCCTCTATCCTTCTATTCAAACTCTAACTCTTCCTTCAATACCCTGTTCAGATCCCATCTCTGAATCCCTGATTCCAACTGGAAATGGCCTTTGCTGCCTCCAACATCTTGCAGACCATGGCATATCCCAGGGGATGGCCAGGTGCTGGCCGGTGATGCAGGTGGGTCTTTGAGGGCTGGGCTTGTTCATCTTTGCATCTCAAGCATCTTACTTATTTTTTTTTCACCAGGTCAGCATAAAGAGTGTTTAAGGTCTGTACCCAATAAAGCTAAACTTCATCTAAGTTGTAAAAAACCCCAGCTGAAATAAAATACACTATGGAAATGACTTCAATATCCTGAAAACACAATAGCTAAGAACCAGACTGGGATTAGATACCCCACTATGCTTAGCCCTAAACCCAAGTAGTTAAATTAACAAAACTATTCACCAGAGAACTACAAGCCACAGCTTAAAACTACTTGGCGGTGCTTTATATCCTTCTAGAGGAACCTGTTCTATAATTGATAAACTCCGATATACCTCACCATCTCTTGCCACTCAGCCTATGTACTGCCACCTTCAGCAAACCCTAAAAAGGCCTTAAAGTAACCATGAGAACTGTTATGTCTCTTACTAGTTCTGCCTCCTTAAGGACTGTGGTGATCTAATGCTTTTTAAAATAGTTGCACATTATTTTGAATGTGATTTCTTCAGTGGTCCTGGTTGGTTGATTGAGGGCTCTTTCATCAAGAAACGTTCTTTCCACTCTGTGCATGCTAACTACACTTTGGTAGCTGAATCCTGTATCTGTAATCGGAAATACAATATGTTGGCTATCACCAATGACTTGGTTTATATTTGTCTGCTCTTCAAAAGACATTAACTACCTTGATGGATTCTTCTCTTTGGTCAGTTCATGCGCTGTTAAACTGCGGCAGCGAGGAGGTAATATTAGGGGAAATTATTATGTCATTTTGCCTTTGGTTTTACCTAAGATGTCAGGGTAGCTTTTCAGGAACTGAAATATACTCAAGCCTAAACAAGTAAAACAGTAGTAAAGTATGAAATTAGTTTTTATATTTCTAAAATTAAATTAATTAGACAAAGTACACTTATTATAGTATGAAGAATGATCATGAATAAAGAGATTGAAACTATGCTTATTAAGATAGATTAGGAAAATACTTTAGAGGATGCAAGGGGTTTACTTTTCCTTTTATGAGATTTGTTTACTAATAAAATTTCATCTCCATCAGCCTCAACAAATGCCCAGTAATTAGTACCGATTAGCTAAGATCTGCTACCCTGGACTTGGACTGTTCCATTTTCTCGGAAAACAAGTCCACTTTCCTTGGGTTGTGGGGAAAGAAGTGTTATTTCCTCAGAAAATATGTCAGGTAAACTGATGTTCATAACGGACTTTTGAACAATTAGAGTTCACTATGTGGGCAGAAAAAGAAACAAATGGTGGTGGTAACCCCACTGCTGTAAGATGTGAGGCCTGCCCGTGTTTAAGAATGGAGACTGAGGCTGGGCGTGGTGGCTCATGCCTGTAATCCCAGCACTTTGGCAGCTGAGGTGGGTGGATCACCTGAGGTCAGGAGTTCAAGACCAGCCTGACCAACATGGTGAAACCCTATCTCTACTAGAAATACAAAATTAGCCAGGCGTGGTGGCGTGCCTGTAATCCCAGCTACTTGGGAGGCTGAGGCAGGAGAATCGCTTGAACCCAGGAGGCAGAGGTTGCGGTGAGCCGAGATAGCGCCATTGCACCCCAGCTTGGGCAACAGAGCGAAACTCTGTCTCAAAAAACAAACAAACAAAAAGAAAGGAGACTGCAGAATTTTTGAGTACAATTTTAAATATTAAATATCTCTGATATTTGTACTTGTGTCAGTTAAAAAAATTGCTAATATACTTGGCAATAATTAACTTTTAAGCATTTTGTGAAATTCTGCAGAAGTTACCCAATTTCATTCTCATAATAATTAGGAGTAGGTTCTGTCTTTGCCCTGTATTTTTTGATGGGCAGACAGAAAGCACAGTGAACTTTAGTAGCTTGCTCAAGATTGTGCTAGCAAGTGGCAGAACCGGGACAGAACCCCAAATCTGGTACGTAGAAGCATTCATATGTTGTAGTCCATTAAAATATATTAATCTTTCAAAATTTTGCAGTAAGTTATTGAAAAGTACCAACCAAAGGAAGCTATTATCAGAAACAAAATAAACTAATAATAAACATCTTTAGAGTAATTATTTGCTCACTACAAAAATGAGCATGGCATTAAAAATGAAATACTAAAAATTTTAGAGTTTTAATTTCAGTCATGGTGTACTTTAGTAATAATAGAGTTGTAAAATCTTATTATGGCTGTTTTGTTTCTATACCAGAAATTCATCTGGAAATTATAGCACAACAAATAGCTGCGAAAATCATGATGATAGTCATTATATCAATGACATAGTTGTGGAAGAAGAGAATAATGAGGTTATTTTGAGGGAAGTCCACTACAGTAGAATGGCAAATGCTTTTCAAATGTAGGGCAAACCAGAAGGGAAAGAGGCCTAACTTTGGGTTTATAATATATCATGAAAATTGGGGGTTGGGAGAGGGGCATGATTTCATGAATATTTGGTGATTAAAAATTGGACTGCAAGGAGTTAATTTTGAATTTTTAACCAGACATTTTCAAGCTTGTTAGCAATAGTTTTGGCTCTGATAGTAAGATTTTTAAACAAGCATTGTTAGTCTCTAGCCTGTTGCTCTATGAAGTTTCCACCTCTAGGACTGGAAGGAACTTCAGCGATCAGGTTTGCTACCTGATGTGGTTTGGATCTATGTCCCCACCCAAATCTCATGTTGAATTGTAACCCCCAGTGTTGGAGGTGGGGCCTGGTGAAAGGTGATTGGATCATGGGGGTGGATCCTTCATGATGGTTTAGCACTATCCTTTTGGTGCTGTTCTCCTGATAGAGTTCTCACGAGACCTAGTTGTTTAAAAGTGTATAGCACCTCCTCCAACCCTTGGTCCTGCCATGTAAGATGCCTGTTCCCATTTTGCCTTCCACCATGTTTGTAAGTTTCCTGAGGCCTCCCCAGAGCCGAGCAGATGCCAACATCATGCTTACTGTACAGCCTGCAGAACCGTGAGCCAATTAAGCCTCTTTTCTTTATAAATTACCCAGTCTTAAGTGTTTCTTTATAGCAATGTGAGAATTGACCCATATACTGCCCTTAATATAGGATCCTTTCTTGGAGGCTCCCTCACAAGTAGTTTTAGTTGTTGCCATGAAGATATGTACCTATCAGAGGCTTACTACCTCTCAAGTAAATTGCTCTTATTTTATAGTTGTAAAACCTGAGACTAAAAGAGGTAACTTGATAGACCAAGGGCTCTGCAGCTCCAAGGTGGGCCATGAGTTGTCCCTACCAGAACAAGCCAGGCTGTTCATGGTCCAAAGCCCAGCCTTACCTTCTGAAGGCTCGGCATCGGGATACCATGAACCACTGCCATACAATCCCACAACCTGCAGAATAGCCTGGTTTTACCATTAGAGAGTCATTTCTTAATGATATGGTGAAAACAGCATGAATTTTGTTCATTTGGTCGGCTGAGGGCAGTAACCCTTCTGTTTATTATCAGCCCTGTGATCCTAAGTAAATTACTCATCCTTGCTGACCCTCTGTGTTCTGGTTTAAGATGAGACCAGTAATATCTATCTCGAGAGGTCATGGAGATGATGAATCCTGGTAACTTGATGTGTTGGAGCACTTGCAAGGTATCTGGTGCTGTTTTAAGTATTGTATATGTGTTACCTAATTCTCAGAATAGTAGTCTAAGGTGGGAATCCAGAGGCAGGCCCAGAGGAATGAAATGATGTGTCTGAGTCCAGAAGCTGGTAGGTGGACAATTCAGGGTGAATCAATTCCCTTCTGTTTTTTTTTGGGGTGGGGGGAGGTGGGTGGGGGTGGGAGGTGGTTCACTTTCTGTGAGTCCTTTCCTAAACTGGCAGTGCCCTTGTGAAGGTAACATGTACACACCTCCGAGAGGTTGTAGTAGCCAATGGTGTGAATCGAAGCCTAAGGTAAAAGCCTCTATCAGAAAATACAAATGCTTCTAGTGAATTCTAGTAACAGCCTCTCTGGGAAGCAGGTGCAGGGCCTTGGGGTGCCATTATCAGGATGGGGTCGGGGATGTCTGATGGAGGGAATATGGAAAAGACTAAGGTAGCACATTATCTAGACAGCTGGGCTGAACTGATTTGGGGGATGGAATCATGGGTGCAATGTGTGTGATGGGTTAGGAGTCAGGTGGGCATCAGAGGTTGAGAAGGAGTTAGGGGAACAGAGAGAAACAGGGATGCTGTTTCCCCTGAACTGTTTTGCCTGGACTGGAGCTGGAGCCTTATGTGGGTTTCACTTCATTTCTTCCTGGGCCCAAAGAAATGAGGTCCATAAACCATAGTAGGAAAATAGGACCTCGATCCTTTTTCTTTCTTGGTTAACCTTGAAAGAACTCCCTTTCTCCCTGCATCCAAAAAAAGAAGAGGAAGAATGCCCTGGTGGAAAACCTACAGGGGGTAGCTTTCAGAGTTCATGCTTGGCCAAGAGGCAAACAGCATAGCAGGCTTTGGAACCACAGAGTCGGCAGGGGTTTGAAGCCTTCTCTCGAGGGACAGCAAGCTAGTAGGTAAGGTGACAGGCGTGGTCTCCTCTTTCTTCCTGGGGTGGAAAAAAACTGGAGCAGGGGACAGCCCAGAGTAAGAAAATACCACGTGGGAGATGAGGACAGGAAATGCATCAGACATGAAGATTTCCATGCCTGTGTGTGTTTACAGTAATCAATCCCACCCTCAGAGGCTGGGATCAGGAGAGCCTGTTTCTCTTTGGAGTGCGGAGGCCACGTCACAGCTGCAATTGGATTTGACCACCAAAAGCTCCCTGCTGTGCTTTCCACACCCCCATCCCGACACAGCTTCTTTATAATCCTAAAAGCAGGGTATTCGTGATAAATGTGGGTGCAGGAACGTAATATTTCCATGTTTTCAAATTATTTCTTTCCAAGAGAGCGTGAGGTTTGGAATAAATGGAAATACTTTTTTATGGTATAACAAGTTATATGGTGACTTGCCTGTCTTTTCCTTCATGGATAAAAATCAGAGTCAACAAGCCCAACGTAAAAGCCTCTGTCAAGGAATACAAATGCTTCTAGCAAATCCTAGTGACACTGTTTCTTTCATGGTTTCCTGTCCAAAGTACATCTGCTTATAAACTTTCTCATTTTTGTTTACATCATTGTTGTGCCAAGTTCATGGATGCATAAAAGCTGAGGAAGTTGGTGGGTAAGTGGCTTGTCTGAGTTTATGAAGATGATAAGCTTCCGGGTGTGTGCATGTGTGTGCGTGCGTGTGTGTGTGCCCACTCAGTTACATGAGTTTTCCTTTTCATTCATTTACTGGACATTCATTTACTTTGAAGTTCCTTCTAAAACCTGTACTTATTCTAATGATCTGTGGTGTCTTCCTGGCACCCTCCTGGATCAGCTAAGTTCTTGATGCCAAACTTTGCTACATCCTTTATTGAAGGTGTGAGTGTAAAGTAAACCTAAACAAATGGAAATAACACAAAAGTTTGTGTTCCTTTATCAAGTGGGTCTCTGGGTGTTCACCTTTAGTGCCGTCTGTGGTGAGGTGACAGGGCATTCCACATTTAGTTCTTTTCCAGTAACAGAATCTCTTGTCAGGTGCAGGAGACAATACCTCCATGGCCCATGTTTATTTGGAAGTAGGGGTTGTTTTTATGTATCCTAAAAGATGAATCTTGGAGACCAGTTTTCTTTGAACACTTGAGTTGCTTGGAAGTATGATTGGAAGAAGACCCCTGACAGCTTTTGACCCCACCTAGTGATTTTGTGGAGTTAGCAGTTGAAATTTGAGGATAGACATTCCCTATTTCTTTGGATTTTACTAATTAGGGTTTTGTGGTCAGTGAAATGATTAAGACTGGGCTTTCCTTTAGCTCATCCTACTTAGAGAGACATGGTGAACTTAGGAAATTTTATATAACAATCGAGATTACCTCTGAGATGTTAGAATATTCTCAGAATCTCTTCTGATAACCTCAAATGCTTATAAAAACCTGTGTTCTTACAAATGGTGAATGCTTTTTAGTTACTCTCATCATGAAACTGGGAACCCTAAGAACCTCAAGTATAGGCAATTTATTGTCCATCTGATTTTAAGTCATCTATGAAGATGTGTGGATGCTGCTGGTCTTTTTGCACTGTTGCCTTTGTAATGCCTGCTCCTGACTTGACTACATGCTTCCCTGCTCTGTCTTTCTGCCACATAACTACAAGGCACACTACTGATTTATGCTTTTCATTCATTTCCTGGACATTCATTTACTTTGAAGTTCCTTCTAAAACCTGTACTTATTTTTTTTTATTTTTATTTTTTGAGACGGAGTCTTGCTTTTGTTGCCCAGGCAGGAGTGCAATGGGTGATCTTGGCTCACTGCAACCTCTGCTTCCCGGGTTCATGAGATTCTCCTGCCTCAGACTCCTGAGTAGCTGGGATTACAGGTGCCTGCCATGACGCCCGGCTAATTTTTGTAGTTTTAGTAGAGACGGGATTTTACCACGTTGGCCAGGCTGGTCTCAAACTCTTGGGTAATCCACCCGCCTTGGCCTCTCAAAGTGCTGGGATTACAGGCACGAGCCACTGCACCCGACCTAAAACCTGTACTTATTCTAATGACCTTGGTGGCTTCCCAGTGCCCTGCAGGATCAGCTGGGGGTGGCTGGGCTGGGTTTACCTCTGTCCTGTGGTCTCTGAACTGATACTGAGCAGTGTAGCTGCTCTTGAGACTTGGAATAAGCTAGGAGGAAAAGAGAAATATTGGGACATATTTTTAACATGCTTTTAAACATCCCTGAAACATAACACAGATATATGCTGTAAGTCTACAGCAACACCCGAAGGCCAACCTCTACAGTGGGTAACTTGTTCTGAATGCCTGTGCTGGCTACGAGGAAAATGACTGGAGAGAGGAGCCAGGAAAAGCCCAGCTGCACACATTACCATGAATCTCCTCAGACAGCTTTCTAAGTGAGGAGCTGGGGTATCTGAATTGCCCCTAGGAGGCTCGTTAAGTTCTAAGAAGGTGAGCAAAATTGATTTAATATATTGTTTGTGTTAGCTAGCATATTTGTTTAAGGTTAAATTTACATAATAGTAAAGTTGTATTTTTATGTGCGTTTTGTGTATTTTTATAGTACAGTGGGGGTTCCTTATAGAATTAGTGTGCACTGGACATTCGTGGCCATTTTATAGGATTTAAGAGCAGTATTTTACATTTTAAATGATTACTGTGAATTCAGTTGTTATTTTTATTTTTCCTGCTGCATTGCTGGTAATATCTAGGTTTATCTGATGCTGAGTTTATAGTCAGAATTGTATCCCAGGATGGTGAGGCCGGCGATGTGGAGAGTTCAGCCTGGTTTACATACGGTTCACCCTGGGTTGGGGGTTGCCATAACAGTTTCATCAATAGTGGGTGCTCTCCCTCCTTAAAATGAAAAAAATAAAAAACAAAACAACCAAACTCCTTTCAAATATCTCTTTGCCCCTGCTCCCCCTCCTCCCAGGAAACAACTATAAAAACCAGACTGAGCTGAAGATTCAGTTTGTCATCTCTTTTTTTTTTTTGAGATGGTGTCTCACTCTGTCGCCCAGGCTGGAGTGCAATGGCGCAGTCTCCTCTCACTGCAACCTCTGCCTCCCAGGTTCAAGTGATTCTCCTGCCTCAGCCTCCCGAGTAGCTGAGACTACAGGAGCATGCCACCATACCCAACTAATTTTCTGTATTTTTAGTAGAGATGGGGCCTCGCCATGTTGGCCAGGCTGGTCTTGAACTCCTGACCTCAATTGATCCACCTGCCTCCCGAAGTGTTGGGATTACAGGTGTGAGCCACCGCACCCGGTCCCCAATCTCTTTGTATTTGCCATGCATGGGTAACTCTTGAGTTCCCACCTCTTGCTGATTTAAAATCTGCCACAGGCTTTCTTCCTACTTCAGCTGGCGAGCATCTAGGTGTTCTCCTCTCACTTGATTGCAATGTTTGATGTTTGGTGAGAAAAAAAAATTCCTGATGTGCAGTGTTTAATAAGCCCACATAAGGCCCTTCCCATCCCTCCACCCCAGCTTATAAGGGATCTAACAGTCATTTTGGGACAAGCCCCTAAGTCTGTTTTTTTTGTGTTGTTTTGCTTTTTAAAGTTTCACTGATGATTTGCCTTAATGCATTCCTTGGTGCCAAAGCTATGGGCTGTCTTGTCATGTGCTGCTCAGCGGTGGGGACAGCGGGCAAGTAGGGGAAAGCCAGAGCTGCTGCTTTGAGGTCACACCCCCGGTGTCACCACCAATGTTGGGAGGAAGTAGTGAATGGTTGATGAAGGGATGAACATGTCACTGTAGGAGCACACAGCAGGGAGAGGAGACATGGAGGAGAAGCACAGGGAATACCATGTGCAAGTAACTGATGGAGATAGAGGGCAGATGGAGGGCATAGGTTGGATGAGGCTGGAAATGTAGCCAAGTCACCAAAGGATGCGTAGGCCCTGCTGGGGTGTGTGGCCTCACTCTTGGTACTAAGGAGCCATGGGATGGCATGATCAGGTGGCTCAAAGCACAGAAACGCGGGCGAGAGTGTGGATGTGAATCTTGTCCTCGCAGATTCTCACTCTGTAGCTTGGGGTAGTGTTTGAACATCTTTGCTGCCAGCTCCTGGTGTGTAATAAGAAGACAATGAGGGTGACTTCCTCAAGTTGTCCTGAGGATAAACGAGTCCCCGTGTATAAGGCATCTGGTGGGGAGTAGCCATCCGTGGGGCTACCTGGGCCCGACTCGCTGTCTAGAAGCAGTAGGTTGGATGGTTGGTATTGGGGAGAGATGAGAGGCAGGGAGAACCTAGTTTGCTGGGCTTTGTGATGATTTGGGCAGGGGTTACCACAGGGGGTGGGGCCCTGTGCCACTCAGCCCTCCAAATTCCCTTGGAGGTGGGAGTATATGGCCAGGAATATTCCTGCCTGTTCCTCCACGCAGACATAAGAATGAACCCAGGCAGTGGGAGGAATAGACCTGAGAGAAATTTTAGGAGGCAGAATAACCAGGGCTTGGTGAAATTTAAGAAGCCTTATATCATCTGTTGGACAACATGATGACTCTAGTGCCTGATTGTTCTAACAGGGAGATATGTAATTGACACTCAGCTGACTAGCCTTCCTTGCAAACTAAAAGAAAATAGGCATTTAAAAAAATGTTTTTGAGCAGATTTTTTGTAGGTTTCTTTGGGGATTGGGACAGCTGTCATGGGAATATTTGCCTTCAACTTAAAGTGAGTTTCCTTGGAAGTCCATTGGGCTCTATGTCTAAACTCTAATGTTCAGAAAATTCTTTTCTGAGGTACAAAGTATTAGTCCATTGTGAAACTCTCTGTGGCAACAGAGACTCTAAACTAAATTCCACAACGGGATGGAAGCTGCTAGCAGGGGATTATCTAGTACTTGGATTTAGGAAGTTTGCAAAAACAATTCAACAAAGTCTATAAAGGCAATGGGGGACAAATAGTATTGCGTTTTTTGTGCTGCCAACCAGGTTTGTCACATGGATTAGTAATTTAGATAGGAACAGCCATGAATCACTGCTTAGAGTTTTATATTTAATTTTATCCTGGAAGCAATCTCCTTTCAAATTCTCAAGCTGTAGTTATTAATGAATTAAACATTATGAAACCCAGAGAACTACTAATTCATTTTGAAATAAGTAGACATTTAAATCTGAAGAAGAAACCTTACATTTTTTCAGTAGGGTTTAATATTTTCAAGCTGACAAAATGTGGCATGGCATTTTGTAGATATGGTTTCCCCAGAATGATTATTGGTAGGTATCCAAGTATATGTGCCGGACAATTTGGCTGCAGGTTCTAGGGGTATGATATTGTGATATAATAAGAAATATATATATTTGGTTTTCATCCTCCATTTCCTGGTACTGAGCTCCTAAAACCCTTGTAATTTCCTGGGTGATAGAGGTTAGAGGAATATCTTTTGTTTTTCATCATAAACTCCTTTTTTTTTTGAGATGGAGTTTCCCTCTTGTTGCCCAAGCTGGAGTGCAATGGCACGAGCTCAGCTCACTGCAACCTCCGCCTCCTGGGTTCAAGCGATTCTCCTGCCTCAGCCTCCTGAGTAGCTGGGATTACAGGCACGCGCCACCACGCCTGGCTAATTTTTTGTATTTTTAGTAGAAACGGGGTTTCACCATGTTAGCCAGGCTGGTCTCAGACCTCAGGTGATCCACCTGCCTCGGCAGGCGTGAGCACTGTGCCCGACCATAAACTCCTTTCAACCATACCTTGGCTTATGCTAATGAGATGACTCTTGGTGGGCTCTTAGCTGGCCTCAGAGTGCCAGCTGGTCGCCAGAGGAACCAACTCTGTGATTAGAGGGTTGTGACTTTCAGCCTCATCCCAGACCTCCTGGTAGGGAAGAAGGGCGAAAGAGGGAGTTAGTCCCCAGTGGGCAATGATTTAATCGACCATGTCTACACAGCGAAGCCTCCATCAAACCCCTAAGTGACAGGGTTCTGGTCGGTGAACACTTTGAGGAGCTGGGGGAGGGTGACGCCTCCCAAGAGGTCATGGAAGCTCTGTGCACCCAATCTTGCCCTGTGTATTTCTTCCATTTGGCTGATCTGAGTTGTATCTGTTATCATAAACCAGTAATAGCCATAAACTGTTCCTGAGTTCTGCCAGCCATTCTCACAGAGTTCTGCTAGCCGTTCTCACAAGTTACTAAACCGGAGAGGGGGTTGTGAGAAACCCCACTGATAGCCAGTCAGTCAGAAGCACAGGAGGCCTGGGACTTATGCTTGGTGTCTGAAATGGGGGCAGACTTGTGGGGCTGAGCCCCTGACCTGTGGGGTCTGTGACTCCGGGTAGTTAGGGTCAAAATGGAATTGAATTCTGGGACACCCGATTGTTGTTGGAGAGTTGGAGACTTGGTTGTTGAGGTGGAAGACACCCATGTGTTTGATGTCAGAAATGTTCTATGGGTAGAAACAGATTGTGGCTGTAAGGGGCAGGAAAGATGAAGTCAGGTTCTCCTGATGTCCAATGACTGGGTGTTTTTCAGAAAGAGAAAGATTAAAATACATGGAAAAGGCAGCCGATTAGAGCGGGAGCTCACCACCCAAGTTCCTTATCATCAGTGCTGTTCAGCTTAACCCTTTCAGTCCTGTCCTTACCTTGGACACCTGCCACTCCGCCCTGGCTCTGACTTCCTTACTCTTGTCAGGTGTTGCTTTGGGGAAGAGATTTGTCCAGTCATCAGATGTCCTCGGACATTAGTGTGTAATGCCCCCACCTCTCAAGCACTCTTCGAAGCCCAGAATCAGGAAAACGCACTTTGTACAGCATGCTAGTTGAGGACAGGCCATACGGTTACACAGGATTGCTTGAAGATTGAGAAGCACAAAAGGAGACAGAATGCAAAAGCTGAAGCCTTGGCTTTTCCAGCCTGGAAAATGTGCTTAGTTTTTTCCCCAAAGATATTAACTATTTCCATGTAAAAAGTCAGTAGAAGAATCTACAGATTGTGTCTACAGTGATGTTACCTGAACAACTGAAAAAAGTCAAGGGGCTACTTTTTTTTTTTTTTTTTTTTTGAGACGGAGTCTCACTCTGTTGCCAGGCTGGAGTGCGGTGGCACGATCGCCGCTCACTGCAACCTCCACTTCCCAGGTTCAAGTGATTCTCCTGCGTCAGCCTCCCGAGTAGCTGGGACTACAGGCGTGTGTCACCACGCCTGGCTAATTTTTTTGTATTTTTAGTAGAGATGGGATTTCACTGTGTTAGCCAGGATGGTCTTGATCTCCTGACCTGCTGATCCACCTGCCTCGGCCTTCCAAATGCTGGGATTGCAGGTGTGAGCCACCGCGCCTGGCTAAGGGACTACTTTTCAAGAGCAAATGTTTTACGGGCAACACATTTGGTTTGTTTTGGACATGGATGGCTGCCAGAACCTTTGGTTAACCTGTCTTCAAAATTTTTTTAAGATAGTATTTTGGGCTGTGTGTAGGGAAAACTCTCTGTTTTTTCTTTGTTCTCACACCACAACAATCATCAGCACACAAGTAGAGACACCAGCTGAGTATCCTCTAATTCAGTTCCAACAGTGTCTACCCAGAGATAATGTCAGAGCCCACTGATTGAGGGCTCAGTCCCCAAGACTGCCCCTACCCACACACCAATGATAAGTCTGGGCCTCCTCGGAACTTCTGACCCACCAGCTTCAAGTTGGGGTCCCCAGAACCCCCGCTTTGGCTTTGATGAATTTGCTGGAGCGGCTCACAGAACTTGGTGAAACCCCTACTTATGTTTACTGGTTTATTGTAAAAGATATTGCAAAGGATACCGATGAAGAGACACGTGGGGTGAGGGGTGGGGGACAGGGTGTGGAGCTTCTATGCCCTCCGTGGGTGCCACCCTCCAGGAACCTCAGCATGTTCAGCTGTCTGGAAGCTCCTTGAACCCTGTCCGCTTGGGTTTTTTTACCGAAGCTTCATGACACTAGCATTCCTGTCCCCAGGGCACAGGGTGGGATCCCCTCATGGAGGGTCTTAAGCCCCTCAGTCAGAAATCTTCCCTCCCACCTTTTTGAAAGCCTCTTGCTCTTCACCTCTTGCTCTTGCTTTGTCAGCTGAAGTTCTTTTCAGGATGGTCATCTCCTCTCTGGGCAGTCCCTGATCCAACTGAGCCTTAGTTTCCTCGTGTGTGAAATGGGAATGAGAATTTTTGCCGCCTCCTCTGCCACACACATTGTCATGAAGATTAAATGAGGTGGTAGACATGAAAGTACTGCATCTAGTGCCTTTCTGTAAGCATAGGAGGCAGAGAGGAGATAGGGGGGTCAGGATGGAGGAGGCAGGGCTTTGTATTAACATGTAAAAAGGGAGAAAAAAGCCTCAATTCCTACCTTTTCCCACTCATGGTCCTTCCCCAGCTTAGGACCTGAATTAGAATGTCCAGCTTCTTCTGGGAAGGAAGGTTCTTCTGAGGGCCTCAGGGAGTTGTATTCATTTTTCCAATTTAACCAAGCCACTGTGTTCCTTAGTGGTATAGTTTGGGTGTCTGAGCCCTCCAAATCTCATGTTGAAATTTAATGCCCAATGTTGGAGGTCGGGGCCTAATAGGAGATGTTTAGGTCACAGGAGCAGATCCCACTTGAGTAGATGAATGTTCTGTGGGTTGGTGAGTGAGTTCTCACTCTATTAGTTTCCATGAGGGCTGGTTGTTACAAAGAGCCTGCCTCCTCACCCTTGCTTCCTCTCTCACCATGTGATCTCTGCACATGCCAGCTTCCCTTCACCTGCTGCCATAAGTGGAAGCAGCTTGAGGCCCTCGCCAAATGCCGAGTCTTGAACCTTCTGGCCAGTGGAACTGTGAGCTACATAAACCTGTTTTCTTTATAAATTACCCAACCTCATGTATTCCTATCTAGCAACACTAAATGGACTAAGACACTAAGCGTAACATGTACAGTCATGCCTCACTTGATGACAGGGATATATTTTTAGGAATGCATCTTTGGGTGATTTTGTTATGTGAACATTATGGAGTGAGTACACTTACACAAGCCTAGGTGGTGTAGCCCAGTACACATATAGGCTATACAGTACAGCCATTGCTCCAAGGCTGCAAACCTGTACAGCATATTATTATACTGAATACTGCAAGCAATTGTAACACACACAATAAGTATTTGTTTATGCAAACATGGAAGAGATACAATAAAAATATTGTATAAAAGATAAAAAAGGTACACCTGTATAGGACACTTAGCATGAATGGAGCTTGCAGGACTGGAAGTTGCTCTGAGTGATTCAGGATGTGAGTGGTGAGTGGATGTGATGGCCTAGGACATTTCTGTACACTACTGTAGACTTTACAAACACAGTACACTTAGACTACACTCAATTTATAACAAATAGTTTTCTTCAATAATAATCTTAGCTTACTGTAACTTTTTAACTTTATAAATGTCTAAATTTTGTTTAACTTTTTGACTCTTTTTTAATAACACTTAGATTAAATCACAAATATTATACAACTGTACCAAAATATTTTTCTTTATATCCTTCTTCTGTAAGCTTTTTTTATTTGTAAAATTAATTTTTTTCTTTTACCTTTTAAACATTTTTTGTTAAAAACTAAAACACAAATACACACATTAGCCTAGGGTTACACAGGGTCAGGATTGTCAATATTACTGCCTTCCACCTCCACATCTTGTCCCATTGGAAGGTCTTCAGGGTAATACACGCATGGAGCTGTTATTTCCTGTGACAGCAGTGCCTTCTTCTGGATACCTCCTGAACCACTTGCCTGGGGCATTTTACAGTTAACTTAAAAGAAATAAGTAGGAGTACACTCTAAAATACTGATAAAAATATAGTACAGTAAATGCAGAAACCAGTAACATAGTTGTTAATTATCATTATCAAGTATTGTGTACTGTACATGATTGTGTGTGCTAGACTCTTATGCAACCGGCAGCATGGTAGGTTTCTTTACACCAGCCTCACTATCAACATGTGAGTAATGCGTTGCAGTGCAACAATGCTCTGATGGCTGTATCACCAGGCAATAGGAATTTTCCAGCTCCATTATAATCTTATGGGACCAGCATCTTCTATGTGATCTGTTATTGACCGAAACGTTATGTGGTGCGTGACTGCATTTTCTCTTTGCTATTTGGTGCTGCTTCTGAATCGGGAGGGTTTTATGATTCCTCAGTTGCTTGCTTCCCCCTTAGATGAGTTTTCTAGGGCTGCCTTAACCAAGTAGGTGGCTTCAAACAACAGAAACTCTGTCACATTTTTGGAGGCTGGAAGTCCACAGGCATGGTGTCGGCAGGCCCATGCACTTCTGAGACCCATGGGGAGAACCCTTCCTCCCTTCCCCAGCTTCTCGTGCTGTCGGCAGTCCTTGGCATTCCTGGCTTTTGGCTCCTGTCATCACATGGCTGTCTCTCCTTGTGAGTCTTTTCTGAGTCTTTTCTGTATTAAAGGACACTAGTCATGTTGGATTAAGGGCCCACCCTGCTCCAATATAACCTCATCTTAACTAATGACATCTGCAGTGACCCGTTTTCCAAATAAGGCTACATTCTGAGATACTAGGGGTCAGGATTTCTTTTCTTTTCTTTTCTTTTCTTTTTTCTTTGAGGTGGAGTCTCTGTTGTCCAGGCTGGAGTGCAATAGTGTAATCTCGGCTCACTGCAACCTCCACCTCCTGGATTCAAGCCATTCTTCTGCCTCAGCCTCCTAAGTAGCTGGGATTACAGGCGCCTGCCACCACGCCTGGCTAATTTTTGTACTTTTAGTAGAGATGGGATTTCGCCATGTTGGCCAGTCTGGTCTTGAACTCCTGACTTCAAGTGATCTGCCCGCCTCGGCCTCCCAAACTGCTAGGATTGCAGGCATGAGCCACCGTGCCCGGCCTAGGTGTCAGGATTTCAAACTATCTTTTTGGGAGACACAACTCAACCCATTCCCCTGCCCCACACAGGTGGGTGATGCTCCTTTTCTCTGCAGCTTCCAGGCCCTTCTTCAAGGGCAGCATCTCCTGCTCTGCATGGGAATGCAGCTCCCTGACTCTCCGGAACCCTTAGCCTTGCAATTATGTCTCTGACGCATGTGTTGGGAGCCCTGGGAACAGTGTGTGAAACTGATGCGACGTTTCTGAAGCACGTCAAGTTTGAATTTGCGCCACAACAGCCCTCTCACGCTCTGTTGCCTGTTTCACTTCAGTCAACTAAGCCTGAAACTGAGGGGCTTTGATGGTACCCGTGGGAAGGACAAAAGTCCTTCCAGTTTTATTTGAAACAATTGGTTTGGTCAGAAGTACTGAGGTGGGAATTTGAGCAAGTACATACTTGTCCCAGTCTGCGAGGTGGAACAAGTGCATAGTGGCATCTGAATGGTGGTGATGACTTGTAGGAGCCACCAGCCCTCGTCTATAATACAGGGTCGTGGCTGAGGGACATCAGATGGGCCCATGTGGGTTAGAAAGGGCCTCCTTCACCCTCCTGTAATTGGATATTGACATCACCCGGCGCGTAAGAAACATGGAGTTTCCCCAAATATGATTTATACAGTAAGAACAAAGCCAGGGGACCCCAAATTTAGTTTTTGTTTTGTCTCAGGCTTGCTGACCAAACTTAAGCACATCTCCTATTAAAACGGGATCTCTGTTTTTGTGAAAATAGTGAAATTTGCTGCATCATGATGTCTGCAAGGCAATTAATAGGTTGCTGAATGCAAACTGCTGGCAGACCTCAAGTAAATAGCCAGGGGTGATGATGGGGATGGCCACTCTCCAGCTTCTTCTCCATGGAATATAGAAGTTTTAGGCTAGGATGCAGGATTTCAGTAAGAACAAGGCCAGACCTAGGAATGAGTACTGCGGACTGGCTTGGTGGGAACCCTGAGTGGAAGTCGACCACTGGGGGAAGTGGAGGGGCTGCAGTAGAGTTGGGGCCCAGGGCATCCTTCAGGGTGATAGGTTGGAATGTGAAGTCTAGGGAGAAGGTATCGGGGGAAATATTTCTAGAGGTGGCTGGATCTTAGGGGCAGATTCCTCATCCTAGGGTATACGGTTGCAGGGGAGATAGGTCCAGAGAGCTTGGGGGAGGGAAGGGCTGGCAGGAATCTAACAAGTGGCTGGATCTCAGGGACAGATTCCTCATCCTAGGGTATATGGTTCCAGGGGAGATAGTTCCAGAGGGCTTGGGGGAGGGAGGGGCTGGCAGGAATCTAACAAGTGTCAGATTCAAAGAGCTAAGGAATCAAGAAAGCACTCAATGTCACAGAGCTCTGGGCAGGAGGTCACAGCCGAGCCCACAGTCAGTGGGACCTGGGTGGAGTCCCAGAGAGTTATACCAAACTACCTAAATGTCTCTACTAAGTTTAGGGCTGGTCCTGGAAATTGGGGTAGAGGGTTTGCATGTGGCTGCAGAGGGAGATTTCAGAAGGACAGACAATTGTCTTTTTCAGCCCCTGCTGGGGTGGCTCTGCTTCATTTATTTTAATAGATTATAGCAGAGGAGACCCAAACGTAAAGCTAAACCCATCCCCACTACCTCAGATTGACTAGAGTTGTTTTTTGCTCCTGTTGTTATTGTTTTAGTTGTCTGATTATTTATATAATCACAAGGCAAATGTGTTATTTTGGAAAATGCTCTTGAATGTAGATGTTTATACACGCCAATGACAAATTTACTTTAAATGACTATTGATTAACAGGACTGAGGCTGAAAGATGTTTTGTGATAGGCTATTATCCAAAACTAGAATGACCAAAAGCCCACAGTTTTTGTTTGTTTGTTTGTTTGTTTGTTTGTTTAATGACTGGTGAGTCCCTGGAGGATATGGAACTTGTGTTATCTGCTACTTTTGTGTCCCTGTATCGTCAGAACATGGCGATGAGATGGAAGATGTGGTCATTTAAAGGAAGTAACAGTAGGTTTGAAGAAAAATTATAGCAATAACAACAGATTGTGGGGAACATTCTCTTGCCTGTTGCTGTTTGAAGAGAAAAAGCCATTTTTATGGCTTTTGAAAATTTGCTTCATTCTGCCAGGATTCAAACTAGACTATTCTGAGGCCCTAAAGGTTCTAAAGCAGTTCCAAGGCAAAATATTTGATAGCTTTTAGTATAAAAATTGTTTCAGTTTCACCATGAAAATAAAATCATGTGGACATAGTGTGTGGTTTCCAGAGCAGGCGTTGAAGATCTGGGCTTTTGACATGAATTGACTTTGGACAAATCATTTAATTTCCTTAAGTCTCAGTTTTCTCATCTGCAAAATAGAAAAGTGTCTGCACTTTCTCCCTGTTACAGTGTTGGGGATAATGGAGACAGAGCTTGAACCCTGACGTATAATGCAAGTCAGGGTAGGAATTATCAGCACAAAGTAAAAAGTGAGATTCTGTGTCTTTTATGCCTGTTCCCCTGCCTGTATTTTAATTATATTCACTCTAGAGTTTTGACTGAATAATGCTGGTTTCTCCTTGTTTTACTACTTAATTAATTTAAAATGTTGCCCTGGGTAATAGCTCTGTATCTAAATGAGGGCTATTAGAAGAGGAGGGATTGTGTGTACAGATGCTTGTAAATAACGCTTAGGTGACACTATTGTGATAATTATGGCTTTTTGAAGATGAGCTTTATAGCTAGTCCTCAATTTTCCTGTCGCTTTTTTCCTGGGCTCTCCCACTTCAGTGAGCACATTTGTTACATGGAGCTAGCTGTTCGGGGAACTGAATCCCCAGAGATGTCAGCAGCTCTGTGAATCCACTTTTCATTTTCTGTGCCTAAGTTTGCAGACCCTCAAAAGTACAAAAGATTGCTCGACCACCCCTCCCCCAACCCCTCACCTCTAGTAAGGATGTGGAATGAGTAAGGACAGCAGAAAGAAGGGGTATCAAATCTAAACACTCCAGTTATCAACTCCCAGGAATAGCCATCCTTGGATCTGAGTGACCTGGAAGGTGATGCTGGGTCCTTGGTGGCTAGAAGGGTCCTAGCTATGACCCTTTATATGGGATTTGCATCTCAAGACTGTCTTCCCATCCCCTCCCTTCCTTTCTGTGCCTGTACTCAGGGCTAGTGCTGAGTGCTAGAGCTGCCATGAAAGAAGTAGGCGCTGTGGCAGATGAGTTCCCAACAGGCATCTTTAAAATTAACTCTTGGGACCCCCAGCCTTGTAGTGTTCCCAGGACAGGAACCCATCGTGTATTTCCCCGTGTCATTTTCCAGCTTATGTTTGTTCTCCAGCATTTAGTTTTCAAGAGTCTTTGACATTGGCTTCATTGTCATCGCTTTACTCACCAACTCAATTAGAATCTCATTTCAGATAGAAATCAGCCAGTGAATTTTGTTAATGGAGCTTTTAGAAGCTTTTAGAGTCAGAATTGGAAAAGAACTTGGAAGGTCATCTCATCCAGCCCTCTCCCCTTGCAGATGAGAACCCTGACACCCAGAGAACTCATGTGACTAGGATAGTGAGTTAGTGTCAGAGTCAGGACTAGAACACAGAGTTCTTTAAGTACCTGGTTGTAGGGAAACATGGCGTGGTCAGATTAAAGTATGTGGAGTAGTGAATACTTAGCAGGTGTACTCTCTTTCAGTTTACTCAGTTTATTTTTGAGGCTTTTGTCACGGGATCCTCTGGGAGTCACCAGCCGGAAACCTCTGTGGCCAATGGCACCTTCTGCCTGGGTATTGCTCGTACCTGCTGGGCTCATTCTGTCCACTTGGCCTGGCTAGCTGCGCTCAGTTCATGCTACCAGCCCAGATTCCACACCTGCCAAGGGCGAGCCAGACGTGGAGTGATGAGATTGTGTGGTGAGCGAGTGTGGGGTCCAGCCACTGTGCACAGCCAGGCACACCAGGGGCTGCAGCGGGGCAGGCAGCTCCAGGCGCTGGCACAGGTGCTGGCTCCATGCGAAGCTGCAGCTGCACCAGATGCACTGCACGTGGCTTCTACTGCGGGCATCCACATCTGGATGAGAACACGGTGGCACCCAGAAAGTTGGAGATGCGAGGAATTGCAGAGCCCCAAAGGGGGTGTCACAGCCCTGGCTCGAGGAGCCCCTAGGTAAGGGCTATGGAACGCACAGTCCTGGCTGCGCCTCCCCCACTACAGCTGGCGTCCCTGCAGTGGCTGCTCCAAACAGGCCGCTTCTGCCATCACTATGATATCATCAAAATAATGAATTACATGAACCAGAACTTCCTGATTTTATTAAACTTTTAAGGTTGACTCCTGGTAAACCAGAATTCTCTTACAATGACATCCTTATTGAAAAGCTTTACAAAATGCATTGTTTTACTTTTCTGAATTAGTGACCACAATTGACTCTTTCTTAGATACTGGGGAATCTTGCTGTCCTTCAAATCCTTCTTCCCACTGGTTATAATTGTGTAAGATAATAGCTTCAGAGCACAGCTTTGGCATGAACACAAGCCAGCAGTTCCCTCTCCCCACCACCATTAGCTTATTTAAAATATAATATTTAGGTTGTTTGAATTCTTCCACATGACCTTTAAAAGCCCTATTGCTGGTATTTTGTAGCATTTGAGACAGTCTGTGAGTTATCTGTAGTTCAGGAAAATCATGTAACTTGCTGCTATTATACCAGTTGCATTTTGATGTGACATTGATTTTTTTCCGCCTGCTATTTTCACGTCAGGTTGAACACAGACATAGGCGAAATATAAGCTTGGCAGCGAGCTTTGCTTGGCTTGTTTACTTCTCTCATTGTTGAAGTGGCCATGATTCAGCACTGGGTTCTTTTCTCCCTGATGTGCTAGTGAAAGGAGAGAGAGAGGAAATTCCAGGTTACCAATAGCAGTATGACCATCATAGTAGAAAACTGAAAATTGTAGTCACTACCTTCTGATTACCCCAGCTTAAATAATACCTCGTTCAAAAGATGACTAATTGAGGCTCCAAATACCACCTCCCAGCCCTCTTTAATTCGCTCAGTTGAGAAAGAGGAAGAGGGGAAGAAACTATGGAAAATCATTGAGAGGATGGTTTCCTGTGTAATTTTGAATAGATTGTGTTGAACATGGAAGACACCGGTGTTACCTATTGTGCGTTTCCTTTAAGGCTGTTGCTGTGTGTATGTCTTAGCAAATTCAGATTATTTTGCACTCTCAAAACTGAGAGCTTGCTTTTTTCCCCCATATACTTTCTTACATGACCAGTCTCTTAGATGGTTGTGACATTGTAGTCTGTATAATGAATTCCTGCCTTGGTGGGCTTTCTGGTTCCTTTGAACCTTAGGGAAAGGCTTGGTTAGTTTCCATTTGCTGTGCATTGGCTGAGAAGCAGAGATAACTGAGTGAAAGGAAAAACACTTCTTGTTAACTGTATAGTGGAAGCTTGGAAAAGAAAAAAATATTGCAAACATCACCTTGTCACGGGGAGTCAATAAGCAGTGGCAGAAAGAACGTGGGGCTTGGAGTTGTAAGATTAGGTATCAGCTTGGCTCATTTCCAGGTGTGGACCTGGGCAAGTCAACCCTGGACCTCAGGCAACCTTGAGCCTGAGTTTTCTCAGTTGAAAAATGGGCAGGTGGGCAGGGAGGATGGGCACAACAGGGGTGGCGATGTTTGCCTTACTCTGTGGTGAATAATGGACCCCAGAGAAGTCCTTGTCCTCATCCTTGGAACCTCATCCTTGGAACTTGTGAATATGTTACCTACATGGCAAAAGGGACTTCAAGGAAGTGATTAGGTTAAGGATGTTGAAATGGTGAGTGTATCCTGAAATATCTGGTTGAGCCCAATGTAATCACAGGGGTTTTTATGAAAAAGAGGTAGAATAGTCAAAGTTAGTGGTAGGAGATATAGTGACAGAACAACAGTAATGTGAGGAAAGGGCTCATGAGCTGGGGAATGCAGGCAGCCACTGGCAGCTAAAAAAGGTAAGGAACCGGTGAGGTGCGATGGCTCAGCCTGTAATCCCGGCACTTTGGGAGGCCAAGGCTGGCAGATCACCTGAGGTCAGGAGTTCAAGACCAGTCTGGCCAACATGGTGAAACCCCATCTCTACTAAAAATACAAAAAAATTAGCTGGGCCTGGTGGCATGTGCCTGTAGTCTCAGCTACTCAGGAGGCTGAGGCAGGAGAATTGCTTGAACCTGGGAGGCAGAGGTTGCAGTGAGCTGTGATCGTGTGCCATTACACTCCAGCCTGGGTAACCTGTCTCCAAAAAAAAAAAAAAAAAAAGGGCAAGGAACCAGATTCTCCCGTTAGAGCCCCCAGAAAGAAACAGCTCTGCCAACACCTTCGCTTTAGCATGAGGAGACCAATTCAGACATCTGGGCTCCAGACCTATAAGATAATCAATTCATGTTGCTTTAAGCTGCTAAGTTTGTGGTAATTTGTTACAGTGGCAGTAGGAAACTAATAAACTTGCCTATCCCAGTTCTTGTAGTAGTTAAATGTGACATTGTATCTTACATATTTATACAATTTCAAAGTGCTACATAGATGTTACCACTTTTTAAATGGATCTTTTTATATTCATCTAGGTTTCCAGGTTGTGATTAGAATAAGTCAGGAAGACCAGGAGAACAATAAAAAGGGCTTCTTAATTAGGCAGTGAACAGATTGTGTCTGAAAATGTTAAATCCATGTTATTGAATACTTCTTCATTGTGAAATTATTCGTGGCCATTAGTACCTGTGAGGCACTTTTTAGGGGAGCAGGCAGGTGTGTGCCTTATGTTCTGTAGCTGTGAGTCTCAACCTTGTATGCTCAGTGAGTCACCTGGAGAGCTTTTAAAAGTCCTGATGTCCAGGCAGCACCCCCAAGACAATTGAATCAGAACCTCAGGAAGCCAAACCACAGCACTGGAATTTTTTAAATCTCTCCAGGTGATGGAAGTTTGCAGCTAAGGTGAGACTCACTGCAGAGGTATTGTGTTTGCTGAATAAGATTATAAATCAGTTTCTCTTTGAAGACTGACAATCTAGATGTTCTTTTGAGTTTTGAGAGAAGTGGGTGGTCTGTTGAGGACTCTGTCTTACATCTTTCAATGATATACACAGATCAGTGTATGAGCGATGCTGTAATTGTGGCAGGAAATACAAAAGTATTTATTACCCAACACTCTTGAGTATGTTCAGCACCACAGATTGGTATGTCCTGGTGGCAAACACATTTTCAATCAGCCAACATTTTTCTCCTCTTGTTGCCCAGAGGTTTTTAAAAAAGCAGTAGTGAGGGGAGAAAAGGAAGATGTCTAGGCCTTTTCCTCAAATGGGAAAGTCCCTTGAGACTTGAGGAATATTGTTTTTACTTCTGTCTTATGTCCTTATGTTTCCAGTTTGGAGGAGAAATAATCATATTGGAATGTTTTCCTTTGGAACCACTGTTTCCAGAAGCCACGGTTTTTGAAAATTGCCATTGCTGCTGGCCTCGTCATATTCCTGGGTGTTTTGAGAGCACATGTGCCCCCTGGCTGGCTCTGAGCTGCCTGTCACTGAGAGCACCCTGGCCTTTGACAGTAGGTGACGTCATTTGCCTCATATATGTCATAGGGAGGATATTATAGATAAAATTATTTTAATGAGCCACAAGGTACTGTGCAGATGTCGTTATATTTTCAATGAGACTTCTAGGTTGAGGTTAGAAAGATGATAGAAAGCCTGTAGAATAAGTTTATTATATTCATGTACTGCTGTATAAGAACAGATAGGGGTTGTTATTTTCTAGTATCCTATGGTATTGACCAAGTAGAGGCTCTAGTGCCATGTAACTTCTTAGTGGTTATTTCAGCAATTGAGTTTAATTTTCTCAACTATAAATGGAAATATTAATGCTTGGCTCTTTTAAGATTGCCCTGGGTGAATTTGGGTGTCCAGACAGTCTGGATTATATTGTCTCAGTTTAAACCTTGGCTCTGAAACTTACTGTGTGGGGGATACTCAGGTAGTTACTTAACTTAAGTGTACCTCCATTTCCTCATCTGTAGAAAATGGGCAAATAAGATACCCTCCCATAGGGCTGTTGTAAGGATGAGATAAGGCACGGAGAAAACTGGGCACAGTTCCTGAGTGTCTCACTGTAGCCTCACCCCTGAAGCTGGGGCAGCTCAGGCGCTTGGGTAAGTGTTTTCTCCTCTTTTCCGTCCTCCCTCCCCTCTTCAATAAGCACTTATTGGACACCTACTACTGGTAGGAATATGGTATAGATGCAGTGTTTATGCAGAGTGGACACCCTTGTGAAGGACTTCAGTGATTTAAAGTTTGATTTTAAAAATGAAAATAAAAAATAAAGTTTGATTTAAAATATTGACACAAAGTAGTGATGGGAGGGAGGGATGGGGTGAGTACAGCCTGTCTGTTTCTGATGGGTCAGAAAGGTAAGACCTGAAATGGTTTATTTGCACCAACCACAGTCAGATCATAAGTTTTTTTTTTTTTTTTTTAATCATTGTGGATATCAGCAGATGGTCTTGAGGACCAAACAGAGAAAGGTCACTGGCTGATGCACCTGGTGGTATGTACCCTGGGGAGTGGCCATGATTCTCTAATTTGATTGGCTACACAGCCAATCATGTATGAAAGCAAACATGATGACTGGGCATTTCCGTGTGCCCAGAGCTGCACTAGCCATTCAGGGGTGCATGCTGTCTGCCTGGATGGAGCTTCCTGAGTACGTGTGTACCTCACAGCCTAAGGGTGAAGTGCTCAGGGGGAGGCTGCAAGGTAGGAGGTGAGTAAGCTCTCATCAGTTCCCTGAGCTCAAACAAGCGGTTTGGATAAACCATAAAATTGTCTATATTTTAACCTCTCTGTTTTTAGGGTAGCATTCACATACAGGTTTACTTTGTTGTCCTGAATTTATATTTTTTTCATAGCAAATGATCCAAACTGAAAGCCTCCTTTTTCCAAGATTCCCTTAGTAAATATTTATTGTGCTCTAATCAAGTATATGGAGCTTGAGTCTGCCTCTCAGTAACTTGAAATTTATCAGTGATTAGAACTGTTAACCAAGTTTGATGGTGATCATAATAGTGATGTGTTATTTTTAACTCTGCTTTTCAAGAGTAGAAAAGAATTATTTTAAGGGTATAGAATAATTCTAGCAAGTGCTCAAAGAAATTTTGTTTTGTCACCTATTTCACTTAAAAACCACATATGAAAAATGAGAGGACTGTAATAGTGATAATGATAGCATTCTGCATTCAAGGAGTTATTCTGTGCCAGATGATATGTCAAGGGCTTTGCACACATTTCTCATTTTATCAGCCAGAAACTGTATGAGGTCGTGCTTTCTTAGTGTTCACACTTTACTGACAAGGGGCATTGAAGAATAACAAGGTTAGATAACTTGCCCACGTTCAAGCAGCTTGTCAGTGGAAGGTCTTCCATTTGATTCCAGACTCGTGTCTTTTCAACACTACCGTATTATTGCCTTAGGTAGAATCCACAGTTAGGTGGATTGAGAAAGAAGAAGCTCTAAAAGAGACAGGAAGAAAATATTGGCTAATTCACCCCAATATGTCCCTGCCAGGTTTGGATGAAGAGGAACCATATTTAGACATCTTAGAGATAGGCAGTAAGCACTGAGAATGAGAATTGCCTCAGGTCACACAGTACTTGATAGAACTTACCCAGAAGCCAGGTGCTCCTCAAACTCATTTGATGATGTCAGGGCATGGTGGCTCAAACCTGTAGTCCCAGCAATTTGGGAGGCTGAGGCGGGAGGATGGTTTGAGGCCAGGAGTTCAAGACCAGCCTGGGCAACATAGTGAGACCACTTCTCTTAAAGAAAACCCAAGCCAAACCAAAACAACAGCAACAACACTCATTCAATGAGGATTCAGTCCATACAATTACATGCTTTCAAACTAATTGGTAGAGGAGAGATCCATTTTGTTTTGGATAATCTAAAACCATAGTTTTAAGAACTTTCCATTTGGGTTAAATTTTGAAATTTCTTTCTGCATATTTTGGAACAGTGCACAGGGTTTGGCATTAGCTCAGTGGCCACTTTGGGCAGGTTACTTCAATCCCCTTCGTGTGGCTGTTGGGGGAAAGAGGTGCTAATGACACCTAAAGCTTTGTAGTTATTCGTTGTAATTGCTCAGGGATTGGCCACCTGTGACACTTTTGACATAATTTTAGAAAAGGGAGCCAAGTTCTCAAAAGTAATTATGGGTCCAGGGAAATTCCTCAGGGTTAACTTCAAGGTAGCAAAAATGTAGATTTTCTAAAAAGGAAAATTTCTGGCCATGTCACATAGTGATTGGGTCTTGGTTTTTATGTGTTATGTACTGGAGACCATTTGCCCCAGACAAAGGATTTAGTACTCAGGTTGTGAGCTGGTGAAGCCCCCGCAGGGCAGTACTCCCCTGTTTCTCCACCCATCTCCCCTCAGTGGAGCGAGAGAGAGGAGGCAGGGAGTCATAGTACGGGTTGACACAGACTTGGCTCCCAAACCCCGGGGGATTCACAGCTGACAATGACGGGAAAGTAGGAATGCTCGAAGGCCCTCTCCAGGCTCCCCTTCCCTGTTCTCCCCTGGGCTGGTGCAGAGTCCAGGATCTCCACGGGCTATTGGTTTGTGCTGGAGATTCTGCATCCCTGTGGATCATTCTCCAGTCTTTTGAGACCTCTGTGGGCTGTGTCCTGGCTCTCTTGCCCTCTGGCTTCATGTTGGGTTAGGCCACTGGCAGGAGACTGAGGGACAAGATGGAGAATTCTGAGTACTTTCCTCCTCCCTGCCTTAGCCCCTTGTCCCCATCTGTACATCAGCTCCTGCCGGGCAGGCCTCTTCCGTGGCTCCAAACTTTCACTGCTTCTGGTGACAGCTGCTGTCTTGCCCCCTCCACCCTGAGGTCAGTAGGGGCTTTCCACAGGTGCTGGTCTCTGGGGGCCTTGTAGGACCCTTAACCCTGCATAGACCTACGTACAGTTCCTTCCGAAGCCTCTCTGCAAATACTACTAAGAAGGTAACTGTGTTAGGCTGAGGCCACGTACAGCCTGGGGGGCTGTGTGTAGTAAGTTTACGGATGTTGCTTGCTATTCTGTTACTGACTTCTGGTTTTATCTGGGGGAAGGTGATGGTAGCAGGGTGGTATTGATTTTTTTTTCTTTGATTATATTTGACATATAAACCTAGAGCTTCTCTTTGAGGCTATGGAATCATTCAAAAAATGTGGCATAATTACTAATGGTTAGAAAAATTGTGGAAGCACTGATATCTTGCAAAAATATTGAGAAAGCTAGAAAACTTTAGCTGTTGTGGTGGGTCAGAGAGAGAGGGAGAGGGAGAGACAGGGCAGAGTTAGTAAGAGCCCGCTCTTCCTGCTACCTCATAGGGTTTTAGTTAGCTGATGTGAGAGGAGCCCAGAGGCGCTTTTGAAATCAGGTGTCTACTGTGTGCCAGGCACAGTTCTAGATGCTGGGAATGCAGCCCCAAATGAAACACACAGTGGGGCTTATGTTCTGGGGAGATAGCAGGTGATTCCAAGTAAAATCAGATGGGTAGATTACATAAGGTGTTAGAAGATGATCTGCATCTGGAGAAAAATAATCACACGAAGGGAAGCGTGAGTGTGGTGAGAGCTTGCAATGTGTAAAAAGGCAGTCAAGGAAGACCTTCTGAAGAAAGTGATATTTGAGCTCAGACTTGAAGGAGGTGAAAAGGAAAAATACATCAGCATTTGAGAGCAGAGATTCCAAGCAGAGGGAAGAGTAGGTGTGAAGGCCAGGCCATTGACTGAAGGGGAAGACTGTGGGTAGAGCAGGTTTGGGAAGTGGGTGGGAGGGAGACCGGGAATTCCATTTTGGAAATCTTAGCTTTGAGACGCCTATGAGAAACCCGAGGAATGATCTCAAACGCATGACTGTTGTCAGTGTTTAGTAGTTTTCAGTTTCAAATCGTATCACCATTGGTGTCTTGCTTTCTCTGAGGTGTGTTTTAAGAAAAATAAATGTTTACACCATGGTTTTGGTAGTGATTTTGAGAGTAAGCCTAGGGGCAGAATATGCAATGCCTATATTTTCCCTTGATTCAAAAACCACCTTTGCATAGTTAACAGATTCAAGGACACTTGCGGGAATTTTTTCTGAGTTGAGAGAGTTTTGCCACTGTTTGACCAGCTCTGACTGTAACAATACCAAACCTCTTTTTAGAGCAGAGCTGTGTTTTATGGCATTATGCAATGAAAGTTTCAAGTCGCCCACAAAAGCAGACCCCATGCAAATAGAAATAGCACATTTCTCAAAGCCCCAATTTGCTTGTATGTTAAAGCTTGCTGCCCTGTTAGATGTATTTTTGCTTTTAAATGTTACTCTGATACCTCTTTTTTTGTGTTGTTCTCTCCACTTCTTGCTTTTTATTTATTTCTGAAAGTTCTGTTTTCTTGGTGGCAATGTCACAGTTGCTCTGAATGGTGAGGTGAGACTAAGTATGGGGGAGGAGTACCGGTGTTTGCTGAGCAGCTACTATGTGCACTACTGGGCTGGATACCTTGCTACTTACCCCCATTTAATCCTCATAACAATATTTTGATGGAGGTGTGATTGTCCCTGAGTTACACATGAAGAAGCAGATACTCAGTAAGGTTAACTTGCATAAGGCTACATTATTAATTGGTGACAAGAGTTGGGACTCAAATCCAGACTAGTGGATTTCCAAGCTCTGGAGTCTCCATAGCTCAAGCAAAGCTTTCTCTGCAGGCAGTTTAGTGCTTCTAGATATCAGTGCATTGCATTGTCTGGCTTTGTTACTAATGAAGGTGAGGAGAGCAGTATTAATAATTCTATGTCTGGTGCTTCTTTCCTAAATGTTTCTATGAATTTCCCAGAATGTACAGAATACCTTTCTGGTGCCAGGTGTTTGCCCAGTGTTGAGTTGGTGGCAGCAAGTACTCGTGGAGCTTACACCCTAGCAAATATTTAGTAAGGAATCACTCAGGAGAAGAGTGTTGCGGGGAAAGGAAGGAGTAAGTGCTCAACGAATGTGCATCTGTGAGTTGGGGACCACTTTTCCCCTTACCTCAACCTGTAAGACAATGAATTGTCCAGGTCAGGGAGGTAGAGAAGAAACTCTTGGCAGCAGAAGCAACATGAACAGAGGCTCAATGTAGCGATGAGATTGAATGAGATGAGATTGCATAGGCACAGTGGGTAGAGGGAGATGAGAAGGGGGCCTATTATTTGGTAATAAGAGACTGTTGTACCTTTGAGTTTTTATTACATGACACCATGGAAGCTCCCCAAAGACAGTTTTTTGGGATTGTTTTTTATTAAAAAAGAAAGAAAAGATTGAGGAAAAGGCAAGAACAAGAGAGAGTGTTTGGGTTGAGAATTATGAAGTGTGTATCTTTGTCCTTTCAGGTGCTATAATATAATACCATAGACTGGGTGGCTTATAACAACAGAAATTTATTACTCACAGTTCTGGAGGCTGGGAAGTCCAAGATCAAGGCAGATTTGGTGTCTTGTGAGAGCCCATTTTCTGGTTCATAAAGGGCATCTGCTGTGTCCTCACATGGTGGAACGAGATAAGTGAGCTCCCTTGGACTTATTTTATAAGGGGCACTAACCCCACTCAGGAGGGCTGAGTCCTCATCACCACGCCCCCCCACACAAAGCCCCACCTGTTAATACCTTCACATTGGTGATTAGGTTTCAACATATGCATTTTGGGGAGACACAAACATTGAGACTGTAGCAGTGTGCATTGACTACATTTTTGAACAGACTTATGGTCAGGTTCATCAAACAAAAGTGATTCCTGAGAGGAGGGTTTCAATGAGGAGTACTATTATTCGGGCTGCCTCTGCTACGGGAGGTCAGTTCCTTGAAGAATGAAGATTGCAAGTGCATTATAGGGCAGTAATCTATAGCCTTGTTTTGGAGGAAAATTGACTTCACATAAACCCTTCGATGTCTTAAAGTACAAATGTATCTACCATTTTAAAATGAAACGTTATAAAAACTTTCCAAACCTGCTTTAAGGGAAGCAACTGTTTTGACTATAAATTTCAAACTTCTGCACCTAACTAGGAGAGAGATTGATGTTCTCCCAGCACAAAAGCTCCCAGGTGGCTGAGTCAGTTTGAGCAGCGGCGGCCTGAGTGGTTTGCTCTGCGTGCCCAGCTGGCTGGGGCTGATGTGTGGGCTTGGCGAGAGTTCTGGCACTCTGAGCGGACTTCATTGTTTAATGAGGTTTTATTTGAGATCCCTAGCATTGCTCTTCTTACACAGCACAGCCAAAACTGTCACCTCCACAAGTGAATAAGAAAATCATCTTGGGTGGGTGCAGTGGCTTACGCCTATTATCCCATTGCTTTGGGAGGCTGATGGGGGAGGATAGCTTGAGTCCAGGAGTTTAAGGCTGCAATGAGCTATGATCAGGCCACTGCACTCCAGCCTGGGCAACAGAGTGAGATCCTGTCTGTGAAAACAAACAAAAAACCCACCACCCACCAACAAAATAAAATCATCTCAACTCAGCCTCTGCACTTGTATAACAATCCTACAGTGGCACCAATGTTTTCAGCACTCGTGTCCACTTATGGCCCTCAGGAGGAATGGAAGGAATAAAATGAATGAAATAGGCTCTTTGTTAGTTGCCCTCTATAAATCGTAAATCACTGGGGCGAGTAGGTGAATAAATGCTTTTTTTTTTTTGTTTTAAAAGGCCATTGCGAATATCTAAAGGTCATCAGAGCCTTTTAAAACTAGGTTAAAATGCATTTTGCACCTTCCCTTGATAAATCAAGTTTCATTGCATCTTACTGCCCTCATTAGAGGTACAGGTTTTAAGCACATATGACCTACCGACCCGTGCTATGGTTACACTTATTCTCTCCTAAACCCCAGTCATTGGGTAGACACAAGATGAATAATTTGTTGGCCTGTTTGTGCTAGTGATTTCAAAAAGGAAGCTTAGCTTTTAGATAAAAAAAATGCTACTGTAAATATTCTGCAGTCCTGAACATGTTTCTTACACACAAACAATAATACCAACAAGCACATAAAACCCACCAGAGCCAGTGTGGCTTTTTCCACCAGATCGACATAATGGATGGTTTTCTTTTGCCAAGGTGAAGCATAGTGGTAAGGTATTGTTTTTATGATTTTCCAATAGTCTGTTACTCATAACTCCTCTCAGGTTTGTTGTGTGAGATTTTATAAAAGATATTTGCTCATGAATTTGACTTTGGCTTTCATACAAAATGATTAGTATCATTTGTGCTCTGTAGAGTTTTAAACTTTGAGCTTTTTAGATTCCTAGATACTATGGGGCCTGCCCTCCCCTCCCCTCCCGTCTCCCTCCTTCCCTCCCTCCTTCCCTCCCTCCTTCCCTTCCTTCCTTCCTCTCTTCCTCCCTTCCTCCCTTCCTTCCTTTTCTCTTAATTTCTTTCTTTCTTTCTTTCTTTCTTTCTTTCTTTCTTTCTTTCTTTCTTTCTTTCTTTCTTTCCTTTCTTTCTGTCTTTCTCTCTTTCTTTTTTCTTTTTCTTTCTCTCTCTCTTTCTTTTCTCTCATTCTCCTTATCTGCTTATTATTTATTTATTTTTACTGTGGTAAAATACACATAACATAAAATTGAGCATTTCTATCATTTTTAAGTATACAGTTCAGTGGTGGTAAATACATTCACAATGTTGTACAACCATAACTTCCATCCATCTTCGTAACTCTTTTCATCTTGTAAAACTTAAACTCTATGTCCATTAAATAATAAGTCCTCTTTCCCCATTCCCTGGCAACCATGATTCTATTAATTCTTTCTGTCTTTATAATTTTGACTACTGTAAGTACCTCATGTAAGTGGAATCACATAGTATTTGTCTTTTTGTGACTGGCTTATTTCACTGAACATAATGTCCTCAAAATTCACCCATGTCGTAACGTGTCAGAATTTCCTGCTGTTTTAAGGCTGAATAATATTCCATTGTATGGCCATACCATATTTTGCTTTGCCATTCATCTGTCTGTGGGCATTTGGGTATTTTCCCATGTTTTAGCTATTGTAAATAATGTTGCTATGAACATGGATGTAGAAATATCTCATCAAGACCCTGCTTTCAATTTTTTAGGGTAAATACTCAGAGGTGGAATTGCTGGATGATAGGGTGATTTTATTTTTAATTTTTTGAGGAACTGACATACTGTTTTAAAACAACAGTTATTGCTATAGATTTTTAAACAATAGCCAACAATCCTGAAGGATGTTAATATCTAATTTAGTGAGGCCTAAGTTGAGAAACCAGTGAAACTGGCTAGAAACACACCATTGACCATAGTCATTTCTACTGAGAGATGGCTTTTCTGTAGGGTGTGCACGAGTTGAAAAGAAAATAGTTTTCTCAGTCATTCAGCAACAGTTGTTCAGGTGCTCTTGGCACTTACCTGGCATTCTAAAATCCTTCCCACAGAGCAGGTTGTCAAATACCCGGCTAGCTCTGAACTTTAAAATGCAAGACATTTAGAAGGAAAACACATTTAAACCACTTCCATTCTGTAGAGTCAGGTTGCTGTGAATGGAGAGGTTACCAGAACCAGTCATGAAACAGGGTGATATGGTTTGGCTCTGTGTCCCCACCCAAATCTCATCTTGTAGCTCCCATAATTTCCACATGTTGTCAGAGGGACCTGATAGGAGATGATTGAATTATGAGGGCGGGTCTTTCCCGTGCTGTTCTTGTGATAGTGAATGGGTTTCCTGAGATCTGATGGTTTTAAAAATGGGAGTTTCTCTGCACCAGCTCTCCCTTTGCCTACTGCTGTCCACATAAGATGTGACTTGCTCCTCCTTGCCTTCCACCATGATTGTGAGGCCTCCCCAGCCATGTGGAACTGTGAGTCCATTAAACCTCTTTCTTTTGTAAATTGCCCAGTCTCAGGTGTGTCTTTATCAGCAGCGCAAAAATAGACTAATACACAGGAAGAGACAGAAACTCACTCATGAAGGTGCTCAATAGTCAAGCATTTGACTTTTTGCCATGAAGGAAGAGAGAGGCCAGAGAAGAGTCTCTTGCAGGTCCTAACTTTTGTGAAAACAAGTCTCCAGGGAAACAAAGCCCCTGTGACAACTCGCTTGGGTGTGACAGCTGCCAGCCTTGTTCCAGCAATGACAGCAGCCTCCAGAAGAGAAATGGGCCACTGGGGAATGTGAAAGAATGTGTTTTGCTTTTATGTCTGGTGTGTGGTCAGCTGTCAATTAATAGAACTGTGCTGTGAGTTAGAAAACTAGGCCACAAAGGGGCTTTCAGGAAATGTTTATAATGTGGAATTAATCTGACACTCACTGTGTTGGCTAGAAAATGGAACAATGGCTTGTTCACGACAAATTGTTCAGTAGGAAAAAATGTCATAAGCAGAATTGCTGGTTAAGAAAATAACAAAGTGAATATGATCAACTTGTGGTAAAAATACATGTGAACCCTTAATAAAACTCAGAGCTGAATTTAGTTTTGTGATTTGCTATTAGATTCCTTGTGCTGGCTTTAAAGTGATACCTTTTAGTATAGCCCTGGGGTCAAATGCAACCCACCTCATGTTTTTGTAAATAAAGTTTTATTGGAACACAGTCATGTCCATTTGTTACGTATTGTCAATGGCTGCTTTCTGTTACAGTGGTAGAGTTGAGCAGTTGTAACAGATGCTGTGTGGCACACAAAGCCTAAAATATTACCATCTGTCCCTGTGCAAAGAATGTATTGACCCATGTTCTACAGCCTTGCCACTGAAAGCAGGATTAGTGATTTACTGCCGTGTTGGAGATTGAGAAGCACTAGTCTAAGACCAGTTCTTCACTTGCGGTTTCATGGAGAGGCTTAAGTGATTGCACTCCATGAAATTATACGCACAATTCTGTTTTTGTACAAATGTGTATTTTTCTGCATCTCTACCCACTCAGAGGTAGAGGGGTTTGTGAGCCTTATCACTTTCTCAGAATGACTTGTAACCCCCCAAAGTTAAGAATCCCTAGACTAGAAAGAGTGGCCTTGACTCAGTATGGGTTCATGTCTGAAATGATGGTTGGAAAGATCTTACTCCTCTACACCAAAAATAGATCCAGCTCAAGTTCATTTATTCATTATTCTTAAATAAAGAGTATAAATTTGCAGCACAGCACAGAGGTGGGCTATGTCATTTTGTAACTATTATTAATGGAGAAGGGACTATTTCATGAATATTGGTTCCTTGTGCCTTAATAACTAGTGTCATGTTATGTTGCGGGTCTGGAGATATTTATTACATGCCTCTCCCACCTTGATAAAGTGAAAGCTTTCTAATGTCCAGAATTTTAGGCCTTTGTAGTGACTTTTAATGGGAAACTGGAAATCACTGCTAGTTAGCTTGACAGTGTTATTAAACTTCTATCATGTATGGAACCCTGCAGGAATTTCTAAAAAGCAGAAGATGAAATCTGAAATGGACCGAGCCTGACTTCTGATCAGCTTCCCCATGAACTGCTGCTCCATGTGCCCCATGGGTCTTTCTCACCCCATGCCAGCCTCCTGCAGTAGGTGGTAGGAACCAGATAATTTATATGTGGTTTTGTGTTACCCAGTTGGACAGGTGCTTCTGGAGATGGAAGCTGGGAAGAGCAGTCAAGGGAAGAATAACAATGGTGCTTTTAGAAAGCTGTGGTTTCATGGGTAGGGAAGGGGAAAAGGCTCTGAAATGCAAAACTAGCTGGAGAGAACAGACCTTGTCACTTCCACAAACCTAGAAAGGTACATGCTACACTGTCTATCCATTAGAGATTAATGTAGGGAAAGATGGACTATTGCTATTAAAAATATACATCCTTTTTGGATTTTTCAATGGGAGAATTCTCTAGAACAAATAGGTCCCTGGGTGCTAGGCCCCCATTCTAGAAGCTGGGTTCTGGGAGCTGGAAGGGAATTGTGCAAGGTGCAGGACTAGTTCTCAGGCTCCCTGGGACCCAGGGACTCTGAAAATCCATCTATGAAGCCACAAGCTAGAAGCATATGCACAGAGTATGGCAAGGATGATGCAATCAGATAGAACTAGGAGTTTCCAGACTAAAATGTGAAGAGAAGAAGGACCACTTAGAGACAGAATACCCACCCCACCCCCATCCTCTGCCCTGTGCCACAGCCCCTTGGGGTTCTGGGTTATAAAGAAAAGATAGACCAGGATCCTAGGAGATTTTACAGATGTTGAGGCTTGCCTACTTCGTGAGAGCAAGACTTTGGACACTGTGGTCCATTCAGGCTGCTATAGCAAAATACCATAGACTGGGTGGCTTATAAACAACAGAAACTTATTTCTCACAGTTCTGGGGGCTGGGAAATCCAAGATCAAGGTGCTGGCAGATTCAGTGTCTGGTAAGAGCCCATTTCCTGGTCACACACAGTATTTTCTTGCTGTGTTCTCACATGAGGGAAAGAGCAAATAAGCTCCCTTGGGCCTTTAGGTTACATTTATTTTCTAGCTGTGCCCATGGGCATGCATGGGAGCAGTGATACCCAATGGCAGTGAGCCCACCTGTTACCCAGGCCTTGGTTTCTAACTGACATTTTTCACTAAAAGGAGCCAGGGCTCCCTGGAGAAATGGCTGAATCTGGGCCTGGGGATGGGGAAATACAAGTTGAGCCTGAAATATTTTTTCCTGTCACAAAGTAAGGCAGTGCTCAAAGAATGATGGGGACATATCAAAAGCACACAGGCACGATCTCGGCCCACTGCAAGCTCTGCCTCCCGGGTTCATGCCATTCTCCTGCCTCAGCCTCCCGAGTAGCTGGGACTACAGGCACCCACCACCACGCCCAGCAATTTTTTTGTATTTTTAGTAGAGACAGGGTGTCGCTGTGTTAGCCAGGATGATCTCGATCTCCCGACCTTGTGATCCGCCCGCCTCAGCCTCCCAAAGTGCTGGGATTACAGGGGTGAGCCACCGTGCCCAGCCCACAAAATACTTCTTAAATGTAAAAAGAGGAGGAGAATCCAAGGAGGGACAGGTGATCAAAGTTACTACAACACAACCACCTGCTAGGACGGAGTGGGAACATTATAGCATTGCTTCTGTAATAGCTCATCCTCTCTAAAATAAAAGTAAAAACCAAGGTAAACCTGAATCCATTCATGAGAAAACATCACACAAACCCAAACTGAGGGATGTTCTATGAAATATTAATAACTTCTGGAAATCTTTAAAACTGTGAACGTTATGAAAGTCAAGGAAAGACTAGGGACTTTTGAAGATTGAGGAAGACTAAAGGATTATGACAAGTAAATGCAACCTGTTTTCTTAGGGTCTATCCTTTTGCATTATTAGAGGAACACTGGGTGAAATGTGGATGAGATCTGAGGTAGTGTACCAAAGTAGATTTCCCGATTTTAATGACTGTACTGCAGTTATGTAGAAAATACTTGGAGCATATGGGGATAACGGGACCTCAGGCCTGCAGCTTACTATCAAATCATTCAAGGAGGGAAAGTTATTAGTACTTTTTTTTTTTTTTTTTGGCCACAGAGTGGGATCTGATGAACATTATGTTTACTGAAGTTGTAGAAGATGACGGCCAAGTTCAGCTTGGATTGGAGAAGTGTAAGGAAGGTGAGAGTGAATGGGCAGTTTCTAATATTGTCAGCAGAGAAGCAGGTTCTCCAGGGACAAGGAGGATGAGAGGGCAGGTGGGATGTGCTGTAGCCAGTTTAGGGTCAAGAAGCATCAGCTGACAAAAGGAGGGAGTCAAGGAGTCAAGTCATGAGAAAAGGCTGGGTGAAGACTTTGATAGATCTGAACGTGGAGGTGAAAGCTGGGCCTGCAGTCGCACTTTGAACAGCAGAGGGAGGTGCATCAATCTTTGTTGGCCCTCTAGTGCCATCCTGATAAAAGCAGCTCTTCCTTGTCTTCCTGGCCGTGAATGTTAGTGCTGTCTGGGGACCGTCTGTGGCTATCTATAGATGCTTTGGGACCAAGTTGGAGGATTGCCGGGGACTTCAGAGGAATGAAGACTGTTCATTCTAGAAAAGGGGGTTGGTTTAAGCTCACACTGAGGTCCATTTCATTGAATCTTGGTTCTTTGAGATTCATTTCTGCTAATGTTAATGAAAATTTGGCTGGCTGGAAGTGCAGATCCAAAATGGGAGGATGTAAGTATGACTCCTCCGTCTCTGGTTACAGGGCTGATCTCTGGAGTCTTTTGTGATTGCTACTTTGGTCCCTTGAACACACCAAAGCAAATGAAAAGCCAAAAGAGGAGTCTGAAATTGAATTAGGATTGTTTGTGTTTCATATTAATTCAATTCACTGAAGGATATGAATGCCTAGTATGTGCTTTGGATGCTGCTGTTTGCAAAGATAATGAACATGTGTTTCTTGCTCTAGAGGAAACAAAGTCTGATGGGGGTGAGAATGGTGAGTGAAAAAGTAATTATAATGCAGCTTGGGAATTGTTTCATAGGGACTGATAAAGGGCTGAGGGTTTGGGAGGGAAAGAACCTCTACCTTTGTATGTGGGGACGGGAAGCCTTTAAGTCAGAGGAACCATGTGTGTGTTTCTTCAAAAGACTGGCACAGAGGTGAGAAATCAGAGGTTGAAGAGTGTGTGGACCCTTGGTGAAGACAGGAGGGCAGGAGATGAGGCCTGGATTTTGTTGGATCCAGATCCCCAGGATCTTGTGGGCTATCCCTGCAAAGTCTGAAGGAAAGAATGCATTTGGCTGCTGTGAGCCAGGAACTCTGCTAGACACTTTGTCTGTGCAAAATAGAAATTATATCAAGAACAGCACTAAGTTAGGAAGCGTTATTTTTGTGGATCCTCACACAAGTTGTTTAAAGGGCTATTGGCAGCTTTTCTAGAAGCACAAGAGGCTTGCTATCCCTTTTTTGAGGCTTTCTTCTATCAAGTATCTTAGAAATAAAAAGAACAACTGAGCAAGTGGAATGGAGATCTGTATGAGGGATTTTGTTATATGGGGATGCAGATAAGTCCATAGTAATTAAAAAAATACTTTGAAAAATGTAAAATACACAGAAATGTGGAGAGACTGGTACAAAGTCAGCAGTCTTAACATTTCATCTTATTGGCAGACATCATGACGTTTTACCCTGGAATACTTCCAGTAAATATCTCCTGATAATAAGGACATTCTCTTACATAATCGCACCATTATCACACCTAAGAAATTCACATTAATTCAATATCATCTAATATGCAGTTCATATTTTAAAATGCCTTGTATCACTTTGGGCATTTTCCCCACTCAATCCTGGATCTCATTGTGGTTCATGAATTAAATTTGGTTTCCTCATCTCCGTAGTCTCTTAAAATCTAGAACAATCTCGTTGCTTTTTGTTTTCCTTTCCATGACATTGAGAGTTTTGAGGAGCCAGTACTAGTCCTACATGTCTCATCATCCCTGTCATGACTGACTGGATGCAAGACGAACATTTAGGCGTGATACTTCATAAGGGATGTTGCCTTCTTCCCATTGCATCACCTTGGGAAGCATGATGTCAGCTCTTCCATTATTGAGGGTGCTAAAGTTGATCTTTGGTTAAGGTGATATCTGTAAAGATAACTCTCTTTATCATTTAGTAAGCAATCTGTGAGCTGATATTTTGAGACATGTAAATATCCTGTCTGTCAAAGCCTGTAATCCAATGATTTTAGCATCTATTGATGATTTATGCCTAAATTGGTCATTACATTGGAGATGGTAAAATGGTGGCTTTCAAAAAGTTTAGTTAATTGTAATCCCCCTTCTATTCCTGCCTTTCTTTCCCCTTCTTTTTCTGTATGTTTCCCCCTTTGAGTGTTACTATGGAGTCAAGGATTTTTTTTTTAAATTCAGTGTCTTATAAAACATTACCATCTGTCTTAGCTAGCTTGGGCTGCCATAACAAAACAACATTGACTGGGTGGGTTGAACAAGCATTTATTTCTCATAGTTCTGCAAGCTGGGAAGTCTAAGATCAAGGTGCTGAACATGGTCAGATTCGGGTGGGAACCTTCTTTCTGGTTTGCAGAGAGCCGCTTTCTTGCTGTATCCTCACTTGGCAGGAGAGAGAGAGGGCACTGATCTTTTCTTCTTCTTATAAGGGCACTAATCCCATCTTAGGGCCTTACCCTCATGACCTCATCTAAACCTAATTACCTCCTGAAGGCCCTACCTCCAAATGTCATCACATTGGGGATTAGGGTTTCAACATACGAATTTTGGGGGGACACAGACATTCGGCCTATAGCACTTTTTTTTTTCAATATTCAAATGTTTCCAAATTTGGCCACTCCACTGTGAGCTGGCTCCTGGGGCCTTTTGACATGTCCCCATGTCCCCACGTGATGGCACAAAAGGACATTCCAGGCTCACTTTGTATTTTCCCTGCCCCAGACCTGGAATCAACCATTTCTCCAAAGATGTCAGCTTCTTTTTAGTGAGAAATGCTACTTAGATACCAAGATCTAGGAACTAAGTGTGCTCATTGTTACTAGACTGTCACTGTTTCTAGGCCTTTCAGTTGACAAGGCTTAGAAATTTATGTATTATTTTAAATCATGGGTGTAATCTGATGGTTCCAATTTAAATTCAGTACAACTATGTTCCTTCTCACCTTCTCCCATTCTAAAATTTTTGTCTCTCCTTCCACAGTGAGAAAGCCTTGGCCTTGTTTTCTGACAATATCAATCTGGTTGCTTATTTGTTTTAGCATATGGTCTATACAAACTAGTTTCAGAATTACTACTATACTAGTATCAATACCAATACCAACAACTAACCAAATAGGTAAAGTTCAAGACTGCTTTACAGTTATTATTATTAAAGGATGTACCCCACTAAAGGCGTATGGAGTGCTTGTATTCAAAAGGGATTTGAATGTGGTTCTGTTGTTGAATTGAATCCAGTTTACTTGTTTCTGTTTGTATTTAATTTTAGGGTTTGATTTTGTTTATCCTTTTTAATTTATTATTTTTGATATGTAATATATTTACATGGATCAAAAGTCAAAAATTCAAAAAAGTCATATTGAGGAGGTCTCCCATGCCTTTCCTCTCTGTTCCCACCTGCCTCCTTATTCATGAACCTTTCCCTTAATTGATTTGTCCTTTCTGGGTTTATTTTTGTAAAAATAAACAAATATATATTCTCACTCTTTCACCTTGAAATAAGGTGAACTCTTTCACGTAACAATATAACCTGGCTCCTATTCCAAAGCCATTCATAAACTTCTTTCTCATTCTTGTTTTACAAACACATACCACTCCATCAGGTGGAGAGACGTAGTCTAGTCAGATTCCTATGGATAGGAATTTAGATTTTTTTCCTATTGCAAATAATGGTGAAATGAATTACCTTGTAAATATGCTATTTTGTACTGTGGAGCTGTATTTTCAGAATGAATACTTGCAAATACTTTTGCTGGGTCAAAAGTTAAATCATATGTAGCTTTATTAGATAATGCCACATTTCCTTGCTACCATTTTCTTCTCCCATTTAGCAGTGTTTGAGAGTGCCTATTTTGGGGCAAATTGTTAGAGCCCTTTTTAGTTGGAGTGAGAAATTATCAGTGACTCTCAACCCTCAATTGACATTGGAATCACCCAGGGAACGTTGCCTTTTTGCAGATCTTTGCAGTGGGACCCTACCCCCAGACGCTGATTTATCAGGTTTTCAGTGGACATTATGAAGCATGGATTCAGATTATTTTGTAGAAGTACTAGTTTAACATCTAAGTTTAGTTACCTACCTAGTAACTCTTTCTTTTAAGTAACTTACCATTCTGCGAGGAGATATCATAAAAGCATACTGATAATGTATGAATCTTACTATACTCATGATTTCTGAATTGCCTGCAAATACTGGTAGCCAGATATGCTTAATTTTTTTTAAAAATGGCCTAATTTCAGTTAGTTTTCACCCCTTCTACAAGCATTTATTGAGCACTTACTGAGTGCCAGTCATTGCCTAGGTACTGCAGAAAGAATACAAGACAGACCAGATCCCTGTCCTTGGGGTCTTCTTTGTAGCCGAGGCAGATGAAGGTAAATAAAGGTCAATAGAGTCCATCAGTTGGCTAGATGCTGGGTGTGTGTGTAGGTGCCTTCCCTCTAAGGAACTCACTTTTCAGTGTGGGAGACTAAAAGGACACAAAATATGATCATTCTAGAAAGGTTCCTAGGAGAACATAGAAGTGGTGTCTAAGCCAGCTGGAGGGGAACGGGAAAGCTTCTTGGAGGAGGTGATAGACATTTGGGCTGAAAGCAGTGTGCCTCATCTGTAAGCCATTCTTTCTCTTAGCTTGGGATGCTGTCCTTCTCTTTTTTGGTTCCAGACCAAAAGGACAGCATCCCAAGAGATGAGATAAGAGAAAGAACGGCTTAGAGATGAGAAAGGCATGTTGCTTTTAGAGATGTGCAAGTGACTCAGAGTGGCTGGAGTGTGGGATTCAAGCCAGGACGTAACAAAAATAAGATTGGACAACTACCCAGGGGTCACATCTTTTGCTCCAGTGTCTGGTACATAGTAGGTGCTTAATAAAGCATTGGATGGTTGATTGAGTGAATGACGACTTGCTGATTTGTGGAAAAGAGCAGTTTTGCATTAGCTTTTGCTAACCACACATAATTAAAGGAGTTGGTATTCTTAGCGCATCTGATATTTTATCTTGTGGATGAAACTTTTTTTTTTAAAGCTCAAATGGCAACCAGGTTATGAAAGTAGCTATAATTGAGAGAGGTCACCTTAGGTGATGTATCACCCCATTCTAGATCTATGGACAGAAAGAAAAATCTCTTCAAATTGTTGTCAGAATGCTTTTGTCTCTTTATCTGCTTATTATAATCCAGCTTCAGGGATGGATGACATTTTTAAAATGCATAGTCCCTTTGGCCCTGAGAGCTCTTGTAATGTTTCCCATCAGCTAAAGAAAAACAAACAGACGAGACTAACAGACGGCCCTCGTGTTCAGTTATGTTAGCCCTAGAATCACTTCCTCAGGAAATCATGTTTGTGTGTGTCTGTGGTTCTGTGGTTTCATTGATATTCCATTAGAGGGAAACGCAGAGGAGTTTCGACAATTAAAACCATCATTTGAAGGACAGGAGTTCTTGGTAGAAGCTGGAATTGGATTTGCAGCTGTAGCAGTGGGGCATTGTGAATCACCTGAAATTTGGATTCTTTGAGGCTTTGCTACCTCCACCTTCTTTCTAATGTAGGTTAAATTTGACCTTGTTTTATTTTAAGTTACTCAATAACTTGAGAGTATTAGTTAGAGAATTATTTTCTGAAATAGACTGGCTGTCTCAATAAACCAATTTAATCTGATTCTTGCGACCTACATCAGCTAATGGTTTGTGAGAAATCTATCTTCATTTAAATCTGTATTTGTTGTTTTACTCCTAGTATTGCTACATCTTCAGGAAAGGTGTCAGAATATGCATAAAGCAAGGAAATAGTAATTTCCTGTTGGTAGAAGTCAGTGAATTTTAGTAGATACAGCTGAGGAATGGAAGAAAGCACGCTGCCATCCCTTAACTGGCACAGTGACTGAATTAATGTATGCCTTACTGTTTCTTCTGCTTTGACAAACATCTTGAATTAAGCAGATACAGATTTTCCATGTTATAGGTACTTATAAAATGGGAACAGACTAACTAACAAGAGCTATAGCAATATCCCTGTGTGGAGTGAAGGTCATGATATGCCAACTGGCAAGATGTATTGTCATCTAATTACTATTTGGTGATTGAAACCATGTTCTTTGTATCTGGCAAGACCTAATAATATGGTGGGCTCTAAACACAGGGTGGCTTTTAAAATCCTGTCGATTTTATTTGCTGGCCCAGAAGACTCTTGTAATGATTTTCTGCTTACAAAATGCATGCCTGTTAAATCGGGCTGTTTTTTTAGTTCACAGGTAGAATTTGGGTAATTAAAAAATATTAACTTATTGATGTTAGATACTTTTCATGACTATCCTGAGAAAGATAAGTTATTGAGAATTTTTTTCACAAAGGAAATGAAAACTGAAACTCAAGCAGTTATTTGTGGATTAAACAGGCTTAATTCTACAGGGTATGCGTAGCTATTTGGGAAATATTTTTGTCTTACTGAATTAGGATAGCAGTTTTTACCAAATGAAACTTAATTACTGTAACTAAAATGACTAGCTTAGGACAAATAAATATTTTATATTGTAAAAATAGACATTTTTACTTTTAAAGTAGTTTTAGTTAAGTAGTACATATATACATGTGCGCTTAAAACAAAAACAAAAATCCATATACTGTGAATAACAGCAGTACAGACTTTCCTACTTGTGCACATCTGAAATGCTTTAGAATGAATTCACCCCAATCAAAAATATATCCTTTTGCACTGGTAGAAATTACTATTAAGTGTTGATTATTATCGATTAATATGTTTAGTGGCTCTCAACAGTTTACAAATGTGACTTGAATGTTTGACTTCCCCTAAAACTGAATACATTTGATGTTATGAAGGACAATTGCAACGACTCCAACAAAACCAGTTCAAGGCTTAGGAACTGTGTCTCTTAGTTTCAAGAAAATGAATTGGATTTTATTTGGTATATGTGTGAGTATGATTACAGATCAAGACACACACCCCTATACACACCCACACCCCCCCACACACATAATACTATATTTATAATATTATTTACATTTTAAATAGGTTACATAATTTTTTAAAATGTTCTGGAAGTAAATTGTTTCTTATTGATGACAGGACTTTAAGTTTTTACCATTTGACAGGACACTTTTTAAAATAGAAGTAATTAACATGTAAAATTTTTAATTAAATGAATTATTGCTTTCTATCTGACATAGAAATTGTATTTACAGTGGTTTTTGTTTGTTTGTTTGTTTGTTCTGCTTTGAGGGTAGCTAGTGACAGTAGGAAGTGAGCATTGTGTTCTAAATTGCTTATTTTTTTTATCTTACATCTTAAATACTTTGTGCGTAGTCTTGGATATAAAAGTATGAATAATCCATAACCTCACATTTCAGTTCCTGGCTCCTTAGAAAGTTGAATATTCTTATTATGGAGATAATAAGGGAGACAGTAAGAGCAGGAAGCATTTTCATCCTGGCGTTATTGAATAAATTAGTGCCCAGTGTGTGCCATCTACTGTGCTGGGCAAGCTTTCATTAGTTTGTAAAATGTGTCCACTTAGAGAGCAGGAAGGAGCTCAAGCTAAATAAGCAGCAAAGGGAAAGATGATGAATCCGAGCATTTCCCCGAGCTGATTCTGTAATCACAGCCCAGGGTTTAGAGTGGGAGGGATTTACAAGACGAGAAGTGGCTGTGGACTAGCGACAGTGGTGATCTGAGGACCTAAGGACCAGCTCCAGCCTGGTGCACAGAACCGCTTCTAAGTACTTAGCTGCAGCTTTTCACAGATGAGAAGAATTTGAGTGCTGTTAAGGTTTAATCTCTATAAACATAAATATTTGTGATTCATAGTCTCTTCCACATCCTTTGTTTCTTTCTAGAAGGCCTGTTAATGGAAATACCTATTTCTTTATTGTCTAATAATAGACTTGGTGAAATATAACTTCATATAAATAAAATTACAGGGTAAAGCTAGTTTCCCAATAGTTGTCTAAATTACACATACAAGTCAGGACTTTGCTAGGTACAAAATCTCAAGATTCAGAGAGTATTGGCTATCTCTAACCTTCAGATGCCACTCTCTTCACTGACCTTTGTCACAGCTGTACCCCTCAAAAATGCTTCCTCCATCCAGCTGCCTCACTGAGAAATCAGGGATCTTTTCTATACTCCTTCACTCTCAGCTCTTTGTACTTCCAGCCAATCTCCATGCCTTCTTCCTCCTCCTTCATCCCTACCTTCATTCCAGCCTTGCCCCTCTTTCCTTTAGTTCAGCCTCTGCCAATTCATATCTCACTCTGCTGCCAGAGTGGCTTAAAAAGAAAAAATAATACACAATTGAATATTACTCAGCCATAAGAAGGAATTCTGATACGTGTTACAATGTGGGTGGACCTTGAAGACATGCTTAGTGAAATAAGCCAGACAAATATTAGGACAATGGTTGAAGGACAAATAGTGTACAATCCCACTCTTATGAGGTACCTGGAACAGGCAAATTCATAGTGCCAGAAAGGTGACCGGTTAGCAGGGGCTGGGGGCAGGAGAAATGGGGAGCGGTTGTTGAATGAGTATGGAGTTCTGTTTGGGATGATAAAAAAGCTCTGGAAAGGGCTGGGCACTGTGGCTCATGCCTGTAATCCCAGCACTTTGGGAGGACGAGGTGGGTGGATCACTTGAGGTGAGGAGTTCAAGACCAGCCTGGCCAAATACCAAGACACCCCCATCTCTACTAAATATACAAAAAATTAGCCAGACTACAGTGGTGTGTGCCTGTAGTCCCAGCTACCCGGGAGTCTGAGGCAGGAGAATCCCTGGAACCCGTGAAGTGAAGGTTGCAGTGAGCCAAGATCGCACCACTGCACTCCAGCCTGGGCGACAGAGTGAGACTCTGTCTCAAAAAAAAAAAAAAGAAGCTCTCTGGAAATAGATGGGGACGATGGCTACACATGATGGTGACTTAAAGCCACTGAATTGTACACTTTCAAATGGCTAAAATAGTAAGAATATTAATAGCAATAATAACGCCATTATAATGGTTACACTTGCCCCCCTGAAGTCTTCACAAGCCCCACAGCCTACAAGACAAAACCCAGATTACAGAATAGGAGGGGACTGGTCTTTCTCTTCCATTCTTCATATTCTCACTTCTTCTCACAACATAAGAACTTCCGCTTCCAGCTACTCCTGGAGGCTTGGCCTTTCTCAGCACCCCTTGCTTTGGATTGGAAGAGGAGGGGAAAGGTTTGGACCGCATCCTGCTCCTTCTCCCCTCACCTCCTGGTCCTCCCCTCTTCACTCCCCTTCAACCGCCCTAGGATGTCTCTCTCTCTCTCTCTCCTTATCTCTCTCTCTCTCTCCTTCCCCCAATCTCTCTCTCTCCCTCTCCCAGTATCTCTCTCTCTCTCTCTCCCTCCCCTGATATATATATATCTCTCTCTCCCCTCTCTCCTCTCTCCCTGGGCCTTGTTTTGCTCTCTGCTTCTGCTGCCCCTTAGTGACCTGGCCCATCCCAGCTGCAGGGACAGCCGCTCTGGTCCTTGGGACCACCCCCTGCTTTAGAGCGCTGGGGCTGGCAGAGTGGACCTTAACCCCCATCTGTCTCTGGGTCTGTGCCTCCTCTGGCCGGGCTGATTAGTCATCCTGAGAACTGTCACACTGCACACCACTGGGCAGGCCAGTCGTCCAGGCTGTGCCCTGCGTCTCCTTCCTGCCTCCCCTTACAGTGATATTCGCTAGGAGAAGAGCTAAACCACCTGCCGTGTGCTGCCCTACATGCTCAACATGTATGAATGCATGTTAATCTTAACAACTCTATTGCAGGGGTATTTGACTTACTGGAGGTCCCAGGCTCTGGTCCCTACCCGTAACCACCCTGGGCACTGCCTCCCCTCGTCTTGGTCTCTGTGCCTTTGTGTCTGCTGAGTCCTCACCCTTGACATTGAAATGGTACTTTTTCTTGAAAAATCCTTCCTGGATGCCCCAGACAGACATAGGTGCTCCTTCTTCCAGTTCAACCTGATACTCCCGCGTGAAGTATCAATCACATGACTGTAGTTTCTTCACATCAAGCATGGCTGCCTGTATTCCCCACCGGCCTTAGCAGGAGAGGGCCCTATCTTTTTCTCTTCAGATTCCCCAAACCTAGAGTAGTGCCTTATACTCAATATGCATTTGAATGTGCCTACATTAATAGTAGTATTTGTTACTCTATGGCTTTCTCTGGGAAATACGAATAAGAAGTTGGATGAAAAACTTTGTTTCTAAAAACACACTAAAGTACACTGAGAATATTATCACATTTTTTTCTAAACCAATACCTATGGATTGGGTTTTAAATACATAAATTTGCCAGTGCAATGGTGTACACCTGTAGTCCCAGCTACTCTGGAGGCTGGGATGGAAGGACCACTTGAGGCCATGAGTTGGTGGCTGCAGTGAGCTATGATTGTGTCACTGCACTTCAGCCTGGGCAACATGGCAAGATCCCGTCTCTACAAAAAAATGTTTTTTGGAAAAGTAGCTGGGCATGGTGGTGTGCATCTGTAGTCCCAGCTACTCGGGGGGCTAAGGCAGGAAGATTGCTTGAGGCAAGGAGTTCAAGGATGCAATGAGCTATGATCATGCTTGTGAATAGTCACCATACTAGCTTGGGCAACATAGCAAGACCCCGTCTCTTAAAAAAGAAAGGAAGGAAGAAAAAACGCAAACTCAAATTCTCTGAAAAGCAGAGCAGTGGCTATTAGTGGCAGAGATAGGGGCAGATGTATGAACTGCATGAGGCACAAGGGGACCTTTCGGGGTGGCGGAAATATCTTGATTGGTGTAGTGGTTACACAGGTGAGTACATTTGTCAAAACTGGTTGAACTGTACACTGAACATATGTGCATTTTATTGCTGATAAACTTTGCCTTAAAGTTGACTACAAAATAAATTTAAGAAAGCAAGAGGAGAAATCTGGATTTTTTGTTAGGTTAGAAAAGGTGGATTAATGATGGATGGTGTTGGGTTGCACCGCTGTTCCATATCTAGTTTCAAGGTTTGTACTTTTTTCTTTCCTTCTTACCTTGCCTAAATGGAAAATCAACCCTCATTGAGTTACTGCAGCTGGAAGTAAGAAAAAGCAGAAGTAATGAGCAGACTGACAGCTGACTCCCTGCAGTGCTTAATTTTAGTACCAATGCCTTTAGGAATTCTTTGCAACTTCAGTGTAAGGCTTAACTCGTGCCATGAATCATCAATATTGAGGGTAGGTAGAGAAACTGCAGCAATAAACACTCTGTGCTCAAAGAAAATAATGTTATGAATGGCTTTCGAATAGACTTACTTAAAGAGATATCTATAAAACCCACTGGCCTTTTACTTTACCATTCTTTCCAAGTGTTAATATAGAATGTTCTCTGGGTAATTTGAGGAAATTTAAAGAAATATATATTTTTTAATGTGTGAAAGTAAATGAGTCTTAACAGTTAGGTAGGTTTTTGTTGTTGTTGTTTGTTTTTTCATTGAGCCAAGATTTTCCCTCCTTACACCTCCTTCCAGCCTTAGGGTACCTCAAATTAATGAAGTTCTACTCGTCTGAAATCATACATGTTCTTTAGTATTTTGAAGGAATACTGAATGTGTTTGGGCAATTTATTCAATGTTCCTTCTTGATGGTCAAGGTGACCCACCGTATGATACTGCTGTGTAGAGTGAGATTAACCTGGCCAAATCGAAATTTATTCAGCTACTTTGTGGCCTGCTATAGCTATGCAAAGGAACACGGGAATTATGGCCAAAGTTCAGACTATAAGGAGGAATTTATCATCATGTCTTTGTGAAGTTTCATCAAATAAGGAATTACCTTTAATCCGGAGCTATCATTATGACTTTTGGTGCCATTGCCCATATTGTTGAAATAATAGATCCATATTTCAAAGAATGAAGAAAGATTTGACCCCTTCCTGTATGTTCTCAATAATGGTAAATGATGGCCATTGTTTATGTTCTTTGCTCAGCTCTTTCTGGTTGTCTGGAAACAGTTATTTAAAAACAAAGTTGCATCTGTAAGCCTTATTATCTCCAAAATAGAATGCACAATAATTTTGAAAACAGTTTGCATTCTGGAGCTTGACAGAAAACTCAGGTAAGGTAACCACTGTTAGAGCAACAAGCTGATTTCGAGGTAGGTGTCTCCAGAGTAATATACTAAATTTAAGAGAATCAGGGAAGGGCTAATGGAAAATGATGTAGATCTGAGGTCAACAAATAATAGCCTGTTTTTGTAAATGCAGTTTTATTAGAACTGTTGCGGAGGGAAAGTTCTTCCTTAGGTTCAGTATCATGGACGTGCAAATGAAAGTAACCAAAAACATGTAAAGAGGAAAAAAAGTTTATATATGCATACAACATGTGCCCAGATGAATGTAAGGATTACATACCTAACTTAGTAGGGGAAAGGGAGGAAGGTGAGAAAGGCCTGTATGGGAAGAACAAATAGGTATCTTTAGGAAAGACAAATGGGTTTTTAGGAGTTCAAACGGGAGATAAGAATGTTTTTGTGATAAGATGTGTGTTTGCATGTGTGAGTGGTCTTTCTGTCTTCTTTGTGGCCATGAAACTACCCTGAAGAGGGGATTTATGGTGGGTTTCTCTTTGTTTCTCTCCTGGAAATAGACCTGCTCTAAAGAAGGTATTTATGGCAGTTCTCATTTCTGAGAAGTTTCTGCTTTTGGTCAGGTAAGGGATGCCCCACAAGTCTTCTTTCTGCATCTATTGAGTCTCAAATGCCTCCAGCTTAAAATAGTCTTTATACCAACTCTGGGGTTTCCAGTGGGTCCCCACAGAACATAGCCTTGCTCATTCCTTGAGATACTATGACTGCTTTCACATTTTGATGGCAGAGTTGAGTATCTGTGAAAGAGACTGTAGGATCCGCAAAGCCTAGAAGCTGGATATACTACCTGCCCCTTTCTGGGAAAAGGTTGTGGGTCCCTGACATAGATAAAATATAATGGGAAAATATTTTAAAAAGCCAACAAATTGACTTAAGGTTTCAATTTGTTCTGGAATTTGTGGTTAGTAAAAAAAAAATTAGGAGTAGGGAACATGTGTAGTTCATTTTATTAAAATGTAAATTTGTACATGGGAACTTTGGGCCTTTGGGGGTCCTGTAGATATTGGACATGAAGAGTAGGGGCACTGGAGGGCTATAGCAGAGAGAGACCTTTGCTCTCCAAGGGAGCCTGGCTACTTGGAGGCCCTTGCAGTCCCTAAGGCACAACTCTCAGCCCTCAAACCCTCCCTTCACCTCCAGTGATGACTGCATGCTTCCCTGGTCTGCAGCTGCCTCCAGACCTTAAGTTACCATCTTAATATCTTGCATCTCTTGAGGTTTGTGGTTGGAGTCTCCCTGTATGATGCTGACAGGGTCAGTTGTGATGTTTAATCAAATAGAGGAAATGCCACTGTCCTTCCCCTGAGTTTTCTTCTCTCTCCAGTATCTCTGGAGTGGAAAGAACAGTGGGCCAGCTTGTAGGCTCCTTAAATTCCAAATGTCCTTTCTGGCTCTGACAGGCAATGATAGTTCTGTTTAAAGGTTCTGTTTAATCCCTATATATATATGATCAATTGGACATACATGCTCAGTTGAAGAAGAGTCTCCTTCCAGTGCTCTGTCTACCCTTCTCTCTTTCTCATGGTTCTCTTTATATGGTTCTTTTCTTCTGGTTGTACATCCAGGCTCCTTGAGGGTAGGACTCTTGTTTACCATGGCAACGCCGGTTCCTTGAATAGTACACAAGGTGAGTTCACAATAAATATCTGCTTACTCACTGCTATGTTCTTTGTAGCTGTTCAGCAGCTGGTAAGACTTAGTAGGATTTTTGTTTTTTCATCTCTTTGGCTTTCCCTGTGTGCTTGATTTGTCAGTTATTTCAACTCTATTCAGAATTCTGGCAGTCAGGGTAATTGATCATCTTTATTTGCTCTACCTGCCTGCCTGTCTGTCTATCTGTCAGCATCTTTTATCACTCCCTCTTTCCAGGGAGCCTGGGGATCTCCTGACAGTCTTTTATAGCTCTTTCCTGCTTTAATGACCATGAGCAACTTTTTCTTGACTGTCACTGAGTGATTAGAGCAAATGAAGATAAAGCCATGTGTTTGATGAATGCCAGCGCTAACCTTGGCTTCCTGCACAAGCCAGAAAACTGTGCAGCTTCTTTTCAAGGTAGCGTTGTTGGGACCCCCTTCATCTGGTAACAAGTTTGGGTAATAGGAATATCTTTCTTCATCTGGGAAGGCTACTGATCAGACTTGAAGGAGTTTTTCTTTTGATAGTTGCTAAAAAATTGAAGTTGTAGCATTTTCTGTTAGGATATGGGCTCTAGCTAGATGCACTCATTAAGCTGAAGGCATCAAGGGAGAAATTTCTAAGTAGTTTATATGCCCACTCCCCCATCTCACATAAATGCGCATTCTTGCCAGATCACTAACAGATAATATTTGTAAATGATCTGTCAGGGATGAGAAGCATAGAATAAGTGGCCTGGCAGTACTGCCATGCGGTTGGAAACCCAGCAGTGTTTTCAGCAATTATTTAGGTCATAGAATATTTTTACTAGAAGGTGCTTTAGGGGACCATCTAATCCAGAGTCCTCATTTGTCAGGGGAGGAAATAGGAGGCTCATCTAGAGGTTATTTGCTTAAGGTAACCTATCTATGTAACGACAGAATAAGAGCTAGAATCCTTATCTCCTGATTCCTAATAGTAATGATTGGCAGATATACAAACAAAAACCAGTAGTTATCATCACTCACTGCAATACTGACATGTGGCTTTAATTCCTAAAAATGTCTAGATTCCAATATACTTTGATTTTTAAATATGCATCATCAAACCATGGAGGGGTCAAATTCATTCATTGTTTGTTAATTTGACATAAACAAAATGCACCTGGGGCTGGGTAAATACCTCTCTGGTGACCATGGTGCTTGGTTAGTTGAGTTTTGTAGCGACAGAATTGGCACATGCCCTAGCAGAGTCCCCTGGCACAGGATGCCCTTGGCTCCACGGCACATCCAGACAGGGACAGCACCTAGGCTGCAGCCAGGCCAATTGGGCCCACAGTTGACCTAGTGGGCTGTGCTGGCAGGGCCAGGCCTTCAGTTGTGTGGTGAGTCCCTGGGGTGACCTTGGCCTTCTGGATGGTGTGCTGCTTTTGTCTGGTTCAACCAGTATTATTCTCTCTGTCCCATCCTGCCTGCCTCTGCCACCTGGGCCAGTTGGCCTCCAGCACTGTCAGCATCGCCTGCCCTATTCCCTGTTTAAATATGTAAACATCTTAAATAACCAAAAGGCTGGGCGTGGTGGCTCACGCCTGTGATCCCAGCACTTTGAGAGGCTGAGACGGGCAGATCAGTTGAAGTCAGGAGTTCGAGACCAGCCTGGCCAATATGGCGAAACCCTATCTCTACTAAAAATACAAAAAAAATTAGCTGGGTGTGGTGGTGCACACCTGTAATCCCAGCTACTCAGGAGGCTGAGGCAGGAGAATAGCCTGGACCCAAGAAGCGGAGGTTGCGGTGAGCCAAGATTGCACCACTGCATTCCAGCCTGGGTGAGTGAGAGTCCATCTCAAAAAAACAAAAAACATGTTTAAACGACAATTTTCACTTTCTGGATTCTTTGCTTCATCAAATACAGCAAACCAGGATGCTCATAGGAGGAAACTGTGCAAATATTAGAGCTCGAGCCAATGGAATTCTCAGTTGAGGTTTGTCAAAGTCCTGCTCCATTAAAACAATGACTGTAGTTACGTCAATTGGACTACGCATGTATGCAGCAGTTGTGTCCTGGAAGGATTGCTCTTTGCTACCAGAGGACAAAAAGTCAATGACACATCTGTCACCGGGCATTCCCATTCTTGCCACTAATTGGAGTGTTTGCTAAGATCCAATATAACTAAGTGGCTGGCAAGCCAGCTGAAATACCAGATGAAATGGAATTGTGATTATTTTGTTTAATCCCATTTCAAATATTTATATTTTGTTGAAGATTTAAGTAGATGGCCTGTATCAGAAAGATGTGCTATTTCAATAGGAAAAGAAAAGCAATGTAGTGCCTAGTTTAATCTCTGCATTTGAGTTTTTTTCTCAACACAACCATTGAATTTAAGGTCCTCATAGAGACTATTAAATGGAACACTTCAAGGTCAGCCCGATGTAATCAATATCAGCTCAGGCCACAACTCCACAGAGAGACTTCATAATTAACCCCACTGTCACAGAATGTATGAAGATTCTTAAGAGTGTAAGCAGAGTAAAACTATCTGGATTATCTACTTCACTGGCTTTTTTTATCCTTGGGCTCATATGCCTAGACTTCTAAAAGCAACTGGGATTATAAAAATTCAATGTTGGAGATCTTTGCTATTTTACCACCTACCAAATGAATGCGCGCACTTTGTCACACCTGTACCTTTTCAAAAGATGCATAAAATTATGTATAGTTTTTAAAAAGAAATTTTATTTTGTGAAAGTAAATTGTTATTGTAAAGGACTTTCAAAAGCACAAAATATCTAGGGCCTCAAAATAACAACAGCAACAACAACACAAAGACCCCTTTTGTTTATCTATATATTGTTCAATTAATATTATTTATGTAACTATGTACTGTTTTATGAGGTTATGTTTGAAATAAGTTCTATCTTGGGAGCCATCTATTTTTTAAGAATGCCCTCCCCGAGCCACTGTTCTTCTCTTTGTGGTCTGTTTTTCACTTTGATCTTGACTTTAAGTTTTTCTCAAATAAATTGTGGTGACATTTAAAAATTGTTCTCATATATTTTCTTATATACTTGTTCTTATGCATTCTACTGAAGTACTCTTTCCCTTTAAATCTTAATGAGTATTTTATTGGAGTATCACATCTTGCTCTTCCTGTAAGGAAAACAAGGCCAAACAGGTCTCTGAAGCAGCAGTCCCCAACATTTTTGGCACCAGGGATGGGTTTTGTGGAAGACAATTTTTCCACAGGACGGATGGGTAGGGACCGATGGTTTCAGGATGAAACTGTTCCACCTCAGATCATCAGGCATTAGTTAGATCCTCATAAAGAGTGTGCAGTCTAGATCCCTTGCATGTGAAGTTCACAGTAGGGTTTGTGCTCCTATGAGAATCTAATGCCATCGCTGATCTGACGGGAGGTGGAGCTCAGGCGGTAATTGTCTGTCACCAGCTGCTGACCTTCTGCTATGTAGCCTGGTTCCTTACAGGTTGTAGACTGGTACTGGTTGGTGGCCTGGGGGTTGGAGACCCTTGCTCTAAAGTAATCACTGATATGTGTTTATTATAACACGCTTGACAGGGAACTCTGAATTTCTTTTCTGGTCTACATGGACTTTGTTTCCATTCTTTCTTCTATAGTTGATGCACATCTTTAGACTTCATGATGAAAGGGGGAAAGAATGATCCATCATTAGCTTCACTCCATAGCCTCATAAATTTCCTTCTCTTTACCTAACGAATCATCATCATTACTAATTACGCTCCAGAAAATAAACTGGAATGCAGTACAGGCTGGCTTCATGTAGAACAAATCAGTGCATAAATCAGAGAGGCTGCTGTCAAAATGGCTTGTAAGGCCTAGAACTTACTTGGATAGAGTTGGAAATGGAATAGGATAATCTAATTTTAAGGGAGCTTAACACAAATTAAGGGAACATTACTTGGAACATAAATTCATGAATAAAATTGCATATTGGTTTTGTTGACCAATGATGGTACGCAGGTCTTGGGGCAGGGCCAGGAAGAACACTTGCATGCCTCCTCCCAAGCTGTTCCAAGTGGCAGCTCTTTGATAGCCAGGAAGTGCCTCTGGGCAGATATGTGCCTCAGTGCAGAGCACTAGACTGAGTGGAGAGGAAGTGGAGAACAAGCACTGTCCTCTCTGAACCTTTCACTGTGTGGAAGTATGTGGATCCCATGAGCTCACTTGACCTTCAGCCACAACTCCATCATCCCTGCTTGGCCAGGGAGAAAGCAGGCTCAGAGAAGGTAAATGACTTTGGCCTGGTATCACAGCTGGTTAGTGACAGAGCTAGGCTTTGAGCCCAAGGTTCTTTGAGTCCCAAACCTCCAGTCTTCCCACTCTGCTGAGCTACTTCCCACATTGTGATGTAGAAGTTAAGGTAAATAGTATGGAAAGAAAGAAGGTTTATACATAAATCGGTGGTCACTGTTTTGATATGATGTCATGAAACATTTTTGTCCCCAGCCTCATTTGCAATTGAGGGTTTTCCTGTTAAGGAAAAGTCTCTCCAAATTCATAAAATTGCAGGAGTCTGTAAAATTTTGTACCCTGCCTCAATTTTATTGTTCCTACCCACCCGTAGCTCAACGTGAGCAATCCTTCCCCGCAGGCACAGCTACATCTCAGTAGAGTCAATCATAGTCTCACCTGATTGCTGTCTGTGCACTTTCACCTGGAGACAGATAGAGCAGGATTCACCAACGAACCCTGTATTTTGTTTTGTTTTAAGAAAAAAAAATGTATTACCTTGGATATAAAATTATAGAAGAATTTTATCCTACTCTTTTTTTTTTTTTTTTTTTTTTTTTTTTGGTGAGACGGAGTCTCTCTCTGTCACCCAGGCTGGAGTGCAGTGGTGCGATCTCTGCTCATTGCAAGCTCCGCCCCCTGGGTTCACACCATTCTCCTGCCTCAGCCTCCCGAGTAGCTGGGACTACAGGCGTCCGCCACCATGCCTGGCTAATTTTTTGTATTTTTAGTAGAGACGGGGTTTCACCATATTAGCCAGGATGGTCTCGATCTCCTGACCTCGTGATCCGCCTGCCTCAGCCTCCCAAAGTGCTAGGATTACAGGCGTGAGCCACCATGCCCGGCCGGATTCTTTTTTTTTTTTTTTTTTTTTGAGATAGTGTCCCACTCTGTCATTCAGGCTGGAGTGCAGTGGTGCGATGTTGCCTCACTGCAATCTCCGCCTCCCGGGTTTAAGTGATTATCCTGCCTCAGCCTCCTGAGTAGCTGGGATTACAGGTGTCCACCACCACACCCAGCTAATTTTTTTATTTTTAGTAGAGACAGAGTCTCGTTATGTTGACTAGGCTGGTCTCAAACTCCTGGCCTCAAGTGATCCACCTGCCTTGGCCTCCCAAAGTGCTGAGATTACAGGCGTGAGCCACTGTGCCTGACCTTCTCTTTGACTCTTTAATATCTTCCTAAATAACTTAAATACCTTCCCCAGCACCTCCAGTGGAATATGGCCTGAACAGAACTCATTGTATTTCTCTTCATGATCCCTATTTCTCATAATGATATTACCTTCCTCTAAAGGCTTCATTTTTGGCTTCTTTCACTGTACAACCTCATTGCAATACCCTGCAAGATCCTGCTGGAATTCTGTGAACCTCTTCTCACATCTCATCATTCTGTCCTAATCATCACTATTCACTTCAGCTACTCATTTAACTCTTGCCTAATGTAATAGCCTCCCAATAGGTCTTTCCAGTCTACCCTTGAATGAATTGTTCTGCTACTCTTAACCTTTCTGGTGTTTTCCCATTGCTCACTCTAAACTCCTGAATCCTTGGCCTGGCACTGGGGGCTGCCCACGGTCCACAGTCTCTGGCCTGTGCCTGACTAAGCTCATTTCTCCCCTCCCTGTGGGATCTGCTATCCCTGGTTGGGTCTGGGGAGAGTGCTTGCAGGTTCTCTGAGAGTTTTATTTCTTTAAAAGACATCTGTATCAGAGACTGTAAGGGCTAAAACGATCAAACTCTTAGAGAAGACTTCTGTAAGTTGCTCTAGTATTAGAAACAATCCTCTAGCCAGTGTCCCAGGTAGAATAGAAAATAATTCTGTAATCGCTTACCTTCTTTCCTTTGCTCATGCTGATTCCATAACCTGAAAATAGCCTGTCCCCTGATTTTTTGTGTCTAATTCGATAATCCAGATTTTTCACTAAATTCCCCCTGATTCCTTCGGCTCCCTTAGGGTACCTTGTATTTACGTTACAATTGTCTAAGTACTTAGCGCTCCCATCTCTAGGCCAGGACTTTCTTATGGGCAATGACAAGATCTTAGTTACAAGGGACAAAAAGGAACATCACGCTTGACACATAGTAGATATGCAATGAAAATTTGAATGAATAAATGAATGAAAGAAAAAATATATTCGTGTGTTCCTTCTTACCTAGGTTTAAGTTGTTTTCGGGTAGAATCTGGGTCTGATTTATATCCTACAGTATTTAGCTTTGTGCTTTGTGCATAATAGATATTCCATAAATATTTTTTGAATTAGTGGATAGCTATGTAGTTGATCCTGATATGAACTTCCTGAATGCTACATTACTGTATTTCACTTTCAGTAACTTAAGTGTTTCTAATATAGCTAATGTATTTTAAAGTATGTTGATCTTTTCATTGTTACTAGTTTTTAACAGTGGTTATTTTTGTCTTTGAACTGGTTTGCTTTTTCTTGTTTTTTGTTTTTTGTTTTTTTTTTAATTTGAGACAGGGTCTCATTCTGTCATCCAGGCTGGAGTGCAGTGGTGCAAACACGGCTCACTGCAGCCTCAACCTCCCAGGCTCAGGTGGTCCTCCCACCTCAGCCTACTGAGTAGCCGGGACTAGAGGTGCTTGCCACCATGCCTGGCTAGTTTTTGTATTTTTTGTAGAGATAGGGTTTCACCATGTTGCCCAGGCTGGTCTCAAACTCCTGAGCTCAAACGATTCCCCCTCCTCGGCCTCCCAAAGTGCTGGGATTGCAGGTGTGAGCCCCCACGCCGGCCAGGTTGGTTTTTGGTGCATTCTTAATTTTGATTGTTAACACATTATATATCATGATGGGGGAGTGCTTTCTTAATTTCACAAAGGAAATTGGAAAGGAAAAAGAAGGGTCACTTTTAAGACAAATGTGAAGGAGTGTTATAGCTCCCATCTCTAGGTGTTGGTGGGGTTCTAGGACTAGCAATTTTTTCTGCAATAGTGGTTGAGTAATTCTTTCTAGAGTCATCATGGCTCCATCCAGGGACACATAATTTGGATGCTTTCAATGGGAAACTGAGTCAGGCAGCCCTTACTGAAATGCCAGTGGAGCGTTAGAGGACATTCCCAAACTTCAGTGAAGTTGAACTAAGTTTCTCTGCCTCCCCTCCATACCAGGATGCTAACACTTTTTTTTTTTTTTTACAATGAGGAATGCTTGCCAGACTTCCCTGTCAACCTTTAACTATAGAATATTTGATTTCAATTAGTGAATTAATGGTTCAGTCATCTCTCTATCTGAGGGCATTGGTTCCAGGACCCCCATGTATACCAAAACCTGTGAATACTCAAGGCCCACAGTTGGTGCTATAAAACCCAAGAATATGAAAAGATGGCCCTCGGTATACAGGGGCTTTGCATCCTGAGAACGCTGTATTTTTGATGTCATTTGGTCGCAGATGCAGAACCCACTCATAGAAAGGGCTGACCGTATCTATTCAAAAAATTCGTACTTAAGTGGATCCATGTGGTTCAAACCTGTGTTGTTCATGGGTCAATCGTACTTGCTTTTAGTTGTGTTACTTGGTACAAGCCTAAGTAGTAATGAAACAAAAAGAACTGACTGGAAAATGTCAGTGATGCCTTTGTGATGAGTGTGCCTTTGTGATCCACACTGCCTTAAGCTTCACTGCTGCTTTTGGTTTTGTTGCTGTTTGGGGTTTTTTGTTTTGTTCTCTTCAAATGATTTGTTGGGAAAGATGAAAGATGCCTTCGTGTGCTTCTTCTGCAGTGTCACTTTACTTCTCTGTGAAGAGGAACAATCCTAACCCATATATGTAAACTGAGCGAGTTAGTTATAGGAAGTACCTAGGTTTGTGAAGTTGCCTAAATCTTGCAATTAAGACTTACAAGTGGGTAAGTAGAGTCAGGAAAAAAGGTCAGAGGATCTAAGGAGAGAAATTTACTTCTAGGAAATACTATGAACTTATTGGAAGCAGGAAAGTTTCTCTAGTATATTTTAGAAGGATGACCCAGAGCTTGCTTAAATGTACAAAACAGAAACAAAAGACGCCCTCTTTATGAAATACAGATGCATCGTCTACAACTATTGGAGTTGTTCATTTTTTTAGAAATGAACTAAGTATTTGCCATGACATGCTCTCTGAGACAACTTTCATTCGCCTTTCACTGGGCGTTATGGGAATCCTGTAGTCTCAAGACTGGTAAATTTTTAGGCTTTTGGCCCAGTGTCAAGACTTTTGAGCAATGGTATAAATCCATTAGATATGTTGACATCTCAACTTCTTTGAAATAATTAAGATTGTTTGCATTATTTGTCTCTCTCAGAAATGAACACACCTGTGAGTACTGGATGCCTGTGAGCTTGCCATTACCTGCACTGCAAAGACACAGGGCGGTGGCCTCTGAGAAGCAGCTCCTTCCCCTTCACCTTGGCCTTGCCCTTCCTGCTCACGGTCCACCATGGAGACGCTGTCCCAGGACTCTCTGCTGGAATGTCAGATCTGTTTCAATTACTACAGCCCCCGGCGCAGGCCCAAGTTGCTGGACTGCAAGCACACCTGCTGTTCAGTGTGCCTGCAGCAGATGAGGACCAGCCAGAAGGATGTGCGGTGCCCCTGGTGCCGCGGTGTCACCAAGCTGCCTCCCGGCTTCTCCGTGTCGCAGCTCCCGGACGACCCGGAGGTCCTGGCTGTCATCGCCATTCCACACACTTCCGAACACACCCCGGTCTTCATCAAACTTCCCAGCAATGGGTGCTACATGCTGCCCCTGCCCATCTCCAAGGAGCGTGCGCTGCTGCCCGGAGACATGGGCTGCCGCCTGCTGCCCGGGAGCCAGCAGAAGTCCGTCACCGTGGTGACCATCCCTGCTGAACAGCAGCCTCTGCAAGGTGGGGCTCCCCAGGAGGCGGTGGAGGAGGAGCAGGACAGGCGGGGCGTGGTGAAAAGCTCCACCTGGTCGGGGGTGTGCACTGTCATCTTGGTGGCTTGCGTCTTGGTCTTCCTCCTCGGCATCGTGCTTCACAACATGTCTTGCATTTCTAAGCGCTTCACTGTGATATCCTGTGGCTGAAGAGGGCTGCAGGGAAGTCTCTTGTGGGTGCCAACTTAGGGGTTGAGCAGGTTGATGATGAGATCCCAGTGAGAAGATGGGGGGCAACACTGACCATTTGGTGCTGAGCGCTGGCCTCTGGGTTGCCTCTTGATTACCCCAAGACAGACACAAAGGGCAGAAGGTGCGGTCTCAACAAGATACCAGGTGAATTGTTCTGAGTGTTGATGGCAACAGCTTGGAAGATGATTGCATGCATCCTCATAATCATGTATTCAATGGACTGTAATTTATGATTTTTCAAAATCATGTTACAAGATAGACATATTCTACTTAGACGTTAAACTGTACAAGTGCGTACAATGTGACCTTCTCTAAATGCGGTAGATTCAAACAAAGATGCTCTGTAGACAAGTAGAATTAAACCTGCGAATCCGTGTAAAAATTCAGTGAAGACATGCACTGCTGGCTTCTTTATTTTTTTTTTCTTTTTATTGAAACCCAGTCTTCATTTAGTTGCTAAGGCTTTTAATACATTTTGAATGGCACCAAAACAAAATAAGTCAAAATGGACAGTCATTTTATTTGGAGGAAATATTTGAACAAGTGTCTCCAATGTGTTGTGTTTTGTCATGAACCTTCATTTTCTTCACTTGTAATTAGAGCTTGCTACGTGTTTATGGAACTGAAAGCTCAACAGGGGAGCAATAAACCGAGAAATCATGAGAAATGTCTAATCCCATGGGAAAACCTGTATGCCGATTTTCCTCAAGCCATCTCACAAAATAAGAATTTCAAATGTAAATATTGTGTATTTGTGTGTGTATGTGTGTGTGTCTAATTTGATTTACCTCAGGTGTTTGAGTCTTTGCTGAAGAATCCTGGGATGAAGACTTCATTGGGCATGAATGAGTCAAGTCTCTGAAGCGGTGGCCACTTCTTGGACATCTTGACCCAGCGAGTGGTCTCCTACACGTCACCTGCAACACTCGCTCCTCTTCTGTGTATTTAAGTCCTGCATTTTGTAAGAGGCAAATGGAGAGTAACAGAAGAGTGTCTTTTCTCCTGGTTTTGGAGTCTTGCACTGGCCATGAGTGTTGTGACTGATGGTCAACCCAGGCGGGCATTTTAATAAATGGCCTGTGATTCTTTTTTGAAAGATGCTCTTCCACAAGAGTTAAGCCAGTTAGAATTCCTGTTTCCTCTTGTTGATATGAGAGAAGATCTCCTGTATTTTAACACGTTTTTACCAAGAAAGGTGGCAAGGTAAACTAACAGCTCAAATTCCCAATATAAGTGGACCAGTTCCTCATAAACTGTCAAATGTTCTTAAATGTGTAATGATCTATAGATGCTCATGAAGAAAGATCTGCTACAAGTACGTGATAAATTCCTATCCCTGGGTGCATGTGCATTCAGAAATAGCTGTGAGCTTTACAGCTCTCATCTAACTTCTTTTATGGAATTCATGAAGCAAGTGGTATGTGACAAGGACTCCACTTATAAATATAACTGTTTTTATGTTCCACTGAATCCCTGAAAATGGTGAGGAGGGTGGGGGGAAGTGAAGGAAAGACAAGCAGGGCTAATTCCAAAAAGCAAGGCTAGAAAATAGCCCTGTGAGGTCAAGACAATTTAATTTATTTACATGCTGTCTGTTATCTTCAAGCAGCACAAAATATGCATATAAAAGTGATGGAATTAATGTGAAATAAAACAAAAATATAATGGCTAGAATACAAAGCTAATACTGCTAATTGGCATGAGAATTCAACATAAAATTGTGAGCTCTGATTTTTCAAATTGATCATAAAACCTTTAGGAAATGTATTTGAAAGCTCAAAATAGAAATTAGGTTAAAATGCCATTTTATTGTGTAAGCTCTTGGGCATTATACAACAAATAATCTAGGATTTATTTGGTATTAATAATTTAGGTGTCATATTAGCTGAATACTATCCTCTATTACATAACATAATATACTGTTGGGTTAGTGTCAATTTCTCAAACTCTCCCAGGCTGCCATAATGCATGTCTGACCTAATTTCTATTTCTCTTGGAGGAAAATACACACACACACACACCACAGAAGTGTTGCATTAAGAATGCTACATTTCGAATAGACTTTGCCCTTGCAATTTTAAGCTATGCCATATTCAGATTAATTTTGTGAGTGATATCTGCATATGTTTCTGTACAGTGTGAAATGACTGACCCTGTAGTATAGTACGTGATAGAGTTCTACTTGTTAAAGTAGGTTAGATATAGACACTAATGTGTGTGATGATAGTGTCCTGTGTTTCTTAGTGCAAATCTGTAGAGTAAAAATGTCCATAGAACTTTTACTTAAAAACAATCCCATGCTAGAGTTGCCATTAAGCAGTGCAAAATTAATCGGCTGTATGGTAGATTCTTGACCTTAAATTTAACAACAACAACCAAAATCAGATTTTTTTTGTGAGTCTTACTGACCTAAGAAACATTGTTTAAATTGTTTAAATGGATCTGCTTGCAGTTATTTGTGTACCTGTTTGTTGGGGTGTGCATTCTTGTGTATGTGTGTGTGTGTGTGTGTGTGTGTGTGTGTGTGTGTGAGAGAGAGAGAGAGAGAGAGAATCTCAGTCTCCCAGATAGAATTTTATAGGCTTAATGATGTTTTAATGTTGCTTGGCATCCCATTGCTCTGGCCTCTTCTGGCATTTACCAATGACCCTTAACAAACACATCTACCCATGTGACCAAAGTCCACTGACACAAGAGGCCAGGATTCATACTTGCACATTAATGAAAAGTCACAACTGGAAAGCACAGAAAGAGCTGAAAGCAGCCTCCGGTGGCTTCATTTTGTAGATGAGTCCGTTTTGTAATTCTGCAGAAAGGGGGGGATATGAACTTCGCACTGCAGTGTCTTCTTGCTCCATCCTAGGTCTGTCTATATCTCTATCTGGCTATGATCCTTTCTAGGGTTGATGAATACCCTTTACTGAGTCAACTATTGCTTTAAAGAATTTTTTTTGTAGGTTTATGTACTCATTTTAGTTAGCATCTACCTCTCTGGGAAAATGAAAGGAGGGTTGACTTAGGGATGAGTATAGATGTTGAAAGACAACTATCAAACCATGTGGTTTGAATTTTTAAAATTGTAAAACATTGGTGTCCAAACCTCCCACCCCACTTGTATGTAAAGGACAGTGAGTGTTGTATAAATAGTAAACTATAAGAAGCATGAATTTTCATCTTTATTAATGATCTTGAAATAAGGAAGAGAATGCTTAATATGTTAAGTAGAGCCAAGAATGCTACTAAGAAGCATTGTCTTTGGAAAAATTTTGTATAATGACTTGGGGCATAAGTTGTGATGAAAAGGCAACTTGGTTTTTGGTTCCAGTCATACTTAATGATCAGAAAGCTCTAAGATGTTTTCTTTAAAAATAGAATTAAGTTTAATTTTTTGCATGGCTTACAGATTGGGTCCCTTGAAGGTTAAACCATGTGATGGTATAACCTGTGAGATCTTCTAGATTGGCACTGTTCAATAGGGCTTTCTGTGATGATGGAAATGCTCGAAAACCTGTGCCGTCTGGTACGGTAGCCACCAGGCACATTGACTTTTAGGCAGTTAAAATGGGGTTACTACAAGGGAAGAACTGGATTTCAAATTTTATTTAATTTTAATTAGCTTAAATTTAAATAGCCCTATGTGTCTAGTGGCTGCCATATTGAACGATGCAGTTCTGGGTGATAGCGCTTGGGGATCCAGCATCAAGGTATTAATGGAGTAACAGTGAGGCTAAGGTGAGAGTTTGTGGGCTAGTGACATGCAGTTGGCAAAAGGCAAAACATTCCTTTCTGGGCTTAAAAAGTATGTGATCTCAAGTATGACAGTAAAAATTCATTGTTGCCCTTTGGAACTGTTGCTTATAGATTTTAGGCCAAGGAATGATCAGTGAAGCTTAAAGAATGCTTTATTAAGCCCCTTTTCTGGGATCATTAGCTGCATGTTAACCTATTGTCCAAAAATAGTAGTTAGACAGTACCTGTAAAACGTTTGACTTGCAAGCTATGCATGATCTGTACTGTGAAATTGTGTCTAGGGTCTTGTGGCCAAAAAGTAAATGTTACAGGAAAAAAAAAGCCTAATGAAATCCCTGTTCACTTCCAGTATCCTATCCAAACTTCATTGCTGTATTAGTAAGGTGCAAATATAAGAGCAAGCATGTTTTGCAGTGTTCAGACTGGTTTTGTTTGCCCTTGAAGTTGGCCAGCTTGTCGTTGTATTTGGTGTGGGCATATGTGGGCATCATTTTTCAGATGCCAAACTAAAATGTAGGTAGTATTTTTAGAATGAGATTTGACATTGTTTTAGTGTCTTTCTTTTTTAAGCAAAAATTTCAGTTATCCCTGAAAGAGTTGAAGATTTGAAGCTTTGCACAAAAGCACTTTTTTTAACAGTAAAAAATACTGCCCATGAAATTTAAAGACTTGAAGTTTACTAAAGCTACAATAATTACTTTTTAGCTAAATAAAAGGAAGCAGAAAATTCAGTTTGAGATATATTTCCTATAAAGACCAGATTCTTACTGATAATCTGGTATTTATTCCAGTCTAGATTTTGATTTTAAGAGTTCCCATCCCTTTATTTGAAAACTTATGTTGTTTCAAAATTGGTTAGTCTGCTTTTCATTGTTTTCCAAATGGAATATATACAAAATACATTTACTTCATTTTAGCAGAAATGGGTTGATTTTTTTTTTCTAGAACTCATCAATGTGCAAGACTTTCCTTCTTAGCTTGCCTTTAAAAATCATTTAATTTTTTTTTTTTTGCCAAGATACTAATCTTTCTTTAGCCTTAATAGGAAGATAGAAGTTCAAAAGTTATCGGTGCAAAAGGAGTGATACACAAAAGACTTCAATTTCTATCTTTTCTCAGAAAAGTGATGCTGCCCACCAGTCAGCATTTTGTTTCCACATAAGAAGTGTCAGGTAGTCAGTCTGTCATCCCTGACTTAGATAGAGAAGCTGTTCCTTGACATTTCCATCATTCTCAGTAAATTGTCACCTACAAGGTAATTCTTACCAAAACAGAAACTATTGAGAATAATAAGATAGTCGAGATAATTCAGTAGCTGTTTTGAAAGTAGTAGTCTATTTAAAAAGCAACGATGTTCAGTTGCTGGATTTTGTTCAACATGAGACACTTATTTATTTATTTATTTATTTATGAGATGGAGTTTTGCTCTTGGTGCCCAGGCCAGAGTGCAATGGCATGATCTCAGCTCACTGCAACCTCCGCCTCCCAGGTTCAAGCTATTCTCCTGCCTCAGCCTCCTGAGTAGCTGGGATTATAGGCATGCGCCTCCATGCCCAGCTAATTTTGTATTTTTTAAAGTAGAGACGGGGTTTCTCCATGTTGGTCAGGCTGGTCTCCAACTTCTGACTTCAGGCGATCCACCCGCCTCGGCCTCCCAAAGTGCTGGGATTACAGGCATGGGCCACTGCACCCAGCCAACATGAAACACTTCTAAAAGATAAGTGGAAATTCAAGCCATTGATTTTTCTGACACAACTGACTTACTACACACACACACACACACACACCACGATTTAGCTGTAATTGGAGTTAAAATTCAGTAAAAAACTGTTATTAGTCATGTTTTCCAATTTGTGAGTTATACAATATTGGATTAGATGCTAATTTCTTAACTGTTGCTATGGGCTGCATACATTATGTCAAACTAACTACCTTTGGGAGTGTCTATATAAACACTTGAAACTTTTCAAATATATGAAGAGGTAGGTTCTACTGTATACATTTTATTGGAAAGCCATTAATCATTGAAGAACTTAAGCAGGTGGGGCATTTAATTTCTTCCAAATACCTTATTTTTTGGATCTGCTCAAGTGGTTAGGGCGAGTGCACCATTATTCCCGAATCCCTGCAATTTGGTTCCCATTTTTCTGCACAAATTTTCTTGCTCAGTCGAGCCAATGACTTTTTTTTTTTTTTTTTTTTTCAGGATTCACTGCCTGGGGTATCCCACTATATATATCTCACCTATGATGTAGTGGTGCTTGAAATACTCATCTCATTAGCTCGATTTTATTATTCTAATCTAAGGTTTTTTATATTATTCATACTATGATATTTTTAGGGACAATCAGTAATATTTGGGGCAGAGTACTGAGGGACCTCTTGAAGTCTGCAACAGCATGCATTTTCTTTGTTTTTGTGGGAGTGCTTCCCTGTAGCTGTCTTTGTTCTAGAACACTGCTCCAAATTTATTTCCATGGGATGTAGGGCTAGTAGCCCATGTGAAAGTCTTCTGTAATCTCCTTGGGGTGTGAGTTATTGGGTTATTCTAACAGGAGTTTTCCAAAGGGATGGCCCATTTTTAATTCAACATTTGCTTTTTGAAAATCCAGAAGTAGACAGTTGGATATAATAGTGGTGGAAGAGCATGGGCTGTAAGCAGAAGGAAATAGAGATGACAAATGCCTCTTAAAGGGGATCTAGTTGATACCTCTGTTAAATAGTGGGAGAACACAGTAGCTGGTACCTTACACTGTGCTTTAGGAAAATCCTATGAGGATTTCATTTACAAATCCTCATAGGATTTTCTGGGTTGAGGGACAATGCAACTATTAAGTAGAGGGAGAGGGAGAGGGAAAGGGAGACATGAAGCACTGGGTCTATGTGAAGGGACAGGCAGATATACCCAAAGAGGGAGAAAATACTTAATAAAGGAAGAGTATAGCTGCAAAACAAGACATATAGGAGCTGAAGGCCAGATATGGCAGAAACCAGCTGGAGAAAGAAGCACAGGACAACTAGGACAACTTAGTCAAGCACAATCTGTCATTCCAGTACGGACTACCAAGTTCAATTCAGGATGCTTCAGTTGAAGACATGTGGGGTAATGTGCTCAGCTCATGAGGGTCCAAGGAGTCCCCATTTTCCCTATCACCCTATCCTATGCTCGTGGTTTGGATTGTTAGCACACTAGGCAATTTCAGAGTCCGCTCTAGAGTTGGTTGCCACGTCAGTGCAGACAGACTCTAGAATCCTCTTAACCATGGAATGCAAGGCCTGTTCCTGTGGATCTATCCTGACTTGAGTATGTCAGTACTGTTGGGAAAATGAGTTCAAGAATATTTCAGTTTATATATCCTGGTTGCCGTCATATATTTTTTCATTTCACCACTTGTTTGTGTTTGCCTCACTCAACAGTCATGGGTGTAGAAGCTGGTTTCAGCTTGGGGCTGTTACAAACTCCCTACATAAGCCATGTAGCTGCAATCCAGGGTTCCTCCCACCCTACGGCTTTAGCGGTGGGTTCTCTGGCCCTCTTGATAACAAATACTCCAGTCTAATGGCTATATTAATGCTGCTCAGAGGCTATTAACTCAAATCCTTGATGTGTTTCATTTACAATTATGTGGATTATTTATTTTAGGAGCTTTTTTTTTTTTTTTTTTTTTTTTTAAGGGCCAAATAGCCCTACAGATAAATGAGCTGCTGGGCTGTGTAGAAAATATTGTCCAAATGTTGCCAAATATTGACTTCGTAAAGGGGATATCAAGCTGCTGTTTATAAATCTGAATGTCTTAAAAGCATTCTTGCTTGCTCTCTCTGTTATAGATGGTGTCTTAGCCAGTCCTGAGTTTTCCAATGAACCCAATTTTAATATATGGTATTTTTGTATGCCAAACTGGTGTCTTGTCCTTTGTATATGTGGTAATGTTGATTTTATGACTACCGTAAAAACACATTTGCTATGATTAAAGTTCATAAAATGATTTCAAATAGACTCACGTATTGGTTTTTTCCCCCCTCCTAACCCCAGGAAAAGAAAAAAAATTGGCTGAGATTTTCATCATCAGTTATTCTAAGGATTTTAGTAGACTTGGGTGATAAAGCAGTAAGAAGATCCTGAGCCAAGGATTTTAAGTGGAGGTGACTTTCAAGTAGCTCCTCCGAGAGGCCAAAGAACACATCTTTAATGAGTAAGCCCAAGCTTGTCTTTGCAACTTGGGTTTTCTTCTGGTGGCCCTTCCTTTATCCTCCAGTGTTTAGAAATTGTGCTGCATGCCCCAGGTCCCAAGTGAACCATATACAGAACAACTTGTTGCACCGTATACAGAACAACTTCATGCAGCCCCTGTGAAGTAGGGTAGAGTGACTTGGCCTCTTGGCCCTGAGCCTGGAAAGGTGTCCTTCAATTAATGTTCTCATGAATAGGGTATTTTGGAGAGACTTTTTTGATAAAAAGCATCCTGTCTTTTGATAACTGGATCATATCAATGAATTTCAATTTAGTTTAGCAGGTACCCTACTCCTAATTAAGGGCTATCAATGACCTGATATGCATGGGTGCAGGTGTAAGCATGCTCTGGCTTTCTGGGAAATTATAAAGTAATCCCCACAGTTTTAAAAGTGAGATGTGGCCAGGCACAGTGGTTCATGCCTGTAATCCCAGCTTTTTGGAAGGCCAAGGCTGGAGGATCACTTGAGGCCAGGAGTTTGAGACCAGCCTAGGCAACTCAGTGGGACCCCTGTCTCTACAAAAATTAATGAGGAAATTAGCCAGGCATGGTGGTGCACACCTGTAGTCCTAGTTTAATCATGAGGCTGAGCCTGGAAGTCGCTTGCACCTAGGAGTTTGAGGCTACAGTGAGCCTGATTGCACCACTGCACTCCAGCCTGTGTGACAGAGTGAGACCTTGTCTCCTAAATAAATAAGAGGCATTATTGTGATTCAATACCCACTTCTTATACCAAAAAAGCAAGGAGTATTGTATTAGTCTGTATTTTTAAATGTGCAAAATTTTTTTGGCATATTTAAACTTTTCTGATCTGTGAATTTCCCTGGTTTCAAGTAGCATGGGGCAGAGGTGGGTGGGTGGGTAGGAATTTCTTTGTTAGAGTTGGTTACTCATGCTTGAACCTCTCTATCAGCTACAGAAGGACTTGATTGGAAGAAGGCAGAGAGGCATTTAAGGAAGGCATTTAGATACCCTGACTTCTCCAGGTCTTAACTCCTTCATGCCAGGAGCCAATGTATCTATAGTCTTATGTTATCAAGACTCACCTGTAGACTTGATGGGGACACAGCGAAGGAGAGGGGGTCTTGGGAAAGCCCTATAGGTGCATCTTGCCTGGGAATAGACACACTGGCAACCTCTTCAGATGACACTACTGGTGGTGGCACAGGTTTTATGCCTCTGGATGTGGGCCTGGAAGGAGAGGATGAGGCCATGCCAGCTCCAGGATCCCTGCAGAGGAGGAATGTGTGTGAGTAGCTGAAGATCAGGCAGAGGGATATGAAGGTGCAGAGAGAGAGGGTAACCAGGTCTGGCATTCACTGCATGCCATCCTCACCCTCAGGCCTTCCACAAACACAGCCCTCCAACACTCCGCCAAATTTCCTGAAATGAAAGCCCGTCTACCTGCCAATACATTATTTTTCTTAATGCTTTTGTTTTCAGAGATAATTCTTGGAAGAGAAACCCATTTTCAGTGTACACAATATAGCACTAGGCTGCGTAAATGGCAGGGGAGAAGGGGAAGGGTTTCTAGAATCAAGACTGAATATCTGCTTTTCTTTTTATAGATTTGAAAACTTTTGCACAATTTTACTTGACCCATATAATGACACAGCTGTAACTGGATTCAGTCTCTCTCACTCCCCAGAACTACTGCTCCTTGAATCCCCTCTTTACACTATTGTGTTGGCACACGCCTATTTGTTTTTATTATTTGCAAGAGTAAGTGAAGGTACAGACGTGCGTGGGGATGTGTGTGTATACACATGCATATGTGAACATTTCATGGACTCTTGGCATAGGTTTTTTTCAAGGTTAAGAGGGTGAAGATCTTAAAAGAGGGGTCAGGAAAACACTCTGGTTTGGGATTACTTCTTCTTCTTTTTTTTTTTTTTTTTGAGATGGAGTTTCACTCTTGTTGTCCAGGCTGGAGTGCAATGGTGCAATCTCAGCTGACTGCAACCTCCGCCTCCTGGGTTCAAGTGATTCTCCTGACTCAGCCTCCCAAGTAGCTGGGATTACAGGCATGCACCACCACACCTGGCTAATTTTGTATTTTTCTTAGTAGGGAGGGGATTTCTCCATGTTCGTCAGGCTGGTCTCAAACTCCTGACGTCAGGTGATCCACCCATCTTGGCCTCCCAACGTGCTGGGATTGCAGGCGTGAGCCACTGCACCCAGCTAAGAAAGGATTATTTCTATGGAATCATGAGGAAAATTAGGGAGAAGGAAAGCCCCTTCAACCTTTTGTTACTTCACTGAGGGTTTCCATGATGGCCAGTCACTATGGCTGCTGAGATGAGCAAAGTGGGAACAGTCCCTGACCGTGTAGGGGAGAAAGAGAAACTTCTTTTCTCACCCATCACAAGGTTCATGGCTGACACCCATTAATAAGAGAAATGCATAACACATTTATTTAATATAAGTTTTATGTGACATGGGAGCCTTCAGAAATAAGACCCAAAGACTGAGAAGAAATTATTTTTATGGACAGTCATGCAGAAGTATAATTGGAGGACAAAAGGATCTGATCTTATGGTAATAAACTGGGGGTTGGGGGGAACTTAGTAGGACCTGTTTGTTCAGATTCCTCCTGGCATCCCTGCATGCCATTTCTTTTCTCTGGTTATAGGGTGACACATCTGTCACATGGGGATCTTCAGGGGAGAAAGGAGGAAGAAGATCAGAGAGTGAGCTTCCTAGGTTTTAAGGTCCGCTTCAGAGAAGAAGGGGCAGGTGGAATTCTAGTTTCTATGGCCCAGTTCAAGAGAAAGAGGGTGGAGAAGGTCAGAGAGACCTTCCTGCTTTTGAAGCTTTCTCAATTTCCTTCAGCTTAAAATACTCAGTATGCCAAGTTGCCACACATTGCGGTATCATGTTCTGAACCCTGACTTCACGTGGACCTTAGAGTCTTGTAGGAAAGACAGGCATTGGTAATAAACAATGTCCAGGTCCAGTGCAGAGGTGCAGGGGATTTGAATGCATGTAACAAGGAAGACAGATGGAAGGCTTGCCTGATGGGCTTGCCTGATGGGTTTGGGGTAGGAGCAGAGTCAGAAAAGGCGTTTTGGAAAAAGTGGCTTCTAGGATAAGAGCTAAGGGATGAATTGGGATCAGTGAGGAACATTTCTGGAAACACACTCAAGAAGGGATCACAAGAGAAAAAGGAGGCATAGGGCATGGAGACTTCTCTCTGGGGTAAGTTGACTTCTCTTGTTAGCCTCCCTGCTGTTTGTACATTGTCTTGTGCCAATTACACTGCAACTGATGATGTTTCAGTGTGACATCCCAGTCCCCAGGAATATCCATTGCGATGGTCTGTATGCTGTGTCCCCCTCCAAATTCATTTGTTGAAATGCTAAACCCCAAGATAATGTGATTAGAAGGTGAGGCCTTTGGTGAGGTGATTAGGTCATGAGGGTAGGGCTGTCATGAATGGGAATGATGACCTTATAAAAGGGACCTAAGGGAGCTGCTTTGCCCCTTCCGCCATGTGAACACACAGCTAGACGTCACCATGTGTGAACCAGGAAACGGGCCCTCACCAGACACCACATCTCTCAGCACTTTGATCTTGGACTTCCCAGCTGCCAGAACCATGAGAAATAAATTTTTGCTTATAAGTCACCCAGTTTGTAGTATTTTGTTATAGCAGCCCAAACAGACTAAGATACCCAAAGAAGAGCATTTTACAAAAGCACAACTATAGGGTTGATTTTATAGGTAGATACTTTTTCATAAGACATAATACGTGGGAAACTGGCTCTGCAATGGACATTTACTTCATCATGTTCATATAACATGTAATTATTTTCTTCTGCCTATGCTCTGTGCAGAAGAAAACAATGCGTAGAATCTTTTATTCCAATATTTGTGCCACTAGTTTCTGAATTAGACAGATTCAGACTCCAATATTGCTGACACAGGCTGCAAATAAACCTCTGTCTAAGGTATAGTCTGGAAAAGGGCATTTTCCAAGCTGTGTTTTGAGATATTATTAACAGTAGGTATTTTATGAAAAATGTTTTGTGATTAAATAAGCTGGGAAAATACTAGGTTAAACAGGTTTGTTTTTTTTTTAATTGCATAACTTTTCAGAGCCTTTAATATGTAGATTAGTCAGGGTTCTTTAGAGAAACAGAACCAATTGTGTGTGTTGGGGGTGGGGGTGGGGAAGGGGAGAAAGAGAGATTTTAAGGAGTTGGCTCACAGGATTGTGGACTGTGGCAAGTCTAAAATCTGCAGGGTAGGTCATCAAGCTGGAGACCCAGGGGAAAAATAATGCTGCAGCTTGAGCCCGAAGGCAGCCTGTTGGGAGAATTACCCTTTCTTTGGGGGAGGTCAGTCTTTTTTCTCTTAAGGTCGTCAATTGATTGCATGAGGCCCACACACATAATGGAGGGCAGTCTGCTTTACTCAAAGTCTACTGATTTAAATGTTAATCGTATCTAAAAAATGTCTTCACAGCAACATTCAGAAAGGTGTTTAACCAAATATTTTAGTATTATGGTCTAACCAAATTGACACATAAAACTAACCATCACAATATGCTAAGGGGCCCTGGAAATCTCTAAAATGGGAACATAATATGTATCACTTTCTCCCAATTTATTTGAGTAAAGAATCCATCATTTGCAGAATGTCTATTGATGTCTAGCAGAACACAGTTGGGGGAATACTGGCCTTGAATGATAATTCACTATTTTGACTTACTCCTTTCGTTTCTGGTTTGAAGTGATAATCAAAGGCTGGCCCAAAGCAAACCAACCAACCAGCCTATAAATTAAGTGCTCATATTTACATAAGAAGATTGAACTATTAGCTCATGGTTTGTTTTTTATTTTAAAACAATATCATGTAAACATAAAATAACCCAATACTTATATTAGATTTACCTTGATGGTATATTGTAAGTAATTCGCAAGCTAAAATGTACTGCACGCATTACCAATGAAATTTTCTCACATGAGCAAATTATGGGGGAAATATGTATACATCTGCTTTAGCAATAAGGGTATGGATGAATCATACTTAAATGCAGTGCATACATATCAGAGTCTAGTTTTAGAAAATTATAGTCTAAAAATTTATAAATATTCATTACTACATATTATGGGGCTAAAAATAACCCACAACAAACTAAACTGATAATGATGAGCAAAACCAACAATAATTTGCTATTAAGCAAGAAGAACAGCAATTAAGAAAAACATGATCAATTCAAGACAGTACTGATAATAAGTATCCTTCCCACAAATTGTAGGAATTTCAACTATTTGCACATGCAGTAGGAGCCTAGCAATGTTGGGAAAATATTGAATTAGCAAAATACAGAATTGGAGCAATTGCTAAACTCTCTAAGCTCTGAAAACCACTCGTTTGGTTCAAAAACTGCAAAATTTAGCAAATCATCTGTAGGCAGTTATTAATGAGTTGGTCTCATTCAGGCATTTAAGAAGTTTTGGGATTGGTGGGCAACCTGTTAGTAAAACCTATTGGCCCTCCCAAGTGGGCAGAGGGCCATGCATTCAGAACCACTCCCTAGAAGATGAGGCAAACAAAAACAGGAATTTATGAACATGGGCAATACATATAAATGAGAAACAAAGCAATTTTCCATTTCATAAAACATCATTTTAATAGAAATACAATTTCATGGAATAAAATCAATAGTTATAATATTTACTTTCAAATATGCTCAGGATATAGTGAAGACAAGAACTATCCATGTTCTATAAATTTCTATCAGTTTTTATGTACTTTAAACACATGAGATCCCAATGTGCATTGGTTAAGTTTCCTATTAAATTATACCCCCTGCCCCAACCATTTAGGACAAATCACACCTTCTTTCTAGCTTTATGTCAGACAACCAAGAAACTGTCTACTTTTTTAAAAATCCCATATTGTTGCCTCATCACCCACATTTGGAAAGGTAAACTTCATTCCTATGTAAAATGTTTGTACCTCCTTAAGTTTCAGTCCAGCTTCTCCAGTCCTTCACAAAGAAGATATTGATAGTTTTGTATATTTATATGGAAATGGTTATTAATCTTACAATGACTTCTGTTTATGTAAGTGATGTTTTGCTTATAAAATATAGGATGGACTAAATAGTAAATTTTGCAGAGAAGCAGAATTAGTGAATGTGGGGTGAAATGGGGAAGACTTCCTATGAGATATTTTGAAGTCGGCACCACTGGCAGCAGAGAGCCCCCTGCTCCTGCCTGGAATGTCACTGATAGACTTCATCTATCCATTCTTGCCACTCACCACTGCATCCCACGGCACCTAGGAGAGTAATAGCTGCTCAGTAAATATTTGCTGGATGAATGAGTGTCTAAGTCATATTGTCTGCTGAGACAATTTAGTAACATTAGGCTTCAGATGCACCAACGGTTTTGGAATATTCGGCGTGGTTGGGTCTTTTTTCTTGGCAGATCTCATCATTTTCTGCACTTAGCGTCTTGCAATTGCTGTGGGGAATAGTTCGCTTTCTCTTTCCCGCCCATCAAACCCATTTTAATGAGCTGTTTCTGTTCGGCTGTCTTCCTGAAATAAAATCATTTCCTCTTCCTCAAAATGTTCGTGCTCAAGGCTGACTAGCTTGGCAACTGGGTTGTTAATCAGAATTAACTAATGTCAAGGCTCTATCCGCCCTATTACTTTGACCATCTACAGATGCTGTGCATTTTCCCCATAGTCCATTAATTTGAATACATGATTATACTCCATTCTGTTGTATCAATGATGGTGCTTGCTTGGTACGGGTTTAAGAGGCAGGGGGCAGGGCTGGGGTGAGGCAGGCAAGGCGCCTAGGGTGGAACATTTTAGGGGGCTCTCACTCCTTCAGGGGTCTCCCTTGCCTCACCCCATCTTGGCACTGGGAGGGGAAAGATTTGAGTGTGTGTGAGCATGTGTTAGTCTTGACTGTAACTAGATCAAAAGCAAGATCAGATATATATCACTGGTTTTCCCAACAGTTGCCAAAGCAGTCTTCTCTACATAGTCTTCTCTACATAGTAGGTGCTCAGTAAATACGGCATATGCCAAAGCGTAAAATAATCCAAATTACGAGGTGATACTTTATCTTCCCAGTGAGAAGACCTAACAAACAAAGCAAAATATGATTTAGGCCAGCTTGAAGGTGTAAACTTTTGTAGATGTAGTTGTGAAATGTTCACTTTAAATATAATTCACCTTCATTGTACAACAGGTTTTAAATCTTATGTTTTTCTATTTGCCTTTTTAAAATACCAATTATATCAGGTGACCTGTATAAGGATCTAAACCTAGCAGTTTCTGGCCTGGCGTGGTGCCTCACACCTGTGATCCTAGCACTTTGGGAGGCCAAGGCAGGCCGATCACCTGAGGTCAGGAATTCGAGACCAGCCTGGCCAACGTGGCGAAACCCCGTCTCCACTAAAAATACAAAAATTAGCTGGGCATGATGGTGGGTGCTTGTAATCTCAGCTATTCAGGAGGCTGAGGCAGGAGAAACACTTGAACCTGGAAGGCGGAGGTTGTAGTGAGCTGAGATGGCACCACTGCACGCCAGCCTGGGTGACAGAATGAGACTCTGTCTCAAAAAATAAAAATAAATAAAGTAAAATAAAGCTAGCAGTTTCCTCATATTACAATCAGGATAGTAATAGTAGCTGATTTAGAGGGTTGTTGTGAGGATTAAAATAATTAAGGCAAATAAAAGACTTAGGACAGTTCCTGGCATATTGGGAGGTCTCAGCAAAGCATTGCTACGTGTGTGTGCGCTCACACGTGTAGGTGTTTCTAGCCCATGTGTCTAACCCAGGTAGAACTTTGTTGTCCAAAGCATATGAACCTCATACTAGAAAGGACAATGACGATGTAAATGAGGGCTACCTCTTCCTTTCTGAGGGCGAGATCTTGAGGGAAAACAACCTTCCCTTTTCTCTGGGAATATACAGTATTTATCAAGTAACCAACTGACTCTACTTGAGAAGACCTGCATTCAAATCTCAATGGGAGGTTCTAGAGAGATAAGCTGAATTGAGGCTGAGGAAAAGGCAGTTGGGAGACAAAGCCCCCAAAATAACAATGACGGATTCTCTGTGCACATATGACTTCCTTGAATTTTTCATGCCTTTGGAGAGCTTTTTCCCCTTTTCTTACTTTTTCCTCAAATAAAGAGCCTGTTTCTCATTTCATTACCATCTCCACTTTACTCTTCAAGACTGTGTGATTTTAGATACATCTAATTCAACTGGATTTATTTGAGAAGCTTAGGAACTAATTTATTTATTCCATTGATTCTTACAGTTTGCCCACTACCCAGGGATTCTGGGCACATATAAATGATCTGCTTGAGACTGGCAAACAAGAACTGGTGATAGATGAAGAGTAAGCAAACAGTCTGAAAACATTAGTCAAAAGGACTCTTCCCTTCTAGAAATGCTTGGTTAAGCAAGTTGGTCTTACAGTTTTCTTGGATCTGGGCATTTTAGGCTCACACTGCTTGTCTTTTTGCTGACATGCACAAGAGAAGTGTTGCTAAGCCCCAGGGTAAGAGAGGAGTAATCAGAGAGGAGCCTCATGGGGCAGTGTGAGGGCAACGGGAGGCCAAGGGCACCTGCCACCCGCCTTGCAAAGGCCTGGGCTCTTCCCCTGGAGGGCTATTTGTTTTGTGATTCAATAAGGGAAAGGCTCTGGGGCAGATGATTATGTGTCCTCCAAAGGTCTCTAGTAGTTTCAACCTGGATTCAAGGAGAAAAAGGGAAAGACGCTAGTCCACACTAAAGAGAGGCCAGGAAGGGACAAAACTCTTCCTTTGTTGAAGGGAACCAGAGTTGAAGATCATCTGAAGATTCCCATTTGGGAGAAAAGCACTAATATTGAAACAATAGAAAGAAAACCAGGATGCTGTTGTTGGTCCTCCTTTTAAGTCCTTCCTGGGCTGAGGAGACCTTGGGGATACCACGCTGTTCCTGTCACTTGCTGTCAGTCTTTGAGCAAGCCACCTAGCTCTCTGGACCTCCCTTTTCTTGTATGAAAGATGACAAGGTCACCCTGCAGTAGAATTTTTCAAAGGATGTTCCCTGAGAGCCCTAGGAGCCACCAGGGAATGACTAGGGAAGGCTGTAGCCACTCCAACCAATCCAGCATACATTTTGTCTGGGAAAAGGAGTTCTGCTGGAAAAAGGAAATGTGAAAATCACTCCTCTTGGTGATTTCTAAGGTGCTTTCCAGTTCTACTATGCTTTTTCTCTAGCCAGTCTTTTCTCACAAATTTGGTTAACTAGTTTGGATCCAAATGTGGAATTGGGCAGCTTCTCTCAAAAGGATTCTGGAAACAAACTGCCAACATACCCTTCTTTAAGTTCATTCCCTCTACCAGGTGGGTCAAAGGCCTTTTGTTTTCTTCACAGTCAAAGTTCGATGGGATAAAGCGGCTGATTTTTAAAAAGGCAGCCTCAGAACAATGAGGCTTTGAATGGGCCTCTCAGCCCAAAGTGCTCTCTAAATGGAAAATATTATTACAGCAGGACTAATCCCTTTTTATAGCAATAAACGCAGACCCAGTCATGTAAATACATTGGCAGAATCAGCCAGATTTAACTCTGAATAGAAAATGTTTTTCAACAAGTAGGTCTGGCAGCAACAAATAAATGATGTGCTTAGCAAGAGGGGGAAGATGTGACCTTGGCCTTTTGAATGCACTCATATTTGGGATGCAGGAGAATGGAGACACCAAACAAAATTAGTGTATATTAATGTGCCGAACAACAGCGCACTTCTCATGATATCAGAGAAGCCTAAAGGCAAATTAAGCCTAAATAGGTCACCAGATGCTTTTTGGTTTTCTTAGTGACGGAGACAGATCTTCACAGCCCTATTTGCCTTTCCATCTAAAGCAGAAATTTTACCCAGGCAGCAGAGAGGAGGTAAGGGCATCCTGTCAAGCACCTCATAAATCCTCATTCACTGTGCCAGAGTCATGTGTCTGTGCAAGTGGATTCACTGTTTATTTAAAAAGCAAACCAGAGGCACTCCTGCATTTCTTCCCATTTGCCAGGCCATTTGTGTCTAGATCAATAACTCTGAGACTCCTACAGTCTGCTAAAACTTTCAACATTTTTAAAAATTTTTCATTCTCATGACTGATAGCATATTGTTGAGCAAACTTTTATTTTCTGGGGATGCATAAGTAGGAAAATTATGGGGAGGGGAGATTTGTTCGTTTTTCTGACACAGGGTCTTGCTCTGTCACCCAGGCTGGAGTGCAGTGGTGCAAACACAGCTCATCAATCCATGGGCTCCAGTAATCCTCCCACCTCAGCCTCCTGAGTAGCTGGGACTACAGGTGTGTGCCACCACACCTGGCTAATTTTTTTTATTTTTTGTAGAGACAAAGTCTCACTGTGAGTGTTGACCAGACTGTTCTCAAACTCCTGACCACAAATGATCCTCCTGCCTTGGCCTTCCAGTGTGCTGGGATTACAGGTGTGAGCTCCACCACACCTGGCCAGGAAATTGTTTTGAGCTGATAATTCCATGGTGTGATGGTGGAAGGAAACCTGGACCACAGTAAGCAGATTTGGATCTAACTCATACTTTTCAGTTTGCTATCTGTATTAACCTTGGGAAAAATGAGTTCATCCCTCTGAACCTCAGTTTCTTCATCTGCAAAATGGGGATGAAAAAACCTATTCTTGCCTGACATAATTACTCTGGCATCAAGAAATATAATGAAGCTTGCAAAAATGCTTCAAAAAGCTGAAAAGTATAACATATATTAATGAAATGCTTCCCTTAACAGTGAGTGCTCATTAAATGCCTGTTAAATGAATGACTATAAAGACTAATAAAAGAAACACTGTATTTGTTCATTTTTCTTTTATTTCTTTATGGCCGCTGCCCTGATTTAGATGTTCATCAGGAATTTCCAATCTCCTCCTAATGGCCCTGTCTTCTGCTCTGTCTCTACCACCGACTCTTTACTAAAGCTGTGCGTTCCTTCAAATGAGACCACAGATCTCGGAGCGTGCCCTTCTCCTCATTAAACCTTTTTCTGGCTCCCTGTCATCAATAAGACGAGGGTCCAGGTAGCTTAGCATAACGACACACAGGTTCCTTATGAAACTCCTCCTACCTACATACCCCTCCAGTCTATTTCTAAGCTCCAGCAGTGTTAAACTATTTTAAATGTTCCCTGGATGCATTTGTCCATATGCTGTTTCTCCCTGCCTGTCAGTCTGGTCTGACTGGGAAACTCTCTTTCAATTTTCAAAATCCAGCACAGACGTCATATGCACCAGGAAGCTTTCTTGACCCTACAAGAGAGACCTCAGCTGTCCCTCCTCTGTGGTTCCCTGGTACGTTAAGGATTTGTATTCTTGTGTTTATCATCTTAGCATTCATTGGCTTATGTGTCTCTGTCCACTACTAGATTGTGATCTGCCTGTAAAGAGGGATAGGATCTTACTTACACATTTTTTCCTTCTGTCCACACCACCTTGTTTAGTCCTTGGCTATCAGAAAAGTTGATGCTCTCAGGGGCCATTGAAAGGCAAGTCAGGATTTCTGCACCTACATTGAATGGTGCAGCTTGTTCTGCTTGGATTCCTTTTTGTTTGTTTGTTTGTTTGTTTGTTTGTTTGAGACAAGGTCTGATTCTGTTGCCAAGGCTGGAGTGCAGTGGTGCAAACATGGCTCATCACAGCCTCGACCCCTGGGCTCAAGTGATCCTCCTGCCTCAGCCTCATGAGTAGATGGGATCATAGGCCCCCACCACCATGCCTAGATAATTTTTAGATTTTTTGTAGAGACAGAGTCTCACTATGTTGCACAGGCTGGTCTCGAACTCAGGGGTTCAAGTGATCCTCCCACCTCGGCCTCCCAAAGTGTTGGGATTACAGGTGTGGGCCACCACACCAGGCTGGATTCTTCCTTCCCAACCTTCCTTCTTCTGTTCTTCCCTGCCTCTTTTCCTTCTTTCTTTCCAAATATTTTTGTCAACTTCCCTACTGAGAGTTGTCCCTGTGAGCCTGCTCTGTAGTGTCCTCTGTTTCCAACTTTCAGTGTGAAGGCTGAAGATGAGGCCACTGTATGTCTTACGGGGAAATGTGCCCTGACTTGGGTAGCTCTTATCCTTACCATTAATAATCCTTTATCAATCATCAGTCTCTGGTTAGCAAATTGTCTGGATTAACTAATAAGGACTAATTTAAATAAATTATACAGAGTACTGAAATATACTTACATATTTATAAAGATCAACAGTTCTCTATCCTATAACCAGTCCCTGAAATGGAATGAAATTACTATAAGTTTTCTGAATAAATGCATGCTACCGTGTACATGTATATGCATGTTATGTATGACATTGGCTATTAGAATTATTATTATCCTGGTTTTTCAGATGAGGGTGCTAAGTCACAAAAAGGTTAAATAATTTTCCTAGGGCCTTATAGGTAGCTAATGGTGGCAAGGTTAAAATCCAAGCTGTCTGAAAACCATAGATTTGGATAAATCAATATCCTTTCCTTTTCAGAGAATTAAAGCTTTGAACGATGTATAATTAGGCCATTTTAATGCCAAAAGCATTATTCCTTTTGTATGTATTTACAACTAAAATAGAGAAAATGGTGAAGGAAATATGGGAGAAAAGAACAATATTTTTTAGAAGTGGGATACATGCTGCAACATGGATGACCTTGAAAACATGCTGAGTGAAATAGGTGAGGCACAGAAGGACAAATATTGAATGATTACCCTTCTATGATGTTTCTAGTGTAGGCAAATTCGTAGAGATAGAAAGTAGAATAGAGGTTACCAGGGACTAGGGGAGGGGAAATAGGAAGTTATTGTGTAGTGGGTACCAAGTTTTTGTTTGGAATGATGAAAAAGTTCTGGAAATTGATGGTAGTGATGGTTGCACAACACTGTGAATGCACTTAATGCCGCTGACTTGGCACTAACTCTCAAAAATGGAGAAATATTATTTCTATTTTTCCACAATAAAAAAAATGAAAATAGGCCGAGCGCAGTGGCTCACGCCTGTAATCCCAGCACTTTCGGAGGTTGACACGGGTGGATCACCTGAGGTCAGGAGTTTGAGACCAGCCTGGCCAACATGGTAAAACCCCATTTCTACTAAAAATACAAAAATTAGCCAGGTGTGGTGGCATATGCCTGTAATCCCAGCTATTCCAGAGGCTGAGGTGGGAGAATAGCTGGAACCTGGGAGGCAGAGGTTGCAGTGAGCTGAGATTGTGCCACTGCACTCCAGGCTGGGCGACAGAGCGAGACTCCATCTCAAAAAAAAAAAAAAAAAAAAAATTAAGATAAAAAGCAAATGAGGAGGAATGCTAGCAGTTTTGTAAGACCAAAGCTTCCTCCTGAGGCAGCCAAAGAGGTGGGAAGCGTAATAGAGACTCTGACACTTGCTCTCAGCAAACAGAGTTTAATTAGTCAGGACAAGGCCTTTTTCACCAGCTCTTACCAGTGCACCAGAGGCTCAGAACAATTACTGTTGACAGCAAAATCATGTGGCAGGGAGAAAAACATCTTAAGTTTCCTCTTTAAAATTAGGGAATTATCCAGAGTAAATGCACTGTGTCTATATCAGGGTAACCGGGGTTAAATATATTCTGCATGCACTAAAACTGAAGTCATTTGAAATGCAAAGTGTTGTGTGAGAGGAAAAGCTGCTCATTTAGCTGACCTGGGTCAGAGCTGCAAAGCGGTAGTCCCATCCAGCCAGAAACTGTGTTTTATTTGACCTACAAACATGTTTCTCTTAGTTGCCAATATTTTAAAATCTGGCTATTTCTTACAAATATCTGGATTTCTAACTTTTCTTGAAAAATCAGAAGATGTGTGTTATGAGTATCATAGAGTGGGTAGTGGTTCTTCCCCATATTCCCTGGACGTGCAGAATTAATATTTCTATCCTATACTTAGTCTCATTCATTTATGTTCTCTGGTTGGCCTCTGTGGCCATTTGAGTTCCCCATATCAGATTTAAGTCTAACCTTTCCGTTTTTGTTTTAATACATTTTTTGTAGAGATGGAGTTCTCACTTTGCTGCTCAGGCTGGTCTCGAACTCCTGGCCTCAAGCAATCCTCCTGCCTTGGCCTCCCAAAGTGTTAGGATTACAGGCATGAGCCCCTGCGCCTGGCCTTACCTTTCCTTTATCTCACCTCCTTAGTAAAACTTTTCCGTCTTTCAACTTCCTTCCTTAGTATCTCTTCATTCCTGTAGTAGTTATTATGTCTATACCACTTGGTTCTTATCACATATTATTTTTTATAATGTAATGTAGGCATGCCAGAAAGTTCCATATTTTCTAAAAAAGAAAATTTAATTATTTTGCCTCACTCTCTATTTCTGTTTCTGAAGACATAGTCAATGAATATATCTGTCTCATGACCCCAGCTAGATTGTAAGACCCTCAAGTGCATAGACCATACCTTAAGATGTTGTGGGTTTTTTTGTTTTTTTTTGTTTTGTTTTGTTTTGCACAAGCATAGATTGAGCTGTTGTCCATAATAAATCAATAGGTTTGGGATTGCCTTTAAGAACAAAGATAACTCATGAGTGCAGACTGGCTAGATTATCAATGGCTAGAGCATAGATGAAGAAATGGACTTCATCTCTCGGGAAGTCAAGGCATTTTCCATATCCGATGGCATTAAATTATCATGTCTCATCCTTTTGCCAATCCTTGTCCTTGTTTAAAGGGCAGAAAGTGTGATGGACTCATGCAAATTCATCCTTCAGTCCTGGGGGAGGAATTCATGGCTTCTGGATTGGCTTGATTATTTTTGCACAAGGAGGCTTTTCCTAAGATGATAAAGGCATTTTTACCAAAAGAAGATAGCAGCTGTGTAAGTTCATGCTATAGCATTTTCAGTGAATCAATGTTTAATTATGATTATAACTGTAACTGATAATGACTTATGTGTTAAGAAGAATGGTGGCTCAGAGATGAAGAAGGGAGGCTATGACAAACAGAAATTTTAAGACAGGGTAAATGAAGTTCATTGTTATTGAGAAGTCACAGTAATTTATATTAATAGGAAAAACATTCTTGAAATTTAAAGAAAAAATGTGAAACTAAATAAAATGTTGCAAAAATTGAGTTTCAATGTCTTGACCCTGTGTAGTTTAATACTTTCTAGTAAAGTCAAATACAGGAAGTCCTTGCTTTGCATGGCCCCAATTAGTGTGATTTTGAATAAATTTTTTTTTCACTTAAAATGTGTTTTAGTCCTCATGTGTGGAAGGCACTGTGGGGAGTGAGACAAGATGGGATTATGGTATAAATTTTGCCCCCAAAGGAAGGAATTTTAGAATGAAGAAAGGAGATGGGGAATATACAAAGGGACTATAATACAAGTTAAATATGATTTTCTTTAATGATAAGAATTAAAATTTACTGTCAGCTACTTGCCAGGCTCTGGGCTAAATACTTTCCACGATTTAACTTATTTAACTTTCACAACCACTGGGTACCTCCTTTTTCAAAACAAACAAACATAAGATGTGACTTAAAGATGGTAAATGATTTGTCCAAGGTAACACAGCTAGAAACTGTGCTGCTAACCATTGTGCCCTGTTGACTTGTCTAAATCTGATAAATATCACGACAGAGGTGTAACTGGAAGGCAAGAGTCTGCTTCTACTTAGGAGAAGGCAAATTAAGGGAGGCTTCTTGGAGGAAGTGGCCTCACTAGTGGCATTTGACTCTAATTTTACTGTATGCAGAATTACTTGGATTCAGGGAGAGGACATTCAAAGAGGTCTTAGTATAAACAGAGGCAGGGTGTTAAAAAAAAAAAACTTAAGAATACAATTAGGGAGGACAAGAAGTTTGTGCTTGTCTGGAATTGGAGGATAAAAAAAGGTACAAATAAGCTGAGAAGGAAAAATTGGGATAAGATCACACAAGAAGGCTTAAATGCCAGGCGAAAGAGTTTGAACTTTGTTAAAATCAAGCAATAGTAGCTATTGAAACTTTTGAACAGAGAGGTGGAATGAGGAAAGGCTGTGTCTTGCAAGGAATACACTGGCCAACTATGTGAAGGGTGGATTAGATCAGGACAGTCTGGTCAGACAGACCAATTAGGAGCCCTGAAAAGTGCAGTGGCAGTGAAATGGAAAGGCATGAAATGAGAGGCAGAATGGATGGCATTTGTGATGACTGTGGCAGGGGAGGGTCTGGGAAGAGGGAGGGAGGAATAAAAGATAACCTGGTGAAAAATCTAGATAATTCATTATTTTCTTCCAATTTACACTTTGTTTCCGCTTTAACATTTATCTTTGATCCCCAGACAGAAGTCAAATCGGAATTTTGTTGCAGACTTCTTTTGTGAGATTCAGTGAATGCCAATGGAACAAAGCTCCTTAAATTATGAGCTGTAAAGCTTCATATCTCTTTTCCCAATGAAAATCTCATTAGCCTACCATTTGAAAAGGAGCATATTCAAATCTGACTTTGTTTGGCTTGTACGATTTGATCCCCTTAAAGTGATAGTTTTTTAGGAGTGTGGCAGGTAGCCTGAAATTTCAATTAGATAAGCTGGAGGTTTACCTGTTGGAAGAGAGAGAGATTATCTTCCTGTTGCTAGGTGATGGGTCTCTGAAGCAATAGCTCAGTCTTAAAGGAACAGGGCTGTTTTTAAGTTCCTTTTCTTTTGAAAACAAACATCAATTTAAAACTAACCCCAAATGCTCTGCTTGAGTTGTACACGGAATAAGACAGCTTGCCTGCTGTAGATCCACCAAACCTTCCGTTCACCCCAAATTTTCATGGACAAGCATCCTTTACTGTAACTATAGGGGATGGGCAACAGTGATAATGACTAGGATTAATGCTGGGAGCCGTCTTCATTGCTTTGTGTGCATTGTGGCTTCCTAATTTTATGATACAGGTACTATTTTTCTTCCCCTTAACGATAGTGTGACAGTTAATTTTATGTGTTGACTTGGCTAGACTATGGTACCCAGTTGTTTTGTCAAATGCAGTCTAGATATCACTGAGAAGGTATTTTGTGGATGTGATTGACATTTAAATTAGTACACTTTGAGTAAAGCAAATTACTCTCCATCATGTGGGTGGGCCTCATCCAACCAGTTGAATTGAATCTTGAGAGCAAAGATTGAGGTTCCTTGAGGAAGCAGAAACTTTCCTCAATACTGTAACATACAAACCCTGCCTTGAGTTTCTAGCATGCTGCCCTGTAGAACTCAAACTCAAGACTTGCAACATCAACTCTTATCCTCACTTCTCACCTGCTAGACTGTCCTGCAGATTTCAGACTTGCCAAATCCCACAACTGTGTGAGCCAATTTCTTAAAAGACATCAATCTCTCTTTCTCTCTTTGTCTCTTTTTTTCTCTCTAGAGCTATCTGTATCTCTATCTACCTACTTATCTGTCTATCTACTATTAGTTCTGTTTCTCTGTAGATCCCTGACTAATACAGATGGAGAAACTGAGGCCTGCACAGGCCATTTTGTTCAAGGAAACGCAGGTAAAAAATGGCAGAAGCAGTACTTGAAGGGATTCTGTTTGCAAGAGCCTAGTCTCCTAACAGCTAGACTAAGCTACCTCCTGCACATGGATAGAGAGTGATTAGTGGCAATTATATTCTATATCCAAAGCCCAGATAAGGAAAATTTATTAAATGAATTTTAAATTCCAAAGGAGGAGATGTAGATACTAGAAGAGACTCTGCTGGCCTTCTTCACCTGATTACGCCTCCTCTTGTCTTTGAGGCAGGAGCACCAATCTGACTCTGCCCAGGAGGTTTAGTTGCCTCTTTTTCCTGAGCTCTTTATTTGACCCAGTTCCCATGGATTCTGCATCTCCAGTTCCCTACAAATGGTTCTAACAGTGACTCACTCATACTTTTGGCTGGAGAAAGAAGAAGACAGTTTGTGTTTGAGTCCTGGGATAGGGACATTCACAATAGTATCACAAATATATTTCTCTTCTTTTAAAAACATAGTGGCTTAGTCTCTTTGGAGATTAGGGGTATATATACAATTTATAAAGCCATTTTAATATAGGAAAGCCTAGGCTTCTGAGGTGGAACTAGTATGGTCTAGGGTATGCAGGGGGTATGCCCCTCCAGATCCTGGAACTGCATGAAGGATGGTGATGCTGAAAGGTGCCATCTTCCCTGGACTATATTCACCAGGAACAATGAGAACTGAGTGTATATGGGGCCCAGGACCAAACTGGGAACTTCTATAAAAGAGCAATTTCTGGGGAATTCTCCCCTAAAAAATCTATACCCTAGCAATGGGATTCTGGAGTAGATTGTTTGTGCATCTGGCCACGATAATTTCCTTTTCTGTCCTTGGGTAGCACCCTCCCACACTAACTCTGGGTTTGGCCACGTGAGTTGCTTTGACTGATGGTACAGTAGCAAACATGACACAATTGGAAACTAGAAAAGTAGTCCCACTGAATGTTAGGACCTGCTCTTTCTTTCTGTTTTTTTTGGAACTCTTAGACTACTATGTGAAGAATCCCAGGCTAGCTTACTGGAGGATAACAGGCCACATGGACCTTCATGATAAAAACCTTAAAAAAAAACTGGGTATAGAAGGTACATACCTCAAAATAATAAAAGCCATATATGACAGACCCACAGCTAATATTACACTGAATGGGGAGAAACTGAAAGCCTTTTCTCTAAGATCTAGAACAAAACAAGGATGCTTACTTCCACTGCTGTTATTCAGCATAGTACTGCAAGTCCTAGCTAGAGCAATCAGACAAGAGAAAGAAAGAAAAGGCATCCACATGGGAAGGGAGACATCAAATTACACTTGTTTGCAGATGATATAATCTGATACTTAGAAAAATCTAAAGACTCTACAAAAAAACTAATATGACTGATTAAAAAATTAGTAAAATAGCAGGATACAAAATCAACATACAAAAGGTATTAGCATTTCTATATGCCAACAGTGAACAATGTGAAAAAGAAATTTTAAAAGTAATCCCATTTACAATAGCTACAAAAATTAAACATCTAGATCTCTATAATGAAAACTGTAAAATGCCAATGAAAGAAATTAAAGAGGACACCAAAAAATGGAAAAATATTTCATGTTCATGAATTGGAAGAATCAATACTGTTAAAATGTCCACACTACTCAAAGCAAACTACAGATCCAATGCAGTCCCTATCAAAATACCAATGACATTCTTCACAGAACTAGAAAAAAAATCCCAAAATTTAGGATTTGTTTCTGCATTCTCTATTCTGTATAGCCAAAAATATCCTAAGCAAAAAGAACAAAACTGGAAGAATCGTACTACTTGATTTCAAATTATACTACAGAGCTATAATAACCAAAACAGCATGGTACTGGCATAAAAACAGATACATAGGCCAATGGAACAGAATAGAGAACCTAGAAACAAATTCATACACCTACAGTGAACTCATTTTCAACAAAGGTGCCAAGAACATACACTGGGGAAAAGACAGTCTCTTCAATAAATGGTGCTGGGAAAACTGGATATCCATACGCAGAAGAATGAAAGTAGACCACTATCTCTTGGCATATAGAAAAATCAAATCAAAATGGATTATAGAGTTAAATCTAAGATTTCATACTGTGAAACTACTGCAAGAAAACATTGGAGAAGATCTCCAGGACATTGGTCTGGGCAAATATTTCCTGAGTAATACCCCACAAGCATGGGCAGCCAAAGGAAAAATGGACAAATGGGATCACATCAAGTTAAAAAGCTACTGCACAGTAAATGAACCAATCGATAAAGTGAGGCGACAACCCACAGAATAGGAGAAAATATTTGCAAACTACCCATCTGACCAGGGATTAACCAGAACATATAAGGAACTCAAACAACTCTACAGGGAAAAACTAATAATCTGATCAAAAAATGGGCAAAAGATTTGAATAGACATTACTCAAAAGACATACAAACAGGAAACAGGCATTTGAAAAGGTGATCAACATCACTGATCATTAGAGAAATGCAAATCAAAACTGCAATGACATAGCATCTCACCCCAGTTAAAATGGCTTATGTCCAAAAGACGGGCAATAACAAATGCTGGTGAAGATGTGAAAAAAAGGGAACCCTCGTACACTGTTGGTGGAAATGTAAAGTAGTATAACCACTATGGAGACAGTTGGAGGTGTCTCAAAAACCTAAAAATAGAGCTACCACAAGATCCAACAATACCATTGCTGAGTATATATCTAAAAGAAAATAATCAGTATATGGAAGAGATATCTACATTCCCATGTTTGTTAGAGCAAACTATTCACAATAGCCAAGATTTGGAAGCAAACTAGGCATTCATCAACAGATGAATGGATAAAGAAAATGTGGTACATGTATACAATGGAGTACTATTCAGCCATAAAAAGAACATCCTGTCATTTGCCACAACATGGATGGAACTGGAGATCATTCTGTTAAGTGAAATAAGCCAGGCACAGAAAGAAAAACATCACATGTTCTCACTTATTTGTGGGATCTAAAAATCAAAACAATTGAACTCATGGACATAGAGAGTAGAAGAATGGTTACCAGAGGCTGGGAAGGGTAGTGGGTGGTTGGGGAAACGTGGAGATAGTTAAAGGGCACACACAAAAATAGAAAGAATGAATAAGACCTACTATTTGATAGCACAACAGGGTAACTATAGTGAATAATAACTTAATTGTACATTTAAAAATAACTAAAAGAGTATAACTGAGTTGTTTGTAACACAAAGGATAAATGCTTGAGAGGATGAATAACCCATTTTCCATGATGTGATTATTATGCATTGCATGCCTGTATCAAAACTTCTCATGTACCCCATAAATATGTACACATACTATGTGCCCACAAAAATTAAAAATCAAAAAAATTTTTAAAAGATGCCATCTGGAGCAGAGATGATTCATCTCAGTTGAGGACCCTGGACCAATCAGCCTGCCAATTGCCAATAATCTGAGTGAGGCCATCTCACCAGTTGGCCATAGTGCATGAGAGTGCTGGACAGATTTAGCTTAGCCATTCCAGAAGAAAATCCCTGCCGACCCACAGAATTTCAAGCTAAATAAAATGTTGTTTATTTTCTTCGTTTAAGAGGTATTTGTTATGCAGCAAAAGCTAACTGATAGATAACACCACCCTTCATTAAATAAAGATACCATTTCCTCCCAGCAAGTTTCTAAAACAGGTGTCTATCAACTTAAATAGACCCAAGATACCCACAAGCTGTTAACCTTAAGAAAGGAACTTGAATTTATTTCCTTTCTATACTTTATATAATTTATGATTTATACTTAATCCAATTGTTACAGCACACCAATACTAAAGCATACTAACTTTTTCCAAAGTAAAAATTCAACAGATAAGAATATTTCATAGTAAATTTTGGAGTTTCTTTTGTATCTTGATGTTGGTATGATAAAAGGACATAGCAATGTCAGTATTGATGACATTTACAATTTAGATAATATTTACATTTCCAAAAATACCCAACTGCTGTTAGACAATTCTAACAGTATTTTGATAAATAGATACAAATATATATTCTAATATGTTATCAGAATAAAAGTTTTATAAGAGCAGCCCTCTTGCCTGTTTGAGTCATTGCTTATCCACAGAACCTAGAATCTGTAGCAAAGTAGATGCTCAGTAAGTATTTGTTTAATGAATAAATGCATGATTATGGACCCAAATGACTTGGTTAAGTGTGTAGCTCCTTTAGGGTACTATAGAACATTTTAAAACTTTTTTTATTATTTATCAAATGTATGGATCACTGTCTTCACACTGCTTAGTTATCTTTTCAGCATGATTACTAGGGTTAAAATATTCATATAATGCTTTTTTAGAAGTAACATGTTAATTTTCCTTAAGTTCTGCAAATCGTCAACCATTCCAAAAGAGCTCTACACTGTCACTACTTGTATTATCTCTATTTACATTCCCTTTAATCTAACAAGGAAGCGACCTCTCCAAGACCTGTAATAATTGATAAGACCATTAATTATGCAATCTGAAGGCACCAACCACAATGGTAAGCAGAGTCATTTTTGTCTGAATGAATGCCAATCGTGTTCTCAAGCATGGGCTGCTCTATTAAGAAAGAGTATTGAGAAAACAAAGAAGCATTTGGGCTGTGGTTTAATCAGATATTTTTTAAAAGGCTATTGGATTCCAGCTGTGTAGGCAATGATTGAACTGAAACTGAGTTCTTAGTCCTGCCTGCCTGATTGGAATCACTCAGTGTTTTTAAAAAATATTCTATATGGTATATTGGTATGAGTATATAGGAACTCTCTGTACTCTTTGCTCAATTGTTTTGTAAATCTAAATCTGCTATAAAGAATGAAGTCTACTAATTAAAAAAAAAAGATGCCAACACACACACACATACACACATGCAAATGCTGATTCCTGGTTCCCACTCCAAACCAAATGAATCATAATTTCAGAGGCTGGGGTCTGTGCATCAGAATTTTTTTAATGCTCGCTAGAGGTTTCTAATATGCAGCTAGGTTTGTGAAGGATTGCCTTAAAGGTACTGTAGCTTTTCTGGCTAATGGAGTAGCCCCTTGATGGCAAATGGGTAAAGGAGTTTGATTTTGCTTTAAAATGTCTATTGGATGTTGAATGGAAATGATGGATAGAAGTGTTACAGGCCTAGAATTGTGCTAATGTCTGAAAATAGGGAAGCACTACTCAGCAAATCATCAATCACAACTGTGCTTACACGGAATCTTCTAAGAAGGAGCACCGTTGAAATCAGAGGTCTCCTTACTGTGTGACAGCCTCTGCTGCCTGTCTGTGCAAGACAATGGGCCTGAATTTAGCAACTGTGTGCACAGTGTGTTCAAGGGGACAGCCCTCTGTTCCCATATGTTTACAGTGAGATAGCCTAAGGGTTGGCTTAGGGTCCTAATTATGGTAATATCTGAGCATCCTTCAAGATAAACTGCAGGCAAGATTCTAACTAATGAGCTCATTTCATCTGAAGCAAAAAGTCCACGTACTTCACAAGAGAGACGCGTATCCATCAAGTCTGAGTGAGGCTTGGGGCCCACAGAATGTGTTCTATTCATGCCATTTAACATCTTTTATCAGTGGCTCTCAGAGCACTTTATAAACATTAACTCTCACTGCACTCTTAGGAAAGTTACTGATAATGGGGGAAAGCCCTAGCCTTGGGTCACCCCAGGAGATCTGGCTGCTACTGCTCCAGATCCTTCAGGCGCTGCTCACAGCCCAGCCTGGGGGAGGCAAGAGGAAGGAATGAGCAGTGCTTGGTAGCAAAAGAGAAAGCGTGGAAAGTGGTAATTCTGGTCCATGTTCTGACTCAACATTGGCAAATCTCAGACTTCAGCATCTCCACTGAGAAACAGGATGATGTCTCTTCCCAGTTTAAAGGGATTGTCTCAAGGTGGGGACTCTGCCTCTCTTAGGGGGTCCTCTTGCTCCTTCAAGCCCTTAAATGTGGTTTCCTCCCAGGCAATCCAGTATCAGTGAGGAGTGTGAGAGTTAGTCTGACTGGGTTCAGGTTCTAGCTCTGTGGCCTTGGGCTAATGACTCAACTTGTCTGGGCTGCAGACCCCCCTCCACACCACACCCCCAAATGAGGTTTATCCTACAACCCATCACACAGGGCTGTTGTGAAGATTAAGGTAAAGGAGGGTTAGGATTCTGCCTGTGCCTTAAACTCTGTGCAAACTGTTTTAGACACTGTCAGGAACATAGTTCTCCATAAATGTGACTGTTATTGCTGCTAAGGTTTCTTCTTATCCTTGGCTTATGACAGGGTTAGGGAGACCATTAGGAGACCATTACAGAATCCAGGCAAGATGGCATGGAGGCCTAGTTTGGAGAAGTGGGCAGATCTGAGAGCTATGTGAGATACAGAGCATTGGTTAGGCTACCATTTCATCCATGGTTGAGGCTTCAGGGTCTTCCTTTGGGCTTCTGATTCTGTCCTTTCTAGGGAATCCCCATTGTATTTCTTTCCTAAGGCTGCTGTAACCGCAGACTAGGGAGCTTAGAACAATAGAAGTTTGTGGCCTCACAGCTCTGGAGGCCAGAAGTCTGAAATCAAGCCTCCCTCTAGGATTCCAGGAAAGAATCTGTCCCATACTTCTCTTCTTGCTTCTGGTAGCTTCTGACAATCCTTACATTCCTTGGATTGGAGCTGTATTCCTCCAATCTCTGCCTCTGTCTTCACATGGTCACCTTTCCTGTGTGCCTCTGGGTCTAAATTTCTATAAAAATGTATATAAATTAGTCCAAATTTATAAAGACACCCGTCATTGGGTTAGACTTACCCTACTCCAGCATAACCTCATCTTAATTTGATTATATCGGCAAGACCCTCTCTCCAAGTAAGGTTACATTTACAGGACTTAGGGATTAGGACTTGAACATGTTTTTGAGGGGCACAGCTCAACCTGCCCACAATACCTTTTAAGAATGCCAGTCATGGCCGGGCATGGTGGCTCATGCCTATAATCTCAGCACTTTGGGAGGCTGAGGTGGGCGGATCACCTGAGGTCGGGAGTTTGAGACCAGCCTGACCAACATGGAGAAACCCCATTTCTACTTAAAAAATGTAAAAATTAGCTGGGCCTGGTGGCGCATTCCTGTAATCCCAGCTACTTGGGAGGCTGAGGCAGGAGAATCACTTGAACCCGGGAGGTGGAGGCTGCGATGAGCTGGGATCGCACCATCGTGGGCAACAAGAGCAAACCTGACTCAAAAAAAAAAAAAAAGAAAAGAAAAGAAGAATGCCAGTCACAGCAAAAACAATTCAGTAGCCAATGGCATGGTTTTGCTTTCATGAATTGTACTTCCATCACCTGCTAGATGCCTCCTTTGCCCCAGGTAGGCTGGGAAGGAGGGTCTTGGCAGATAGGATGATGCCACCCTCCTTGGGTGTAGACTCCCTCTGGGTGAGCCCCAAGTGTTTGAGCATCGAAGAGACTCTGGAAACTTGGATCAGCCTCTCACAGGCTTTGCAGGAGGCAACAGGGGACTCCCTTAACCAGCTCTCACAGGCAAGCATCAGCCAACAGCTCTTTGCTACTTTATCAGGGCTTTGGGGCATTAAAACTGATGCCTTATCGCCTAACAGCAGATGTTATTCCTGGGGCTTCTCGAAGTAACTTATCACATTCACCAATATTAAACATACACTTTTACAACAAACACAATTCAAATGCTTCAAAAGCAGACTTCCAAGAACATACACAACAGCAGGATTACTACATTACCTCTAAACATTTCTTTATTACCAATACATGTCAACTCTTTTGAATATTCAAGTCCTGTTTCTTAAAACACAGACCTGACCACCATTAAAACATTTGCTTTTTACATACAATTCAGCTTATCAATGGCCTACCAGATAGGCAGAGCTTATACATTTTCTTCCCAGGGACACTGGCCTACCTGAGGATTCTTTAATGCCTCAGGAGAGGTATAATCAATGTGATTATAACTGACAGGAAGTGGGCACGAGAGAGGGGGTGAAGTAAAAGATGAGGTGAACTTTCTGGTTTGGGTAATTTAAGGTATATTTGCCATTTCAACAGATGGCATGTTGGAGGAGGAGTTGGTATGCGTGTGGAGGTGTATTGAAAAAACAGTTTTTCCTCTGCTCTCATGCCAAAGTGTGGGGAGGGGGAGTTTCCCAACACACCAAGCAAGCAATCAATTCTTTTTTTTTTCTATTTTTATTATTTTATTTTATTTTTCCATAAGTTATTGGGGTACAGGTGGTATTTGGTTACATGAGTAAGTTCTTTGGTGGTGATTTGTGAGATTTTGGTGAACTCATCACCTGAGCAGTACACACTGCATCATATTTGTAGTCTTTTTTTTTTTTTTAAGAAGGAGTTTCGCTCTGTTTCCCAGGCTGGAGTGCAGTGGCGTGATCTCGGCTCACTGCAACCTCCGCCTTCCGGGTTCAAGTGATTCTCCTGCCTCAGCCTCCTGAGTAGCTGGGACTACAGGAGCGTGCCACCACACCTGGCTAATTGTTTATTGCATTTTTAGTAGAGATGGGGTTTCACCATGTTAGCCAGCATGGTCTCGATCTCCTGACCTCATGATCCACCCGCCTTGGCCTCCCAAAGTGTTGGAATTACAGGCGTGAGCCACTGTGCCCAGCCCATATTTGTAGTCTTTTATCCCTCACCCCCCTCCCGCTCTTCCCAAGTCCCCAAAGTCCGCTGTATCGTTCTTAAGCCTTTGCATCCTCATAGCTTAGCTCCCACACTTCAGTGAGAACATACAATGTTCGGTTTTCCATTCCTGAGTTGCTTCACTTAGAATAATAGTCTCCAATCTCACCCAGGTCACTGCAAATGCTGTTAATTCATTCATTTTTATGACTGAGTAGTATTCCATCATAGTTTCTTTATCCACTCATTGATTGATGGGCATTTGGGTTGGTTCCACGATTCTGAAATTGTGAATTGTGCTGCTATAAATATGTGTGTGCAAGTATCTTTTTCATATGATGACTTCTTTTCCTCTGGGTAGATACCCAGTAGTGGGATTGCTGGATCACATGGTAGTTCTACTTTTAGTGTTTTAAGGAATCTCCACACTGTTTTCCACAGCGGTTGTACTAGTTTACATTCCCACCAGCAGTGTACAGTGTTCCCTGTTCACCGCATCCACGCCAACATCTACTGTTTCTTTATTTTTTGATTATGGCCATTCTTGCAGGAGTAAGGTGGTATCGCATTGTGGTTATGATTGCAAGCAATCAGCTCTGCAGGGAATACCAGATGGGTGTCCTCCAATTCAATTCCGACACTGTCTATCTGGAGATAGTGTCAAATCCCACAAGTTGAGGGCTCAGTCCCACGAGACTGCCCCCAACTTCCAATGCCTATCACAAATCCCAGGTGCTTCTTACCAACCAACTGTAAATCGAGATTCCTAAAATCTCCTTTTTGGGGTTGATTAATTTGCCAGAGCAACTCACAGAACACAGGGAAACACAGTTACTGGCTTATTATAAAGGATGTTACAGAGAACACACATGGAGAGGCACATAGGGCAAGGTATGGCGAAGGGACTAAGAGCTTCCATGCCCTCTGGGGATACCACCTTCTGGGAACCTCCAGATGTTCAGCGGTCCAGATGCTCTCTCTATGTAACCCGTCCACTTGGGCCTTTTATGGAGATTTCACTGGATAGGCATGATTGAAGATGGAACAACTGTTATTGGACGGAGAGGGTAGGAGCTAATACTAATGGACAGTGTCAGGGAAACCCAGCAAGGCCTGCTCAGATTCTTCTTGGCCTCTTTGTGCAGTGTTCCTCCTCCAGGGGATGGGGCAGGACCTCTTTTGAAATGAGGGTCTCATGACCTACACTCAGACCAGGTAGGTCAGAGAATTTATGACCAATTCCAAGATAAAACCGCAGGGGAAGATTAGAGCGTATTTTTAGATTCTATGGCCTGCCTTGGGGAGGAATAAAAAGGCAGGTGAAAGGAGGGCAGGAAAAAAATCAGGGAGAGAAAGAGAGTCGGCTTTTCAAGGCCTGCTTCTGAGGCCTAAAGCACCCCAACATTATGGTAAAAGACTGTCTTTCACCTTTATCGTTCTGAAGTTGCTTTGGAACCAAGGATGAAAGGCCAAATACTTGAACAAAAGATATGCTTATTTATTGTTTTGGTTACTTAGGAAATAACAAGGGTGATGAGAGTTAGAAGCCAGGAACCCTGAAGGAAAACTTGTGTGTGTGTGTGTGTGTGTGTATACTATTATATGTGTGTATATATATGGTATATATATATATATATATATATATATATATATATATATATATATGTAGGTGTATATATATATGTGTGTATATATATATTCACAAGTGGGGAGGGGCTACAATGAATTCAAGTCTGAACAGGTTAAGTTTGAAATGTATTATGGGGCATTCAAGTGGAGCCGTCTGGAAGTTCAGGGGCTCTGTGGGTCTGAAGTTCTGAAGTGAGGTCTGTCCTGTAGATGTTGACTTAGGCATCATCAGCTTATGGTGGTAACTGGGCCAAAGGGTGTGCAGAGTGAGAATGAAATTGAAGCTGGGATGGAGCTGGGGGTTGGGGTGGCCACCAGCACTTATGCAAGGAGGATGAGCGCCAAGGGGAGCCTGCAGGATGGGACCACGGCGGCGGGGGGGTGGGTAAGGGGCATGAGAACAAGAGGTGAGAGACAAATAGGGAGTCTGTTGTGACAGGAGAGGGACAGAAACTATGAGCTGTTTGAAGAAGGAGCTGGTGATTACCAGGATAAACTGTTGCTCAGCTGTCCAGCCAGATACGGACTAAAAAGCATCTGTTTAATTTTAGGAGAATAAGGTGCTTGGTAGAGTGGAAAGGATGTGAGTCTGAAGGTAGCAGTTGGGGAATGAAAAATTAGATTATACAAAGTATAGAAAATTATTTGAAGAAAATTGGCTGGAAAGGGGTGAGAGAGAGTGAGAGAGCAGTAGCTGGAAGTGAACATGGAATTTTGTTTTTCTTTAAGGTGGGTAAGGCTTAAGCACATTTATGTGTACCTGGGAGAAAACCAGGAGAAAAGGGGGTCTCGAAGGTCTAGGGGAGAGAGAAAGAGATGGAATGATAAATGGAATGACATCCCTGAGAAGGCAGGAGATGCTGGAATCCAGAGGCCTGGACCAGGGGAAGCACCTCTTTTTTTCTGTAAAAGATGTTTCTCATATTCAGGCTCAGCCTGACAACTCTCCTGCTCTGTTAGCCTCACTTCCTGAAATGCCTAGGTGTTTGCAAAGAGGCTTTCTCCTTCTCTCCTTCCCTTCCCTTTCTTCCCTCCTCACGTCTGTCCTGATTCTGTTATTTTCTTATGATTCCCCTCCCCATCTATAAGGAACTCCAGTTATACAAAGAGATACCTGTCTAAGTTGCCCCAAACAGGGCTCAGCATACCCACCACCTACTCAAGCATTCCTAAGAATACCTGCCTACTGCCTACTTCCCACAACAAGAATGAACTCTGGGTTATTTTCAACATCCTCATCATCACATTAATTGCTAACTTATATATTTTCAGTCAGTCTTACATGCCAACGTTCACATTTCTCTCCACACAAGTGAATCACTGATCCCTCCAGAAGCCCTCCTCGTCCTTATCTCCCTGACTCCACTCCTGCTGTTTTCCTACATTGAAATAACCTGCCCTGTGTTCCCAGCACCCCAAAACCCCTGCCCATCCTAGATGGCCCAACTAAAGTGTCAATCAAGCCCTGTTTCTTCTGTGCTTTGATGGAGTTGTCCCCAGCCATCGAACCACATTCCCACATTCTCCTCTCTGGTCATCTGTCACATGTAGCACCATACAGGTAAGTTCTTCCTTTCCTATGGATAAGAACCATCTGATCTACAGTGAGGTTATAAAGTCCTTGAGGGCACGTCCCATCACTCTTGATACCATCCCTGCGTTCTCTGCCATACCTAGAACAGCTGAGAGAGATGACCCTTGATGTGCATAAATAGTCCCTTGAGAAATGGGAAATAGGTTAGTTTAGTCCAAACAGGAATAGGCAAACTGATGAGGGTGGAAAGAAGATTGAATCTCATGTCAGCCCAGAAAAGTGAAGAAACTTGCTTAAGTCATACAATTATTTAGTGACAGAGCTAGGACTTGAACTCAGAACTTCAGACTTTTGGACAAATATTTTTCTCCTTATACCACATGGATTCCCTCAGGTTTTGCTGATAATATCAGAACTCTCAGGCAGAATTTGCTTCAACTTGAAGTGGTAGTTAACTCTGATTGCTTTTCGTGCTCTATGTTCTCCAGACATTTGAGCGTCTCTGACTCTAGCTCATTGTCATGTACATCTTCCTTCAGGGAATGGGAAGCACCGTCTTCAAAGTGTCCCTAGAGATCCTCCAGCTCCTTCTTGAATACCTCCATCACTGGGAAGCTCATGGTCTCAAGGAGGCAGGTGAATTACATGGCCACTCTATTAATAATGTTAAGTTAGCTACCAATGGGTTTAAATTAGAAAGTCTCATGGGACTTGTTTCCAGAATGTGGTGAGTGGTGATAATCAGATTAAGTGATTATTATATAATCAGAATGGGTTTTAGTCATCCATCTTGAGGTGAATACCAGTTGCCAATGTTACCAGATTAAGCTGATCACTGTTTGAAGCCAAGTCATTTCTCATGGAACATAGCTCCTCCATAACCACTTATTCTTGGAGGCGCTGCATGTGAAGGAGTTTGCAGTGAAAGAACAAACTTGGCTTTACCACAACAGGTCACTAGGTTTGTTCAATGGTTTGTTAACATTAAATGGTGACAGAAGTCACCATTGTGGATACAACAAAAGACAGAATAAAATACAAACTTCTGGAAGTATTTAATGCTAAGTCAACATTTGACTTAATTCCTTTGAACTAATGATGGTTCTCCTTAATTTCATTTTTAAAAATTTAACTTTTATTTTAAGCTCAGGGGTACATGTGCAGGTTTGTTATATGAATTATATAAGTAAACTTGTGTCATGGGGGTTTGTTGTTCACATTATTTCACCACCCAGGTATTAAGCCTAATACTCATTAGTTATTATTCCTGGTCTGTTTCCTTCTCTGACTGTATTAGTCAGAGTACTCTATGAGTTCTCTATTGGGACAGAACTAATAGGATATATATATATATATATATATATCCCATTATCCTAATATCCTAATATATATATATGAGTTTATTAGGAGAATTGACTCACACGAACACAAGGTGAAGTCCCATAATTGGACGTCTGCCAGCTGAGGAGCCAGGAAGCCACTTTGAATCTCCAAACCTCAAAAGTAAGGAAGCCAATAGTGCAGCCTTCAGTCTATGGCCAAAGGCTAAGCTGAAGGGCCCCTGAAAAACCACTGATGTAAGTCCAAGAGTCCAAAAGCTAAAGAACTTGGAGTCTGATGTTTGAGGGCAGGAAGCATCCAGCACAGGAGAAAGACGGAGGCCAGAAGACTTAACCAGTCTAGTCTTCCCACGTTCTTCAGTCTGCATTTATTCTGGCCATGCTGGCAGCTGATTAGATTGTGCCCATCCAGATTGAGGGTGAGTCTGCCTTTCCCAGTCCACTGACCCAAATGTTCATCTCCTTTGGCAACACCCTCACAGACACGTGCAGGAACAATACTTTGCATTCTTCAATCCAATCAAGTTGAAACTCAGTATTCACCATCACATCCATCTTCTACTCTCCAATAGGCCCCAGTGTGTGTTATTCCCCTTAATGTGTCTATGTGTTTTCATCATTTAGCTTCCACTTATAAGTGGAAACATGCAGTATTTGGTTTTCTGTCCCTGTGTTAGTTTGCTAAGGATAATGGCCTCCAGCTCCATCCATGTTCCTGCAAAGGACATGATCTTGTTCTTTTTCATGGCTGCATAGTATTCCATGATGTATATGTACCATACTTTCTTTATCCAGTCTATCATTGATGGGCATTTAGGTTGATTCCATGTCTTTGCTATTGTGAATGGTGCTGCAGCAAACATATGCATTCATGTGTCTTTATAATAGTACAATATATATTCCTTTGGATATCTACCCACTAATGGAATTGCTGAGTTGAATGGCATTTCTGTTTTTAGGTATTTGAGGAATCACCACACTGTCTTCTACAATGGCTGAATTAATTTACACTCCCACAAATAGTGTATAAGCGTTCCTTTTTCTCTGCAATCTTGCCAGCATCTGTTATTTTTTGACTTTTTATTAATAGCCATTCTGACTGGTGTGAGATAGTATCTCATTGTGGTTTTGGTTTGCATTTTTGTAATGATCAGTGATGTTGAGCTTTTTTTCATATGATTGTTAACTGCATGTATGTCTTCTTTTGAAAAGTGTCTGTTCATGTCCTTTGCCCACCTTTTTTTTTTTTTTTGAGGTGGAGTCTTGCTCTGTCGCCCAGGCTGGAGTGCAGTGGCATGATCTCAGCTCACTGCAACCTCTGCCTCCCGGGTTCAAGCAATTCTTTTCTCTCAGCCTCCCGAGTAGCTGGGACTACAGGTGCCTGCCACCATGCCCAGCTAATTTTTGTATTTTTAGTAGAGATGGGATTTCACCTATTGTCCAGGCTGGTCTCAAACTCCTGACCTCAGTTGACCTGCCCACTTTAGCCTCCCAAAGTGCTGGGATTATACGCATGAGCCACCGCGACCGGCCTGCCCACTTTTTAATGGGGTTGTTTTTCTCTTGTAAATTTGTTTAAGTTTCTTACAGATGCTGGATATTAGACCTTTGTCAGATGCATAGTTTGCAAATTTTTTCCCATTCTGTAGGTTGTCTACTCACTCCATTGGTAGTTTCCTTTGTTGTGCAGAAGCTCTTTAATTAGATCTCATTTGTCAATTTTTGCTTTGTTGCAATTGCTTTTTCCATCTTCATCATGAAATCTCTGCCTGTTCCTATGTCCAGAATGGTATTGCCTAGGTTGTCTTCCAGAGTTTTATAGTTTTGGGTTTTACAGTTAAGTCTTTAGTCCATCTTGAGTTAATTTTGTATATAGTTTCTTTCATAATTTGTTTTATATTTTCCAACATTTTAAATCTGTAATGTGCTTTCTGTTTTAAAACAGATCTCTGTTTTAAAACATCTGAGTCATTATTGTTATTTTTCTAAAGTAGCATTGCAAATCATGTAAGTAAACAAAATTTTCCAGTCCCATCATGAAAAATATATTACCAATATTACTAGGCCCCAACAGACAGACAGCCTGCTATAAAATAGCAAATTCAGCATTATTGACTAGTGGGATGAGCTCATTGTATATCACATTAATTAATGCATAATCTTTCTTTAAATATTTTATTTCTAATCCCCTCTCCTCCACCAAGTTATCATAAAATCTTGTTTTATTCCCCCCCCCAGGGAAATTGTCAAAATTCTGCTGCTGTTGACATTGGCCCTCAAATTATAACACACAAGCCACACATTTTAATCCCATTACCCATAAATTTGATGCTACAAGTTATATGTAGACCATAATTCATTTCTAGAAATTGTTGTCATCAAGCAACTGCCATAAAGCAAGCTATATTTTCCCATGGGAACTGTGTGATAACTGGGGTTGCATTTCTGATCTAGAATGCAATATCAAATAAATATGGCTATGTGAAATATGTGTCATAAAATCAAATATACAAAACGATTAACCTCTTCATTTAACTAAAGTAATAATGCCTATAAATTAGGCATAAATGTACTGCGCACATTATACAACAGGCTCCCAATGGGCCATAGAGTGCACAAATGGCACATAAAAATTATGAGTGGCCAAATCAAAGAGGTGACCTAAAATAAAAGCTGAAATTTACTTTATATCATAAATTAACAATACTTTTGTGTGCCTTATTAGGCAATGGAAAAAGTTCCTCTGGGTGGATGTTCGCACTACAAAACCCCTGAGATCACTTCAGAGGACGAGACTTGGGTTGTGTGAATGGTGCTGTTAGTGGTGGGGCTGGGTGAAAAGAGAACTGGATTGGGGTTCAGGCCACTTCAATTAAACCTAGTTGCTTCCCATGAGCTAGGCAATGTACAAGATTCAGGCTTAGCTGCAGCTGAGGTTTTTGGACCTCACTTCCTTAGCTATTGAATGAAATATTGGAGTAATGACCACCAGCTCTAAACCCTCATGACTCTATAACCTAGAAGGGCTTTATGAAGACGACTTGGATGGTCAGCTTTCCTAAGAAGCTATCTATGGAAGTTTAGGCTAATAATTTTTGTACTTTACTATAAAAATTCAGCTTTAGCAAAGCAGAGTGACTCAATGTCATTTCATCCACATTGGGGATGTCTGAAAATATTTTAATATTCCCTCTGTCTGGGGATGAACATGAGACAAGGTTGAGGAGTAGAACATATGTCTTACTGAAAAGTTTACTCAAGATGACAAGAAAGGACACCAACCTCCCTCTTACCTTTCACATCTCCTAGATTTAAAGCTGCTCAAGATCAAACCACATAAAAGTTACTGGGAAAAAATAAGCCCGTCAAATTATTTTAATAGTCACTCTGTTTAGGGATAGACATGAGATGAGGTCCAAAAATTATTTTACTGGACATATGGTTGGACATTGTCAAATTAATTCACACTTCATTAGGAACCTGTGAAAATGAAAAGTACCTTTCCATTTCTGGCAACACAGTGGTCTTGATATCATACTGACTCTGCCTCTGAAAGTATTTAAAAATTATTTTCAAATGCATCTATGGGCTAGCAAGATACTCAGATACCAAAAGCTAAGTTAAAGCTTTAACTTATAGAAGTAAATAAAGCACCAAATCACCCTTTCAACATGAGTGTACTTACTGAAACCCAGTGAATTTGAGCTTGGTTTTCAAAGCCTTGTGGGGATGGGGACATTTTTACAAAATCCAGGACCCACCACCCATGGAGTATCTAATTAAAGGTCTCATGCGTAAAGCTGATTGTTAAAAGGCAATGTCCTGAGGGTAACAATGAAGTGAAAATAAATCTGCACATGGGTTGATGCAGGAGGGGAAACTACAAGGAAACTGCCCATCTTGAATCTTGGAGCTGAATAGAGGAAAAATTAATCTTTCTTGAGAATTCAGAATTATAAGCTTACCGTCATATGTATTTGTTACCAAAATTTACAATATCTTGTGACTTCTAAAACCTTAAGGCAAGGGTAGATTAAAGTAGTCCAGGGATGGTTGGTGCCCCAGGCATTTAGCAAAATAAATGGAAATCTTAAATTCATATTCTAAAGAATATGAATACACAGTCAAAAATTACAAAATAACAAGGAAACAAACCAAGGTAAATGCAAGCCAGCAGAAACAACAGACAGCAGAAGCAGATATAAAACCTTTTCAGATACTAGAATGATCAGATACAGAAAATGAGTTTGCTGGATGTTTAAAGAACTAAGAGAATGAATTGAAAACATGCACAGAGAGTAAGAAATCTAAAATTTTGAAACTTAAAGTTTAAAAGTTCAGCCTAAAGATTTCTCTGTATACAGTGAACTGTAACCTAACTGGATGTGTAAACAGGCCATAACGTACTCTTATGCCAATCACTGAGTTTCAACCATCAAAGGTGGCCAACTGTTAAAAGCCATATTCAAATAAGGCAAATGCTAAACTATAACCAATAGGCTGTTTCTGTACCTCACTTCCATTTTCTATATGTCAATTCTCTTTTTCTGTCTGTCACTTCTCTTTTTCTGTCCGTAAATCTTCTTTGAGCATGCAGCAGGATTGGAGCCTCTCTGAACCTATTCTGGTTTGGGGGCTGCCCAATTCATGAATTGTTTTCTGCTCAATTAAACTCTGTTAAATTTAATTTGTCTAAGGTTTTTCTTTTAACAGAGATGAAAGTCCTTATAATTAAAACACTGAGTTTCACAGCAGAGTAAACACAACTGGAGAGAGAATGGTAAACTAGAAGAAAGATTCATAGAAATTGCCCCAAAAGCAGCACAGAGAAGCAAAGAGATTGAAAATATGTAAGAAAAGTTAAGATACATACAAGCTAGAGTAAGAAATTCTAGATACATCTCATTTGAGTTCCTGAAAGTGAGGTGAAAAAAAAATGGAATTGAGAAAAGAAATGAAACAGTCATGTTTGATAATTTTTTATGACAGTTTGCTTTCTAGAGAGAGGGAGAGAGGCAGCCCAAGATGGAAGCCACAGTCTCTTTGTAACCTAATTGCAGAAGTGATACCCTGTTAGTTGTTCAGTATTCTACTCGTTAAGTGCAGTTCATTATACAAGGTCATGAATACCAGGAGGTGGGAATCACTGAGGGCCATCTTAGAGGCTGCTTACATTAGTCATCTAAGTAATACAAATTAAAACCAAAATTAGATATCATTACGCAGCTATTAGAAGGGCTAACTTTTTTTGAAAAGACAGTACCAATGTTGACAAAAATGTTGGGCAACTGGAATTATTGATGGGAATGTAAATGGCACCAACATTCTAGAAAACAATTTGATAGTTCTTAAATAGTTCAATAGATACTTACCCTATGTCATTGCATTCTTAAGTATTTATCCAAGAGAAATGAAAACATGTGCTTACACAAAGACTTGTGCATAAATGTCCATAGCAAATTTATAACAGCCCCAAAACTAGATACAACCCAACCTTTATCAACAAGTGAAGATATGTATACATTGTGGCAGATTCATACAATTGGATACCACTCAGAGGTAAAAAGAAACCAACTGTTGATAAATGCAATAACATGAATCAATCTCAAAATAATTATACTGAGTGAAATAAGCCAGATGTAAGAGGCTATTTACTAAATTATTAAATTTATATACAATTCTAGGTAAAGGAAACCAATCCATAGTTATAGTAAATAGATTGGTGGTTGCCTGGGCACTGTGGTGGAAGGAGGGATAGATTGCAGAGAGGCATGAAGAAGCTTTTGGAGTGATGGAAATGTTCTGTGTCTTCATTGTGATGGTGGTTCCATGCGTTTTTGTATCTGTTAAGTTCATGGAATGGTACACCTTACACATATACAATTTGTTGTACTTAAATTACACTCTAATAAAGTTGTAAATAGAAAAAGAAGAACAAAGACAAAACAAACATTTTAAACAAAAACGAAAACAGAACCCAAACCAAAAAAACACCATCTGAGTTTGCCACAATGGTCCTTGGCTAAAGGAAGTTCTAAGAAATTTACTTTGGCCAATAGGAAAGTGATCTTACATGGAAGGATCTTATATGGAAGCATATATCTTATCTTATATGGAAGTGATCTGAAGTATAATAAGGAATAAAAAGCAAATTGTTAATATTTGGGTAGATAAAACAATTATTAATTATATAGAAGAAAAACCAGAATGCTTAATTTTAGGGGTTAGAATAAAACTGAAATAATGCTCAACAGTAGCACACAATTCAGGAGAAAGGCAATAGATAGATGGTGGTTTTAAGTTCCTTATATTATTCTTAGAAGTGTAAAGACAGTGAACAATCTAGACTTTAGATAAATTTAGACGTCTTTGGCAATCACTAAAAGAATTTAAATGAATATAGAACTTCCAAACTAACAGAAGAAAATGGAATGATTAAAACACGGTCATTCAAAAGAAAAGCAAGAAAGCAGAGAGAAAGAAACAGGCAGACAAAACAGAGCAGCAAATAAGATGGTATTTTAGTTTCTTATGATTGCTGTAACACATTATCACAAATTCAGTGGCTTACAACAACACAAATTCATTATCTCTGAAGGTCAAAAGTCCAAAATGAACTAAACTCAGGACATTGGCAGGTCTGTAGGCCTTTCTGGAGGTTCTGGGAGAGAATCCATTGCCTTGCCTTTTCCAGCGACCAGAGGCTGCCCACATTCCACTGTTCCTGCCCACTTCCTCCTCCTTCAGAGACAGCAACATGAGGTTGAATCTTTCCCATGCTGCCATCTCTCTGGTTCTCTTCGTCCACCTCCCGCTTCCACTTTTAAAGACCTTGTGATTTGGCCTATGTAGACAGCCCAGGATCATCTGTTTATTTTAAGATCAGCTGACTGAAAAAAGAAAATCCATAGAATTGAATGGCAATAATACCACACATCAAAACTTGTGTCATACATTTAACATGTTACTTGGAGGGAAAGTTTTTAGTTTTAAACACTTCTATTAGAAGAAAGACCTAAAATTAGTAAGCTGGGTGTCTAATCTAGGAATTAGGAAAAGATCAACAGAATAAATCCCTAATAAAGTAGAGGAAAGGAAAAGATAAAGAGAAGAGTATATGCCAGTAAAGTAGAAAACATACAATAGAGAAGATTATAAAGGAGTTATCATTGAAAACCCGCTGGAAATACTGGTTATGGCCAGGGAGATGAAGGCAATTGGCACATCATGTGATGATTGGGCTGGAGATACTGAACCTCTGCTATTCTAGGGTCTTGTAACTGCAAGTGTAAGAAAAACACTGAGTGTGCAGGAAATAGAGGACTTAGGGGCGGGCAGTCTGCATGACGAGTCATATGAGAACAGCAGCAGTTGGCATCCATTGACCTTGGGAGAAGTGGGATTTGGGCCACTGGGGAAGGAGCCCAGGTACTCTGGGAAGCTGAGGTGGGGTATAGCAACATGCACTGAGAAAGTAGCAGCTCATTCGCTGCTACATGCATTGCCAGGTAAATTGAGCTCCTGGGTTCTTCATTAGACAATCCAAAAGGTCTCTCACCACATTGATGGAGGATACATGAGATAGGCACAAGTACAATGCTAGCAATACGAAAGGAGACCTCATGATAGATGCTTTAAACATTTAAAATACATGGAAATAAGCTTGGGCAACGTGGCGGAACCCCGTCTCTACAAAAAATACAAAAATCAGCCGGAAAAATACAAAAATTAGCCGGGCGTGGTGGCACGTGCCGGCGGTCCCAGCTACGTGCGAGGCTGAGGCGAGAGGATAGCTTGAGCCCAGAAGGTCATGGCTGCAGAGATCGCATCATTGCACTCCAACCTGGGCAACAAAGCAAAGCCCTGTTTCAATCAATCAATCAATCAATCAGAAAATATGGCCGGGCGCAGTAACTCACTCTTGTAATCCCAGCACTTTGGGAGGATGAGGCAGGCAGATCATCTGAGGTCAGGAGTTCAAGACCAGCCTGGCCAACATGGTGAAACCCTGTCTCTACTAAAAATACAAAAATTAGCTGGGCATGGTGGTGTGCACCTGTAGTCCCAGCTACTCTACTTGGGAGGCTGAGGGAGGAGAATTGCTTGAACCAGGGAGGCCGAGTCTGCAGTTAGCCGAGATCGCATCACTGCATGCAGGCCTGGGCAACAGAGTGAGACTCCATCTCAAAAAAAAAAAAAAAAGAAAAGAAAATATAATGAAAAACTTTATTATACTCTATTGAAAACTTAGATAAAATAGACATGTTCCTGTGAAAATATAATTTACACAGAAATAGAAAGAGAAAAGTGAGCCTGAACCAGGCTTCTCTAACACATGTATTTTCTCCATGAGGCACATCCCAGTATCTTGCACTGAGAACACCAGACAGTGTTTCAGCACCACGTGTGGGGGAACGTTTTAAGCAGCAGAATCACTAACAAAAAACCCAAAAATGCAGCACTAAGCAGAACTCGAGGAGGACCCTTGGTGTATCAGTCCATTTTTACACTGCTATGAAGAAATACCCAAAACTCGGTAATTTATAAAGAAAAAGAGGTCTAATGGACTCACAGCTCCACATGGCTGGGGAGGCCTCACAATCATGGTGGAAGATGAAGGAGGAGCAAGGGCATGTCTTACATGGTGGCAGGTAATAGAGTGTGTGCAGGGGAACTGCCCTTTAGAAAACCATCAGTTCTCCTGAGACTTATTCACTATCATGAAAACAGCATGGGAAAAATACCTGCCCCCATGATTCAATTACATCCCACTGGGTCCCTCCCAGGAACTTGGGGATTATAGGAGCTACAATTCAAGATGAGATTTGGGTGGGGACACAGCCAAACCATATCACTTGGTTACCATACCAGAGCTGAAACAGGAAGGCAGAGTGTGGCCTTGTTCATCTTCAGCTGGGAACTCGTGTGTCAGATGACTCAAATGTTTCCCTTGCTCTGCACGCTTCCAGGTCCACAAATGACCCCAAAAGTGCTGTGGGTATTGATTTTTGGGTCATGAAAAAGTTTCAGCAAGTAGGTAAATTTACACACACAGTGTCTATGAACAATAGCAACAGTTGTATTCCCTTTAAATCAGGAAGAAAACAATGGTGGAGGCCCTAGCCAGACCACTATTTTGAAACGACACAATTTTCTTTTTATGCAGATGTTATGGTTACATATATTGAAAACCCAAAAATAATCTATAATAAATTATTATAATTAATTGGAGCTTAGAAAGATTGCCTGATACAAAATCAACATACAAAAACTTAACAGATTTTTATACATCAGCCATAAACATTCAGAAAATATAATTTAATAAAGGATATCATTTATGATAGCAGTATAAATATGTGAAGTCCCCAGGAAGAAAATTCTTAAAGGAAGAGCAAGATCTTTATGGACAAAATTATTAAACGATTGAAACACATTTAAGAAGATGCCAGTTAGTGAAGAATTTACTGTTAAATGAGAGGAAAAGAACAAGTTAGCAAAGAAGTCAATTCTTCCCAAATTTATCTTTTGACATTGCAATTCTACATAAAACAACAAGTTTTGGATTTTTTTTTGTTTCAACTAGATGAGCTGATTTGGTGATTTATGGCAAAGAGCAGAGGACCAAGAATAGCTGACACACTGCCAAAGAACAAGTCGAGTGCTTTGCTCTCCCAGAAACGTATCAAGAATTATGACAATGACAACAATATAATTAGATAGAATGGATAAAATCTAGTATTTGATAGTACAACAGAGTGACTACAGTCAACAATAATTTATTGTACATTTTAGAATAACTAAAAGAGTATAATTGGATTGTTTGCAACACAAAGAAAGGATAAGTGCTTGAGGTGATGGATACCCCATTTACCCTGGTGTGATTATTATGCATTGTATACCTGAATCAAAATATCTCATGTACCCCGTAAATATATGCACACTACCTAACAATCCATTTTGGGTGGAGTAAACACTTACAGGTAGAAGACAAAATCATTAAACTTTTAGAAGACAAAGTAGGAAAATATTTTTATGAACTTGTTGTAAGATTTCTTAGATAAGACAAAGGTTAAATTTTGATGAGAATGTGGGACAACTCGAACATATACTGCTTGTATACAGTTTGTGGATTTGTGAATTCTTATAACTACTTAGAAAATAATTAGCAATATTTAGAGTGAATTTGAAAAGATGCATATCCAATAATCTAGGCATTCCATTCTGAGGATATCCCTTGGAGAAATGTGTGTGTGTGTGTGTGTGTGTAGTGGAAGACCCATGTAACACTGTTCATAACAGCCCTGTAAGATCAAAAATCTGGGAGAAAATATCATTTCCACTGACAGTAGAAAGGTTAAAGAAATTGTGGTATATTCGTGTGATAGAATACTATAAAGCAGTGGCAACAAATGAATCACAGTTGCACACAGCAATGCAGATGACACCTAATACTGAATGAATAAAGCAAATTTCAGATGACTACTCACAGTATGATTACAATTATGTAATATTTTAAATTGCTAATTTAGTCATAGTGCATAGGAATACAAATATGAAGTTAAAAGTATAAACAAAGAAGCAAGGGAGTTGATCCTCAAATTAAAAATAATTGTTTATCTGAGAGGGGATGAAATGAGGGGACTCAAGATGCTTCACAGGTAATAGTTACTCTCTTGTCCTTAAACTGGTTAATGAGTCATTGTGTTGTTATTCTTCATACCTTATACATACACATATTTTTGAGATATGTAAGGCTTTAATTAAACAACTAAAAATGAAACAAAATGGAAAACCAAATGATAACAAAATCTTTCATATAATTGCTAAGGCAAGCAATGTACCGACAGGCCTCCACTGATAAGGAGGTTGAACTACCATTTAGATATTAAGCTGGTTTTGGCAGTTTGACATATGCCATTTTATTACATTCTTACAACAATTATTTGAGATAGGTCTTACTAATCTCATAGGAAAGGGATATTGAAGCATAGCGAGTTTAAAGAACTTGACAGAGGCAAGTAGTAAACGATGGAATGGGAAGCCAAATAACTCTTTTTTTTTTTTTTTTTTTTTTGAGACAGGGTCTTGCTTGTTGCCCAGGCTGGAGTCCAGTGGCGAGATCTCAGCTCACTGAAACCTCTGTCTCCCAGGTTTAAGTGATTCTCCTACCTCAGCCTCCCAAGTAGCTGAGATTACAGTCATGCACCACCACACCTGGCTAATTTATTTTGTATTTTTAGTAGAGATGGGGTTTTGCCATGTTGGCCAGGCTGGTCTCGAACCTCTGACCTCAAATGATTGGCCCACCTTCGCCTCCCAGGATGCTGGGATTACAGGCGTGAGTCACTGCACCTGGCCCCAACTCTCTTTTACTCCAAACTTGTGTTCCAAAACTCGTAAAAGGCTAAATCAGGTAGGGAAAGTTGAGATTTCTTTCTGCTTTTAGCAGGCTGGAATGGGGGCCTCTTTTTATGAACAGGGAGGCCCGAGATAAACATTGTCACTGCAGCCATTGCAAAAGTTGCCGAGAGAGAGAAAACAAGAATAAGGAAAATGGAGCCATTTCTGTCCAAAAATATATGTGCAGCCTCCAAAAGGAGAGAACCTGTGGAAAAAAACAAATGGACTGCAGCATGGTCTGTGATCGAGGAGGTGGACATACAAAAATGGGCTGTGGGAAACTTTCAAGGTGAGTGATGGCGAGTGAGGCTGTTTACATGGCCCTGTGTGAAGTGGAGGAGTCAGGCCCAGGCAAAACCCAGCTGACGCTGCAAATGCACAGACTACAAATTCTTCTGGCTGTCCTGGGAGGCTGTGCTCCACAGATAAGGCTGTTCATCAATGCAGCCATCCCCCTTACTTTCAGAGGAGGCCAATTAACATTACTCATTGAGAAGAAAACCAGTAGTGAGTCGGAATGGAACCAGCTTAGCAGAGGTGATTTAGGGCATAAGAATTCAGCAAGAAGCAGAGATTTCTGATACAGTGTGTTAACGAGAAACATTGCAAATATTTTTTCCTTTGGACAGGCTGTATTCTGTACGAAACATTGGCAGAAGTCTGCAATTTTCACTTTCCTTTCCATTTATGGCCCATTTTATTTCCAATAACCACCTCTTCTTAACTTTGTGCTAAGAAGTGAAGATGTGACATTTCACAAAATTGTGACCTTAACACACATGTTTTGAAATGGGATTTGTGAAATATTCAGTGTTAAGTCTCCCAAGCAGCCAGTTGCCTGCATTATCCAGGCAGTAAAACCTCAGGTTCCATGGTTAGTTGAATTCCTTGGATCTCATTCCTATTGTCTGCTGAAATTTCCTTCAAAATAAAACAACCCCTTCATCCTCCAGATACGAGGTGGTTGTTCACTGGCATTCTCAGTTTTTCAGTCTGAGTCTCACTCCCCACATTCTGCTTATGCTCCAAAATTCATTTTAAAACAGATTCCCCTTGCCATTATCCCCTCAATAGAAAAAATTGCTTCACTTTTCTTCACATGATGTAATTGAACTTTCTGGGTGAGAAGTTGCACCTCAGACATTTAGCTGTGGTTTTCACAGCCAATCAATGAATAAATTAAAGCGCTCTGTGACAGCTGTGGTTTCTGAGGATAAGAATCAGTGTCTCGGTCATCTGACTTCATTTCTCACCCCTCCCTTTTAAGGTTGAGGTGAACTTGGTGAGTAAATTCATTTCTTTTATTTTCCTATTAGGATTTGAAAATTAATCATTGTAGCCAATCAACCAAAAATAATTTCATCATAAGAGCAATTTCCATATATAAATTATCTAGAAAGTTAGAATACAATGGAAAGTGGAGGGGGTTCTCATGACCAGCCCCTGTTGTTTTTTTCATTGGTAAAATATACATAATAGAAAATTTACTGTTTTAACCATTTAAAAGTATACAATTCAGTGGCATGAAATGCATTTACAATGTGTTGCAACCATCACCACGATTTCCAGAACTTTTTCATCTTCTCAACTCTGTACCCACTAAACAGTAACTCCCCATTCCCCCCTGCTCCTAGCCCCTGGCAACAGCATTCTGCATTCTGTCTATGAATTTGACTATTCTATGTATCTCATATAAGTGGGATCATAAAATATTTGTCTTTTTGCATTTGGTTTATTTCACTTAATATAATGTTTTCCAGGTTCATCTGCATTGTAGCACGTATCAGAGTTTCTTTTTATGAACGAGTAATATTCCATTGTATGTCTACACCAGTTTGTTTATTCATTTGTTTGTCAATGGACACTTGAGTTGCTTCCACATTTTGACTACTGTGAGTAATGCTGCTATAAACATTAGTGTAAGGGTATCTTTTTGCATCCTTGCTTTCAATTATTTGGGTATATGCCTAAGAGTGGAATTGCTGGATCATATGGTAATTTTATGTTTAATCTTTTGAGGAACCAACCTTTTATTTTTAAATTCATAAGCAAAGAAGCTGATGGTTGACATTAAATGAGAGGATGGCAGACGGGCGATGCCTTAACCCCAAGAGAATAAATCTGTAGTACAGGGGATTTTAGAAGTCTGGGAAAGCTAGCAAGAATAAAAAAGTATTCTTTTGTGAGTTGAGTTGGAGGGAACATTTCAGATACTTGTAGTCACTACCTTTTCCATTTATAGTTACAAATGGCTCTGTGAAGCTTAATACAATTAGAAGGAGAAACTACTACAATTATCCCTGGGATAATAGATCCAGCTCTTTTGTTTAGATTCAGTAAGTTTGGATAACATCATCATAATAATCTAGGTTTGAGGAAATGATGCTTCTTGTCTACATTACAGATAACAAATGGCAGATCTAGGATCCTATCACACTTCTGGTGGCTCCACTCACTGCCTTGCTCAACTGGGAGGACATAAAACATGAAAAAAATAAGTAAATGACATCATGGTTCTCAAATTTCTCAATTCCATAGATCCTTTTGGAAACCCAAGGGTTGAAAAACTCAAGGTGGGAATAACTGAACATAGTATGTCTTATAAATATTGAGGGTCTCCATGATATACTTTGGAAATGCCCTGCAGAACTAATAGAACAGAACTTGTGAATATTTTGAGACAAATGGATCAGTGTCCACAAACACTTGTCGAGCCTGCTATGTGACCAGCACTGTGTTTGAAACCTTAGGGGGTATAAAGATGAGTAAGACACGCTCCTTGCCCACCAGAAGCTTGTGTCATAGAAGGGCAGTTGAGGCCATTGCCAGATCTCTTTAATTCTCTTGGATGAATTACCTGCTGTATAGTAATATACATTGTCCCTAAGTAAGAATACATATTTTTAGTCCATATTTTAATGAATGGAATAAGCTAATCATTGATGATATGGTATAAACATGATATATTATTATAAGAGGAATTGAAGAGGAGGAAAAACAAATACTTATGAGCCAGGGACTTGATGGGCCTCATTTTATTTAATTCTCCCTGCAGCTTTGCAGGGTATGCATTAATGAGCCCATTCTACAGAGATTAAAAACTGAGTCTTGGTGAGGTTGAGGAACTTGCCTACAGTCACACAACCAGTGAGAGCAAGGCTTGACTAGGAGCCCACCTTTCCAGCTCTCCAGTACCCATGTGAGTTCCAGTATACCCACTGCTTCTTATTGCTTTCAACATAATTATTCTCCCATTATTTCATCAGATCCTTGCTGCACTTTCCCAGTGCTTCTAAACAGGTCTTTGAGTTAATTTAATTAAGTAATGAACTTATTGATGAGAGAGTCTTCTTATGCATATTTCTTTTATTTGCTCATTCTAGATGAAACTGGTGAGATTTGGGTCTGAATTATTATAGGAGAGACAGAGCTTTTGTGTGCCCATGGATTTTTTTGATCCATTGAGTCACCCATTCTGTGATCCTAAAAAATTGTAGTTGACAATAATCATTTATTGTAATTGAGGAAGTTACAATAATACCTGTTGAGTGATAACTATGGTGCTACATGGGTATTTTAATAAGTATTCTATTATAATAATTCCTATTTTTTAACACTTCTGGGCCACCCATCTTCCCACTCACCCCAAGTGTGTTACAGAATCTGACAGCTGTCAGCCCATAGCAGTAGGAGGTTGCTATAATATAGCACATATTCAATAGTGTTTTTTTTTTAATTGAGTGCCTGAGTGCCACAAACTATAACAGTTACTTCCTTGGAAACTTAATATTAATAGTATCCCCAGGGAGTTATCATCATTTTTATTTTCAGTTGAAGAAAGGAAGTTCAAGGAAATGCCAACAGTTAGCAAACGGCAGATCTGGGATTCCATGGCAACCTCCGGTGATTCCAGTCACTGCTCTGCCTAATTGCTGAGAGAAGTGTCCAGATCCAGAAAATCCAGGGGAATTGGTTATCAATGGGCAAGCCCTGAAAAGATGGTGCAGCAGATGTTAGTTAAACATAAATATGTATTTTTGGTCTTCTATTGCCTCTGCCTGTGTAAATCTCTGAGCTCCTTTTCCAAAGAGGTAGCTACCTTTGATAATGTGCCTCCCATTGCTCCCCTCTACGCCTCCCAGAATCCTCTTCTTCCATCTGTCAGATGGCCCTTTATATTCTCAGGAGAGGGGCTCCTATGAAGATTTCCAGGGACTTCTCTACTGTGCCCCTTGCAGCAGTTACTTAAATTTTTCTTTCTTTCCTTCCTTTCATTCTTCCTGCATCTCCTATATGTGAGGCCCTCCAGGAGCTCATGGCCGAGTGGGAAGGACAGGTATCTAGACAATTCATTGTAATGTGCTTTACAAACGTGCATTCAGCCACACCTAATGGTCCCTAATAATTTCATGTATTATTAGGAACCATTGAACATTGGCAGAATCTCTCATGATTACAGGATATAACCCAAAACTATTATTTTTCACATCCCTGATTGCATTCTGACTGGTCAGAAAAAAATGTGACTCTTTTTCTGCAGTTTTTCACAGGTTACTTACTACTTTTTATTTCCAATAAGAAATCACCTTGATGTGACATTTCATGCTCCTGAGTATCTCTGGCTGGCAGTGGTACTGGATTGCCCTTTATAAAGCTGCTGTGAGGGACTTAGTGGTGTCGTCATCCTTGTTCTTTTAGTTAGGAAATTCAGAAGGAATAATGTCACATATAAACAGGCATTTTTATTTACAGCTTTGCCTAATATTTAAGTGAAATGCCCAGTGCTCTAAGCAACATAAAAAGCATCTTGGGATTCCTGGAAGCAATGACATTCTCACTGATAGTGTTTGGCCAATTCATCTGGCCTGTAACTAATTCACAGTGGTAGTGAAATAGAGCTGGTGGGGAGAGGGGGTAGTCAGCAACAAGCCCACCTTATCACTTTCCCTAGTAGCAATCTAAGCAGTGGGGTCTTGTTTTCATTAGACACACAGCTCTGAGACCATGGATGTTAATAAGAGGATTGAGTGGTATTGGTCAAATGATCTCCCTGCCCTATTTTGTCTCAATACTGAAGCTGCTTTACAGAGAATCCAGAGCCTCCAGTGATATTTACTGAGCAAATTTTACTATCAGGCTATACCATACCAAGTGTATTAGTCCGTTTTAACACTGTCATAAAGAATATCTGAGACTGGGTCATTTATAAAGGAAAGAGGTTTAACTGACTCACAGTTCTGCCTGGATGGGGAGGCCTCAGGAAACTTACAATCATGGCAGAAGGCAAAGGGGAAGCAGGCACGTCTTACATGGCAGCAGGTGGGGGAGACAGAAAGAGGGAGAGAGAGAGAAGGGGGAAGTGCCTGACACTTATCAAACAACCAGATCTTGTAGGAACTCACTATCAGGAGAACAGCTTGGGGGAAACCACCCCCATGATCCAATCACCTAAACTCAGGTCCCTCCCTCAGCATGTGGGGATTACAATTCAGATTACAATTGGAGATGAGATTTGGGTGGGGACACAGCCAAACTGTATAACCAAGAGTCATTGGATAACATCCATTTCTGTTCTCCAGAAGAGGGAAGAAGAAATAAGAATATGGCCTGCCAGTGGAAATGTGGTTAGGTTATTTATAGCCAAAAGACACGTTTTGCCATTCTTTATCCCTAATTTCTGGAAACAGCCAATCTCTGAGCACCACAAGGCTCAGGGTCCAGGATGGCCAATCAACGTAAGAAGGCTGTTCTTCAGCTTCTTTAGCCGCCATGCAGCTGCTGTACCTGGTATGTTTTTTTTCTTATCAGAAGGATTCATGATTAATGATATAATTCCTGGAAAGTCCTTAAAGCTTTGCAGAAGAAAGAGCATATTTAAATGAATTACAACACAATCTCAGACTTTAAATTGTCCAAATCCTTTCAGTGTCTAGGTTGCTTCTCCTTTGACATGGGCTCTTTTAAGATCTACATAAACTCTCTTATAACACAACAATGCTGTCAGGACTTTTCAATATCATGGAATTCATTCATTCATTTATTCATTCATTCAACAAACATTTATTAAACATCTGTTATATGCCAGGCACTATGTTATCTTGGGGCTTATCAAGAGCTCTAAAGTGGTTCCTGGGCTCTGAAATTCTCCTTGTGGTAGAGTGTTTCATCATAAAATGTTGCATTTATCCTCACAACAATACGGAGAAGTAGATATTTCTTGGCTCTACATTACTGGTGAAGAAACAAAGACTTAGGGAGGCCAAATGCTATGCCCAAGGACTTATATGTAAAACTTAACTCCAAATTTCATTATATTTTCAATGCATCATGCTCCATTCTCACTTTATATGAGCTTTAGTTACTAGATTTTAATCAAAGTAGACCAACCAATGTAAATATACAGACTAGACCCTTGGCATTTGTAGACTTAATTTTCCTGGCTTTGACTATTTGCTAGACTATTCTTGGGCACTACTAGCAAATGACCTTGAAGAGCCACAACTTAAGAGTTTAATTTTCTGAGACATGATCTGAATCTCTGGCCCTAAGAGTCTGGGGAGTGGAGGTTGGTCACGTACATTCAGAGTAGCTTACTAGCATCTGCATCTTAGTGTGGCTCTGGTTCCACATGTTCTCCTTTATTTTACAGGGAAAATCCTATAGTGGCCTGCCAATTATCAATAGTATTTATGAATAGTGGAATTTCACGAGAAAGTCTCAGGAGTTGCCCATCGTGAATGTCAATATATTAAAAATTGCTAACATGGAAAATATCAAATTCAGCTCAGGGACTTAGAGATGAGATTTGATGCTCCCAATGGGCCATATCTCCTCGGCCATTTGATCCACCAGGACTTCTTTCACTGCCCCAGCCTCTGGGTAGGAATGGTGTCTAGGGCTCTGGTATGTGGTGCTTTTGAGGGGAAGTTGAGCAATCATGCCCTGTTGTTTAAGACCATCAAAGAGATACCTCAGGGCCTTGCAAGCACCACAGCTCCCAGTGGTGCCACTTACTTCCAGGGTATTTCAGGCAATAGATAGTCTTCTGCAGTCTTGGAGATTTGCAATAGTTTTCTGCAATTACCTACCTATCATGAGATTAGTAGAATGAACAGGTCTTTCCCAGAGGGAGCTGCTGCATTCTCATCTACTCAGTGTTTGGTCCCTGACCCTAGAAGCTTCATCAAACATCACATTTCCATAAAATGCCCCATTTGGAAGAGTTTTGGTGGGAATAAAACACTCCAAATATTGGATTTTAAAAATCTCTTTATTTGCAATAGGCATCAGGAAAATAAAACTCTCTATATCAGTTAGCAGCATAGAAAAAGGAGAAATGACATTTATGGCATCCCAATGCCAGAATCATAAAGCACAGTATGGAATAGTGGATTTGGATCTGGGAAGCAATAGCTAAAAACCAACACAATTACTATTTCCAAAAACTATGGCAATAAGTGGAGCTCATAGCCTTTATGATACAATAGTACCATATTCTCTGCCAGTAGGAGTAGTTTTGGGGAAAAAAAATCTCATTTTTCACCATTAGTTACCAATGACTTTAAATATTAAGCCGAGATTATATGAAAATACCTTTACTGGCCATATGCTAATTTTCTTGTAACCATGGGGTTTTATTTAGTCTAATGTATAGACATGCCCCTTCTTGGTTGTAAATTAAGATGGCACTTTGATTTATTTATCTTAAAACCATCCTCTGTGCTGTTCATTTCTATTACACTTGAGAATTTGGAAGTGCTTTTTAGAGGTCAAGAGCAAGTCTGTGTCATCTCCTGGCGCAAATCACAAGCTGAATAACTTCTGTTCAGCTCCTTCTTTATCCAAGAGATGGGAAACCAGGGTCATGCTAGCCAGGATAATATTGAGGAGAAACAAAACAAAGCCCATCTTGGTTTTGTGTGGCACCAGCCTCCTCATCAGTACACTATAGCATTTCAGTGCTGGGTCTGAGTGTTATAAAAAATTATTTAAGAGCAAATAAAAATGCTGCTTCTGCAAATGTGAATGCCTAAATGCTAATCAAAGCTTTGCTGCAATCCTGCGGAAATGCATGATAAGATTTTCCAGCTGTCAATCATTATAATTCTGACAGCCGTAATGAGATTCTGGTTTAACGTGTACTTCTTAATAACTTGGGGCCTGGAGCAGGTGCTGTCCTCTTTAAGACAACTTGCAGATTGTCAACCAGTTTCTTCCCATCTGGTAGTGGGGAGACAGCCTCTAAAGTGGTCAAGCATGAGGGGGGTTTCATGGGCATTAGGGTCTGTAGGGTTCTGAATTCCTCTCCTCTCTACCTCCACCCATTGTTAAGGAAGAGATGAGTTTCAACTGTGACTGGTTTTAAAGAGTGACAATTTAGTACAAGATTTTCTAATAAGGAAAGGCAACATGTTTGAACTTGGAAGTTTTACTCTAATTCCCATGGAAAGATCTCCAAGAATAGAAATTACTTGTCTGTTCTCAGTAACAGAAGAATATATTTATTGTCATCTCTTTTGAGATAATGAAATGCCATTTAAATTACCCTCTCTTCCTGGTAAATCTGAGAAGAAAGCAAACTCCCTAAGTTTCCTATCATTTTGCAGAGCCTGAAACCATATCTAGTAATCACTTCAAGCCTCACTAGGGAAGAACAGCAGGTAGGAAGCTGTTTGGGATTTATAGTGCCACTTACTTCTACAGGTAAAATCGGAGTCATAAAAAGCAAGAAGAAAGAGTTCTTGAGCCCTCCAGGGTAAGTAAGGGAATATACTTTAAAATTCTGATTTTTATTACTCTAGAAAAAATAAGACACCTTAGCCCGTAGCTGGAAGACTAAACTGCATCCTTTTTCTGAGGCTGTTATTCAGTCGAGTCTCTGATTGTTCGCCTCCACTGAGCTCAGACAGATCTGGTGCTCTCTCTGCCTGACTCAGTTTCTTTACCTTTGAAGTGGAGCTAGCAACGTCAGCCAGCTTCTCACACTGCATGCAGGATCCTTAGAAATAAAAGGTATCATCTTGGAGCTCTACAGTTCTGTAACGATGACCAAGATTCACTCTGAGGGCAGAAAAATTAAAGACAAACATGTAATGCTTTTTCCAGGTTTTTTAATACCAAAATTGGTCCAGGTGATTCTCTCTGTTTCCATGTTATTTATCTTCCTCCCTTCCTATTGAAGGCGTCATATGGAGTGTTGAAGGCTGGTGGTAAGGAGGAAAAAGGAATGAACACTGAATCAGTAATATCTGAGCTTTCCCAGGCAAATCTAGTCATGACTCAGCAAGGAAGCCAAAGGAAAACATCACTGCATTACACCTGTTAGAGAAGAGGCCTGTCTGAGGCAGAGGGAAGCTCCGATTGTGAGCCGCTGTGCAAACCATTCCAAATAAAGAGAGATTTCTGACCTTTACCTCCCTCCCATCCTTCCCCCCTCAACTCTGGGAGAGAAGAGCCCTCCTCTTGGTTTTGGAGTCTTTCCTCTTCCACTTGCTACTAGCTCCTTTCCCTCCCAGCAAACATCCATGCCTCTCTCGTAAGATATAAGCAAAATTATTTGCTGAAACTTGTTACCCCTTCAAGAAAACCATATTGCTGTCCTTCCTTTCACACTGCCAGGAATGTCAGGAAAAGCATGGCTGGTGTCAGGCTCAAATCTTCACTTTCTCTTTAGCTATATGTCTCTGGGAACGTGATTTCCCCTCTCTCCCCGCCCACCCCGCCAGTTAAAACAGCAACAAAAACATTGATAATGATGCCTGCAAGAATCATGAAGCTGAAATAAGATCACGCATATAGGTGCCCAGCAAGGGACATGGCCAAGAAAAACGGAGGTCCCAGGGATTCCTCATTTCATGGCCAAATTTGCTGGAGACTGGTTGGGACCTGCCAGCTTACCTCTGCAGCTCTGCGCACGCTCTTGAGGGGCTTCTGCTTTTGCTGACCTCTAGTCCATGTAACAAGGGTAAACACTGCCTCTCCCTAGAAATCTTGCCTGCACTGGTTTCCATGACACAGCATTACCTCAGTGCAGCTTACAAAACAGCTCGCAGAATTCCTCCAAATATTTAGAGTCAAAATAGATGGCCAGTGCTCTGCCTTCAGTGCAGGAACCTGTGCTTCCTCAGAGGTCCCGCAGTTTTGGGTCTGGATCCCTAGAGCTCTGAAAACCTTATCTCGAGGGCCATCCTGAGCAGCTTTTATTCCAATGCTGGGGGGATGTGCTGTGCAAATCAGAAGCAAGTCCTGGCCTTATCCACCCAGTTGGGGGGCCACAGATTTGGTGAAGTTGTGCCTGTTACTTGGGAGGTGAGTGGGTCGGACATGAGATGGGCAGAGGACGTGTTTGGTGGTCCCTGCTCACCCCCATTCATGTTCTTGGAGTCTGTTACTCCCATTGAGTCCCACTCCATTATCCATGGGAGAAACTGAGGCACAGGTATCGAAGGGGGTGGGATGGGTAGTCACACCAGGCTGGCAGCAGCACAGCCTGGTAAAAACCTGGGCCTCTGTCTCAGTCTGGAGCGGGCTCCACTACACCTGCAGCCTGTGGACAGAGAGTCTGCAGACAACATGTCAAACTCTGTGGGTTCTCTGCAAACAAAGTTGCTTGTGGGGAGAAAGGCAGAAAGTAGAATGTTTAGGCTGACTGATGGCTGAACAGTGGGTGGAAAGAGAGGCTGGAAACTTGACTGTATAGGTGAGAGATGAGAGACTGGGGAATAAAAATAAACAAAAAGAGTAGAGAAAGAGGCCGGGCGGGGAAGGGGCCTGCAGAAAGGTGTGTGATGGGCTGGTTGGTCAGCTGCCGCTGGGCCCAGACGGAGCTGAAGGGATTTGTGTGCATGCAGAGACCGCTTATTCTGTTGTTCCACCAGAAATTGAGGGTAGGACCTGGAGTATTGCACAAAGCCCTTGCCAGCTCTAAGACTTGAAAGCAGGGCTGAGAGGGAGGGGAGGCAGGGGAAATACACTGGCCCCCTATTTCCATCGGGAGAAGGAAGCTGAGAAAACAGCAGAGGAGAAAACAGATTCGAAGACCATGAGACCTGGAAGAGATTGTTTAATTTAACCTCTTCCTCTACAAACAAGGAAGCTGCAGCCCAGGGAGGGTAAACGACATCCCAGAAGGTCACTGAGTCTTCTCCAATCCAAACGTTGCAGGTGTCTCCTCCCAAAGGGTATCTTCAAGTCCTAGCCTCCGGTCCCTGGTAATGTGACCTTGTTTCCAAACCTGATGGCTTTGAATGCCATCAAGTTAAGAGGAGGTCATGCTGGAGTGGCTGGGCCCTTAATCCAATATGACTGCTGTCCTTAGAAGAAGAGGACAAGAGACAGATGCACAGGGAAGAAGGTCACGTGACAGTACAGGCTGAGATAAGAGGGATGCATTTATAAGCAAAAAATGCCAAGGGTTGCCAGCAACCAGGAGAAGCCAGGGGAGAGACACAGGACAGACTCTCCCTCTGAGTGTCCAGAAGGAGCCAACCCTGCCAAAACTTTGATCTTGGACTTTGGCCACTAGAAGTGTGAGAGAATGCATTTCAGTTGTATTAAGCCACTCAGTTTGTGGTATTTTGTTATAGTAGCCCCAGCAGGCTAATATGCTAGGCTGGGGAAAGCATGCACGTGCCAAGTATAGAACCGCCCCTGAAATGCAGCAGAGCCCGCAATCACACTTGCTGGCTTCCTGTGGAGTCTGGATCTGCAGATGGATTCACCTTCGTATTAGTTTTTCTTGCATTGCTATAGAGAAATACCTAGGATGAGTGCAGTGGCTCAAACCTGTAATCCCATCACTTTGGGAGGCCAAGACAGGAGAATCGCATGAGCTCAGGAGTTTGAGACCAGCCTGTGCAACATGGTGAAACCCTGTCTCTACAAAGAAAGCAAACATTAGCTGGGTGTGGTGGCACGTGCTGTGGTCCCAGTGACTTGTGAGGCTGAGGTGGGAGGATCACTTGAGCCCTGGAGGCAGAGGTGCAGCTACGCTCCAGCCTGGGTGACAGAGCCAGACCCTGTCTCAAAGAAAAGAAAAGAAATATCTCAGACTGGGTAATTTTTAAAGAAAAGAGGTTTAATTGGCTTATGGTTCCTCAGGCTATACAGAAAGCATGATGCTGACACCTGCTCAGCTTCTGGGAAGGCCTCAGGAAACTTAACAGTCATAGCAGAAGGCAAAGGGGGAGTGAGCACTTCACACAGTTGGAACAGGAACAAAAGAGTGTTGGGGGGGAAGTGCTACACACTTTTAAACAACCAGATATTGCAAGAATTCCCTCACTACCACAAGAACAGCATTAAGGGGATAAAGCTAAGCCATTCATGAAGGATTCACCCCCATGATCCAATCACCTCCCACCAGGCCCCACCTCCAACACTGGGGATTAGAATTCAACATGAGATTTGGGGACACAGATCCAAATCATATCAACCATCTACCAGTGCTAGGTTAACTGGGAGGGCTGAGCAGATGTGGAGAGGTGCCAGGGGACTCAGGGGACAGGCAGAGAGAGTCGGCCTGGGCTGGGTGTTGTCACTGCCTCCTCTACAGGGCCTGCACCTGCACCACCAGGCTCTTTGCCCACTGCTGCTCCTGCCTGAGCTTCGCTTCTCAGGGGATGCACCCATGGTGCCACAGTCCTAAACACACAGGGGCTTCTGGCCCTTAACCCTCTCTGATCCTACACTCATAGCCTGCAGGGATCGCGTTGGTGCCCACCCTGGTCTCCTCTCTCTCAGCACCCTCCCTCTCCGAGGCAGCCCTGTAAACTCCCAGGATCCATCCAGTCCCTACTTGGTTCTTTACCACCTCCCACACCACTCCCTCAGTCTACCCCATTTGACCCATCTGGAAGGAGTTCAGCAAGAAGTCCCCTCCCAAATGTAGAATCCTGCCCCTCCACCAAGGCCACCTAGACTGCACATACCCTTGAGGCCTCCGCTCTGTCCTCGACACCAGCAAGGCCCCTACATTGAGGAGGTTAGAATGGAAAGCTAAGGGGCAACACCTCCTGATGTCCTAATAAGAAAAGGTGTAATTTGAATAGCTGGGGCTTCAGGAGGAGGCTCCTCAGGCCCCTCAGGGAACGGCAACTCCCTAGAGGGAAGAGTGGGGTTCCCAGCGCCCTTAGCCTGAGAGCTTTCCTTCCTTCCCTCTGTCAGGCCTTCCCAGTGTCAGGTCTCGTCCCCTCTGTTTCCACCCTTGTCACTGTATTGCCTGCTCAGGTAAGGTGTGCCCATGTGAATTCAGGCTGTTTCTTTAAGTTTAGGGGGCCTTTGTATTAAAACTGCAGATTTCTGAGATCTATACCCAGGGATGCTGCCTCAGGAGGTGAGGGGCTTGGCCTGGGATTTGCATTTTGGAACTAGCTTTCTAGTGTTTTTGCTGTGGGGTGGTCCTCAAACCCTAGACAATATTGTCCTTAGACAATCTAAACACTTCCGGTGTGGGAGATTTTGGGGACAGTGGCAGGTGATGGAGGGGACTACGTTGATGGCTCAGTCTTTCTGTGCTTCCTTTCAAGGGGGACCCCATCCGATGCCACTGGGCATTGCCCCAAACCTGGGGCCTGGGATAAGCCTTCCCAGGGGGATCTGGGCAGAGATGTGGAGATACTGCTGGCCATGGTTATGATAGTCAGGGAGGGAGTCACGCAGGGGGGCTGCACCTAGGTTGGTGTGTGGACTGGTAGAAAGTTCTCTACAGGGGACAGCAGGGAAAGAGGGAGGAAGAGGAGCCAGCAGAGGGAAAGGCAGAGGGGTCAGGGGCCTTGTGGGGCTGCAGCTTCCTCCAGATGCCTCGACGATGCCATCCACAGCTACTGGTCATGCGCAGAGCAGCTGCCCTCCTCCAGGTGGAAGCTGCTTGGCAGCACCTGGCTACGTGGGTTATCTGTGGCAAGGAGGGATCGCTTCCTACGTCAGGAGCTTGCACCTAGCTCAGAGAGGGAGAGCTAGGACAAGAAAGACAAGAAAGAAATGAAAAATCCAGCCTCTCCCCACCGGCCTTCTCTGAGTATGCCCTACCATGGTATCCGGCTGTGCTCACTCGAACCCACCTCCCAGCTCAGGAAGGAAAGATGGGGAGATCATTCCATATTACAAGGGTGGTGGAGTGGGGATGCATTCAAATTGCTCTGGCAACACTTTGCCTGTCCCTCTGTGTGGCTGGCTGCCTATCACCCACACCCAGGCAGGCCCAGACTCCCAGGGTCGGGGTGCCATGGTGGGGGAATGAGCCTCTGTCTCTGGATCACGTATTGAGAGACACCGTTGGGTGCTGCTGGGCACTTGGCATCTGCAAAGTATGCTCCACACCCCACGCAGGTGCCCTCCCCTTGATAAGGGAGGCTGAGCAAACATCTCAACATTAATCAAATACGTGACCTCAGGAGTATCTCCCGTATTCCTTCAAAAAGGAAATCTTCAAGCTCATTCCTGTTGTTAAGCCAAAAAATAGAGAATAAACAAATAAATAAATAAATAAATAAGGAGCATAAATAAAATAAAAAATAAAAATAATACATAATAAATAAATACATAAATAAAATAGGAACTCCAACAGAAATGGAAAGCAGACCACACACTTGCCTATTCAGCTACTTTTATCAGTTGCTTCGCCTCTGGCCATCTCCCACTAAAATCCGAAGCCTTGCCCAGCTATATTTAGAACCTGCGAAGAGAATTGTGTGCTGAGTTTAAAAGATATGTTTTGTTTTAATTAGACATATGTCTCACATGTCACCTGGTGCTGACAGCAGTCACTGTAGGTTTTCTTGGCCCTGACAAGGGAAGGTGAATCAGGCAGAATCTGTCTTTGCTCATTCCCTTTGACCTGTAGAGTGAGCTCTGTATTTCTTTATGGTATAATTCCTTAGGTCCAGGGGCAAAATAGTGTAGTTATTGTCTTTATAGCGGCATGATTTGTAATCCTTTGGGTATATACCCAGTAATGGGATGGCTGGTTCAAATGGTATTTCTAGTTCTAGATCTTTGAGGAATCACCACACTGTCTTCCACAATGGTTGAACTAGTTTACAGTCCCACCAACAGTGTAAAAGTGTTCCTATTTCTCCACATCCTCTCCAGCACCTGTTGTTTCCTGACTATTTAATGATCGCCATTCTAACTGGTATAAGATGGTACCTCATTGAGGTTTTGATTTGCGTTTCTCTGATGCAGTGATGATGAGCATTTTTTCATGTGCCTGTTGGCTGCATAAATGTCTTCTTTTTAGAAGTGTCTGTTCATATCCTTCACCCATTTTTTGATGGGGTTGTTTGATTTTTTTCTTGTAAATTTGTTTAAGTTATTGCAGCACTATTCACAATAGCAAAGACTTGGAACCAACCCAAATGTCCATCAATGATAGACTGGATTAAGAAAATGTGGCACATATACACCATGGAATACTATGCAGCCATAAAAAAGGATGAGTTCATGTCCTTTGTAGCGACATGGATGAAAGTGGAAACCATCATTCTGAGCAAACTGTCACAAGGACAGAAAACCAAACACCACATGTTCTCACTCATAGGTGGGAATTGAACAATGAGAACACTTAGACACAGGACGGGGAACATCACACACCAGGGCCTGTCATGGGGTAGGGTGAGGGGGGAGGGATAGCATTAGGAGATATACCTAATGTAAATGACAAATTAATGGGTGCAGCACACCAACCTGGCACACGTATACATATGTAACAAACCTGCACGTTGTGCACATGTACCCTAGAACCTAAAGTATAATTTTAAAAAAAGAAAAGAAATAGTGTAGTTATTAAGAGCAGTTACCCTCGAGTCAGACTGAGTTTGAATCCTGGCTATTGCACTTATTGGCCTTATGAGCTTTGGAGGCTGGATAATCTTCTCTATGCCTCAGTGTCCTCCTCTATAAAATAGGATTCCTGATAGTACTTAACTCATAGGGTTGTTGTGAAAGTTAGATGAGTTAGCAATGTCACATGCTCAGGGTTGTGCAGGGCACGTCCTAAACACTTAAGATGCATTATCTTTATTTCAGTTCATGCTCTACAAGTATTTGCCATCCTTTTCTGCTTTTAAAGCACTATCAGCAAATAGCAGGAAAAGTCATCATTGTCAGAGTAACACACCGTACTTTGACCCACACCCACAAAATAAGGCTTAAGGAAATTTTTTTGCATGAACGTCTGCAAATTTTGGTTTTTCCTCCTAAATACCTCCTGCTCCATTATAGATGTCTGAGAATTCAGAAAATGACCACTGCTTTTACAGTAAATTTGGCAAAGGTGTATATTTTCTTTCCACCCAAAAAGGGAACTGGAATTCTGTATCCCCAGTCCTTATTCCTGGGTGTCCTTGAATTTGTGCCTGGTTTGAGGGAGATTGGCTGAGGATTCAATAACATCACTCTCATGAAGTGCTAGCCCCGCATATCCTGGACGCTCCGTAGGGATATATTCCCATTCTTTGTTCTTCCGACCTGTTTACCAGCCTTGACTATTGCTACAGCTGTGGCAAGCCTTCCCCTCCCTGCCCCACCGGGATGATGACTGCATAGAGACAATTGTTTTATAAACCCAGTCAAGGAGCAAGGAGGAAGGAAATGCACATATGATCTCCTAAATAAAATTAGACCACCAAGGCTGAGAAACGTTTAATTTGTGGCCCATGTTACAGAACTGGCTTCCTCAGATAGGGAATTTTCTTTTTGCCAATTCTTTGATTCCAGAAGTAGCCATGTCAGGTGGCAGGGGTGGCATCTCTCCATGGTGCCCAATTCCCTGGCTGGCATTTGAATGAGCAGGGTCCTTTTAATCCTGTGGCTGCTTACCCCAGAGTAATAGCAGATGGAATCTGCTTTTTATTACTTTTGCCTGTTGCCCCTGAGTCCACACCAGAAACCACTCAGGCAGGATCTGGAAAGCATACAAACCTCATCAAATAAAACGGAGGAACAAGTCCACTCTGGCTTCTGAGAACTCCAGGAACTCCTGGAAGAAGGTGCTTCATCTCTGCAGTGCTTGGAACCCTGGCTGACAAGGAAAACGGTGGGTTTACGGGGTTCAAGGAAAATAGAGTGTCACCTAAAAACCAGACCTGAAAGTGGGGGGATGTGGAATGCCATCCTCTATAGCAGTTTTTTCTGTAGTAGCTAATTACTGAGGCACTAAATCAATTATTTGTAGAAACCCTGTTCCTGAGGACCTAGCTTCTGCAAAGCAATTTATTCCCAAAGATATCCTTTCTGCCTCTTTCTTTCTCCCAGAAATTTATTCTCTGCTTCCCCTACTGGGAAAAGAGTTGCCCCTTTAAGTATAGCTCATAGAATTTCCACATAGGCCAAGAATCATCCATCAAGAGCATACACAATCAGAGAAATCTTTATATAAACACTGCAGTTCCCCTACTGCACGACAATGACCAGATTTCCGATGTCCCCACCTTCCACATACCCTGGCACTGGTGTTGTCCAGCTGTGGTCAGTTCATCCAAAGGGCGGGTTTTCAATGCTCACGTTTCCTCCTGTTACGGGCTCCAGCTTTACCTGCCTCTTATTGTTCTCCTTCGCCTAGAGAATGCTGAGTGTAACAATGACCCCAGGAATTCAAGCCAAGGAGCCCAAGAGGGGCCAGATGGCGCCTTCATTCCTGGTGCCAGAACTGTGGCGTTTCTCTGAATGTAAGACTTTCACGCAGACTCTAAAATATTATCACGTAAGCAAAGAAATTTGTTTTTTGTTCAGAAAGAATGACTGGTTATTGTCAAAGTTCTGCAACATCTGTGCCTTAGTACTGGCTGTTAAGTGGCCTTAGAGGAAGACCATTTGATAATCAGCCCAGAAGGCCAAAGAATTGTATGACTTCCAGGTGGGCCCCAGTGTATGCTTGGGTGGGGAAACATATTGGTGCACATGCTTTTCTCAGTGGGAACTAGAACGTGAACTCTGAACATTTCCTGCACCTATTCTAAGCTTCACAGAAAGTTTTATGTTGAAATTCTGTTAAGCCTTGCTGTAGATGAAGAGGTACGAACTGTCTGAAAATCATGTTAAATGTCTGTTAAAGGGCCAGGCATGGTGCCTCATGACTGTAATCCCAACACTTTGGGAGGCTGAAGTGAGAGGATTGCTTGAGCCCAGGAGTTTGGGACCAGCTAGGCAACATAGTGAGACCCTGTCCCTACAAAAATAAATACACAAATAAATTAGCTGGGTGTGGTGGTACACGCCTGTGGTCTCAGCTACTTGGGAGGCTGAGGTAAGAGGATTGCATGAGCCCAGGCTGCAGTCCAGCCTGGGTGACAGACTAAGATCCTGTCTCAAAAAATATATAAATAAATAAATAATGAATGTTTGTTAAGAGACATGAATCATTTTTGTGTGTATAGTTGATCCTTGAACAATGTAGAGGTTAGGGGTATGAAGCCCCCACCCCCGACCAGTGTGGTAAAAAAATCATATGTAAGTTTTGGCTACCCCAAAATTTAATATCCTACTGTTGACCAGAATACTTACTGATGACATAAGGTCGATTAACACATATTTTGTATGTTATATGTATTATATGATTTATTCTTACAATAAAGTGAGAGAAAAGAAAATGTTAAAGTCATAAGGAAGAGAAAATATATTCACTATATTAAGTAGAAGTGGGTCATCATAAACACCTTCATCCTTGTCATCTTGACACTGAGTAGGCGGAGGAATAGGAGGGGTTGGTCTTGCCGTCTCAGGGGTGATGGAGGCAGAAGAAAATCTGCAAAAGGTAAACCCATATTGTTCAAGGGTCAACTCTATGTTTAAATGTATGAGTTAACAATTTTTTACATAGGAAGAAATACAGGTGCTTTGAGGAAACTGTTCTGAGTGAAAGCTGGGAATTTTCTGATTCCAGGCTCTGTATTAAACATTTCTGGTTGTCCAGGGAATGATCATATTCAATTTCAGTGCATACCAGGACTTCCTAGGGAAATTGATTGGTTTGTTTCTTAAAATGTGTACAGGCAGGGCAATTCTGACTGAGGACAAGGTAGATAAGTGTAGATGGATGCCTCTGAGAAACATTCCAGGATCAATAACTATCTCCCACCACGGTTAGAAGACCACCAAGTAGTTGCTCTAAAGAGTGAAAGTTAAGTAAGAAAATACAGAGTCATACTGACTGTGAGAAAACCTGCAGAATTAAATCTTACTGGGGGAAATCAGAGCATAGAAATAAGGAGAGGATAGACCAGAGGTCAATACATTTTTTGTAAGGGACCTAATGCTAAAATATTTAGTGTCTTCTAGTATCACTAGATGATGCTAAATATCTTAGACTCTGCGGGTCGCAGGGTCTCTGTCAAAACTACTCATCTCTATTGTGGTAGCAGGAAGGCAGCCACAGATGCTTTGTCGATAAATGGGCATGTTTGTGTTCCACTAAAGCTATTTATAAACACTGAGCTTTGAATTCCATGTAATTGTCATGTATCACAAAATATTCGTCTCTTAATTTTTTGTCAACCATTTGAAAATATTAAAGCCATTCTTACCTCATGAGTTGTACAAAACCAGGCAGTGGGTTGGATTGGGTGGTAGTCTGTAAACTTTTGAGGTAACAATAAACTGGTGTGAAGCAACTCAGGCCACCAGATCCCAAGACCCAAAGATGGGAATTCTTTAGAAAAGTGTATTGTAATCAAGAATATACATAAAGTTTAGATTGTATGAAATAATGAATGCAGAATTTAAGGACTGTGAAGAAAAGGTCAAAGTTTATCACTTATATCCATGTTCACCCCCAGCCTGCTCCCACCCCACCGTTTTCTTCCCTCCACCACACACCCACACCCTGGCATAAAACCATGCATTATCTACTGTGGTAGTTCTCAAAGTGCGGCCCCTGAATCAGCATTTCCCATGCCAAACCCCTGTTAACTTCAGTAGGGATTGCACCACGTTCAAGAGGCCGAAGAAGAGATCCAGAGCCAGCGAACAAGACATGAGGTTTTATTGAGGGCTTACCTACAGGGGAAAGAGTCCAGTGGCAGCGAGCTGGACAGGAGAACCACCTTATGTACAGAAACAGTCCAGTGGTAGAGGGATGGACAAGATAACCACCTTACAGTCCAGTGGAGGCCAATTAAGTAGGAAAACTGCAACTGCTTGCCAACAGCATGCGGCTTATATAACATTATCACTTAACACTCTCCTTTTAATGACCTCTGCCTTGTAACCTTTATTTAATCAAAACTCAGAGCCTCAATTTCCTGCATAGCCTATGTTCCATGGAACAGGTCAGGGGCTCAGATGTTCCTCATTGACAAGGAATGAATCTCCAGGTTGGCCACTCCCAGATTCCAGCTTGGAACTCACATTCAGGTGTATCTACCATACAGGGTTGTTCTAAGGATATGCTTAGGTTATTGCTCTCGGGTGCATTTGCCCTACAGCATCCCCTGGGAACTTGTTAGAAATGCATGTTCTCAGGTTCCACCCTCTGACCTGATGAATCAGCAACTCTGAGGGGGCGGTGGCCCAGTGACCTGTGTCACTTAAACAAATCCTCTGAGTGACTCCTAGGAGCAGTCCAGTTTGAGAACCACTGATGCAGGGAGTGAGAGCAGTGAGTCCAGCCTGGAGGGTCACAGCAGCTCTGCCACATTTTGGCTGGATGATCCCGAGCATCAGTGTCCTCCTTGGTAAAGTGGGGGTGTGAATGTAACAGAGAGGGAAGGCATAGTAATCAACTGCCTGTAGCCACTTCTGCTTTGTAAAGGAGACGGTGCATTCATATCAAAGGGAAAAATATACTCTAGGCCTCTTCATTCCACTGATCATGGCTAGAGAAAAGAAGGGAAAGACTGAGATTTCAAAAGTGATGCCAGTTCCGAGACCTGGAGACACTCATGGATGGACAAGAAGATCCCAGAGCCTGGTGGAGAGCTAATTTGAATTTGGGAGGCAGGGAGTGGGTGAGCCCAAAAGATGGAGAGATGGAGAAGAAGGAAGACCATCCTGTGAGGGAGGGGTGGAAACCCCTGATATTTGGTAGCATGGCCAAAAGACTTGGAAATGGGGTGACTAATGCCCAGTTTTATAGAAACTGGTAAATTTGACCTTGACCCACTGCAAGGCTTCATCTCTCCGTTGTCTTAAACCTTCTGTGAAGTTGGCCTCAGCACAATGCTACTGGGTAAATGTGTTCAGAAAACACACACACACACACACACACACACACACACACACACACACACACACACACACAAAGAAGAGCCATGTTCCCAGTCCTGGGCCACAGCTGCTGGGGAAGCAGAAGAGCTGAGTGAGGGATTGAGAGGGACAGCCTGAAACTGTGGAGTCAGCAGTGCCTTGAGAATTTCAGTTCCTGGGAATGTGCTACAATCTTGGTCTTCCCAATGGATTTAAGATAGGGGGGTTAAGCCAATTTTATTTCAATCTCAAGTGACAGAGTGACCTCAGTTGAGCCTGGATTGCATTGATAGCTACAGTGGGAGCCACTGTGGGAATCAAAGTAGAAAGCATGTGAATGCTAGCACATGGAATTTGGCACTTAGATTCTCAAGGTTTGGTAACCACAGTTAGTGTGGGAGTTGTTAATGAATACTGTTATTTTTAAAATTTCCAAGCTTGTCTATTTTGAAAAGGAATCTATTTTTTTTAATAAAGAAGAATTTGATGGAAAATTCTGCTGCCTCCCGGTAAATGTTTCTCTTAGTTAATTATGATCATAGATGGCTGCTGGTTGGATCATGACATCATCGGAACCTAGGCAGGGCCGCTCAGCTGGAAGCAGCTTGTTTGAAACTCCCTGAGGAAATCATCATTTTACTTTCACTGGGCTTGAGAAAGACCAGTGTACTAAGGCAAAAGCGTTGACAAACTATGGACCAAATCTGGTCCATGGCCCTGCTAAGAATGGCTTATACATTTTTAAAAGGTTGTTAAAAGAAAAAACAAAACAAAAAACCCCCCTAAAAACAACAAAAAAACCAAACCAAAGAATATGTGATGGAGATTGAATGTGGTCCACAAAACCTAAAATTTTTATTATCTGACTTTTCACAGAAAGTTGCTGAGCCCTGACTTAGGCCATGGTGGTGGTCAGACCCCACAGTTGGGGACTGCAGGGGTAGGGGAGGAAGTGTCCCAAGCATGGTAAGCAGCCTGGAGCCCAGGGATGCACCTTGTGTTTAAACCTGGCAGTGCATTTAGTCAAAGAAAAGGGCTGAGATCACATTATTCTGGCCACTTATCCTGGCCCCACAGAGCAAGGCCCAGGGAGGAAAAAGAGGCAGCCCAGGTCTCAGGACTGAGGCTTTAACATTGCAGATATGCAACCTCCTCTACTCCTAGAAGCCTCATGAGGGAGCCTCTGGAGTGGACAGTTGGCTTAGCCCATGGGAAGGACAGGAGTGGGGCAACTTGAGGACAAGGTCACTGTCTGTAAGGGAGGAAGGAGGTGGGAAGCAGGCTCAGGGGTGGGAGAGGACTGAGGACAGCCAGCTGCCGGGGGCCGAGGCCTTGGTCAGCTCAGCAAGCTGGTCCCATGGGGACACTGAGAGAACGGGCTGCTCCCTAAGGAAACTCGAGTTTTGGGTCAGTCTGATCCTACCAGACATCACATGAGACACCACGCAAGTGACCTCTACCCTGCCTTCTCCCTGAGAACATGGCTCACCATTCTCTCCTTGCTTTACCCCACCACCCTACTGGAAGAAAGAGAGAACAGCCAGCCTCCAGGGCCCTTCCTTTCCCTGGCCACCTTCCTTCAGACACAGCATGCTTGGATTCAGAGTAAGAAAGAAAATGAGAACTGAAAACTGGACCTTGTTTCATTCAAGTGCCTTGTTTTGAATCCTGTTTTTTTCTGTTCCTTTTTGGCACCGTGGGCATTCCTGCAGAGTGGAGTTTGAATAGAGGCACATTCTTCAGAGGGGAAAAGTCCCGCTGCCTGGCCCAGGGCTGAGCTCTTAGGCCAACACATACAGGGCTCTGGGTGGTTTGCTGATTCAGCAGGTGCTGGCTGCCCTTGGCCACCTTAAAGAGTCGCAGGGTGTCCCCTGAGCAAGCTCTTGGTGGCCAGATAAGTGACTGTGCTGGGCCCTGGGTCTCCTGGGGGTGGGAATCTTGCAGTCATCATTGGTGATGGTCATGTGGGCCTGAGCATGGTGTCAAGATGCTGGCACCCTGCAAGGGTGGAGCGTACCTCTAGAGATGCCCACTGTCAGAGTCCATTGTTGATTGTTATTTCCCTGGCATTTTTCAGAATAAGAGAGGTCACATCAGGGGAAGGTTGTTTTAAGCTGTCTAACAGAAGAGACCTTGCCTATTTTATTCCCTGCTGAATCTCCACTGCCCTTAACTGTGTGTGCCTCATGGAGGACACTCAAATATCTGTTGATATTGGTTGGGCATGTTGAAAACTCTATTTTTAAAAGAAAATAAACCCAAAAAGAAGGGGCGAGTCACTACTCAGACAGTTGGTGATTCAATAATCTATTCTGGAAATTCTTTCCCTGTAGACTCAGTCACTCAATTCCATCGAACCCCTACTGTGTGTTTAACTTTGTAATAGAAACAGAAAGATGTACTAGACTCAGGCAGTCACATCTAGATGAGAAAATGAACCAAAACCCATGTTCCGGCTGACTTACCTCTCCAGACTGACTGCACGCAGTTCTGTTTTGAACTTCAGTTTCAGCCCCATTTAATACTTGTATGTTGTAGCGAACAGAATATAGTGTAATATCTTAAGTGCCAGAAATCACTAGGTGCAAACCCTGGCTCTGCCAGTTTCTAGCAGTGCGACCTTAGGCAAGTTATTTTAATGCTCTCAGCCCCAGTTTTCTTCTGTGACATGGAGGTAATAATAGCCTCTATCTCAGGGTGTTGTTTTGAGGAAGAAGTGAAATGATGTGCATTATTTCAGATTTTATTTATTATGCACATGGCATTCCTAGGAGAGCACCTGGAGCAGAGTAGGAGTTTAATAGATTTTAGCTATTATTGTTGGGTATATATTTTTTGTCTTCTCTGCCTGGGATGCTGCCTATACTGCAGGCCAACTTTCCATTCATCCTCTAAGGCTCAGTTCAGCCAGGACAATACTTCCTTAAGATGAAGCATCTTTGGTCATTTTTCCTCACCCTTTTCTGGGAGGCACACTCAGGGGTGTCTCTTCTGTGCTTCCACTGTGACTTGTGCACATCTGTCCTGAGAGTCACTGCCTGGTGCTGTTATTTTCAGCTCCAATGTCTGCCTCTTCTTTAGACCTAGAGCCCCTTTAAGTCAAGGTACCAGTTTACTTACCCCCTACCCTCTTGGCTTACGTGATTTTTTATTGCGTTAGGAGTACAAGTGTTTGCTGAATAAATGAAGGGACAAGTAATATTCCATCATTTCAGGAATAAAGTATTGTGACAGATAATCAGGTCTTCCTTGAGGTCAGAAGAAAAGGACTAAAGCTTGTGGTATATGTTCAAAGAGGAAGAAAGGACAATTTGACAAGAAGAAGTAAAAGCCCATATATGGCATTCATTATAGTCTCAATGTTGGTGTCTACTCAATATTCATACATTGAAATCCCAACCCCCAAAGTGATGATATTAGGAGATGGGGCCTTTGGGAGGTGATTAGGCAGAGCCTTCATAAATAGGATTAGTGCTCTAATAAAAGAGACCTGAGAGAGCTAACTCACTCCTTCTACCATGTGAAGACACAGAGAGAAGGCACCAGGTATGAATGAGAAAGTGGGCCCTCACCAGACAATTAATCTGCTGGTGCCTTGATCTCAGACTTCTCAGCTTATGGAACTATGAGAAATAAAGCTGTGTCATTTATAAGCTACCCAGCTTGTGGTATTTTATTATAGTAGCCCCAATGGACTAAGACAATATTGTTATATTATCTATAATTTACTTTAAAGCAGCTCTGTTTAAAACATATGTTGATGATGTGTATTTCAGTTTGCTTAATGCTCTAAGCACAGTTATTTAGTATTTGAAGTTTCCTAATATTTCAGAAGTATTAGGGGTAGTTCTGTTATGTTCCAGACTGTGATACTAGCACTTCAGTTATATTTATTTCCAATGGACACCAGAACTTTTGTTTATTAGCATACTGGGTGTTAGATTTTATTTTTTATTGGTGAAACGAGTGGTGTTTGTTGGATCGGTTAGGAAGGCTGCACAGGGGTCCTTGCCTTTGTGTGATTAGGGCATGAGCAGCTCACACCCTCTGGAGTGTCCCCCAAGTCTTAGAATTCTGCTAGATTCTGTGTTCATTTGCTTAAGGAGAATCGTGTCATTTGACCAATTAACTGAACCCTGCTGCTAGCTCCTTGTCACATCTGCTTGGAATGAAAGGACAGAGAGCTAGGATAAACCAGGTGGTCCTATGTTTGCTGAGCTTGCAAACCAGGTGGTCTGATGTTTTCGTTGCTGCTGGCTGATAGGTCTCTCTATGTGTCAGAGTTTGGTCTGAGTCTTGATCTCATTACAGCAGACCACCTGGCTGAGAGGTGGTGGGGAGGAGACTGTGGCCTTCACCCCTCTAACCACTGATGGCTGCCAGAAGGCTAAGAACCTAATACTGTAATCTTGAATGACCTACAGTGAAGGTCAACTTGAAGGAATATATTTGGAGGGCAGTGATAGCAATGAATATGGAAAAGCAAGAATGTATGCGAGGGATACAAACAAGACCACAATCAGCAGGATTTGGGGGCTGATTCAATATGGCAGCAACCAAGACGGTATGTCAAAAACAAGACATACGTGTGTATGTGTGAAGAGATAAATAAGCATACAAAGTATTTCACATAGTTTATTTGATTCTCACAACAGTGCAGAGGTGTGGATCGGGCAGTTATTAGAAACAGAGGTGTGGCCAGGCGCGGTGGCTCATGCCTGTAATCCCAGGACTTTGGGAGGCTGAGGCGGGCGGATCACAAGGTCAGGAGATCAAGACCATCCTGGCTAACACGGTGAAACCCCGTCTCTACTAAAAATACACAAAAAATTAGCCGGGCGTGGTGGCAGGCGCCTGTGGTCCCAGCTACACGGGAGGCTGAGGCAGGAGAATGGCGTGAACCCGGGAGGTGGAGCTTGCAGTGAGCCAAGGTCGCACTACTGCACTCCAGCCTGGGGGACAGTGCAAGACTCCGTCTCGAACAAACAAACAAAACAAACAAACAAACAAAAAACAGAGGTGCAGTGCTATATAAACATGTCAGGGATGTGCTCAAAGTCACACGGCCGAGAACTGGAGAACTGGCAGTGTTGGGATCCAGACTCAGATTTTCAGACCCCAAGTCGGTTTCTCTTTCCATTATGTCTCATAGAGAAAAAGATTATTTTTGTTTGTTTGTTTGTTTGTTTTCATTATTGCTAGTATTATTTTTAGAGACAAGCCTGGCTCTGTCACCCAGGCTGGTGTGAAGTGGCATGATCATAGCCCACTGCACCATCGATCTCCTGGGCTCCAGCAATCTTCCCATCTCGGCCTCTCAAAGTGTTGGGATTACAGACATGAGCCACTGTGCCTGGCCACAAAGATTCTAAGGCTGGGTGACTGGGAGAAATAGAGAGGCTGAGAAGGAAGCAAAGAGGGCTGAGGCCAAGGTACTGAGGAGCAGTGGATGGAGGCAGATAGTGAAAGACTGGTGGGAGCGCCCTCAGATGGAGGAGGAATGAGCCCCTGAAGGAGTCCTTTCCCCCACGTGTGTGGATGACATCCACTCTTCACATGAGAGAGGCACAGCCTCTCTGTTCAGCAAGAGTCAGGCTCGCCAGGCTGTTGCCTAAATCTAAGGACAATTCTGCATAGGAATCCAAGGTGCCCCTACAGCTCACTCTCCAGATGGCAGATTTCCTTGGGCCCTTCCTTCTGTTTGGGGCATCCTGTTTCACCCTCAGACTGCCTCCATTCACAAACAAAAAGAGCCTCTTGCCCTAAACTTAGCTTGGGGAAAAGGATTTTTTCATGCATCAAGGGAAAAGAGGAAACCAAAGCCATAGAACATATTTCCGTTGGCTGTGTCCCTGCTGACATGTGGTGATTCATCAGAGTGTGACACAACAGACCCTTTATGGTGATTAGCACTGGCTTGTTGAGCAAAGTCTCCTATCTCAGTATCCTTTTGCTGTTTCGAAAAACAAGTAAATAAATAGGATAAATAGCACATTCTCTATGGATGTCCACAACACCATAGAATGAGAGCGAACACAAAACACCCTATGTTGGCTTTTTTATTTGTCATCACTTTTTAATTTAGACCAGTGGTTTCCATTGCTCCTGGGGAGCCTTTTAAAAATACAGATTCCTAGGTCTGGCCTCTGCTGGTTCTGATTTTGTAAATATAAAAAAGAGCCTGTTTTCCTCCAGAGAGTCGGCAATGTTTATGCTGAAAGAACCTTTGCTCCTTTGTTCTAGGACAGGCTACAGGCTTGAGTGAAGAGAGAACTTTCCTTATGCTCTTTGCCAATGTCCATGTGGTCTCATTTGATTGGAGCCACTCATCAGATTAGTGATCTTGTGCCTCCAGGCCTGGGCTAGCTCTGTTCTCCATGGGTGCTTTCCCAACTTTTCCATCTGGCCTCAACCTTCTGTTCCTAAATTGGCCTTGACAGATTTAGAAGGTGCCTTGGAGACATATCTGTGCCCAATGAACAACTTAACTTGGCATGGGTCTCTGGGCATGAGGGCTGATGGGCCAGAGGATAGTCTGGGTTTCTGAAAGTAGTGCATGACAGAGAAACTGACCAGGGAAAGAGATTTTTGGGAAACACATTTCTGAGGTTGTCTGGGAGGTGCAGACAAAATCTGGTAAGTTTTGAGGCGTAAAAAGCAGCCTGGAACAAAGGGTTGGAGAGGTTGCAAACTTTATTCCCATTTCTGTATTTTAATTCTTCTTGCTTAGCTTCCAGGTGAACTGGATATATCCCTGGGCAGGCAGTGTACATCTTCTTAGAGCCTTACACCTCAGTGTGAATGAGTATATTAGATTCTCTCCTGAAATTGGGAAAGAAAGAGAGAATGATGTTTCAGAAAGAAAATCAGAAGAGCAGGTGGTTGGTGACCAGAAGGCCGCTCTGGGTCTTCAGCAGCTTTGCCTGGATATGGGGAGGGCACGGGGCACAGGGCACCGAGGCAAACGAAACAGGGACCTGGGCTGCCATGTTCTCTGGGAAATGTTTCATGTGAGTGCTCTGGGTAGAATGGATACAGGTGCATCTCCCATCCCTTAAAGTCTTTTTCTTTTTGGCATCCCTCGGTAATGTAATTTTGGAAACATGGAGAAGTTTCTATGTTTCAAAAGTAGTAGGCTGTAGGTTTATATGGATTATACAGGAAATAACATTGTCTTCGCTGACTCTAGAATTTTTTTTGTTATGGTAAAATGCATATAACATAAAATTTACTATTTTAATCATTTTAGGTGCATACTCCAGTAGCATTAAGTACATTCACATAGTCATGCAACCATCACCACCACCCATTGCCAGAGCTTTGTTACCATCCCCAGCTGAAACTCTGAACCCACTAAACACTAACTCTCTATTCCCCACTCCCCCAGCCCCTAATAAGCACTGTTTTACTTTCATCTCCATGAATGACTCTAGAATTTTATAACTTGGATCCTTTAAGATACAAATCCTCCAAGATACCCAGAAGTAATCCTTGGTAAATTCAGGTAGATTCTTGGATAAAATCAATTGCCTCCTCTGGTGTGTTTTAGCTATTTGTGTCTCCAAGCACCCTTCACTGTAGGGTTATCTTCTCCCTCAGTCCTCCCATCAAGAAAGCTTATAATGCATGGGTTTACAAGCAGGAAGTGGAGAAAACTGGTGCCTCACAGGTGAGCCCAGGAATCGAGGAAATCCTGAATGAACCCCTGAAAGGTGGCCTTTAGTCACTGGGCCAATTGTGAGCTGTTACCCCTAGATTTTCCTTCTATTTCATCTCCTCCCTAGAGAATCCTAAGACCAACCAACAACAGCAATATCATCAACAGCCCTGGCGAGTTCTCTGCCCGTAACCCTCCCTTCATAATGGGTCTTTTCCCCTTCATGGGCTTTGAAGAAAAGCCTGTTCTGCTCCTGCCTTTGTCTTTGGTCTCATTATTTCCCTTCTTCATCAGGTGGGTGCTGAAGAGAAGAGCCCAGGGCCCGTATTTGCAGCAAAGTTAGATCACGTTCATCCAACTGGGAGTTGAGTGTCTTGGCTGCTGGCTGGTGGGCCTACTGATCTGATTAGCCATGAGACATCTCTGGGCAGTTTCAGTTGTTTATGCATACACAGATGCTCATGACCTATCTGATTTGAAAACCACAACAACTAAGCAAGGCAGATCACTTTAGCTTTGCTGTGAATTGGCTCTCTCACCAACCCTCTAGCTCTCAGGGAGGCAGGTTCAAGGTAGCTAATAAGTAACTGATTGTAATTTTTATTTAGCTACGTGAATTTAACGGGCAGCTTAATTGCAGTTGTAGAAGTGAACCACGTAATCACAAATTGGGCCCTTTACATCTGTCACTCGCCACCAAGAGAAATGCTCTGAGTGGAGATCCTTATTTTTGTTTGGGCTAATACTGAATCAAAGAGGTTTTTAAAGTTAGAGAGGTGAAAAGAACGAGGTGCTTTTTTTGGTTGTTGTTCATTTTTTACATGCAGAAACCTTAAGATCCAATCTTGCCTGAGCCAACCAGCAATTCTTCTGTTCCCTTCTGGGTTCCTCTGTTAGCTTTTCAATGGGTATTTAAATCCCAGCTACTGAGTATTGATCGACCTCCTTGTTTAATTACCCAGCAGAGTGCATTCTCAACCAATCCATTTTGCTCCTGAAATGCCAGCGTGCAGCTTGGGAGGGAGGAGGGGATCAATTAATCCTTGTTTGCTTTTTAATTCCTGTTCCGAACATAGTACATTCACACGCAGGTTAATTTTTAAATCCTCTCCTCTTACTTCACTGCTTTAATTCACCCTGGAAACCTCAGTGACCCTAAAGCTCTATCAAGTTCTCCTTATTGCTTATGCAGCCTCATTAAATAGTTTAGCAAATACCTGACTTGGTCATTTCCCAGGCTTCTGCTGGGAACAATCGTCCAAAGTCCCTTAATTTTTTTGTTCCTGTCTGAAGTCCCTTAGGGCAGAGGTGTTCAGGAACTGCTGACACCTCTCCATCTTAACCTCGAGTAGAAGGGAAAAGGAGGGCTTCTTTGTGCCATTGGAGGGCTTGTTCCCGGGTCCTCTTTCTCATCAGAGCTAGCAAATTTTGAGTCCAGATTCCATTCTATTTGAAGGGCTTTGTGAAGGAAGAATATGTGTTAGATATTGGGAGCCCGTAGACACATAAAGAGCTAAAGGATCAGGGCATTGCATTTTTCTGTGATAGTTTAAATGTTGATAATGACCTTTCTAGGCATATGAACAAGATCACATCCTTTTGGTTTTTGTCTTTTTAGAGACAGGGTCTTGCTCTGTCACCCAGGCTGGAGTACAGCCGCGCAGTCATGGCTCACTGCAGCCTTAACCACCTGGGCTCAAGTGATCCCCTTGCCTCAGCCTCCCGAGTAGCTGGGACTACAGGCGTGCACCACCATGCCTGGCTGATTTTTATACTTTTTGTAGAGACAGGGTTTCATCATGTTGCCCAGGCTCGTCATGAAGTTCCGAACTCCAGGGATCCTCCCTCCCTGACCTCCCAGAATGCTGGTATTAGAGCATTTTGAGCCACCATGCCCAGTCTATGCTTTTTTGCTCCATGCTGATTTTTAAACTTAAATTTAAGCTCAAAATATTTAGATAATATCAAGAATGGCAGTCAGCAGAGGGAGTGAGTCTCTTCTATTCTTGATAGGCCATCACTGATCCTCCTACCTAGCTGGGAGTATAAGGAGCCCATGGTGGGGGAGGTTTGGACATTTTGAGCCCAAGCACATGTCTCAGCCTGTAGAAGAGATATGCTGAAGGCATAGATTGGCTTGATTCTGGTGAGCTGTTAGCCACATTTGAACACATCAGCTCCAATGCAGTTTGCTTAGGCACAACCTTGAAGTCGAAGATCAGTCAGAGGAGCTTTAAGGAGCTCTACTGGGAATCTTTTATTGCATCTGTGAAGTCTGCCTGTATTTGGCTAATGTGTGTTTCCTTTCACCTGATAGAGTGCAAAATGCCTTTGAACCCGGGAAAGGATCCCTGAGGGATGAGAGTGCTCCATTCTTTCCCAGGATATTAATGTCGTGGGACTTGGCTGCTTTCAGCTTCTAAACAGTGTGACTCCAGCTAAGAAGCAGGCATTTGACCTTTGGGGGCTTTGATCTTGTATTTTTCTGCTGGTGCATTTAATATGATACCTAAAAATAAACAGACTAATGGGGACTTTTTAAAATAAGGCCACTCATAAATATCACAAAACGCTTAGGAACAAACAACTTCCAGTCCTTCTACTATCTGAGGGAGAGAGAGGCTAAATGGTGATTGCAAATGAGGTTTCCCTGTTATGATTCCTGATCAGGGACAGCTGCCCCCAGGTCCCATAAGCTATGCCTAATGCAAATATGACCCTTTTCAAATTGTTCTGGAAGGTGCTGATAGCATGTAAGAGATGTGGAAAGGTTGCATTATGTATGAAAACACATATTAAGCTGCAGTATAGACTCCATGAATTCCAAGAGGCCAGGCTTTTCACTTTCAGTTTTACGGGGCTCCGGTGGAGTTTCTTACTGCACCAACTCATCCTATTTCCAGGGTGTTTATGTCTTTACTCTCATAGCCTTCCAATCTTGTCCAAAAGCCACCAGGATAAAACAACAGTGGAGGCGCATTTGTAAACTGAAGGCAATTGATTTAGAGTAAAAAAATAAAATGCCAAGCCCCTGGGGACCAACATGTGAAAATATTTTGGTGGCTTCAACAGTGAAAACAAGTTTCAGTGATATTATACACATAAATATTTGTGTAGCAGGTTCTGCACCTTTAATATCCAGGGCAATAACCCAGATTTTGACTTACGCAAAATCTGAGTTGTGCAAAACTGCGTGGAAGGGAACGATTGCATAAGCAGGGATGTAACTGTTCCATTACGTGGTGGGAACTGAGATTGAATGAATCAGTGTATTAGTGACTAAACCCAAAATTGGAAAGGCAGGAGAAAAATCCTACACACACACACACACACACACACACACACACACACACACACACACTTGTTTGTTAATATCCTCTGCCTCAACTTCAATTCTGCTGAAAAAGGGCTTAAGAAAGGCTTACCTACCAGTAATTTACTTGGAGGCATACATGATCTTTAGGAGCAGGGGTGAGGGACGGGGAGGGAAAGCCAAAACAAGAATGCATTATCTAGTAGTATCTAGTATCTAGTATCATTGACACAAGCATCTCGTTCTCAGTCCTGCTGGAACCTTCTGAGAAGCTTCATAAAATGCCCTTAAGAACTGGCCATTAAAGGGGCCGGGGGGAAGCATTTATCCATGAACCCTGCTGTCACTAAACCCCAGTCTGGGTGGCTCTTTTGAGCAGCTCCTTGTTAGAGATGCTCCAGGGCTGGAGGCAGGAGCCAAGGAGAGAAGACCTGGCATGAGGCACCCTCTGTGGCCATATCTGTGGGAAGCTGGCAAAGCCCCAGTGGACCTGGTCACCATGGCCATGGCCAGAGCAGGGGTGAGGCCAAGAGGAACCGGAAGTGATACTGCATGTGACGTGCCTGAAACACACAGGGAGTGGGGGCAGGGAGGTCAAGAGTGACCTAGGCTTCAGAGTGGAGCAGAGTGGGGTTATGAGGAGCAGGAGGCCATATCTAAACGCCAAACGCAGCACATGATGTGACAAGCATACATACTGTTAGAGAGACAGAAGATTTATGTGAAGATGGGCATCTGAGTGCTAGGAAAAATATATTAAAGATGGGGATTCTCCTGGAAATTTGAGGAGATATGTCCTCAGAACAAACAAAAAAATGGTACTCCATCTGCTGTTAATTAATTCAGTAGGACCTGGGGCTGAGTAAGGAAGCAGATCCTCTGTAACTGTCAGAAACAACTGGGGCATCAGCATATCCCAGTCAAGCCCGAACTGTGGCCTGAGCTTCCTGTCACCAGAGTTACCTGATCTGGAAAAATTTGTCTGGTACACTGAAGATGAAATGGTGCCTCCGAACTGTGGATGCTTCCCGCTGGAATGGCTGTGAGGCACTTTCTGTTTTTTCCACCCTTCCTTATAAATGAAGACAACCGGGAATCTGAGAGGGGTAGTTCCCATTGCTGCTCAGTAAAGAGGCAGAAACTAGAACCCAAGTTGTTAGTCAGGGATTGTGTACAGCCATAAAAAAAGACAACTGAAAAGCAACATCTTGAACAACTTGGGGGTTGGTTTTTCTCTCATGACGAGAGGTCCAGAGGTAGATAGTTGCTGGCATTGGTTCGGTGGTGAAGGTGCCAGGCCACATTCTCTGTGACTCTGTGGCCTTTCCCTCAGGATCAGTCAGAAGATGGCTGTTGCAGGAAAGCAGACTTGCCGTGAGAAAGGCGAGGGCTCAAAAGCCCAGCCTGACTTCTGCTTAAATTATATTCCTTGGAACTGTATCACATGGCCACCCTTATCTTGGAGAGTGGCCGAGAAACATAATTTCTTCAGCTGGGTGCTTTGCATTACATCAGGTCTCTCTACTAAGGAAGAACTATAGAATGGGTACTAGGTAGGCATTTAGTGTTCTCATCTGCAGAGGAACCCCAGAAAACCATCCATGTTTTTTTCCCCTCTGGATATTTGAGAAGAGACAGATGTGATGAAAAGCTGTAACGTATGTGCCAAATCATGCCGTCTGTGGTACTTGGCTCGAGTACCACTGGCCCAATCCTACTAACCACAGGACCTCGACTGTATTTCCAGAAGAAATTATTTTCTAAGGCAGATTAGTGCTTTAACAAAACAATGAACATCACAGGCAACCTTCACATGGGAACTTTCTCCTTTTTACTCCCCAAAGACCCAAGAAGTCTGGGAAGATGGTCCTCAGAAGAAGTCAGAGGTGATGGTATGACATTCAGAGGTTAAATTGGAAATAATTGGAAACAATTTTCATGTGAGCTGCATTGTTGCTACTGAGACTATATTAGGGGCTCACTATGAAATGCAGAAGCTAGGGTGTTCATTTGCATCAGGAGAGAAACAAACAGACGTTCCATATACATTTTTCTGCCTAAAACGGGAACAGTTACATGAAGCAAGTAACGCAGGAGAAAAAATAACTGGAGTAAATAAAATGCTAGAAAATCAGGAGATGATGATGAAAGCCAGCAGCAGTTTTTCTCAGGCCAAATTTTGGAACTTTACGTTGTTTATTTCCCTCCACCAGAGTCTGGCTGCTGCTCGGCAGATGTCATTACACAGTATACTGGTTTGCATTTCCAGGCAGTCTGAATTAGCAAATTATTTGTCAAAATAATAAGAATGCCTTTCTCTTGCCACAGACTGGGTGAAAATATTTGCAAAACACATATCTCATAAAGTATTTAGAGTGTATAAAGCACTCTTACAACTCAATAATAAGATAAACAATTTGATTAAAAATGGGCAGATCTAAATGGAAATTTTACCCTAGACAAATGATGACAAATAAGTAAAAAGATGACAAGTGAAAAGATGCTGAATATTATTCATCATTAAGGAAATGCAAATTAAAACTACAATGAGTTATTAGTGTACTTTCACTGGAAAAGCCAAAATTAAAGTGATTGACAATACCAGGTGCTAGTGAGGACGTGGAGCTATGTGCTTGTGTACTGCTGCTGGGAACATAAAATAGTATAGCTACTCTGGAAAAGTGTTGGAGTTTCTTACAAAGTTAAACATATACTTTGTATATGACCCAGTAATCTCACGTATTATTACTGATAATAACCCCAAACTGAAAACAATCCAAATGACCATCAATAGATGAATGGATAAATGTATGCGGTAAATCCATACAGTGAAATATTACTCAGCAATAAAAAGTAATGAACTATTGACACATACAAGAACATGAATGAATCTCAAAAGCACTATGCTAAGTGAAATAAGCCAGCCACAAAAGACTAAATGCTGCATAGTCCTATTTATATTGTAGAGGAAGAAGAATAATTTTTTCTTCAACCCTCATAGGATCTTAGCTGAAATAGAACCCTGTAACTAAAGACAGATTAACAAGAGAAACACAAGCAAGTTTATTCACAGGCATATTTCATATATACATGAGAGACACCCAGGGAATGAGTGTTTCCCAAGGATTTTAAAGAAGTGATAAGACAGAAGAAAGGACTTTGAGTATTTAGGGGTGGCAACTTGTGGGAAGGGAAATAAATGGCAGATAAAAGCCAGTTGTTAATGCATGTTAATTTAGATTCCTCTGATAACCAACTCTAGGATCATAAGGGTCTAAAGTTATCTTCAGTGATTAACCTTTGTTCTGCCTGGTATAAGGGAAGGCAGGTAAGATACTTTTTTGTCTTCCTAAGTTTATGTCCTGCTTTTAGGCAAATAGAGGAAGGAGAGAGAACTTTCCCGTATCTGCTTCTTCTTAACTGCAATTCAGCAATCCTTCATATTTTGAGGGTGGTATATTCTGGTCTCCCACAATATGAAGTTCTAGACTCAATGATTACCAGATGCTGTGAGTAGGGAGCAGGGATGGACTGCAAAGGAGCATGAGGGAACATTTTAGGGTGATAGAAATGTCTATGTCTTGGTTGTGGTGATGGTAGGTAACTATGCATTTGTTGAAGCTCATCACACAACATGCTTAACATCGATGAATTTTAATGTATATAAGTAATACTTCAATAAAGCTGATTAAAAATGCCATGCCTTTTTGAGCAATTGTTTGAAACCTCAGCTTATGGGTAGAACATCAAAGGGAGCCATTTGTCAACTTGTGGGTTGTAGAAACCCCCAAGCTTGCCAAAGATGAGCATTAACTTCTCCCAACACAAAAGCCATGATCTGAAGCTCAACACTTGGGCACGTCCACACTTTGCAGCTCAGTTCATAGCTGGGTCAAGGAGGAAGAGGCATTGCTGGGAATAAAGTGTTGAAAGATAATTTTCAAAAAAAAAAGATAAATTCTTGACTCTCATAAGGATATAAAAATGAACTCATGTTAAAGTGTTTACTTTACTCATAATGAGAGAACCCAGCAGATGTTATGCTCAGTATGGAATAAGATAATGAATAAAATGTAAAAGAGTAAAGGCATTTTGAAATGAATGTGCAAATGGAGGCAAAATTGGTTTTTCCATGGTGGGGAGGGTATTCCCTGCCCCAGTCAGAATTCATTTGTGTGTCTACAGAAAAGATGATCCTGTGTTCTTGTCAGTCACTTATGCTTTACACAGTTATAGAATAGATCCCATAGAGTCAGAATCAGATTATGGGGAAAGATATGTTATAGACAGTGTCTATTTTTCCATTGAAACACAAATTTTGACTGGGTGCAGTGGCTCATGCATATAATTCCAGCACTTTGGGAGGCCGAGGCCAGCAGATCACCTGAGGTCAGGAGTCTGAGACCAGCCTGGCCAACATGGTGAAAGCATGTCTCTACTAAAAATACAAAAAATTAGCTGGGCATGGTGACAGGTGCCTGTAATCCCAGCTATTCCAGAGGCTGAGGCAGGAGAATTGCTTGAACACACGCGAGGCAGAGGTTTCAGTGAGCTAAGGTCATGCCACTGCACTCCAGCCTGGGCAACAGAGTGAGACTCCATCTCAAAAAAAAAAAAAAAAAAAAAAAATATATATATATATATATATCTCCCTACCTAAGGACTCCAGAAAGTCTTCCTGGAACCACAGAGAAAAAGGCAGCTGCCTTTTTTGTTGTAGACTTTGCCATTGCCTTTTATGGCACTCTCGGGCTCTAGCTCCACTCTCCCAGTGAATACTGCAGCAAAATTCCCTTTCCCCCTGCAGAATTCGTTTGTTAAAGAACATTTCAATGGGATACAAATTTATTTTTCTGAACACTTTGGATAATCTTGTTGCTCCTGTAGAAAGTGGCCTTTTGTATAGCAATCATATTCATGTAGCTTCAGAATATCCTCACTTTTGTGAGAATGAATAGACAAAGCTATCCTGAGGCATGGCACTTGCTGAAGGTAAAGTTCTTGCCTCTCAAACCCCTTCCATCCCTCCATTCTCCATGTTCCAAACATCAGAAGTGGGTGATAAATCACATTAAAATCCGTATTTTCACAGCTTTGGAACATAAATGCTCACTTGCAAAACTTCCATAGTTTCTTGGATCAATTTTTATTATAAATCTTCTTTCCCATACTAAAACTAACAGGATAGTTAAAATATACAGGATATATAAAATATATATAAATATACAGGATATATAAAATATATATAAATATATATAAATATACAGGATATAAAAAATATATATAAATACACAGGATATATAAAATATATATAATATACAGGATTTATAAAATATACAGGATAGTTACAATATAACAGGATAGTTAACTATAACAGGATAGTTGAAATAAACTTCCTACATAACTTTTAGACTTGTATGGAGGCCCCAGGGCGGGAGGAGGGAGGAGGGATAGCATTAGGAGATATACCTAATGTAAATAACGAGTTAACGGGTGTAGCACACCAACATGGCACATGTACACATATGTAACAAACCTGCACATTGTGCACATGTACCCTAGAACTTAAAGTATAATATATATAAATAAATAAATAAATAAATAAATAAATAAATAAATAAAAAGAATTGTATGGAGGCCCCAACAACCCAATATCTAAATAGAATACAAGTGATCTTCAAGTTAAATTTGTTTTGTTGTTGAGTGTGATGATTAAGTGCAGAAAGAGTAATCAGACAGGCTTTGGATTAAATCATTGTTCTCCCACATACTGTATGATGTTCAACAAATTACCTAATCTCTATGAGTCTTCTTTTCCTCTGTACACTGGGGTCATTATGAAGATTAAATGGACATGCATATAAAGCACTTAGGATACTGCCTGGCATATATAGAAGAGGTGTTGAAATAATCAGCTATAAATTACATGAACAGGGTAGTGGCAGGGAGGGCAGAATTATCTATTTTATTCCCTGTGCTACCATAGTGCTGCCTGATTTTTGTATTAAGGTTTAAATATGTATAGAATGAATGCTCAATGAATGTTGATATTATTGCAGTCTTACACATTGTCTATTTATGTAATGAACTGCATCACCATGACTAATAGCTTGAATATTAAACTCCTCTCTAAATCAACCTTCTGTAGAATCTGTTATTTATTTTTCTTGTAGTCTCCAGGACTATAGTCATTATATTCTTAGCTAGTGACACTTCTCCTTCTTTTCGTTGTTATTTTGCTTATGTATTCAATAAAGCCTGTGCCAAGCATGGAGCTAAGCTCTGCAGACAGATAGATGAATGGAGTATGATTCCAAGTTGCTCATAGTCTAGTGGGAGAGGAAGATCAAGACAAATAATGATTACAATGTCAGGCAAATGTTTCATAATATGGGTGAGGACATGATGGTTGGTAGCTCATAAAAACGGCTGCCACCTTATCCTGAGAATGGGTCAGAGGAAAGGCTTCCTGGAGGAGGTGATGTTTGAGCTGAGTCTTGAAAGATGGTAGCTACTGGCCAGAAGACATTGGCCAAAAACATTGCAGATAGAGGGCAAGTTGAAAGACACAAACATATGAACAGCATATCTGAGTAGAATGCAGGTACATTTGGAGATGTTAAAATTTGAGATCAGAGAAATAGTAAGGGTCAAAACCTGAAAGTCTTGACAGTCATGCTAAGAGCTTTGAGCTGTATATTGACAATATAGGTAAGCCCCTGAGTGATTTAAAGTCAGCAGTGACATAAACCAATGTGCATTTTTAGAAATAAAAATTCTATTGGCAATATAGACTAGAAGAGGCAGCATTGCATCTAGAGAGAACCATTAGGCGGTGATTGCTGTCATTAGTAAGAAATTGTGAAGGCCAGAGTTGAAGCAATTAAAGAGAGATAAGTTCATTGCTTCATGAAGTAGAATTCAGTAAACAATTTGGGATAGGCAAGAGGTAGATAAAGTTGGGGGAAAAGTACAAAAGATTGTGGCTTCACTAGAACAGTTGACACTTGAACAACATGGATATGAACTGTGGGTCCACTTATATGCAGATTTTCTTCTGCCTCTGCCACCTCTGAGACAGCAAGAGAAACCCCCCTCTTCCTCCTCCTCCTCTTTGGCCTCCTCAACATGAAGATGATGAGGATGAAAACCTTTATGATGATTCATTTCCACGTAAAAAATATGATATGGTTTGGCTGTGTGCCCACCCAAATCTCATCCTGAATTCCCACATGTTGTGGGAGGGGCCTGGAGGGAGATAATTGAATCATGGGGGCAGGGCTTTCCCATGCTCTTCTCATGATAGTGAATAAGTCTCATGAGATCTGTTGGTCTTGTAAGGTGGAGTTTCCCTGCACAAGCTCTTTTGCCTGCTGCCATCCATGTAAGAGGTGACTTGCTCCTCCTTGCCTTCTACTGTGATTATGAGCCTTCCCCAGTCACATGGAACTGTAAGTCCATTAAACCTCTTTCTTTTGTAAATTACCCAGCCTCGGGTATGTCTTTATCAGCAGTGTGAAAATGGACTAATGCAGGATAGTAGTTTCTCTTCCTTATTGTTTTCTTAATAACATTTTATTTTCTCTAGTTTGCTTTATTGTAAAAATATAGTATCTTATACATATCCAAAATATATATAACACATACAAAATATGTGTTAGTCAACTATTTCTGTTATTAGTAATGCTTCTGGTCAACAGTAGACTATTAGTAGATAAGTATTGGAGGAGTCAAAAGTTATATGTGGAGTTTTGACTGCATGGGAAGATGGCGGTTGGCACTCCTAACTCCTATTGTTGTTCCAAGCTCAACTCTATTACTATAAACAAGGAAAGGGAATATTAGAAAATAAGTAGATACTGGAGAAAAGGAAATATTCAGCCTTAAATAGATTTTGTTGGGTAGGTGCAATATTTAAATGGAAATCTAGATTTGTCTGTCATCAGCAAAGCTGTCTTACGGTAGAGAAAACTTTGAGTATAGATGATAGCACCCACTTGTATATGGAGGACATGAACAAGAAGACCAAGGATGGAACTTAAGAGAACCCTAAAATTCAGGAGGCAAATGGGAAGGTCAAGAATCAGCAAAGGAAACAGAATGAGTGGCCGGAGGTAGGAGAAACTGCAGTGAAATGTAAAAGGAAAGAGATTTTCGCAGCAAGATGTCATTAATAATCTAAATTGTTACATAAAGGTTAAAAAAAAAAAAGGCCCAGGAAGAATCCATTGTACTCCTTGGTGACTATTAATTTGTGGTCAAGTTAATGCAGGTAATTTAACTGCAGCACTGGGGAATGATGAATCCCATGGTTTAGAGAGAGAACTGGAGGTGAGGAAGTCAATAGAACTTGATTGTGAAGACAGGAAGAAGAGAAGTGAGAACTTGCTAAAGACATGGGGTCAAAGGTGGGCTGTTGTTCAGGTTGGTGCAAAAGATCTGAGGATAGATATCAGTAGAGGGAAAAGAGCCGTGTAAGAGCCCTTCTAGAAAGGTAGCTGGAGGAAAGGCAATGAATGCTGTGACCAAGGACAGTGTTTCAGGCCTGGACTTGGTTTTAGTGTCTGACCCAGAAGGATACATAATTCTCCTTATTGTAGCAATCAAGGAAGACGGTGAACTCTGGAAGCAAAACTGATGTATCTGGAGGAAAGGAAAAGTCTTGAGGGTGTGTTCTCCTTCCTTCCTTCAGGCTAGTGTTTAGTGATGGAGCACAGGGTTGGGTGTTGGAGGACTCTTGCTGTGAAAGGCACAGAAGTTCTTGCTTTTCATTCGTGTCGTTTAAGGACCTGCTCTTATACAATGCTAGGTTTTTCTAGGAGTGTAACACTCCTGGCTCTGTACACATGACGTAATCCTCACTTTCTGTTCCTAAGCATAATCCGCAGCACAATGAGTTCATTTTCTTCTGTGGGGTGGGAGTTCTGGGCACAAGCTGCCGAAGCATTGGCAGGCAGGTAGCGAGAGGATTATCAAATTTGACATCGCCTTTGGTATAACAAGATCCTTGAATTTTCGGAGGACTTTTAAAATTCATTTCTAGCTAATTATAAAAATCAAAGCTAAATTTGCAATTTCAGGATGAGAAATTATTGATAATGACTGGCATTTTCATTCTATTTTAGTAGCAAATTGAAACATTTTAAATTGTCAATGATTGCCAAGAACCTGGACAATCATTCTGGGTTGTTGATGCTTGATGTCTAAAATGGCAATTTACACAGGTCTCAGTGACATGTCAGGAGTCTTGGCTGGTACTGTGGGTGATTACAATGTGACCTTGGCCATGTCTTCTTGACCAGGTCTGCTCAGTATTTCAAGTAGTTACTGTTTTTTTTCCTATCATTTACTTGGAGCTGTGTGAAGTCATATATAAGCTGGACTCTTGGGTAAGGGATAAGAAACCAAATTTACTTGCTTTTCCTAGGAATTCTGCTCATATGATAATTTGGAGCTCCCATTGTGTCTACCAGACCAAGAAGGGTGTGAAGACCAAGCGGCTCAACCTAAGGAGGTTATCTCAGGTTAAGTTCCCACAGGCTAGAGATGCTCCACAAACAGGATGGCCTCAGACTTGGGCAAACCAGGGAACTTTCAGGCATAGCACAGCAAACCGTGGGCCCAGACATCCAGGTGCACAATTACATGTACAGAAAGCAGTGCTTCACTGGGGTTGCAGGAGTGGATTCTGGGCCTAGACCTTCCCTCTTGCATGAGCCTTTGCACTGATGCTCACTCAATATGAAATTGGGGCTATGATGAGAATCAAGGAAACTCATTCCTCTTGAATTCAACTAAACTGTATTGAATACCTAGTAGGTACCAAACGCTGCTGAAAGTAGTGGAGATATAACCATGATCAGGATAGACAGTTCCTGCCCTCCTGAAACTGACAGTCTAGTGGGTGTGAAATTATCTTGGCAATGGATGTGTCTTGGTCAGTGTATTAGTTTGCTGATGCTGCTGGAACAAAATACCAGAAACTAGGTAACTTAAAACAATAGAAATGTATTCTCTGACAGCTCTGGAGGTCAGACATCTAAAATTAGAGTATCAGCAGGGGTGCACTAGGCTTCCTCCAAAGGCTTTAGGATCAAGAATCCTTCCTTGACGGTCCTTGCCAGCAAGACTTGTAGATGTACCACGCTAATTTCCATCTTCACATGGTCTTCTTCCCAGTGTGCATTTGTCTCTGTGTCCAAATTTCCCCCTTCTTATAAAAATACTATGAATATTGGATTTAGGGCCCACCCTAATTCAGTACAACCTCATCTTAACTTGATTGCATCTGCAAAGACCCTATTTCCAAGTAAGGTCCTATTTGTGATTCCAGGTGAACACAAATCTGGGGGGTGGGGAGGCGCAGGGAGGGGAGCTCTTCAACCCAATACAGTCAGTTTCCTTTTGGGTATACTGCATCACTAACAAGAGGATTTGATGTTCTCCAAGCACTGGGAAAGTGACTTGTATGTTACCCTTAATATTGGCCGAAAGATTGCAACAAGCTATTTGCATTCCCACCTGACATTACTTGAGTGAGGAGCAAGTAGTCAGGTGGTGGGTCGATTTCCATAAACACTTCCCAGTGAATTTCTCTGAAGCAGATAGATGCTGCAGTTTACCCACTTCATGCACCAATGTTGACAAGGGCACTGCATATGATAAACACAAATAACATCTTTTCACTGCCCTGGAACTATGGACCCTGAGCTATGGGATCCAGGGAGGGTGACTACAAGCCCTGGTTTGTTGAATTTGTCTTGAAATAGAGATGTCTATTCATGTTACAAGGCTAAAAAGTAGTCTAAAGGATGGACAATAGATTTTCTTCTTGGGAGTGGACTGTCTAGTAAAAAGTCTTGATAGGTAATTGGGTAGAAAGAATTGAGACTGATAGGCTGCTGGGATGCCCTGAATAGTCATGTAAGTTTCTAAAAGATTGGAATACCTTCCTTATAGTTGTTAAATAGCCACTGGTGGATTTTTGTAATTTTTTAAATAATTGTTTGTTGTGTAATGGAATATATTTTACACAGAAAGGTCTTCAGAGGAGGTGGGCGGGGGAGAAGGAGACATTATCAGAGAGCATGGGGTGCAGGGGAGGGAAACAGGCAGGATGGACTTTGCTGTAATAAATGTAAGTAAACTGTGGTACTACTCAATGATAAATAGGCTCAGCTAACAGCACATTAACAAATCAATACCTACAAAAACTGCTTGCGGTACAGGTACAGTTTATACCACATAGCTCTGCTACAGAGTTCTGGATTTAGAGAAACTAGAATTTTCTCTCCTTATCAAATTTTTGTCATCTATAGTTAGTCATTGCATCTTAAACAATTCTATTAATATAAACTTAAAAAAAACCTGTCTACCCACCAATGTAAAAAAGAAATTACTTTATTCCCTTAAATTTAACTTAATTGCACTACTAATCAGAATTCTTGGTTAAAAAAAAGTTTTTTTCTGTGTGTATCTTGGACAAATCTGTCAGTGCAAGTTAGGGTGATTAAATTTGATACATTCCCTGTTGTGTATGTATGATGTTTTTATGATAGTTTTTTTTAAACAGCCTGTAACAATAATAATGATGGTAATTGTAATGATGATAACAATTATAACCCTTGATAGTTATTTCAAGAGGGTTTATTATGTAGAAGATGCTGCTCTAAGCCCATAGCATATATTAATTCTTTCATTCTTATAACAATCTATGAAATTTGTATATCATCCCCATCCCAGATAAGGAAATGGAAGCTCTGAAGGTTATGTGGTCTGCCCCAGAGCACACAGTCAGTCAGCAACAGGACAGCAATTTAAACACAGGCAACTTGGCTCAGGGTCTTTGGACTTGCAAGAGGGAAGGTTGAATCAGCTCTCACAGAGCTCCTGAAGCACATCCCCAGTACAACTGTGTGCTGCCGACAGAAACCGCCAGCTGGTACATTGGTGTGCTCTGGTCTGCACTGGTGCCACCTCCCTTGGGGTCCTTGCCTTTACTTGGCTTACCCTTTCACCTGTGCCAGGCTTGCAGCCTTGGGGTACCAGGTTCTGGTCTATTTCTTACATTGTTTCTTCACTTTATGATCAATTTTGTTTACCTTCTTTTTTATTGAAAAATCATTGTATGTAGTGGTGCCAAATTTTCTTTCAAATGCTACTTTAGAAGAAATTTAAACATCTAGATGTAAATTCATCTCTTTACTGAACTCAACTTATATTAACTCAGCCCGGTACCTTTTTAAAAAATTATTTCCATCCACTGATGAATGAATAAACAAAAATGTGTACATACAATGGGAGTAGACTATAAAAGGAAGGAAATGTGGACACATGCTACAACATGGATGAGGCTTGAGGACATTATTCTATGTGAAACAAACTAGACACAAAAAGGCAAACATTGTATGTTTCCACTTATATGGGATACTTGAAGTAGCCAGCTTCATAGAGACAGAAACTAGAATGCCAAGGACTGAAGAAAGGTGGAAATAAGGACTTGTTTCATAGATAGTGAGTTTCAATTTGGAAAGATGAAATAGTTTTGGCAATGATGGCTGCTCAACAGTGTGAAAGTGCTTAACACTTCTGAACTATATACTTATGATTAAGTTAGTAAATTTTATGTTATGTATATTTACCACAATTTTTAAACACGAAAAAATGATTTTTAAATGATCAAAAGTAGTATGTGTTTATGGAAACAAAATTTCAAACTCTGTAAAGTAAAAGGTAGATCTTCCTTCTGGTATTGATACAGGTGGGCTGGGGGAGGTCCCCAAATGCCAGTGAGACCTCAGCCCTGGCCAGTGTCCAGGCAAGAAGGAATCCAAGGACGAGTCGGAAAACAGTGAAAGTACAGAGATTTATGGCATAGCGAAAAGTACACACGCAAGAAAGGGGTGTGCAGGCTTAAGAGAGTCACACAATGGACTTTGGGGCTTTTATCATTATAGGTTTCTTTAACCAAGGGATGGAATATTCATGAAAATTCCTGGGAAAATGTGAAGATTTATTGCGATAGTGGTGCTACCCATTTTTACACCAAATATGGGTGTTCCTGGAACTGTCATTGTACTGGCAGATGTGTGATTTAGTATGTTAATGAGAGTATAATGAGGTCAAATCCAGCACCACACTGGGTCCAGTCGGTCTTAGCCAGGTTGGCCCACACGATTTTCATGGTGCTCTCAGTCCCTAGCCTATGCAGCTATTTCAGTCGTTCCCTTTTTGCTAGCCAAGTGAAGCTGCTCTTGGAATTTTCTACTCTTTTACAACCACCCTGTATTATTCCTGTCTAATTTTGCCCTCCCCAGCCCACCATCCTGGAGGTAAAATTGTGAAGTTTTTGGTTGTATAATTTCAGAACCTTTCTCTCTGTATAAAAGGCAATGTGTATATGCTGCGTGTATATACTTTTGAATTCTGTTCTGTGCTTTGATTCTTGCACTTGATTTCACTGTATGAGGCTGCCTTGTGTGTCATTATACCATAACTGGCTGGATGTCTAGGCTCTTTGCATTTTGGTTGTTGTTGTTTTGCCATTACAAACACCTCTATAATAAACATCCTTTAAATATGCAAATAAGCCACTTTTGGTCTTTGCATTAGTACCTCCCTGACCTTGAATACATGAAAATTGACCAGCTTCACCAATTTGTAGAGGAAAAGGAAGTTGTGAGGGGAGAAAAAGGAGACAATGGATGAGGTCATGGCCTGGCAGTGCAGAGCTTCCTAGTAAAGTATCTGTTGAGAAACAGACTGAGCCCCCATCTTCCGGAGGTGATGTGACTTCAGTTTCTAAGAACCCATTTGAGGAAAGCCTCCAAATTCTCCCATGTTTAATGGAAGAACAAGTGGAGAAGATATTTTCTATATTCAGTGAGAAAATTCTTCCTTGGGGATATAAATATTCCTCTGGAAGGCTGCGCTGAGGCTTAGCCCAGGATCCCCGGCTGCAGGTTCAACCCTCTCCTCAGCAGGGCCTCATGGTGCATGAGAAGAGATACCAGAAGATTCTGTGGACTGGGCTTTAAGGCACCTTGAGTTCATCCTTGAAGGAAATCAAAATATTTTACCCCAAAATATATTTCTTTGACATATTTTGAGATGACTCCCACAGGGTCAGCTGACTGATGTGGCCCTGCAAAGTTTTACTGATACAAAGGTAAAATTTGGTTTTCTCATTTGAAAGGGATTTTTGTGCAGTATTAATGTGGGGGAAATTTACATCTGTAGAGAATCTCCATTAATGCAGCCAGGCTTTCCCTTGTCCAGATCTAGGAGAGATTAACTGAGAGTCCGACATTTTAAAGATCTGAGAGACATTTACCATCTATTCTCTCTAAGGGCTGCTACCTGTGAGGTTTCATCTACATGACAAGACCACCTTTGCTAGCCAGGCATCTTCCTTTCTCCCTCCCTTAAGCTATCTTGTCACTAAAACCTATGTTTGCCCGTGCTGTGAGCCTGCATTCTTTCTGGAACCCCCAGATGGCATATAAATTCCTGTACCCTATTGGAGGGCTGAGTCTTCATTGTGAAGGCTCCCATGTATACACGTTACATAAATCTATACTTCTTTTCTTCTCTTAATCAATCTGCTTCATGTCAGTGATTTTCAGTGAACCTTGAGAGGGCCAGGGGGAAGCTCTGTCTTGGCCCCTTCAGTTTGGCACAGGGAGCATTGTGATCATAGCTTCACTCTTCTGGAAGCCACAGTTAAGAGAATCCAGGGAATGGATCAGCCAGCAAAAGGGTAAGAATTTCTTATCAGCCGGTCTCCTGGCCTCTCAATCTCTCTGTACAATCCAGTCAAGTGGATGGTAAAAAAAATCACTGTTTCTGTTACCGGAAAGGAGTCCTGATCCAGACCCCAAGAGAGGGTTCTTGGGTCTCACACAAGAAAGAATTCAGCGTTAGTCCACAGTGAGAAGTAAAAGCAAGTTTATTAAGAAAGTAAAGTGGTGAAAGGACAGCTACTCCATAGACACAGTAGGATGTTCCTGAAAGTAAGAGGAAGGACGCATCCACCCTAGGTATAATGCTTGTGTATATATGTATAGGATAAAAATAGCTCTTGGGGAGATGTGGTCTGCTACCAGGGTTTGTGACAAAGGATTACTTTTCTTTCTTTTTTTTTTTTTTTAATTATACTTTAAGTTTTAGGGTACATGTGCACATTGTGCAGGTTAGTTACATATGTATACATGTGCCATGCTGGTGCGCTGCACCCACTAACTCGTCATCTAGCATTAGGTATATCTTCCAATGCTATCCCTCCCCCCTCCCCCCTCCCCACCACAGTCCCCAGAGTGTGATGTTCCCCTTCCTGTGTCCATGTGATCTCATTGTTCAATTCCCACCTATGAGTGAGAATATGTGGTGTTTGGTTTTTTGTTCTTGCGATAGTTTACTGAGAATGATGGTTTCCAATTTCATCCATGTCCCTACAAAGGACATGAACTCATCATTTTTTATGGCTGCATAGTATTCCATGGTGTATATGTGCCACATTTTCTTAATCCAGTCTATCATTGTTGGACATTTGGGTTGGTTCCAAGTCTTTGCTATTGTGAATAATGCCGCAATAAACATTCGTGTGCATGTGTCTTTATAGCAGCATGATTTATAGTCATTTGGGTATATACCCAGTAATGGGATGGCTGGGTCAAATGGTATTTCTAGTTCTAGATCCCTGAGGAATCGCCACACTGACTTCCACAATGGTTGAACTAGTTTACAGTCCCACCAACAGTGTAAAAGTGTTCCTATTTCTCCACATCCTCTCCAGCACCTGTTGTTTCCTGACTTTTTAATGATTGCCATTCTAACTGGTGTGAGATGATATCTCATAGTGGTTTTGATTTGCATTTCTCTGATGGCCAGTGATGGTGAGCATTGTTTCTTGTGTTTTTTGGCTGCATAAATGTCTTCTTTTGAGAAGTGTCTGTTCATGTCCTTCGCCCACTTTTTGATGGGGTTGTTTGTTTTTTTCTTGTAAATTTGTTTGAGTTCATTGTAGATTCTGGATATTAGCCCTTTGTCAGATGAGTAGGTTGCGAAAATGTTCTCCCATGTTGTAGGTTGCCTGTTCACTCTGATGGTAGTGTCTTTTGCTGTGAAGAAGCTCTTTAGTTTAATTAGATCCCATTTGTCAATTTTGGCTTTTGTTGCCATTGCTTTTGGTGTTTTGGACATGAAGTCCTTGCCCATGCCTATGTCCTGAATGGTAATGCCTAGGTTTTCTTCTAGGGTTTTTATGGTTTTAGGTCTAACGTTTAAATCTTTAATCCATCTTGAATTGATTTTTGTATAAGGTGTAAGGAAGGGATCCAGTTTCAGCTTTCTACATATGGCTAGCCAGTTTTCCCAGCACCATTTATTAAATAGGGAATCCTTTCCCCATTGCTTGTTTTTCTCAGGTTTGTCAAAGATCAGATAGTTGTAGGTAAGCGGCGTTATTTCTGAGGGCTCTGTTCTGTTCCATTGATCTATATCTCTGTTTTGGTACCAGTACCATGCTGTTTTGGTTACTGTAGCCTTGTAGTATAGTTTGAAGTCAGGTAGTGTGATGCCTCCAGCTTTGTTCTTTTGGCTTAGGATTGACTTGGTGATGCGGGCTCTTTTTTGGTTCCATATGAACTTTAAAGTAGTTTTTTCCAATTCTGTGAAGAAAGTCATTGGTAGCTTGATAGGGATGGCATTGAATCTGTAAATTACCTTGGGCAGTATGGCCATTTTCACGATATTGATTCTTCCTACCCATGAGCATGGAATGTTCTTCCATTTGTTTGTATCCTCTTTTATTTCCTTGAGCAGTGGTTTGTAGTTCTCCTTGAAGAGGTCCTTCACATCCCTTGTAAGTTGGATTCCTAGGTATTTTATTCTCTTTGAAGCAATTGTGAATGGGAGTTCACTCATGATTTGGCTCTCTGTTTGTCTGTTGTTGGTGTATAGGAATGCTTGTGATTTTTGTACATTGATTTTGTATCCTGAGACTTTGCTGAAGTTGCTTATCAGCTTAAGGAGACTTTGGGCTGAGACGATGATGAGGTTTTCTAGATAAACAATCATGTCGTCTGCAAACAGGGACAATTTGACTTCCTCTTTTCCTAATTGAATACCCTTTATTTCCTTCTCCTGCCTGATTGCCCTGGCCAGAACTTCCAACACTATGTTGAATACGAGCGGTGAGAAAGGGCATCCCTGTCTTGTGCCAGTTTTCAAAGGGAATGCTTCCAGTTTTTGCCCATTCAGTATGATATTGGCTGTGGGTTTGTCATAGATAGCTCTTATTATTTTGAAATACGTCCCATCAATACCTAATTTATTGAGAGTTTTTAGCATGAAGGGTTGTTGAATTTTGTCAAAGGCTTTTTCTGCATCTATTGAGATAATCATGTGGTTTTTGTCTTTGGCTCTGTTTATATGCTGGATTACATTTATTGATTTGTGTATATTGAACCAGCCTTGCATCCCAGGGATGAAGCCCACTTGATCATGGTGGATAAGCTTTTTGATTTGCTGCTGGATTCTGTTTGCCAGTATTTTATTGAGGATTTTTGCATCAATGTTCATCAAGGATATTGGTCTAAAATTCTCTTTTTTGGTTGTGTCTCTGCCCAGCTTTGGTATCAGAATGATGCTGGCCTCATAAAATGAGTTAGGGAGGATTCTCTCTTTTTCTATTGATTGGAATAGTTTCAGAAGGAATGGTACCAGTTCCTCCTTGTACCTCTGGTAGAATTCGGCTATGAATCCATCTGGTCCTGGACTCTTTTTGGTTGGTAAACTATTGATTATTGCCACAATTTCAGCTCCTGTTGTTGGTCTATTCAGAGATTCAACTTCTTCCTGGTTTAGTCTTGGGAGAGTGTATGTGTCGAGGAATGTATCCATTTCTTCTAGATTTTCTAGTTTATTTGCATAGAGGTGTTTGTAGTATTCTCTGATGGTAGTTTGTATTTCTAAATGCCCACAAGAGAAAGCAGGAAAGATCCAAAATTGACACCCTAACATCACAATTAAAAGAACTAGAAAAGCAAGAGCAAACACATTCAAAAGCTAGCAGAAGGCAAGAAATAACTAAAATCAGAGCAGAACTGAAGGAAATAGAGACACAAAAAACCCTTCAAAAAATCAATGAATCCAGGAGCTGGTTTTTTGAAAGGATCAACAAAATTGATAGACCGCTAGCAAGACTAATAAAGAAAAAGAGAGAGAAGAATCAAATAGACACAATAAAAAATGATAAAGGGGATATCACCACCGATCCCACAGGATTACTTTTCTTAACTACTATATTTTGCAAGAATTGATATTATTATCTTTAAATTAGGAATGCCCTTGTTCTCCAGATATCAGGCTATTTGGATACTCCCAAGTCTGGGTCTGCTTCAGTAAACATCATAAATTTGTTCCCTTAACCATAAACATCTAGAGGCTAGGAATGCCTAATTTTCTGAGAATGCAGCCCAGCACATCTCAGCCTAATTTTCCTAACCCTCACTCAAAATGGAGTTGCTCTGGTTTGAACACCTCTGACATATCTTGCTCCCTCCACTTACAAGAGGACCCTTAATCCTAAGGGTTGCAGGATCCTGTAACTTCTTCAGGCTGAATAGGGGCGATGAAATTCCTGCCTAACTATTAGGGTCTCTTGCATCCAGAGTACGGCAAAGCTCAGTCAGAGAACATTTACCAATGGTATGGTGAAGGTCATTCATAACTCCGAGTTCCGACAAAAGGTGATATCTGGAAGGTTAATAAGTGTCCAATTTAAGAAAGCATGGAGTAAGCGTGTCTTGGATTTCTACACAAAGAGTACAACCACAATATATTCCACAACAGCAAAGCAAAATAAGTAAAATAATTCCAGGTAAACTAAACTAAACAGAAAGGCTTTCCAAGAACTAGGCAGTTGTTGGAACCAAGCCAATATTGGGTCAACTGATAGTGTGTCAGTGGCAGAGATGTGAGTGTGTAAATTTTTCATATCCTGGGTAATATTATGTCAATAGTCTGGAACATACAGACAACATTTGGTTTGGATCAAAGCACAAGTTCCCCCTTGGGCAACTGTTAGAATGTCCAAAGCCATATGGTTTTGTAAGGCTACCTGTCTAACCTGAGAAGTTTCCTCAGTTAGGAGGGTAAGGGCATGGTGTGTATTACTGAAGGGCACGGCTGTGTGCTTGGCCGTCTTCAACTTGTAACTCCGTACTGACTGTAGCTGCCTGTGGGAAAAATATAGCCATTGGATAGAACCACTAAGATGCCCACTTTTGTCGCTTATGGCAAGCTTTTACAATTTCCCAGTTAGATGACAGAGAGTGCAATTTGGTGAGGTTGTGTCCTGGGAGATAAGGACAACCCCACGAACACCTTCCAGTTCAGTTATAAGGTAAGTATGGCCAGCCATGAGTTCTACAAGCCCATAACCATCCCGAAGCAGAAGGGTAGGCACTCATTTTTGGCAAATTATTTTGCCATCCCATCCAAATCTGGTCTGTTAGAAGAAGGGTCTGATTACGTTGTTGAAATGACAGCCATCTCGTATCCTGGGTTTCAGTCTGGTGGTGACTATTGTTGTGCCTTTCGAAACCTGGAGGTGCCTTGCCCGACACCTGCCCTTGAACAGTTGTTATTCACCCAAGTTCATTATGTAAAGCATAACCTAAAGCTGGGGTGGAGTTTAGCTGTTTTTGATTAGATTTAAAAAGTGCCTTCTTGTCTCTTTATAGGAGGGAAAGGGGCTAAGGCTTGTGTGGCTATGATACATGGAAAAAGAGGAGCTGTGTTTATAATGTTCAGTTTCCCAATCATAATAAAATTCCTATAAACTTGGGTTGGCCAGTTGAATATGCCAGAACAACCTGGAAGTGGAGGAAAGTGGCAATTCTCCACATACCCAACAGTTCATGTGATTATGTAGAGAGGCTAAAGTCTGTGCCCACTTGGTAAATAAGTTACTATCTGCATGATTCCAACTTATACCCAAAAGTAGAATGCCAATCCATATCTTTATGTTACCCATCCCTTTTATTTCTTCTGAACAGCAGTCAGAGGTCACTGGTTGGCTCACAGGAATCAGTCTCTTGTGTTCTGTCGGCCTGTGAGATTTCATAAGAGACAGGTTTAATTCGAGATAAGTGGACCCAGATGTTTATTCCCAGAAGTTTAACTGCAGTTGGGGTACTAAGAAGAATTTGAATAGGGTTCCTTCCATTTTGGGGAAGTTGATCTGCTGGGGATCCTTCCTTCCAAGTGTTTAATGGGACCCAGTTTCCAGGCTGGGTTATAACAAAATTCTCTTCCTTAGTGGGGGAAGGAAGTCTTTGATTTCCATATTCAAGGAGTGCATTTTGCACTTGTCCTAAGTTGATCACATAATTTGTAGCTTGAAAGTATCTATATCTATTAGGAGGTCTGTAGTTAAGAAAGGCCTTCCATAGAAAAGGGCTGAGCTGGAACCCTTAGGGGGCCACTGGAACCCATAATAAGGCTACAAGTAATACATACAGCCAGGTTTCTGATGCCTCTTGGCATAATTTAGCAAGAGTCCTTTTTAGAGTTTGATTAGCTCTTTCTACTTTCCCTGAAAACTGGCCTCCACGCCGAGTGAAGGCAGTACTGAATTCCTAAGGCAAAAGATATGTTTTGGGTAATTGTCGCTGTGAAAAATGGGCCATTATTACTCTGCAAAGTCTTAGGCAGCCCAAATCTAGGAATTATTTCCTTTCGTAGAAGTTTAGCAACCTCAATTGCCTTTTCAGACTGAGTAGAAAAAGCCTCAATCCAACTAGTAAAGGTGTCAATGAATACTAATAAATATTAAAACACTTTACATGGGGGCATTTGAGTATAGTCTATTTGCCAATCTTCACCAGGGTACGTTCCCCTATGCTGAACAGGCCTTACTAGAGGAGGAGGTAAAGATTGGTTATCTGGTTTATTCCAGGTACATAATTCACAGGCCCGAGTTACCTGCTTTACTGTTTTAAGAAAGCCTTTTCCTATAAAAAGCTGCAACATTAATTGAAACAGGGAATCTCTTCCCAAATGAGTAGAGTTATGCAAATGCTTAACTATTTTCCACTGATTAGCATCTGGTATTAACAGTTTGTTGTCATTGATAAGCCAGTCAGAAGGATTTTGAATTAAACCATAACCTTTAGCCCTTTCTTTTTCCTCTTTAGTATACCTAGGTTCTGTCATTACCGTGTGTGAGGGCACTAACATACCTACAAGTCCAGCGGGCTCCTTTAACGCTGTTGCCTTAGCAGCTGCATCTGCAAAGGCGTTTCCCTTAGCCACACTAGAGTCTCCTCTTTGATGTCCTCTGCAATGGATTACAGCTACTTCCTTGGGCAGCAAAACAGCATCTAATAGATTTAGAATTTCTACGTGACGTTTTATTGGGGGAACCCTTAGCAGTTAGGAGTCTCCGTTCCTTCCAGATAGCAGCATGAGAATGAAGTTCCAGAAAAGCATACTTAGAATCAGTGTAAATGCTAATTCTTCAGTCCTTTTCCAATTGCAGGGCTCTAATAAAAACCACTAATTCCAAATTTTGAGCTGAGGTAGAAGCTGGTAGGCCTGAGATTCAATTACCTTGTCTTGACTGACAACAGCATACCCAGCTTTCCCATTTCCCTGGTGCACAAAGCTACTTCCGTCTGTAAACCATTCTACTCAGGATTTTCTAGAGGTTCATCCTTTAAATCTGGATGGCTGGAGTAACTTGTGTACAAGAATAATCTAGGGCACCTGTGGGTGCAGGCAAGTAGGTAGCTGGATTCAATGTCCAGCATACTTTAAGTGTTATATCAGGAGTGTCTAGTAATAAAGCCTGATATTTCAATAAGTGTCCCCCTGTCATTCACTGGTGTCCTTTAGCTTCTAGGATTCCTTGTACTTGGTGTGGGTTTAAAACCTTCAGACTGGTCCTAAAGTCAGTTTATTGGCTTTATCTACCAAGAGAGCAGTTGCAGCAACTGCCCTGAGGCATCCAGGCCATCCCAAAGCGACATGGTCTAATTGCTTAGAAAAATATGCCACTGGTTGGGGAATATCTCCCAACTTCTATACAAGGACACCTAGGGGTGTTCCCTGTTTTTCAGTCATATAGAGGAAAAATGGCTTATTAAGATTAGGGATTCCTAGGGCTGGAGCTGATCCCAATTTCTCTTTGAGGGCATTAAAAGCTTGTTTACAGTTACTATCCCATTCAAAAAGATATACATCTGCTCCTTTCAGAGCCTAATATAAAGGCTTAGCTATATGCCCAAATCCAGGCACCCAAAAATCACAGAAGCCTGCCATCCCTAGGAAAGCCCACAGCTGCTTTCTAGTTTGGGGTTCTGGAATGCCCAAGATAGCTTCCCTTCATTCTGGCGTGATTGCCTGAGTGCCAGGGGTTAGTACATATCTTACGTATTTAACCTCTTGAGTTGAAGTCTGGGCTTTATGTGGCGAGACCTTATACCCTATAGCTCCCAGAAGATTTAGCAAACTGATGACATTTTCATCTGATTCTCCTTTGGTTGGGCTAGCAATCAGCAGATCATCTACATATTGAATAATAGTGCCCTTATTTAATTGTAACATCTTTAATTCTCTAGCCAGTTCTTCCCCTAAACCCCTGGGGAAGAACTGTCCAAGTTAATTGATAAACTAGATGACTATCAGTGTAAGTCCATTCAAAAGAAAAAATGAATTGTGAATCAGGGTGTATTGGAATGCAAAAAAAAAAAAAAAAAAAAAAAAGGCATCCTTAAGATTTAAGACTGTAAACCAATTGGCAACCCCGTAGACCTGCGCTAACAGCATGTAGGGATTGGGCACTATAGGATGTATGGGAATGACAGCCCCATTGACAGCTCAAAGATCTTGGACAAATCTATAGTCTCCATCTGGCTTTTTAACTGGCAAGATTGGCATATTACAAGGAGACTCACGGGGCCTTAACACCCCAAATTGCAAAAACTTAGCTAAGTTTTTGCTATTAATGGTTGGATCTCTCTTTGTGCCTCTGGCTTTAAGGGGTATTGTCTCTTCCAGGGATCTGGGACACCAGGCTTAAGTTGGATGTAAAGTGGGGAAACATTTAACACTTTGCCTGGAACCTGAGTGTCCCATACTATAGGATCTACTTGGGAGATTACTTCAGTAGGTAAAGTAGATAAGTCCCCTATTGACTTTCCTTCCTTATCACAGGAAAGGAGAAGGGGTAATCCCTCTTCTGCCTTGTGATTTCCAAAAGATACCACTGTCTGCAGCTGAGTCAACAAATCCCTTCCCAACAGAGGGGTGGGGCACTCAGGCATGATAAGAAAGACATGTGAGAAAACCAAAGTCCCTGGAGAGCAGCTTAGAGGGTAGGTAAAATGGCATCTGTGGGCTCGTCCATCTATCCCCATGACCATACAGTTTTGGGGTGACAGAGGCCCATTATAATGGGTCAAAACAGAGTAAGCAGCCCCAGTATCCAGGAAAAAATTAATATTCCTATCTGCCACATCAAGGGTTACCTGAGGCTCCTCTGGTGATATGGCTAGTTGTCTGATGAGAGCTGTGGCAGAAGGTCTCAGGTCCCATCACTCTTGGGCTTGCCTGGCTATTTTAGCCATTATTGGTTCAGGTACTGGTGGCTCCCTTTGGAACACTGGGCAATCACTCTTCCAATGGCTGGTTTTCTTACAGTGTGCACACTGATTTATGCCCAAGGCATGGTGACTCAGATGCCCAGTTTTGGGCTTCCCACCTTTGAGCTTCCCTTGTTCAGGCCAAGAGCCAGGGGGGCAGTCCCATGTTGGAGGTGACCTTAAGCCTACAGCCAAGAGCTGCACCTTGTGGCAGGTCCATCTTGCTCTTTCTGCTTCCTCTGCTTTGTCCCTGTTATTAAAAACTAAAAATGCCATACCTAAAAGCTGCTCCATAGGAGTTTGCGGACCCATAGCTGCTTTTTGCAGTTTCCTATGGATATCAGGGGCAGACTGAGTTATAAAAAAATGTACTCCCCAAAGAGTTTGTCCTTCTCTTGAGGCAGGATCAGTGTTATCATATTTCCTGATTGCCTCAACTAAACGCCCACTGGATTCTCATCTTTTCCCTGAGAAAATTCCTTAGCCTTTTCATAGTTAACAGGATTTTTCATACATTTCTTTATCTTTTCCAACAAATAAGTGACCCTAGGATCTCTCCTCCCTATGTCCTTACTGCCCCTTTGATAGTTCCACTCTGGATCTCGATCTGGAACTGCTATACCTCCTGCCTGATATGAGATATATATATATAATGGTTTGGGTTGCAAGCCAGTACCTCATCTTCAAGGGCCCTAGCTGTCCCCAAAATGCATTGTTTCTCTTCCACTGTAAAACACAGAGACAACAAAACATTCAGATCCTGCCGAGTTAAACTATAGGTCAGAGTTAATTTCTCAAACTCATCTACGAATTTCCCTGGATCTTCAGAGAAATAACCAAACTTCTCTTTACATAGCCAAATGATACATAGAAAAGAGAACATACGCTCTCACAGTGCCTTCTTCCCCATTTGCCACCTCTCTAAGTGGACAGAGGTTTCCCTTTGGAGGTTGATAGGAGGCTCCACTATGAGTAGTACTCGTTGGGCTAAGTTCCTCAGGGAGTGTAGGGTATAGAGTGGGACTAGATGGGTAAAGAGGAGGGGATGAAGGGTTCTCAATAAAACTTTCAGGTGAACTAGAGGGATGAAGGACCGACATATCTGAATCTTCAGAGCTGACAGAAGGAGGTTCTGCTCCACCCAAAACTGCCCACTGAACTGGAGGGGGCTTGCATTAAAGGATCTTCAATTATGTCTAGCTCTTTTTCTTCTTTTCCTCTCATCAAACATGCACATGCCTGCTGCAGGGTTTTATCCTGACTAAGCAGCAAAAATGCCTGAACATATGGCATTTCATTCCATTTTCCCTCCTGCTTACAAAACAAATTGAGTTGAAGTATAATATTAAAGGCCATAGTTCCAGTAAGAGGCCTTTTCTCTTGTTTTTCCAAATAATACCAAGGCCAAACAGTATTACATAGAAACTCCAGTTTTCTCTTCTTAAGCCCATTCAGTTTAAACTGGTGCCAGTGTTCAAGAATACATCCTAGTGGTGAGTTCTTTGGAATCGATGCCGTGGTTCCCATGAAGGAGGCGGATAATGTTGAAAGAAAAGTTCCAAACCTGTGGGATTGTATTGTCACTGGCCAAGTTCCACTAAAAAGGATGAGAGGCTTTCTAAGGCCAGCTGCATTAATGAGGGAATCCCTGTCAAAATTTGAATTCCCTTATTTGTATTATCCAAATAATATAAGTGAGCTAAGCCATGAATCTTAGACTTTAACAAAAATGTCGAATAAGGCGAAGGAAATGGAAGAGGATTTAGATGGGAATGATCAGAGTAGGCAGGTTCTGGGCAATAGTGGCAGTGTGGATTGGACAAGCAAAGCCAGCCTGCCCGAATCCAAGAAAAGAAAGAAGCTTTTTTTTTTTCAGTGTGTAAAGTGAAACAAAACAGCAAGAAGAGTCCCCTGATTTCCATCCTAGTGCTTCTTGATCACACCTAGCTGGCATAGCAGCAACAAACATAACCACATCTATCTAATCTTATTGCTCATAGCTGTTAAATACCAAATCTCAATCAGCAATTTTAAAGACAAAGCCTTTAATGCTTTTTGTTCCCAATGTTTCTCAAGCAAATGAACAAAAATCAGAAGGCACATAGGAAAAGAGTAAGTTAAAATCCCTAAAGACGAGTTAAATATAATCTCCTGAAAGTGACAGTGAAACAGAGAAAGCAACCATGAAATTGATTCATGCAGCAAGGAGGACAAGGCAGATTAATACAAAGAACATAGCCTGCAGTGCCAAACCTGTTTTCGGCTGAGAAGGACTTTACTGAGAGGGGCCTCTAACCCCCTAAATCTTAGAAGGGACTCTAACCCAAGATTGGTCAAGCATCCTTGCCTTTTATTAAGAAGGGCCTCTAACCCACATTGTCTTAGGAGAGACTCTAACTCCCCCAAGTTGGGCCTCCAAACCAATCCCATTCTTTACCTAGTATATGCACGCCGCTTCCCAAAGTCAGCCAATTAGTGTGTGCAGAAGATTTTCCTTTGGGTTAGGGGTCTCTTGGCCTCTTCAGTATCGTTCCTTCTGTGGTCCACCAGAAATATGTTACCGGAAAGTGGTCCCGATCCAGTACAAGAAAGAATTCAGGGTGAGTCCGCAATGTGAAGTAAAAGCAAGTTTATTAAGAAAGTAAAGTGAAAGGACAGCTACTCCATAGACAGAGTAGGACATTCCTGAAAGTAAGAGGAAGAATGTGTCCACCCTAGGTACAGTGCTTATATATATAGGATAAAAATAGCTCCTGGGGAGATGTGCACTGCTACAAGGATTTGCAATAAAGGATTAATTTTCTTAATTACTATATTTTGCAAGAATTGATATTATTTTCTTTAAAGAAAAATTAGGAATGTCTTTATTCTCCAGATATTGGGCTATCTGGATACTCCCAAGTCTGGGTCTGTTTCAGTACATCATAAAGCTAGCCCTTGGTCCCTTCATCCTCAAATAAACTAATTTTTCAAACCACGTGCTCACTCTCACCATCCCTCACCTCCAGAATTTGATCACTTTCAGAGTAGCTTTCCTGGAGTTAAAGGGCAAACATTAAGATCTCCTACTCTGAAGACTGAAGGTGGAAGGACTGAGGAAAAGCCCACAAGAAGCAAAGTGATTACAACCACAGAAACCCAGCCCTGGTTGAAAAGCACCAGGTGCCTCTGAAGGCAGAGGTACAAGGTAGAGCTGAGAACAGGAGCATTGATTGACAGTCTTTCTAATGCATTCTGAGAGACCTCCCTCACCACTGACTTAGGCATCCTGCCTCGCTCTAACAGCAGGTTACCATCCCTCTCCCCCCAAACATAGACTGGCAAAAGATAGGAGGTTTATTGCCAGGAGAAACTGGGTTGGAGACAGCATGGATTGGCCCGGGGGTATTTAATGAAAATCTCTACACTGAATGGTGTTATCCTAAGTCCTTTCCCCTGGATGGTCTCCAGGCAAGCAGGCTTACACTGCTCAGGCAGGAGTCTGGAGGAATTATCTTCCCAGAACCTAACTGGCCCAAGAGGAAATATCTAGGGGCTAATATTGGAGAGGGGAGCTGGAAAATGACTGGTTAAAACCACTATTAGTCAAGCTGTTCCGGTACACAGAGGATTTCCAAGAAACTTTTTTAGAACTTTACTCTTGAATATTAACAAAGACCACCAAGTATTTGAGGAAAGCTTTTAACACAGAGTCCAAAATTATCAAACAAGAAACATACATACACACTAAATACAATACAGATAGCAAAGAAAACTTAAAAGAACAATAGCAAAATCTTAATATCTTCAGAGATATACAAGAAGATATTGAATTTATGAAAAAAGATTGAAATACTATAAGAACAGAGAAGAATTTGAAAATCAAAAATATAATGGCAGTGATTTAAAATAATTAAGAGAAGGATAAAAAGATAAAGCTGAGAAATTCCCCCAGAAAGTAGAATAGGAAGACAAAGACTTTAAAAATGAGAGATACTTAAAGAATTTTTTTTGAAGCGAAACATTGTGCAGGAAATGAAATGTCATCTCAATGAACTTCATGGCTCAGTTGTAAATAATAATTATATTCTCTAATAATGACTAAAGAAGTTAATATTTATAGAGCACTTAATGCCTGGCATATAACAAGTATTATATGTGTTCATTAAAGTAATGCCATAAATAAAAATAAAAGGATAAATATTGGTTTAACCAGAAATTTCAATATGACTATATTGGGAGAATAAGAGGAGAAATTGTGGATTTGGTGTGTGTCTTTGTGTTTCTAAGCGTGGGGGTGGTGGTTATAAGATCATTAAGTGCTTATGTTTGAATGAAGGTAATGAACAGATACTAAGTAAAATTAAGCAAGAAGTATAAGTATAAACAGCATAACATACCCTTCTATGAATCCAGTCAGTGGTCTCTAAAGGGAATTATTAGTAAACCAGCATTAGGTGAAACATATAGAAGTCTCTTTAATGCATTCCTGTGGAAATCTCTCTAGTCCATTTCTGTAGAAGTCTCTCTCACCTGTTCCGGCAGAAGTCTATTTGAAAAAGAAAACTAGCCAAAAAATTTTTATTTGACCTTGCTTATTCCTTTGGTTACTGTATTTCTATAACCTCATCATTATTGATAGTCTTTACTTTTACCTCTTTTCTCTCTGTCATCTTCTCAACTTGAGGCAATTGATTTTTCTCTTTCTTTCCAATCATCTACACTCTTGAAGCCTGGAAGATGCCCTTGTGTGGCAGAAAGGGGGTGATCCCTTTCCTTCCCATTGTAAAGGTCATGACCAACTTGTAACAAGACACAAGTTAAAAAAGAAAAGCATAAAAAATTATCTGGTTATAGTTTTATGTGACATGGGAGCTTTTAGAAGGAAGACCCATATATACAGGAAAAGATATATATTTTTATGCTTAGGGTCAATGAATAATGAACAGCTGTGTAGACTGTGCAGAACTGATTGGGCAAAAAACATATGATATAATGCTAACAAACTGAGTGAGGAAACTCAGCAAGGCCTGTCCAGATTCTTCTTGGCCTCTTTGCAGCATCAATTCCTCCACGTATTGGGCAGAGCCCCTTCTGGAACGGGGTCTTAGGATGGACAATCAGACAAGGGAGGTCAGAGAATTCTTTATGACCAGTTTTTAAACAGAAATGTGGGGCGAAGTTAGAGTAATATTTTTAGGTTTTATGGCTGGCTTAGGGGAAAAGGGATTTTTGTTTTTTATGACCCACCTCGGGGAAGAGGGATTCAATTTCTATGGCTTGCTTCAGGAGAGAATGAGGGATGAGAGACAGGAGGGTAGGAGAAGGTCAGAGAGAGAAACTTTACTTCTGAGGTCTTCACTTTGGGGTATAATTTTCTGAGCCCCCACACTCTCTTAATGTCACTAAATGGACTTTACTCACTCTTACCTATTTTTATTTTTGAATTTAGAAACAGGGTTTCACTATGTTGTATAGGCTTGTCTCGAGCTACTAGCCTCAGGTGATCCTCCTGCCTCAACCTTCCAAGTGGTATTACAGGTGTGAGCCGCTGCACTCAGCACACACATTTTATTTTTTTATCTTGAAAAGTTTTCAAACTATAGAAAAGCGAAAAGAATAATACAATGAATACCCACCTGTCACCTTAATTTACCAAATTGCTAACATTTTGCCATGTTTGCTGCCCACATCCCATGTGTGCACACGTGAGTGTTTTCACAGAGCAATTTGAAGGAAAGTTGCATTTATCATGACTTTTAATCTAAGTGCTTCACTCTAAATACTTACGCATGTATCTCTTAAGAAAAAAAAAATGTCACTCACTACAATTACATGATTATTCCCAGGGAATTTAATGTTGAAACAATAAGATCATTTAATAAACAGTCCATATTCAAAGCCCTTAACTATCCCCCTAAAATCCTAAAAGTTTTGCTGTTGTTGTTGTTGTTAATTTTTAATCCAGGACACAAATACGCTTCATGCATTGTCTTTGATTGTTTTATTTCCTTGGTCTCCCTTAGTCTAGATTCCAGTTTCTAGAATGCTTCATTCTCTTTTGTGGTATGTCATAATATTTGAACTTTTTGAAGAGTTCAGGCCAATTATCTTGTAGAATGTCCCTCCTACTGGACTTATTTGATTGTTTCTTCATGTTTAGATTCAGGTTAAACATTGGTTGGTTGTTTTGTGTCTTGGCAAGAATTTCATATATACAACATCATGTACTTCCAGTTGCATCACATCATGATGTTAATTTTGTCTTGTTATTCATGAGGTTAACTTTGGCTACTATGTTGTCTGCCAAGTTTCTCCACTGTAAAACTATCTTTTCCTATTTGTGACTAACAAGTGTTATAAGACCAACAGGTTTGTATGCCTGCTGTGCAGTGACAGAACCATTACAGTGAGACAGCAGGGTTTGCAGTTGAGAAAGAGTTTAATGATCTCAGGGTGCCGAGTGAGGAGATGGGAGGAGATCCTCAAATCCATCTCCCCAAGGAGACAGAGTCTTGCTCTGTTGCCCCAGCTACAGTGCAATGGCGTGATCTTGGCTCACTGCAACTTCTGCCTCCCGAGTTCTAGTGATTCTTGTGCCTCAGCCTCCCAAGTAGCTGGGATTACAGGCACATGCAACCACACTTGGCTAATTTTTGTATTTTTAGTAGAAACAGGGTTTCGTCATGTTGGCCAGGCTGGCCTTGAACTCCTGGCCTCAAGTGATCCACTTGCGTTGGCCTCCCAAAGTGCTGGGATTACAGGCATGAGCCACTGAGCCTTGCTGGGCTACGGTTTTTAAGGGGATTCTGGAGGGCAAGGGACTAGAGAATTGGGGTTGTTGATTGTTTGGGGTAAGGGGAATGAAATTAACAGGATATGGAAACTGCATTCTTTGGTGAGTCAGTTTCTCGTGGGGTCCTTCAGGCCAACTGATAGAGTAGCTTCGGTGATATGCAGGACATGAAGGAATATCTCAAAGGGAAAAATTAATGTTTTGTAATGTTCAAGTTGTTATCTATAAGCAATTAAGGGGAACTATAATCTTGTGACAGGGTCTATGTGATTCTAGGACAATGGGCACCACACAGCTATGAGGAAGCAGGTCAGAGAGTTAGCTGACTTAGTGATCAATGCTGAATGTGCTGCAAGCTTGGCATACTTTCATTTCTTCCCCTCCCTTCTTTCCTGAATAGTTTCATAAAGTTTTCAGGGATGGCTTTGCAAGTCATGTTTTGAGACCATGTAAATCTCCCATTCCAACAACTTTTCTTTCAATGGTTTTAACATGCATCGATAAGCCTCATTTCAACCAATTATTGCATCGATGATGGCAAAGTAGACATTTTCGAATTCCTTCTATACTCATTCACTGGTGTTCTTATGTTTAAAAAAAAGAGCTTCCCCTGTTCCCTTTTGTTCAGTATCAATATGGATTCAGGAATTCTTTTTCTTTTCCTTTTCCTTCTGTTTTATAATCCAAAGCCATCATTATTCTTTTTTTGATGTTCAAATCAACACAAATGTGGCCAGTGGGGGCCCCTTTAAGCCAGCTCCTGTGTCCTTTAACATAGGCCTACTTCGTCTTCCAGTGCTTTCTTGTTTGTTAGCTCTGAATGTTGCAGGCTTGCCTTATACCTTCCTCACCCCAGACCGGGAGTCAGTCATGTCTCCATGAAGCCTGTGCTCATTTTTGTTCTCCCAGTGTTCTTGCTTTCCTTGGAACAGGATTCTGTTACTCATAGTCTTCTCCTTGAAACTCTGCTTTCATAAATACTGTATCATTTTCCATTTCCTGCTACCTTCATAACTGCTTTCTGATTCATTTGTTAGAGTCATTAGTTTTTTTTTTCAACAGATAGTGAAATGCTTATTACATGTGTCTGGGACAGTGTGCTTCAGGCATGAAGGCAAAGAGGCCACAGTCCCGACCCTCAAGAAGCTCACATTCTTGGCCAGGCATGGTGGCTCATACCTGTAACCCCAGCATTTTGGGAGGCCAGGGGAGAAGATTGCTTGAGCTCAGGAGTTCAAGACCAACTTGGGCAACACAGTAAGACCCCATCTCTACAAAAAAAAAAAAAAAAAGAAGAGAAAAGAAAAAAGAAAAAGAAACAAAAAACAAACACACAAACAAACACACATGCCTATAGTCCTAGACTCAGGAGGCTGAGGCTGGAGGATTGCTTGAGCCTGGGAGGTTGAGGCTGCAGTGAGCTCTGATGGTGCCACAGAACTCCAACCTGGGTGACAGAGCAAGACCCTGTCTCCAAAAACAAACAAACAAACAAAAAATTCACATTTAGTCTTTTAGCTAGATGACCTTGTAATTTATCATTCAAATAGGACACTTTGAAAGTGAAAAGGGGTTCTACAAGAAGCTATACTGGGACAAGAAACAGACATTGGTATTGTGTGAGGAGTTGGTAGGAGTTGGTAGGAATTATGGAGGAATCAGTGAGGACACTGATATCCTGCCTCTAGTTTCCTCTGTCAAATTTGCTTCCTTAAACATCACTTTCAGCATGGAATCTCTTATGCTCAAAAAGCCTGCCGCTATCTGTTTTCTGGGAAGTCAAGCCAAACCCTTTTATCAGATTCCTGAGGTACTTTAAAATCTGATCTTTAAAAAACCTGACAAAAACAAGAAATGGGGAAAGGATTCCCTATTGAATAAATGGTGCTTGGAAAACTGGCTAGCCATAATGTAGAAAGCTGAAACTGGATCCCTTCCTTACATGTTACACAAAAATTAATTCAAGATGGATTAAAGACTTACATGTTAGACCTAAAACCATAAAAACCCTAGAAGAAAACCTAGGCAATACCATTCAGGACATAGGCATGGGCAGGGACTTCATGTCTAAAACACAAAAAGCAATGGCAACAAAAGCCAAAATTGACAAATGGGATGTAATTAAACTAAAGAGCTTCTGCACAGCAAAAGAAACTACCATCAGAGTGAACAGACAACCTACAGAATGGGAGAAAATTTTTTGCAATCTGCTCATCTGACAAAGGGCTAATATCCAGAATCTACAATGAACTCAAACAAATTTACAAGAAAAAAACAACCCCATCAAAAAGTGGGCAAAGAATATGAACAGACACTTCTCAAAAGAAGACATTTATGCAGCCAAAAGACACATGAAAAAATGCTCATCATCACTGGCCATCAGAGAAATGCAAATCAAAACCACAATGAGATACCATCTCACACCAGTTAGAATGGCAATCATTAAAAAGTCAGGAAACAACAGGTGCTGGAGAGGATGTGGAGAAATAGGAACTCTTTTACACTGTTGGTGGGACTGTAAACTAGTTCAACCATTGTGGAAGTCAGTGTGGCGATTCCTCAGGGATCTAGAACTAGAAATACCATTTGACCCAGCCATCCCATTACTGGGTATATACCCAAAATATTAAAAATCATGCAGCTATAAAAACACATGCACACGTATGTTTATTGCAGCACTATTCACAATAGCAAAGACTTGGAACCAACCCAAATGTCCAACAATGGTAGACTAGATCAAGAAAATGTGGCACATATACACCATGGAATACTATGCAGCCATAAAAAAGGATGAGTTAATGTCCTTTGTAGGGACATGGATGAAGCTGGAAACCATCATTCTCAGCAAACTATCGCAAGGACAAAAAACCAAACACTGCATGTTCTCACTCATAGGTGGGAATTGAACAATGAGAACACATGGACACAGGAAGGGGAACATCACACACCAGGGCCTGTTGTGGGGTGGGGGAGCGGGGAGGAATAGTATTAGGAGATATACCTAATGTTAAATGATGAGTTGATGGGTGCAGCACACCAACATGGCACATGTATACATATGTAACAAACCTGCACGTTGTGCACAGGTACCCTAAAACTTAAAGTTTTTAAAAAAAAAAAATCATTGTCATGATGCTAAGCTGGTGTATAGACACAGATGTGAGACTCACATTTTTCTAAGTGCAAACACCCTTATTAAGCAAATATTTTTGTAGATGCTTGAGTCAGAAAATTGGCATTTTAGGCATTCTTAAACTGGATTAGAAACTTCTGAGGAAAAACAAAGGTGGTTATGATTATAAAGGCATTATTGTATGGCACCAAAGTCTTGGGACTCTTTGATCTAGCTACTGCATTTTCTCAACTTTGTTGCAACTTGTCAAAGAGAATATTCATATTAAAGGCATTTGCAAAAAATCTGAAAAAATAAATAAAATAAAATAAAATCTGACCCTTCCTTATCAAACCCTGATTGCCACTGTGCCCAGCATGCTCTCTCCAGTCTCCGTGCTGGGCTTGCTGAGAACAGGAATGCGCATGTCTTGTAATCACTGTCTCCAGCACCTGCCCAGCCCCCAGCACCTGCACAGCCCCCAGCGCGTAACAGGTGCTCCAGTATGAGAATGCTCAAGAAGGGCTCTTGGCTTTCCTCACCATGGAGCACACTCTTCCCATCTGTTCTCTGCTCTCTTGCACCCAGGATGCCTTGCCATCTCTCCCAGACCCATTTAATTCCTACCAACTTCCAATCAAGGTGCCAGAGGGAGCATGTACACTCTCCCCTACCTTCCATTCCACTGGCGTAAGGTGAAATATTGCTTTAAAAAATTTAAATATATGCAACCCATTCCAAAACAGTTTAAGAATGCCCAAAATGCCAAGAGGAAAATCTCTGTGAACCTGAGTGCAGAGGAAACTCACATTGATGAGGGAGGGGGTTGAAGTCACATGACCCAAGGGACTCATGGCCAGACAAGGGGTGGTGGGCCCTGGTCTTCAGCACTGCCTGGGAAGGTCTGCAGGGCCCATGGTGGGACACTGGAATCTCTGTGCAGCCACAGCCCCCAGAGTGAAATAACTCCACTAGAGAGCCCAGAGGTGGGTGGCAGCTGGAAGTAAGCAGCTCTGGGAGGAAACAGAGGCCACCAAGCAAAACAGGAGTGAGATTGGGTGGCACAAATGGAGCACTTCCCATCTAGGGTGAGAGTCTGTGAAGGTTAATTTTATGTGTCAATGTGGCTAGGTCATGATATCCACATATTGTTCAAATGTTATTCTAGATATTTCTGTGAAGGCATTTTTTTAGATGAGATTAACATTTAAATCAGCAGTAGGCCAGGTGTGGTGGCTCATGCCTATAATCCTGGCCAAGGCAGGAGGATCGCTTGAAGCCAGGAGTTGGAGACCAGCCTGTGCAATACAGCAAGACGTTGTTTCTACAAAAAATAAAATAATTAATCAGGTGTTGTGGGATGCACTTGTAATCCTCACTACTCCTATCTACTTGGGAGGCTGAAGTGGGAGAACTGCTTGAGCACAGGAGTTCAAGACCATCTTGGGCAACATAGCAAGAGCGCATCTCCACAAAAAATTTTAAAAATTGCCTGGGCATGGTGACATATGCTTGTAGTCCCAGCTAGCTAGGAGGCTGTGGTGGGAAGATCACTAGAGTCCAGGAATTCAAGGTTACAGTGAGGTATGATTTTGCCACTGCACTTCAACCTGGGCAACAGAATGAAACTCTATCTCTAAAAAACAAATCAGTAGACTTTGAGTATAGCAGATTATGCTTCTATTATATAAGTTCTGCCTATAGATGGTTTTTGGACTCGAACTACAATTCATCCCTAGGTCTCCAAACTGCTGGCTTACCCCACAGATTTTGGGTTTACCAACCCTCCACAATCACACGTTCCTTAAAATCTCTCTTTCTCTCTCTATATATCTCCTGTTGGTTCTGTTCTCTGGAGATCCATGACTATTACAGAGTCCTAAACCACTTAATATAGGAAATTGCCAATGTTTTAGACCAAGGATGTTAAGATGGAAGGAGTTCAGCACCAAATGCTGAGCAGGATGAACTCAACAACCACCATGAAACCTCACATCTATGTATAATTGTTCATTTATCAGGAGCTATTGATTTAGTGATTTATTGCCAGGTCCTGTTCTAGGTACTGTGTATTCAGTGGGGGAACACACACACATATATAATATGCATCTAGAATATAATATATGTGTTTTTTATATATATACTTATATATATATAACTTTAAATTCATGTATAGGTAAGTATTATGAAGGAAAAATAAACTAGAGTAAAAGGAGGTATTTTAGATCAAATGGGCAAGGAAAGTCTTTCTGAAGAGGTGGCATTTAAGCCAAGACTGAATGAAGTGGGGAACAAGTCAAGTGAAATGGCCAAACATGGAGAACAAAAGGGGAAGTCTTACAAGCAAGCAGTAAGAAAAGACTTGTCCCTCACAAAAGAATGGCCAGCAGATTGGCAGCTGCCTCTTCAGCACTGAGGGTAAATGCTAGAATAATTCCTTCCCCAAGTATTGTTCAGGAGTGAGAGTGAAACAGACATAGCCAGACACCAGGGCTAGGAGGGTTTGCTATCAGAGTGCCTTCCTGAAAGAACTGCTAAACTTTACGTATTTCCTGCAGGAGAAAATGAATCCAAAAGGTGTGGAACAGAAAAACAATGGTGAACAAAGAAATCATTGAAACGTGTCCAAAATCAAGCTATATTTTCCCTGTATTTTCAAACTTTTGTGCATAATATACTAGATAAACATCTGGAAGATGGGAAATAGGGGAAATGTGGGAAAATGTCAGTGTTTAAGGTCTTTGTCTTGATGAGGAGGAGGTTAGAGATTCTGAGCCTATTTAGAGATTCTGAGTCAATTTACAACAATACATAGCTTCTCCTCATTCTGCACAGTCTAGATTGGGTTGGATTGAGCCGCTTTCATGAGTTGTTTCTAATTACCCAGTCCTCTTTCATTTACCTCCAGAACTCCTCTAGCATTTATAGCCTGTCTGTACAATTTAGCACTTAGCTACACAGAGTCACTTGTCTACATAGGGCTGAAGGCTCAGGCTCTTCAGGCCCCGTTGGTTAACTGGCTGCAGTGGCATTAGAAGAGCATCTGGCTAATGCCCGCTTCTGACGCACCATTAACTAGCTTTGTGAACTTGGACGTGTTGCCAACCACTCTGGGTTTCAGAAGTTTTTCAGTCTGTAAAATGAGATAATATGGTGAGACAGCTGCTAAGATCCCTTCTAGCACAAAGAATCTATGCTTGGTTCTTTTACTCCTTTCCTGCATGTCCTGGAGAGGAACTGTCCAGAAAGATCATCAGGTGATGACCTGCCTAAGAGTAAGACCCTGTCTAAAAGACAGAAGTGCAGTGGCATGATCATGCTTATTGCAGCCTTGACCTCCTGGGTTCAAGTGATCCTCCCACCTCAACTTCATGAGTGGCTGGGACCACAGGCATGTGCGACCACACCCAGCTATTTTTTTATTAATATTTTTAGAGATGAGGTTCTGTTATTCTGCTCAGGCTGGTCTTGAACTCCTGAGCTCAAGCAATCCTGCCGTGGCCTCCCAAAGTACTGGGATTACAGGCATGAGCCACTCCACCATGCCCAGCCTCTGTTGCATATTCTTTTTAGCTTCCTGCCTCCCACACACTGACTTTCTCCCTAGATGCTGAACCAGTGACTTAATCTACCCTTTGACACCTGCCTGATCCCTTAAACCTCACCCAGATCCCCCACATTGGCATTGATGTCCTACTTAGGTGCTGGCTTCTGCTCCAGCTGATACCTACCTGGGTCTGGGTTACTTCTGTGCTTTTCCCTTATCCTGGGTTATCAGTCTTTTCTTAGGTCTTCTGATCCCAGGTGCTCACTCATTGTATATAATACTAAATGACAGCAAAAACAGAATTCTTAAAAGCAAAGACCTCAGAAACTACAGGGGATGTTGAAAATTGCTTCAAAGGATGTAAGGTACATCTCTTTACTGGCCTGCTCTCTCCCAGTACCTTTCTTTATCGCCTTGAGGTCAGGTATTAACAAGGGTCAGAGGAGGGGTGTGTTGTATGGGAGAACAGTCAGCTTTCTTCTTCTCAAAAAACATTGATTTGCTTCTGCACTGCTGCCTAGACTCCTTTGGGTGCATATTCTTAGGCTTTTTTTTTTTTTAATCAGAAACAATAGCAATCTTGTTTTCTTATTTGGTGACAACTTTTGATGGGCCAGATTTATATTCCAAAGTAAGTGTTGCAGCAAGAGGCAGCATATACTTATAAATTATCTATTGCTGTGTAGCAAATTACCACACACTTAGCAACCTACAAGGGTACACATTCATTGTCTCACAGTTTCTGTGGGTCAGCCTTCTAGGCTTGGATTAGCTGGATCCTCTGTTTCAGGGACTCTCACAAGGGTGTAATTAATGTGTGGGCTGGAGCTGCAGTCTTATCTGAAAACTCAACTGGGGAAGGATCTATGTCCAAGATCACATGGTTGTCAGCGGAATTCACTTCCTGAAGGGTTGTTGGACTGAGGGCCTCTGTTCCTTGCTAATTGTTGGCCAGAGGCCACCCTCAGTTCTGTATGCAATGTAATGATGGAAACAAAATCGCATCTCCTTTGTCATATTCTGTTGGTGAAAAGGAAGTCATAGGTCCTATCCACACTCAAGAGGGGAAGATCACATGTTGTATGAACACCAAGCAGTAGGGATCCTGAGGCAGCAAAATATGTTGGTGAAGACATAGACTCTGGAGTTATTTGTCTGCTTTCAAATCTCAGTCCAACCATTTAGTATCTCTGTCTCAGTTTCTTCATTTGTGTAACAGGGATGATAATACTAGCTACATTATAGGGTTGTGAGGATTAAATGAGTTATTATATTTAAAGTTCTTAGTACAGCCTGGCATATAGTAAGTGCCATGTTACTGTTAATTTTTGCATTTTCTCTTTGTTACTATTTCTAGAGAGGTGGGCATGGCAGCTGGGCAATGTTTGCCTTCTTTCTGAGAAGATTTTACACTCTTAGGCAGTGGTGTCTTTCAATCACTTCCACGTATGTATCAAGTACACACTGTGGTTTGAAGATAATTACAAACAAGCCCTATATTATGCATTTAACAAATTGCTTCCTATTGATTTATGTCCAGTTATTCAAGGGGAGAGTAAGAGCCCACAAATGATAAGTAAAGTGATTAGAGCCAACTATTCAGATAGAAGAGTCATTGGGGGCAATTGGATACTGTACGAAGTGCTTTCATCTTTAGGAACTGTTAAGATTGGACCATAAAATATTTATGGGCTTAAGCAAAAGCTGTTGTCCTTCAGCTAGCTTGTGGAGTCTGTTACATGAGTTCTGACTGAAAACTAGTGCCTACGGTGGGCCTTTGGGAAGGGTTCTATGTAGAAAATGATCTTTACAGATACTTTAGCTTTGTAACTGAAGGAGTAGATTGGCCCCTGTGGCAGCCTCCAGGTAGAAAGTGTAATAACTTTGTTTAAAAAAGCGATACGAAGTATTAGGGAAAAAAGGAGGTTTAAATAAGCCCAGAAAAATCATACACTGTTGTGATATTATGAAATATATGTTTTGTCTTTGTCTCAGTTTCCTGGTATAAGGCTCCTAAAACCCTTTGTCCTGGTTTCCTGACTTACATTCCTAAAACCTGAGTGATAAGAGTGTCTTTTGTATGTTATTGAGCTGATTCAATAATGTAGATGGCTGGGGGCCCCTAAATAGCTTCAGGACAGGGGCTGGTCATTGGAAAGACCAAGGCATTAGAAGATTGGGCCTTTTAGCCCCAGCCTCTAACCTCAGAGTAGGGAAGAGGGACTGAAGGTTAAGTTGATCACCAGTCGACAATGATTTAATCAATCATGCCTTGGTAATGAAGCTTTTATAAAAACCCAAAAAGACTGGCTTTGGAGAGCTTCTGGATAGCTAAACACACAGAGGTTCCTGGAGGGTGGTGTGCTCAGAGAGGACATAGAAGCTCCACACCCCTTCCCACATGCCCTTCCCTATAAACCTGTTCACCTGTATCCTCTGTAATGTCCTTCATAATAAGCTGGTAAACCTAAGTAAGTGTTTCCCTGAGTTTTGTAAGCTGTCCTGGCAAATTGATTGAACTTGAGGAGGGGGTCATGGGAATCCCAATTTATAGCCAGTTGGCTGGAAATACAGGACACAACCTGGGGCTTGTGATAGGCATCTGAAGTGGGGGGCAGTGTATGGGACTGAACCCTTAACCTGTGGGAGTGTCAGAATTGGGTTGAATTATAGGACACCTAGTTGGTGTCTTCTGGAGTATTGCTTACTTGGTGTGTGGGGAAAACTCCCACACATCTGGTGTCAGAAGTGCTGGGTGAGAAAAACACCAACACCAACACTGTTTTTCTCCTATACCTAATAACTATATTTCACCAAATTAAGAAAACATGCAATAGTAATAAAGATTCCAGAATGTAAATAGCCAACAAAGTTGGAATAATCATCATGATTCACTATTTTTAGAAAGTTTGGCAAAGGACAGATTTTGTCTAGTACCATAGCAGTAGTGCAGGCTCAGGGTGTTGTCAGTCAAGACAGATGCAAATGCCTGTCACTAGGATACATGGTAGAATGACAGAGCTGAGCTAGCAAATGTTGGATGCTCAGAGAAAGCGCATCCATTAGGATTATATTTAGCTGCAAGTAACAGAACACCTAACTGACAAGGCCTAAACAAGGAAAGTGTTTATTTGTCACATGCAACATAATTCTGGGGGTAGATGATTCTGGACAAGAACACCAGTTCCAAATATCATCAAGAACAAGTCCTGTTTATCTTTCTCTTCTCTCATAGCAAGTGGCTTTCATTTTCATGGTCTCCAGATGGCTGCTGCATCCCCAGGTGTCATGGAGGAGGGAGTGAGGCTGAAAGGCAGAGGTAAGGAGCTGTGCTAGCCAAGCCCATCCCTTTAAAGAACTTTCCTGAGAGCTCTATCCAGTGACTTTTTCTTTTATTATGAGGACTAAGCTCTGATTGTTTTTTTTTGAGACGGAGTCTCGCTCTGTCACCCAGGCTGGAGTGCAGTGGCACTATCTTGGCTCACTGCTACCTCCACCTCCCTGGTTCAAGCAATTCTTCTGCCTCAGCTTCCTGACTACCTGGGACTACAGGCGCACACCACCATGCCTGGCTACTTTTTTTGCATTTTTAGTAAAGAAGGGGTTTCACCAGGCTGGCCAGGCTGGTCTTGAACTCCTGAGCTCTTGATCCACCCACCTCGGCCTCCCAAAGTGCTGGGATTACAGGCGTGAGCCACCGCAGCCGGCAACAACTCTGATTTTTTATCTTGACCAAATTCCTATCTAACGGTCTGGGGAGTCATACTCTACAAACCACATATTCTCATTAGCTGGACTTTATTTATTTATTTATCGTGACTTATTTTCCAACCTGATTCTGGCATAACATTATGAGACAACGAAGGAACATCAAAATATTTTACCACCAAAACATGTTTTTTGTCACATTTTGAAACGGCCCTGCGAGACATCCTTTGTGGGGGAATATTCACATCTGTAAGGAATCCCTATTAACATAGCTAGACCTTTTCCTTCCAGGCCCATCCAATTCTGAATAGATTAACTGAGAGTCTAACACCTTTTAAAGGGTCTGAATAGGACACATTTGTCATCTATTGTTTCTAAGGGCAGCCACTATGAGACTTCTGAAAGAACCTTGGTCTCCGCAATCTTTTAACCCAAACATTCCTTTCTGCTAATCTCAGGTCTTTAGACAAAAACTCAACCAATTGTCAATCGGAAAATGTTTAAATTCACTTATAGCCTGGAAGCTCACCCCCTCCCCATCCCCCACCCTCCCCCCCCAACTCCCCACCCCACCTGCTGCTTTAAGTTGTCCCACCTTTCTGAACCAAACCAATGTATTTCTTAAATGTATTCAATTGATGTCTCATGCCTCCCTAAAATGTATAAAACCAAGTTGCACCCTGACCACCTTGGACACATGTTCTCAGGACCTCTTGAGGGATGTGTCACGGGCCATGGTCACTCATATTTGGCTTGGGATAAATCTCTTAAAATATTTTGCGGACTTTGACTCTTCTTGTTGACAATTACATTGGCTAGAACTGTGTCCCTAGGAAAGAACATATTTTATTTTTCTGGCCTCCATAGGAAGAAGTAGAGGAAGGCAAGGGGGAAAAGGTTGTGAAAGATCTTTGAGTTTCTGATTTACAGAGGCTGCCACAGTAATTTCTAGAGCTCCACATACACCTTGTCACTCTTGTTTATATATCTCAAGCTGAGTTTTCAAATTATTTCTTTTGTCTGTGAGCAGAGAGACCATCAGAGATGTCTTATGGTGGCATTAGAGAATCGGGTAATTTGATATCAATAATTGGCTGAAGCATGTGTGTAAAGAAAGACTTCATATCTGGTTACACCCATATTAGTGGCCACAAAAGTATTCCTACCTCTAATCTTGGGTGCAGTCATTTGGACAATACAACTTTTAATAAATTGTGTTTTAGAGTCTAGTGGTCAAGAGGAATGAACATAAATAGTCTTGTCCACAAAAGCCTGTCCTTTTAGAATGAAGGCTGGCCATGACTTGTTTTTATTCTCTTTTTTTTTTTTTTGAGATGGAGTTTTGCTCTTGTTGCCCAGGCTGGAGTGCAATGGCACAATCTCGGCTCACTGCAACCTCCGCCTCCTGGGTTCAAGTGATTCTACTGCCTCAGTCTCCTGAGTAGCTGGGATTACAGGCACGTGCCACCACTACACCTGGCTAATTTTTTGTTTTTTGTTTTGTTTGTTTTTTGAGTAGAGACTGGGTTTCACCATGTTGGCCAGGCTGGTCTTGAACTCCTGACCTCATGTGATCTGCCTGTCTCAGCCTCCCAAAGTGCTGGGATTACAGGCGTGAGCCACCATGCCCGGCTGTTTTTATTATTTTAGAAAAACCAGCAGCTGCCAGCTAGGACATGGCAGTTCTCGACCAATACCTCATTCAGCAAGTACACAGTCCTTTCCTCTCTGACTGTCTCCCATGGTCACAAGGCCAAGGCTAACAAAGCAACTCACTTGCATGCAACATTAGCCCTCTAGCATATGCACGAAGATTCTGTAAGCTGCAATGCTACTGCATGGTTTCCATTGGACGGTGAGATGTGCTCATCAATATACCCAGTGTAAATAGCTTGCTTCATATTTTGGCAAAGTGCCCCCTCACTTTTCTGTATCACCATATCATTTGCCTTGTATGGGGAGCATTTATTAACTCATTTTGACCATGGCTGTTCTCATTTCACACAAGTAATCAAGGTAAATTGCAGGGATCTCTTCTTGATGCAAAGGTAGGAGGACAGAAGAAAGAGGCTGAAATCTGAATTTCCTTATGGAGGGACATGTGAGAAAGGCCATGGGGCACACAAGCATGTCACAGTCAGCTGGTCATGGTGACGGAGAAGAGGGGTTGGATATGAGAGAACTATTCTGTAAAGCTTAAATAAATACCCTGGCCTGATTCCCACTTAGGAAGATGCCAAGTCTTTGAGGAAAATACCTAGCTGATCATTAAACAAGCTGGCAGAGTATGTGTAATAAGACTGAAATCACGTGTTCACCTCCACATTTAGTCAAATTGCTTTGACACTTTATTGACAAGAAAAATAAAATGCTTAAGTGAATCCATCCCATAGATGGAAGGAGAGATTTTTGGAATTTTTTTCAAAAACATGATTTTGACAAAATAGCATTACTTGCCTGGTCCCATGGAGCCTCTGGGAACTCTAATCCTTTGAAAGCTATTGATTTCCTTTTGTTTTATATGGCAAGGCACACTTTCTCACGACTCAATTAGAACACATTTTTCCAGTGGGCAACAATCTTGATCACATTAACATTCATGAGATGAGTCTGTGTCCTACTGTTGTTTAATAAAAGAAATGAAATCTGGGGATATTATTCAGTCATAGTAGCCCATCACCTTGGGACAGTATTACTACTGCAATTCCATTAAAAGCACTAGCTATTGAAAGGCAAGTAGCAATAACAAAAAACTGTTGCTTTTAGGCAACAACTAGAAAATACTTGCTTGTCATGAATGTCCTGTCTTGGTTGTTTAATCAAGAGTGGAAGCAGACATGTTACAGGCAGCTGGAGAGGCTGCAGTGGCTCAAAAGGAATGGCCATGATGACAAGGCCAAAATCTCACTCATAAAGGAAGGAGATGGCATGCTACTCTTCAATGCTGTCTTCTAGAGCTTCTTTTCCACTGCAAGGAAGATCCACCTCCCACTAGCACACCCCTCCTCTTCCTTGTTGGGATGGCATTTTGCCAAGCATTGTGCCAGATGCCTTCTACATATTAGTTCATTAAATTCTCACCACAAGCCTAAGAGGAAGGTATTGCAACCCATCTTATAAATTATTGTCATTAAGCGTCTTACCCAGGGTTATATTGCCAATAAATGGTAGAAACTAGGGTTAGAAATCAGATCCTTGTAAGTCACGAGTGATAGAGAGTGAAATTTACACCAGTGAAGAGTAGGCCTATACAAAGGTTTTCTGTCTTTAGCCAGAATGTGTGTATAAGGGAAAATACAGACTCATCCTTTCAGCTTTTTCAGATTACTTCCTTGGCTACATCCACAAGTGGCCCCTATATCCTGACCCCTTCTCAGCGATGTGTCATTGTGTTAGTTGGCTCTTGTTTCCATAATAAAATCCAATAGACTGTATACCTTAAGTGACAATATATTTTTTGCAACTCTGGAGGTTGGGAAATCCAAAGTAAAGGTGCTGGCTGATTGTTCCTGGTGGGGGCTCTATTCCCGGCTTGTAGATCTCCCTTCTCTCTGTGTCTTCACATGGCAGAGAAAGATAAATAGCAGGCTTTCTAGTGTCTCTTCTTATGAGAGCACTAATTCCATCACGAGGGCCCCACCTTTATAATGTTGTCTAATCCTGATTATCTCCTAAATGTCCATCTCCAAATACCATCACATTAGGGGTAGGGCTTCAACGTATGAATTTTGGGGTGACACAAACATTCAGGTCATAACAGTCATCAACAATGTCTTTTTCAGGCCACATGCTTAGGGAACAACAAAATTGTTTATCTAGTGTAAGGATGTCACTTATCCATCCTAAGGACTCCCAGCGAGCACATTATGACTGTGCTCAGGAGGCCTGCCCAAGTCTTCAAGACAGGTGCAGCATCCAGCTTCAAGGAGAAGGAAGCAGATGTAGACATTCTTAAGGGCCAAACACTTCATCCAGATCCTCAGCTCAGTCCCTTCCTATCTTGGGTCCTTCTCTGGGCATTGATTTCCCCTGGTTCTTCATTAAGGTCCCAGGAGGGTCACACAACAGTTTTTCTTTGTTTTATTTTATTTTTTATTAAATTTTTTTTGCAGAAATGGGGTCTCACTTTGTTGTCTAAGCTGGTCTTGAACTCCTGGGCTCAAATGATCCTCCCACTTTGGCCTCCGAAAGTATTGGGATTACAGGCATGAGCTACTGCGCTTGGCTAACAGTCTTTCTTGCAGAGGAAGAAACATCCATTCTTTCTCCATCTCCTGCTTGTATCTTAAGTCAGGCTGAGCTCATCATTGGTGGTCAGCAGAAGTGCTGAACAATGGGCATCTCAGTCCAATCTGCAGAGACCAGTTCATTCTGGGGAGCCCCTACCATCATTCAATCTGCAGCACCCTCCTTTTTGGGCTGCTACTCTTTCTCCTTGGGTTCCTGGGTTCATTTTATTATTCTTTGTCTTTCTCCCATGCTTCTGACTGATGTTTCAATCATTTTATATACATATATATATATATATATATATATATATATATATATATATATATATATATATTTAACATGAAGAGACTCTGTTGAGTAGACACTTGGGAAGGACATAGAAAATGCAAGGCTTTTCATCCATCTCATGAATGGGTTTTTATTTAGAAGAAGGCTTTTTTTTCCCCCTTAACCAAAGAACACTTAGTTACTGCATAATGAATAATTAAAAAGCCTCTTCTCGTGATCAGAGTCAGGAGTTTTTCTATGTTCAAGTTAATCCAGCTCCTCTGGCAAAGAAAATCTTTATAAAGGATAATACCAATATAACATTTCTAGTTATTATGGAATCTGAATTTCTTTTATTGAGTGGTTCAGAAATAATTATCGTTTCTCTTAACTGGGTAAATGAAAAACGTAGAGGGAGATATAATAATGACCTTGGGGTTTTCTTGAGGCTAAGAGGCTTTGCAGTGGCCACCCGTGTCCTTGGCCATTTTGGGGTAATTTGATACAGTCCCTCAGTAATGAGGGAAGAGGACGTGAATAAGGATAGAGGGAAACTTAGCTTGGAACATGGTGCTTTTGCTTAATGAAAATTACTGCTTTCTTACTTCTTTGAGAGTTCAAAGACCTAGGGTGATTTCCCTAAATGGTTTTAGCTAACTGGGTGCAGAAAGGAAGATGAGAATTAACGGCACCCTCACTGGAAAGTTGAAAGTCTAATTAGCTCTTGGGCTGTTAATTCATCGACGGGATTCTGGGAGGGCAGGCAGGCCAGGCGGGCGGTGAGAGCTAAGTTCAAATGGTGATGCAGGGAAAAGCAACCAACCAAGGGGATTTGTTCCACATTTTGACCCACCTGGCCCATAAGCCATTACTGATTTGTGACGTTAAAAGGCTCCAGGAGAAACTTAGAATAGTGGCCCGCTTACGATTAATGTTCTATAACTCAGGATTCTGCAAGTAAATGGATTAAAGAACCATTTGATCTTCAAAAAGAGGTTTATGGTTGCTTTGATGATTAAGTACCCAGGGGACACATGGATTATCATGGATAATGGATTAGGAGAAGAGAGATATTAAAAAATGAACTCTCCTTCCTGGCCACATATAGATGGTGCTAAGTGGTTACATGGGGACTAGGTTAACTCTGTCATGCACTTGAATGACTAGTAGAGATAAGCAGAGTGAACTCAGTTAAGCTGAGTGCAAAAGCCAGTCAATGCGGGGAAGAATATCTTTTCCAACAAATGGTGTGGAGCAATTGGATATCCATGGACCAAACAAACAAAAACAAAACCTCATGCCTTATACAAAAGTTAACTCAAAATAGATTATAGATTTAAATGTAAAGCATAAAAATTTTAAAAGTTTTAGAACAAAATAAAGGAGAAAATCTTCAGTACATAGAGCTTTATGAAAAGCTCATAGACATAATACCAAAAGCATGATCATAAAAGAAAAAAAACTGGTAAATTATGCTTCATCAAAATTAAAAACGTGCTCTGGGAAATACTTTGTTAAGAAAAAAAGACAAGCTACAAACTGGGAGTAAATATTTGAAAACCACATATCTGATAAAGACCTCATGTCTAGAATACATACAGAACTCTCAAAACTCAATAATAAAACAAATAAGAAATAATCCAACCAGAAAATAGGCAAAAGACATGAAGATAAGGTCACCAAAGAAGATAAATGGATGGCAAACAAGTCATGAAAAGATGTTCGATATCACTAGCCATCAGGGAAATGTAAATTAAGGAAATGATGAGATATCACTGCCTACCTGTTCAAAGAGTAAAATAAAAAATATTGATAATACCAAATGCTGCCAATAATGTGGAAAACCTGAATTTCTCATATGTTGTTGATAGGACTATAAAACAGCACAGCTACTCTAGAAAATAGTTTGGTAGTTTCAAAACAATGTAAACCTATACCTATTATGCTATCATTTATCCCAGAGAAATAAAAGTTTATGTCCACACAAAAACCTATTCACAATTGTTCATAGCAGCATTATTTGGAATAGTCATACATTGGGACTATTTCCACTGGTGAGTGGTTTTATAAATATATCTATACTATGATGATATGATTTGGCTGTGTCCCCACTCAAATCTCATGTTGAATTATCATCTTCATTGCTGGAGGAGAGGCCTAGTGGGAGGTGACTGGATCATGGGGGCAGATTTCCCCCTTGCTGTTCTCATGATAGTGAGTTCTCACGAGATCTGATTGTGTAAAAGTGTATGGCACTTTCTCCTTTATCTCTCTCTCTCTCTCTCTCCTGATTCACCATTGTGAAGAAGATGTCTGCTTCTCGTTTGCTTTCTGTAGTGAGTGTAAGTTTCCTGAGGCCTCTTCAACTATGCTTCCTGTACAGCCTGCAGAACTATGAGTCAACGAAACCTCTTTTCTTCATAAATTCCCAGTCTCGGGTAATGCTTTATAGCAATGTAAGAATGGACTAATGCACTATATATTCCTACTCAGAAATAAAAAGCAACAGACTATTGAAAGACTCAGTGTAATAGACAGAATTATGTCCTTCCCCAAGATATCCACATGTTAATTCCCGAAACCTTTGAGTATATTGCCTGACGTGGCAAAAGGGACTTTGCAGATGTGATTGAGTTAGAGATCTTAGGGTGGGGAGTTTATCCTGGATTACCCTGGTGGGCTCACTGTTATCACAATGGTCCTCAAAAGAAGGAGGCAGGAGAGTCAGAAACCTCTGAATGATGAGCCTGAGGCACAAGCAGAGGCATGAGTGATGTGGGGCCTTGAGCCAAGGAATACAGGCAGTCTCTACCAGCTGGAAAAAAGCAAGAGAGCAGATTCTCCTCCAGAGCCTCCAGAAGGCATGCAGCCCCACCAACACCTTGATTTTAGCCCAGTTTTGATTTCTGACCTCCTGAACTGTTAGATAATACATTTATGTTGTTTTAAGTCACTAAGTTAGTAGTAATTTATTACAGTATAATAGGAAACTAATGTTCAACATATTTAATGAACCTCAAGGGAATTATGCTGAGTGAAAAAAGTCAGTCTCAAAAGCTCATATACTGCATGATTCCATTTACATAACAATCTTCTTTTTTTTTTGAGAAAGAGTCCCACTCTGTCACCCAGGCTGGAGTACAGTGGTACAATCACAACTCACTGCAGCCTGGAACTCCCGGGCTCAAAGGATTTTCCTAGCTCAGCCTCCCAAGTAGCTGGGACTACAGGTGTGCATTATGATGCCTGGCAAATTATTTTTATTTTTTGTAGAGATGGATCTCACTATGTTGTCCAGACTAGTCTTGAACTCCTGGCTTCAAGTGATTCTCTCACCTCAGCCTTCCAAAGTGCTGGGATTACTGGCTTGAGTCGCCGTTGGACCATAACATTTTTGAAATGGCAAACTTATAGAGATTGGGAACAAATTAGAGGTTGCCAGAGATCAGGAATGGGTGGGGGGAGGGTGGTAGTGTGACTATGAAGGGATAGCATGAGGGAGATCTTTGTAGTGATGGGATAGTTCTATATCTTGATCATGGTAGCAGTTACAAGAACTTCCACATGATAAAATGACATAGAACTATATACGCACATTGTGCCAATGTCAATTTCCTGGTGTTGGTACTGTACTATAGTTACATAACATGTAACCAGTGGAGAAACTGGGGAAAGGGTGCATGGGACTGCTCTGTACTATTTTTACAACCACTTGTGAATCTATAATTATTTTAAAATAATTAAAAAACAAAAATAACAATTAAAAATGAAGACTAATTCAAAACTTGCAGCAAAACATCTTTTCTGAAAGTATCTTTGATTGTAAATATCTGCCTAAACATATACACACTGCAAGTTTTGCTGCTTGGAGTCCATCTGCATTACTACATCACTCTAGTAAATTCTATAGTGATCATTTAAATTTATAAATACCAAATCTCAGTAACCCTTCACTTAGCAGTTTACTAGTGAGTAGCTATTAGTAGATATTTTAAAATATCTGAAAGAAAGAAAGTCTGCATTTTTGGTTCAGCTCTTGGCCCAGCAAGAGGATCCTGGGCTGCCCTTTAAGAATTATTATGTTGAGAGATTTAAGCAAGTCAAATAATGTCTAAAGAGCACAGTCCCCTGGATTGAATTCAGAAGGATCCTGTATTAATCAGCTTGGGCTGCCATAACAAAGTACTGTAGACTGGGTGACTTAGGCAAAAAGTTATTTCTCAGCTCTGGAGGCTGGAAGCCTGAGATCAGGGTGCCAGCATGGTTGGGTTCTAATGAGGGCTCTCCTCTTTGCTTGCCGACAGCCACCTTCTCACTGTATTCTCACAACGGCAGACAGAGAGGGGAGGGCAAGCTCTTGGGTCTCTTCTTATAAGGACACTAATCCCATAATGAAGTTTCTTCCTTCCCCTCCAACCCCTGCCCATGACCTCATCTAAACCTAAGGATTTCTCAAGGTCTCATTTCCAAATATCATTACATTGCAAGCTAGGGTTTGAACATATGAATTTGGGGTCGGGGGACACAATTCAGTTATAACAGACCCTGAAGTGGAGATTCGAGTCTGAAAGGACAAGAAAGAAATTGAGATTTAAATGAATTAGGAAGGAGACAGTTTGGTGCTCATTGCTCTAGGCAGTTTCCTGGGGGCTTGTCAGAAAAATAATCTATAAAGGGAAAATACCTTGTTATGAGTGTTAAATATTTTCAGTACAGCTGTATATGTTTGAGGCTTTAAATTTAGAAATATTGATGTGTCAAATGTGGTAGACTGAAAAGTCTTTGAAATTGGACTTGGGTTTAAATCCCTTTCCTGTGTATCTTTGGGCATGATGTCTCACCTAGCTAGCAAAGCCACCTTTCCCAGATTTGTAAAAGAGAACACTATCACACATTTGATTGTTGTAAGTGTTAAATGAGATCATATATCAAGTGCCTAGGGCATCATTGAGCACACAATAAGTGTAATAAATATTAGTTTATCCCTCTTTTCTTTTTATATTATTATCTAAAAAATAAGGTCTCTTTAATGGAAAATATATTTTACAAGTGGAAAAATGGATGAGAGATTCAAAGGGATAGAGGAATTGTAGGAGTTAGAAAACTACCAGCAATAAATACTGGCGATCTGCAAGGTCAACATCTTGAGGCAAGAAAGATTCCTGAAAATTGAAGGTGACATCACAGATACAACACCTCCAACCTGAAGTGACCCCCAAACTGACAAGGTCAAAGATTTTTAAAATTACCTCTCCATGGATGATAAAACAGGATACCACCCACAGTAAATTAATCTACCCAAGTTAAATAAGCCACCAGGGCTTGAAATGGAAACACTATTTCAAGTCTCATCACATTTTTTTCCCATTTGAAGCAGAAAAGGAAAATCATTTCTTTCTGTACCCTTTAAATGCAACTTTTATTTCTTTCCTTTGTTTCTTCCAACAGAACATCATTGCTTTTTAAATTTTTTTTTTACATATTTTACATATTTTTACATATTTTAGGGTGAGCCTCACCAAGCAAACAAAAGTGGAGGGCAGGACAAAGGAGAGTAGAGAAAACAATGAGGAATTTGATATGAACATTTGCTAGGCTGGCATAACATTTTACTTTTTGAAAGTTAGTCCAGAGTCATGACTAAATAAAAAGTAGAATCAATTTAATACAGACCATATTCATGTCTTTTTCCAACATTATTGCCTTTTTTTAAGCTTCGTTGTCTTGGTCACAGATAAGACAGATCTCCAGAGAGTTACTGGCAAATACTCCACCCTGGAATGGAAGCATCTGGTTTTTAATCTAGATGACAGATTTATAGAACTAACACCTGATATTTTAATCATTACCTTAGAGTGAGTTTCTAAAAATTGGATTCTAGCTGGATTCCAGTTCAACAATAATCTATTGTACATTTAAAAATGTACAATAATGAGGTGGGAGGATCACTTGAGCCTGGGAGGTCAAGGCTGTAGTGATCTGTGATTGCTCCACTGCACTCCCGCCTGGGTGACAGAGGGAGACCCTGTCTCAAAAACAAGCAAATAAATGAATAAAAATAAATATATTTTCATGTAATACAGAATTCTAAGGTGACAGTTTTACTTTTTTAATTTTTTTTTTAGTACTTTTGTGAAGCATTATGTGCTTATCTTAGTAGTTCTTTATCCTCTATCCTACAGAGGTAAGTATTTTCCTTTACACACAGTGAGAGTTCAATAAATGTCTGATTTGGATTGTACTAGTTACACACAAAAAAACCATCATTTTCAACTGGCATTATTTACAAACAGAATTCTAAAACATTGATGTAGAATATCTCCAGTACACCTGTCGAGGAAGAACCTTCATTCCCCTGGCCATGTCTTCCTGCGGGGAGAGACCCAAGCCACTCTTCTCTGTCATGAGGAAGAGTTAGCTTAGTTATCTAATAAGTGACTTCAAGGAAACCAAATGTGCCCAGTCCAGCCCTTCCTGAGGTTTCTCCTTTGGCTTTCCTTACTCCTGAGAGGTTTTGGCTGGTCTGTTCTCCATGTGGTGAATGTAGAGGGGAGCCTTGTGGGTTTGAGGTATAAGCTCTTTCCATGGGAGATGCATCATGAACTCCTTTTGGCTGTGAATCCACGTTGGCGCTGATATTAGGACCAAAGGAAAGGACTGTGGACAGTATAAACTTTTAGATTTATGTGACTTGTCCACAGATTCAAGGGTTGTCAACCTAAAATAATTTAAAAGAGTTAGAATTTAGTTTAAAGAGTTTATTTAAGAGCAAACTTTGAGGACTGCTGCCTAGGAAACACAGATTCCAAAGAATGGAAATCCGTGTTCTGAAGCATAGAAGTTTGGGGTCATTTATGAGCTTGGGAAGCCTAACAGAATTTTAACATGTTTTAATATAATAAAATGTGTAGCTAAAGCAATCTGATTAGTTGAGGCAGTCTGTTTTCTGGGGGCATGGAGAAGGTATATTTAACATTTCACACTGAAAATGTAACAGTCATGGGGCCTTGTGTACCATCTGGTCTGAGTTAGGTACAGGACGATAAAGGAAGCAATTAATCTACAACAAAGATCAGTGATTGGAAGGGGAGGAGGTCTGGGCTCTGATTGCCCCTAGTCATTCACAGAACAAGAACAATGAGGAGGAGAGTTAATCCATAATCTAAGAAGCAGAAGTTATAAAAACGTATTATGTGACTCAGATCATAGTTATACCTCTTCAAGGTTTAAAGTGTTTTGGGGGTTCTAATAGCTTTTAAATTTTATTTATTTTCAAAGAGTCATTATATAAGCCCTGATCAAAGTTTTAATTTCAGATATCCAGAACTTGACTTTATTCATAGAAAAGTTATAGTTTTATTAAAGTATTACCCCCTTTTTTCATGTCGTTAGATTCACTCTCATTACATTTTGCTTAGAACTTTTGCATCTATGTTCATGAAGAATATTGGTCTGTAGTTTCCTTTTGTGTAATGTCTTTGGTTTGAGTATCCGGGTAATGCTAATCTCATGTTCAAATTTTCACCTTTTTTTCAAAATTTTGAAAGATATTAAGTAAATTGATGTTTTTTTCTTTCTTAAATTTTGGTAGCATTCACCAGCAAAATCATCTGGTTCTAGATTCTTCTTTGTAACACAGTTTTAACTTCAAATTTAATTTTATTTTTTAAAAGATATTTTCCCACCTAGGACAACATATTGAGACTTTGTCTACAAAAATAATAATAATAATGATAAATTACCCAGGCATGGGCCTCTAGTCCCACCCAGTAGGGAGGCTGAGGTGGGAGGATCACTTGAGCCTGGGAGGTCAAGCCTGTAGTGATCTGTGATTGCACCACTGCACTCCAGCCTGGGTGACAGAGGAAGACCCTGTCTCAAAAACAAACAAGCAAATAAATAAATAAATAAAAATAAAGACATTTTCATTGGATATAGAATTATAAGATGGTGTTTTTTGTTTGTTTTTAGTACTTTAAATATGTTGCTTTATTCACTGCTTTCTCCTTTTTTTTCTTGGCTTCTTGTAAGATTTTTTCTTTATCATTGAGCAGTTTGACTATGACAGTCCTGGCTGTAGGGTTTTTTTTTTGTGTGTGTGTTTCTTTTGTTTGAGATTTGTCGACTATCTTAAATCTTTGGGTTGATAGTATTCATTAAATTTTGAAAAATTTTGGCCATTATTTCATCAAAAATTTTTAGACCTCCTTCTTCAAAGACTCCAATTATACGTATATTATGCCTCTTGAGGTTGTCCCACAGCTCACTGATGCTCTTGGACCTGCATAACTCAAGAGCAATGATGCTCTTGAGTCTGCATCATTGTTGGGTTCAGCCTGGTTGGGTTCAGCCAATGGAAAGTACGAGCAACAGAAGGAGGATGGGAGAGAACCCTTGATGCAATGCTGGCCACTCATCTCCCTTGGCTGCATTGCTTACCAGGCTCAGGTAATGCAGTTCCCTTTACTGTTGGATATAATGAGCTTCCTACTGTTAGTCTCTGGGTGGATCAGCATTGTCAATTCCCTTAACCCTTCAACCTCTGGGAGAAATCTCTTCAAAATCCCAACTGTGGACCTTCAAAATCCTGCTTAATGGATACAATGTCACCAAAAAATATTTATTGAATTTCTTTCATGGACCATGCACAGGGATACAAAGACATGATCCACTTTATGTAATTTGTCATCTAATGAGGGGTTCACGATCCAATTGTAGGATGTATTGCACTGCATTCCCAAGAATCATTCAGGAAGAAATCTTAGGAGGTTGGCATTCGTTGGGTGAATTTAGCCATAGCAGAATTGGCTTCAGCAAGCATCCCCTAGCTTTTGGGTTTACTTTCTATAAGTTAGGCTGGACATACGTACATGTAACTGTTTTTTTTAATTTTAAAATTATTTTATGCATACATAGTAGGTGCATATATTTATGGGGTACATGAGATATTCTGAAGCATACAGTATGTAATAATTACATCAGCTTAAATGGAGTATCCATCACCTCAAGCATTTATCATTTCTTTGTGTTATAAACATTCCAATAAAACTTTTAGTTATTTTTAAATGTGTAATAGATTATTGTTGACTGTAGCCACCCTGTTGTGCTATTACATACCAGATCTTACTCATTCTATCTAACTATATTTTTATACCCCTTAACCATCCCCACTATCCTTCTTAGCCTCTGGTAGTGACTGTTCTACTGTCTATCTCTGTGAGTTCAGTTATGTTAATTTTTAGCTCACACAAATGAGTGAGAACATGCAAAATTTGTCTTTTTGTGCCTGGCTTAGTTCACTTAACATAATGGTCCTTCAGTTCCATTTATGTTGTTGCAAATGACAGGATCTCATTCTTTTTTATGGCTGAATAGTGCTCCATTGCATATATGTACCACATTTTCTTTATTCATTTATCTACTGATGGACACTTAGGTTGATTTCAAATCTTGCCTATTGTGAAAAGTGCTGCAATAAACCTGGTAGTAAAGATATCTCTTCAGTATGTTGACTTCCTTTCTTTTAGGTCATATATTTAACATTCAATATGCCCAGTGCTGAAACAATATGTTATAATTACTCCATACTCTTTCTAATCTGAGGTACAACGTTTATCAAGGAAGGCTGCTTATTTGTTGTGCCTTTGGGTTTTGAAAACTGCCTGATTATGGATATGCAATGGCTTGGCCAATCAGACTAAAGTAAGGTAAGGCTGGCCTGTAGGCATAACTTTGTGTTCTGAAGGAAATCAAAATATTTCACCCTAAAATATACTTCTTTGATGTATTTTGAGATGGCTGTTGAGAGGGCCCACAAACAGAACTAGCCCTGCAAAGCTGTCTATTGTGAGGGAGATTTGTATTTGTAGAGAAAATCTGCATTGATGCAGCCAGGCTTTTTCTGAGACTCTCGCTTGTCCAGATCTAGGAAAGAGTAAGAATCTGATGCCTTGAAAGGTCTGAAAGAAACATTTTCCATCTCTTCTCTGAGGGCTGCTACCTGTAAGGTTTCATCTACATAACAAGACCACCTTTGCTAGCCAAGCCTCCTCTTCTTTCCCTCCCATAACGTGTCTTGTCACCATAACTTGATTTACCACCATACTCTCTTTTTTGGTCATTGACTGAACCCCCATTCTTTCAAGATGATGTAGAAGTGTTAACCACCTGGTCATTTCTTTGAGTTTTTCATTTTTATGTATGACTCACATGCACATGTGTGCATGTAATAAAATTTTTATGCCTTTTCTTCCTGTTAATCTTGTATTAGCAGTTTATTATATAGACTTAAATTATCAAGCCTTCAGAAAAATTTAAACTTCTCTGTAGCTCCATGGTTCCCACAGTGTCCATGTTCCTTCATAAAATGGAATGAGTGTTCTCAGATTGTGCTGGGCTTAAGGCAGTGAGGGAATGAATGTTTTCCCTTTGCCAGAGGAGGTATATGTTAGGATTGTACTTTCTGGCTCCCTGTGGTTCATTCAACCAATCTGGTCGTTGAGCCATGAACAAAAGTGACATGTATCACTTCCAGGCCAGAGCATTTAACTGCTAATGTGAGATACTCCAAAGCTCTTTCCTTCTACCCGGCAAAGTTCAAGGTTGTAGCTCTTCCAGCAGCCTGGGTCTTAGTGAGGAGACACGAGTCCTTAGCTAACTTGCTGACTTGCAGTGAACATGTGTTGTATGTCAGGAATAAACCTCCAGTAGTGAAAGCCTATCCTTTCTTCACTGATATGAAGACACGCACATAATCCACAGGAGACAAGTCATAGGGATTGCTTTTCTCCTTTGTAAAAAGTCTTAAGTCATGTGATTCTAATTGATACCTCAGCAGCAATAGAGTTTCTTTTAAACACTTCATTCTTTGATAATACAAACTTTGTGAAACTGGTTTCGCAAAAATTATAAATGAGGCAATTATTACAGTGAAGGATATCTGACTTAACTGACTCCATCTTGCTTCTAACCTCCAAGCTGTCCTGGTTCATTCCTGGGCATAGGCCAAATTAACTTTGGAATGCAGTTATAGTTTAGCTTTGAAAGAGAGATAGTAACAGTCCTTTCCTAAAACAAACCCTCTTCCTGCCTAGAGACTAGACTGCCTTTGCAGGATTAACAAATTAGCCACAAGATTAGAAATTATGGTCATGCATAGGGGTCATGTACAGCAGTCATGCAGCTGGAGGCTGCAAGATTCTAAACCTCCAAAATTGCTCTTAAGGATAATGTCACTATTGTAAAACCTAAGATCAGCATTTGAGATATTTTGCATATTTTACACTTGATGGATTAGGTGGTGGCACCCAGGGCTCATCTGGTCTTGTGGCCCCTACCCAGAAACTGACTCAGTGCAAGAGCACATTTTTGATGCCCTATGACTTTATCTCCGACCTGACCAATTAGCACTCCTGACTCACTGGCCTCCTACTCACCAAATTATCCTTAAAAATTCCAATCCCCTAATTCTTGGGAAGACTGACTTAAGTAATATTAATAATAAAATTCTGGTCTCCTGCACAGCTGGCTCTGTGTGAATTACTCTTTCTCTATTGCCAATTCTCCTATCTTGATAAATCGGCTCTGTCTGGGCAGCGGGCTAGGTGAACCTGTTGGGTGGTTACATTTGTTTCTTTTACTAAACACTAACCCAAATTGATTAGGTGGCATTTTGATTTTTCTTTTAAGAGAAATATCTCTACCTACTTTGAAACTTGTTATTAGTCTATGTTTTTCTGTTCAAGTAAAACGAACTGAATCTACTACTTGCTTATAACAGAAGATGTCCTTTTTTAACAAGGGGAAATAGCTAGATTCCTAATTAAAAAGCCAATTTTTAAGGGCCCTGGTGTGTGCTTTCGGGGGGGTGGGGCGGTTGGGGGGAAGGTTACCGACTGTCTCAACAATTTCCACTTCTTGCAGACAACCCTCCAACCCTCCCTCCAATTATCAAAGACTGGGCTTTTAGTTTAATTTAAGAAAACAAGAGTTAGGTGATGACACTGATCAATTGTGAAGGCCAAAATGAGTTAAGCAAAGGTGCTGTCACAAATGAAAGACTCCTAGACTAAAAGAGAATGAGAAGAGAAAGAGAAGAAAAGGAACTAGTTGATGACGTTTTTGTTTTTTATGATGATGGTTCTAAAATATTCAAAGTACCACATTCAAGTAGTTTTAAAAAGTCAAATGTTGCTAAAAGATTTATAAGGAAATACATATCAGGGTATTGAGTCTTTCTTGCCTCCCACACTCACCATTTTTCCTGAGGCAACCGGTTTCAATTCACATTAATTAATAATATGCTTGTTAATAACATGCTTATAATTTATATATTGAGATCAACTTTGCACATTATGTACATTTCATTAAGGATTTTGTTTCCTACACACTTCTATTCATTTTCCCCTCTTCCTTTTGATATTGTTTTAAGTCAGAGTTTCGCTCTTGTTGCCCAGGCTGGAGTGCAATGGTGCGACCTCTGCTCATCACAACCTCCGCCTCCCAGGTCCAAGTGATTCTTCTGCCTCAGCCTCCCAAGGAGGTAAGATTACAGGCATGCACCACCACACATGGCTAATTTTGCATTCTTAGTAGAGACGGGGTACCTCCATGTTGGTCAGACTGGTCTTGAACTTCCAACTTCAGGTGATCCTCCTGCCTCGGCCTCCCAAAGTGCTGGGATTACAGGCATGAGCCACTGCGCCTGGCCTTAAATCAGGATTTTTGATAAAATTATTAATCGGAATTTATATTATAAAACTACCTATATTTTTCTTACTGCTGAAAGTTATATATTTCCTTTCTTATAAACTTTTTGTGTTTCCTGGAGTTAGCTTTTGTTTTTGTTATTATTTGTCAGGTTTTCTATGTACATATGGTCATTTTTTTCTAAATGCTCCAACAGATATCACACATGTATCAAAAATGTTTACAAATGTTCAATTGCAATTCCAAATTGTATAGAAATCCATATCTACCCATTCCTTTCATCTCCCCCAAATCTCTGTTTTGAATTTCTCCATCTCCCTATTCTAGTCTGGACTAATTACCCTTGAGGCTGTATATGTTTGGTTTCCTGGAGCTGATTTTTTTTGGCTATTCTCTCCTGTTTCCTGGGTCCTGTCTTCCTCTTTCTTGATTTATTCCCTTATTCTGCTAAAGTACATCTTCCAAGAAAAGGTTCGTGAATAATAATTGTCTTTAACCTTTACGCCTGATTGATAGTTGACTAGGAGGGCTGGCTTCATAGGTGTAAGATCTGTGCATCTTACACAGATTAGTTTTTGAACAAGGGGAACCCACATTTTAATTTCTCATTAGGCCCCATAAATTATATAGCTAACCCTGTTGGCTGGATATAAAAACTTAAGCTGAAATAATTTTCCCTCGCTAATTTTGCGGTCATTGCTCTACTCTCTTCTAGTATCCAATGTTGCTGTTTAGAAGTCCGATGCCACTCTGGTTCCCTTTCTATTGGCTCAATCCTTTTCTTTCTGAAAGCTTGTGCTAGCCTCCTTTTATCTTGAGTGAATGAAATTTTATGATGACGCCCTTAGATTAAATCTTATTTTTTAACTCATTACATTGTACACCTGGTAGACACTTTGAATCTTGAATTTCTGTACTTGAATATAGATAAAATGTCCTGTATTATTATTTTGATAATTTTCTCTTTTCTATTTTCCATGGTTTCTCTTTATGGATTCTTATAGTTTAGATACTAGACTTCCTGGTTTGATCTTCTAACTTTATTGTCCTTTTTTCCATTATCTATTGGCTTATTTTATTCTGCTTTCTGGGATTTTTCTTTGATTTGGTTCTCAGTCTATATTGAAGAGTAGTAATTTTCCAATGCTTCTATTAAATTATTTCACTATCATATTTTAAATAGCCCCTCTAAGTCTCTGATTATTCCTTTTTTGTAGCTTCTTGTTCTTTTATTACGGGTTTACTATTTTATTTTCCTAACTTTATTAATGGTAGATCTTTTGGAAGTATTCTTCTGTTCCATGTATTTTATGTATTTTCTGTGTTCTTCTTTGTTTCTTTTTATTTTTGTCTTTCTTGTTGTAGATTTTCTTCAAATATCTGCTGGTCCTTGGTTCTCAGTCTATATTGAAGAGTAGTAATTAAAGAAAAAAAGCTAATTGGAGGATGTGTGTGTGTGTGTGTGTGTGTGTGTGTGTGTGTGTGGTGTTGTTGACTGGGGAGCTGTATATAAAATAATTTGACAGAGTTTTAGTTTTTTCTTGGGGGAAAACCCCAAATATCAGCATTCATACATCTTTTCTCTCTGATATCTCAATTTCTCCAGAGAACAAATTCTATATTATCCCCAGCTACAGGCATTGTAAGAGCAGACAGAGAGAGAGGAGAATGGTATTTTACTCTTCAGTATGTAGACTCTCATTTAATGCCCTATTTTCAAAATTAAGCCTCAGATCTCTCCATTGTGCCTGTGGTTCCCTACTTCAGAGGTGAAACTCTGATGCATTATTTTCAGAGAATAAAATCTATATTCTCCTCTAGTGAGAGGATGGGTTGGGGGTACACAAATGTAATCTTTTCACAAATTCCTAGTCTTTAGCCCCACTTGACTCCTACTTGCCTTATACATCCAAGCCTTGAGTTTTCCCTGAGTTTTGCAGAGCAAACTGACTTGCTTCTCATCATTGCCTCCTATGAGGGCAGATGGATTTCTACTTCCTCTGTTTGGCTAAGTGAGTTTCACGCCTCTGTTCATTTTTAATCCTCCCAAACTTGGTGACATCTATTGTTAGCTTTCATCCCTATGCCTGCTCTTTTTGTCCTTCTGACTTTATACCTTTTTTATTCTTTTACTTATATATTGGTGGCATTTTAGGAGGAGACAGAAACACACATTTTTTTTAGCCCAACACATTTAAATAGAATTCTTAACTAACCTTCTACAATTGTTCTAATAATTGAATCCTACATCAAAATTGAACCTGGCAATGAAATAGTATGGAGACTATCCAAAAGTGGGGAATAAAAAATAAAGAGAAAAACAGAATGCTATTGTTTGACAAGGAATGTTCCTAGCTATATAAATAGATATTTAATGCCAAGGACAGATTGAGGACTTTTTTTAATTCTTTTGAGGGTTATTCAGCTTTCTAGCTTTTGAAAAATATAAGTAATCAAATTGTCAATGTGGGTAAAACTTAGCTCTTATATATGAGCAAAAAGGTGGAGAAAATGTATAGTGAGAAATGTTTGCTCAGAATTGGGAGACCTGGGTTGGTTTGGACAAAACTTTCTAGCTCTAGGATTCTGTGTAAATTCATTTTAATGATTACTCATAGAGAAAAAAACTCCTTTTTAAAGAAAACTGTCACAAAAACCTGAAAAGAAAGAGAAGGAAAAGAGTTAAAAATGAAGATTAGGGGCCGACATCTGCAGTTTACTTTGAAAGATATTAAAAATAAGAATGTACAGAGGGATGGATAGATGGGCAGGTATGTGATAAAGCAAGCAGAATAGAATAGTAGCAGTATGATCTATGTGGTTAGTACATGAGTGTTCCTGGTAAAATTCAACTTTACTTCATGTTTGAAATTTTTCATAGTACAATGTTAGAAAAAATGAGGATTGTGATGAAGGAGACAGAGATGAAGGAAATGCTACTTCTAGACATAACTGATCAGCAAAATAAGCACAGAAAAGACAATGTCATCCAGATTTTCTTGGAGAAACATCTCCATGTGGACTTCTAGAATTTTACCTCTAAAGATTCTGAAGTTCATGCTGCATTCTTATAGCTATATGTATACATGATGTTGCCCTTCCCTGGTACTTGCCCTTCAAACCTAAAATGAATACAAGGGCTAAATTCAATAAAAAACTAGAGACTCTCAAATCATGGTCTGGGCATTCAACAGGGAGGAAGTGATATTGATTCTTACTGCTGTGTTAGAAGGTCGAGTTCCTGATGTGCTGATCCTGGAAAATGTTTTTTAGATTGTCCACTTTATCATCATATATAAAATCTAACCTTGTAGTTTCAGTTGGCGAGTTCTAATGACTAGAGCATGAAGCTAATGAAATCTAAGAAGTGTTGGCCGAATGGCCTTTACCCTAAAGTAGCATAATTCTGACTTGATATTAGAATTATGGATTCAGTTATCACACAGACCTGTTTGTTTCTTATGAAACAACTATCCGATGGCCACAAATAGAACCCTGATCCTTGAGTTATCTTTTGAAGCTGTGCCCTTGGTGACAAAAGAGAACCAAGAGCAGGTTTATATCAAACATACTTAACCCCACTTTTGGAAGAACAATTCACTTATGGCCATAGGAGATGTTTGATAGGATTAACTGTATGGTTATTAAGAGCTTATCTGGGTGGTAAACAATTTTCCCTGTAGGAGACTATTTTAATAAAGTGTTTTAGCAGTTGACAGTACTGCAGAAATATTGCCACAGAAAATATTCTGTACAAATAGAAATATTAAATGTGTATGTCCATGTATTGGATATATTCCTTTTTCTTCTGTTGAAAGATGCTACTGCTATAGTTTGGGATATTATGTATAGCATAATGTGGCTTGGTGTGTAATCAACCTTATTGTGTGCTGTAATCACAAGGCTGCAAGAGACACTATCACCCCTGGGCTGATGTTTTCACTCATGTGGAGTCTATTCCTTGAGGAAAAACCTCCCAAGGATTGTCTGAACATGTTAATATCTGCCATTTTGCAAGGGCAACTCTTTCATGTTTCTTCAGTCTGATTTTTTTCTGACTTCAGGGACACCAGTGATTTTTTTTAAAGTTGCTTGAGCATTCAAATATGGCATGTTTTGAAGGATCTTTAGGGCTATTTTGAACATTTAGCAAAAGGAACAACTTACATGTTGGAGCTTGAGAAAAGCTCGGTTACTTTAGTGCAGTCCCCTTATTTTAGAAATGAAGGAACAGAGATACAAGGATGTATGTGACTTGTTTAGAATTGTAAAGGTAAAGAATGCCAGAGCAGGCACTAGGTACCAGCTCTCCTGATCACCGGTCGGCAGTTATTCTTTGCACTAAATCACCAGTCCTATTCAAAACAGAATTTCTCTCCTGGTTTGGAAACTGTCTCGGTTGAGTTGTTAATCATTTGGCAGAGCTTTCTAAGTCCCAAATTAGAAATACTTTGTTATTTTTGTTCATACTTGTTAGAGGAAAAAAAAAGTTTTCAAAATGTAATGGTTAAAGTAATAAGACAAACAGCCTGATTAAAAATGGACAAAATATTTAAATAGATACTTTATGAAAGAAAATATATGAATAACTAAAAAGCTAATGAAAATATATTTATCATCATTAGTCATCAGAGAAAGACAAATAAAAACCACAACGAGATACTGCTATGTGCCCACCGAAATGGCTTATATAAAAAAGATTATTACAAACACCAAGTGTTGGTGAGAACATGGAACAAGTCGAATTCATGTACCCTGCTGAGTGGAAAGTAAGTTAGCACAATAACTTTAGGAAATGTCTTGGCAATATTGTGTAAAGTTAGACATATTTGGGTAAAATACACTTACCCAAGAGAAATGAAAGTATATGTACACACAAAGGCTTGCCACAAATGATCATGGGAACTTTATTTGTTATAGTCAAAAACTCAAGGCCAGGTGCGGTGGCTCACACCTATAATCCTAACACTTCGGGAGGCTGAGGTGGGTGGATCACCTGAGGTCAGGAGTTTGAGACTAGCCTGACCAACATGGTGAAACCCCATCTCTACTAAAAATACAAAATTAGCTGGGCAGGGCGGCCCACGCCTGTAATCCCAGCTACTTGGGTGGCTGAGGCAGGAGAATCGCTTGAACCCGGGAGGTGGAGGTTGCAGTGGGCCAAGACTGCACCACTGCACTCCAGCCTGGGCTACAAGGTGAAACTCCATCTCAAAAAAATAAATAAATATAAATAAGCTTAGAAGTATTCAAACATCTATCTGCAGGTGAGTGGATAATTCAATTATGGTATATTCACACAAGCTATGTCCAAGTCCTAACACCTGATACCTAGGAATGTGGCCTTATTTGGAAATAGGGTCTTTGCAGAAAATTAAGTTAAAAGTCTCAAGATGACATCATCCTGGATTTAGGGTGGTCATTAAATCAAATGACTGCTGTCCTAATAAAAGAAAGGACACAGAGACACAGACACAGAGGGAAGGCCCTGAGAAGACAGAGGCAGAGACTGGAGTGAGGTGGCCACAAGCCAAGGAGCTCTAGGAGCCACCAGCAGTTGGAAGAGGCAAGGAAGGATCCTCCCCTACAGCTTTCAGAGGGAGCATGATCCTACTGACATCTTGACTTTGAACTTCTAGCCTCAAGAACTGTGAGACAGTACATATCTCTTGTTTTAAGCCATCCAGCTTGTGCTAATTTATTATAGCAGCCCTGGGAAACTAATATACTATATGATTCCATTTATATAAAGAGAATTTAAACTCTAGTAACAGAAAGCAGATCAATGATGGGCTGGACCTAGGGATGGAAGGAGGGATGGACCACAGAAGGGCTTAGGAAATTTTCTGGATTGATAGAAGTGTTCTGTATTTAGACTGTAGTAATGGTCTCACAGGCACACTCATCAAATTTTAACTGGGTATGTCTTAAATGAGTGCATTTTATTGAACATAAATTATATCTCATTAAAGTTTTTTTAAAAAAAGCAATGGTTATTTCCTAAACACTGATGATCTCCAAAAGTAGAGAAGGTGGTCATGAGAACTCCAGAGGTTATGTTAGAGGTTTACCACAGTTGAGCCTCACCCTGGAAAAATGTGATGGTTTCATTCCCAGTTTGAGAACTGGACTGTAGATACACAGTCATTGCCTGGTCTTTGTACTCTGTAAAAATGTTAAGCAAATGGTAGTAAAGAAAGTGGTTTCATTAGATAATTCAGTTTCATATTTTACCTTTACTTTACAAAGTTCAAAGTTAAGTTGGAACGTTTTTTAAGAAAAGAAAAAAAGCTATGAAGTTTTTTATGTAATTTCCAGTTGTTTCTCCCAAATAGATTAATGCAGCATAGGGTGTTGCCTTACCTTGTGTATATGTGTGTACATGTGAGAGAATTTGCAATGCTTCACTGAGGAAGAGTAGTTAGACTCTGTTGGATAAGGGTGCCCTTCCTATCATTAGACAATTGTAAATTTCTCAAGAGGATCCTTCCTACCACCGATACCCTCTACCCTAGGCTCCTCACCCTCAACTGTTCGCATTTCCCCAAACATACCAAAGGTTGTGATTCAGAAGTTCTGGAATCTGAATTTTTAACCAGTTTCTTCGTTCTGAGGTAGGAAGTCCATGGACTATATGTTGAGAAACAATGCCTTTGGGACAATTAAATGAGCATCCCCTGCCTCTGTTCTGGGGATTTAAGAATTTCACCAAGAGCTGTGCCGTGTTTCTATTAATCCATCCAAAACACAATTATCCCGTTCAGTCTTCAGCCTCAAGTCTTTCTCCAGGGTGGGAGTTTTTTCTGCACTATTTGTTTCATTATTAACTCCCCTGTCTCTGTTCCTTCTTTTCCAGACATCCTTTTCTGCCACAAAAAGCTTCCTGGATCTGCGTTCAAATTTCTTTGTTTTGTCCTATGATTTCTATCTTTGTATTTTTTCCTGTGCAGCAATGTATTTCTTCTAGGCTTCTGAGTTGGTTCTTGATTGTGGCTGTTCACTTTTCCAAATTGTCTATTTGATACTTCAATTAAATTGTTTAGTTTTTAAATAAAAATTAATCTTTTTTTTTTTTGGTCCCACGAAGTCTTTTTCATGCCCTAATTAGATCTCTTTGAGGATTCTTGTTCCTGTTATCTGACTTCTTTATCAAGTCTCTTTCTATTGGAACAGCCTGTTACAGCTGCTTACTTTTGCCTTACTCCTCTAAGTATGTACTCTCATCATCCTTTGCCCACTCAAGGCATCGCTCTCCTCAGAAATTGGGCCACGCTGTTAGGATCTCTCAAGCAGTGTGAACCCCACTACCCCTCTACCTCCCAGAAATTCTCTGTTTAGAACTCTGATGTGGATTAAGGATGCAATTAGAACAGGGTGTTAAAGTGTGGAGCAACGAGGGAAAGAAGCAGAAGTTTAACTCTCTTGATTCACTGCGGAGTGTCATCTTTTGGGTATCAGACTCTTTGGAATATATACAAAGATATTTACATATATTATGTATATTTATATATTATCATATTTTAAAATGTATATCTATATATCTGTATATCTATGTATCTATCTATATATATATCTCCCTTCTTTTTCTTTATTCTATGCTGGGCCCGGAACTCCCTCTACTTGGGAGGAACCCTCTGCCCTAAAAATCCTCGTGGAGCTGTTCAAGGGAAGGAAACATGCAGGACCAATGACACTTAAGTCTTCATTTGATCTATGCAGAAGGGTCTCCTTGCTCACTCATTTTGGCCAAAAATAGCATGTGGATTGTTTGCATGTCATCTTGCATGTACTCTTCAGGAACTTGTGGCTGCAGCTGGATAGGATTCAAAGACACAGACTTGTTTTCCCTTGGTATTCCACTAAGCAGCTCCAGCGCATCCAAGGATGAATTCCTTATCCTTTGCAAAATAACGCCTCCTCTCCAAATTTCTTTTGGTCTCTTACAAATCGAGCAATCCCCAGTAGCTCTTTGGGAAGTGGAGCTCTTCAGGCCAGCTCCTGGTTCTGTAGCTCAGATTCTCATGGCAGAGGACAGTAATAGAATGAATAGGCAGGGGAAAAAAATATCAGGGCTGTGAATGAGCTCCCTTTGAGAGGGTAGAGTGAGTCTGATTTAAATTCAGGTAAGAGTCAGGTTTTATGCAATCTCATTACACGGCTGAACACAGGCTTGGAGAAGCGCTTAATGAAGGGCTGCAGTTGCTAATTGTTGACCTGATTTCTGCATGAACTACAGTTCTGCTTCCAAAATCTGACCCATCTGATCTGTGCATAAACCTGGAGGTTGAATCAGCAAGTACACAAGGAAAACAGCAGGGTCCTCTTTTGAGATATCTTAAGGTTTCAGGTCATAGTTAGATTTTTGCTTTTTTAATTAAAAGGAGATGCATGCTTGCTCTCTGATCCATCACCAGCTTACAGGACTCCTATGCCAGAGCCTTTGTGATTGTTAACATCCCAAGGAGATGTCCCTTCTGCTACCACTCTTTCTTGGCTCAGTAGCAGCTTGGTTTACCTGAATCTCTGAGCCACTGGGAGCCAGCAGGTGGTAGATAGCTGAGTAATGACTCTGCTGACTCCAGGAAGCCAGCTGGAGCTACAGGCTCATCAATGAGAGGAAGAGAGAAGATAGTCTAATGTTAATCAAACTAAGTCTTTCTCTTGTTTACAGAGAACTTTTCTTTTCTTTTCTTTTTTAATAAAAAAGAGATGGGGTCTTATTATGTTGCCCAGTCTAGTCTTGAACTCCTAAGCTGAATCAATCCTCCTGCCTCAGCCTCCCAAAGTGCTGAGATTGCAGGTGTGAGCCACTATACCTGGCCACTTTTTAAAGATCCTTATACACAAAGATTTCTTGTGAACCTCACTCACACTAGCCCTGTGAGGTAAGTCAACTCATTTAATAGATGAGAAAACTGGAGCTTAGGAACTTCCCTAAACTCATGTAGCTTTTCAGAAACAGAACTGGGAGTAGAATCCAAGTCTTTTAGTTCCTAGTTTCTACCTCTTGGAGATCTGACGAGTTGCCCAGGTCTGTTGGTAGATAACTTCCTAATTTTTCCCTGTCTCCTTTGACTATGGGGAGTTATTAATCAGCAGCAGAAATATGTGGCGCTGTAAGATTTCCTTCCCTAAAGGCACTGGGAATAGAATCCCTTTTGTGATCACAAAGGTACAATGTCCTGAAACCAGTGTGAACCAAGCCCACGGACATTTCCTGCTTTGGGCCTACAAGGCCTTGTTTTCCTAGGAGCTGTCTGAGGGCAACCTCATGTTTGACATTTGTGGGTTCTCAAAGTCCAGGCTGGGCTTATGTAGAAAGCACACAACCCTCTGAAAACCCCCAGAGTATGTTGCTCTGGAGACCACCCCTTTTCTAGACATGCGTGTCCTGGCTCAATTTCTGCAGTTTACCATCTCCAGGTAGACACTGGCTAATTTTTAGAATGTTGTCCTTGACTCAACTCTAGTGATGATTTTTGTACAGATGGAAAAGTGGATTCCAACTCAGATTTCTGTCTTGATCTCTTCTAAGTCAGATGGTGAATTCCACCAAATGTCACCAGTGCCTCTGAATCCCTTTGGTCCCTTCAGTGGAAGTGTCATACCAAGGAAAATGCTTTCGCTTCTTCAGCTGCCAACATCAACCAAGTGTTCCTGTCAGGAAATCCTGATGTGTATGTCTGGCTGAAAGGTGAAAGAGCTTAGTGTGAATGCCCAGAGGGACAAGAGCATGTTTGAATCAACTTTGAATCTGCCTACCTAGAGGCTGCCCTCCTTGCCTAAGCTGCCCACAGGTGTCCAGTGGGTTAAGAGAGCTTCATCTGAGGGAGAAGGGGGAAGGGGCTCATACCCAGAAGACAAACCATCTCAGGAGCCATGTGGAACTTGGTGATGGCCCTTAACTGAGCCCAGCTCATTTTCCTATTCTCAAAGTAGAAAGAAATTTCACAGATCACATTTAGAGGTTTGGGTGAAGGGGTGGGGCTGGGGGCAGACTTTAGCCTACAACTATGGATGATTTAAGGTAGTGCTTGGAGCTTTTTAGTCATGTGTGCAGAACACTGCAGTCCCATAAACAGTAAAAACTTGGTCTGTAAGCCATGTTTTTCGGAAGTTGGGTTTTATTGAGTGTAGCATGCTTAGAGTTATTCAGATGTAACTTTGCAATGGCTTTCTTCCATTTTCTCTATACCCAGCCTAAGCCTTATAAGGGACTGCGGTGATGAGTGGCAACTCATGACCTTAAGGCACAGGATGTATGCGTGGACAGAAGTCAAAATTCTAGACTTATTTCCATGACTACCTTGGGCACGTCATTTGAATTTCTTGGGCCTCCATTTTCCATCCTGTAAAATGGAAACATCCTCTGAGCTCTAATGTCTCTGCTGTTCCCCCAAACAATGGAATGTGCTACCATCTTACTTTGAGATATGACCTGTAGATTTATATTTCAACAGTTTCTGCAGTGGATTGCATTAAAATTGTGAATCTCATAGGGACAAAAGAAGCTCTGCAAAAAAACAAACAAAACAAAACAAAAAATTCCTTTCCTGTATTTGATCAAATGCCATTGCTAAAACAGCACTAAAAAGGAAAAAAAAAGTTCAGGAAAATTCGCTGAACTTTTCCCTTTTGCCCTGTGCTTGTTTTCATGTCTTAGTGTGTTTCAATGTACAACCAAGTTGTTAATGTTTTCTGTTTAATAAACAGAACATCTATAACTTCCTCTCCTGATGTTCTCGATCAGTTTGGCTATTAGCTAACAGGGAACTAGTTTGAGCCACAGGACTCAAGGTCACTTTCACTGTTCTTTCATTTGCATTCTCCATATAATTCACTGTGTTAATGCTCTCTCTGAAAACACCCTGCTTTAAATATATCATTGCTTTCTTCCTTGAGCCCAGGACAAACAACACAGCCCACACCTACAGAGTCCTGCACTGGATTAGCACAATGATTCATATTTAGTGAGCTGTGTTTCTGGGGCTCAAAGACTAACATTCATTTATATCTTCAAAAATAATCCTCAGAGCACTGATAAGTTAGTCACCAGGAACAGCTGGCTGCTAAATGGCCTACTTTGGCATCTCGACCTGAGAACCGCGGGAATCTTAGTGTAACGAGGGCTACTGTTCTGGGATTTGTTAGGCCTTGGGTTGCACAGGGAATATGATGGTTCTGACTTTCACCTTGAGAGGCAGGACAGAGCTGGTAGGTGGCCTAGCCTACCAGAGGAGCTTTTACTGCTCTCACATAGGACATTTGTGCATGGTTGTTATTGTTAGTAACTAGATCTGACAAACACCTGAAGAGCAACACACGAGCTCATGCCTTCTGTATCAGTTTCTCCTCCCCTTTCTATAGTTCATACTTTCTCTTCCCAAACTCCCTGTACTGGTATCCCCATTCTCCCTTTGAAGTATGTGTCACTTTTCTACTCACTATGTCATTAAATCATTTATGTTTTTCTTTTATATTAACCTGTTTTAACTTTAACCTATTGGTTAAAATTTTCAAGGAATTCATAATAACAGTTGAATCACTTTTCTAAAAGTCTTCCTTCATGTGATTTTCCAGTCTCCAGTTTTTGGTTTCCATATTGGAAGACCAGGAGCAATTTATAACCATCAATACTCTCACTTCTTTGTGTTCTATTTAAGCAGGGACATTATTGGCTATTTTTCCTTAAACTAAAAAAATATGGTAAAGAATGTAAAGGATCTACAAGGAAGTAATATGTTAGTGACTTCAATGGATACATTGCATGGAATATGTAAATGAACATGAAATAGTTAAGCTGCTAACAAATATAAACAAAACAAAACTTACAGCTCACCAGTTGCTGTAGATGGAGGGATTTGGGTGAAAAGGGAATATTGATATGGTAATGCAAGAAGTAAAAAGAGGCTAAAGGTCTTGGGCTAAGCAAGAGGGAAACGTTAACCTGTCCTAGAATCTGGATTAACTCTTCCTAGCCTTGATTTTCCCCCTCCATTGCCAAAGAGCTTCAGCTAGTGAGAGTCTTTGGAGACTTTGGTCCTTGATATGCAACCTAAAGATTGAAAGATTATATTCTCTCTTTAATTACACCTTTCTCTAACCTTGAATTGAGTGCTTGCAAGGTGAGTAGGCAAGACCCAACCTGCTGTGTGGAGTTAATTCCCAGGATGGCTAGGAGAGGCTGTGTCCTGCTAAGGGGAGGCCTCTATGATCATGATTTGCAGAGAGGATTGCTGAAGAAAAAGGGCTATATGTTCATATGGGTTAGCCGAGACAGGTAGTGAAATACATACAGCACATTTTTCCTGAGATACTGATGTTGTTGATGTCAATAGCCCTAAGAACAATTATAATGTGTCAAGATAGTGGGAACATTTGCATTTAAAAGAACAATCTGTTGTCAGGACCTATTTACTATGGTACTAAAAATTAGGCAGTTGCAGGCACAAAATTATCCTATGATTAAAGCCCTATGTAATGGGTGCGTTTTAAGCATTTGTGGGAGTTATTTTCCTTTAGGGAGGATGTACTCAAGTTTCCAAGGCTTCTTCATGTTTTCCCCTATTGTCTTTTCTTTGCTCCTAATACTATAATTTGCTAAGTAATTCTATGACATTAAGGACCTTAAATATGTATTGTGCAACTAATTTGTTTTGAGAAAGTGGAAGTTTCAAAGGGTTAAGTCACTCCCTTAAGGTCACACAGCTAACTAGTGACAAAGAAATGCTTCTGTTACTCTTATGCTAAGCAGGGTGTTTTGTGCACTGGACAAGCAATCCTTATTGACTTGGCATTGCTTTTCTCACGCTCTTGTTGCAGTCCATATGCTGCAAAGTGAAGATCAGGAAGAAATATTCTCGTACACAAAATATTTCTTCTCTTTGGGAAAAGAGGGGGTGAGCCTGGAGTAGATGAAGTGGACACTCCCATAAGTGAGGTGATTTAAGGGGCGTCAAAAATCACCATTTATTTTAGTTTCCTAGAACTGCCATAACAAACTGTCACAAACTTGGGAGTTTTAAAACAACAGAAATTTATTCTGTCACAATTCAGGGCACTGGAAGTCTGACATCAAGGTGTCTTAAGGCTCGAAGTGTAACTGCCTGAGGAGTTCTTCCTGCCTGCTGCACAAACAAAGACCATAGCATTGCAGTAAAGAAAGAGTTTAATTGATGTGAGGCTGGCCACTCCACACTGGAGATGGAGTTATTACTCAAATCAATCTCATTGAAGGCTGGTAGGTTAGGGGTTTTTCAAAGGTAGTTTGGGGGAAGGGGTGGGGATGGCTAGGCATTGGGTGCTTGCTGGTGATTGCTTGGGGGTGCAATCGTAGGGGTGTGGGCAATAATCCTGAGTGCTGAATCACTTCTGGGTGAGGCCAACAGGAGTGGTTGGTGGGTCCAGGTGGAGCCGTCGGTGTCAGACATGCAAAAAACCAGAAAAGATATCTCAAAGGTCAGTCTTAGGTTCTATAATAGTGATGTTATCTGCTGGAGTAATTGGTGAAGTTGCATACCTTGTGACCTCCAGAATAATGGCTGGCAGTTGTTTATGTCTATTCCTTAGCAGAATTCAGGCTTCTCTATCCTCCTAGCCTGGTGATCTCTCATTACCTTTACAAAGATAATTGACTTTCAGGGAAGAAGTATTATCATTTAAACTATAAACTAAATGTCTGGCAGCTTGAAGGCTAAAGGCGAGAGAGGGGGTTGGCAAGATCAGATCTCCCCCCTCCCCCGACCAGAATTTTCTGACTGTTATATTGTTTCACAGGTTTCATAAGGAAGTGAAGAAAATAAAAATATTTCACCCCAAAATATTTGACATATTTTGAGAGGGCTGTACAGAAGTCCTGCATAAGGAAGTGACCCTGCAAAGCTGTCTTTTTTCAGGAAGATTTGCATCTGTAGAGAATGCGTGTGATGCAGCCAGGTTTTCTTCAAAGCCTTCCCTTTTCTGGATCTAGGAAAGATTAACTTGGATCTGATAATTTTAAAAATCTGAAAGAAACATTTACCCTCTCTGATCTCTGAGGGTTGCTACCTGTGAGGTTTTATCTATGTAACAAGACCACCTTTGCTAGACAGGCCTCCTCTTCTTCCTCTCCCATTTCCTGTTTTGCCATGATCCAAGCCCCCATTCTTTCTGTAACTTCAAGACAGTATAAAAGCTTCTGAAATCTATTGAGTTGTTGGGACAATCACTCAGTGGTTCTCCCCTGTGTACACATTAATAAATTTGTATGCTATGTTCCCAATTAATCTCCTTTAGTGAGTTGGTTTTTCAGTAGATCTGCAGAGGGTGAAGGGGAAGCTTAGGGAAAGCCCCTTCAGAGGAATCCTTCCTTGCCTCTTCCTACCTTCTGGTGGCTGTTGATGACCCTGGCAAGTCCCTCAATTTGTAGCTGCCTGACTCCAGTCTCTGCTTCTGCTGTCATATGGCCTTCTCTGTGTCACTGGGTATACTTTTTCTGTCTCTCAGAAAACCCTTACTGGATTTAGGGCCCACCCTAATCCAGTAGGATCTCATCTCAATTCTTACCTTGATTATATCTGCAAAGACCCTATTTTCCGAATGAGGTCACATTCTGAGGTTCTGGGTGGACAGGAGTTCGGCAGGGACACCAACCCAGCACACCATTTGTTCTGATACACTTCACCTTTGCAAATGCTACACTGACTAGTGTTCTGTTTAGAGCTTGACTGTGAATCCTGGAGGAGCAGCTTACCACATCGCCATCACTTCCATGAAAGGGAAGGAGACCAGGTATAGCAAAGAAGATGGGAGGAGGGAGGTATTGCTATAAAATACAGTGGAAAGTGTTCATGTGTGGATAGGAAGGCCACCCAAAGCCCAGTGAGGCTCTGAAGAAAACTTTAACTTTTGGCCAAAGCTAGGCTTGAACATCAAACTCTGGTTAACAATTATTGAACTCACTTATAGCTGGAAGAGTTATCAGAACCCATTTCAGAAGCACAAGAATTGACTGGATTCTAGAATGACTGAATTAAGTGGCAGGTTCTATAGCCATTATTAAGCTAAACTCACAAAGATATAGACGGTAAAGTCCTTCTGAAAAAAGTCTTAGAGTTTATTTTTGAGGGAGAAAATTCATGCGTACAGTGAAAAACTGGAGGCTAAGTCTAAAGCATTATATAAAAATGAAAGAATATATTTTTTTCTCTTTAGAAAACTTTTTGGGCTGGGTATAGCTCATGCCTCTAATCCCAACACTTTGGGAGGTTGACGCAGGTGGATCCCTTAAGGCCAGAAGTTCAAGACTTGCCTGGGCAACATGGTGAAACCCTGTCTCTACTGAAGATACAAAAATTAGCCAGGTGTTGTGGCACACACCTGTAGTCCCAGCTACACAAGAGGCTGAGGTGGGAGGATCGAGGTTGTGGTGAGCCAAGATCATGCCACTGTACTCCAGCCTGGCTGAGAGAGAGATCCCATTTCGTAGAAGAAAAAAAAAAAAAAAAAAAAACACCAACTTTGTGCTCTCTAGTGCAAACCTGGAATTCTGTAGTTAAAATTCCATAGAAAGGCTAGAAGGTAACATAAAGCACCCAATAGAATTTAAAACAATAATATGCTTGCAGTATGTTTTTCTGTGCCAGCCACTGTGTTCAGTGATCTATTTCATTGAATCCTTTCAAAATCTCCATGAGGCTCACACCGTTATTGTCTCAATTTTATAGGTGAGGAAACTGAGGTTCAGACAGCCTAAGCAATCTGGCCAGACTTTGTTTTTACCTGTGTTTGTTTGTTTGTTTTAAATGGAGTCTTGCTCTGTCACCTAGGCTGGAGTGCAGTAGAGTGATCTCTGCTCACTGCAACCTCTGCCTCCTTGGTTCCAGCAATTCTTCTGCCTCAGCCTCCCAAGTAGCTGTGATTACAGGTGTGCACCACCACACCTGGCTAATTTTTGTATTTTTAGTAGAGACAGGGTTTCGCCATGTTGGCCAGGCTAGTCTCGAACTCCTGACCTCAAGTGATACACCTGCCTCGGCCTCCCAGAGTGCTGGGATTACAGGTGTGAGCCATCGCACCTCTCCTGTTTTTACCTCTTAAGCTCTGCTGACTGAAGAACTCTGTAACTGTGTGTCTTCCTGTAACTTGCAGTTCCTGTGATTAGAGCTGTAGAGGAGGAACTGTAATCACTGAACGTTGAAAATATCAGTAATAGGGATTCCAGATTTAATGGGACTGATGACTTGGCATGGGGATAAAGAGATAACAACTAATCTTTGGAGGCAGACTCTTCAAATTCAAATCTCCAATCAACTATGCATCAGTTTTTTCTTGCTACTGTAACAAATTACCACAAATTTAATAGTTTGAAATAACACAGATTATTTTATAGTCCTGGAGTTCTTAAATTTAGATGTCAGCAAGGATGTGCTCCTTCTGGAGGCTCTAGGAGACAATCTGTGCCTTGCATGCTCCGGCTACTTGCACTCCCTGGGTTATGGCCCCTTCCTCACATTACTGCATCCTCTGCTGTCATCATCGCCCTCGCTCTCCTGCCTCCCTCTTATAAGAACCCTTGTGATTACATTGGGTCCACCTGAATAATCCAGGATTCACCCTTTCAAGATCCTTAATCACAATTGCAAAGTCCTTTTTCCATGTAAGGTAATATATTCATTGGTTCTAGGAATTAGGACATGGATGTCTGTGGAGGGCCATTATTCTGTTTACCACATTATATGACCAGGGGTAAATTATTTAACCCCTTTAAAACTCATTTTCCTGCTCTGAGCAAAATGAGAAAATAATAGTATCTAATTTGTTGAGCCATTGTGAGGATGAAATGAGATTATGTTGCCTGGAAGACTAAGTTAATGTAGGTGTTATTATTATCATTATTATTTAAGGCATGAGCCAGAAGCTATTGTCATGAACTAAGATGACAGAGTGTCCTTGGAATCCATAGGGTGATGAGTGTGGTGTCTGTGGTCTTCACCCAGGACTGAAGTGAGTGACAGGTGTCCTCATTTTGCAAATAGGCAAAGCAGCGTTGAGTGAGGTCCCACCACCGCCTGCATTTGGTGAATTACAACTTGGGAAAACAAAAGTCTCTACAATTCTGTGAAGACCACTTTCTTCTGTGCCTAAATTATTTTAAATATTTTATCAAAAGTTGAGTGAGGCATCCAGGCTGAGAGGCTCCTTTGTGGAGGCTTCCCCAAAGTTTAGGGACAATTGAATGCAGGCCAAATCAGAGGACACTGTGAGACCTGAAAGCCCCCAAGTAAAGTCCCAAATTGCAATTTTGCCTTCCAGGAATATCGCTGAGTCTGACTTCTGCGGCTGAAACAGAAACAGGATTTTGGGCACGTGTGCTCCATTGAGCTAAACAGCCTGCAATAGAACAGAACCCTCTGGCTAATTTATTTAGGTACAGAAACAGAGTCATAACTAAGAGGATTTTCCTGCCCCCAAATCCCCTCCCATCACAGCTGTCATCCCTGTGCAGTTCCTTTACCTGTAAGTGGTGTGAGTAGTGTGATTTATGCAGGAGAAATTTCAATTCCAAATTCTCACCTGTTTCTCCACCTCCCAACCATGGGCTCTTTTGAGTAAAGGGTTTCTAGTCTCTGGGAGAGCTTTGCTAAAATAAAAATACTCTTGACAGAGCATTTGGTTCTATGGGGAACCTTTAGGGATTATTTTTTTTTCAATATTGTTATTTTACAGATGAGGAAATTAAGGAAATGTGAGGAGTTAGGGCCAACAAAAAAGTTACAGGAGAAGGTTTCATTTTTGGCTGCCTATTCACTTCTATTCACTGCCTGTTTACTTCTGACACCAACTGCAAGTTCAGGAGGTTTCCATCACCCTCTGGTTTGAATACTTTGCTAGAAGAACTCACAGAACTCACTGAAACCATAACCTGAATGCCCATGGTCATGGTTTATTACAGGGAAAGGATATGGTTAAGATTAGTCAAAGGAAGAGACGTATAGGATAAAACCCAAGAAGGTACCAAATGCAGAGTTTCTGTTGTCCTTTCCCTATAGTACTGGGATAATATTACCCTCCCAGTACATGTGTAACAACCAGGAAGCTCACTGGAGCTTTTGTGTTCAGAGTTTTTATTGGGGCCCTATTATGTGAGCATGATTGATTGAGTGACTGATTACCCACATTGTGAATCTATCTCAGTCTTCAGTCCCCAGACCCTCTGGGCATGACCCAAATCTCCCACCCTAAATCACATGATTATCTTTCTGGCATGGTCAATACCCACCCTAAGCAAAAACACTCCTATAAAGGTTATCTCCTAGAAGCCAGGGGCAAAGTCCAGGCAGCTTTTGGAGCAAGGTTAAGTTCCATACTACATAGTCCTGAAAAGTTGAATCACTCAACCAAGGTCACACGGCTCAGCCAAAGTATTTGCAATTATTAAAACTCAGGAAGTCGGCATATTCTTACATGACCAATACAGAATATGAGACAATATAGCATAGTGACTAAAAGTTGGGAACCAGACTATGGGGTCAGGTGACAGCTCTGCTATTTACTACTGGGTGACCTTGGGTAAGTTCTCACCCAATTTGTGTCTCAATTCATAAAATGGGGATGATAATAAATCCTAACTCATAGAGTCAACGCATGTAAAATACTTTTTTTAATGTGAAAATTTTCAAAATAGAGGTGGGGTCTTGCTATGTTGCCCTGGCTGGTCTTGAACTCCTCGCCTCAAGTGATCCTCCCACCTCAGCCTCCCAAAGTGTTGGGATTACAGGCATGAGCCATGGCTCATTTCCAGTTTTCCAATTCTGAAGCAGCAAAATATTGTTTTTAGCTGTTATGTCTAGAATCCAAAAGAGTTATGTTAAAAAAAAAAAAAGTCAATTATATTAAATTAAGGGAAAATTTAATCAAATTCGCATTATGTGCCAGGCACTGGGCTGGTCAATGTAAGGGATATAAGGTTAAAGAAGACCTGGACAATGTAAAGTACTTAAAACACTATCTAGCACATAGTAAGTACTCAATGATTTTAGTTTTTAATATTATTAAGCAGAAGTAAAGTTAATAGATCAGAAAACACAAGTTATCCATAATCCTCTCCCTTTTCCTATTTAACTGATAGATAATTGCCTGTTTCCAAACCTTTTCTGTTTATAAACAATGGTGAATTATATTACACATAGTCTTCAGTTTCATTTTTACTTAAGAGTTTCATCAACTATTTATTACTTTTAAATGAATAAGAATGTTTGAAATCATTTAAACATTTAAATAAATGCATGAAATATAAGCAATGGGCTGTGTGTGGTGGCCACGTCTATAATCCCAGCACTTTGGGAGGCCGAGGCGGGCGGATCACTTGAAGTCAGGAGTTTGAGACCAGCCTGGCCAACATAGTGAAACCCTGTCTCTACTAAAAATACAAAAATTAGCCAGGCATGGTGATGGGCATCTGTAATCCCAGCTACTCGGGAGGCTGAGGCAAGAGAATCACTTGAACCCAGGAGGTGGAGGTTGCACTGAGCCAAGATTATGCCACTGCACTCCAGCCTGGGCAACAGAGCAAAAACTCTGTCTCAAAAAAAAAAAAAAAAAATTCTAAGCAACAAAATAACCACTTCTTTTTTCTTGTTTATACCAGCATTAAATATGTGAGCAGTTGAATGCCACCTGTGTTAGGGAGGCTGAAAAAGTCCTTTTGATTTGTTTCAAGTCACAATAAAAAATGTTGTTTGTCCCCGCACAGTCCTGTTCCAACTCTCGGATTGTTTCATCACATAGGAGAGTAGTATTGTCAGGAAACACTGCTTTCCTAATGTCAAAGAAGAAAAATAACCTGGTGGAAATTTCTGCTCACCTCAGTGGCAGATTTCCAGTTTTCCAATTCTGAAGCAGCAAAATATTGTTTTTAGCTGTTATGTCTAGAACCCAAAAGAGTTATGTAAAAAAAAAAGTCAATTATATTCAATTAAGGGAAAATTGAATGAAATTCCCATTATGTGCCAGGCACTAGGCTGGTCAATGTGAGTGATATAAGGTTAAAGAAGACCTCATTTTGGGTCCCGTGGGTCCCCTAGCCTAGCAGGACACACAGATGCAGAGAACATGGTAAAGGGCATGCTAAATAGACGTTCGGCCCAGAGGATATGGGGCTACATCAGAAGAAGCATTTACTTCTGACTGGGCTAAGTAAAAGCAGGAACACTTAAGCTATGCTTTTAGTGGTTTCTGGGAGCACAATGGGGGCATCTACTCTGTAAGATCAGACCATGTGGATGGCAAAGACTGGCTATAGCCAGAAAGAATTGCTGAACGAAGGCTGACAAGACATATGTTCACCATTCATGGAAGGTGGCCCGGTCATCCAGAGTTTCCCATCTCATTCAAATAGGAGAAATTAGCATATGCCTTTTTGGGGGAAGCAGGTAGAAGTGTCCTGAAACATTATACTCTAACAAAAATGACATTCTTCTCCCTCTATTTTGGGTTGAGACTTAATTGATTAAACTAATAGTAGCTGGAATTTATAGAAGTCCTTCTTATAACACTTTTCAAGAGATGTTTAGGGTCATCAGTATGCCCAGCAAAACCTTTTGAGAGCCATTAAATCCAATGAGGACAGGGAGACCCAGGGTCGTGGCATGAGCTGATAATGCCACACTGGGAGCAACATGAAGGTCTTGCCTAATTTCTCTCTTAGCACTTTTCATATTCTCTGTACTTTATCTCATAACCACTCAGCTTTCTGGACATCATTTTTTTTTTTTCTTTTTAATGGGCAAGAGTCTTCAAATTGCAAGGCACACTGGCACCATTTACATTTTAAGAGGCTTAAATTTTTAATTTTCTTTTTCATTTCACTGGAACATTTTAGAAAGTTGCACTGCTTTTTATTATGCCACATTCTGAACATACCCTACTGCTTTGATCCTAACCCCTTCAGAACCTGGGCAGGGCTGGACTCTCAAGGAATCAGTAAACAAGTTGAGAAGTCCGGCAGGCTGAGGACACTCCATCAGGCAGGGGTGGGCCAAAGCCCTCTACCTTATGAGACTCCATTATGTGAAGAAGACAGAAGATGATGGCTTTGGATTGTTGGATTCCAGCAGCCCAAGTGCACACAGCTTACCTAACTTGCCCTCTGCTGCTTAAACTGTTTCTAAGTCTGTCCCCCAAAGCCTTGTCAAATGGCAGTGTTCTCCCCCGGCCTCAGAATGCTGGATTGCATTAGGCTGTATGTCATTGCATTCCATGACTGACACCGATAGTATCTATCTGTTGAATTTCCATCCGAGTGCCATCCTTATTAGATTTCAGGAGGAACAGTTAGTGGCTCCATTAAAATTTCCTGACTTATTTTGGTTTCACCCTTAAGCAACTGCCTAAATGGCTTGTTTCCCTTGAAACTAAACATTTTCCTATGGTGAGAGCAGAGAAAATTAATAGCTTCTGGAATATAGAACAGTTGGGTAGGGATTTTGGAAACAATTCTCCCTTTTCTAAGGTTCTTATTGGAAGGGAGTCTTTGTTATCACCTTAGGGGGCCAAAGTCCTGTATCCTTAACACTGCCTGTATTTATCTCTGCTTACTCCCAAGCCTATCAGTTAAAGGGGTGAAAAGCAAATCAGCAACAAAGCCAACTGTTAAAAGAATGAGATCTAGGGTGGTAGGTTAGCACTCACAAGTACAGGCAAAAATAGCCTATTGTTCCTGGGAAAGCAGAGAAAACACACAAATTAACAGGATGCCACTGTTTCTCCGCAGCAAATTCTTGGTTCTTGTCATCAAATCATCTCACTTTTGAGTTCAGAAGCATAAGGAGTGTTTCTACTTGTGGCTTTGTAAGAAGAAGAAATTTCTACTTGTGAATTGTGATGACATACCTTCATTTAAGTCTTTGTGAGGGGTGTACCATACAGTTAAAGAAAGTGTAGAATTTCTGTTTTAAATAAAAATACCTGCTTTTCAATTTTCCTGCATCTGTTGACAACTGGTTAAATATTGTTTTCCTCTCCCAGGAAAATCATTATCCTGGTGGCTACACTATGAATCGTACATCTCTGCCTCTTCCTTCTTCCCTCTCAAGTAAACCATGCACATTCATTTATTTAATTGTTCAACATGTATTTATTGACTGCCTTCATGGCATATTGTACTCTGCTAGGTGCTGGGTATATGGTGATAAGCATAATAGATGGTTTCTACCTGCCTAGAACTTACAGGTCTTGAAGGAGAGACAGATATTTTAAAATATTTACATAGACATACACACACGTATGTATAAACACACATGCATACATACATCTAAACATAACATACATGCCTACATATATGCATCATATAACACACAAATTAAAAATGGTAATAAATGAAGAAAGAGAAATAAGGCTGGGCAAGGTGGCTCACACCTGTAATCACAGCACTTTGGGAGGCTGAGGCGGGCAGATCACCTGAGGTCAGGAGTTCAAGACCAGCCTGGCCAACATGGTGAAACCCTTTCTCTATTAAAAATACAAAAGTTGGCTAGGTGTGGTGGTGGGTACCTATAATCCCAACTACTCAGGAGGCTGAGATGGGAGAATCGCTTGAACCTGGGAGGTGGAGTTGCAGTGACCTGAGATCGTGCCATTGCACTCCAGCTTGGGTGACAAGAGTGAGACTCTGTCTCAAAAAAAAAAAAAAAAAAAAAAGAAAAAGAAAAATGAAATGAAAGATCTAATTAAATGAGGGCAGTCAGCAGTGGCCTACCTAAATAAATAAATCACTTTTGAGATGGGTTGGGGCTAGAAGGCAGGAGAAAAGAATAGCAATGAGAGAGAACAAGCTGTATGAAGGCCCCCAAGGGAGTGGCGTGTTTGAGAAACTGAAAGGAGAGTGACTGACAGGAGTGAGCAGGAGCCCCATGGCCATCAAGGGTTTGGGAGTCAAAGCAGTGAATGCAATGAGATGCATTTAGGTTTAAAAGGGTCATTCTAGCTGTTGAATGGGGAATTGATTTGAGGGAACTAAGAGAGGAGAGGTGTTTGCCATGAACATAGAGCAATGGGCCAGGAATGGTGGTCAAGCCTATAATCCTAACACTTTGGGAACCCAAGGTAGGTGGATCGCTTGAGTTCAGGGGTTCAAGACCAGCCTGGGCAACCTAGGAAGATCCTGTCTCTATAAAAAAATAGAAAAAAAATTAGTTGGGCATGGTGGTACTCACCTGTGGTCCCAACTACTTGGGAGATTGAGGTGGCAGGATCATCTGAGTCCGAGACGTTGAGGCTGTAATGAACTGTGATAGTGCCACCACACTCCAGCCTGGGCCACAGAGTGAGATGCTGTCTTTAAAAAAAAAAAAAAAAAGGAGTGACGGATTCAAGTACTCTTGGTGGAACAATTGAGAACTTGTTGATAAATTGGACATGAAAATCATGGAGACGGATGTATAAAAGTGACTCTTTCCCCTTTGATTTATGCCCTGACTGTTCAGTTAATTTCTCTTTAGGTGACCTTTCTCCCATGACTGCGCCACTTGTCTCACTCCCAGTAGGAAATAAGCTGAACTGGTTTTTCCATTCTTCTCCGGGGCCTTGACTGGGAGAGGCCAGTCAGCTCCACAGGCAGCTTCTCTGGTTGAATAAATACCTGCAGGGGTTTATTAACTCCAGATCTTATACAAACAAATAATTTGAAAATGACTGAAACCACTCTAGAATAATGCTTATTTACAGGTTTTATATCATATATGATAAATGATTAAAGATATAAGATGAGTTCTATTATAAATTTCAATTCTTTTTCAGTAAGGAATTGGCTTTACCCCTTAATTTGTGTCAACAAAGAAACGGTTTTGGCCTGGAGTTTGTTCCTCCTCCAGGTCTGAGGATATTTTTGTTTGGCTGGTTGGTTGCTCCATATTGGCTTGCTTCAGGACATCTGAATAAGAATATTTGTTTCTTGGTTTTAGGCCTCTTACGAGGGACTCCTTTCGTTTGCTTCTAACAAATATGTTCAGTGCACTTTGAATAATGGGTCTTTGTCAATTGACTTCCACAGGTGGCTTTGTTTCTTTTCAAAATGTTTTAAAAACTTTTTGTGTTATCAGTAAATAGTCATAATTAATAAAAGCATAAGAGCTACTGTGTATTGAATGCTAAGAAATGCTGCTTACTGTTTTTTAGATGTAATCTCATAAGATGGGTGTCAGTGTTTTCCATCAAAGTCATGTGGTTATTAAGTAGTGGAGATGGAATCTGAACCCAGGCAGGGCTGGTTTCAAGGCCAGAGCCCTTGGCTATTACCTTGGGTGTCTGATGAAGGTTCCCAGTAACCTGAGTCCTCTGGGCTGAGGTTCTTTGTGGCAGCCACACTCTCTGGTATGACCTGTGATCATCCTCTGCTTTGGCAAGGGGAGGACATTTTTAACCACCTGAGCAGGAAACAGTGACTTCCTCCTTGGCATCCCATCTGAATTTAATCCCTTCTGAGGATTAAATCCTGTGGATGTTTACGTGTCCTCTTTGATTTTCTTTTTCTTTTCAATTTTCCTCAGTTACTTCAGAAAGAAAATCCTTTTCTCCAATTTTATCATGTCTTCTCTAAGCCAAAAGAGGATGATTGAGTTATCACGGCTGATAAGCATTAAGAGTCAGTGATACTGTTTTATATATATTAAAAAATGTCTGTTTCAGACTTGGTTCTGCCATGCAATGATTGTTTCTAATTTCTAATTATGGAAGCTATCTTAGATAAATTGTTAACTACCTTTTCTTTTCAAAGTACAGTGGCTGGCCAGGCGTGGTGGCTCACACCTCTAATCCCAGCACTTTGGGAGGCTGAGGTGGGCAGATCACTTGAGGTCAGGAGTTCCAGATCAGCCTGGCCAGCGTGGTGAAACCCCATCTCTACTAAAAATACAAAAATTAGCCAGACGTGGTGGTGGATGCCTGTAATCCCAGCTACTTGGGAGGCTGAGGCCCAAAAATCACTTGAACCTGGGAGGTGGAGGTTGTAATGAGCTGAGATTGTGCCACTGCACTCCAGCCTGGGTGACAGAGTGAGACTATCTAAAAAAAAAAAAAAAAAAAAAAAACACACACACAGTGGCTGGTACAAAGTAGAAATATAATCTGTGTTAGTCAGTGTTGAATCCTAAATAAGGGAGGGGTTAAACATTTATTTACTTGACAAACAGGTACTGAGAGCCCTCTATGTGCCAGGCACCCTGCCAAGGGTGGGTGTGCATAGATGAGGTTGAGATTTAGAAAATCCAGAGTCAGTGACTTGGATTCTAATCTTGCTCTCCTCCACATGAATTGTGAAGCTTGGTAAATTGCTTTATCTCTAAGCAACAGATTTCTCGTCCAACAATTGGAGCTAATCAGAGGGCTGATTTCATAGGCCCTATGTTAGGTGGCTTGAATGAGAATTAATGGGAAGCACTTGCACAGTGTATAGCTCATTGTAAGGGCTCTGTCAGTGTTACCTGTTGTTATTATGAAAAAGAAGATCAAGAGAAGAGGAACTATACCCCCAGTGTAATTAATTTCAATAAGCATTCAGTAAGCACACACATGTGCATGTATACACACATACTTATATACCTACAAGGGGAATACAGATATTTAATGTTGGGGAGAAGGGTGAATATTCAATCTGAAATTATTATTATTATTTTAGACAAAGTCACTCTAGTCGCTCAGGCTGGAGTGCAATGGCGCGATCTCAGCTCACTGCAACCTCCTCCTCCCAGGTTCAGGCGATTCTCCTGCCTCAGCTTCCCGAGCAGCTAGGATTACAGGCACCTGCCAGCATACCCCACTAATTTTTGTATTTTAGTAGAGACAGGGTTTCACCATGTTGGCCAGGCTGGTCTCGAACTCCTGACCGCTCACCTCGGCCTCCCAAAGTGCTGAGATTACAGGCATGAGCCACCATGCCTAGCCTTAAAATTATTTTTATAAAACAAAACAATGCATTTTTTATATAACATAAACTGTGGAAAGTCAAACTTAACAAATCTCTTGGGCAAAGAATAAGCAAACTTGAACCAAAGACTTTCAGTGTCCCTTGATGTTTCCATAGTATATGAGTCTATGGAAAAAAAAAAGGCAGACTTTGATTTTAATGTAAATTTAGACAATATTGCTATTAACTGGATTTTCAGAGTGAAGGCAGACATGACAAAGTGAACTGTGGGCAGAGAAGCAGTTGGACAGAACCAATCTTTAGCAGATGGCCACTAGAGTGACATTGCTGTGTGGTGGCAGCCCAGCGGCTGCTGTTGGGCTGAGATTTGGTGTGCTGTCCAGGACAGAGCAACTCAAGGATACAAAGAATGTTGACCAGAGTCCTGGCAGGCACTCAGCATGGGGTGGGTGGATAGGCCTCACCCCTGGGGTCAGGATGTTCCAACAGGCAGGCAGAGCATGACAGAGGAGGATGGGGGAGGCAATACTCAAAGTCCAGCAGGATTGGCTGTGGATTTCAGGGAAGTGCATCAGCAGGGAGCAGGGCCCTGATCTCTGGGGTTGAGCTGAAACGTGGAGACTGGCAAGAGCAAGGCAAGTCTTGTTTACAGACCTTGAACTCCAGTTCCTCTGCAGCCCAGGCTTATGTGGCAGGATTCAGGATTCAGAACTTATGGTGGCCGGGTGTAGTGGCTCACACCTGTAACCCCACCACTTTGGTGGGCAGAGGCAGGAGGACTGCTTGACCCCAGGAGTTTGAGATCAGCCTGGGCAACATAGTGAGACCCCACTTCTTTTTTTTTTTTAATTTTTTTTTTTTTTTTGAGACGGAGTCTCACTCTGTCGCCCAGGCTGGAATGCAGTGGAGCAATCTCGGCTCACTGCAAGCTCCGCCTCTGGGGTTCACGCCATTCTCCTGCCTCAGCCTCCCGAGTAGCTGGGACTACAGGTGCCTGCCACCACGCCCGGCTAATTTTTTGTATTTTTAATAGAGATGGGGTTTCACCGTGTTAGCCAGGATGGTCTCGATCTCCTGACCTCGTGATCCGCCCACCTTGGCCTCCCAAAGTGCTGGGATTACAGGCGTGAGCCACTGTGCCCAGCGTGACACCCCACTTCTATGTAAAAAACAAAACAAACAAACAAACAAAAAACTTAAAAATGAGCCAGGCTTGGTGACTCTTGCCTGTAGTCCCAGCTACTTGGGAGGCTGAGGTGGTAGGATCACTTGAACCCAGGAAGCTGCAGTGAGCTATGATAGTGCCACTGCACTCCAGGTGTGGTGACAGAGCAAGATCTTGTCTCAAAAAAGAACTTATGGTAACCTAGAAGGACCCAAACGCCTCTATTTAAGTCTCCTTGACTGAGGGCGGGGCTGGGCTTGCCGGTAAGGGTCAGATGCCACTTGCTGTGAGGAATGGAGAGGTGCAGAGACTGAGAAACCCAGAATTTCTTCCAGAATGTGCATAAACAATTCCCACTCCCTTCTTGTATTCCTATTTTCTAATTATATGTAGTTACTAATACATCATATAGCTTTACTTAGTAAAAAAAAAAAATCAATATATACTATTAAAATGGCATTCTCCATCTAAGCAGCTATATGATTTGAAATGTCCACCACAGCCTTAAGCTTCAATCAATTTAATTATTTTTGATACATGGAAGTCATAAAACTAACTTAACTTAAAAAATTTTGTATATCTTTTTCTATAATTTGATAAATGGAAGATTCATTTATACTTCATGTTTTCCAACTTTTGGTTTGAAAACCTGTCCCTATATTGAGGAATATTTAAAAAGAGCTTTGTTAGGTTGGGAAAATGATCACATTTGTGACATTTTTTTTCTAATGAAAAATGCATTCCAAATTTGCAACAGCCACCCTGGAAGTTTCTTTCAGGCAAGATCTGTTGGGAATGTACCATAGTGCCATGTCCAGAACCCTCGGTAGAAATGGTGCTCAATAAATATCAAATGTGTCTGACGGTAGGGAGAGGCTTTTAAAGCAATGCCTCTCCAAAATTGAAGCCATTGAGTCTGATCCACTGTATCCTTGAAATCATAACAGAACCAACCCCCTATCAGGTGGAAGTGTTCACTACCGAAATATGACCAAGTCGATTAATCATCCTTGTTTCTCCCTCAGCTCCTCAGCGCTCTCTCCCTACATTCCCTGTAGAGTGAATGTCACAACATCCACATTGGTGTCCAAGTCAGGCATCTTGGAGTTAACCTGCTGCAAGGAAAAATGTGGGCTTCAGGGGAAAACTATGCATTGTCTAAAGACAGCCCTCTGAGTTATGTGACTCTATGGGAGCTATTGTACAACTCTGTAAACCATACATAATTGATGGGATGCAAAATCATTTTTAGCTATAGCTGTGCAAATTCTGTCCTATCTTGTAGAGATTCAACTGAGTTCTCCCCCACTGTGGAAGAAACCAGTTTTACCTCCATCTGCACATTCATTTCAATATTCCTGATCTATAAATGTGTCTGTTTTTCAATTTCTCCCTTGATCCAGTTATAACATCTGCCTGGCACCTTCTTTATGAGTAAAAGAAAATCTTTAACATGTGTTCATTTTATATCCTTATGAGTCATAATTTTACCTTTTTTTGGAAAATTATCTTTTAGCACTGCCTTTTTCTCACTCATAGCTTCTCATCCTTCATTTGTTCACTTAGTTCTCTTTCTTCTAATGTCTCTCTAATTTTTCTCTTTCTCTGCAACTCCACTGCTGCAATCCAAGTTAAGTTCACTGTGATTTTTTTTTAAACATAGATCATGGCAACAGACTTCTAATTGGTGCCCTGTGTTCAACCTTGGGCCTCCCAACCCTCCCCACATTTTATTCTATACCCTTTAACTCTCTAAAAATGTAAATCCTCTCCTATCTGTTTCCTTCTTAAAGCTCCTCAAAGGTTTTGCATCATCTGTAGACTACTGGTCTTGTTAAGAAGCTGGGTCTTTGAGATACATTGTGAGCTATGTCCTGCTGTAGCCTCATAACTATTTTCCCCACTCCTTCACCTTCAATCTGAGGGCCAACCACAATTAACTTCTTCCAATAACCTTTAATACCCCACTCACTTCTGGGACTTCCCTCCTGCTGTTTCTTCTGCCTGCCTGTCTTCCCCCTCCACCTTCACTGGGCTAGCTCATCTCATCTCAGCCCACATGTAACTTTCCATGGGAGGCCATCTCTATTGTGTACCCTGTTCTTTCTCTGCAATAGAGAGCATGACACTGTAGGGCTACATCCTTTATTCCACAGAATACTGTAATCTCCATGCGGACAAGGATTGTCTTCTTAACTCTTATAACTCCCACTGCCTAGTTTAGAACGCCAATGAGTATTTATTGGATGCATGTGACTTAGGGTCTGGGCACTCAGTGTGGCCCAGCATAGCAGTGCTGGCATTTTTTCTATTATAATTTTGCAATAGTTATTAAACAATAGAGATGGACAATATCCAGAGAGACTATCATCTCCTAATCTTTCCTTGTAAACAAAGAGGTTAATCTATGTTCTTGGAGTACATAGGCAGGCAGGGGGTTATTGGCAGAGCTGGTCTTGCATCTTGGTTCTGAAGATATAACTAAGGTGGGCTGAGTCCTAGAGTTTTGTGACTCAAGTGTGCTCTGTGGGACCAGCAGCATTGGCATCCCCTGGGAGCTTGTTAGAAATGCAGAATTTTCCTTCTGAACAACAGTTATGTGGAAAAGAGAAAAAATGTAAAGAAAATAAAGAAATGCAGAACCTTAAGCCCAGCCCCAGACTTCCTGAGCTAGAATTGGGATTTTAATAAAACAAGATGCCTAAGTGACTTGATTGCACATACAGTTTGAGGAACACTGTCTAAGAGGTCCTACTTGTTGTGTGATCTTGGAGAGGTTACTTAAGCACACAAGTACTTCCATAATTGTGGAATGAGGCTTCTACTTTATACGTAGCTTATAGGGCTATAATGAAGATTCAAAGTTGATATACACAAAGACTTTGTAATAATAGCATATAGTAAGACATTGATTAAATGTTATCTTTTGAAAATATGACATAAGACCGAAGAATAAGGCACACAATTGGGATGTCAGACCTGTAGGGCAGGCATGTAGACAGGCCTGCATTCTTGTGAGCCAAGTCTGTGGGAGTTTTCACCCTTTTACACTTTTGCTGTCTCTAAACTATTCTCTAGCTTAGCTCCGAGAGTATAACTCAAGCCGAACTTGAATCATGATAAAGTCACATTATCCTCTGCACTAGGAGTGGAGAAGTGTGGAGTCCCATCCTCTCCAACAGCATTTATTGAACCTCCCTGTGGTGCCAGCCACTGAGCTAGATGTGGGAAGTGTAGAGACTACTGGCCTAGACCATGACCTTTAAGAGTTTGTGCCGTTATCTGTGAGGTTATGTGATGATCTGAGGAGCCTAAAACAGGTTGTTTTTAGAAAAGTTCTATACTACAAAATAAGATGAGAAAACAGATAATCCCATTGCTTAATATGTTGGTATGCATAATTCCATCTTACTACTCATGTATGATCGCTTTATCACCTGTTTATCTATTTGTCTGTCTTCATAAAGTTGTTTTGTATTAATGGAATGAGTCCATATGTATATATTATTCTGCAATTTGGTTTTTTCATTTAACAATGTATCACAGCATTTTTAAGACCCAGATTTCTAGTGGTATTTCATTCTTCTTAATAGGTACATAATACTTATTGAATAGATGTACCATAATTTACCTGATCATTCCCTTTGTATCCATATTGGTGTGCAATTTAACAATTGTTAAATTGTTGGATGACATCTTTTAAAGGGCAGTTTGTTTACCAAACCATTTACACTAGATTGAGCTCTTCAATTTGGCAATAGCTCTCTGAATATTCTATCACAGCAGTTGATCTTTTTCAAGAGAGAGAGCTTAGAAAATTTATCTTAATCTCTTGGTGTGCAAAGAGTATATTGATGGAGTGTTCTTGTTGGTTTTCTTTTTTTCTTTTTTTTGCATGAAGTTGGCATTGAGCTTCTTGCTTTTAGGGGAGGACTTGTCTCGTCTGGTGAGTGTTTGCAAACATTGTGGAAAAATCCAGGTGCTGCATGTTTGGGGCCTCTGGAGAAGTATAAGTGGCCTCTCAAGAAAGTTACCATGCAAGAGCAGTGAGATGGCATAACTTAGGGAAGTAAAAATTAATGATGGATGAAACTGGCTCATTTTAGAAACCACATCCTGGGCAGAAATAGGCTCTTCACTGGCTGCATCTGCAGCCCTGGCCCTGCCCACACGTCTTCCTCCAGCGGGTCTCAGCCTTTCCTTACAATGTCATCTTGTTGTGGCAACAAAAGGACCTTTTTTAAGGCAAAGACCTTTGGAATACTCCATGGCCTTCCTCCTTGAATATTGGGATGGGCTCAACGAAACCAAATCAGAAGACAGAGTCTCAAAAGACCTAAAGCAGCCTGCTGCATGATTTCCTGAGTTGGTTTTGGTACTTACTAGACCCCACGTGTGGGCAGGAGGAAAACCACTGGCTTGGTTGAAGGTAGCACCTGTAAACCTAGTCCAAAGATGCCGTGGGGAGCCAGCTGATACTTACTGGCTGATCTCAGCCACAGGCGGACCTAGAGGCTTTGGGATAAGGAGCTCAAGGTGATTAGGGAAGCACAGAGAATTCTCCTTGTCTCTAGGTTGATCCCACAACCCGGGACTGCTTCCCTACTTCTGTTTGGAGGCATCATAAACCTCCTATGCCTAAATATATCCCAGCTCCCTACCTCTGTCTCACCTCTAGCTAAGTGAGTCTTCCCTTCTACATGAAATTCTACTCTCAAAGTAGCTCAGGGAAGCAGGTGGGATGATGGAAAGGAGGGAGAAAGGAATAAAAAGTGAAAGTGAATCTGGAGCAGACAAGGAACTTTTGAATATTCATAGGAAAAGGAAGGAGCCTCACTGAAAACCAGGCAGATGCTATGGACATGCAGTTCCCAGTGTATTAGCTTCCCAGGGCTGCTGTAACAAAGTGCCACAAAGTGGGTAGCTTGGAACAAAAGAACTTCATTGTCTCATAGTTCAGGAGGCCAGCTGTCAGAAATCACCATCAGTGGGGCCATGCTCCCTCTGACACCTGTAGAGGAAGGACACTTCCTTGCCTGTTCCAGTTTCTGGTAGCCCCAGACGTTCCTGGGCTTGTGGCAGCATCACTCCAACATGGCATGATTCATTCTTCCTGGGTGTCTTCACATCATCTTCCCTCTGTACATGTCTGTCTCTGTATGCAAATTTCCCCTTTTTATGAGAATACCAGTCTTATTGAATTAAGAGCCCACCTTAATGACTTCATTGTAACTTGGTGACCTCTCTAAAGACCCTATTTCAAAATAAGGTCACATTCTGAAGTACTGGGGATTAGGACTTCAACATATCTTTTTTGGGGGAACAAAATTCAACTCATGACACAGAGGAAGGATTTCAAAAAGCTAATAAGCTTATGAACAGCGAGGACATATTGTAGGGAAGGACAGCTTTCTTTACTCACCCATGGCTAGGTTCATGGCTAAGATCCCTATAACAAAAGATAGATTAACAAGAGAAAAACATACACATTTAATATAAGTTTTATGTGACATGGGGACATAAAGAAGCAAGGAAACCTATGTATTTTTAGGCTAAGTTTCATGAAGAAGTGGGTAGTTGTGGAGAAGTATGAGTGTGGACAAAGGGGGTATAATCTAATGTTACTAAGTTGGGGGGAATTTAGCAAGGCCTGTTTGTTCAGATTCTTCTCTGTATCTTTAGAGTTAAGGATGTTCCTTTACTCAGGGAGAAATGGGAGGAGAACTCTGGAATGAAAGTTTTATGGCTTGCTTCATGGGAGTAGCATGAGTGGAAGCTAAGAGTGACCTTCCTGCTTCTGCTGTTTTCTCAAATGCCAAGGCGCCATATTTTGGGCTAGCATGTCCTAAACCCATCAAGATAATCAAAACCACTAGCAATCAGAGGAATGCAAATTAAAACGACACTTTCCTCTATAGGGGTTGCAAAAACTAGAAAGCTGTTAATGCCAATTGTTGGTTAGAGTGTGAGGACAGAGAAACACTCATGTTCTGCTAGTGGGCAGGAGTGTAGACTGGAGCCACCATTTTTTGGATAGCAACCTGGCAGACCTTGATTAAATGAAAAATGTAATGTCCCAGCAATTCAGCGTCTAGGAAGGTACCCAGAGAAATTCTCACACAGCACCATCATGACACTTGCCCGAGGATGTTTATTGCAACCTTATTATTTTTTGTGGTAGGGAATTTGAGGCAACTTAGATGTCTACTGGGAGAGATGAGAGTTAGATGTGATGCTACATGATCACATTATGCAATGAATTAGGTACATACCTAAGAACATAGATCTTAAGAGTATAGTGATTAGGTTTTTTGTCTGTTTGTTTGTTTTGTTTGTTTTGAGACGGAGCTTTGCTCTTGTTGCCCAGGCTGGAGTGCAATGGCACTATCTCGGCTCACTGCAACCTCTGCCTCCCGGGTTCAAGCGATTCTCCTGCCTCAGCCTTCTGAGTCGCTGGGATTACAGGCATGTGCCTCCACTTCCGGCTTAGTGGTTAGGTTTTTTTTTTAGCAAGCAAGAAAAAGAATGAGATGTATAACACAATAACTTTTAGATAAATTAAAAATATAGACATATATCTTGATTGAAGTGTCAGTTATACAAATTTGTATATGTGATAAAGTGTCATAGAAGTATACATCAAGATATAAACACACATAAAAAAGTGAGCGCATGCACAGAGCTGATAAAACCTGGCTAAGATCCATAGTCCAGGTAACTGTTTTATGCTAATGTCAATTTCCTGATTTTGGTATTAAAAAAGTAGTTATGTAACACTGGAGGAAACCAGGGGACCTGGATTGTAGGGGACCTGGCTTGTAGGGGACCTCTACGTGTGATATTTTTCTAGATTTTTTTTGTATGTGGTAAAATATGCATAACATAGAACTTACCATTTTAAACATTTTTACCTGTTCAGTTCAGTGGTATTAATTATATTCACATTGTGCTACAACCACCACCATTCATTTCTAGAATGTTTTCATCATCCCAAACTAAGCCTCTGTACCCATTAGACAGTAATTCCCTGTTCTCCATCCTCTAGCCCCCTGTAACCACTATTCTACTTTTTGTCTCTGTGACCTTGACTCTTCTAGGTACTTCAGATAAGTGAAATCATGCAATATTTGTCCTTTTTAATCCAGCTTATTTCGTTTGGCATAATGTCTTCAGAGTTCACCCATGTTGTAGCATGGATTGGAATTTCATTCCTTTTTATGGATGAATAATATCCACATTTATTTTAAAATATAAAATATTAATATTTAACTATATACCACACTTTTAAAAAACATTCATCAGTTGATGAATGCTTGGATGTTCCAACCTTTTGTCTATTGTGAAGAATGCTGATATGAACATTGGCGTACAAGTATCTATTTGAGTCCCTCTTTTCAATTCTTTTGGGTATATACCTGGGAGTAGAGCTGCTTGATCATATGACAATTCTATGTTTAACTTCTTGAGGAACCATCAAACTGTTTTTCCGCAGTGATAATGGCTATACCTCCACCAGCAATGTATAATTTCCTGAGTTGGTTTTAGTACTTACTAGACCCCAGGCATGTGGGCAGGAGGGAAACCACTGGCTTGGTTGAAGGTGGCACCTGCAAATCTAGTCCAAAGATGCCTTGGGGAACCAGCTGATACTTAGTGGCTGATCTCAGCCACAGGTGGACCTAGAGGCTTTGGGATAAGGAGCTCAAGGTGATTATATCCCCACCAGGAATGTATGAGGTTTCCAATTTCTCCACATCCTTGTCAACACTTCTTTTTTTTTTAGATAATGGCCATTGTCGTGGGTATGAAGTGGTATCTCATGTGGTTTCAGTTTGCATTATCTAATGACTACTGATGCTGAGCTTTTTTTCATGTGCTTCTCTATACTATTTTTTTTAACTTCTTGGGTGTCAATAATTTTTGGAAAATAAAGAGCTCAAACTTTTAATTTATAGCATCAATATTTTATTTTATATTTTAAATATTTTATTTCTAGCATGTATATGCTACATATATGTGTGTGTGTATATATATATATCCATAGATATCATGCAATAATATTATTTTGCAAGAACACATAAAAATAAAAAGATACACATTAAACAGATTAGAATGGTTGCCTCTAGTGAAGTAAGTAGTATTTGGAGACTTAAAAAAATAAACTGTAAACTAAAAATATAATCCTAAGCCCCCCAACAACTGAACCTACCCCCTCTTGGCCAAGGGGACTCCAGAGAATCCTCAAAAACTGAGTTCCCAGCCATGATGGAAAGGGAGCTTGGGCACGCCTCATTATCCCTTTTTGAGTTTAGGCACAACAACCAACCAGCATTAATGTTAGAATAGAGATCATAAGGCTGATAAAAACAGACTCTTTGTGGCTGTAAGATACCAAATCATAAACAAGACCTAGGACCAGGCAAGGCACAAGTTAAATTATGCCCGAAGGCCACTGGTGTTGCTAAACAGGTCATATTGTGGCTGGCTCTGACATCATTATTTTAACTTAAACATCCCTTTCTGTTAACTCCAAGTTTTTAGACAAACTTTTGTTCCTTTAACTGATTGCCAATTAAAGGATATCTGAATATCAGAATTCACCTATGACTTGTAAGCCCCCTGCTTTGAGATATCCTGCCTTTTGGGGCAAAACCAATGGGTACCTTCCCTATATTGATTTATGTCTTTGCCTGTAACTCCTGCCTCCCTGAAATGTACAAAACCAAACTGTAATCTAACCACCTTGGGCACACTTTCTCAGGACTCCTTGAGACTGTGTTTCCCTAGGCTATGGTCACTCAGACTGGATCAGAATAAACCTTGTTAAAATATTTTACAGGGTTTGATTTTTCCATTAACAAAATAAAGCAGCCAGACACGGTGGCTCACACCTATAATCTCAGCACTTTGGGAGGCTGAGAGAGGAGCATTGCTTGAGTCCAGGAGTTTGAGGCTGCAATGAGCTATAATTGTACCACTACTTCAGCCTGGGTGACAGAGTGAGACCCCGTCTCATTATATATATATTATATATATATAAAATATATATATAATTAAAAATATCTCAGAGTATGCTTAAGCAAAATAATAATAAATTAAAAATAAATAAAACTAAGCAAGAGGAGGCATTGAGAAGACCAAGATGACAAAGGACCACGATCCAAGGAGTATGATTAATTTGAACGTTTGCACATGAAGTCCAAAAGGAAAAATAAAATGAGAAGGAAGGTGAGAAGGCAGGGAAAACACATTCCTCAAGCCTACAATCATGCCTGTTTCTGCCTCTCCTCATCCCACACGGCAGGTTGATATTTGGAAGACCAGTTTGTCTTTTTAGCCCTTAGGTCTCCTTCCCACTGCCCCTCCCTGGCTCCATGAAAGAGACCCAAGCTTGGCTGACGTGGAGGTGGGGAAGGTTTGGTGGTCCAAAGATGAATTGACAGGTGTAAGCATCCCCTTTCCTCCCCTTCCCACAACTGGCTAGATGCATGGCCTCAGGCCTCTGCTTCTTCTTGAGGAAAGTGTGGGAATTGGTCTTCTCCGAGGCCCCTCCTAGCTGCCTCACACTCTGACTTGAAACCGCTCAGGCCATCTTAACCCCAATCAACTTTCTCTGGGCCCAGCAAGTGCCAGGCCCTGAGTGTGGCTGCCATAGTCAGTCATGTGAGCTGTTGGTAGGGACCACCCTCTTTTGCAGGTGGAAAGGGTGGACAGGTTGTTCTTTCAAAGATGACCTCAATTGGCCTAAAACCTGGAGAGGAATCCAAGGAAGGTTAATTTTTTCTCAGGAAGCTGCCCTTTAGACAGTTTCAACCATCTTTTTGATATTTCAGCATTTCCAGTGCCAACTGGAGACCAGTTGACTCCGGAGGGGGGTATTTCTTAAGGGGTGTAGTCAATTTTTAAAAATCCAAACAAAACTCAGAGAAGAGGAAGCCAAGGGTTGCAGGTTGCAGGGAAGAGAGTAAAAAGCCCGTTTTGTTTTAACTCCATTTAAGTACTTGGCTTCTTTCAAATAAATACCAGGAATAGCACTTGCCAGAATTCAACTTCAATAGCACATATGTGTGAGTTTCAGCCCAAAGTGCTGTATTGGAAAGGCTGGCAACTCTTCTACGAGAAATTTCCCTCACCAGGATGTGTAGAAGACTGATTTCCATTATTTACATTACAGCAGGGACACTTTCCCATTCTGTTGCACTTGGGAAATAAGGAGCTGGAAATCTTTTAATTAAACAACTTGTTTTGTTTTGGTGACTAGCTCAGTGGAACCAGTACTGAAGGGAGGGTGTGGTGGAAGGTGGGGCTTTGCAGGCGGCACCCTGGCCAGTGGGCTCAGTGGTGTGGCTGGCAGAGTTTACTTCTTGAACCTGCAAAATGACTTGGCTTCAAAGTCACCTCGGTGAAAGTCAATTTGCTCTGGTGGAATTGAATTCAGAGATTAGAGGCACCACTGTCTCATGGAAATTTACAGGTGACACATGCTCTACAGGAGGGCAATGCTTTTTCTTTCTTAGCATCCCCACTCAGTTTAGAATAACAAGCAACATTAGCTACAGGGGAAAATAAATAAGTTCAGGAATGCAAACTACTTTTCCTAATTTACTGGGAAAGAACCTCTTTTCAGTATATAAATCAGGCCTTGTTGGGTTTTTTTTTTTCCATTTAAAAAAATTACAAAAACCAAATGTATCATTTGAAAAAAACACAACTATTAAGTATGTGTTGCTTTTAATTAATCAACTCAAGTCTTCCAAGCTACTAGCAAACAAAATGTGCATATATACTGGTACATTTAAGCAAGACTGTAACAAACATGCCATCTGTTTACAGTAACTTGATGTGAGTCCTACATATGCTGGCACACAAGGGGATGACCCAAGAGCTGTATTGGCTGGAATTTGCACCATTCGGACCCTGCATTTTTAGGAAGTGTGAGAAGTCATGCAGGCTTACTGGCCTTTAGAGAGACTTTAAATAGCTCTCCCCAAGCCAGCAGAGATGGCATATGCAACCTGGCTTGAGGTGCAAAGAACTGCCTGCAGAGGGCCGCCTGCCAGCAAGCGCACACACACGCACACCTGCTGCGCACGCTTGGCACGGCCAGTGGCGCTGGGTCCATCTCAGTGAAAAGCCCTCAGTCCTCTGCTTGATTCTTTTATGAAAACAGCACTGGGTAGCACTAGGGGAGGTCCCAAAGCTGCTTAAGTGGGATCAAACAAAGGTTCCAGGAGCATGTGTGCTCTTCAGAACGCAGGTTTCTTAAAGAAAAGGGAGGAAATTCAGTGATTGAATAGTTTGGGAGGTGCTGCAACCAGTCTGCTCCTCTAGAAAATGCATGGTGTTCATACACTGCCATAGTGGAGGGCCTGCAGCAAGGAACTCTGCTTAACTTTGTTTATAAAATAAAAATGCTTTTGAGCGGGGGACGGGAGAGTCCCCTGATCTGGAGAAAAGTAACCACTCCCTAAAAAATGGCCAGAGGAGCTCCCAGACAGAAATCCCATCCTACTTCTTCCTGCTTTGGTAAGGAAACAGGCACAGGGGAATGCACATCGTGTGGCATCTGGGGAGACTGGAGCCCCTACCCAGTGGTTCCCTGGTAAAGGTCTTGAAGATGAAAATTGCCCACTTGAGACCAATAGGAACTCCCATGCTTGGTTCAGCCCTGACTGGTAGAGATTTCCGCAAAGCTTCATTCAGAAGCTTGGTCTGGAGGTGAGGAGGGGCCTGTTTGAGCTCTCTGTCGATGACCAACTCTTCCCAGTTGACCAGGACTCTCCCAGGGTTAGCACTCAAAGTCCTGAATTCCAGGAATCTCCTCACACCTGGGCAAACCTGGACATTTGGTCACCTTAGCTCTCTCAGAAAAAAGACAAAGCATTCAATCCAATCTAGTTTTTAAAAGAAAATAAGAACTAGAGGTCTGTCCACAGGAGCTGCACAAGATTGCCTTTAACCTGGGTAATTCACCCTCTGCTTATTTTTGTTGCCTTTTAATCTGTTTCCTGGTAGTAAATCTCAGAGAAGAAAATGTACCGTGTGTTTGCCTGGGGCTGGGTGGGGCGTGGTAGCTGGGGACAGCTGGCTCAGAAGCCAGGGAAATCTCTTAAGGTGAGAGAAGCTGGTTGCACCCTGGGGCCTGTGGAAAGAAACAGCAGGCCAGCTGGTCTGGGCCCTAAGTGCCCCCCTTCCCCAGAGGCTGCTTAGCCCAGCCCTCTTCTACAGGGCTTCAGCCTGCAAGGGCCTTTCCCTGCTCCCTTCACTTCAAACCTTCTTCCCCACAATGCACTGGAGTGGATTAATTCCATGCTTTGCACTGTTTCACGCTGGGGAGGGAGTACGGCTCTGGGAAAAACATTAAAATGTGTTCTTGGCTCTTTTCACACCACACTTCTTTTCCTTGCTCCTTCTCTTCTTTCATCTTTGCTCCTTCTCTTCTTCCATCTTTGCCTTCTATCATTTTTATTTTTCTCTTCTAGGACTCAATTTTAAGTCCCACCACCGTCAAGCCCAAGTGCCACTACCGCCCCCTTGTGTTTTCTTGATGGAAGAACGCAGCCCCAGGGCTGCCCACACACCTGGAGAAAACTAGGGGTGGAAAGGTGTGATACATTTTCTTACCCATCATAAGGGGCACAGCTGACACTCCTATAGGAAAAGACAGGTTAACAAGAGGAAAGTGTAACAAATTATTTGAATCAAAGTTTTACATAGCGCAAGAGCCTTCACAAATGAAGACCCAAAGACCCAGAGAAAACCATCTATTTGTATGCTTACGTTCCATGAAGAGTGGACAACTATGTCAAAATGTGAGTGGACAAGGGGTGTGATCTAATGGCGATAGACCGAGGCAGGGGGACCCAGCCAGGTATGTCCAGACTCTTTTTGGCCTCTCTATGTAGGCTTTCTCCCCCGTATGGGGCAGAATCTTTCTGGAAAGAGAAAGGGAAGAAGGGAAAGAGTGACCTTTTCAGACTTTATGGCTTGCTTTGGGGAAGAGGGATCTTAGCTTTATGACCCACTGTTGCGGGAAGTCAGGGACCCCGAACGGAGGGACCGGCTGAAGCCATGGCAGAAGAACGTGGATTGTGAAGATTTCATGGACATTTATTAGTTCCCCAAATTAATACTTTTATAATTTCTTATGCCTGTCTTTACTGCAATCTCTGAACATAAATCGTGAAGATTTCATGGACACTTGTCACTTCCCCAATCAATACCCTTGTGATTTCCCATGCCTGTCTTTATTTTAATCTCTTAATCCTGTCATTTTATAAGCTGAGGAGGATGTATGTTGCCTCATGACTCCGTGATGATTGCGTTAACTGCACAAATTATAGAGCATGTGTGTTTGAACAATATGAAATCTGGGCACCCTGAAAAAAGAACAGGATAACAGCAATGTTCAGGGAACAAGAACCCACCTTGGAGAAGGGGGATTTTGGTTTCTATGATTTGCTTCAGGGGGAGAAAGAAGACAGGAGAAGATCAGAGGAGAGACTGCTTCTGAGGCCACGTCTGAGGCCTTCCAATCTCCTCCTTTAGTTCAAAGTACTCAGCGTGCCAAAGCACCATACTTTGGGGTAATGTTTTTTTGAGCCCCAACAGAACCAAAGACTGGATGTATGAACAGTTGTGAATAGCTAGAATGCCGATTGATTAAATAGGGTTGGCAGGCCAGGCATGGTGGCTTGTGCCTGTAATCCCAGCACTTCGGGAGGCTGAGGCAGGAGCGTTGCTTGAGCTCAGGAGTTCAAGACCAGCCTGGGTAACACAGTGAGACCCATCTCTACAAAAAAATAAAATATTAGCTGGACATGGTGGAATGCTCCTGCAGTCCCAGCTACTTGGGGGGCTGAGGCAGGAGAATTGCTTGAATCCAGGAGGTCAATGGCGTAGTGAACAATGATCATACTACTGCACTCTAGCCGAGCAACAGAGAAAGACTCTATCTCAAAAATAAATAAATAGGGTTGGCAAAAGAAACACATGCCAACTGAGGTGAAATTCAGACTGGGTGGCCTGAATGGCATCTGGGAAGCCAGAAAGTCTTGGGTAACTGAGGAATTCCCTAAGAGAGAACATCTTGATCTTGTCTATGTACAATGAGCCAGAGAGGGTCTTTATCTTCAGCTCTGATAAGCACATAAGGGCAGGGACTGTGTCTGTCTTAATATTGAATTTTTAATCCTTAGCACAGCACTTAGTCCATATTTACTGAGAGCTGTATGAGAGTCAGATTTATATCGTAATTACATTATTGTAATTACACATGAACAGAGAACACTATCATGTTTTTACTATGTGCAGGGCACTGTTCTATATATTTTGTATGTATTATTTTGCCTGTTTGTCACAAGCACCCTATAAACTCTCTCTCCCATTTTACAGACAAGGAAAGTAAGGCTGAGAATATGTAACTCACCCAGGGGAACTGGCAGAGTCAGTATTTGAATCCAGGCTGTCTGGTTCCTGAGCTCTCTCATGGACTCTTCCATTAAATGTCTCTCATTTATATGTGTCTATATTTTGTCACAATGCAAAAGCATCTGCTGTTAGCAAAATAAAATGCACTTTTTTTTTTTTTTTTTTTTTGAGATGGAGTTTCGCTCTTGTTGCCCAGTCTGGAATGCAGTGGTGCAATCTCAGCTCACTGCAACCTCCGCCTTCCATGTTCAAGTGATTTTCCTGCCTCAGCCTCCCAAGTACCTGCGATTAAAGGCGTCCGCCATCATGCTCCGCTAATTTTTTGTATTTTTAATAGAGATGGGGTTTCACCATGTTGGCCAGGCTGGTCTCAAACTCCTGACCTCAGGTGATCCACCCTCCTTGGCCTCCTAAAGTGCTGGGATTACAGGAGTGAGCCACTGTGCCTGGCCAAAATACACTTTTTAATCTAAAAAAATGATACATTATGGTTTACACTTGAGTACTCAAAACTAGCTAGAGTTTTTAAATATTCTTAACTGCTAAATACTACCATCAAATAATGCGTATGTATATAATTTAAATTAAACTAAATTTGGCCTGAGGTTGCCCTTATACCGTGAGTCCCTATATAATGAATTGCAACTTAACTTAGTACATAAGCAAACTGAAAGCCTAATTTAGGAGTATATTTTTTGTAACATCTAGCTGAGTCTCAGCCAATCACAGGCTGCCAACTGATCAGACAGATCATGCCCAGTTAAGGCAAACACAGAGCTGTAACCAATTGAGTGGATTCTGTATCTCACTTCCATTTTCTGTCTATAAATGCCCCAGCTTAAGGACAGCAGCTGTCAGAACTTCTAAGGGTCCTGAAGGCTGCCCGATTCTCGAATCATTCTTTGCGCAAATAAACTCTGTTAAATTTAATTTGTCAAAAGTTTTTTCTTTTAATGAGGTAAAGGACAATGTTTTGATAAGTATTAATGCACATTTATTTTACCTTTCTGAGAGCCACGCCTTTTACCTAGTTGGCCCCAGACCAATTTGCCTTGGAAAAAGGGATGTGCAGCACTGGGGGATTTGGTGAATTACAGTGTGAATGCAGAGAAAGACAAGACAGCATTTAGATTCTGATGTGTGAAAGATAATTAAGATTTTTTCCAATTAATCTCCCACTCCATCCCACCCCCTACACCTTAACATAGGAAGGCCAATCCTGGGTAACCCAGCTCACATAGTTCTGCTGGGGAGAGTAGACGTGGTATCAGAGTGAAAGCTTGAGATGTGTCGCCAGGTGATAGAAGGGGAGAAAGTCGACTCTTCTGGCCCAAGGGGATTGTGAACAGTCTTGGAGAAGGAGGTAGACCAGAATGGGTTGTGTGTGCCCAGATTTGGGCTTTATTTGTCTTTGGCTCAAGTAGAGGGGAAGGAAAAAGCCAAGGGCAGAGGAAGGGCTCTTCTAAACCAAGATACTCCTTAGGATATTGAAAATCTCTCTGGATCAGTTCTCAGACCTGCACAGCTCAACCTGGGAGGCAGCCATGCCAAATGTACTCTCACTACAGAGAGAGGCCCAGGGTGGAATGATCCTGGGCTGCCTGCACATCCCACATCGCATGGATGCTGAGCTGAGAGCCATGGGGCTTTCCCCGAGCCTGCCGTTGGCGGGTGGAAGGGATTTCAGGATTGAGGCTGGAATTGGTGGAGGTCTTTGGGAGCAGAGGACCACCAGGATGGCAGGCTGAGTGGAGGATGGGCCGGGGCTGAGGGGTCTAAAGTAGTGAGGATTGAGTTAATTTGGGGGGTGTCGGGGTAAGCCAGAATGTGGCACCCAAGCAGTGCCCAAACCAAGAAAGACCAGATAATAGTTTACACTAGTTGTAGAATTCAGCCATGAATGCCAGCAAAGCAAGCAGCCACTTACTCCCCCAGACATCTAGGCAGTGTCCACAGGAGAGAAGCTGGAGGAGATTGAAGCTATATGAGAGCCTGAGGACTTTTAGCTAAGAGATACTAACACTTCCTAAAGCATTGCGTGTATCATCAGAGTGGATTTATTTTTATTTTATTTATTTATTATTTATTTTTATAGAGATGGGGGTCTCACTATGGTGCCCAGGCTGGTCTTGAACTCCTGGCCTCAAGTGATCCTCCTGCCTCAGCCTCCCAACATGGTGGGATTGTAGGTACAAGCCACTGTGCCTGGCCAGATTTAGTTTTAAACTGGTTTGGTCATTTAGTTAACATGTTTTAAAGTATCAAAATCGTGGGAAGGAGATTTCTTATGATTACTCATGAACAAAATAAAAAATTCTGTATTCTCTGTGTATAGGTGAAAGTTTGCAACCCCTCTATGATAGATACATCCAGGCAAATACATTGAGGATCATGTCCATATTGATTATTCTGTTTTCACTCTGAGTTGTATTTTTATTCCCCCAGTTATTTGCTTTGCTAGCTTCCTCAAGGTGGTAGCTGTCTATACTGCAGACAGAAGTTGTGGCAAGGGGCCATCAGATTGTCACATGAACAGGCCAAATAATTACAATACCCACATTTGCTAACTACTCACTGGCCTCAGCTGCTTCATGTATGTAGCAATCGGAATAGTTCAAATGTCTTACTTATTTAATTTATTTTGAGAAGCCCTTCAAAGTTGAGTTATTCATACACTATACAATTCACTCTTTTAAAGTGAACAATTCAGTAGTTTTTAGTATATTCACAAAATTTTGCAATCATCACCACTATCTAATTTTAGAACATTTTTGTCTCCTCAAAAAGAAACCCTATAATTCAGGGGTTCCCAACCCTTGGGCCGTGGACTGGTACCAGTAGGTGGCCTGTTAGGAACTGGGCCACACAGCAGGAGTTGAGTGGCTGACAAGCAAGTATTACCTCCTGAGCTCTGCCTCCTGTCAAATCGGCAGCAGCATTAGATTCTCATGGGGGCTCGACCCTATTTGTCCTATGCATGCGAGGGATCTTGGTTGCGCACTCCTTATGAGAATCTAACAAATGCCTGATGATCTGAGGTGGAACGGTTTCATCCCCAAACATCTCCTCCCTATCCCCCACCTCTGCCCCTTGGAAAAATTGTCTTCCATGAAATGGGTCCCTGGTGCCAAAAAGGTTGGGGAAAAAACTGGTCCCCGGTGACAAAAAGGTTGTTGTAACCATCAGCAGTAACTCCTCATTCCCCTAATTTCCTAGTCCCTACCACCACTAATCTACTTTCTATCTCTAAAGATTTGCCTATTCTGGACTTTTCATCTAAATGGAGTCATGCTAAATGGTGTCTGGCTTGTTTCAGCTAGCATAATGTCTTCCAGGTTCATTCACATTATAACTTACATCACAATTGTATTCCTTTTTATGGCTAATGAATATTCCATTATATGGATATACTACATTTTGTTTATCCATTCATCGATCGGCAGACAATTTAGTTGTTTTCACTTTTATTTGTCTATTATGAATAATGCTGCTATGAACATTGGTGTACAAGATTTTGTGCAGACATAAAGTTTCAGTTTTCTGGGTATAAACCCAGCGTGGAAATGCTGGGTCATATAGTTACTCTATGTTTAATGTTTTGAGGAACCACCAACCTATTTTTCAAAGTTGCTGTATGATTTTACATTCTCACTAATGGTATACGGTGTTCCAATTTCTCCACATCCTTGCCAACACTTGTCATTGCCCATCTTTTTGATGACAAGCATCCTATCAGGTGTGAAGTAGTATCTTGTGTTAGTTATCTCTTTTTGGTTTCCAATAATTAACTTTTTGGGTGGTTTGCAGACATCTTGGTAAGGTTTTCTTATTCCTCTTAACATTGCTTCATGATTTTTTTTTAATTTTAGCTTCGTAGTTTACTGCTATTATACCTTTTGTGAGTCTACAAGAAACACTTCTACTAGACTTTTTTTTTTTTTTTTTTTTTGAGACGGAGTCTCGCTCTGTCGCCCAGGCTGGAGTGCAGTGGCGCGATCTCAGCTCACTGCAAGCTCTGCCTGCCAGGTTCATGCCATTCTCTTGCCTCAGCCTCCCGAGTAGCTGGGACTATAGGTGCCCACCACCATGCCCAGCTAATTTTTTTTTTGTATTGTTAGTAGAGACAGGGTTTCACCATGGTCTTGATCTCCTGACCTCGTGATCCACCCGCCTCGGCCTCCGAAAGTGCTGGGATTACAGGTGTGAGCCACTGCGCCCGGCCTCTACTAGACTTTTTAAGCAAGTGACGAATCATATGACTTTATATATAATTTTAATTGCATTATATATGGAGCTATTTCTTTACTTTTGAAGGGCCAAAAATAAAGTCACTGCAGATCTTCAGTAATTCCCTCTCTGGTTGCATGGGGTAATATTTGTGCCCTGTCATACTCTGTATGACAGATGTGTGACCAAACCTTACTCTGTTAATAACTTTATTTTTTAATTGAACTTTTACCTGTCATGGGCTGAGGGACAGGTTATATAGCCGATTCTGAGTTAATTATAGCTGCCATTATTTTTTCTTTGCAATGCCTGAGTAAGCAGTAAAACAGCAAGTTAAGTCATATTTGCAATGGAACCATGACTCAATTAATGTTTTTGAATAATAGGCAATAGTAATTAAGGTCATGGCAATTGCAGTAGCAGTATTCTGTGGTAGCCTGGCTTTAGCAAATGCTATTTTATAACATGTCCAGAGAGAAGGCAGAAGGGAGACAGAACATACTAGGTAGAAGCCCTCTTCTTCATGTCCCTTGCAAACTGGGAATGGAAGTTCTTGAGATTATCTTGCACAACTTTTCAACATCACTTTATCAGCTTCTATGTCAGAAGCGCAAAATTCAACATAAAACTCATGGGTCCTTCAAGGTAATATTTTTAGTCCAGTTAACCTTGTCTGTGAAAAGCCAGAGTCCTGAGACTGAATGACATATGCAAACATGACATGCACTTGGACAACAGAATAGGCAGGGGAAAATTAACAGCCCTTTCATTATTGGCTTTGTAAACCCAAACCTATAAAATTTCTTCCAGTGTAGGAGAGAATATGGCCATCTTAAGGATAAGAAGACTGAGGCCCAGTGTGGTCATGTAACTAGGGTATGATCCTTCCAAGAGGGACCTGGGTAAGCATCTGATTCTCATTTTAGATTTCAGCTGCTCATATCACCGTTTCTCCCAAACTGCAAGTACCAAAACTGTTGCCTGCAGCCTCATATTTTATGCTGATAATAACAAAATTTCTTTGGAGAATAAAGAAAATTTTAATACAAAAGATGAGACATTATGACCATCGGGCTCAAGAAGGGCTACAAAAGACAGGGAACTCAGATTAGTGTTCTGAATGCTGTCAAAATGAACATCAAACCATCCTTAAAAGTGAGGAGATGTTATTAGAAGAGAGAGACTAGGTTCAGAGACAGACCAATTATGTCTAAGGACCGTCCCCTTGCTCCTACCACAACCTCCTCACAGTTCTAGTTGCCCAGAAGCCCAGTCCTTGTCCCAGCTCAGGGCAATAGAGTAGTTTGTCTAAGCATGCTTCTCTGGGCCACTTATGGATACTTCCTCTCCAGTTTGCAATAATTCTATGTGGAACCTCAAGGTCCACGAAAAAGGCCCAATGGTGGTCACTTTGCCATAACATCAGTGAAACTTACATACAAGGTGTTGCAGGCTGGGTCCATAGGAAGCACGTGAAGAATAGCTTGCAGGAAGTTGTTGAGGAATGCTCTCAGAATGAACACTAACAGAGAAAGGGCAGGAAGCAGGACTGAAGGAAGAGGGTAAGGGTGAGTAATAGTGTGAGTAAAGACATGGAGACAGGAATAAAATCAATCCGTTTGATCGCAGTGTAGGATGACATCAGAACAACAGGATAAAGCCTGCAAAAGGATATTGAGGCAAGATAGTTGGAGATGATATCAAGAGCCAGGTTAAAGTTTTGAGCCAATAAAGAATGCTGAACAAGAGAGGAATCTAAATTCCAAGAGTGAACAGGAATGTTGAAGCCATGGGAAACTCTAAGGAGGAAGACCTGAGGAGATACAGGGCAGAAAAAGGTAAGCTCTTTGGATTAGCTTCAAATGAGAGATGGAAGTTGGGAGGTTAAGGATTAGTCAGCTCAGATATTTTAAAAGAAATATGCATTGTGCACTATCATTCCTTTATATCTTCCTGGGGTTTAAAAAGATTATTCCTCTTTTGACGTTTAGGACTCCTACTTTTTAATTTAAGATTAGAAATTTTTCAGGTTGGAATTGATGAAACTCAAAACATGCCACCCCAAAATATGGCACCTTAGTATATTAAATTTTTTGTTGTTGTTGAGACAGGGTCTTACTCTGTCACTTAGGATGCAGAGCACAATCATAGCTCACTGCAGCCTCAATCTCCAGGGCTTAGACAATCCTCCCACCTCAGCATCCCAAGTAGCTAGGACTACAAGTGTGCGACATCAAACCTGGCTAACTTTAAATTTTTTCTGTAGAAATGGTGCCTTGCTATGTCTCCCAGGTGGTCTCAAACTCCTGGGCTCAAGCATTCCTCCCACTTCAGCCTCCCAAAGTGTTGGCATTATAGGCATGAGTCATTGCACCCAGCCTACATATTGAATATTTTAAACTAATGTAATTTGAGAAAATGGCAGATGCAGGAAGATTGGAGTGAAGCAGATTATAAGTCACTCCTGTGAGTGGTGTCTTCCCCGTGCCCCGGGAAAAGGAACATCCTGTCTCCAAAGACAAGGGGACACAGAATAATCGGAATAAACAGGTCTTGCTAAGTATCCCCCAGTTTATTACCATTAGCTTATACTCCTTGCCCTATTCTATTTCTCCATGACTATCTGTTCTTCATCAAACCTACTATGAAAAAGTACTCAGGTTTAGCTGATTCTTTAGGGCTTCATTTCCTTATAAAGTCTCCTGTGTTATGAAAATTAATTTGTATGCTTTTCTCTTGTTCATCTGTCTTTTGTTACAAGGGCCAGCCAATGAACCTAAGATGAGTAGAGGAAAAGATATTTTTCCTTCCATACAGAGTGATCCTATAATTACTGAAAGAAAGATCATGAGTGCCCTGCACTGTGGGCTGGAAGGGGAGAGGATGAAGTGGGTTTTAAAACGTTTTTCTTGGAGGCAGAAAAATTTCACTGGTTCCTTATAAAGAATTAAAAATCCTCAGTGTTCTCTTAGAGACCCCACTTTCCTCCACTGTAACAGCAAATTTTTATTTATTTAGTAGGGCAGCCATAACAAAATACCACAGAATGAGAGGCTTAAACAGCAAAAGTTACTTTTCTTACAGTTCTGGAGGCTAGAAGTTCAAGATCAAGGTATCCATAGGGTGGTTTCTGCTGAGGATTATAGATGGCTACCTCCTCACATGGCCTTTTGTCTGTGTGTGTGGAGGTAGGGGGTGGAGAAAGAGAGATTGAGAGAGAGAGAAAGACAGAGAGAAAGAGAGAGATCTGGGGTTTATTCCTCTTCTTCTAAGGATCCCAGTCCTATTGGATTAGGGCTTCATCCTGATGATCTCATTTAATCTCCTTAAAGGCCCTGTCTTCAAATATAATCCCATTAGAGGTTAGGATTTCAATGTACAAATTCCTGAGGAGACACAATTCAGTCTATAAAAACAAATAACTCAATTCATGAGCCAGACATCTCTGATCATCTTAGAACAACCAGCCCTTGCTTGTTCTAAGTTTTCTAAGTCTTTCTAATTGGCCATCACCATTATTTATGGCCCCTAAATCATTGTATCAGAGCAAAGGTGATTCTTACCTTAGTAGTCCTTTATATTTTCTGAGGAAACAAAATGGTAGAAGAATTTCCTTACCATCCTCACTTTTATGGTACTCAGAGCTTAAATAAAGTTCATTATCACTAATGAAGAGGACTATAAACTATTTTGATTGGTCATCTTTATAAACTTTTGATCATACAACCCTGATGTATGTATTTATACATTTATAAATTATATATATACACACATATACATATATATAGTGTGTATCTGTCTTCCTCCATACACACACACACACACACACACACACACACACACACACACACACACAAAGGGAGGAAAAGAGTCAAACTCTGTAAAATATTTGAAGAGATTTATTCTGAACGAAATGTGAGTGACTATGGCCCATGATAAAGCCCTCAGAAGGTCCTGGTAACATGTGCCCCTGGTGGTTGGGATGAAGCTTGGTTTTATACATTTTAGGGGGGCATAAGACATCAATGAAATACATTTGAGAAATACATTGATTTGGTCCAGAAAGGCAGGATAATGCAAAGCGGGGGTGATGTGGGGTGGGGTGTTTCTAAGCTATAGGTAAATTTAAACATTTTTCTGGTTGACAATTGGTTGAGCTTGTCTAAAGATCTGTGATCAATGGAAAGGAAATGTTCAGATTGCGGAGACCAAAGTTCTTTTGAAGTCTCATAGTTGCTGCCCTTAGAGACAATAGATGACAAATGTTTCTTATTCAGACCTTTAAAAGGTACTAGACTCTCAGTTAATCTCTTCAGTATTGGGAGGGCCTGGAAGAAAAAGATCTAGCTATATTAATAGAGATTCTTTACAGATGCAATTTTTTCCCCACAAAGGACAGCTTTGTAGGGCCATTTCAAAATATGGCAAAGAAACATGTTTGGGGATAAATATTTTGATTTTCTTCTTTGTCATGTAATGTTATGCCAGTTAGATTGGAAAGTAAGTCACAATACATAGGGTTAAATAAAACTCACCTGATGAGAATTTATGGTTTGCAGGGCATGACTCCCCACATCCCTTGGATATTTGAACAAGATAAGAAAAACTCATAGCTTAGTCCTTGGAATGCGTGGGTCCACTTATATTCACATATTTTTAAAACCAAACACTGATTGAAAATACGTTATTTGAAAGATGCAAAATGCATGTATATGAAGGTCTGGCTCTTCATGTAGGAGGAGTTCCAGTCTGGAGGGCTGACTGCTGGACTTGAGTGTGCACAGATATTGGCATATGCTGGGGACTTGAAACTGTAACAGTTAAAGAAAGAGGAAAGCAACACAAAAAGCAGCTCAACAGTCAAACACGGGTTCATTTTGGAGAATAAACCCGAGAGGGGCTTCTGGCTGATTTTTTTTTTTTTTTTTTGGTCAGGAGAACTCTTTCTTACAGGCTAAGAGTATTTATTGGTGACACAGCTTATCAGAAGCTTGGAATGTTTCTGTGTGGGGGAGAAGTTTACAGAGAGGTTGGAATGTTTATGGCTGGAGGGGAGGTTATCTTGGGGCTGGCATGTCTCTTGTCAGGAAGGGGTTTACCTTATGGTTAGAATGTTTCTGGTCAGAGATGTCATTTGTGGTTTATGGTCATGCTGACCTTAGCCATTAGGCTGATGCCCTTTGGATTTAGGTGGTTTTTGATCAAGGGGAACTTTAGAATGGCGGTGCTTGTCCAAGATGATGATGCCCCTGCTCGGTCAATTCAGACTCTATAGTTATAAAAGGGATGAGGAGTGGCATATTCTTTCTGGCTACTTCCTGCTGACGAGGGGATGGAGAGTTTTCTGGTCTCAGATTGACCGCAGGGGAGTAATGCCATCTGTAGATGTTTTTGGGTAGTTGTCTGTGAAATGGCCATGAGCCTGTCAGTTAAAAATCTTTGAAAAAGGTTAATTAGGCAGGGTAAGAACATTAGTCCTAGGCACATTATTAGGAGAGGGCCCAGGAATGGGGATGACCCATGCTATGATTTTGTTCCCAAACCAAGAATCTATTTGGTTGTTTTGGTATTTCCTTAGATTTTTAGCCCTTTCTTTAAGTTTTTCAGCAGCGTCTCTTACTAGGCCTGATTGGTTGATATAGAAACAACATTCCTCACCTAATAAGAGGCAGAGGTGCATGATTGGAAAGGCCCATGTGTTATTTTCTGATATAACTATTATTCCTGCTATGAGGATAATAATTAAGCAAAATGCTACAGTAATTGAGATTCTCTTCTGATATTTCACCCTTAGGGTGCTAGAGTATATAGTCCTACTGCAAATAGTAGACTGAGTAAAGCAATTTCCACAAGGGTGGTGTAGTAAATAATTTCCATTAGAAATTTTAGTATTTGGCTTAAAAGGAGAGGTAGGAATGACAAAAAGTCTTTGGTGAGGTAGGGGTGAGACTGAGTAAGATGAGTAGTTCTCAATTACTTTTTATTTTTTATGATTTTCAGCTTAAGATTTCCTATTTCTTTACATTGATATTTAGAATGTTCCTTTGGGGTGTCAGGGGTTGTTTCCTCAGCTTTCCAGGCTTTGACTTGAGTGTGATGTATCCACAAGTTGATTCCTGTAACAGCTACTGTCTCAATTACCCTGAGTGTGATGGACTCACTAGACGTGCGGGCAAAGGATTCCAGGCACTCTCAGTTATTAGTTGTCAGCACCAGCAGTGAAGAGATTTCCTCCTGTGATGGTCAGGGGGCTTAGAGGCAGCGCCTGCTGAAACCGCTAGTTTTCAGTTCATAGGGCTTTAGGAAAGCACAGCTTATTTTGGAAACTTGTAGCCAGAAAAAATAGAATTTAATTTAAACTGTAGAGAATAATAAAAATTGAAAAATATTAGGCAACACTAGAATTTAACAACACATGCGCTATAGTTTTTGAGACATAATTTTCTCTCTCCAGTTTCCCATTTTTATTAAAAGACAAATCATGGTAGGACTGGTTTGCTTTATTATACTTGGCTTAGTTATTTGCACGCAGTACAGCAAGAATAATTATTTGTTACATAGGCCTTTTAAATTGGCTTTGATGGAACTTTGTTCTGCAGAAGGAATCTGAGATAAGACCTTTTTAAAGCCAAGCTCAGACATGGATTTGTACCATCAGTTACCTATGAGTTGGGTGAATTCCTCTCTCTTGAGATTCCAAGATAACTTGGGGTTCCTGGCCTGTTCAGAAAGTGACATCGTTTACTTACCACAGATCAGACACCCTGTACAGGGACTGTGTACACAGAATATGAGGCCAGTTTCCAGGAGCTTTATTGGCTTCATAAGGCAAGTTTGATTCCTTAAAGGAAAGCACACCATTCCAGTCAAAGCCTTGATAAAAATAACCAGTTTTTCCAATTGTGGCCTGTTACAAAAGAAAACAGATTTTTATTGCACTTATGCAAATAACTATATTGCCATAACTTAAGAATACTCACAGATAGTTTCCAAATTCCAGAGAAAATCAGGTAGAGAGAAACAAATATGCTCCAAATTTTGTTCATGGGAGTATACTAAGTTGTTAAAAGCTATCAATAGCTCAAAAGAAAAGTTTCTTTGACTTTGAAAAGCAAAACAAAGGATTAGCAATATTTTAAGCAAAATGTCAAAAAGATCACTCCAGTCTCCTGTTAGTTCACTTCATGCAGTTAATTCCTGTCCTGCTTGATATTAATGAACATTTTAGCTCTTCAAGAGTCCTGAACATTTTTCTCTATTCTGATGTCACAATCTCCAAAGTTAACAGAAAACTGCATTCAAGAGCACCTGTTAGAGCTTTATACCTGATTATAAAACCACCTTTTAAAGGGGACCAAAACAAGACAACAATTGTTTATGGATGACAAAAAGTTTTAAGGTAGCCATAAAGTCACAATTGACAAGGATATCTGTTACCTTTGTGGCACACAGTAATTTAAACATAACAATTATAATTATTACTGATAACATACACTAAGATATGTCAGAATTATAGGAGTCTCCTATAACTTTGGAACACATACCAATAATATATTTATACAAATATAGCCCAAAAAACATCATTTTATATTTGACAATGCTTTCTGTTATGACTTTATACCAAATAAGCCAAATTTTACCTTTATATTAGTGTGCTATTAATGTTAAACTCAATTTTAATAAAACCATGTAGACACATTTACCCAATTTTAATATTGGACTGTAAGGTAAGATGTTTATGGACCCTTTTTAACCCTTTATAATTTTTGTTAAAGAGCAGGTTAGTGCTTTAAGAGAAACCTGTTGTGCTCTTACTTTAATAATCAATTTACAGAAAAACTGGATGATGCCCCTTCAACTTTAGCCAATATGTTTATACCCAGCATTTCCTTTACAATTAACCTTCCAAAATGTTCTTAAACTTTCATTTTTATTTTATTCAACTTAGAACAATTCTTTAAACTTTTAATCTAGGTAAAAAGTCACACTCTTATGCCTCTTTATAATCTTTTTGCCAAAAGTATATGCAAACTGTTTTCTCAATAATCTTACATGCATGTTACACTGTTAACTTTTAGCAAGCTTTACTTTTGTTGGTAAGTTTGGGATTTTAATTATGTACTAGGTATAGAGCCTAGGACCTAGACAGAAGTGCAGATAAGGTCTGACTCATTCCAGCATTTAACTCCATGTGTCCTGGGTCTTACCTAGCTGTAAACCAGGCAAGTTGTACAGCTAAGGGTTATAGTGGCATTTTATAACGCATTCAGGAGGCCTAATCACTTTTAAATTGTTTAACATGTCTTGCATAAATTCCCTTTTATAAAATGTTTCATGATTTACACAATTTCTGACATGCCTCGACTTTCTGACTTGTAAACATCCCTCCCTTTAAACAACCAGTTAATTTACTTTAGGATAAGAATTTACCATGTAAGATTCTTTTTACATAAATTCTCTCTCTTTTTTTTATATTAAAGATAACAGTCCTTTCCTAAAACAAACTTCCTTCATGTCTATGGACTAGACTGCCTAAGGCCACAAGATTAGAAGTTAGGGTATTTCACTAAATAGTTCAAGATGTAGCTATCTTTATTAAACCAATATTAATGTTTCATTTATTAAAAATTACACAAGCAAAGATTATTCTGTTTGGGTTGAGTTATAGTTTTGTAGCCTGTATGCCAAATTTTGACAGCTTATAGTATTTGGCAGAGATAAGTATGAAATTGCTTGATCAATAAATGCAAATAAAAAATGTATGCTGGCAACTCTTAAGACATTTTTAATCTTATTGTACCAGTAAGTTTTAAAGATATTAAAGTCAAGTGAACTGAAAGATTTCACAGCTTTTACTTTTCCCTTAAAAATATTTGATTTAAGCACTTATTTTCCTTAGGCCAATTAATTATAGCCTTTTTAATAGTCATTGCACACATAACACATATATGGCCACACAGACAACCAAAAGAAGATCCGGTAGTTATAAGATTTTTTTTTTCTACTTTTCCAATTGGATTATTGGCCTTCAGATGAGGCCCTTTAAGAACAGGGCTAGGAAAACAGTCTTTGGAAGACAAAGACAGATTTTGGGAGATACTTATTACCTCTGATTCTAGGGGTTCCATGAGGAAAACAGATTTTTTCCCAAAATGGGATTTGTGGTGCCTTTTCTGTTTTCCCAAGGAGTCACAGGCCACCAGAAGTCATTTTAGGGTTCTTCACCAGGAGTAGCAAGGCAGAATAAAGGAAAGTAATTCAGTTGACTGGGAAAAACCTTTTCTAGGAAATCAAGATTTGTGATGAGAAAAACATAAAGGCCTTTTGAATATACTCATAGCTTCAATCTGCGACAAATCAGACATGGAGAAAGGGACATGAACAACGTAAGCAATGCCTTAAACCCCAGCCACTTCCCAGAAAGGGAGAAGGGCAGAGGTGGTTTGAGCAGTTTTTAAATGGGTAACAGGTAGAGAAAGAGGAGGAGTGGGGTTTGCAGCTGAAGGCTTGGGGACAGGAGGGGCCACCAGCGTGGAGTGTTCAGATGGGCGAGGAGAGGATGCAGAGGGATGAGAATAGAGAAGGAGTTCATCTGCAGGGTCAAAAGGAGTTTCAGAAGAGGGAGAGACCCAGGGAGGGTTTTCACTAAGAAGGATTTCATGAGGGATGCAAGTTTGACACAGAGAGGATTGGGATCTAAGGTAGAAGTAGAAGAAAGCCTGAATATAGAGAACCTCTTGCCACTTGCCATTCCTGGTTATAAAGTTGTTAAGATTCCTGAGAATATGAAAGTCAAAGGTGCCATTTTTGGGCCATTGGCTGACATTATCTAATTTGTATTGGGGCCAGGCCGTGTTGCAATAAAAAACTAAACACCTAAGCCAAGCTTGGCAAGGTTGTGAAGGAGACAGTCCAGTGGGAAGAATGTAGGAATGTGGGATTGTTGGCACCCATGTGGACTGGTGAGAAGAAGCTGAGGGTGTCTGTTTTTGTTCTAGGCATCCCCAGACAAAGGACAGAGACCCAGAATCCTCTTTCTAAAGAGGACAGTCAAGCTGAGAAGAAACTGGGCATCCCCAAGATTTCCTCTAGCTTAGCCCCGTTGGTCCTCCGAGGACCAGGATGGCCGAACTTACTTTTCCCAGTTACCACTAGAAAGCCAGGGGAGGGCAGATCTTACCAGTCAGCTGGATTAGTGTCTGATGTTGGATGTTCTGGTTGGAATTGGCAAAGGGCCTCTAGGACTGGAGCCACATGAGGGAGGGAGGAAGGGAAGGAAGGAGAGACAGAGAGAGACAGCGCTAGAAGAATGAGAGAGAGAGAAGGGAGGATGAGGGAGGAGAAAGGGAGAGAGTGAAATACCTGTTGCGGGTGGTCAGAGGTGGATTCCTGAGACCTAAGGGTTTTGGGGGCTCACTGGAGAGTAACCCTAGCCTGAGCCTCGCAGTCCCCTTCAGGTTAGTTGTCCTCCTCACACAAATTGCTCTAGAAGTGAAGTGAGAGACAACACAGGGTGGGTGGCCAGAGACTCTCAGGATCCAGCAGGATGAGCAGCTGCTGTCCACTGCTTCCAGGGCTACAAGACAGCCTCTACCCCCAACACCCATCCCAGGTTTCGGCACCAAATGTAAGAGTTAAAGAAAGAGGAAAGAAACACAAAAAGCGGCTCAACAGTCAAAGACAGGTGTATTTTGGAGAATAAACCTGAGAGAGGCTTCTGGCCAATTTTGGTCAGGAGCACTCTCTCTTACAAATTAAGAGTATTTATTGGGGAGAGAGCTTATCAGAAGCTTGGAATGTTTCTGTGTAAGGGAGGAGTTTATGGAGGGGTTGGAATATCTCTGGTTGGAGAAGAGCTTATCTTGGGGCTGACATTTCTCCTGCTGGACGGGAGGTTATCTTGGGGCTGGCATGTCTCTGGTCAGGGAGGGGTTTATCTTATGGTTGGAATGTTTCTGGTCGGAGATGTAATTTGTAGTTTATGGTCATGCTGACCTTAGCCATTAGGCTGATGCCCTTTGGATTTAGGAGGTTTTTGATCAAGGGGAAATTTAGAATGGCAGTGCTTGTCCAAGATGGTGATGTTCCTGCTCTGTCAGAAACCAATCCTTCAAGAATATTAAAGGACCACTGTATATGATATAGTCTTGCTAGAATGTTATATTATATTGTAAAATAGACATAAAATATTAAAAAGAAAATAAAAGTAAAGGTTTTGGCTGCTATTGTCTATAGAGGATGAGCTTATAGGGCACCTGGAGCAAGGGTTCTGGATCCCAGGCGCGAGGTTTGTTAAAATGAGTCTTCGGAAGCAAACCTCTGGTGACTCTTAAAGCAAATCTTGGGTCAGCCAACTGTGGTAAAATTAAATTCTGCAGTGGATTATTGAGGGGTTCTGGCTTGCCTGGATGGCTACATGAATATAGCCCTGGAGCAGGCAGAAGAATATGTAATGGACAACTGAAGAATAAGCATGGGGTTGCATTTAGCCACAGAAACCATGTGTTCTACATCAGTGCACAGAAGAAAAGGATGTGACGACACCAAGAGAGCAATGCTTTTCATACATGGATGTAGTTTTTATGGAACCTTTTTCCATTTTTTGCTTCTTTTGTGATATAATTTGTCCAGGTTTTTATAATAGTTTGTGTGTAGCAGGACAAGTCGCGGACAAAACCCCTCAGACACTGAGATAGTGAAGGGAGTGGCTTTAATCAGCTGGGAGTATTGGCAGGCTAGCGTCTTAAAATCCGAGCTCATCAGGTGCTCAACTTCTGTCCCTTTTAAGGGCCCGCAACTCTAAGGGGGTCCACGTGAGAGAGTCGTGATTGATTGAGCAAGCCAGGGGGTATGTGACAGGGGCTGCGAGCACCGGTGGTCAGAGTGAAACAGAACGGAATGGGAGGTATCACGATGTCCTTCCATACAATGTCTGGAAACTATAGATAACAACAGTTGCTAGGTCAGGGGTCAAATTTTAACTACCAGGCTTAGGTCAGGCAGGCCAGGCCTAGTTTCGGGTCTGGTTCCTTGGTTTCAGGTCTGGTTCCTAGGCACTGGGCTACCTGCCTTTGGTTTCTCTTCTCTTTCGTTTTCTGAGTATAAAACAATATGAGAGGGTCTCTCTCTTCCCTCAGGTGAGTTTTCACTGACATGTGAAATAAATGTATAAAACTGTGGATTTAATTGTGAAGTATTCTTTCATGTTTAAGTTTCACTCATTTTCTTTTACCTTATGTCAATGTACAGAATGCTAAACTTTTTTAGAGAAAGACAAACTAAAAGTAATGTTAACTTAAAAATAAAGCAAGGTCAGGCATGGTGGTTCACACCTGTAATCTCAGCACTTTGGGAGGCTGAGGCAGGCAGATGGCTTGAGCCCAAGAGTCCAAGATCACACTGGGCAACATGGCAAAACCCCATCGCTACAAAAAATACAAAAATTATCCAGGCATGCTGAAGTGCGCTTGTAGTCTCAGCTACTTAGGAGGCTGAGGTGGGAGGATCACCTGGGCCTTGGTTATGGTGAGCTGTGATGGTGCCACTGCACTGCAGCCTGGGAGACAGAGTGAGATCCTGTCTCAGTAAATAAATAATTAATTAATTAAAAAATAATAATAAAGTGAAATGACTATTTCTTCCTACACTTCACTCTGAGGACCAGTGTGCTAGAGGGTGGCTTTGCTCAGGGTGTAGGGGGGAAATCCTAATGAATCTGGAGCCACTGATTTTAGATCCTGGTTGCCCACTTATCCATTGTATCATCTCCTCTGAGTTTCTTAGTTTCAGCAAAATAATAGACCTAGGAACTCCCAGGTAGCTCCAACAGGCTAAGATTCCTGGCTGAGCTTTGGTCTATTTTGGCACCAAATCTATTTTGGTGAATATACAAAAATCATTGTGCCTTCTAGCAGCCCTAATAGAGGGAGGGCAGGCAGGGAAAAAAGTACAGTTGGTGCTTCCTATACTACCTATAGGAAGAGGGTCAAGGCTTTGATTTTTATCTTTTTTTTTTTTTTTTTTTTTTTTTTTTTTGAGACGGAGTCTCGCTCTGTCGCCCAGGCTGGAGTGCAGTGGCGGGATCTCGGCTCACTGCAAGCTCCGCCTCCCGGGTTCACGCCATTCTCCTGCCTCAGCCTCCCAAGTAGCTGGGACTACAGGCGCCCGCCACTACGCCCGGCTAATTTTTTGTATTTTTAGTAGAGACGGGGTTTCACCGTTTTAGCCGGGAGATTTTTATCTTTAAAGAAACTTATTTAGCATTCAAAGCGAAAGCTTGCCCTTTAGTTATGAAAATTTCTCAGTAGCTACTTGTCAGCAGACGTTAAGGACTATTAGAAAAGGAGAGGAGAGTGAAATTTTTATTTACTTGCAAATGGTCCAGGCTCCAGTACATTTAGAATGCAAACCCAGCTTGTCTTCCAGTCACTTAGATATGAATTAAACCTTCCACCTAACAGCCCCAGTGTATTTGAAACACCCTCCCCAGGGTAATAGGGTTTTATCTGAGGAGCCCTTTGGGGGAAAAAGGGAAAAGGCCAGGTCCTGAGAATAAAGCTTCTGTTGTTATGCTAATGTGCCCTGAGCAGGGGTGAGTGGTAAGTTCTCAGCGCAGGCTTCCCCTCTGTCAAGTTTTGGATACTTGTGGGGTGAAACGCCACACTCATACAGATATAAATATGAACCTGTGCTAAAGATTTTACTTACACTGGCAAGGTGTAACAATCAAGTCAAAGGAAAAGTTTTAAAAAGCACTAACATAGGGAGTACAGGAATGTTGAAATTAATGTGCAACAGCCTCCCCCCCAAACCAGATTATTTTACGTTAGGAGATAAAAGTCAATGGAACCTCTACCAGATAGTACAGAATTTACATGTCTATAGCCAAGAATTATTTTGCATTGCCATTAGTCAGACACAATCATAGAGCTGTAAAATAAGTCCTAGACAATCAGATAACCCAGAGATGGGTCCTCTAGAACCTAGGCAAAGCATAGATTTTCAATGAAGCACAAATTTGTCCCTATTGCTTGACCCCGGGGGCTAATATGAAGGGTGCCCACTGCAGTTGTGCAGTGCAGGGGCTGCTGGGCCTATTTTATATTCACAGTTCCTCATCTCTCCTGTCGTCATTTCCTTTGGTGTATTTGTTACCAGAAAGGGGTCCTGATCCAGACCCCAACAGAGGGTTCTTGGATCTCATGCAAGAAAGACTCTGGGGAGAGTCCACAAAGTAAAGTGAAAGCAAGTTTATTAAAAAAGTAAAGGAATAAAGAATGGCTACTCCATAGGCAGAGCGGCCCTGAGGGATGCTGGTTGTCTATATTTATGGTTATTTCTTGATTATATGCTAAACAAGGGGTGGATTATTCTTGAGTTTTCTGGAAAAGCAGGGGTGGGGTGGCTGGGGGGTGGTGGTGGCAACTGCTGAAACTGAGGGTTCTTTCCTCCACTTTTTAGACCATATAGGGTAACTTCCTGATATTGCCATGGCATTTATAAACTGTCATGGCGCTGATAGTGTCTTTTAGCATGCTAATGTGTTATAATTAGCATATAATGTGGGACTACCAGCGGTCACTTTTACTGCCATCTTGGTTTTGGTGGAATTTGGCCGGCTTTTTTACCACAAACTGTTTTATCAGCAAGGTCTTTGTGACCTGTACCTTGTGCCAACCTTCTGTCTCATCCTGTGACTTAGAATGCCTAACCTCCTAGGAATGCAGCCCAGTAGGTCTCAGCCTCATTTTACCCAGCCCCTATTCAAGATGGAGTCACTCTGACTCAAATGCCTCTGACATCTTGAAGGTCTGGCTTTAAGTGCAGCTTTCAAGCAGAGCACCCACAGAGATGAACTCCTCCAAACTCCCAACATTTATAATATGTTTAGTTCTCTTAGTTGCTACTAGTATTGTGATACCTGGGCAGAGACTGGAGAAGAAGGAAGATGTCTGTCACTCTTTTTATATTTCTATGGATGACCTCTTCTTTTTTGGGTACTGTATGAGGAGGCTGGGGTGAAGAAGAGAAGAGATTAAGGGAGGGAAAAATAAGTTTCCCTTTCGCCTTCATAGTTCTTAGTGAGATGGAGCTCTGTAACAAAACACAAAGTGAAAGATAAACAAGCAGGTTTATTAACATGTCTGCCTCATGTGTACATTGGAGATACCCAGGAAGAAATAAGTAATTCTCAAAGATGTTGCTTTGAGTTCAGGCTTAAATACCATCCTTATCTGAAATAAAAAAAGAAGGGTGTAGGGAAGGCTAGTTATGGGGAGGTATCCAGGAAAAGCATGGTGTATTAGGCCATTCTCATATTGCTCTAAAAAAAACCTGACACTGGGTAATTTATAAAGAAAAGAGGTTTAATTGGCTCACAGTTCTGCAGGCTATACAGGAAGCATGGTGCTGGCATCTGCTCAGCTTCTGAGGAGGCTTTAGGAAACTTCCAATCACGGTTGAGGCAAAGGCGAAGGAAGCATTTCACATGGCCTGAGCAGGAGCCAGAGAGGTGGGGAAGTGCCACACACTTTCCAACCACCAGATCTCATAAGAACTCACTCACTCTCACGGGAGCAGTATCATGTAAATGGTGGTAAACCATTCATGAGAAATCTACCCCCATAATCCAATCACCTCCCACCAGACCCCACCTCCAATGTTGGAGATTACAATTTAACATGTGATTTTATGGGGACACAGATCCAAACTATTTCACATGGTAAATAAGAATAAGTTTGTTGTACAGATTTGTCAATAAGTTTGTTATGCAGATTTGCCTTCTGTGTTCATAGTTTCTAGCGATTTAGAGTCATTCTTCTCTTCCTAATATACAGTGGGAGACAACCTTAAATATGGAGATTTCCATCCTAGCATGGTGGTATGTGCTTGTAGTCCTAGTTACTTGGGAGATGAGAGGATGACTTGATCCCAGCAGGTGGTGACCAGCCTGGGCAACATGGTAATAACTTGTTTCTAAAAACGACAACAGCAACAACAAAACAGTCAACACAAATGGAGATTTCCTTCATAGATGTAAATTTCCTTACAATGGGTAACTTTAACGTGTCAGAGCTTCTCCTGTGTCTGCAGTTTCTTAAAATAATTAGCTTAAAATGATCCTTATGCCAAAGAGGCATATTTTGGAGTGGCATATTCTGGTCTCCAACAAGAGTATGGTGCAAGGTTCAGACTGGGCAACCAGCTGAGATGTGCCTACAGAGTTTTAGGGTGCTTAGCCAGAAACTGTATCCAAATCTTATGCTTTTTTACTACTTTGTTCAGCCAATTTGCAGAGGTAGGGTAGAGAGAGTGTCCAGTAGAGAAAGCAGAAGAGGAAAAGGTCCAAGACTAAAATGAGGGTCTTTGAGAAGGTGGTTCTCTCCACGTAATGCTGAGGATGGTTGAATACATGCCAACCAAGCTGCAAAGTAAACTTGGATAAAACAATATGCCACAAAATTAGTGCTCTCAAAACCCATCCTGTCATCCTAAGTTCTGTCCATATAGTTTGATTTTCCCAGTCAAGTTAATTTTCAAAACAAAACAACACAAAACAAAGAGAAAACCTGTGCCTCGGCAGAAGAAACATGGGTGGGAGGTGGGTTTATCATCACTGTAGGGAAAGCTAAACTTTCCTTCCGAAGGCTCAGTAATTGAGTTTGCTGAAATAAACTCACAAGAGACAGATTGACAGGAGAAAAGGCATACAACAGTATTAATGTGCAAGTGCATAAAAGGCTTACAAAGTTTGAACACCTGAAGAAGGGCCAGATGGCTGAAACTGAAATGCCCTGTTTGTAAGGGAGAGCAAAGTGGGGGATGTAGACAATTTTAGAGGAAGAGTAAATGGTTTTTAGGGGAGATATATGGGCTTAAAGAATAGACAATAGGCTGGGACAAAGTTTCTCTGGGCTCTGGGGAAGATGGTGACAAGTTATAGGAAGCTGAGGGACAGAACTGTACTGTGAACAACAGTTGTTATGCTGATAAAGTCTCTCAGGTAACAGGCCTCAGAAGAATAGATAAAAGGTCTGTACAGATGGGCATGGGAACAGCCTTCATTTTCTTCTTCAGTGACTAATCCCCTGACAATGAGATTTCAGACAAATGTTTGAAGGTAATTGTGTTTCTTTTGGTAGTACTGTCCTCAGTCAGCTAACTTCCCTAGAGAGAGCTCCTCCTTGTGTTTGGAGGAAGAAAAAGGGAAGGTCAGAGAGACCTTGCTTCTGAGGCAGCTTCTAAAGCCTTCTAATTTCCTTTAATTCAAAGTGCTTAGCATGCCAAAGACCATACTTTGTGGTATTGTTTTCTGAGCTTCAACACTACCTTGGTCCAAGTAATCAGGCCTGGAGTTGAAGCAGAACAGTTGGTTCTTCTAGCTGAGATCCCAAAGAGATGCATTCAGTAGTGAAACCAGCATTGCAAATTTATAACCGAGACAGTGAAAGAGATCTAACTTAACCAATGCAATCTTGCTTCCAACCTCCAAGCTGTCCTTGTTCATTCCAGGGTATAGGCCAAACTTACATTGAGAGGCACTAGTTTATCATTGGAAACAAAGAAGAAAACAGCCCTTTACCCAAACAGACCCCCTTCTTACCTTTGGACTAGACTGCCTTTATAGGACTAACAAATTAGCCAAAAGACTGGAAATTTTGGTTTAGGAGTCATGCAATTGGAGGCTACAAGATTCTGACCCTCCCCAAATTGCTTCTAGGAATAACATCACTATTGGAAAATCTTAGATCAGTGCTTGAGATATTTTGCCAACACTGAAATTGATGGACCAGCTGGCACCACCCAGATTGACAAAATGGCTCATCTGATCTTGTGCCCCCTCAACCCAGGAACTGACTCAACAGAAGAGCACAGCTTTGACTCCGTATGATTTCATTTCCAACACAACCAATCAGCACTCCTGACCACTGGCCCCCAACCCACCAAATTATCCTTAAAAACTCCAATCCCTGAATGCTCGGCAAGACTGATTTGAGTAATAATATTTCAGTCTCCTGCACAGCCGACTCTGTGTGGATAACTCTTTCTCTATTGCAGCTCTCCTGTCTTGATAAATTGGCTCTGTCTAGGCAGCAGGCAAGGTGAACCCACTGGGCAGTTACTGTAGCCTCCACCTAATAGAATTCTAATTTAGTGCCTCGTAGAAAGAATGAAGTCCTTCAGTGATCAGCATGGGAATCATTTTGCTTAGCTTATCTCACCTAGGAACCATGCTCCACATAGTGTTTCATCCAGTTCCATCTTCATTAATTGAACATATGGGGACCCACTTGGAATGAAGAGTTGGTATAAAGATTAAGTTGAAGACATCTGAGATTCAACAGGTACAGAAAGGAGCCTTCTTGAAGCATTCCTTATCTGACTAAAAGCAGGAACCTCTGGTATGTGAGATTGCCATAAATTCTCTCTTTAGGGCAGGTCTTTGGGAGACAGACCAAGAGTTAACCTACCACAGATTCGCTCTTCCAGGGAGTTTCATGACCATGAAGAAGATAGACCACTTATCACAAACTTTCTTATCTTTAATTTGTTCTCCTAAAAATCCATCTATCATTCCTAAAGAAACTTATTTGTTTTTCCCATAGATGTCTTTTCTTCCATCTTCCTTTTCTCTCATAACTTAAGTACATAAGCCCCACATTCTAACCACTTCTTTGATTTACTGAGCACTCCTGCATATATGCCCATTATATGAGCAAATAAACTTCCTCTTCTTCTTCTTCTTCTTTTTTTTTTCAGTTTAATTTGCAGGCCTCCTAAGGAACAGAGAAAAAGTTTTTCCTCCTTCACAAACTCCTGCTGTGTTAATTTGAACTAGGCATAGTGCTGCGTACTGGGGTTGAGGTGTGGGGAACATAACCCACAAATATCAGTGAAATATAATCTTTGCCCTTTAGGGGTAAATGGGAAATTCTTATTGGCAGAAACTGTTCTTTGCACTAGTAATGACCCATTTCAAAGGGTCATCCTTTCAGATCCTGTTGGAAGGTCTTAAATATTCTTTTGAATTTGGGCTGGGGAGACACATGGTATGAAATACAATGGAGACACAGGATGTTAGGTCAAACATGAGAAAGATGGTGCAGAGCTTCGCCAGCTGTATGAGCCATGAAGTGCCCCAAGAACTTGGACAGCCCAGAAGTTTGTCATTAATCTTCCCCATTTAAGGAAGAGCTCTTGGCTTATGTTAGCATATTTGAGTTTCCCTGTAATCTAGATTAAACTCCTTTCAGAGGTGTTATAGAGCAGGGGTCCCCAACTAGTACCAGTCTGTGGCCTGTTAGAAACTAGGCCACAGAGGGGAGGTGAGCAGTGGGTGAGTGTTACTGCCTGAGCTCTGCCTCCTGTCAGATCAGCTGCGGCATTAGATTCTGATAGGAGCATGAACTGTGCAAGTGTGGAATGTAGGTTGTGCACTCCTTATGAGATGGAACAGTTTCATATTGAAACTGTCCCCTCCGCGTCTGTGGAAAAGTTATCTTCCACGAAACCAGTCCCTGGTGCCAAAAATGTTGGGGACTGCTGTTGTAGAGTACATAGAAAGAACCATCAACATCTTTGCTAGAATGCATGCAGCTTCTGAAGGCGAGGGAAAAAAAATCCATTTTACTGTCTCATTCTAGGTTCAATGACTAAAGCCCATAAATCAAACTGATGAAAGATTAACAAGAGAGAAAACAAACAAACAAACAAACAAAAAACAAAAAACAGTTCTAATTATATATGTATGCAGCAGAGAAAAGAAATGTGGCTCTCAATCACAGAAAAAAAAAATGTGGCTCAAGGAGGCAGCCAGATTGAGATTCATACACCCTCTTAGGTTAAGCAAAGGAAAAGGGGCTTGGGGCTTCTGTATGGGGAAGACAAGTTAGGGGAAGGTGAGGGGAGGAAATGTATAGTAAATAAGGATTGCCTTGTTATGCAGATAAGAGTGTCTCAGTGATAAGAGCTGTCTCCTGAGTAGCTTTCTTCCTGCTATGGAGGCACTTTTGCAAATGAGAATTTCCTTATTAAATATAAGTTTTCTTTACAAAAGGGAAAATTTATTCTTTAGTTTTAGGCAGTTAGAGGAAATTTGAGCTCTTCCTCCATCTGCTGGTTCTCAATTGCCTTTAGCTCAAAATAATCCTCATGCCAAAGTGGCATATTTTTTTTGGGGTGGGGGGGGCGACATATTTAGTACTCTTCATATCCAAGCAAATCTAGACTCAGGTTAGAACATTTTCTCAAATGATGATGCATTTGGATGACTAGTTGGCTAGGCTGGGCAACAGATTTAAGAGTGTTTGAGAAAAGGTTACTGCTCATTATGGCTTCAGCCTTCCTGACATGCCTACCTCATGCTCCTTTTTAATCTCATACTGCTAATTTCCATTTAAACACTGTCTCTTCTTAGGGCTTATTAGAATTAGTTGTCTCTGGGCATTACATATTCAGCATTTTGTCTGTGTTCAAAATTTCAGCTAAAGAGAAATTCTCCAAATTGCACAAGACATGATGGAATTCATTCTTTTAACAGCCTTGTCTCACTAGTTTTGTGTTTTGCAGAGGAGAAGGCAGCTAGATTCCTTTCCTTTCATGTAATAAAACATAGAGAAGAATAGGTCTTACAGCAAACCAGAAGCAAAGTTACAATGAAGACAAATATTTGAGAATACATCCAAGAATTTTTTGGGAAAAAAATGTGCCCTGGGAAAATAGATTCCAATCAACACAAATTAATTTCTTAGGAAAAAATTGTTAATATTTCCCTCCTCCTTTATTTCAGCATTGGCATTTTGATTATGGGATTCAATTCATGCCACAGAATGAGGACATGGTTTGATCCTGTCCAATGCAAGTCTTGTTGGGGATGAAAAATAAAATTTGGTACTAATAAGGTGTCCATACCTTAATGGATGAGAAATAGATAAGTTCTTCTGGTGCAGGTACCATGTCTTATTCATCTTTATGCCTCCGAAATGACAAGCCCAGTCACCTGTACATGGTAGATGATTGAAAAAAGTTTACTGAACTGAATTACTGAAGACAAGTGAATCTTGGGATTTGCTGTGTGCTCTTAATCTTTTGAGGCTATTGTCTAGGACAAGCTTGAGTCTTTTCTGGGAATGTGTATTCCTTCTTATTTTTAACTGTATACCTGAAGGTTTGTACATGGTTACTTAATCAGCATAGCATAAAATCCAAGGAAATAGCTCATTTACATTCTGCTTTATTTAAATTAGACCTAGGGAGATCTTACTCAGCTTACTTCATTATTAATAAATAATGAAACTATTCAGGAAGGAAACTTCAGTACTGGGGTGAGGGAGGGCTAGCTGTAACCATGTAGATTGCTAACATTTTAGTGAGGGCTGAGTACTACAAACACTGTGTATGAGCAATTTATGGAGTAAGTTTTAAATATAGCCTAGTCTTGGAGTCGAGGAATAACCAGATCAGTGATTGGTTGTTTCTATGTCTCATACCCAGAGTCTAGTTTTCCCCCTGTTAAAATTATGACCAGTAAACAACTGTGCTTTCTACAAAACTGGGAAAGTGCTTGTAATGGTCAGGCTTGAGTGATGTATGTAGCAAAGCAAAGTTGGCAGGTGCAGAATGAAAGATAGTGGTCACTTCTCCACTCAGGATTTATTTTCATTGTTTTTAGCTGGGAAAATAAATGTGGAGATTTTTCAGACAAACACGGTTTCTTGAAAATGCAGGTAATTGCTCCCATTGGTGTGCTCTGAAAGCACAGTGATACTTGCTAGGATAGATCATGAGCTGACATTACATTTCCAGGCTGGAACGCTGGCCTTTATCACAGCCTCAGAGGAAAAGGAGGCTGAGACTGAATGAGGCTGCAAAAGAGCTGACTGCTGAGACCATCACTTTTGCATATAAATTTTAGATCCTTTAATAACATGAAATGGTCTGGGTGCATTACAATTCCACATTAGGCATTGGCTGGCTGTAGACATCCAGGCAAGTGTAGGGGAGAAAAAGATAATTTTCTTTCTACCCAGTCTGAGTTCTTAGCCAGGACCCACTGTAACAAAAGATGGTTTAACAAGAGAAAAAAAAATAGAAGTTTATTAACATGTCTGCCTCATATATACATGAGAGTCACCCAGGGAAAAATGAGTAAATCCCAAAGAGATGGCTTTGAGTTCAGGCATAAATACCATCTTTAACTGAAACAAAGAAGGGTGTGGGAAAGGCAGGTTATGGGGAGGTAACCAGGAAAAGCACGGCAAACCAGGGTAAGGTTTATTGAGATTTGTCAGTGCTGTCTCCGCTGTTACATCTCTAGTGATTTAGACTGGTACAGAAAGGAGACACGAAATGGAGATTTCCTTCATAGATGTAAATTTTCTTTGTGTAATTTCTACTCTGTTTTCAGAGTTTCTCCTATGTCTGCATTTTCTCGAAATAATCAGCTCTAAATAATTCCTATGCCAAAGAGGCATATTATGGGGTAGCATATTCTGTTCTCTTACATGCTCCTTGCATCCCTTAAAGGGTTTTTTGTGGGGGGTGTTAAATTGTCCTACTATTTAAAACCATCTACCCTTAGTTATATAGTTCTCATGTGTAAATCTTAAGAGTGCAATTTAGGGCAGGCATGGTGGTTTATATCTGTAGTCCCAGCACTTTAGGAGGCTGAGGTGGGAGGATTGCTTGAGCCTGGGAGTTCGAGACCAGCCTGAGCCACACAGCAAGACCTCCATCTCTACAAAAAAAAAAAAAAAAAAAAAATTAATGCAAATTAATAATCTGATGAAAATCTTCCCACTTCCTTTGGGAATGCCAGAGCAGTGAGTCACTAGAGAGCCTTCCAGAGAGGGGAAGTGGCTGCATGCCTGAGCTCGTCACTCATTGGCACATCAGTTATCTCTGCCCTGCAGAGAGCCAAGGCGTCCTTCAGACAGGAAATAGGATCTTAGTGGGTGGCCGCCAAGAGCGCACAGACTTTGAAGCAGGAAAAGACAGTCTCTAGAGCAACATGGAAAGGATCCAGGTAAGGGAGCTTCTGTCGTCAGGGCCACATTGGCACCAAGGGGGTGCAGCAGAGGGGCTGACTTAGAAGAAGGCTAGTTTCTTCCCAATGCCACCCTATTCCACCACCCCACCACCCACGTTCTAAATGGTTTTGCGGAAGTGAATTGCTTAATTTCCCATCTTTTAGCCTTTAAAACATATTTTTCTCCCTCAAGTATTTGTTTTCAGGCAAAAGCAAGCCTCCAAAAGCCCCTTGGTTCTTCTCTGTGTGTCTCGCCCCTTCTGCCTTGTACACCAGACTGCCGGCAAGCAAGCGGGGAGGTGGCGAACAGCTGGGATCCTCCAGTGAAAAGTTTGCTCAGCGCGAGAGATGTCAAGAGGCTGGGATTGTCGCCTATCGGGAGGTGGGGAGCTCTCTCACTCACACTTCCTGGGAAATGAAGGAGAACTAATAGGCAGCCCGCATTTGCAGCCAGCCAACCTGGGTGGTATTCCTTGAAGTGAAGCGCTCATAAATCCCTTCTGGGGCCAGAGCCGGTTTCACAAGCTGCAGGATTTGGGTGGCCTGCCTGCTCTTTGGGAGCGGGCTTGGGAAGCTGAAGAAATTGAATCAGGACCTCAGGCCCTTTACAGACTCCCTTCTACACTTGGTTGCTGATTAAGAACATTATGTGGCATTTAAAATGGCACAATTATCTTCCGTTGGCCGTTCCTAGCTAAAAGTAGACTCCTATCAGCCCGTGACTGACGACAAGAAGGCTCTTCGTCCCTGTTTTTGAAATAAACATGGGTATAATCTGAATGTGTCAACTGCTTATTTCCTAAGGGAGTCTAATGGATAATTTTTAAAATCTAACTTGGACGTATTCATAATAAGCATCGTCCATTTTGCTAAGTTCTTTCCTAAGGCAAATAAATAGAGTCTTGCAATTGCTTTCTTTGTTCTTGTCAGAATGTTTCAGGTTTAGATTTCTCACCCCAGGGGAAGAAGAATGTGTGTACAAGTACATTTGGCAAACTGGGTTTGAAAATGTAGAGGAATATGCTTCTCAATAGAGAAGTTTCCCTCCCATATTTTCTTATGCTATGGGTTGGAAAGGCTATGTTTCCCTGTTTGCCAAATGCAAAAACAAACAGGCAAACAAACACAATTTTTAAAAAAAGTTAAAACAATAAGAAGGCCAGAAGCAATCTAATTTCAGTAATATTTTTAAGAAATTAATGGCCTGTATATGTGGCAACAGACACTTGGAAAAGATCAGGCCGACAGATGGGCACAAGTAAAGCCACAGGAAAACTGGGAAGGATGATAAATATTATCTGTAGGACATTTTTATCCCCCTTGTTAATTAACTATCCTGCTTTTCTTACAACAGCTATGCTTATTTTCCTTTTTACTCCAAAATTGTTTTATTTCATATTGCTTTCTTTCAAGTTTTCTCATATTTCCCTCCTGTGAGTTTTTTTTTTCTTTTTTTTTTTTTCTATCCCAAATCTGCTTTGATTTTCCATCCTGTGTTCTCTCCCACATCTCCTTCAACAAGGTTTTTGCAGGGAGAAAGGAAGGACATTTCCTTTGCCTCTTGTCAACTTCTTAACAATTTTCTTGCTATTAATGTCTAACAACTTTCCAGCCCCAGGGAATACACATACCTTCTTTTTCTATAAATTGTTGTGTGCTGTTCTCACTGCCCATCGTTGAAAATGCAACATGGCATTATTAATCTTACTCTCACTCTCTTTTTTTTTTCCTCTTAGAAGAATTCCACAGATGAATTGGTTCTGCCCTGTATCTTTGAATGGTTTTTATTTTCTGATGTCCAGTGTGGCAGCCTGGCAGAGACATTTAGTTGAAAGAACACGGGGCTCTGGAAACAACCAGTCCTCCTTGGTTCATATTCTCGTGTTGTCACTTATTAACCGAGTGACATTGGGTAAGTTCTTTTGTCCCTTTGAGCTAGTGTCTTCATTCCAATAACTATTCCTACCATCTGAGTTTGCTAATGGGTCTCAGGGAGAGGTAAGACATATATCACTTGGTACCTCATTTCATTTCTCTGATAGCAGAAAGTGGGAAGGTCATGACCAGTCAAGGGGCCTCTGAGTCAATCACGATTTTTCCTTCTGCAGAGTGTAATACCTTCTTTTCTTCCTGCCACAGAAAAAAACCACACTTGCTGAGCCAAAGAAGACCTTTCTGTTTTTTGAATAGCTTTGACTAGGTACATTTCTTGAAAAGGATTCTTCTTTGGCAGGAGAAGCCCAGATTTGAGGTCCCATGGTCCAGGAGGCATCTCATATACCTCTCTTGGTATGCCTACTGTCCCATTTTATTGACATCTCTCAGCAGAGTGGGAGATAAGAGGAGATGATGCTGGAATTCTTTCTGAGTATCAGTCTAGCATTGGCGGAGGGTCGAAAAACTGTAATAAAACTCTCTAAGGATTTGTCTAATTCAATAACTTAGATCTGAGCCAACTATCATCTCCTTGGAGAAGACTTCCCTGACCGTATGATCAAAATTACTTCCCCCAGTCACCCTCTAGTCATCAGTGTTCTTTTATCCTCATCCCAGCACTCACCACTCTCTGAAATTACTTGCTTATTTATATGTGTACTTGTTTATGTTTCTTGTTTGTTCCCTCCACTGAAACAAACTCTATGACAGCTCTTATTTTCTTTTCTAAGCCTCATTGCTTAGAACAGTGTATGACAAAAGTAGGCCCCCAATAAATATTGTTACATAAATAATTAGACTATAGATCTCACTAATGTTGGAAATGACCCCAGCATCTATAAAGGAATAAATATAGCAAAAGATATAGTTCTGGCTGGGCTCAGCTAATCTCACCTGGTTCATCTACCTGGCTGGGCATGTATGGCAGGGCAGAGTTTCTTTTTTAGATTCGAACTGCATCCTAGTTGAACACACTGATATATCCATAATGAAGTGACTACTCAAGAAGAATCAGGCAGCGATTGCAGTTTTATTTATTTCATGGAGTAATAATCACCACAGTTGATCATGCCTCCTCCTTTTTGAAAACAGTTTCTTACCTGTGTTCTCTCTTGAGTTTATCAGCAGTTGCACCCCACTTCAGTGTCCACCATTGGCTCCTGTCATCTCCCCAACCTTGACTCTCTTCTCATCTCTGTCATCGTTCATTCTCTAGGTGACTGTTTTAGTCACATGGCCTTGTTAGGAGTCAGAAGCAGATACCCCCAAATGTGGTGCTTTTAAACGCTGAACTGAAGAAGCCTCGAGGTCTCTCTGGCATCTCCCTACTCCTGACATCTCTCCTCAAACCTTTATCTGCCTAAGATCTAGACATGCCAAAAGGAACAATTGTTTCTTCTTCCCCTCTCTGTAAGTCCAAGAGTGTAATCACACCTGAACAGAACCTTTTCCAAGGAAATGTACAAGTTCATCTCTGTTCCCTGAGCCACTCATTCTCCCTAGTAATCCCCTCAACAGAATCGCTCTTCCCTCCCCTCCCATAACCTGCTCCACCAGGAAGGTGTGTAAGCTTCTGAATGCTCTTGAGGGGTGGGCAGTCTCTCGGTGGTTCTCCCCATGTATATACATTAAATAAATTTGTTTGCCTTTTCTCCAATTAACCAGTCTTTTGTGAGTTGATTTTTCAGTGAACCTTCAGAGCGTGAAGGAGAGGTTTCCCTTTGGTCCCTATAGCCTCAGATACCTTCCCATTCTGACAACCATGACATTATATTTTCAGCCTAGACACATATTTCCAGGATGTGTGATATACCCATTTGGATGTTGAGGTTGATTGTATGATGTCTACAGCCTTTGCTGTGTGACTCTGCATTCCCTCTCACTGAGAGGCAGGATCTACTCTTCCTGCCACCCCTGTGGAATCTGGGCTTAGTCATGTCACTTGCTTGACAGGATGAGGCCAAATTCAATGTACTGTAGGGAAAGAAATATCTTTTCCTCACCTATCACTATATTCATGGGTGAGGCCCCTATAACAAAAGACAGATTAAAAAGACAAAAGCAAAAACACGTATTTAATATAAGTTTTGTGTGGCATGGGAGCCTCCTGAAGAAATAGTTAAACGTGTGTATTTTTATGCTTAGGTGTAGGAAGAGTGGACAGTCATGGAGAAATATGATTGGAGGACAAAAAGCTGTGATCTGCTGGTACTAAACTGGGAGGAACTTAGCGAGGCTTGTGTATTCTGATTTTTCTCTGTGTCCCTGTGTCTTCAGAGATAAGGATGTTTCCTTTTCTCTGGGTATATGAAGGGTACTTCTTGAATGAGGGTCTTATGATCTGTTTCAGAAGAGAAGGGTAGGAGAAGGTCAGAGAGTGACCTTCCTAGGTTTTATGACCTGCTTCAAGGGAGAAGGGTGAGGGAGGAATGATAGTGACCTTCCTGCTTCTGCTGTTTTCTCAAATGCCAATGTGCCATATTTTGGGGTAAGATGTTCTGAACCCCATCAGTGTGCACATACTACGCCTAGTCCTCAAGAGTGCTTGTGTATTTCCACTTATTGTCTCTTGCGCTTCTGCTACTACCATGAGAAGCACAAGGCTCAGCTAACCCTCTGGCCCTGAGAGGAGAATGAGAAGGCGGGACGCAGTGGTGTATGCCTGTAATCTCAGCTACTCAGGAGGCTGAGACAGGAGAATCACTTGAACCCGGGAGGCGGAGGTTGCAATGAGCTGAGATCACGCCAATGGACTCCAGCCTGGGCAACAAGAGCGAAACTCTGTCTCCAAAAAAAAAAAAATATATATATGTATATATATGATGAGAAATTTGGAGCAGAGCTTCCTAAGGAACTTCAGTCAAGCCCTATTAGAGTGGATCACAAATCCATCTGAGATTAGTTGAGCCAAGCCCTAAGCAGCTGACTCTCTCTCTTTTTTTGTTTTGTTTTGTTTTGTTTTGTTTTGTTTTTGAGACAGAGTCTCGCTCTGTCACCCAGGCTGGAATGCAGTGGCACGATCTTGGCTCACTGCAAGCTCCGCCTCCCGGGTTCATGCCATTCTCCTGTCTCAGCCTCCCGAGTAGCAGCTGACTCTCATTTAACCCCCAGACTCATGAGCTATAAAAATTATAGCTTTAACCCATTGAGTTTTTTAAAAAAATAATTTTAGATTTAATTTGCGTAGTATAAATTGCATACGTTTAAAAGGTTCAGTGAGTTTTGACAGGATATACATTGGTGATCTCAAATACTTGGCATTGTCAGTCTTTTAAATTTTAACCATTCTCATGGGTAGGTAGGGGTATCTCATTGTAGTTTTTTTGCTTTGTTTGTTTGTTTGTTTGAGACAGGGTCTTGCTCTGTCACCCAGGCTGGAGTGCAGTGGCGAGATTTCAGCTCACTGCAACTTTTGCCTCCTGGGCTCAAGCCATCCTCCCACCTCAGCCTCCCAAGTAACTGGGACTACAGGTGCTTGCCACCATGCCCAGCTAATTTTTCTGATAGAGATGGGGTTTTGCCATGTTGCCCAGGCTGGTCTCAAACTCCTGGGCTCAAGCAATCCGCCCACTTAGGCCCCGCAAAGTGCTGGGATTATAGGTGTGAGCTGCTGCACGTAGCCTTCATTGTAGTTTTAATTCATTTTCCTGAGGACTAGTAATGTTGAATACCTTTTCATGTGCCTATTGGCCATTTGTTTATCCTCTTTTTGTGACTGTTGAAATCTTTTGCTCCGTTTAAAATTATCTTCATATTCTTCAATTATTAGAGCTCTTTATAGATTCTAGATACAAGTTGTTAGATACACGTGTTACGAATTTTTTCCTCTATTCTGTGGCTTACCATTTTGATTTCTTAAAAACACTTGTTTTTTCTTTTATGCATTGTGCTTTTTGTGTCTTATATGTGAGTTTTGAGGTGGTTTGTGACTCAGCATTCGCTAGCTAAGACAGAAATCTAATAGATATTTCAAAACCAATGTTTCCAAAACTGGACTTCTGATAATCACCCTTCCACCCCCTCTCTAACCTGCTTGTCCAACAGGTGTCCTCATCTCCAAAAGCGTAAACCATTCTTTCAGTTATCAGGCAAAAAACTTTATTCTCTTCTTCCTGCCCCACTCTACGTGTAATCATCAGCAAAGCCTGTTGGAATTTCCTGCAAAGTATACCCATAACTCCATAACTTGACCATCCGTCACCATCTCCACCACTATCACCCTGGTCCAAGCTGCCATGGTCTCTGCCTTGAGTTTTTGTAATCATGTCTGAACTGACATCCCTCTTTTTGACTTATTGCATCATGATCTATTTTCAACACAGAAACGAGAATGATGCTTCTAACATTTTAGGTCTAATTATGACTCTCATCTGCTCAAAATCTTCCAGGGTTTTCTTTATTCAGGTTAAAACTCAAAATCCTTGTAATAACTCACAACACCATGCACAATCTTTCCCCGCCTCCACTCTCTCTCATATCACTTATGACCACTCTCTTCAGCTGTCACACACTGCTCATGCCCTCCTGGACTTCTTGCTGTCCCTTCAATATTCTAAGCAAACATCTTCTCAAGGCCTTTGCGTCTGATGCTCCTGTATCTGTAATAGCTTCCTCCCATATAGTTGTGTCCGCAAATTCCTTCATTTTCCTAAGGTCTCTACTCGCCACTTTGACATCTGACATTACATGCTTTATTCTTATTTTTTCCCACCACCTGATTTTTATACATTTGTTTCATATTTGTTTCTCTTCACCTCTTTTCTTTGTATCCTGCCAAATCTTTAGAATGTAAGTCTCACCAGGGAGGGATGTTATTTTGTTACCGGTGGATCCTCTGGGCTTGAAAATTATAAGCTTTTCGAGAGTACAGTGTTAGAGTATTAACCTGTATATAATAAATAACTTAAAGTTTAAAATCAAATTTATAATTTTTGATAAAAAGAAAAAGTCTGAATATTCTCTACAAGTAGAGAATATGTTTAAAATGTTGATGTTCTCAGCTGGGCACAGTGGCTTACATCTGTATTCCCAGCACTTTTAGTGGCTGTGGCAGAGGATCCCTTGAGGCCAGGAGTTCAAGACCAGCCTGAGCAACATAGTGAGAACCACCCCCACCCCGCGCCATCCCTATTTAAAAATATTATAAATAAATAAAACGTTGATGATCTTAAATAGTCCACTTAACCTCTAACCAACACTTACCCTATTTTTCTGCGATTGTTTACACCTAAACTTCTCAAAAGTTGCCTATATTCATGGTTTCCATTCCAATTAATTAATCAACTGAAAGACTCCTCTTGCCATAAGGGTCAAGGAATTTTCCAAGGTTGAGGACAAGGGTCAAGATTACAGTAGGCTGGTACAGTGAGTTGGAATCACTTTTTCTGAAAGTTTACTCACAATAAAGTGGACTGGAGAAAAGAACGGAAGATGAACAGCTTTGTCAGATTTCTCTTCTGCTGGATTTTCTGAATTTCTCATGTTTGCTCTGGATAGTTTTTATTTTGTGCTTGAGTGAATCTGCTGTTTCCTTCCTCATATGCGTATTTTAGTTCAGAGTTTGTTTTTCTTTTTTTAAGTGCTCTTATCCTAACAGATGTTTTTAATATATCATGTCTTGGTTTTGTTTCCAAGAGGTGATATGCTGCAGTTTATCACTGAGGTCCTGAGATGGTCCATACTCTAAGCTTTGTGTCTACTGTGGGGGGCAAAGGGAAAACTTCCCCCTTGCTCTCTGAAGAGTCATTGAAAATCAACTGACAAAAGGTAGATTGGTAGGGAAAAAAATCCATACACACTTATTAATGTGGGAGGCATGGGGAGGAAATCTCCCTAGTGGGGTACACAGAAGCTTATATACCCTTTTCCTTAGGGGAGGGAAGAGATGTGAGATGAAGACAATTCTTTCGAGGGCCAGTACCTCATTGTTCAGGAGAATGACTGGACCAGGATCACAGAAATGAACTTGTAAATGATTCTTTTTGGAATTTGAATGAAGTTGAGAGGCAGGCATTATCTTGTGAAAAAGTCTATTCAGGTGTGGTTGCATTTTTCAGTCTTCTTTTTAAATGAGATTTCAGGGAGGGGATATATCTTAGTCTGTGTTGCTATAAAGAAATACTTGAGGCTGGGTAATTTATAAAGAAAACAGGTATATTTAGCTCATCGTTTTGCAGGCTGTAGAAAAAGCATGGTGCCAGGGTCTGCTCCTGGCGAGGGCCTCAGGAAGCTTCCTCTCATGGCAGAGGGGAAGGGGAGCCGGCATCACATGGTGGGAAGAAGGAAGCAAGAGAAAGAGAGGCAGGAGGTGTCACAGAATTCTCATGGGAACTAAGAGTAAGAATTCACTTATTGTGAGGATGGCACCAAGCCATTCATGAAGGATCCACCCCCAGATCCAAACACTTCCCACTAGGCCCCACCTCCAACATTAGTGATCAAGTTTCAAAATGAGATTTGGAGGGGACAGACATCCAAACCATATCAGGCAGGATAGAAGGCATTTGTGCCTTTGGTAAGAAGCTTTCTTGGTCAGATAAAGAAATTCTGTAGAGAGTTGCTCCCTGTGCTTGGCAGAGAAAGGAACAAGGCAAGGTTAAAAGGGCCTTGGTTCTGAGGCCTTTCAATTTTCAAAAGCACTCAGCATACCCAAGAGCCATACTTTCATTTTTTGTACCCCAACACTACGTAGCTCCCCAGTGGGAAACTGAGGGGACACACATTGATTTCCAGGAGTGTCAGCTAATGAAGACAGAAAGAGGCACTGTGTCTGCTAGATTGGAGGATGAAAGAAGAGAAAACTTAAATTGACTTAATAATGAACCAATGATCTCACACTAAGAGGAGTCTAGAGGTAGGGTGGGCCTCAGGATCCACATCTCTGTGATGCTTTTGCCTCTGCTCTCTTCTGAGTGTTGGTCTCATTCTCAGGTTGGCGTCAAGATGGGTTATAATTCTAGGCATCATATTTGGACATAACCGCATCCAGAGGAAGAAGGACCATTCTCTTCCAAACTTCCACTGTCTCTTTCTAAGAAGTGAAGAAGCATTTCCCACACGCCTTCCCCACCCCTGTCCCCAAGCAGATTTCACATTTTATATCAACAGACAGAAGTGCACCATATGCCTACCCAGTCTTAAGCTGGCGAGGGCCTGGGACCCCCATGATCACCTTAGACTTCTCAGGGTCTCACCCTGGAGCTCACATTGGGGTCATCTTCCTCTAAGCCATGCAGAGGGGTGCATAACTGAACAAAAGTTAAGGTTTTGTTCAGAAGGAAGAAGATGGAGGTTAGAGTAGAAGCAGATACAACTAACTGTACCTGCTACAGACGCCCATCCAGATCCTACCACATATTCTACATAAATGGAAAGTAAAAGTGAAAGTGGATCCATCTGGAGGTCAGTTGATGGTTGGCTTTAATCCATCAAGAGGAGGACACACTAGGTTAGAAGTGAAAATAATCTGTTTCTGCAAGTTTGGAATATGTAAACTCAAAAACATCCATGTAAAAGTACCAGTAAAAGCTTACTTTGCATAAAGATTAAAATGATGTTAATCTGGGCTGGGTGTGGTGGCTCACACCTGTAGTCCCAGCACTTTGGGAGGACGAGGTGAGCTGATGACTTGAGGTCAGGAGTTCGAGACCAACCTGGCCAACATGGTGAAACACTGTCTCTACTAAAAATACAAAAAATTAGCTGGGCGTGTTAGCACGTGCCTGTAGTCCTGGCTACTTGGGAGGCTGAGGCATGAGAATCACTTAAACCCAAGAGGTGGAGATTGCAGTGAGCGGAGATCACACCGCTGTACTCCAGTCTGGGCAATAGAACCAGACTTCATCTCAAAAAAAAAAAAGAGATGTTAATCCACCAAGTTAAAACAAATTATCAAGAGTCATGTAATTTTAAAGCTGATAGGCAGAGTGAATATTGTAATCTTTGTTTACACTTTTACAACATGATCATTTTAGCTGGTAAACACATAAACCAATCCAGTTTTGCAAGATTCAATAAACCATGCTATTGTTTGCATTTTGGGACTCCTGCAAGTGATTTTAGTTACTATTATGTTTTTGTTTTAGCATTCACGGTTATTATTATGTAACATATTTTTACAACTCGGAACAATGTCATTCAAATGTTCACAAAATAGGGATGCAAGCATTTACATTGAAAAATGTTCCCCCAAATCAATAGCATTTGAAGGGAAGTTATATGTGATAAGATGCCAAGAAGGAGGGAAAACGACTACTGTGAAACATGGTGCAGTTAATATGGGAGACAGCACTCCATGAAATATTAGATGTAATGCTGGGAACAGGAAAAACAGCTTTAAAAGCAAAAAATATGTTATAACTTGTAAATGTGCTCTGAGAATACATCTGTCTTATTTTATATTTATTCCCTTGAGAAAATCATTCTTGAATTATGCAAGTTCGAATTACACAAGGTCTGGCAAGACACATCTTTTGTATGAAATAAGACCTCCCCACATTTTTATAACCAGAAATAATCCAACTTAAAAAAAAGTCAGTGCTGTTTCGCACTTAAATAAACAAGTTCCAGGTTGTCTTTTTAATAGGAAAACTGCATTTTTAGATTATATAATCCATCAGTCTGAATTGCTTAGGAAGTGCTTAGCAAAGTCATATGTGCATATAGGTGTAAAGGAAATGTTTTTTAGTGATAAGAATCGGATAGTTAATATTTCAAAAGCATTTTGTTCAGACAGGTGGAGAGCTAAATTAATTTCCTTGAACTGTTTAGGAGAATGCACAGGTATTAATCTAATTCAGCTTCTTATTAGTGCAAAACTCACAGGAATGTTACCATGTAGCAGTCAGCTGTCCACATGATTTATGCTATTTATTATTTTTAAAAGGAGGAGTGTTTTGCATTTCTATTTCCATGTGATAACCTCGGCAGAGTGAAATCCCATTTCTACTTTCCACGGTGTAATAAAAACAGATTTGGCTTTTCAAGTTCAATCGTGTGATTTGTGTGCGTAGTTTCAATTTGTGATGTGTCAGCCAGTGAACAGCTGATTTAATAACAGTTAAGAACCTCTACTACGTAGGAATGACTAAAGTGATGTTTCTGTAGATCAATAGTATTGCCTGGTTTTACTGAGGAAATAAATCATTTTGCTGCACGGTTGCCAAAATGTGAGAGGTTTTTGGATCGATGACACAAACCTATGTTATCTTTGGAGAGACTATGAGACCTTAGTTCATCAATCAAATCAACTTTAATTGAATCTAATTTAATGGACTACTGCCTAGTAAAAAGAACACTTAAAGTCATAGTTGAAACGCACAGGGCTTTTCTTTTCCTACAAGTAGCAAATACACTAAAGAGAAGGTGGCAGCTCAGTGGAGCTGCTGGCACGCCCTCCCTGCTGATGGATTTCTGAGAGTGGCTTCCCTTCTGATATTCTTGCTCAGAATGAGAACGTAGGACCTGAGTCTTACCTTTTAATGTAAGAAAAAGATGCTGCAGGCTATGTAGGCAGGAACCAGTGGATCTCTAATTAGGTTTTTAGTGTCGAAAAACAGGGATCATCTAGAAATGGCCTCGCTTTCCCTCTACTCTTTCACATTCTTTTTTTTTTTGTGGTAAATATTTATTTTTGTCATTTTAGCCATTTTGAAGCATGCAATTTAGTGGCATTAATTATATTCACAGAGTTGTGCCACTATCACCACCATCTAGTTCCAAAATGTTTTTATCACCCCCAACTTATATTCTTTAAGCAACAACCCCTCATTTTCTCCTTCCTCAGCCCCTGATAACAACTTCTCCTTCTTCTCCTTCTCCTCCTTCTCCTCCTCTTCCTCCTCCTCCTCCTTCTTTCTCCTCTTCCTATTCTTCTTCTTCTTTTTTTGAGACAGGGTTCCACTCTGCTGCCCATGCTGGAGTGCAGTGGCACACAGCTCATTGCAGCCTTGACTTCCTGGGCTCAGGTGATCTTCCCACTTCAGCCTCCTGGGTAGCTGGGACTACAGGCGCTCACCACCATGCTCAGCTAATTGTTTGCATTTCTTTTGTAGAGACAGAGTCTTGCCATGTTGCCCAGGCTGGTGTCAAACTCCTGGGCTCAAGCAATCCACTGGCCTCGGCCTCTCAAAGTGCTGGGATTATAGGAGTCAGCCACTGGGCTTGGCCACCCCAGGTAATTTTTTTTTTTTTTTTTTTGATACAGAGTCTTGCTCTGTCACCCAGGCTGGAGTGCAGTGGCATGATCTCGGCTGACTGCAACCTCCGCTTTCTGAGTTCAAGCGATTCTCCTGCCTCGGCCTCCTGAGTAGCTGGGACTACAGGCGCCCACCACCACACCTGGCTAATTTTTGTATTTTTTGTAGAGACAGGGTTTTGCCATGTTGACCAGGCTGGTCTTGAACTCCTGACCTCAAGTGATCCACCCACCTCAGCCTCCCAAGGTGCTGGGATTGCAGGCATGAGACGCCACACCCAGCCCACTCCTGGTAATTTCTAATCTATTTTCTGTTTCTATGAGTTTTCCTACTACAGATACCTCATATGAGTGGAATCATACAGTATTGGCTCTTTTGTAACTGACTTATTTCACATAGCATAGTATTTTCAGGGTTCATCGATGTTGTAGCATGTTTCAGAACTTCCTTCCTTTTAAAGTTTGTTCCTGGGAAACCAACCCAGGGCAGCAGTATGACAGTCGTATGACACAGCGGTATGAGAGTAGGAGTAGGGGCTGATGTGGTCTGCAGGGCATGGGGAAGATGTCCTTGAGGTAGTGATGTTTGAACAAAGCTCTGAAGATTAATTGGCTCAGGATTCCACAGGCTGTACAGGAAGCACAGTGGCTTCTGCTTCTGAGGAGGCCTCAGGAAGCTTCCAATCACGATGGAAGGCAAAGAGGGAGCGAGGCACTTCACATGGCTGGAACAGGAGGAAGAGAGAAGGAGAAGATGATCTAGGTAAAGAGGAGAATCGATGGTGTTCCAGGTTGAAGGGAGAGCAAGAGGAAAACCGCAAGGCAAAAAGAAGTCCGGGGAAAAAGAAGTCTGAGGCCTTTAAAGACCTGGCTGCTTGTTGGGCTTGGTGGCTCACACCTATAATCCCAGCACTTTGGGGGACCAAGGTGGGAGGATCACTTGAGGTCAGGAGTTCAAGACCCAGCCTGGCTAACATGGTGAAGCCCTGTCTTTACTAAAAATACAAAAATTAACTGGGCAAGGTGGTGCGTGCCTGTAATCCCAGTTACTTGGGAGGCTGAGGCAGGAGAATTGCTTGAACCTGGGAGATAAAGGTTGCAGTGAGCCGAGATCATGCCACTGTACTCCAGCCTGGGTGACAGAGCAAGACTCCATCTCAAAATAAATAAGTAAATAGAATGAATGAATGAATGAATAAATAAATAAATAAACAAAAATAAGTAAATAAAGACCTGGCTGCAGAACAAAGTGCCAGGAGTGGGTGGCCTGGGGAAGGTGCCAGATCATGCAGAGTGCTTCTAAGGCCACATTAAAGATAGTGGATTGGAGGGTGTGTGTGTGTGTGTGTGTGTGTGTGTGCATGTGTGTGCATGTGTGTGACAGGGAGCATTGTGTGTGTTTTGAAAAGTCATTCTGGCTGATAAGTTATGGGTTAGAAGGGAAAAAGAGCTGAGATGTCAGAAAAACAACTGAGTCTGGTCAAGAGGTGCTGTCTTGGAGTTGTGTCATTGCTGCTGATGTGTGGAAAGTGGATGGATTCATGAGAGGCTGCAGAGATAAAATTACTTAAGATGGTCAATTTTGTGTTACACGTATTTTACCACAAATTTTAAAAGTCACCAGGCCACAGTGACTGAATAGGGGCAGAAGGGACAAGCAGTGGCAAGGATTTTTAGGCTGGAGCAAATGGATAAATAGTCCCTTGGAGGAGCACTAAGTTTGTGTGGATCCATGAGTTCAGTTCTGGACAGTTTGAGGTGCGGATGCTATTTACAGAAGTGGATATAGAGATCTTGGGCCCGAAGGAGATGTACGACCATCAGGCCCATGCTGAATCCTAGTCATCAGGCTGGAGTTCAGATGCAGGTTTTAATTCTTGGGAGGAAGTGGCAAGACAATTGTAGGGTTCCAGGCATAAACAATCTTGTTAGGCAGAGAAGGCTCCTATCAACATAACTGAGTTTGGGAATAATAAATCTGCTCTCAGAATTGGCAAATGAAGTCAAGGGTAGAAACAGTGTTCCCCAATTGCAGTCTTGGGCCCTAAAAGATCCCATGATATCCTCATTCTTGGTATTTTTCCTGCTCCACAGAATCTAAAATATTCCTGGAAATGGAGAGTCCTGACATGATGGCCCCATGATGAAAAGAACCCAGGTTCCTGAGTCACGACGTGGACATGAGGCACCAAGGAGAAAACACGTGAACCTTAATAAGTTTGGGGTGAGAGAGAAATAAACCTTAAGTATGTTAAGCTTCTGTCATTTCAAGGTAATACAGTGTGGAAGGCAGAAAAATGACCCACTCTCCCCTGATATCCATTAAAGATGTCCAAATCCTCATTTCTGGAACCTGTGAATATGTTGTTACATGACAGTAGCAGTCACATAGCAGATTGAATTAAGGTTTGTATTAGTCTGTTCTTACACTGTTATAAAGAAATACCTGAGCCTGGGTAATTTATAAAGAAAAGAGGATTACTTGGCTCATGGTTTTGCAGGCTGTACAGGAAGCATAGTGGCTTCTCCTTCTGGGGAGGCCTCAGGAAGCTTCCAATCATGGTGAAAGGCAAAGGAGCGAGGTACTTCACATGACTGGAGCAGAAGGGAGAGAGAGAGAGAGAAGTGGGGGAGGTGCTATATACTTTTAAACAAGCAGATCGTGTAAGAACCCATTCACCATCAAGAGAACAGCATCAAGTGGATGGAGCTAAACCATTTATGAAGGATCCATCCCCATGATCCAGTCACCTCCCACAAGGCCCTACCTCTAACTATGGGGATTATAGTTGAACATGAGATTTGTGCAGACACACAGGTCCAAACCATATCAAGGTTGCAAATCAACTGACCTTAAAAGTCTCCCAGATTACCCTGCTGGTCCTAATCACTGGAGTCCTTAAAAGCAGAGAACCTTTCCCAGTTGTGGTCAGAGAAAGATGTGATAAAGAAAGCAGCATCAGACACATGTGACATTGTTGGCTTTGATGAGGGTAGGAGGGGTCACGAGCCAGGGATTGTGGGCAGCCTCTAGAAATTGACCTCATTTAACTAAATTACTTCTTCAAAGGTCCTACCTTCAAACATGGCCACATTCTGAGAGGGGGTTAGGACTTCAACATATGAATTTTGGTGTGACACAAATCAGTCCATCATACCAAGACTGTAGACTTTTAGACTGTTGCAATTATGAAAATGCAAGTCATGTTTTTGTTCCATGAGTTTGAGGTATATTCCAGAATTGTTTCTGTCATCAACTCACATCAAAAGCACAGCATAGCCAGAGCAGAACATTGAGCTCCTGGAGAACTCTCAGGAGGCAGGCATTTGGGGCCAGTGTAATAGAAAAGCAATGCTGGGGAAAGACCAATTTGAAATACCTCCTTGCAATCAGCTTTGGTATAAACCATTAACCCAGTAAGTAGTGGAGCCCATGCTTGCTCTCCACTCAGCTTTTCATCCTGTACACATTCCTTATAGCCTCCTCCTATATTGGTCAACAGAAATGTCCATCATAGCCCCAGCACATTACTAGAACATGTTATTTTGGAAAATACAAACTATGGAAAACCCTCATAGGTGTTTGTAATTTTGTAAAATTATAGGTTCAAGGAAAAACCAGCCAAAAATTCCTGACCATTTTATTATGATAATAAATCAAATTTTATATAAAAGTATCTATGGCATGTGGCCAGGCCTTAATTTTTGCTCTGTGTCTCCAGAGACCATGCCGTCATGTAGATTCTTATAGAATGCAGGATCAGTCTTGAATGCTTTGGAGGTTACACTCTTGTTTGAAAGAAATTACAAACCAGACTGAGAATATAAAATATATGTAAAACCACAACATCTATAAACCTTTATAATCATACAAGTAGTAAAATTATGTTTGAGGTCATAAAATAGGCATAAATGTACTAAGTACATGGATTATAAAATAGGCACTAATGTATTATAGACTAAAATATACCTGAAATATAAAATAGGCACTAATGTATTATAAAATACACCTGGGTCATGTTAAAAATACAACTTTACTATATCATAAATTTGATTCATATCTAGCAGGTAGACAAACATACGATCAACATTAAATTTCTTTGACTTTTAATTCCAAGGTGTGGTTGAGGTGAGCTTTCAATAGCCTGTTTCTCAAAATCTTTCATAATACTGTTCAAGGAAGGTAGGACTGTCTTTTTTTTTTTTTTGTAGAGATATCTTTTGTAGTTAATCAAGGAGTTCTTCTCAGGATTACTCTCACAGTTGGATTCATTCTTTCCATTTCAGCATCTTTACACATTTAAAGACAGGTCCTGTCTAAATTACACGGAGTTTTAGATTTGCTGTCTGCTGAGTTTATTCCTCCTTTATCTTTGTCGCCTCCATCTCCAACTTCCCACACCAACTGTCATCCAAATGTCATTTTTTGACTGCCCCAAACCACAGCTACTTTCTAGTTTCAGAGCCTCCCCCAACAGTATGAATCTTGTAGGGTTGGGGAGAGCGGGGATGAAGAAGGGGAGGGAGGCAGGGTCGTCCTCACAGTACAGAGCCCGAGACTGAGAGAGCCTCCCCATCCTTGGCCGTTGACAGCCAGAGTGAGGCACAGGACCCTCCAGCCTGGACTTTACATGTCCAGGGAGTGATACAAAGATGTAGGAACAGCTAAGAGAGGATGCCTTCTGGTGTTCAGAGTCCATGTCGGTCTTGGCCTTGAGTGTCCAATGGAAGCAGAGCCAGCGGCTCTGTCCTGGAACCATACTTCCTGCTGTCCAGCCTTGTTCCTGACCATTTTCCAAGCTTACTTCTTTAGTCATCCTGTGGATTCTGTGTGCTATTTGGCAGCCTTCCAACAACTTTCCTTTTGCTTAAGTTTCTGAGGCTTTCAGCTATCCGATGTGCAGGGAGTATCAGAGAATGAAGCCTGTATGGGCATGGCATACATTTGCCTGGGGAGTGGAGCAGAATGATGCTGCGATGCTGAACTGTCATTCTCAGGCTTTTGCATTTTACACATTGCAGACGTTTTTACCAAAATAGTAACTTCAGACATTTTTATGGGAATATCCTCATGTTGCATTTCATCAGACCTGCGGTCCCAAGGTTCTCTGTGATGAGCTCTTTCATTTATCCCTCTCTCTCTCTCCCACATGCACTCACTCAGTGTTTACCAAGTAATGACTATCTTCTTAGATCAGCTGGGTCAGCGTGGGTATCAGCATCAACTAGACATCATGTTTAGATCCTGCCTTCTGATATGAATGTCTGCTCCTGGATGTTTGGATCCAGGTCACAGGTCTAGAGCTCCCCTTTCCTTCTTTTGCTAAGCTTCCCATCCTGAACCCCAACTTTTCCCTCTGGTATCTGTCATCAGCTAGGAAACTTGGAGTGCAAATCACCAGTTTGGATCTTAACAAGAAGGGGTGGAGTTCTCAGTGAGGGCCTGTGCTTCTTGCGCAAACCTCTCCACCCTCGCCCCAACAGAAGAGGAAGTTACCAGATTTACGTTTAAGTCACCAAAGGGTCACTCCAGTGACTTGTTTAGAACAAAGAGGTCTGCTCCAAACTGAAGAATCTAAGATCTACTGGTAACTCCTGTGTTGCAGTTTCTTTGAGACAATAAAACAATGGTAGTTAAGGATCTTGAATGTGAATATTAACTTGGCTTTGAGGGTCTTGGTTCCTCTGCTTAATTGCTAGACATGGTGGCCTCATGTGGAGAGGGCAGGGCAGGTCCTATTTTTTTCCTTAGAAATCCTATGCCTAGCCCAGGGTATCCATATCTTTTGTAGAATGAATGAATTCTTCCACAGTCTGCATTCAGGAAATGATTTTCCTTAAATACTGAATCTGGAAAAGTTTTAGAATAGTGAGGTCTAACCAAGGAGTTCACAGATTTAAAGTCCAGGGACACTTCCATCTATTCATTAGGTTATTTCAGATTTGTGTCTTTGGCTCTATTACACTTGCAGAATTCATCACATTGGAGTTATATAAAACAAGGTCAATTTATTAATTTACAATGTGTAATCACCTAGTGCAGCTGTCTGCAAATGGTATTCCCTTTCTGGATATTTCTCAGATAACTAAATTTAGATCAGAATACCGCTGGGTGAATATATAATTAGACTCCAAAGGGAGTCATATGTCCCCAAGGGGTACTTCTAACAAGCCATGGTAGCTTCACAGAAATACCTTTCTTCTCTCTGGGGAGAAAGAATATTTCTATTCAGCCATTATCTGAGAGAAAATAGCACAGCAGCTGAGGCTTGGTTTGAGGACTTCTAGCTTTTATATTGTATGTGTTTAATTTTTTCAATGCCCTGTCCTCCCCTGAATTCAGAAAACCTATACTGCTCACAGCAGTATCAAATAATAGTTATTTTTACCTTGGTATGAATTCAAATCTATGCATTATCTTTCTAAGGCATTTTATATTTTGAAGCTCACTTCAAAATATGGGTCTCAAAGCATTGTTCTTATAGAAGGAAATCCATAGATCAGTGAGTGCTGGGGAAATATTATATTTCTTGGTCACAGGGCAATTGGTCAGTGTTACTGACACTGGCCCACGTGGGTAGGCTCCTACCTTGTCTGTAAATAAGAAGATTCTTTTCTGCTTTAAAGATCCAGGGTCATTGTGTGAAATTACGTAACAGTTGGGTGTGTTTTCTGGAAGAAACACTGACATTGTTTCTCAGCTATGTTTTGCTAAACTCCATAAAGTCATCCACTCATCTTTGCCTCTTGAGTTTTCAACCTCCTAAGTACACATCTATGTGAAGGTTTTTGCTGCTGTTCTGTTCTTTCCTCTGCCTAGAAAATGCTCTCCCAGGTAGCTACATGGCTCCTGCACTTCCTCAGAATCTCTGCTCAAATAGCATCTTTTAGAGAGAACTTCCGCTGTGCCTGCCTAGAACGGTAGCCCCATCCCTTCGTCTACCTTCATACCCTACTCTACGTTATTCATAGCACTTATTACCGCCTGCCAATAGGTTATGCATCAAGTTACTTATTATCTATCTGTCTTTCATATTAGCTTCATGAAGGCAGAGGCTTTTGGTTCATCTCTGCTTGTTAGATGAGTGCCTTGCACATAGTATGCTCTCAGTAAATGTTTGTCAAACAAGCAAATGAATTAATGAATGTGTTAAAATGTACTCATCTCAAGTTCAGAGGTTATTTCTTCTGGACTATTTTGCAGCTGGGCCCTTTCTTTTCTTTGTTTTTCCCTCCCTCCCTCCCTCCCTTCTTATTTGTCTTCCTAAAATAAATATTTATCAAGGCATTTCAATCCCAGACTGAAAAAGGTTAATTCTAGAATGGTTTTCCATGGATCATGAGTGCTTGCTGTCTTCTTTTCCCAGATGGTAAGCTTTTCTGCTTGTGGGTTCTCCATATTTTAGGACCTGCAGTTCTCAGTTTATTGATTACATCATCATCCGTTACACATGGCTTGAAGGATGACAATCGTGAAAAAACTGAACTCATGAAAATAGCAGTTGTGCTGAGCTTATTTTCTAGTGGGGCTCCAGTGCCTGGTGCAGGAAAAGCATTTTGTGAATATTTGTAGAACAAGTGGATTTAAATGAATGATAAGACACTGAGTTAGAAGACATCTGCACATCAGGGTAGAATGCACGGAAAAGCCAAATGCCCCCAAAAGTAGTTTTTCAAATGTTGTAAGATTCATTTTGTTCCCTTAATTGAAGATCTTTTTTCTGTTGCCCTTACTTAGACACAAAGGGGAATTAAACAAATGTGCCAAATCATTGTTTATATCTGATCATGAATTATTTATCCAAAATATAAGCTCTGTAATTTAGCTTCAGAATTACTGTCATTACAGCAAATCAGGAAATGTATTTATAATAACTTGACTTTTCCCCGTTTATTAACTTAAAAAATAAACGATATAGACTTAGGTGTTAAAAAAATGTTTTTGAAGATATCTAGTGAAAAGTTAAGCCACTGTCTCACTCCTGTCTTCTAGTTTCTGTCATTAATCTCTAGGTTAATAACAATTCCCAGTTTCTTCTATAGCTTCCTAGTTTATCTCTATGTATATATTTAGTTGTTCTTTTTTGAAAATATAAATGGCAGCATGCACTCATTGTTCTTTATCTTGCTCTTTTTAATTTTTTTTAATAGAGACTGGGTTTCCCTGTGTTGTCTAGGCTAGTCTTGAACTCCTGCACTCAAGCAATCCTCCTGCCTTGGCCTCCCAAAGTGCTTGGATTACAGGCATGAGCAACCATGCCCAGTCCAACTTGCTCTTTTTATTTCACATTGAATGTGGAGATTGTTATGATCTGATTGTTTATTTACTCTCAAAATTCATATGTTGAAATCTTAACCCCTAAGGTGATGGTTCAGGGTGTGGGGCCTTGGGAGGTAAACTGAGGGCAGAACTCTTATGACTGGGATTAGTGCCCTTATAAAAGAGCCAGCTATTTCCTTCCACCACGTGAGTACACAGCAAGAAGCTGCCATCTATGAACCAGAGAGGGAGCCCTCACCTGACACTAAATCTTCTAGTCCCTTAATCTTGGATTTCACAGCCTCCAGAAGGAGAACTGTTGGGCCAAAGGGTAATTTGTAATTTTTACAGATGATGTCAAATTGCTTTCCATGAAAGTTGCACTATTTAACTCTTACCCCTTGTTATGATTTGAATGTCCCCTCCAGAACTTATGTTGACATTTAATTGCCATTGAGGCAGTATTAAGATGTGACTAAGTTATGAGGGCAAAGCCCTCATGAGTTAACGCCATAACCATGGGAGTGGGTTAGTTGTTGCGTGAGTGAGTTAGTTACTCCATTTTTCAGACTCAATTTTTTGAAAATGTCTGTATCTCTGTCTCTAGGGTACACCTCCTTGCCATGTGTTACCTTCTGTCATGTTATGATGCAGCAAGAAGGCCCTAATCAGTGGTAGTCCCTCAGTCCTGGACTTCTCAGCCTCCAGAACTGTGAGCCAAATAAATATCTTTTCTTCATAAATTACACAATCTGTGGTATTCTGTTGCAGCAACAAAAAATGCTCTAAGAAACCTTCAATTGCTGGTCCTCAGTGATAATTCTCATTATTGATATAAAAGTTGATTTTAAAAGATCTTCACCAACAGCATGTTATTAAACTTTTTGGTAACTTGCCAATCTTGTAGGTTGAAAAAACCTTGCCATCGTTTTAATTAGCATTTCTCTTTAATTTCCCTCTTCCCTATGAGTGAGGTTGAACATCTCTTCATTGGTTTAACCCATTTATGCCTGAGGTTGCAATTTTTTGAATTTTTGCAATCAGACCTTAGCAATGACCTTGAGCAGTAGGATATAAATAACTCCCACATGCTTAGCGTTCCAATAATGGAAAACTAGAGATAAATGGATTTTAAGACTCATTTGTATTTTCTTTGCTGGGAAGTTTGTTCTTATCCTTTCCTCATTTTTCTATTAGGTTTTTCTTTTTACTGTATTTGTTAGAGCTTTTTCTGTGTTAAAAAATTTAGCGAAAGTTATTGTTGCTGACAGTGGTTCACTAGGGTTAAGACCACTGGAAAAAATGGCATTAAATTATACTTTATGAACTTTAACATGTCATTTTACTGTTTCTAAAAATGAAAGTTATTTAGAAACATACCTATAATAACATTTATCTTCTTTAGTAATTGACAAATAGTGTTAATGTTGTTAGTGCTAGTACCTGAATATGCAGTTCACAGACATTGAGAGTTTGAGGAAAACTTAGATTATCTAATTCTACTCTCCCAGTTTGTAGAGAAGAAATTAAGGGCAAGGAGACTTGGTCATTTGGCTGCAACTATCAAAAAGCCAGGCTCAAACTGGCTTCCAGAATAAGAAAATGGATTGGTTCACCTAAAAGGAAGCCCAGAGTCAGTGCAGGCTTTGGGGCTGGGAGATTCAATCAGCTCAACAACATTTTCAGAAGCTCATGTTATTTTCTACCAAAGGGCAGGTGCCAGGGGTTGTCAGTAACAATGGGGGCATCATGGCAGTAGCTACTGCTTCTTTATTCTCCTCCAACAGGGGAGAGAGAATGCTGCTTCTGTAAAGCCTCTTGGAAGAATGACTACAAACCTTAGTCTTTACTAAAAGTCATTTAGTCATTTACTAAAAGTCATTTAGTAAAGTCATTGGTCTTTACTAAATCACATGACCCCTCCCCTGAGCCAATCATTGGGAAGGGGATGGCTCACCCTTAGACCAATCAGGATCACACCTATGGCTGGGGGTCAGGCCAGCTTCCAGTGTGTCACATGGGGTATTAAGGAGGGTCTAGGCACCTAAACAAAATCAGAAATCTGGGATATGTGAATATCATGTAGAATGGCAGCACTTAACCTCACATCGTTATTTTGACTTATAACATGTACAAAATAAAATAGATTCCCACTTGAAATCTGTATCAATCAATATTCTCCATAGAAACCAAACCAATAGGACACACACACACACACACACACACACACACACACAGAGAGAGAGAGAGAGAGAGAGAGAGAGAGAGAGAATTATTTTAAAGAATTGGCTCACACCATTGTGGGAGCTGGCAAACCTGAAATCTCTCCCTTTCTCTCTCTCTCTCTCTCTCTCTCTCTCTCTCTCTCTCTCTCTCCCCCCCCTTCCTCCCCTCCCTCCCTCCCTTCCTCCCTTCCTTCCTTTCTTCCTTCCTTCTTACCAAGTCTCGCTCTGTCTCCCAGGCTGGAGTGCAGTGGCGCCATCTCGGCTCACTGCAACCTCCGCCTCCTGGGTTCAAGTGATTCTCCTGCCTCAGCCTCCTGAGTAGCTGGGATTACAGCAGTGTGCCACCATGCCAAGCTAAAATCTGAAATCTTACAGCAGACCAGCACTCAAACTCAGGGAAGAGCTGATGTTGCAAGTCTTGAGGCAGAATTCCTCCTTCTTTGATAAGCCTCAGTCTTCGCTGTTAAGGCCTTCACCTGATTGGAAAAGGCCCACCCATATGATTGAGGGTAATCTCCTTTACTCAAAATCAACTGTAAATGTTAATCACATCTACAAAATACTTTCACAGCAACATCTAGTCTAGTGTGTGGCCAAACAACAAGGCATTATAGCCTAGCCAAGTTGACATATAAGATTAACTATCACATAATCTTTGTCCTCCAATCTTAATTTCCTTAATGTTTCTAACCTCCTACTTCCTTAAAATGGGTGGCTGTGGTGTGATTTCAGAAATGTAAACCTTAGCATGAGGGTGGAAACCACTATAGAAAACACAGAAATCATCGTTTTTCATACTAGTCCAAAGGATCCATACAGATGTCTCCAGACAGATTCAGCTCAATTTTCCAGATGTGAACACTTATACTGTTTCAGATTTAATCCATGGTGTTCTGCTGTGGGAAGGGGGGACTGGAAAGATGTTTTCTTTAGCATCTGCAATATAAGACAGAATGCAGTCCATGTCCCCACAAGTATCCCAAACAATGGGTCCAGGCTCAATCACTAAAGGGAAAAATTAGGGTTAGAAACCTTTACGTATGGTCTGTCTGAGCCAGCCTCTGGCTGACAAACCACTCATCCAATGATGGTAGTCCACTTGTTTGACAGCACTATGAATACATACAGTATGTTCTGGGCAGGTGGTTTGACAAATATTCCAGGGCAATTTATAAGATTTTAGCTCAAGCATCCTTCAGACTGTTTAAGGCCTGTTTTGGGTATTAGTGTGTACTTAGCAGATTATTAAAAAAAAAAAACTTTCATAACGTGAAATTCCTTTTTCTTCATAGGGATAATTTTAACCTGCTGGTAGTTTTCGTTTTTATGTGCTGTGATAGTGCTTGTTTATCTCAAAGTTTGTGTAAGGTTAGGCTGTTTCTACCCCAAAAGCCACTTCATTCCCTTGGCTAAAGCAAAGTCATGGGAATCAGTTACCCTTAGGGGGCAAAAACATACAAGCAAGTCTCCCATTAATGTTGAGGGGGAGTTTTGGGTACTAGCTGTCAGAGTTTCACCCTGCCTTATCTTAAAGTCTTCTTTCTAACTCATTGAAGACAAATAACACAGGGTGTTGGTGGGTGTGTGTGTTTATATGAGGGTGTGGGGAGAACACACGGACTTTGGGGAGCAGCCAATTTGGTGCAATTTGGGAATGATTGCCTTGTACAGAGCCAGCCTGAATAGTTTCCTTCCTCTGCGTATTTTAATAATTGTCAAGGCAAAAATAAAAGTGGCTGCGTTCCCTCTTTGGTGATGTCTCCGATCTGGAAGCCCTGTTGCTCTCCTGGGTCCCTCAGCGCCACAACGGACGTCAGTGGGAAGGGACCCTGTGTCCTTCGATGTCAAAGAGTTTCATCCCTATTTTAAGCCTGGGGTGGGGGAGCCCCGCTGCCAGGGGCAGCCAGAGAACCGATTTCCCCCTCCCGATGAGTCTGAGCTCTGGCAAAGTCTTCCGACAGCGCTCCCGGGAGCTTCCTAGGGATTGCTGACCTGACAGTGTCCACCGTTGAGGGGAGAATAATTGTGAACATCTATGCTGGCTTGTTTTAAAAAGCTAAGCGGCTGGCAGCGGGGCGTGCCTGTGGCCCGTCTTGCAGGTTCCGCGGCTGTGCAGTGAGTGCGCTTCTGGGCTGCAGGAGTGGGGCAAGGACGCCCCTCGGCCAGGTGTGGCTGGAGGCTGGGGAGGAGGAGAGCGCCCTCTGGTGGCCGAAAGAGAGACTGCCTGCGGGGCCCGGGCACCGGGAGGCTGGGTTTTCTCTGCAAAGAGCCTTGTCCGCAGATGGAAGCAAAGCAAACCCAAACTCCTTTCGGCTGCTGTGCTACCCTTTCTTCCGTTTTCTCAGGAGGGAGGATGATGGGCGCTGGGGAAGGAAAAGAAGAGCTAAGGATCTTCCTGTTTCTCCCTGGGGGCGAGCTTTTGTGCTGACTGAGGGGGACGGCTTTCTTATTGCTGACCCAAAGGTCCTTCCTTCTCCAGTGTTTGCCTAGTGTTTGAGGGGCGCACTTTCCTTTCCCCAGTGTGTCTTTTTTTTTTGCATGATCCTGCAGTGGCCTTCATGGTGTTGCCCCATCCAACTTTAATTCGGGGCCTCAAAATTGGGAGTAGGGACATAAAATGTGTGTGTGTTTGTGTGTGTGTGTGTTTTAGAACAGGCTCGAACTGGACTCTACCACCCCCTCCCACTGTGACGACTTCCCAGTGGGGGAGCAAGTCCCTTGAAAACAGCCAGCCTTTTGTTTGGGGTATTAGAGCAATTTCATTTCAGTCCTGTTCATTATTCAGAAAATTTTTTTTTAAATATCATTTATTACACTCTTTGCTTTTATTTTTTTGAGGCAGAAACTCACTGTCGCCCAGGCTGAAGTTCAGTGGCAGGATCTCTGCTCACTGCAGCCTCCGCTTCCCGGGTTCAAACAATTCTCCTGCCTCAGCTTCCCAAGTAACTGAGACTACAGGTGTGCACCACCACGCCTGGGTAATTTTTGTATTTTTAGTAGAGAACGGGATTTCATTATGTTGGCCAGGCTACTCTTGAACTCCTGACCTCAGGTGACCCACCTGCCTCGGCCTCCAAAAGTGCTGGGATTACAGGCGTGAGTCACCACGCCCAGCCCCATTATTTAAAATTTTGTTTAAACTCCTTGCACAGCTTTTTTCCTCAGGTGAGGCTGGAGCCATGGACCTGGCTCTGTGTGTGTGTGTGTGTGTGTGTGTGTGTGTGTGTGAGACCCATGCCCTTCCCATATTGTCCTAGGCTGGTTTCTCCAAAATGCAAGTCACAAGCCATTGCTGGCTCATAATATCAATTTAGAAAGTCACAATCTTTATTTTTCTTTAAAGGAGTAGAATGGAATACAAATTACAAAGTACATTCCAAGTAATAGAGTATGATTTCCTCAAAAAGCTGTTTCAGGTGTGTGTGTATGTGTGTGTGTGTGTGTGTGAAAATAAATGTGATAATAGATGTCAGCTGCCTGGAATTGTGTGAATCGTGTCATAATGTAAAACATTTACTGTGGGTCATGCTTAGAGAAGTTTGAAAGTCATTGTTTTAGCCAGGGGTGGTGGACATGCACTTGTGGTCCCTGCTACTCAGGAGGCTGAGGCAGGAGGATCTCTTGAGCTCTGGAGATGGAGGCTGCAGTGAGCTGTGATTGTATCATTGCACTCCAGCCTGGGTGACAGAGCGAGACCTTGTCTTTAAAAGAAAAAAAAAGAAAGAAAGTCACTGTTGTAGATGTGGCTTCTTGTTTGAGCAAAGGAAGGTGGGGTGCAGGGGAAGGGGAAAGGAGAAGGGAGCAGAAAGAGGAATCTTGAGGGACCCTCTGCTGCAGATTAGTGAAGTATGTCTGCCCCAGCCTTACCCTGGCCACTTCTGGTCCTTCTGCGGTGATGGGCTCCACTGTAGTGGTGTTGCTGTCATAGCTGGTGTTTGTGGTTGTTTAGGAGCTGTGTTCAGTTTCAGCTTCACTGAGGAGCTACCACGTTTCCAAGACAACAGGAAAAAACATCCCACTAAATACCATGTTGCACAAACTTTTTATTGGAATGTCTACAATCTTCCATGTACCTTTTTCTTTAGTCATATAATATTGTATGTTCTTGGCTTCCATTTCTCCCCACTGCAATATTCCTGCCATCTGGGGTCTCTTTTCCTATCACCCTGCAACTTCCCAAAAGCTTCCTCTGAGCTGCTGAATGGGAACCGACCCAAGCCTCCTCTGGACCCCCCACATTTGGTCTCCTTGGCTATTACATGTTTTCTTTCATTTTTCCTCACAGTGAAATGAGTGGTTTATCTGTCTCCTCTACCAGACCGTATTTCCTAGAGGATGTGGGTCACAGTCCAGTTGTCCTTGCATGCTTTGTAGCACTTTCCATAGAGTAAGTGGTGAAAATGATCATAGCACATTGAATGGCAAAAAGGAACTTCTTAGTCATCTCTTAGGAAGCATTTTCTATAATTGTCTGGTTGCAATTCAGGATTATCATTGTGTGCCAACAGCTGCAGGCTCATTTTAAATGTTGATTCTACAAATCCTCTCAAATAACAATGCCTTATGTTGACTTAGATTTTATAAAATGTCCTAGGTCACATGGTTTTGTTTAAAACACTTCTTTTGTCTTTGAAACAGCCAAGTGAAGTTCGATGTGGTAGATGTTACTTTCATTTTTTAGATGAGGAACTGTTCAGAAAGTGTAAGTGACTTGCCCAAGGTTCCTTGGATAGTAAATCACAGCTTGTGTTCTGTTCCTCTCACCTCTTTGCACAGAGCTTTGACATTCTTCTGTCAAGTCACCTTGCAAGTCTCATGCTTTCTGGGTAAGTAAATGCCATCCATGTACTTGTCCCGGGTCTTCAGTGATAAGTTTTGGTCCTGTCCTCAGCTGCTGGTGCCTCACTGAGTATATGACACTAGGCAAGCCATTGACCTGTTTCCACATCTCAGATCTTTCATCCTGAAAATAAAGATGACAATAGTTGCAGGCTGCCTCGAATGGCGTGGTGAAGATTAATGAGATGATGCAGAGAAGTGCCCTGAGCTTCTGGGACAAAAGGCTTGGTAGAAGCACAAAGTCTAATTATAATTTTCTAACATTTTCAAAGAGCCCTCTGGAAAGGCTAGCTCTTGCTTCTAAATTTGGAGAGGATGCCTGCCTGGGACAGATTGTTTTCTCTCAACTGGCAGCCCCAGCAGCCTCCTGCTTATGCTGGCCTTGATGGTTCTGCTCTGATCCAGTGGCACTCAGTCTACCTGGATCCCATTAACAGTAGAAGGTACAGTCCCCAAAAGTGCCAGCCCCTGATCTTCCATGCCTTTTGGATGGAGCAAGGGTAACCCACTTTGGACAGGCATCAGATGGGGTTCAGTTATTCTTAGGGAATGTAGATATAGTCCCTGGTCTAAGGATGGGAATGTGACATAGATTAGGGAGAATATAAGAAGTCTGCTTGGACCTTCTAGGAAAAATTTTTCCTCCCTAATAAGAGGAAGTCACAGAAAATCTTCTAGCCCTATGCTCAGCTTCCTGCCCTTGAACACAGTTTGAGATCTGAACCTTGAAGCTGCTGATGCCATCTTACAAACCAATGGGGAAGCCAAGAGAATTCAGCAACATTGGCCCAACGCCATTGAGTCCCTTAAACAGCATGGCATTTCTTATTTGTGACAAAAACAAATCTTTGCTTAAACCATCATCCGCATGCTGCTTCTGTTCCTTATAGACAGATACCAGTAGCTGAACTGATGGCTGTGTCAATCATGGTGTGGTTGCTCAGGTCCAGGGGGCGTTGCAGATTATCTGACCTGGAGTGTTACTGTAGAGGTTTTGGAACGCTGAATTTTACACAGAAAATCTTTGGCTTTGCTCATTTTCTACCCTGCTTTGTTTTCCTTTGGGCTACTCTTTCACCTAGCTACTCATCAAATGATCTATCCTGAGTGCAGGAATAAAATCAATACTAGAGCCAGTTTCCAAGTAATAGGGAGGTAAGCTTTGACTTTTCTCTTTCCCATTTCTTTTTAGAATTTATATAAATTTAGGGTGTACAGAAGCAATTTTGTTACATGTGTACAACATGTAGTGGCAAAATCTTGTTTTTCAGTGTAGCCATCACCCCAATAATGTACATAGTACCCATTAAGTAATTTCTCATCACTCTCCCCTCTCTTGTCCCTCCACCCTTCTGAGTGTCCACTCTCCATCAGCCCACACTCTTTGTCTATGCATACACATTATTTAGCTCCCACTTATAAGTGAGAACCTGAGGTATTTGATTCTCTGTTTCTGACTTGTATCATTTCTCAGCATTCGCATCCAGATATTCAGAGCCCTCAATGTCCCTGACTCTGTACCTTGTTTCTCATCTCCATCCAAACCTCTCTCTCTGACCTCTTTGGTCTTCACAGCCCCAACTGTTGCTGGCCTAAGGGGTCACCTTCCCAGGTAGTATGGCATTTTCACATAGTGGAGATGACTTGGCCAATCATGAAGCTAGGCACCCTTCTCTCGCCCTTTTCTGTTCTATCTAGTCTATCCTCTGCTCATAAAAAAGTTTTCAAGCATCTAGTGCCTTCTTGGTGTTCAATAGGGTACCATTTTTAATCCCAGGGGACTCAGTTGTCTTATCTCTGAAATGGAGATAACAGTATTTTGTCTGCTCAGAGACTGAGGATCCCGTCCTCTAAGCTCTTTGGATTCTTTCTGACTCCACAGTGCGTACCTAACAGGGCACTGTTAGGGCCCTGTTTGTCTTGGCTCTATGAAAATTATTACCACTTCAGTACCCTGATCAATGCTGTGATGGATTTTTTAAAAAGTCTTGATAAAAGAGGTTTATCTCCCCCAGGGTGTTTGCATTTTCAGAGATAACATGTGGGGGAAAATGTTGAAAAGTTCAAGACCTTTTCTGAAGCCCAATGCAGTCAGTTATTCTACCCTTGTGACCAGCCCATTCCTAAAATGAGTACATGAACATCCACAGTCTGGCTTTTAGTTGATTTTCTCTTCTTTCAGATTCACTGCAGATTAGAGTACCCAGAATTAGCCAAGACCTTCAACATTTAATGACTAGCCATGGAGAAGAAATAAGATGAACTGCTTGTCCCAGAAAGCGATAGAACTTTGAAAGCAGCTATATATTTCCTAGCTACCTCTAAAAAATGGAGCTGTCTTCATGAGACCTGTAAGAAGCCAACAGGTAACTTGAGATATAATACTTAAAGGAATGGCAAAGTAACTGATCTAATTAAGACATCCCCCAAATATCACAAAGTAGGAAGATTGATGCTGAAAGAGATGCTTTGAGCACCATTGGTTGCCTGTAAGGAGTATGATTTCAAATGGCAAAGTTGACTGGAGAACCTCCTAGGCATTAAGTGGTTTTCAAGAAGACTTTCTTTGGCTTTCTCTTTGTTCATGAAACAGAAAACTGTGTTTGGGTTGCATTCCAATACAGAGAGACTTAGTCCCTATAAGATTGAAATGTGCTGGTTCTTAGGTAATTAGGACTCCTTCCCAGCCCAATCGAGAAAATTGGCTTTGCCTTATGCTTGGAAAGAAAGTGGAACGTAAATGGAAGCCAGTAGATATTTCACCTGCCACTCAACTCATTAAGGTTAATAGCAAATGAATAAACAGAAATTCTGTTGAGGGATGTGGCATGTGTACCCAGTCATTGGTGACATGGCTATGTGCACACGGAGACTTGCTCTGTCAGATCAGTAGGATAATTTTAGCTTTTACTTTTGCCCCTTAGATCTGAGGTTTCTCATTCTGTCCTCAGTGATTAATGATGTTCTGTTACTTCAGATGCCCAAAACCTGGCTCTGGCAATTGGATGTTCATTTGGTTGCCCTGATGTAATCATTGAAGGGAATGGCGTTAATGGACCGTGGAATAGTTGGCCTCCATATGTGGATGGACTGACTTATGTGGATGGACTGACTTAGACTGAATGTTAAAGTGACCCAGTTTATTGTTTGATAATTGGCCATGAAGTGAACCAACACTAACGTATTTGGTGATTCAGTTATTCTAAATCACTGTTTGGTATGAGATGAGAGAAGAATGGGAATAATATCTAGTGTTAGTTCTGTAATTTTGTTAAGTATTTTTGAGGCCCTGCTGTGGGCTGAGTGCTGTTCTAGGTTCTGACAGGGTGTTGGAGGAGAGATTAAAAGGTGAACAAGATATTGCTTCTGATCTTGATGTGTTTTTATCTGGAGAAAGAAGACTTCGGGCCTCATATCCTATTTTGCTCAACTCAGGGCAGAGACCCGAGAAGCATTAAGATTTAAAATGCAGGAACGTGTGAGATCATTGCATAAAGACTCATTATAAAAATGCCAAGCAGTCTGAGAAGCAGTAGAGAGAACATAATTAAAAGACACTGTTTTAGTTTTCTAGGGCTGCTGTAACAAGGGAACACAAATTGGTGGCTTAAAATATCAAGAATTTACTTTATCACAGTTCTAGATGCCAGAATCCAAAATCAAGGTGTCGGTAGAGTTGATTCCTTCCTGGAGGTTTAGAGAAAGAGTCTGAAGATGCCTCTCTTTTGGCTTCTGGTGGTTGCTGGAAATTCTTGGCATTCCTTGGCTTGCAACTGCATAGCTTCAACCTTTACATCGGTTGTCACATGGCCATCATCCCTCTATGCCTTTCCATCTCTGGCTTTCTTCACTTCTTATAAGGACACCAAGAAATACTGGATTAAAACTACTCGAGTATGACCTCAGTTTAACAAATGACATCTGTAATGACCCTATTTCCAAATAAGGTCACATTCTGAAGTTCTGGGAATTTGGGGGTATGTGTGGGGACACTATTCAACCAAACTTTTCACCAACTGACATACCTACAAATGTTGACAAAATCAGCAGGGCAGGAGAGTAAAGAAGTGAAACAATATACTTCCAAGAAAGAAGCAAAGAGAAGAAAGGTATTGTTCTTCTATTCCTCTCCCCTTAGTTTAATACAGGCACCGAAACTTGAAGTAGGACTGTAGCAGAACTAATATGATAATTACTTTCAGAGGAAAATGTAGGGGCTTTTTTTTTTTTTTTTTTTTTTGACAGGGTCTTGCCCTGTTGCCCAGGAGTGCAGTGGTACAATCTTGGCTCACTGCAGCCTTGACCTCCAGGGCTCAAGTGATCCTCCCACCTCAGCTTCCTGAGTAGCTGGAATAACAGGCATGTGCCACCATGCCTGGCTAATATTTGAAAATTTTTTACAGATATGAGGTCTCACTATATTGACTAGGCTGGTCTCCAACTCCTGGGCTCAAGAAATCCTCCTGCCTCAGCCTCACAAAGTGCTAGGATTGCAGGAATGAGTCACTGCCCTCAGCCCTGGGATATTTTATATTATGAAGTAGATGCAGTTTACTCTTTCCTGACTTTTTGTGGTGTTGGAAGATAAACTGGCTTTGGCTTTACTTTAACTCTGGAGAAATTGTGGAACAGGATGAGAAAGCAAGCCTGGAATAGGTGATTTAGGTTTGCTCTAGGCTTGGGAATACACAGAAATAGGACCTTTTGGGGTTCATTCTAACATCTCCAGAATAGCTCACTTGGAGACAAGGGAAGTCAGAAATTTAAGACAGACTTTTCTCCTGGAATAATAGTGTGCATTTAATTGTGTTTCCCCTCAATCTCTACGACTCCTGAAAATGTTGTGTCCAGAGGGTGAAGAATGCTAAATAGCCAGGCACAAAATAGTTACAATACCAGTGAATGTGCTGAATTCCGGGAGAGGTATTAACTCTGTACATAAGAACTCTGAAGTGGTAACTGTCTCTGGATCAGAAGGCTTCACGAGATGGAGCTGGAAGGCTGAAGTATGTTTTTGATAGTTGGAGATGGGGAAGAGCCACAGACTACAGTGCTATTTGATATCTCCAATCTCAAAAATGTGTGCTGCTAATTTTGAAAAGAAACAGAAGAAAGTTAATTGGTCAAGGAAATCCATTCTTATTCATGGAAAAAAAAACCCAAAACTGGGGTACATGTTTTTTGATGAGGCATCAGTAGTCATTATCCTATTCATATTGGTCATAGTCATACCATTGATTATTGATATGATTTGGCTGTGTCCCCACCCAAATCTCATCTTGAATTGTAGTTCCCATAATTCCCACACATTGTGGGAGGGACCTGGTGGGAGGTAACTCTATCATGGGGGCAGTTACCTCCATGCTGTTCTTATGATAGTGAGTGAGTTCTCACAAGATCTGATGGTTTTATAAGGTGCTTTCCCTCTGCCTTCACTCTGCAGTTTTCCTCACTGCCACCATGTGAAGAAGGATGTGTTTGTTTCCCTTCCTTCATGATTGTAAGTTTCCTGAGGCCTCCTCAGTCCTGCAGAACTGCAAGTCAATTAAACCTCTTTCCTTTATAAATTACTCAGTTTCAGGTATGTCTTTATTAGCAGTGTGAGAATAGATTAATACGGTTAGTTTCTCTTCTTAAGAGAAGTTAACAATTGTTGTTGTATCAGTCAGGATAGGCTAAGTTATGCTGAAGTAACAAATAACTCCAAAATCTTAGTAGCTTAACACTATAAAAGTTGGTGTCTCTGTCATGTGACAGCTGTTATGTCTACTCAATACAGTCGCTCAGAGACCCCAAGCAGCAGAGGCGCCATCCCGGCATAGGCTATAAAGCTCACCATAGCAGGGAGAAGAGCACATAGCAAATCATGTACTAGCTCTTAGGGATCATGTTCATATTTCATTAGCTAAATGGAGTCACGCAGCCATATTTAACTATAAAGAAGTGACAAAATGCAGTCCCACTGTGTACCTGGAAGGAGGATGTCTTAGTCAGTTTGGGCGGTTATAACAGGACATCATAGACTGGCTGGCTTAAACAATGTTTATTTCTTACAGTCCTGGAGGCAGGGAAGTCTAAGATCAAGGCACCAGCAGATTTGGTTTTTGATGTGGTCTCTCTTCCTGGCTTGTACTTAGCTGCTGCCTTGCTGTGTCCTCATGTGGCCAAGAGAGTAAGCTCTAGTCTCTTTTTCTTTTTATAAGGTCAATAATCCCATGATGGGGGTTCCACCCTCATGAACTCATTTAAACCTAATTACCTTCCAGATGGCCCCACCTCCTAATACTATTGCATTGGAAGTTAGGATTTCAACATATGAATTTATAAACACAAGAATGCAGTTTATAACAGAGGAGTTACTGGAATGTCTGGGAACAGCCCTAATGACTACCACATCAAGATGTAGATTTCTTGTGCTTTAGAGTTCCTACACATTGGCACCATCATTCTTTTCAGTTCAGGAGAGCGAGAACTCTCTCCTGCAGTGTGGAACTTTGACCAAACAACTGAATACAATGCTGAGAAACCTCTTAGAACATGGCCATGGGTAATAGTGCTATTTGTAATCAAAGACTTAAAATAGAAGGACAAAGGATCTATGGCCATCCCTTGAAGAGTTTTAGGATTAGTATTCAATAATTTAGGCTCTCAAGTGTGCTAGTTACCATACAGGCTATAAAAATAATATATCTACTTTAGTTTGCTATTCATGTAGTTTATCCATTTATACCTTATTAGAAAACTTGGCCAAGGACAGTTGTGTAATACAATTAATGTGCCCCTCAGTTAGATGGCCACATTTCTCCTGTATTGACATTTTTACATCTGCTTTTGAGGCAGGAGAGGTATCCAAGGAAGTAACCATGTTCTTGGGATGCAGCAACCTTGGTGATCATACAATCAACAACACAAATCTCAGCATTTACATCGTAACTGAGCTCATTCAAGCAAAGCTATTTTCAATAGGGAATTTTCCCCATAGAGAGCATGTGCATTTTGATTTTACCTGTCCTCACAGTGACCCTTTGCTCATTATGATAGTAAAAAACACAGCCCTTGGGGGAGATTTAAGATGCTAATGAGACACGTAATGTATGAACAGACACGGACAGCTACTGTGCATGTGTACCCAGAGGACCACCCAGAACATGCTTACTAGTAACACCTCTTCCTACTTCCTTATGAATAATCATGTCAATTCCCATAAAGGGAGTTTCTCCAGCAAGAATCAATGCTGGAGAAACTCATCCTTATGAGCAGCCCGCCCTCTGTTCTCTCTCTCTCAGGGTGTACTGTCCATTCTGCACCTAACTCTAATTTTTTAATTATTTATTTATTTTGAGATGGAGTCAGGCTCTGTTGCCCAGGCTAAAGTGCAGTGGCATGATCTCGGCTCACTGCAACCTCTGCCTCCCAGGTTCAAGTGATTCTCCTGCCTCAGCCTCCCAAGTAGCTGGGACTACAGACGTGCACCACCACACCTGGCTAATTTTTTGTATTTTCAGTAGAGAAGGGGTTTCACCATGTTGGCCAGGCTGGTCTCAAACTCCTGACCTCGGGTGATCTGCCCGCCTTGGCCTCCCAAAGTGCTGGGATTACAGGCGTGAGCCACTGCTCCCAGCCCTGCGCCTAAATTTCAAAATATTTTTTTTCCTTTGCAGCAAATTGTTCCACACTCTATCTCCTTTGCTGTGTGTCTCTTGTTTAAATTATTTTAAGCTAAGAAGACAAGAACTGAGGTCTCACAGCAGCCGTCAACAGTCTAACTTTGGCTAGGGAGAGCCTATAGAAACTTCTATGCTGTGAGTTTCTATTTGTGCAACCTCAAATTTTGTTTCTTCTCTTTTAGATCAAATGGAGGTTCCCATGATTTTCTTTTTCCTCATGGAAACATGTTTGGTCAGAAGGGAAACAAACCAATTAAGGTGATACCAAAGGATGATCCTTGATACAGTTGTATTTTGGTGGAGCGTTGAGATTCGCCAGTGAACTCTAACAGTGAGGATGGCACTGGAATAAAAAGAGAAGAAACATGTACTAGAAGCCAAAAAACCTTGTCTTATTTTCTTTGAAAAAAGGATGCTCTAGCTAATAATAGCAATAGGGTTTCCACATGTGCTGTGCTGTTATTGTTGCCTGCAACAAAAGAACAACTTTGAATAATGAACAGTCTAGCTTCACAGCAGGACACTGTTCTACAGGGAGGCCCTCAATTATGGTGTATTTAATAATTAGAAATATGAGCAAGAATTGACCTTCCAAGTTGCATATATTATTCGCTTTACCTGCTCAATGTCACAGTGGGTGCCGTCAGGAAGACTGTGACTGAAAACCCTAAAGACTTTTCTGCCAAGTCCCATAAATAATCTGTTTGCCAAATGTGCCTGAGATGTACATGGCATATGCTTAGATCCATGTCGGAGTCTGGATGTGGCTCGTGGCCTTGAGTTTACAGAGTATTTGTACCTGTTTGTAGGGAAGGGACATACTGCAAATATGGCCGTGTGCCCATGCCCTCCAGAAAGAGACCCCTGCTCTTTTGAGAGACAATTAACCTGGGTATACAAGGTCCCTGATAACAAAATCCTACATGATGACATCTATTATTATTATTTTTTTTAAAGAGATAAAGTCTCGCTCTGTCTCCCAGGCTGGAGTGCAGTTGCACGATCTCGGCTCACTGCAACCTCCGCCTCCTGGGTTCAAGCGATTCTCCTATCGCAGCCTCCCGAGTAGCTGGTATTACAGGCGCCTGTCAACATGCCCAGCTAATTTTTGTATTTTTAGTAGAGACAGGGTTTTGCCATGTTAGCCAGGCTATTCTCGAACTCCTGACTTCAAGTGATCCACCCACCTTGGCTCCCAAAGTGCTGGGATTACAGGCATGAGCCACTGTGGCTGGCTGACATCTATTTTTTTTAAAATCTTTACATATTATAGTGAAATCATGCTTTCAGGAAAGAACTGAAGAGTGGAATTTTGAAATAATGATCACTCACTGATTCTCAGAGGATTCATACCAGTGTCCTTCCCTGGTTTTACTGCTCACTGTTAGGGCCAATCTTCAGTTCTCCAGAGCTTAAGGTTTAGAGGGAGTATCAACAATCAAAGGTCAGTAATGTTTTCAGAGAACATTCTATGCGTTACTATTCTTGGAGGAGTCAATGATATCCATATCCAAGGCGAGTGTTTCACACACAGCCTCTGTTTCCTTTTCTGGTTTCAGGTTTTTGCTAAGTTTATTTTTTAATATGGCAATGTATGTGCAAATACCTAGCACGGTGCTTCCATACAGTAGGTGCTCAATAGTTGACATCTTCCTTCTCCACTCCTTTTTCTAAACCTTGCATCTCAGCAGTGAGGATGTCAGCCTGGAGAATGCTGATGAGGCCCGGTGTGCCTCTTGGGTGTAGTTAATATATATCCTCAGGTAATGACTCTCATTTGAGAATCTTGTCTTGTACTGACCGTCATACAGTCCATTAGCCAAAGTCCCAAAAAGTCACTGGCAGATGTAAAAATTTGAGGTTGATGAAGCTAATCCTGGGGGTAGACACCAGGCCAGACTGCGAGTGCCCCTCGGTAGGCTAGCGAAGAAAAGAAATCAGGATGAGTGAACATCATTGCATATGGGCCTGGCAGGGAAATGCAAGGGATTGCATCAGGTTCCTGGGGCAGCCAGAGAATGTCAAGCATGAGAAACAGAAGGAAACCACACAGCCTGCTCTTTGAAGGTTAATTCTTTCACTTTGTAGGGCAGCTCTTCACTTACAGAGTCATGGCAAGGGGGAATTCACCAGCCTGGTCCATATGCTCTGCAGTCAAGCAGGGTGTGGGGCACCTTTCTGAACACCGTTTCTTTGCTGTTGTACCTGAGGACCCAGGGGCACTGAATACTGTTTCCAGCAAGCGTGGGCCTGTCTCCATTCTCAGCAATCTCTCTGCATGGCCCATATCAGCGGGGTCACACGAATGGAAGTGTCTCTTTTCAGCCATCTGGTGATTCATTCTTCCCTACCCCCTGTCTGGCATCGTGAGAGAGCTGCTCACACATTGCCAAGTCAGCTAGAGAGGAATGCTGCCACTGTGGCCTGCCAGACTTCAGTGGCACATTCAGAGGTCCTCTCTATGCACTCAAACTGTGTGTGATGGCAAAGTTAAAGTTAAAAAGAAAATCTCACAAAATGAATGCACTAGTTAATAGGTAAACTGGTGCGTGTGTGTGTGTGTGTGTGTGTGATGCATGTGTTGTAGGTACAGTCAAAGTGGCAAGGGCACATAAAAGCCTTGTGATTCAGTATTTTTAATGTTTAAATAGATTAAAATATGTTACATACATTTATGTGTACATTATGTATGTATATATCTTAGGGTGGCTGTAACAAACCGCCATAAACTGGGTGGCTTAAAAATCTCATGGTTCTTCCAGAAAAGAGCCCAAATAGCCAAGACAGTCCTAAGCAAAAAGAACAAAGCTGGAAGCATCACACTACCTGACTTCAAACTATACTACAAGGCTGCAGTAACCAAAACAGCATGGTACTGGTACAAAAAACAGACACGTAGACCAATGGAACAGAATAGAGAACTCAGAAATAAAGCCACACACCTACAACCATCTGATCTTCAACAAACCTGACAAAAACAAGCAATGGGGAAAAGATTCCCTATTTCATAAATTGTTCTGGGAGAACTGGCTAGACATATGTAGAAAATTGAAACTGGACCCCTTACTTACACCTTATGCAAAAATTAACTTGAGATGGATTAAAGACTTAAAACCCAAAACTATAAAAATCCTAGAAGAAAATCTAGGCAATATCAATCAGGACATAGGCATGGGCAAAGATTTCATGACGAAAATGCCAAAAGCAATTGCAACAAAAGCAAAAATTGACAAATGCAGTCTAATTAAAGAGCTTTTTTGCAACAAAATAAACTATCATCAGGGTGAACAGACAACCTACAGAATGGGAGAACATTTTTGCAGAAGAAAATCTAGGCAATATGAATCAGGACATAGACATGGGAAAAGATTTCGTGACAAAAAGCAATTGCAACAAAAGCAAAAATTGACAAATGTGATCTAATTAAACTAAAGAGCTTTTGCACAACAAAATAAACTATCATCAGGGTGAACAGACAACCTACAAAATGGGAGAACATTTTTGCAATCTATCCATCTAACGAAGGTCTAATAAACCAATTTACAAGAAAAAAAAGACCCCATTAAAAAGTGGACAAAGGACATGAACAGGCACTTCTCAAAAGAAGACATGCATATGGCCAATAAACATATGAAAAAAAAATCACTGATCATTAGAGAAATGCAAATGAAAACCACAATGAGATACCATCTCACACCAGTCAGAATGGTGATAATTAAAAAGTCAAAAAACAACAGATGCTGCTGAATTTGCAGAGAAAGGAATGCATTTACACTGTTGGTGGGAGTATAAATTAGTTCAACCATTGTGGCAAGCAGTGTGGCAATTTCTTAAAGACCTAAAGGTAGAAATACCACTTGACCCAGCAATCCTATTACTGAGTATATACCCAGAGGAATATAAATCATTCTTTTATAAAGATACATGCACATGTATGTTCATTGCAGCACTATTCACAATAGCAAAGACATGGAATCGACCCAACTGCTCATCAATGATAGACTAGATAAAGAAAATGTGGTACATATATTCTATGGAATACTATGCAGTCATAAAAAGGAATTAGATCATGTCATTTGCAGGGACATAGATGGAGCTGGAAGCCATTATCCTCAGCAAACTAATGCAGGAACAGATAACCAAACACTGCATGTTCTCACTTATAAGTGGGAGCGGAATGATGAGAACATATGGACACATGGTGAAGAACAACACACACTAGGGCCTGTTGGGGAGGGTGGGAGGAGGGAGCACATTAGGAAGAATAGCAAATGAATGCTGGGCTTAATACATAGGTGATGGGTTGATTTGTGCAGCAAACTAGCATGGTACACATTTACCTATGTAACAAAACTGTACATCCCGCACATGTACCCGTGAACTTAGGAGTTGAAGACTAAAAAATCTCATGGTTCTGGAGGCCAGAAGTAGGAAGTCAAGGTGTTGACAGGCATGGTTCCTCTTGGAGGTGTTGGGGGAGAATCTGTACCAGGCCTCCCTCCCAGCTTTTGGTATTACCAACAGTCCTTGGCCTTCCTTGGTGTGTAGCAGCATCACTCCAATTTCTGTCTCCATCGTCAACATGGTATCTTCTCTGTGTCTCTGTCTCAGTGTACAAATCTCCCTCTTTTTATAAGGATACTGGTCATTGGATTAGGACCCACTGTAATCCAGCCTGAACTCATCTTATTTTATGTCAATAAACAAAGACCCAATTTCCAAATAGGGTCACATTCCCAGATACTGGGTGTTAGGACTTAAACGTATCTTTTTAGAGGACACAGTTCAACCCACAACAAGGCTCAAAGACAATGCAGTGAAGAAAAGATAGCCCTTTTCAATAAATGGTGCCAGAGCAGTTGGATACCCATATGCAAAACAAAACAAAATAAAAAATAAAAAACAAAAGGACATTGATCATATCTAACAATCTACAAAAATAAACTCAGAAATGAATATAGACCTAAATGTAAAGCCTAAAAACACAAAACTTTCAGGAGAGAACATAGAAAAACAACTTTGTGACCTTGAGTTTGATAAAGGTTTGTTAGAAATGACGCCAAGGGTACAATCCATAAATGAAAAAAAAAATGATAAAATGGATGTTATCAAACTCAAAAACTTCTGACTTTTCAAAGATATTGTTAAGAGAATAAAAATGCAAACTACAGACTGGGACTATATCTTTGCAAAGCACATAAGTAATTTTTAAAAAGCATCTAAAACATAAAAAAGCATATAAAGTTTTTAAGGAATGTGTATGCAGAAAATATAAATAAATCTCAGAACTCAATAATAAGAAACAACCCAATTAAAAATGGACAAAACATCTGGAAACAGCATCAAAGCAGATATATGGATGGCAAAAAAGCACGAGAAGATGCTCGACATTATTAGTCATTAGGATATTGTAAGCTAAAGCCACAGTGAGATGCCGCAACTCTCCTATTATAAAAAGTCCAGCCACACCAAGTGTTGGTGTGGATGTGAAAAAAATGAAACTTTCATTTATTGCTAGTGGGAATAGAAAATGGTAAAAACACTTTGGAAAGCAGTTTTGCAGGGTTTTTTTTTTTCTTAAAGCATATACCTACTGTATATTCCATCCATTCCACACCTAGGCATTTACCAAGAAGAGGAAATATATGTCCATTTGAAGACTCATACATAAATGTTCATAGCAGTTTTGCTTACAATAGCCAAAAACTGCAAACAACCCAATTATCCATCCATATGCAAATCAATAAACAAATTGTCCTATAGCTATACAATGAAATGTTACTCAGCAACAAAACCCAATAAACTATTGATACACACAATGACACTGATGAATACCAAAATAATTATGATGAGTGAAAGAGTCGAGATCAAAGAAAAAAGTATCTATTGCATGATTCCATTTATATAAAAGTCTAGAAAATGCAAACCAATCAATAGTGGTAGAAAGCATAGCAGCAGTTGCTTGGGGTTGGAGAGGAGTAGGTCAGGATGGGAGGGAGGTGTTACAGAGGAGCAGGAGAGAACTTTTGGGGGTGACAGGTATACTCACCATTGTGACTGTGGCGGTGGTTTCATGGGTGTACACATATGTCAAAACTTAACAAATTCTATGCTTTAGATATGTGCAGTTTATTATACCTCAGTAAAAATTCAATACAATTGACCTTTTATTGAGGTCAATTATACCTCAATAAAATATATATATTGAATCCTTCTTATACATCAGATATTTTGCTAGGTGTTTTCATGAAATATTCATTTACTTCTGAAAGTACTTTGTGGTAGGGAGAGTGCTGAATTTCAAAGAATAATAATATATCTATGGAAATAAGAATATATTCTACAACGAAGAAATGGAGTGGAAGAAAGGAAATGATGAATGGAACCAAAAGTGATTTCCTGGAGTCAGAAAAAGAGGCAGGGTATTAAAAAAGGAAAAGACAATATGGCAGATTGTATTTTCCAACAATGGGCAACGTTATTTCTTATAATATAGATCTAGCTCTGACACTCTTCTCACTGAGAGGTGGAGCCCACATTCCCTCTTCTTCAACCTGGGGAAGCTTGTGACTGCCATAGAGGTAATGCTACATGACTTCTTAAGTCATTAAAGGTGATTTAGCTTCTGCTTGGTTTTCTTGTGATGTTTATACTCTTGTAACTCAGCCTCCATGCTGGGAGGATGCCCAAGCAGCTACATACCAAGGTTTGGCTGACAGTTGCTCCATTAGATATCCTTGTTGATAATCAGTGTCAACCACCAAGACATGGGTGAACAAACCAATGGATGTGTCAAGTCCTATCCCATGAATCACTCTCAGCCTTTGACCCTTCCCGGCTGAGACCCCAGACACTGTGGAGCAGAGACAGAGTGTCACAAAGTGTCAGATGCACCCTTTCTGAATTCCTGACCCACAGAATGTATGAGTATAATAAAATGGTTATCATTTTCACCAGTTTTTTAAATTAAAAAATTTTTTATGCAGCAGCAATGGTAACTGAAACGGGTGATAGGAAAGAAGGGGAAGAAATGGAAATAACAGTAAAAAAGACCAAGGATCCAGCCCTCCCGAAAAATTAGAGAAGATTCTATGGGTAGTTGTACCAGTTTTTGAGAGTGGCTACTCTCAGATAAGTGATGTAAGGCTTTCTGGGATAGGAGATAGAGAGCTTGGCATCACAGGCACCAGGAAGGTGACCACAGTAGCTAAAGCAATAGAGTGGAAGAAACTCTCTCATCATCAGTCATCTGATCATCCTTATAAAACCAACAGTGTGGCCAAACAAATGAGGTAGGATTTGCTAGCTTCCTGTCCCTGGAAGAAAGATGTAAGAAAAATTGGGTTGGAGTTATAGTTAATTACATAGTATATAAATTAGTATTCATGTGTATTTTTGCATAACATGAATCACAAGAGACAAAAATTCACCAGAAGATCATTTTAAAAGAGGGCCACGGCTGAGCTACAAGATGGCCAAATAGGAACAGCTCCAGTCTACAGCTCCCTGCATGAGTGACGCAGAACATGGTTGATTTCTGCATTTCCAACTGAGATTTGAAGAGAGCAGTGGTTCTCCCAGCATGGAGTTTGAGATCTGAGAATAGACAGACTGCCTCCTCAAGTGGGTCCCTGACCTCTGAGTAGCCTAAATGGGAGACACCTCCCAGTAGGGGCCGACTGACACCTCATATAGCCGGATGCCCCTCTGAGACGAAGCTTCCAGAGGAAGGATCAGGCAGCAACATTTGCTGTTCTGCAATATTTGCTGTTCTGCAGCCTCTGCTGGTGATATCCAGGCAAACGGTCTGGAGTGGACCTCCAGAAAACTCCAACAGACCTGCAGCTGAGGGTCCTGACTGTTAGAAGGAAAACTAACAAACAGAAAGGAATAGCATCAACATCAACAAAAAGGACATCCACACCAAAACCCCATCTGTAGGTCACCATCATCAAAAACCAAAAGTAGATAAAACCACAAAGATGGGGAGAAACCAGAGCAGAAAAGCTGAAAATTCTAAAAACCAGAGAGCCTCTTCTCCTCCAAAGTATCGCAGCATGTCACCAGCAATGGAACAAAGCAGGACAGAGAATGACTTTGATGAGTTGACAGAAGTAGGCTTCAGAAGATCAGTAATAATAAACTTCTCCTAACTAAAGGAGGATGTTCGGACCCATTGCAAGGAAGCTAAAAACCTTGAAAAAAGATTAGAAGAATGGCTAACTAGAATAAACAGCATAGAGAAGACCTTAAATGACCTGATGGAGCTGAAAACCATGGCATGAGAACTATGTGACGCATGCACAAGCTTCAGTAGCCAATTCGATCAAGTGGAGGAAAGGGTATCAGTGATTGAAGATCAAATTAAATGAAGTGAGAAGAGAAGTTTAGAGAAAAAAGAGTAAAAAGAAATGAACAAAGCTCCAACAAATATGGGACTATGTGAAAAGACGAAATCTACATTTGATTGGTGTACCTGAAAGTGATGGGGAGAATGGAACCAAGTTGGAAAACATTCTTCAGGATATTATCCAGGAGAACTTCCCCAATCTAGAAAGGCAGGCCAACATTCAAATTCAGGAAATACAGAGAATGCCACAAAGATACTCCTCGAGAAGAGCAACCCCAAGACACATAATTATCAGATTCACCAAGGTTGAAATGAAGGAAAAAATGTTAAGGGCAGCCAGAGAGAAACGTCGGGTTACCCACAAAGCGAAGCCCATCAGACTAACAGCAGATCTCTCTGCAGAAACTCTACAAGCCAGAAGAGAGTGGGAGCCAACATTCAACATTCTTAAAGAAAAGAATTTTCAACCCAGAATTTCATATCCAGCCAAACTAAGCTTCATAAGTGAAGGAGAAATAAAATCCTTTACAGACAAGCAAATGCTGAGAGATTTTGTCACCACCAGGCCTGCCTTACAAGAGCTCCTGAAGGAAGCACTAAACATGGAAAGGAACAACCGGTACCAGCCACTGCAAAAACATGCCAAATTTAAAGACCATCAATGCTAGGAAGAAACTGCATCAACTAACGAGTAAAATAACCAGCTAACATCATAATGACAGGATCAAATTCACACATAACAATATTAACCTTAAATGTAAATGGACTAAATGCTCCAATTAAAAGACACAGACTGGCAAATAGGATAAAGAGTCAAGACCCATCAGTATGCTGTATGCAGCAGACCCATCTCATGTGCAGAGTCACACATAGGCTCAAAGTAAGGGATGGAGGAAGATCCACCAAGCAAATGGAAAACAACAACAACAAAAAAAGCAGGGATTACAATCCTAGTCTCAGATAAAACAGACTTTAAACCAACAAAGATCAAAAGAGACAAAGAAGGCCATTACATAATGGTAAAGGTATCAATGCAACAAGAAAAGCTAACTATCCTAAATATATATGCACCCAATACAGGAGCACCCAGATTCATAAAGCAAGTTCTTAGAGACCTACAAAGAGACTTAGACTCCCACACAATAATAATGGGAAACTTTAACACCCCACTGTCAACATTAGACAGATCAATGAGACAGAAAGTTAACAAGGATATTCAGGACTTGAACTCAGCTCTGGACCAAGCAGACCTAATAGACATCTACAGCACTCTCCACCCCAAATCAACAGAATATACATTCTTCTCACCACCACATTGCACTTATTCCAAAATTGACCACATAGTTGGAAGTAAAGCACTCCTCAGCAAATGTAAAAGAATAATCATTAAAAAGTCAGGAAACAACAGGTGCTGGAGAGGATGTGGAGAAATAGGAACACTTTTACACTGTTGGTGGGACTGTAAACTAGTTCAACCATTGTGGAAGTCAGTGTGGCGATTCCTCAGGGATCTAGAACTGGAAATACCATTTGACCCAGCCATCCCATTACTGGGTATATACCCAAAGGACTATAAATCATGCTGCTATAAAGACACATGCACACGTATGTTTATTGCGGCATTATTCACAATAGCAAAGACTTGGAACCAACCCAAATGTCCAACAATGATAGACTGGATTAAGAAAATGTGGCACATATACACCATGGAATACTATGCAGCCATAAAAAATGATGAGTTCATGTCCTTTGTAGGGACATGGATGAAATTGGAAATCATCATTCTCAGTAAACTATCGCAAGAACAAAAAACCAAACACTGCATATTCTCACTCATAGGTGGGAATTGAACAATGAGATCACATGGACACAGGAAGGGGAATATCACTCTCTGGGGACTGTTGTGGGGTGGGGGGAGGGATAGCATCGGGAGATATACCTAATGCTAGATGATGAGTTAGTGGGTGCAGCGCACCAGCATGGCACATGTATACATATGTAACTAACCTGCACAATGTGCACATGTACCCTAAAACTTAAAGTATAATAATAATAAAAAAAAGAAGAGAAATCTTAACAAACTGTCTCTCAGACCACAGTGCAATCAAATTAGAACTCAGTATTAAGAAACTCACTCAAAACTGCACAACTATATGGAAACTAAACAACCTGCTCCTGAATGACTACTAGGTACATAATTAAATGAAGGCAGAAATAAAGATGTTCTTTGAAACCAATGAGAACAAAGACACAACATACCAGAATCTCTGGGACACATTTAAAGCAGTGTGTAGAGGGAAATTTATAGCACTGAATGCCCACAAGAGAAAGCAGGAAAGATCTAAAATCAACACCCTAGAGAAGCAAGAACTAGAGAAGCAAGAGCAAACACATTCAAAAGCTAGCAAAAGGCAAGAAATAACTAAGATCAGAGCAGAACTGAAGGAGATAGAGACACAAAAAACCCTTCAAAAAAATTAGTGAATCCAGGAGCTGGTTTTTTGAAAAGATCAACAAAATAGACCACTAGCAAGACTAATAAAGAAGGAAGGAGAGAAGAATCAAATAGATGCAATAAAAAATGATAAAGGGGATATCACCACCAATCCCACAGAAATACAAACTACCATCAGAGAATCCTATAAACACCTCTATGCAAATAAACTAGAAAACCTAGAAGAAATGGATAAATTCCTGGACAAATACACCCTCCCAAGACTAAACCAGGAAGAAGTTGAATCTCTGAATAGAACAATAACAGGCTCCGAAATTGAGGCAATAATTAATAGCCTATCAACCAAAAAAAGTCCAGGACCAGACGGATTCACAGCCGAATTCTACCAGAGGTACAAAGAAGAGCTGGTACCATTCCTTCTGAAACTTTTCCAATCAATAGAAAAAGAGGGAATCTTCCCTAACTTATTTTATGAGGCCAACATCATCCTGATACCAAAGCCTGGCAGAGACACAACAAAAAAAGAGAATTTTAGACCAATATCCCTGATGAACGTCAATGCAAAAATCCTCAATAAATTACTGGCAAACCAAATCCAGCAGCACATCAAAAAGCTTATCCACCACAATCAAGTTGGCTTCATCCCTGGGATGCAAGGCTGGTTCAACATATGCAAATCAATAAACGTAATCCAGCATATAAACAGAACCAAAGACAAAAACCACAGGAGTATCTCAATAGATGCAGAAAAGGCCTTCAACAAAATTCAACAGCCATTTATGCTAAAAACTCTCAATAAGCTAGGTATTGATGGGACATGTCTCAAAATAATAAGAGCTATTTATGACAAACCCACAGCCAATATCATACTGAATGGGCAAAAACTGGAAGCATTCCCTTTGAAAACTGGCACAAGACAGGGATGCCCCCTCTCACCACTCCTATTCAACGTAATGTTGGAAGTTCTGGCCAGGGCAATCAGGCAAGAGAAAGAAATAAAGTGTATTTGATTAGGAAAAGAGGAAGTCAAATTGCCCCTGTTTGCAGATGACATGATTGTATATTTAGAAAATCCCATCGTCTCAGCCAAAAATCTCCTTAAACTGATAAGCAACTTCAGCAAAGTCTCAGGATACAAAATCAATGTGCAAAAATCACAAGCATTCTTATACACCAATAACAGACAAGCAGAGAGCCAAATCATGAGTGCAGTCTCATTCACAATTGCTTCAAAGAGAATAAAATACCTAGGAATCCAACTTACAAGGGATGTGAAGGACCTCTTCAAGGAGAACTACAAACCAGTGCTCAACAAAATAAAAGAGGACACAAACAAATGGAAGAACATTCCAAGCTTATGGATAGGGAGAGTCAATATCATGAAAATGGCCATACTGCCCAAGGTAATTTATAGATTCAATGCCATCCCCATCAAGCTACCAATGACTTTCTTCACAGAATTGGAAAAAACTACTTTAAAGTTCATATGGAACCAAAAAAGAGCCCACATTGCCAAGACAATCCTAAGCAAAAAGAACAAAGCTGGAGGCATCACACTACCTGACTTTAAACTATACTACAAGGCTACAGTAACCAAAACAGCATGGCACTGGTACCAAAACAGAGATATAGACCAATGGAACAGAACAGAGCCCTCAGAAATAATACCACACATCTACAACCACCTGATCTTTGACAAACTGGACAAAAACAAGACATTGGGAAAGGATTACCTATTTAATAAACGGTGCTGGGAAAACTGGCTAGCCATATGTAGAAAGCTGAAACTGGATCCCTTCCTTACACGTTATACAAAAATTAATTCAAGATGGATTAAAGACTTAAATATTAGACCTAAAACCATAAAAACCCTAGAAGAAAACCTAGGCGATACCATTCAGGACATAGGCATGGGCAAGGACTTCATAACTAAAACACCAAAAGCAATGGCAACAAAAGCCAAAATTGACAAATGGGATCTAATTAAACTAAAGAGCTTCTGCACAGCAAAAGAAACTACCATCAGAGTGAACAGGCAACCTACAGAATGGGAGAACATTTTTGCAATCTACCCATCTGACAAAGGGCTCATATCCAGAATCTACAAAGAACTTAAACAAATTTACAAGAAAAAATCAAACAACCCCATCAAAAAGTGGGCGAAGGATATGAACAGATATTTCTCAAAAGAAGACATTTATGCAGCCAACAGACACATGAAAAAATGCTCATCATCACTGGCCCTCAGAGAAATGCAAATCAAAACCACAATGAGATACCATCTCATACCAGTAAGAATGGCGATCATTAAAAAGTCAGGAAACAACAGGTGCTGGTGAGGATATGGAGAAATAGTAACACTCTTACAGTGTTGGTGGGAGTGTAAACTAGTTCAACCATTGTGGAAGACAGTGTGGCGATTCCTCAAGGATCTAAAACCAGAAATACCATTTGACCCAGCAATCCCATTACTGGGTATATACCCAAAGGATTATAAATCATGCTGCTATAAAGACACATGCACACATATGTTTATTGTGACACTATTCACAATAGCAAAGACTTGGAACCAACCCAAATGTCCATCAATGATAGACTGGATTAAGAAAATGTGGCACATATACACCATGGAATACCATGCAGCCACGAAAACTGATGAGTTCATGTCCTTTGTAGGGACATGGATGAAGCTGGAAACCATCATTCTGAGCAAAGTTTCGCGAGGACAGAAAACCAAACACCGCATGTTCTCACTCATAGGTGGGAATTGAACAATGAGAACACTTGGACACAGGGTGGGGATCATCACACACCAGGGCCTGTCGTGGGGTGGGGGGAGGGGGGAGGGATAGCATTAGGAGAAATACCTAATGAAAATGAAGAGTTAATGGGTGCAGCACACCAACATGGCACATATACACATATGTAACAAACCTGCACGTTGTGCACACGTACCCTAGAACTTAAAGTATAACTTAAAAAAATAACAAATAAAAGAGGACCACTTGGCCTAATTTTATCGACTTCTTCTATCAGAAACTTGATCTTTAAGAATAAAGCAGAAGCTTCCCCAATCCAGATATTTATATATAATAATCTGTTGAAGGTTCTTTATTGTAAAAATGACAAATGGATATGACAGTGAGTCAATCTGCAATGAGAACTGCTTGTAAAGTGTGTCTGTCCTACATTCATATAGTCCCAGCACTATATGGAAATACTGTGAATTCTGTCATCAAGGCCTAGTTCTGCAATATTAGTGAATTAATGACAACTTTTAATCAATGTGCCTGCACTGATTTTTAACTTGTTGAATACCATTTTCAGGATTCATAGATTCTTTCTTGTGTGAACAACCCCATGTTTGTCTTTGCTATATGCCATGCTTGAATATTCTCTTTTTTAAATTTTTCATTGCTAATTTTTATCTTTGCTTGTGTTCTTATTCAGAATACATTTTCAGATTGAGTCTCATCAATTGGTTTCTACAGATTCTCCTGTTTCCCTCCAACATGTAAATTATAGGCTAGCTGTCATACCTGTTGACAAACAAATGGCTGAATAATTTTACAGCTCTCTGGCCTAACCTGATCACATTGTCTGTATAGAGATGATGATGGTTTTCTTTTTCTTTATTCCCAGAGGGATCAGCATTTGTATTACATTGTGGCAGTAGAAAGGGAATTTTAAAACTCATTTGGAGTGGGAATCTCTTAGCTTAGAGTATGAAGCTGAAATAGATCTATTTTGTGCTTCAATCACGCTTCCTGTATTACACCATTAACTATCCTCCCAGGGACCAGAAGATTCAGGAGATTTTGTTTAATTACTTCATGCCCAATATCATGGGGACCACATTTGCAGGATGTGGGGCATGATAACGCCCTGTGGTTAGGATAACAGCTGTTCTCAGTTGTAACATAAGCAGTACAAAGTGAAATACTCACAAAATTATCCTCAGGGCTGTGGTAGGAAGGAAGAATGTTATAGAGGTTGATTTGCCTACATCCATATAATTGGTATATTGTAAAGCCTAGTTTGGACTCAAGTCCATGCTTTTTCTTTTGCTTTGTTAAATGTATTTATTTTTACATTGCACTCTATCCTTGAAGAGGATGTGTGAGAGCTGCCTGCCTTTCATGGGAAGAAAGGGTTAGTATGCTGAAGGCTGAAGAGAATTTGGTGGCTGTTAATGTACCATGTAATGGTACCATGTAATGTGTAATATGCAAAAAAGCACATCCTACTGCCTCCCAGACCCTCATCAGCTTTCCTTACATTTCTGTAAACTGTTCATGTTTTACTGAGAAAACAATTCACAACACCACTCTGCGGGAAGATGGGACCCAGTACAGATGGGACATAGTTTAATCTTCATGTGTTAGAGAGTGAGTAACTACATATCAGAGGTTTTCAAAATGTGGTTCCTGGACCAGCAGCATCAGCATCTCCTGGGAACATGTTAGAAATACAAACTGCCCCAAATCGACTGAATCATAAATTCTAGGGGTGAGGTAGTTTAACAATTTCTTCACGTGATTCTGATACATTAAAATTTGAGAACTGTTGCTATAATCAAGGCTCTCAGGGAATGATTTTGTTCACAATTTGTCCTCAGTTGTGAGGATAGTTGTGTAAAATATTTTTTAGTAATAGAATGTCAAATAGAGATCCCTCCCATCATGTAGCCAAGAAGTGTTAAGCACCTACTGTATGCAGAAGAGTATGCTAGCTATTGTAGCAAAAGGAAAGATGAATAAAATATGGTTTCAACCATCTGTGAGCTCAATTTGCCAATGAAATAGAGATGTAAGTAGCACAGTAGCCTGCCTCATTGGGGGCTATGTGTAATAACCTTTTGCAAAATGAAAAATATGGGCTAAATTCACCATTGTATAGTTGATATTACCAAACCACCCTTTGCTCTTTTCAGGGATGAAGAAATGGAGGGTGTTCATTAAAAGCTTAACAGTTTGAACCATAATGTTCATATGGTTAGCTACTGAAACAGAATGCAGCCTCACACTTCTTTTCCATTGCTTTTGCCTTACAAATTAGCCCCAACCCCGGGAGCCTGAGGCTAGATCAGGATTACAAAGTCATCTTCTACCTGTTCAGCAATTAAACAAATTCACAATAGACTTTTCCTTCTATTTAACTTTTATTAAAAGAAGTGCTAAGGTACTGAGATGCAGTACATCATATTTATTACCAAAATTATTAACAAATATACAAAACTTGTACATGTAATTTTCTTACATCCATTTATTCTCTATAATACTGATTTTTGTTCAAGTAGGTTATCTACAGTATGTAAACATCCCTTGGATTGACCTCACACAGATTAGGAAAGCCCTCTAACCCATGCTTTTGTCAGATACTTCTTTTTTATTTGGCTTTCATTTGTAGCATCTAATCTCCACATTTGGCACATGGAAGAGACATCTACAGTGCAAAAGAGGCAGATTTTTCTGGTTTCATTCTGAACAATTTTGCAGGGGCACAGTTAAATAGCTGAGAGGAGACACGAGCACTCTAACTTGATGGCGTTGGATGAGCTGTAATGCCAACATCTCTTGGTTCAGCCACTAAACTTGAGCATAAAGTCAATGTCTCTTCCTTCACCCACCCTCCCACCCATCCACCCCCATGCAAGGCTGATTCAGTCTTAACCTTGTCTCAAAAGGGTTACGGGAAATTCCATCCATCCCAGAACAAGTAGGTTAATTTCACTGAGTAACAAGTTTTTTGTTCTTTCTTGTGGGTTGGTTTCTGTGGTTTGAGCCAGCAAAACTCTTAAATGGAGAATAAGATAAGATAAAAAACAGATACGAGAGTAGAACTTTCTGCTTTCAATTGGCATCTCTGTATCCAAGGCCAGAGCCTTTCTGTGGTGGAAAAGTGACAAAGGCCTTAGCGAATGGCAGAGAAAAGCCACCCTTGTCAGAACACCTTGGACTCCAAGCCTTCGCACACAGTGTCAGAAAAATCAAAAAGAAAAGAAAAAAAGGTAATTAAAGATTCTGCCCTCTTCCTTCTGGGTTTCCTTTTGCTTATTTAACTTAATCTACCCAAGTAAAGCTGATCCAGAGAGAGCTCTGTTCGCCTGCTCACCCCCATTCTCACTCTCCAGCACAGTATTGCTCGTGTGGTTGGCTGCACCTTGTCCGCGAAGCACCCGCGGAGAACGTCTGGATTTGGACGCGCGCCTGCCTCCTGGCTTCCGTCACCACAGCGGCGCGGGTCCCTCCGACGCCCCGTAGAGCTCGGCCAGCTTCCGGAAGCGGGGCCCCCAGTCCGTCAGGAAGTCGAAGCTCTGTTCCGAGTCCGACGTGGCCGACTGCAGGGAGCTCAGCGACCCCGCCACAGAGCCGTCCCCCTCGAACATATACGTCTGGAGGGAGTCGAAGGGCGGTGCCCACAGGTCCATGTCGGCCTCGTAGAGCTTGGCCAGCACGTAGCTGTGGACAGTGCTGTTCACTGCGCACGTCTGAGGCACGTAGCGGGAGAGGCTCTCGATCTCGGGCAGCATGTCCTGCCGCGTCTTGGGGGCGGCCCCCGCCTGCGCCTCCCGGGGGTTCCACATGGCCGCGATGTCGAAGGCCTCGGTGTCCTCCTCGCCGCCGCCCTCGTCGTCGTAGCGGACGATGTTCTCGTGGATGTTTTCCTCGTCGTCGATGATGTATGGTTGTTTCCGGTGCCGCCTCATGGACAAAATGAGCAACACCAGCACTGCCAGGAACAAAAAGGAGAGTGTGTTTACCGAGGAGATGTGGCTGTGTGTGCGGTGACTAGAAGTAGTCTTGATTCACCACGGATAGGGGAAGGGCTACCGAGTGGAGGGCTCAGAGATAGCTTTTGGATATCTGAAACCTCGGGGAGTTCTAATTTAAGTCCACTTTGTCCTCTTTCTGTAAGTCAGGTTGTGGACAATGAAGCCCTGTATTTCTTCAAATGGTTTAATTAGAAAAAGTTGCCTATAGTCGCTTACCATCAGCTTGCTGTTTTGAAATTGTGTGTCTACACCTAACACCCAATTTAAAATCCCACTAACAAAGCACAAAGGCCTGCTATGGACCAACATACTCTAAGGACCAGATCACGTGCTCTGTTTATATGATGAAAAATATACATTTATCCTCTTATAATGTGAAAGTCTTATTATGTAGGTGGAATTCTGCTTCCGTATATTAGCATCTTAATAGGATTCTACTCTGTATATAATCATATCTTAATATGCATAGAGACACACATACTAAGTGTGCACCAAAGTTGTAGTCTTTTTATACCTCTAAAAAACAACAGAACATAAGTGATCCCTGGGGTCCAATAAACTCAGGTTCCTCAGAGAAGCCTTTCATTAAAGAGGTGGTTGTGGCTTTCTGGACCCAAGGGTATTTATGGAAGGCAGAGAATGAGCAGTGGCCTTTTATATAATTCATCATGTTATCAAAGAAACACCACACTGTTAGATGTGCCCTTGCAGGTTTGGATAAAATTTTATCCCAACAAATGCATTTTTCCCCCCTAGAATGTGTTCGCTGGGGTTTAAAGGAGAGATAGAGATAATCCCATTGAGCTATTTATCTCTCTGAAAACGTTTTCCAGGAAGAGTGTTGAGGTTTTAGCTGTAGAACTGCTATTGATTTTTTTTTTTTCTGGTGTGCTTTGTTATAGCTGGTGAACAGTGACAGTTTGACAGCACTGCAAAATAAGACCCCAGTTTATCCAAGGGGAGAAAGTGGAGTACATTCATACATGCAGTAAAAGATTACCGACTAATAAAACTCACAACAATGATTTAAAAATTTTTTTGAATGTAGATGTGCTTTTTTATCAATTGCAATTAATGACATTAATACGTAATATTTTCCCAGATAGCTTTGGTGACAAAACATACACAGGAAACGATGATACGCTCATGTGTATTTTCCCTGTGTGCAAAAATACGAGGCGTGGACTGAAAGGAGGGTGGGATTCCTAGAGAAAAAGAGACTAATAGGACTCTAAGGAAGCGTGGGCTTGAATCGAGCCTGAAAGGTTGGAGTGTGATTTGGATTGATGCAGGTTGGAGACGTGAGATTCGAAGTGAGCATGCTGTGTTTGCAGGATTCAGTAAAGTTATTAAACCCAAGTATTTTTAATCCTCTATGCTAAGCAATGGGGAAACAATATTGAGTGTGACATGGATTCTGCTCTTGTGAGCTTGTAATCTAAGGAGATTATGGATGCTGATAATTAATGCAAGTCAGACAGTGATAAGGGCTGTTAGAGCCACAAGTGTCACTGGGAGAGTACAGAGGCAGGGCCAGTGAATTTTACCTGGGAGACTGGGTAGGGCTTCACAGAGGTGACCTTGAAGTGGTAGGGGCGGTATTTTGGATAACGCTAGGAAGCAAAATTGGAAGTCTTTTGAATACCTTGCTGGAGAGAATTCTGATGGTCATGGAGAATTAGGCCGTTTATATAGAACTAGTCCGTCTTTTGAAAAATAAAGACAGCTACATGTCTTTTTTTTTTTAAGGTAATCTAATTAGGTAAATAACAAATATTACATAACAAATATTACATGATGCCCTGAAAATCAGATTTTGAGGAAAATGGTCTTATTCAGCTGAAAGGCTTCTCTGACAGAAGAGAATTAGTTCTAGGGATGGTTTATTCTTCGTGTACTATAGGCACGGTGCGTAGAGCTTATGAGATTTTCTAGGCACTAGATACATATATGAGACATGAAAAAAAAAAACCCAGGAAGTCAGAATTAATTTATTTAGTTGTCTATAAAATATAGTATTTTGTTGACAAATGCAAGTCAAATCTTAAAGTTTGATGAATTATTTTTAATGTGGGATGTGTACTCTTAGAAGTAAGGGTACTTAAAACTGTGAGGATTTTATGACAGCTCTGCTCAATTTAGCTCCTGAAAACTGTTTACTTTTTCTGTACGGTTTAAAAGACAAGACATCATCGTGGGTGGGAAGGGATAAGATAAATTGTCCCTTGCACACCATTTTTAACTTGAGAGCCTCTCCAAGCCAGTCTCTTTAAATCAGTATTTCTGTAATGATGGCTTTTTGTGGGCCAGGGCGAACTTTTAACTTCGACATTTTCCAAAGATAGAAGTAAGGACAGCCAGTCTGGAAATTCCTCCCAGGAACAAGTTTCTTCAAAGGCCTCTTACAGGTCATCCACTTCTGTGCTAAAGGACTCCCAATGCCACCTTATGGAAACTCAAGGAATTGCAGGGAGGTTTTACTTGTCAATGCAGTCAGGGACCAGAAACCGTAACAATTTTCTCTTGACACAGGGATCCAAGAACTTAGAAAGGTTACTTATTTATACTCTTCCTCTCTTTACGTAGGACTGAACTAAAACAACAAAATTAAACCACATGTTGTATTTTTAAATGTATTTTGAGAAGCACATTGCACGGACCTACCTAGAAAATCAAGTGTTGACATTTTACACAGGAACTTCTTTCTTTGGTCTGTCTCTTGGTATAGAGGTGAACTTGGGATCAAGGGTGTATGTGAATATCTGTACCTCTATTCTAATTTCAATCCTCAGGGCTTTTTCCCTCAGAAAACTCGGACTTCTTTTGTATTGAATAATACTAGTATCTACTAAATCTGTTTTTCTCTAAGCATGATATATATGCTATAGATTAGTTCAATAAGAAGAGCAAGGATATATGTACAGATACTTTCTTTTTTGCAAGAGTTGGTTTAGGTGTTTTTATTTCACTGTTTTTGAGTGTGGAATTAGAAAAGAATTGCAAGGATGGCCTTACATACCAGGGAGTTGGGGAGCCACCTTGCAGTATGACTTGAGAGGAAGAAGGAAGGGTTCCTTACCCCAGTAGTGTTCTGCCACTGCTAGCCTGTTATGTCCTTATTTCTTCAGCAGAGGCAAACTGACCCTGTTTAGTCACTGTTCCTGGTTAGATGGCCATGGTGCCTAGGAGGTGTACTAATCACCCCAAACAGCTTATTCTCCAGAAATCTGTGTGGTTCACACCATCACTTCCTTCAGCTCTCTGCTCAAAGGTCTTATCAGTAAGGGATTCCCTGACTACCCTGTTTGAAGTGGCGTCTATCCCTGTCACTTTTCCAACCAGGATACCTTATCCCTCTTCCCTTCCTGTAATACCACCTCCAGAATCGGGATGAGCATTTAGGAGAAAGGCAGTGCCTTTGAGCCACAGGGGTGCCCAGTGTATATAGCCTGCCTGCATTTCAGCCCTGGCTGTGCCTCTGACTTTGGTTTTGAGCCTGTCACTTACCCGTTTGTGACTTAGCTACTACTTAAATGAAGGGGTTAGAAGAGGTGATCATCAAATCCTGTCTAAATTGTAATTTTGATTCTATGATGTCAAAATGAACCTGCTTTGTTCTGAAGTAAACTCAGGAAGGCCAGGACTTGTCTGTTTTATTAATCCTAGCACCTTGTGTGGTGCCCCAGCTCATAGTAGATACTTTATAAGTATATGTGCTTTGATCTTGCCACAGACACCTCGAAGAAGGGACTGTCCTCAATTTCTTTACTGTTTTTTGTGCAGCCTCACTCTACCACCTTTTGAGTAAGCAAGGTGTGGAAGACCAGTTCTGAATAGCTGTGTCAGGAAGGTAATGAACAAATGTCTGAGTGCGCACTGGCAGGACTCCACAGAAGGGAAAGCAGCCCCTTACTCACCTAAGAGGACAAAGATGCAGGCGAGGATGGCAATGAGGGCGCCCCGGCTCAAACTGACTGGGAGCATGTAGGCCTCTGGGCTGCAGGACATGACGTGGCCGTCGTCATCACAGCTGCACACTTGGATGGTCAGTGTGCCTGTGCTGCTCAGCACGGGCTGCCCGCTATCTGCTATCAGGATAGGCAGGTGAAAGACACTCTGCTCCTGCTGCCGGAAACCAGACCTCCTGGTTAGAATCCGTGCTGTGTTATCTGAAAGAAGGAGGGGTTCCAGGATTGGAAAAGGGAAGGTGAATTAATTTCTTGGATTGAGGAAAGCAAGGGGGCAGGGGCAGGGTGTAGGAAGGAAAGAGGATAGTCAGATATTCCCTGGTAGTGGTCAACCATGGCGGGTTTGCCTGGATCAGCATTTGGATTCAGAAACCATGCTTTTTGCTTGCTTTTAGGCAAAACCCTGAGGCCTAAGAAGAGAAAGCCTCTTTTTTTTTTGAGTCTGTCTTATCCTTTGTGACATAAAGTGCCCAAGGCAAACTGTCAGACTTCAGATCTAACAAAAATGTCCCTGGGAAAGCTTGACAGAAAAGAACAATCACTGGTGACTTGTGGTCACTGTTTGTTCCTGCTCAGCAGCTTGCCAAGGCCCCAGTGCTGCTTTGCGCCTCCAGGAAAAGAATGCTGAGGAGCCTGTGTGACTGTGGCAGATTACTTATTTTTGCCGCTTTGTCTGGAATTCACGTCTTTTACTATTTTCTTTTATGCTTCTGAAATGCAGTCACCAACTCCTGTGTTTCCTAAAGAACCTGCTCATTTAGTAGAAGCTTCTTTGAAATCCCCTAATCATATGACACACCTTGTTATTTCTCCTGGGTTGGTGGTCTCACTTTAAGCAGTTAAAATGAACTTGGTGAAACTTTGTTACTGATCAATACTAGAAATCTTTCCTCCAGTTTTAAAGGGGATTAGTCAAATTATTAGATATTTTCTACAAAGTTGGGATGTGTATGTGTGTGTGTTTACATTTATATTCACATATTGTGTTGTGGGAGTTTTCATTTTTAAAATCTACATTCTCAAGTTTCCTGGTGTAGGTTTGAATTCTAAAGTAGATATACTTTTGCAAAGCTCAGATTATTTTCAGCAGAGGAAAAATTTGAGAGATGTAGTAGGACATGCAAGAAGTGATTCTCAAAGCTAATACCACCAACACAGAGGTCCCATGGATGTGTTTCATATTTCATAGGAAAGAGTCTAGAACATCACAAAAAATTTTGAGAGCCTAACCTAAGAAAACATTATTAGTGATTATCAATATTTCTGGTTCTTCTTCCCATTTTGGACATAATAAAGGATTACACTTTTCTATCCTCTTAAATGTGGGTATGTCTGTGTGATTTGCTTTAGTTGATGAGCAATAGTGATTTGTGTTACTTCTAGGCAGAAGTCTGTATGAGCTGGTGTGTAAGTCTCCATGCTCTTTCCTTGCTGTAGTTACTGAGAAAGAACCACAGGGTGTGAGATGCAGAGCGGGGCGGCCTGGGACGCTGAGCTCAGACCCACAGCAGGCTGTATGTGAGCAAGAAATTAACTGTAGTTGTGCTAAGCCACTGAGATTTTTGTGGTAGTTGTTCCCATAGCATAATCTGGGCTATTCTGAGTAACACATTACCCCTTAATTAACTTTTCTTCCTCCACTCTGCTTTTTATGCTAACAGCTATTGTTACTAAAGGCTCATGTGCCATGTACCTGGACTTTGCATGCAGTATCTCACTCAATCTTCACAATTTGGACATAGTAATAATCTTACTCGTTTTCAGAAATAGAAGTAAGGCCTAGAGTGATTTTATTATTTGTTTGAAGCCACTAACCTAGTTAGTAGCAGAGCTGGGATTTGAACTCTGGTCTCTCTGGCTCCAAAACATGTACATGTTCCATTGTGCTACATAACTGCTTATTTAGTTTAGTAATATTAACTGTCAAAAAAAATTCAGATAAGCATAACCTCTTCCTGCTTTGATACAGGCTACTTCTTATTTTCTTCCCAATGGAGAAAGGATGCCAACCTGAGGATTATATTCATATTTCCACCTACCAAACAACCCGTGCACCTTTCTGTGTTCCAGACTTAATAGCTAAATACTATCAATTCCACTTTGTAGTTTTAATTGCTTGTTTTTTCAGAAAGCAGGTTTTTCTCTAATCAGAACTTTTTTTTTATTTTTTTGGTTTAATCCAGGTGAGGTCATGAGACTTTTAGAAAGTCTGACTAGAGCCGAAATTCATAAAAGTATTATACCTACGATATATATGTTTCTTGATCTAAGAATTATTTAAGATTAAAGAAAAATATCAGAGCATCACATTGCTGAGTCCAGTGCTGGAAGGGGCCTGGCATATAGTAGCCACTTGGAAAATTTTTGTTGAATGTGATAATGAGGACTTTAGTAACTTATTTGGAAACAGCATTTTTTTCTGAGGTGACACAGAACACTGTGTGTGTGGGGCGGGGGTGTAGTGGGGGGGCATGGTAAAACAGGACTCAATTTCTAATCCCAGTTTTAATGCTTATTCAGCTTATTGACTCTGGTCTTGGGCCATTTGCTTACTTTCCTCATCTATCAGATGGGACAATAAGAATCAGAGGGATTAATAACTTCCTTAAAGCCTCACAGAATTATTGTAAATATCAAATAAGGTATGGGAAAATACTTTGAAACTGTAAAGTACTATATACACATAATTCTTTTCATAATGTTTTGGGGCTGAAAAGTAAAAAAAGGCTTTACTGGAGATAGTGCCCTGTTGTGTTCATAAAAGGACATCATGTTTCAGGCACAGGAACAGAGGTAGTTGACAGTAGATCTGCCCTATATTAGTCAGTTTTTGTTGTGGTGGCTTTTTTTAGAGACAGGATCTTACTCTGTCACCCAGTCTGGAGTACAGTGGTCTGATCATAGCTCACTGCAGCCTTGAACTCCTGGGCTCAAATGATCCTCCCACCTTAGCCTCCCAAGTAGCTGGGACTACAGGTGCATGCCACCATGTCTGGCTACTTAAAAAAAATTGTTAGGGATGGGGTCTTGGTGTGTTGCTCAGGCTGATCTCAAACTCCTGGCCTCAGGTGACCCTCCTGTCCCAGGCTCCCAACTAGCTGTGACTACAGGTGTGTGCCACCATGCCTGGCTAATTTTTAAAATATGTTTTTCAGAGATAGGGTCTTGCTGTGTTGCCCAGGCTGGTCTTGAACTCTTGGTATCAAGCAGTTCTCCTGCCTCAGCCTCCCAAAGTGTTGGAGTAACAGGCATGAGCCACTGTGCCTAGACTTGTTCAGTTTTAAAATGAGCCCCAGTAAAGGATACTCGTGAGATAAATTGTCATTTGGAGATTAAGAGTTCATGCTTTCTGTTGAAGATGTGCTGACTTCTGTTTTGGGAAACCTTCCAAGAGATGAGTCACGTCTTACTATAGTCATCCAGTGCCGGTGGCCCATCTTTTTAAGGAATTGGTTCCATAAATTGGTGCCCAAAGTCCTCTTTAAGAAATTTGCAGCATTTTGCTGCATTTTGTTTCACTCATTAGAATGATAGCTTAGCTGAACAGTTGAAGAAAAAATATAATGTGTTACAATGTGTTATTTTCCCTCCCCAGGGTTGCCTTTGTAAAGCCAATCCTAGGTTGAAAGCACTTTTTGCGGGAATAGTTTCCCTATGAAGCAGATAAATGAATAGTTCAAAATTTTGACCCAATAAAAACTTCAGGATATTTAATTGAAGTATTTCTGCCTTTATAATTCATATTACCATTCCTTCCAGAATTATTATAGTATTTTTATGGTGACATGTAGGAGGTTGAAGGGATGACTTAGAAGAATGCTTTGCCATTTAGAAGAAAACAGGTTTGAGAATCTCAAGTTTTACAGCAGAAAACTGTCATGTGGGGTTGAAGTAATACTTTTAATCTCAAATAATTGATGTTTGAAACTAAAACCAGGCGTGCCTAACCTAATCATGACTTTTTGTTACCCTTTGCTTAGATTTTTACAAAGCGGCAATTAATATTTTAGAATCGGAATGAAAATGACGCTACTGCAGTCTCAAGAAGTGATGACCTTCCCAGGGTCAGCTGGCTAGCTGGCAGCAGAGTTAACAACAGATGAGGTTCATTTGACAGTTTAACTTATTTTTTCCATTGCCCTGACCTTTTTTTTTCTTTTGAAGCAAATCATCTGGCTACAGAACAAAAGTCCTTCCTTTTCCCATCTGTGCCCAAAGAAGAGTGTGCTGGGTCTATGAGCCCCTTAGCTGGTCTGAATGCTTGTTGGAAAAAAGGGGCCTAGAATTCTGTTCCATCAAAGCTATAGCGGGGAGCAGTTTATGGATAGGGAACCCTACCTGAAAGTATTTCTCTAAATCATTCTAAAGTAATAAAGCTGTTTCAGTGCCAAAACTGTGTTTATGGTCCTGTATTTGCTCTTTGTTATCTCTATTATCCTTTGTCTCCTTATTGTTTGGAGAGCTTTTTACTGTTTCCTGCTTTGATCTCTGCCTAGAAATGTGCCCCCAGGGGTTTTTTATTTTATTGTATTTTATTTTTTATCCTAGATCACTTTCTATCTTTCTCAGATTTTTCCCGTTGTTACAGAACATATGAACAGGGCTGCTACCAGTGGGAATGAAGGATTTTGCCTCTGTGCTTTGCAGTGTTTCTGGCACGGGACAGGCACTCAGTAAACATCTGCCGACTTACTGACTGAATGAGTTTTAGAGTTGGCAAAGGGTTCTCTGTGTTTGTTGTTCTGAAACAAAACTTTAAAAGACACTGTGAGGCTGGGCACGGTGGCTCATGTCTGTAATACTAGCACTTTGGGAGGCTGAGATGGGAGGACTGCTTGAAGCCAAGAGTTCAAGACCAACCTGGCCAACATAGACCCCATCTCAAAAAAAAAAAAAAAAATACACTGAATTATTAACATCCTCCCTGCTGGTATGGAACAGGTAGCCTTTGACACTGTTTGCATAAGACAGTAACCCAAAGTAGCTGGCCTATGCTGTAGAAAAGCACAGATAGCCAACCATCCACCTGATTACCTTGGTTGTCCCTTATGGTAAAGTTGGGGTTGTTAGCAGCCTCAGGAGCCAAGCTGTAGTAGAAATGCTGACCATTGCGTGGGTCATCTTGGTCCACCGCACTCACTGTCTGGATCAGCTGAGGGAGGGACATGAAATCAGGTGAGTTGGAGCCAAAGGAAAAAGCACCAGGGCCCAGTTAAATCCCAAACCCGGAAACGCGATGGTGGGATGTTTTACCTTATGAGAAGGATATCATTGGTATGGGAGAGGGGCAGGGAAATGCTGGGTAGAGAAGGGCAGGGTTCCTGGTGAGGGCTCCATCCTCTGGCCTGTGCCCACGGATCTAAGTGAGAATAGGAACTCCTGTTTTTGGGCCCAAATGTTGCATTTTCCAAGACCACTCTGGCCCACCACGCCCCCCATTCTGTACCCATATGAACTTGAGACCTTAGCGGGCACAGACACAAGCAGCTGGATGTTGAGAGGAGAAGAGGAGCACACCAGCAGACACTGGCAGACTAGCGATGGTGGAATGATGCGGATGCCAAGGGAAGTTCAGCCCGGGACAGTTGGAGAAGAATCTGGCCACTGGGAAGCCCGAATCCGGGGGAAGATCACCTTCCCACTCCATCCCCCGCTTCTGGCTTCCCATCCATTTAACTAAGAACCACCTTCACCACTCAATAAACGTTGCACTCAGCCTTCCAGCCCATGTGTGATCTGATTTTTCCAGTTCACTGGGCAAGAACTCAGGCTGTCACACTGGCCCTGTGTCCTTGTGATAAGGCAGAGGGTCTATTGAGCTAATACAAGCCGTCTGCAGAAGGCGTAGCTGAGAGTGAGCACACTGTAACACACGCCCACTTGGGCTTCAGGAGTCCTAGACGCTGCCTTTGGGCCAGAGCCCAAAAGCGCTCCCCATGGCTTCTGCACCTGCCCGTCTGCATGCTTCCCCTAGGGGTTTGAGCAGCAGGGCACACCCCTGTTCTGCAAGGGGGATAAGGGAACTCTCCCGTTCCATGTGAAACTTCCCTGCACAGTCTCCATGCCATCACACACCTTGGGATTTAATTTTGCTTTAGGGTTGGGCTTGAGTATGTTAGTAGGCATAGGATAAATGTTACCTAAATACTTCAGATGTTAGACATCAAAATAACATATATTCTTCCACCACGGCCAGCCGTTTCTAGGCAGTCTAAAAAATAAGAGACTTTGAGTTAAAGGGCTCGGGTGCCACAAAGTCCTGCTTGACCCCATATTTTCTTCTCACCTCATCTACTTAACCTCATCACTGGCCCAATATTTCAGGGCTAAATTGCTGTCTTTAAGAAGCCCCTATTTAAGAATGACCATGACCTGAAGAGAAGTGAGTGACCCATTGGCATTGGCCATGTCAGGTTAACAGAAAACAGACATGAGGGAATGGGTCACAGAGAGTCACATTTTGTTGGCAGGAGGGAGAGCTAGCAAAGATAGCACAGGATCCCCAGAGTAGAAATGCAGAACAGACAAGAGTCAGAAGCAGAACTCTGGAGTGGGGAGAGCAGGAGGTCAGGTGGCTTCCTCTTGGACTCACTGGCCACGTTTTGCCTTTTCCATAATGTTTTTCAAAGGAGTAAGTTGCATGAAGTCTGTGGAGACCATGATGTAAAAGCTATTAAAGAAATCTGTGTGAAACAGACGACTGGAACAGGAGCTGGCAGGCTGAGGGGGTTACAGAAGAGGCATTGAACGGCAGCCTCCTTCATATGTGTTTCCTCTTCTACCAAGCAACAGCACAGACTATTCCTACCCATCTTGGGCCCAGCCCTGTAGACTTGCCAATCCTGCTGTTTAAAAGCCAGCTGTGCTTCTACCACCATAGGAACCAGGACATCAAAGGTCAGTTTGAGGTCCCAGCTGGGCTTGCTTAGTTTGTATTTCTTCATCTGTAAATTAGGGGAGCTAAAGCTAACTCTCACAATATGCTGAAGATTAAATAACTGGGGGTGGTGGTAGGGGGAGCTCCCATCGGGGCCTTTTGGACACTGTGTTGCTCAGATCCCCCTTCAATGAAGGATTTTTCCCCGTCACCTACCAGTCCCTTTAGGGATTGCCAATTGCAGAGAGCCACCTACCCACTCCTATGGTTTGCATATTTGACCCCACCAAATCTCATGTTGAAATCTGATCCCCATTGTTGGAGGTGGGGCCTGGTGGGAGGTGTTGGGGTCATCCAGGTGGATCCCTCATGAATGTTTTGGTGCAGTCGTCCTGGTGATGAGTTGAGTTCTTACTCTCTTTGTTCCTGTGATAGCTGATTGTTAAAAAGAGCCTGGCACCTTCCCCTCCTGCCTTGCTTCCTCTCACCATGTGATCTGCACATGTTGGCTTCCTTCCCCCTTCCTCCATGCATGGAAGCAGCTTGAGGCCCTCCCTAGATGCAGATGCTGGCACCATGCTTCTTGTACAGCCTGTAGAACCATGAGCCAAATGAACCTCTTTTCTTTATAAATTACCCAGCCTCAGGTAATCCTTTATAGCAATACAAACCGACTGAGACACCCATGGTCACCACATCCTTCCAGGGCGACATCCAGTGACTAATTAATGTGATAGTATACGGGTCTGGCTATCCCATCTCAACTTGGGGAAACTCTAGTTCTGGAACTCTCTGAGAAGTCAGCTAAGGCAGTTAGTCTGCATGGCAGCTGGACTTCTTTTGCCCAGTCCTGCTTCCTTCACTTCCCTCCCACAGGTGCTGGCCCCAAGGGCCCTCCTTAATAAACACCTTATACTGGAACTCCATCTCAGGGTATGCCTCCTGGAGACCCCAACTATTGAACCTGAAAGTAGGGGGAATGGAGTTCCCAGGAAGGTGAGGGCCAGGAGACTAATGGAGATAAACTTGCTCACAGCCAATCCTAGTATCAGTGCTGCTCACACTCCAGGATTACCCTCCTGTCCTATCCTGCCTGGAGACAGAGCCGGCACTTTTCAGCTTGCTTGTAGTGCCAAACACATAGAGAGGTAACATATTTCTTGAGGCATGTTACACATAGGTGATTCTACGTAATTTGATAAACATAGTTGGGAAAGTCGTTTCAGAATATCTGGCCTGCGTATTGTGTATATATTGGTGAGACTGGGGCCTGAGGCACAGAGCTGGTTGCTTACAGGGCTTTAAAGCATGAGTGAGTGAAGATACAAATCGCTAAGTCTGGGTTGGGAGCGCATGGCCCGCTCTCCTGCTCTCTGTTCTCCCAGCAGGTCAGATTTCTTCCTCAGCCCCACTTGTCGTGCAATATTCTGCTCAGCTGGTTTCATTCCGCCCTTGTCCATCACCAAGTATGTTATCTGATTTCTTTATGGGCTTCCTTCAAGGCTGCTTACTAAGAGGGAAGCATGTGTCTGGACTTGTCAGATGTGAAGCTGAGGACAGTATCCAACAAGTAAACACAAGGAGGCCCGATACTTTATAAACCAGATGTATCTCTGAGCTGTATGCTTTTGAAAAATCTTCAAAACATTTCCCAGAGCCCAAATCAAAGGTTAATATTTTCAGTATCTTGGCCTAAAGGTGACAAATGGGACAGACTGAACTTGAAGTGAAAGATCTGTACTTCAGATCACTGTATAACAAACTATTAAAAGATGCATTTAGAAATGGGGACTATGTTTGTTTGATTACAAAAACAGGAGAGATAGTTGAAATGTTCTTCACTTGTTAGAATGCAACCTCTCCTACTCTGAAGCCCTTTATTTTGGGGGGAAGGAGGTTTAATTTACTCTGCTACTTATCACCCTCTTTGTATTATAGATTAAAATTAGCTTATTTTATCATAACAAAATATTCATATAATTTTATAACAAGTTTATATTACATATATATAAATTTTATAATATAAAACAAAAATTATTAAAATAAAGACCCAAACCTCCTCACTTAAACTCAACTACCTTAGCACAGTAATTATACTATTTTTGCATCTTCCCTCTCGATCATTGTTCACTTGCAGTCATAATTTTACATGACTGCAAGCATGTAGGTGTAGTTTTTATACCTCCCTTCTTTACTTATAATAACATGGATCGTTTCTTGGGCTGTAAATTCTGCATTATAACTTTTATTGGCTGCATAACATTTCAGGTCTTAGTAGACTAGAAATTCACTAGATGTGGAAAGAGAATTATCCTAGACTTGTTGAAAAGAATCTTTTAGGAGGGCTATAGACCATTGCACCAAATTTCAAGGATTGTTAGATAAATTTAGATCAGAATCGTGATGGAACATCTTTCTTCCCCTGAGGGACATAAATCACTTTTTGCTTTGGCTGAGTAAATGGTAAAGATGTGTCGTCGAGTCCATCTTTGGTGAGTTCAGAGAGCTAACATAAGTTTTGGTTATGCAGACCTAGTCTCTCTGTGCAGCAAGATGCTGGAGGTACTACTCCCAGGGAGTGAGAGAAGTGAAGTGATATGGTTTGGCTGTGTCCCCACCCAAATCTCATCTTGAATTATAGCTCCCATAATTCCCACATGTTGTGGGAGGGACCTAATGGGAGATAATTGAATTGCGGGGGCAGTTTCCCCCATACTGTTTTCATGGTAGTGAATAAGTCTCACAAGATCTGATAGTTTTATAAGGGGTTTCCCTTTTCACTTGGCTCTTAGTCTGTCTTGCCTGCTGCCATGTAAGATGTGCCTTTCGCCTTCCACCGTGATTGTGAGGCCTCCCCAGCCACGTGGAACTGTGAGTCCATTAACCTTCTTTTTCTTTATAAATTACTCAGTCTTGGGTATGTCTTTATCAGCAGCATGAAAATGGACTAATACATGAAGGCAAAGTTAGATTACAGTCAGGGGCCAGAATTACCAATGCATGAGTCCCTGCCTTATCAATATGCGCTTCCCCAGCTTTCATGTTAAAACCATTCCAGCCCATTGATCCAGCACCAGCATCCACAGGACCACAGGATATACTGGGGTGGGGAAGGGCAGTAGATGAGGACTATTAGGGGATCTGTAGGGTTGCTGGGTCATACACAGGGGAGGAAAGCATCTTACAAAAGCAGGAGCAGAATGGAGGAGATGGACAGATTATAGGGCAGGCAACAGCCTGACATGCATTGCTACATGGGCACTCCAAATGGAGTTCCAGATGTTTCTTAATTACACCACTTAGAATTTGATCAACTAAATATTCAGTTAGGTTTAAGGGCATACTTAAAAAATACACAAATATGTCTCTGAAGATTATGGAGGTATATTTCAAATAAGTAGACCTTTATCCTTTTGGATTACTTTCCTCTCAAAACTTACCTGACATGAGCAGCACTAAGAAAATGGATGTTTTAATTGAGGAAGGAGAGAAGGTAGGTCATTCTAGGTGGCAGCATTCTGAGATAGGCCAGGGAGTCCCTAAATAAGGTACTTCTTGCCAGAAGTTAAGAAAGGGAGGTGGAAAGATATAGAAAATAAACTTGTCCTACTGCAAGATATTTTGAGGAATTGGTACCACACTCGGGAAAAGAGTAGCTTTTTCCTCCTTTTCCTGGTCTTCCTGGTCTCTCACTTCCAGGCCTCAGAGCAGGTGTTACTGCCATGGGTGCTACACAATTCAGTTTCCAGGTGGACACATACCTTATACGGCCATTGTGTGCATCTGGCCACCCTCAAAGTGCTGTTTAGGCCATAAAAGGTAATGTAGGTTCCAAATAGTTTTTTGTTTTTTCACTTTTTTAGAGATTGGGTCTCACGATGTTGCCCAGGCTGGTCTCAAACTCCTGGGCTCAAACTATCTTCCTGCCTCAGCCTCCAAAAATGCTAGGATTACAGGCATGAGCCACCACACCTAGCCTCAAATAGTTGTCTTAACAAATAAATGGTTGAAACCTGATATACGGGAATTAGGGACTCTGTTTTGTGAACTGTTCGTTTCTGGAGTCAAAATGGCTTTGATGGTGAATTTGGTTATCTAACAATTGTTTCCAGAAGTTAGGGGTTAAGCAGAGTGCACCACCCACAGGCCACCTTACCTGTCCTGCCTTGGCGTTCTCACAGACAAAAGCTTCATAGAATCTGGGGAACTCTGGAGCATTGTCATTCACATCTAAGACTTTGATTGTGACAGGAACACTTCCAACCTGGGAGGGATTGTCTAAAGGGAACACAAGGAAAACCAAATCTGAGAGTTTAGTAATGCCAAAAGAAAAAAAAGAGTAATGGTTTTTGCTAGAAGTCGGTATTTACGACTGGGCGCAGTGGCTCACGCCTGTAATCCCAGCACTTTGGGAGGCCGAGGCGGGAGGATCACGATGTCAGGAGATCGAGACCATCCTGGATAACATCCTGGATAACACGGAGTGAAACTCCATCTCTGCTAAAAATACAAAAAATTAGCCAGGCGTGGTGGCGGGCGCCTGTAGTCCCAGCTACTTGGGAGACTGAGGCAGGAGAATGGCGTGAACCCGGGAGGTGGAGCTTGCAGTGAGCAGAGATAGCACCACTGCAGTCCGGCCTGGGCAAAAGAGTAAGACTCCGTCTCAAAAAAAAAAACAAAACAAAAACAAAAACAAAAACAAAAACAAACAAACAAACAAAAAGTAGTTATTTACTTGGTGAGTCTGGATTTGAAAGGAGAGGATGAAGTACATGGAGATGGTAGCAAGAGCATAGGATCCATGTGTTGCCTACTAAGAGTGTGGCCGGACATGAGAAGTTTGGACAGAATAAGGTGTGTGTTGGTGAACCTTTGCTATCAGCAGTATGAAGGGAAGGGTGAGACAAAGGGAGCAAGTGTCAAAAAACGAATCTTAAAAAGAGGTTTTCAGTCTCCCATTTGGCTCAGACTTCAAGTCTTGGAATTAAAGGCAGGTCAGTTCTGTATTCTGGGCTTTAAAAGAGCCCATTGCCAATCGGATGCATACTGTGTGGCACTGCTTGGCTTTCTTCCTGTGGAATCATCAGTTCTTTGAATTACATTTGCAAAGGTTTCGAGTTATTCACTGGAATAAAGATAACACTGCACATTTATTTCTGCTTAGGGACTAACAGGATATTACAGGATCAAACACACACCAAATCCATATCTTTGGCTGGGGTCATAGACACTCATGGGGAGCTGTGTCTTTGTGATCTGTGTCTTTTGCTTGGCACTGCCATGCAGAGACAGTTTCACAGCTCTGGTAGTGCTCCTCCTGTCTTTTTCTGTTTTGGTCACCACCCCAAGGAGACAAAACAGAAATTGCGAGACACAGAAATTATTCTTGGTTAATAATTTTACTAAATCCCAAAATGCATTGTTCTTCTGAATCATATTTTTCTTCCTTTCTTTCCCAAAAAATTATGCTCTACTCTTTCCCCCCTAAATACTTCTATTGCTTGGTTACCATAATATGCTAGCAAAATTAAGATTTATTTCTTCATTATAACAGTGGTGTTTGTCTAAGGAATAATGAAAATTCCAGAAAAGCATAGATGAATCCATGAATATGATCCACAGTCCTACCACCAGAGATATCCATTAGATATATGACATTATACAACATGGGTGTCTAAAATTGGAGTTATACACCCTCCCCCTGACACAGAAGTTACATTTAAGCAAAATAGAAAGATTGAATTCAGAACATTAATATTTTAGGGTAAGGTTATCCTTTGTCATTGAATATGTTTTGAAAGCATCTGTATTATATTGTCATTTTACTATAGGTTGTACCATAATTTATTTAGTCTCCTATTATTAGACACTTAAGTAATTTCCATTTTCTCCTTATTTTAAAATAACATGGCAGTGGAAATTTTCACATTTAAATCTTTGTTGATATCTGTAATTATTTCCTTAATATGATGACTAGCAGTAGATTTCCTGAAAGAGTATAAATATTTTGGAGAATCTCAATACATATTGCCAAACTGCCCTCCTGAATGGCTGTTTAGTTATATAGCCAATAGGTTAGGGACTGCCATTTTTCTAAGCCTTTACTATCACCAGTATGGAAAAAAAAAGGAATGTAGTAGTACATAATCTAATTTTTATTATGTTTATAATATATATTAATGTAGTTATTAATCTTCCATTCCATTTATAAGTTTATTACGTTAATCAATTTGCCTTTTATTGTAAGGTATCTCAAATTCTTGTGGGCATGGATATGTATATGTTTGTATAATAAGAGTGATATGTTATAAATGCTTCCTTTCATACAGTAATATTTTATACTCTTTGTACATTCACAATCATATTAAAGATTGAAAGCCTGTTAGATTTCTCAGGAATCTTCCCTTTTCCTCATAGCTCCTTGGGATAAGAATGCTGTCTTTCACTGTTTTCCATGTTTTGTTTGCTTTTATCTCTAGCACAGGACTAAGTATACAAGCGAGCCTCAAAAAAGTATTTGAACTGAACGCATTTACTTACTTGCATAAAGCATGATTTCCATTTCTTCCCTTAAAGGATATAATTTTTGTTACAACAAGTTCTAGAAACTTCCACTTTCTATAACACCTATATTTTGTCACTGCATGGAGACCAACTTACTGTGCTACTTACTCATTTCCATAGCAAGGACAGTGATATTATGCCAAGAAAATTCTTCCCGGTCTAGGGGTCTTGCTGTCATTAGGGCACCTGTTGTAATGTCAACATAGAAAAATCTTCCAGGGTCACTGCTTCTATCAATGGAGTATCTGCAGAAACATGGATTACGTACATCATTTGCATTTGGGTAAGCATATGACAGCATACCACATGAGACAACTGAGTGCCTACCATATGAAACATGGTTCCACCACTTCTGAGTTATGGCTACTGGAAGACTGCATTCGTGGTTTTATTTGTTCAGAAACAAAAGTCACCTCCTCCTCCAATAAACAAAACAAATATTGCTTCAATTTTCTCATTCAAAAAATGAAATAAACAGGGTGCCGACAGTCTTGGGGAAGTTGTAAGCTATTTAAATATGGTTTATGCTACGTAATGCTTGGAATTACCCCAAGAATTTTGGGACATCCTGAGTATCGAGTCCTGTATATATTTGTTTAAAAAGAATTGTATTCAAATGAGTTCTCAAATGCTAATCTGAAACTAGAAAAGGAGAAAAGGTGTAGTTTAGTGGTTCCAGTCCTTATAATTTGTATCAACTATTGAGAAAAGAAGCCTTGTACCAGGCCCTTTCTTAACATGCTAATGACCCACCTTCTGGCAAATACAATAATGGTAATGTATTTGCTAGCTGGAGAGTCCTTAACTGTGGTATGCTTTTAGCAGGATGGACCGGATCTGGCTAGGTTGTTTACTGTAAATAAACCTAGAGTTTATAAATTTGTGGGGTACAGCCTACTGGAAAATGTCATATAAGCTATGTAATTAATGATGTATAACAAGCAAATGTTCCATCACAAAAATGGATCTTTGCGTTCGAGCAATGCACTTCGTCCATTGCTTCTACTTTTCATGTTCAGTCTGGACCAACATGCATCTTTATGCAAGAAAAGGACATTTATAGGCACCTGTGCCTGACAGTTTCAGAGCTCTCCAAGGGGAGAATGACTCATGTTTTGCTGTTGTCTGTATCATTTGAGCCATTAGTTAACTAGCTCCTGGGTAGGATCTATATTTCCTGTTGAACCTGATTTGGCAATCCAATTCTGTTGTGTTATCTCACCTGTGTTATCTCGTCTGGTCCCCATCTTGGAAGACTCAATAAATATGGATGGAGGCTCAGGCATGTGGATGTTAAAAACCCTCCATAAGGGATTTTGATATGTAGCCATGATTGAGAACCATCAATGAGAACCTTATGTAGTCCTTGGTAAAGGCCAAGTAATTTTTATCATTTTTATTTTTTAATTCTTTTTTTTTTCTGAGGTGGAGTCTTGCTGTCTTGCCCAGGCTGGAGTGCAGTGGCATGATGTCAGCTCACTGTAGCCTCTGCCTCCTGGGTTCAAGTGATTCTCCTGCCGCAGCCTCCCAAGTAACTGGGATTACAGGTGCCTGCCACCATCCCTGGCTGATTTTTATATTTTTAGTAGAGACAAGGTTTTGCCACGTTGGCCAGTCGGGTCTCAAACTCCTGACCTCAAGTGATCCACCTGCCTCAGCCTCCCAAAGTGCCGGGATTACAGGTGTGAGCCACCGTGTCCAGCCATTTTTATTTTTTTAATTGACAAGTAATAATTATATATATTTATGGCGTACAATGTGGTATTTAGATATATGTATACATCATAGAATGATCAAATCAGGCTAATTAACATGTCTATTACCTCACATATGTATTTGTTTTTTGCAATGATACCATTTAAAATCTATTCTTTTAGCTATTTTGAAATATACAATACATTATTATGAACTACAGTTACCATGCTGTGCAATAGATCACAGGAACTTACTACCCCTTACTGAAGCTTTGAACTTTTTGATTCTTTTTCCTTTTTACCCACCAGCCTCTGGCAATCACTATTGTACTCTCTACTTCTATGAGTTTGACTTTCTTACATTCTACATATAACTGAGATCATGTGGTATTTGTCTTTCTGTGCTTGGCTAATTTAGCATAATGTCGTCTAGATTCATCCATGTTGCAAATGACAGAATTTCTTTCTTTTCTAAAGCTGTATTGAATATTTAAGGCTGAAACGAATATTCCATTGTGTATGTATGCCACATTATTTTTACCCATTCATCTGTTGATGGGCACTAAGGTTGTTTCTGTATCTTGGCTATTGTGAATAATGCTGCAGTGAATATGAAAGTAGAGACATTCTTTGACATATTAATTCCAGTTCCTTTGGATATATACCCAGAAATGGGATTGTTGGATCATATGGTAATTCTCTTTTTAGTTTTTTGAGGAACCTCCATACTGTTTTCTACAATGGCTGTACTAACATTCTCATCAACGGTGTGCAAGGGTTCCCTTTTTCTACACACCCCAGCCAACACTTACGTTTCATGTTTTTGACAACAGACGTTCTAACGTTGTGAGGTGATATCTCATTGTGGTTTTAATTAGCATTTTCCTGATGATTAGGGATGTTGAGCATTTTTTCATGTATGTTGGTCATTTGTATGTCTTCTTTTGAGAAATGTCTGTTTAGGCATTTTGCACATTTTTTTTAACAGGGTCATTTGTCCTAATTTTGAAATAATATTACAAAGCTATAGTAATTATAACAGCTGGAATTAAAACAGACACATCAACCAACTAAATAGGATAGAGAGCTGAGAAAAAAACTCATGGGTCTACAGTGAATTAACTGATTTTTGACAAAGATTCCAAGAACACATAATGGGGAAAGGACAGTCTCTCCAATATAGTGTTGAGAAAACTAGATACCCACATGCAGAAGAATGGAAATGGACCCTTATCTGACCCCTTATACAAGAATCAACTTAAAATGGATTAAAGACTTAAATGTTAAGACCTGAAACCATCAAACTACTAGAAGAAACCTTAGGGGAAAAGCTCCACAATGTTGGTCTGGGCAATGATTTCTTGGATATGACCCCAAAAGCACATGCAAAAGCAAAAATAGATGAATGGGATTGTATCAAACTAAAAACTTCTGCACAACAAAGGAAACAACAGAGTGAAGAGACAACCCACAGATTGGGAGAAAATATTCTTTTCATAAAATAAGGGGCTAATATCCAAAATATATAAATAACTCAATAACAAGAAAACAATCCTGTTTTTAAAAGACCAGTAATTACAATAGCTGCCATTTGCTGAATATCAGGCACTTTACTATGTACTTAATACACAGCTTCTTTTAAAATTTTTCCAACATCTCTGGGAGGTAGTTATTATCCCAATCAACAGATAAGGAAACTGAGGCTTAAATAAGTCACTTTTTTTTCTTTCTTTAGAAATGGGTTCTCTTTCTGTCATCCAGGCTGGAGTGGTGCAGTGGCATGACCAAACTCACTGCAGCCTCAAACTCCTCGGCTCCAGTGATCCTTCCGCCTCAGCCTCCTGAGTAGTTGGAACTAGAGGCAGGTACCACCCCACCTGGATAATTAAATTTTTTTTATTTTTTATTTTAAAAGACAAAGTCTTTTAAACAGCCTGTGTTGCCCAGGCTGGCCTCAAACTCCTCAAACTCCTACCCTCAAGTGATTTTCCTGCCTCAATCTCCCAAGTAGTGGGGATTACAGGCATAAGCCACTGCAACTAGCTGAAGTCACTTTTATGCAATTACACAGGTAATAATTTAAGAGGTAAGACTTGAAGCCATCTTTATGGAGTTATAACTACTGTGTTTGATTTGAAGCTATATATACAAAATTATAACTACTATGTTCTTAAAAATTATTTAAATAGGGACTGGGAAATATATTGGGTTCAAAATTTGATTTAAAGTTGCCAGCAACTGTAATCCATATCTTAACGTTGTAGAGACGGAGAAGCAGCAATTTTGGAGGGAATAAACATTTTCTTTACTATAGTGCATTGTTTTTCAGATGTAGCTTAGTGGATTGTGAAATCAATTTGGTGGGTTATGATTAGCATAGAAAGAAAATGAAATAGAATAGAATATATGCATGCCAAACTATCACATGCAGTAAGGGTAAATATTGATGTAAAGCTTTTGTTTTTTATATATATGTGTGTGTGTGTGTATATATATATATATATATATATACATACAATACACACATGTATACAGTTGTGCATATATATCGTTGGTAAAATGTATTGTATCAAATACAATGTATATTTTTTTTCTGCAGAGATTCAGGATGGCTATTTAGGAATTAGGAATTAAAGAGAAAGCTGATGAGTAAGAGCTAGAGAAATCAGAATCATTTAAGTTATGACTCCCTAAGAGTTAGGAAATTTAAGGAAGAAAATTAATGTTTCTCTCTGCCTGTGACCCTATTTAATGAACATTCACTGTAAGCCAGGCACTGCTCAGCACACATCACCTATATGGACTCATTTAATCTTTACAATAACACCATGAGGTAGGCACAATTATGATCCTTATTTTACAGGTAAGAAGTCTGAGGAGTAGACAGGTTAGGTCCCTTGCCCAAGGTCACATTGCTGGGAATCAAGCCCAGGCAGTCTGGCTGCAGGTTCTGCTCCCAGCCACCAGGCCATGCTGCCTTATTGACACATAGTCTATAAGAGATTGTCTAAGGAAACAAGACTTTATCTTTTAAAGATACGAGTATTAGTCCGTTCTCACACTGCTAATAAAGACATACCCAAGACAGGGTATTTATAGGGAAAGAGGTTTGTTTGACTCACAGTTCAGCATGGCTGGGAAGGCCTCAGCACACTTACAATCGTAGTGGAAAGGGACGCAAACATGTCCTTCACATGGTGGTAGGAGAGAGAATAAGTGCCAAGGGAAGGGGGAAGCCCCTTTTAAAACCATCAGATCTCGTGAGAACTCACTCACTATCATGAGAACAGCATGGGGGAAACCACCCCCATGATTCAGTTATCTCTACCTGGTCCCGCCCTTGACACATGGAGATTATTACAATTCAAGGTGAGATTTGGGTGGGGACACAGAGCCAGATCACATCAGAGTGACAGCGAATAGTTGCCTTTTTAATAAAGAAAAACACATGCTTCAGAGTTCATTTAAAATGGACTAGATTATTACTTTTTAAGCATAAATTGTTATTTACTTTTAAAGTTTACTATTTTCAGAATTGAATTTTCTCTAATATAAAATAAAAAAACACCGATTGGCTCATGACAGTCTTCTCTTTCAGCTCCTGACACATGCAGAGAGCCAGCCATGTGGTCCACGGAGCCATGTCCCTGATGGCAGCTCTCCAGGCTGCAGGCATGATGCCAAGGGGAGAGGCAGCCTATGAGAAAGCAGCTTTCTATACTCAGACCTACGGCAATATAGTGAATGTCGCATGGGAGAGGGAGTGATAGAAATAACTAACCCACAGGACCCCTGACAGCATTGCCGGGCTGACACACCAGGAGCCTTCCTCAGAGAAGCCTCCCTCATCGAGGGGAATCCCTCTCTGATTTCCCCAATGGGGCCAGAATTGAGGGAATAATAGCCTTTGTTTCCCTGAATAGGATGCTGGGTTAATTTTCAGGAGGCAGGAGAAAAATTAAAGGTGTAGATACAGATGGAAAACGAGGAAATTGGGACACACTCGTGAATTATGTAGGTGGTTTTCTTTTCTTAACCATTACATTCTAACCTCCTATGAGCAGAATCGGCATCATGCAGGTACAAAGCTGCCCAGAGCCAGCAGTAGCTGGTGCTTTCCGGACTCCCTGCTTGTCACTTAGCTGAGGACATCCTCTGAATTTGGGAGCAATTTGGAGGTGGGGTGTCAGGAGCAGGCTGGTTAAATCCACACACATTCTGGGAAGGAACTGGGGGGCAGGCAGTTTCCACATCAGCAGAAGCCTCTTTCAGTTGCCAAATGGCTCAGTATCCTGCCTGCCAAAAAGTCCTTGAGCATGTATTAAAAATTCAGGGGATCCAAACATTGTCTTTTCATGTAAATATCACTAAATCTGGTGATTTTGTTTTGGGGATTATAAATAAGTGAGGACCAGCATATATTCCTGAACACACCATCAACTTTCTAGAAAGGAGATTATAAAAGTCCTAATAATTTGTTAAATGGCCTTTTATCTGTAACATTTTAACTTCCGGTGATGTGTTGATTTTTTGAATTATTTGATAGATATTTTCTCTTTAAGAATATAAATCTCATTTGTTCTTTGTAACAAAAATGCAGATGATGAATTAGCCATGCAGCATATAACTATACACATTATTTTAAAAGAAAGTAACTTTAATATGAAAAATAAGGATAAGAAGAGCAGTTTGGTGAAAGATAACAGAAGAAAGGAATTCCCAAATGGGTTTTGAAATGAGAGCCAGGGAGTTCATTGAGTTTTAAGTGCTTTTCCCTCTGAGAGTCTAGGACCCCCAGTGTTCTTCTTGGGTCCAGGGACCATTCTTTGTTGCTATTGGATAGTACAAAGAGTCAGGGACCTCATACCTAGCAATAAGAATTCCTCTCTTTCTTTGTAACCAAAATGCAGAGGGAGAATTATCCCCAGATCTGATCATTGGAATTTCACGTTGCCCCCTGTGCCTGAGCCGTGTCTTATTACCTCTGGCCTTGTGGCCTTGTTCTCACCAATTTTCATCTCAGGATCTGCAGTCCTGCCCCAGAACAGCCCAGTGGACCCTGCCCTGTGCCTCTGGCCTGTTCACTCTTGCATTCATCCTGCCTGGGTTCTAGTGGGGTAGCCAGACACTCCAATATGAACCTCCCTGATGCTAACGGATGTGCTGGCCAACTGATAGTTTTCAATTGGTCATCATCTGAAGCAGCATTTTCTGTTAGCCAGACAAGATTTCTTCATTTTGTCTACCTCATTTTACTTCATGCCAGTGGTGAAAGTTTTATTCTTTAAAGTTTCTCTCATAGGGTCTTTTGTTACAGGAATAGATTAATTAGCCTATGGTGGATTAATACATATATAATTAATAAATTAGGATCAGAAGGTATATATTCTTGGCTTCTGAAAATACACACAATGTTTTGTTTTCATTGTGATTGCTTTGGGGATAATATGGTTGACTAATCTCTCCCCATCCTAGTTTATATTTAAAAAGCTTCAGGTTGAAATACAACATCTATAAAGTTGTTATATAATACATTAGTTGCCTTTGAAAAAATCAAATATCAGAATTCAAATAAAATCGTTTTTGCCATTTTAATGCCTGAACATGTAAAATGTTTACTGGTTGGTTAGAGGAAGTGAATTTGCCCCTAGTATGGTTATTCTCTGGAGAAAGCCGTTCTTGTTAAACTACAGAAGCACGTTTTCATTAAATACAAAACAGCACTAGGTGAGAGAAGCAGCCAGCTGACGGAAAAGGCATTTGATAAAGTGCGGTATGTTTAAAATGTGTTATCTGCACTAAAGCCCCAGATTCATTTTACTGTGTGGCTTTCAACAATTAATGTGACAGATGGCTTCCGACATCCTTGGAATTCTGATCTTTTGTGTCACGCTTCATAGGTTTGGCAGCTGCTCTGGAAGGTTGTGGTGTCAACCTGTCCATCAACTATTTGCACTTTGGTTCCAGTTGGTGAGAGATGGCCATGACTGTAAGAGCAGTTCTCATCTTCTTGAGCGGAAGCATCTTGGTTGGAATCTTTAATTCCAAAACATGCTTTGGAGAGATAGATACTTGGTATTGCCATACAAAGACCCATCTGTCTGGCCAGTCTACAAGGCATTGAAGTTGCTGACAACAGAAGTAGTTTCTATGTCTGCTCTTTCTATAGTATGTGGAATATATGTAGTATATATTGTTTTCCCCAGTTTTAAAAAGTAAAACATGTCAAAGATTCATAAAAGATGGAAGAATACATGATGATTTCCTTTATGTTTACCACTGAGAGTCAATGGATTTTAACATTTTGACATCTGTGTGTCTGATTATACTTTATCTGAATCAGTAGCTCTCAACCTGGGGTGATTTTACACCACTTCCCTGGACATTTGGCAATATCTGGGGACATTTTAGGTGGTTACAACTCAGAGAGTGCTACTGCATTTCGTGCGTAAAGGCCAGAGATGCTGCTAAACATGGTTCAGTGCACAGGAGAACCCCTCCACAACAACACAGAATTACCCACCCCCAAATGTCAACAGGACCATGATTGAGAACTAAGGGGTGTGTGTGTGTGTGTGTGTGTGTGTGTGTGTGTGTCTCAACCAATTGAAAGTGAGTTATAAATATAATGACACTTCTAAACAACCTGGCAAGGCCATGTTATTTAAGGGAAAAAAAAAAAAACAACACAAAAAACTCAAAGAGGAGAGTCTCCAGAAATGGGATAGAGAAGAAAGAAACAAAGGGAAAAGTGCTAGAAAATTACATACAAGGGAAGGGAAGATTCCAGCATATAAGGAAAAGGTGAAATCTGTGGAAAAACCTGATTGAGTTGTTGGTCACATCTGGGTCCTTGGCAGAAATGATCTGTATGGTTGTTCCAATCGCCACATCCTCAGGCACCTCCACAAAGTAAAAGCCAGGTTCAAACACAGGGGGCTCGTCCACGTCTTCCACACTGATGTGCACTGTTGTTGTGTCCTGAAATGGGCCCAAGTTCAGAAAACGCATCTCTAGGTGAGGATTGGCTCCCTCCACCTTTAAGGTGTAGCTTTTCTTGCTTTCAAAACTCAGGGGCTGAAAAGCAATGACAGGAAAATTGATTCGCCACTGAGGTTCAAGATTCAAAATATGTCAACGTTCAAAAGGATGCCCAATATTGATGGCTGGTGGGAAGATTCTCCAATTCATTAAGTGGGAAAAAGGTAAACGGGAAAGAAGGGAAATCTTTGTCTTGTTCTGTAGTTCTTGGTCTTAATGTCAGTTTCAACACTTTGGGTAAAGAAGATAAGATATCAGTCACTGCAGAGATAGTTAAGGAAGCCAGTTTGATAATAGTTTGCCCGTTTATTCTGGGCAAACTTGGCTTTAACTTGTCTACCCTTCAATCAGCCTGGTCTTTAGAGAGATCCCAGGAATCCCCTCACTCCTGGGCCCAATTTGCCTGGTACTGTCTCAGTTCTAAAATCAAAAGTTTCATTTCCTAGGACTCTATTCTGTCCCAGGCAAACCAGGACGGTTGGTCACATTATCTTTAGAGGTGCTTGCTCATTTGAAAAGACTTCACAACAATTAAGAGCAAGTTTGTATTCCAAACACAAACTTCCATATATATTCCATATATCTATTCTATCTATCTATCTATCTATCTATCTATCTATCTATCTATCTATCTATTAGAATATTCATGCAACTGAGGCCTAGGCTTTTTTTTTTTCCTTAAAAAATTATTCTTGAGTACAAAGGCAATATTGATTCTTTTCAAGAAACTGTGCCACACAAGGTTCTCAGGTGCTGTGTCAGATCAATGTTTGTATATTTAGTTCATCATGCACAATCCCTTTTATTGTTACTATTATTTTTTGAGATGGAGTCTCGCTCTGTCACCCAGGCTAGAATGCAACAGTGTGATCTCAGCTCATTGCAACCTCCACCTCCCAAGTTAAAGCGATTCTTCTGCCTCAGCCTCCTAAGTAGCTGGGATTACAGGCATGTGCCACCATGCCTGCCTAATTTTGCATTTTTAGTAGAGACAGGGTTTCACCATGTTGGTCAGGCTGGTCTTGAACTCGTGATCTCAGATGATCCACCCACCTCAACCTTCCAAAGTGCTGGGATTACAGGCATAAGCCACCACACCCTGCTGACAATCCCCTTTAAAACCCTTATTTGACCTTTTAGAGTTGAAGAACCCAAGATGCAGGAAGCTCAGAAGCCTGGAGTATGCTGACGTGGTTACAGCTCTTCCACAAGGACTTTAATTTTGTCTATAAAATTCCATCGCGTAAAATACAATTTTTTTGGTTGTTCTCTATTTTGATTTATTCCTATCTTCAGAATTTTTTTTTTCAAAATAAATACAGTGCTCCAGGGCAGAACGTGAACTTAAAATGCTATTTCTGAAGACTAATCTATTGTTGTTTAAAGCTGATGAACATGTGTGTTTTAAGCAACAAGTATTTCAGAACATCTCGGAATGTTAAGTCCCACAAAATAAAAGTGGATAGCAAAGCAGTTACTAGAACTTAAAAGTTGTGTGTCAACATAGCAATAACTTACATTTTTCTAGCTAAACATCACTTTTTTCATAAAATATGTTGAATGGCAGCACATTTCATGTTAGAGAGAGGCATGTACCCATTTAAACAACTGCTTGGCTTTTCAGAAAAAAATATCGGTAGGTGCTGCTTTAACTAGATTTGTTATTTTCTTACTTAAAAAAAATCGTCTCTACTAAAAATACAAAAATTAGCTGGGTGTGGTGGCACATGCCTGTAATCCCAGCTACTCGGGAGGCTGAGGCAGGAGAATCACTTGAACCCGGGAGGTGGAGGTTGCGGTGAGCCGAGATCAAGCCATTGCACTCCAGCCTGGGCAATAAGAGTGAAACTCTGTCTCAAAAAAAAAAAAAAAAAAAAAAAAGTCAACTTTTTGGCCAGGAGCAGTGGTTCATGCCTGTAAGCCTGACAATGTAGGAAGCTGAGGTGGGAGAATCGCTTGAGGCCAAGATTTCAAGACCAGCCAAGACAACCTAATGAGACCTACATCGCTACCAAAAAAAAAAAAAAAAAAAAAAAAATTAGCTGGGTGTGGTGGCATGTGCCTGTAATCCCAGCTACTTGGGAGGCAGAGGCAGGAGGATGGTTTGAGCTCAGTTTAGAGTGAGCTATGATGGCACCACTGCACCGTAGCCTGAGTGACGGAGACACCTTGTCTCAAAAAAATTACATTAAAAATGGATACATAATAGATGTACATATTTTCAGGGTACATGTAATAATTTAATGCATTCATATAATTGTTATTTTCAAATTTTAATAAAGTTTTTTTTGTTTTGTTGCTGTTGTTGGGTTACTGCTTGTTTACCATTTACTTAGTAGCAGACATAGTGCTTCCCGTTTCATGAGTCGCCAGCCATTTCCATCCAAACCAAGAAGCCCCATTCAAACCCAGACGCCCATCTCCACCAGCCAGCCTGCCTCCCTAGTTGTCATTGAAAAGGCAAGGTTTTCATAAACAGGGAAATCTGCCAGTCAGATTAATGATATATTTGAAGGACTATTTTACCAATTCATTTAATGCTTGCTCCCTAAATCGAAACATTTTTCTTTCCTGGTAAATTACATTTATACGCTCTTAAAATTCTTTATGTATTTGTAACACAGTTGTGGACACCGTTGTTTGTGTTAGGTTTGAGCTAGGCAAAACTTGTTTTCCCTTTAATTTTAAATTGTTTTTCTAATTTTGTGTGAAATTTGTATGTTTTAAAAAATAAGATATTTACATACATTTATATATTTACATACATTAAAATTTCTTTTTTAGTATAAAGTTGGCAGGTTTTGACTAGTGTATTCAGTCATGTGTCTACCGTGATAATCAAGCTATAGAGCTGTTTCAAAACCCCCGTGACCCTCTCTGTGCCCCTTTGTAGTCAACCTCTCCCCTCCCACCCAGCCCCTGGCAAACACTGATTCATGTATGTTCTGTCTCTATTGCAAGAATGTCATATAATGTCAGATAAACTACATTCAGTATGTAATCTTTTGAGTTAGGGTTCTTTCACTTAGCATGATGCATTTGAGATTCATCCATGTTGCATGAATGAGGAGTTTTTTTTTTTTAGACAGCGTCTCACTCTGTTACCCAGGCTGGAGTGCAGCGGCATAATCTGGGCTCACTGCAACGTCTGCCTCCCGGGTTCAGGCGACTCTTCTGCCTCAGCCTCCCAAGTAGCTGGGACTACACGTGTGTGCCACCACGCCTGGCTAATTTTTGTATTTTCAGTAGAGGCGGGGTTTCACCATGTGGGCCAGGCTGGTCTTGAACTCTTGACCTCAGGTGATAGGCCCACCTCGGCCTTGGCCTCCCAAAGTGCTGGGATTACTGGCGTGAGCTACTATGCCTGGTGAGTTTGTTCTTTTTTTATTTCCACGTAGTATTCTGTTGTATGGATGCACAACAGTTGATTTATCCATTCTTCACTAGAGATACATTTGTGTTTTTTTCCAATTTCTGACGGTTATGAGTAAACCTATTAATATTTACATAGAGGTTTTTGTGTGAGCATAAAATTTCATTTCAGTGGGGTAAATACCTAGGACTGGAGTTGTGGGATTGTATAGTAAATATATTTTTAACTTTATAAGAAACTTCCAAATGAATTTTCAGAAAGGCAGTACCAGTTTGTATTCCCACCAGGAGTATATGAAAGCTCTAGTCACCCCACATCTTTGTCAGCCCTTGGTTTTGCCAGTGTTAAAATTTTTATCTATCCTAGTGTGCGTTAAGTGGTATCTCATTGTAGTTCTGATTGGCACTTCCTTACTGCCTCGTGATGCATCTTTCTATGTCTTCTTGAGGAGGTCTTTGTATATTTTATATTCAAGTCCATTGTCAGATGTATGATTTGCAAATATTTTCTCCTAGTCTGTGATTTGTCTTTTCATTCTCTTAACAGTGTCCTTTATTATTATTATTATTATTATACTTTAAATCCTGGGATACATGTGCAGAACGTGCAGGTTTGTTACATAGGTATACCTGTGCCATGGTGGTTTGCTGCACCTATCAACTCGTCATCTACATTAGGTATTTCTCCTAATGCTATCCCTCCCCTAGCCCCCGACCCCTGACAGGCCCTGGTGCGTGATATTCCCCTCCCTGTGTCCATGTGTTCTCATTGTTCACTTCCCACTTATGAGTGAGAACATGCAGTGTTTAGTTTTCTGTCCATGTGTTAGCTTGCTGAGAATGGTGGTTTCATCCATGTCCCTGAAAAGGACATGAACTCCTCCTTTTTTATGGCTGCATAGTATTCCGTATTGTATATGTGCCACATTTTCTTTATCCAGTCTGTCATTGATGGGCATTTGGGTTGGTTCCAAGTCTTTGCTATTGTGAACAGTGCTGTAATAAACATACGTGTGCATGTGTCTTTATAGTAGAAAGTTTTATAATCCTTTGGGTATATACCCAGTAATGGGATTGCTGGGTCATATGGTATTTCTGGTTCTAGATCCTTGAGGAATCACCACATTGTCTTCCACAATGGTTGAATTAATTTACACTCCCACCAACAGTGTAAAAAAGCATTCCTATTTCTCCACATCCTCTCCTGCATCTGTTGTTTCCTGACTTTTTTAATGATCACCATTCTAACTGGCATAAGATGGTATCTCAATATAGTTCTGATTTGCATTTCTCTAATGACCAGTGATGATGAGCTATTTTTCATGTTTGTTGGCTGCATAAATGTCTTCTTTTGAGAAGTGTCTGTTCATATCCTTTGCCCGCTTTTTGATGTGGTTGTTTGTTTTTTTTTTTCTTGTAAATTTGTTTAAGTTCCTTGTAGATTCTGGATATTAGACCTTTGTCAGATGGATAGATTGCAAAAATTTTCTCCCATTATGTAGGTTGCCTGTTGAATTTGATGATAGTTTCTTTTGCTGTGCAGAAGCTCTTTAGTTTAATTCAATCCCATTTGTCAATTTTGGCTTTTGTTGCCATTGCTTTTGGTGTTTTAGTCAAAGCCTTTGCCCATGCCTATGTCCTGAATGGTATTGCCTAAGTTTTCTTCTAGGGTTTTTATGGTTTTAGGTCTTATGTTTAAGTTTTTAATCCATCTTGAGTTAATGTTTGTATAAGGCATAAGGAAGGGGTCCAGTTTCAGTTTTCTGCATATGGCTAGCCAGTTTTCCCAACATCATTTATTAACTAGGAAATCCTTTCCCCATTGATTGTTTTTGTCAGGTTTGTCAAAGATCAGATGGTTGTAGGTGTGTGGCATTACTTCTGAGGCTTCTGTTCTGTTCCATTGGTCTATATATCTGTTTTGGTACCAGTACCATGCTTTTTTGGTTACTGTAGTCTTGTACTATAGTTTGAAGTCAGGTACTGTGATGCCTCCAGCTTTGTTATTTTTGCTTAGGATTGTCTTGGCTATACAGACTCTTTTTTGGATCCATATGAAATTCAAAGAAGTTTTTTCTAATTCTGTGAAGAAGTCAGTGGTAGCTTAATGAGGATAGCATTGAATCTATAAATTACTTTGGGCAGTATGGCCATTTTCACGATATTGCGTGTTCCTATCCATGAGCATGGAATGTTTTTTCATTTGTTTGTGTCCTCTCTTATTTCCTTGAGCAGTGGTTTGCAGTTCTCCTTGAAGAGGTCCTTCACATCACTTGTAAGTTTGATTCCTAGATATTTTATTCTCTTTGTGGCAATTGTGAATGAGAGTTCACTCATGATTTGGCTCTCTATCTATTATTGGTGTATAGGAATTCTTGTGATTTTTGCACATTGATTTTGTATCCTGAGACTTTGCTATAGTTGCTTATCAGCTTAAGGAGATTTTGGGCTGAGATGATGGGGTTTTCTAAATATACAATCATGTCATCTGCAAACAAAGACAATTTGACTTCCTCTTTTCCAATTCAAATACCCTTTATTTCTTTATCTTGCCCAATTGCCCTGGCCAAAACTTCCAATACTGTGTTGAATAGGAGTGGTGAGTAAGGGCATCCTTGTCGTGGGCCAGTTTTCAAAGGGAATGCTTCCAGCTTTTGCCCAATCAGTATAATATTGGCTGTGGGTTTGTCATAAATAGCTTTTATTAGAGATACATTCCATCAATACCTAGTTTATTTAGAGTTTTTAGCATGAAGGGGTATTGAATTTTATTGAAGGGCTTTTCTGCACTATTGAGATAATCATGTGGTTTTTGTCATTGGTTCTGTTTATGTGATGGATTACATTTATTGATTTGCATATGTTGAACCAGCCTTGCATCCCAGAGATGAAGCCAACTTGATCGTGGTGGATAATCTTTTTGATGTGCTGCTGGATTCAGTTTGCCAGTATGTTATTGAGGATTTTCACATCGATGTTCATCAGGGATATTGGCCTGAAATTTTCTTTTTTTGTTGTGTCTCTGCCAGGTTTTGGTATCAGGATGATCCTGGCCTCATAAAATGAGTTAGGGTGGAGTTCCTCTTTTTGTACTGTTTGGAATAGTTTCAGAAGGAATGCTACCAGCTCCTCATTGTACCTCTGGTAGAATTCGGCTGTGAATCTGTATCATCCTGGGCTTTTTTGGTTGGTAGGCCTCAATTATTGCCTCAATTTCAGAACTTGTTATTGGTCTATTCAGGGATTCGACTTCTTACTGGTTTAGTCTTGGGAGGGTGTATGTGTCCAGGAATGTATCCATTTCTTCTAGATTTTCTAGTTTATTTGCATAGAAGTGTTTATAGTATTCCCTGATGGTAGTTTGTATTTCTGTGGGATCAGTGGTGATATCCCCTTTATCATTTTTTATTGTGTCTATTTGATTCTTCTCTCTTTTCTTTTTTATTAGTGTGGCTAGCAATCTATCTATTTTGTTAATCTTTTCAAAAAACCAGCTCCTGGATTCAATGATTTTTTTGAAGGTTTTTTTGTGTCTCTATCTCCTTCAGTTCTGCTCTGATCTTAGTTACTTCTTGTCTTCTGCTAGCTTTTGAATTTATTTGCTCTTGCTTCTCTAGTTCTTTTAATTGTGATATTAGGGTGTTGATTTTAGATCTTTCCCACTTTCTCCTGTGGGCATTTAGTGTTATAAATTTCCCTGTAAACACTGCTTTAGCGGTGTCCCAGAGATTCTGGTATGTTGTTCTGGTTTCAAAGAAGCTTATTTCTGCCTTAATTTAGTTATTTACCCAGTAGTCATTCAGGAGCAGGTTATTTAGTTTCCATGTAGTTGTGTGTGTTTTGAGTGAGTTTTTAAATCCTGAGTTCTAATTTGATTGCATTGTGGTCTGAGATACTGTTTGTTATGATTTCCATTATTTTGCATTTGCTGAGGAGTGTTTTACTTCCAATTATGTGGTCAATTTTAGATTGGTGATGTCGTGCTGAGAAGAATGTATATTCTGTTGATTTTGGGGTGGAGAGTTCTGTAGAGGTCTATTAGGTCTGCTTGGTCCAGAGCTGAGTTCAAGTCCTGAATATCCTTGTTAATTTTCTATCTCATTGATCTGACTAATATTGACAGTAGGGTGTTAAAGTCTCCCACTATTATTGTGTGGGAGTCTAAGTCTCTTTGTAGGTCTCTAAGAACTTGCTTTATGAATCTGGGTGCTCTTGTATTGGGTGCATATATATTTAGGATAGTTAGCTATTCTTGTTGCATTGATACCTTTACCATTCTGTAATGCCCTTCTTTGTCTTTTTTTTTTTTTTTTTTGAGACGGAGTCTCGCTCTGCCACTCAGGCTGGAGTGCAGTGGCACGATCTAGGCTCACTGCAAGCTCCGCCTCCCAGGTTCACGCCATTCTCCTGCCTCAGCCTCCCGAGTAGCTGGGAGTACAGGTGCCCACCACCACGCCTGGCTAATTTTTTGTATTTTTAGTAGAGATGGGGTTTCATCGTGTTAGCCAGGATGGTCTTGATCTCCTGACCTCGTGATCCACCCACCTTGGCCTCCCAAAGTGCTGGGATTACAGGAGTGAGCCACCACGCCTGGCCTTTTTGTCTTTTTTGATCTTTGTTGGTTTAAAGTCTGTTTTATCAGAGACTAGGATTGCAACCCCTACTTTTTTTTTTTTTTTTTTGCTTTCCATTTGCTTGGTAAATATTCCTCCATCCCTTTATTTTGAGCCTGTGTTTGTCTTTGCATGTTAGATGTGTCTCCTGAATACAGCACACTGATGGATCTTGACTCTTTATCCAATTTGCCAATCTGTGTCTTTTAATTGGGGCATTTAGCCTGTTTACATTTAAGGTTTATATTGTTATGTGTGAATTTGATCCTGTCATTATGATGCCAGCTGGTTATTTTGCCCGTTAGTTGTTGCAGTTTCTTCATAGTGTCAATGGTCTTTACAATTTGGTATGTTTTTGCAGTGGCTGGTACCAGTTTTTCCTTTCTATATTTAGTGCTTCCTTGAGGAGTTCTTTTAAGGCAGGCCTGGTGGTGACAAAATGTCTCAGCATTTGCTTGTCTGTAAAGGATTTTATTTCTCCTTCACTTGTGAAGCTTAGTTTGGCTGGATATGAAATTCTGGGTTGAAAATTCTTTTCTTTAAGAATGTTGAATGTTGGCTCCCACTTTCTTCTGGCTTGCAGGGTTTCTGCAAAGAGATCCACTGTTAGTCTGATGGGCTTCCCTTTGTGGGTACCTCATCTTTCTCTCTGGCTGCCCTTAACATTTTTTCCTTCATTTCAACCTTGGTGAATCTGACGATTATGTGTCTTGGGGTTGCTCTTCTCGAGGAGTATCTTTGTGGTGTTCTCTGTATTTCCTGAATTTGAATGTTGGCCTATCTTGCTAGGTTGGGGAAGTTCTCCTGGATAATACCCTGAAAAGTGTTTTCCAACTTGGTTCCATTCTCCCCGTCACTTTCAGGTACAACAAACAAATGTAGGTTTGGTCTTTTCATGTAGTCCCATATTTCTTGGAGGCTTTGTTCATATGTTTTCATTCTTTTTTTCTCTAATCTTGTCTTTATGCTTTTTTCATTAAGTTGATCTTCAATTTCTGATATCCTTTCTTCCACTTGATCAATTTGACTGTTGATACTTGTGTATGCTTAACGAAGTTCTCATGCTGTGTTTTTCAGCTTTATCAGGTTATTTATGTTCTTGTCTAAACTGGTTATTCTAGTTAGCAATTCCTCTAATGTTTTTTCAAGGTTCTTAGCTTCCTTGCATTGTGTTAGAACATGCCCCATTAGCTCGGAAAAGTTTGTTATTACCCACTTTCTGAAGCCCACTTCTGTCAGTTTGTCAAACTCATTCTGCATCCAGTTTTGTTCCATTGCTGGTGAGGAGTTGTGATCCTTTGGAGAAGAAGAGGCATTCTGGTTTTTGGAATTTTCAGCCTTTTTGTGCTGTTTTTTCCTCATCTTCATGGATTTATCTACCTTTGGTCTTTGATGTTGGTGAACTTTGGATGGGGTTTCTGTGTGGATGTTGTTTTTGTTGATATTAATGTTATTCCTTTCTGTTTGTTAGTTTTCATTCTAACAGTTAGGTCCCTCTGCTGCAGGTCTGCTGGAGTTTGCTGGAGGTCCGCTCCAGACTCTGTTTGCCTGGGTATCACCAGCGGAGGCTGCAGAACAGCAAAGATTGCTGCCTGATCCTTCCTCTTGAAGCTTCTTCACAGAGGGGCACCTGCTGGATGCCAGCTGGAGCTCTCCTCTATGAGGTGTCTGTTGACCCCTGCTCAGAGGTGTCTCCCAGTCAGGAGGCACGGGGGTCAAGGACCCAATTGAGGAGGCAGTCTGTCCCTTAGAGCTTGAGTGCTGTGCTGAGAGATTCACTGCTGTCTTCAGAGCTGGCAGGCAGGAGCATTTAAGTCTGCTGAAGCTGTGCCCACAGCCACCCCTTCCCCCAGGTGTTTTTTCCCAGGGAGATGGGAGTTTTATCTATAAGCCCCTGACTGGGGCTGCTGCCTTTCTTTCAGAGATGCCCTGCACAGAGAGGAGGAATCTAGAGAGGCAGTCTAGGTACCGTGGCTTTGCAGAGCTGCGGTGGGCTCTGCCCAGTTTGAACTTCATGGTGGCTTTGTTTACACTGTTAGGGGAAAACTGCCTACTCAGTCTTCAGTAATGGTGGACCCCCCTCCCTCCACCAAGCTCCAGTGTCCCAGGTCGACTACAGACTGCAGGGCTGGCAGCAGGAATTTCAAGCCAGTGGATCTTAGCTTGCTGGGCTCCATGGGGGTGGGATCCACTGAGCTAGACCACTTGGCTCCCTGGATTCAGCCCCTTTTCCAGGGGAGTGAATGGTTCTGTCTCACTGGCATTCCAGGTGCCACTGGGGGTAAAACAAAACAAAACAAAACAAAACAACAACAACAACAAAAAAAACTGCAGCTAGTTCGGTGTCTGCTCAAACAGCTGCCCAGTTTTATGCTTGAAACCCAGGTCCCTGGAGGCGTAGGCACCCAAGGGAGTCTCCTGGTCTGCTGGTTGCAAAGACCATGGGAAAAGCGTAATATCTGGGCCAGAATGCACTGTTCCTTACAGCACAATCCCCCATGGCTTCCCCTGGCTAGGAGAGGGAGTTCCCTGACCCCTTGCACTTCCCAGGTGAGGTAACGCCCCACCCTGCTTCAGCTTGCCCTCCCTGGGCTGCACCCACTATCTAACCACTCCCATTGAGATGAGCCGGGTACCTCAGATGGAAATGCAGAAATCACCTGCCTTCTGCATTGATCTCACTGGGAGCTGCAGACTGGAGCTTTTCCTATTCAGCCATCTTGCCACAACAGTGTCCTTTGAAGAGCAGAAACTCTTAACTTTGATGAAGTCTTACTTTTTCTTTGGTAGGTTGGGATTCTGATGTAATATGGAATACATCTTTGTCCAATCAGGATTGCAAGGATTTTCTCCTAAGTTTCCTTTTAGAAATTTTATAGCTTTAGGTTTTTACATTTAGGTGCATGATTCATTTTGAGTTTTTTTGTGGGGGTATAATTGAGGTTTATTTCTTTATTTTTTTTGCAAATGGTATCCAATTGTTCCAGCATCTGTTGAAAGCACTAGCGTGAGTTTTTAATTATTACTGAAATTCTTTTTAAGTAAGTTACTTAAGACTTTAAAACTATCTAAGATTATTGTCTCCCTCACTTCCACATTTAAAATGGAAACAAAACATTGCCCTCAATTGTCTAAACTTTATTATTTATTTAATTATTTATGTACTGACACAAACTCTTGCTTATGTTGCCCAGGCTGGTCTCAAACTCCTAGGCTTAAGAGATCCTCCCACCTCCATCCTAAGAAGCTGCAACCACTCTGCTCAGCTCTTAACATTTAAATTGCCCACACTTGATAATGAGTTTTGGCTTTTTCCTCTTGAATAGTTTGTGTCCTTTTTATTTTAAATATCAAATAATTATTTATTTCTGTATTCATAATAGAAAATAAAAAAGTAATAATATCTGAGAATCCAATTTCCAAATTCAAGAAACTTCTTCAAGTTAGAGGATACAAAAACAAAAAGCCATTATATCCTTAAAAATTGAGTCATGAAAATTATGGCACAAAATAGTAATGAAACTTCAATTACTAATTAAGGAGGATTAAGTATTCCCTTCTTTGTTCTCACAGCACACTATTATACTTCCTTTATAGCTTTTCTTTTGTATTACAAATATTTCTTTCTGTGTTGATCCCACTCCCCATACTCAAGGGCAAAAGCTATGACTTAGTCAGATTTTTATTCCCCACTGCCTAGCAAAACCAGAAACTCAAAGCGTAGCAAAAACCTAAAAAAATTGTTACATTGAACAGTGCAAAAAGTTTCCCAATGTGAGTATTAACATTTACTGGTTGAGTGATAGTATATGCAGATTTTATTAATGTATTTCAGTAAAGTAAGATGCACAGTTTTTCATATTTTGATATTTTAGAAATAGCGTTGCTTCTCCAATTGATAACACCTTATAAGTGCCCTAGTGTCAAAGGGAGGCAAAGGGATCTTTCTAAGCAGTAGTTGTTACTGCCCATGCAAGCCAGACCTAGTCAAAGCTGTCCATGTTGTACTTTAGGGGAGTTCTACACATTGTTGGTACTGCACATGTTGAGCTTTATTGCCTTCTAAAATGTCTTTTTTTTAAAATTATTATTATACTTTAAGTTTTAGGGTACATGTGCACATTGTGCAGGTTAGTTACATATGTATACATGTGCCATGCTGGTGCGCTGCACCCACTAACTCATCATCTAGCATTAGGTATATCTCCCAATGCTATCCCTCCCCCCTCCCCCGACCCCACAACAGTCCCCAGAGTGTGATATTCCCCTTCCTGTGTCCATGTGATCTCATTGTTCAATTCTACCTATGAGTGAGAATATGCAGTGTTTGGTTTTTTGTTCTTGCGATAGTTTACTGAGAATGATGATTTCCAATTTCATCCATGTCCCTACAAAGGACATGAACTCATCATTTTTTATGGCTGCATAGTATTCCATGGTGTATATGTGCCACATTTTCTTAATCCAGTCTATCATTGTTGGACATTTGGTGGGGAGGAGCCAAGATGGCCGAATAGGAACAGCTCCGGTCTACAGCTCCCAGCGTGAGCAACGCAGAAGACGGGTGATTTCTGCATTTCCATCTGAGGTACCGGGTTCATCTCGCTAGGGAGTGCCAGACAGTGGGCGCAGGTCAGTGGGTGCGTGCACCGTGCGCGAGCCGAAGCAGGGCGAGGCATTGCCTCACTTGGGAAGCACAAGGGGTCAGGGAGTTCCCTTTCCGAGTCAAAGAAAGGGGTGACGGACAGCACCTGGAAAATCGGGTCACTCCTACCCGAATATTGCGCTTTTCCGACGGGCTTAAAAAATGGCGCACCACGAGATTATATCCCGCACCTGGCTCCGAGGGTCCTAGGCCCACGGAGTCTCGCTGATTGCTAGCACAACAGTCTGAGATCAAACTGCAAGGTGGCAGCGAGTCTGGGGGAGGGGCGCCCGCCATTGCCCAGGCTTGATTAGGTAAACAAAGCAGCCAGGAAGCTCGAACTGGGTGGAGCCCACCACAGCTCAAGGAGGCCTGCCTGCCTCTGTAGGCTCCACCTCTGGGGGCAGGGCACAGACAAACAAAAAGACAGCAGTAACCTCTGCAGACTTAAATGTCCCTGTCTGACAGCTTTGAAGAGAGCAGTGGTTCTCCCAGCACGCAGCTGGAGATCTGAGAATGGGCAGACTGCCTCCTCAAGTGGGTCCCTGACCCCTGACCCCCAAGCAGCCTAACTGGGAGGCACCCCCCAGCAGAGGCACACTGACACCTCACACGGCAGGGTATTCCAACAGACCTGCAGCTGAGGGTCCTGTCTGTTAGAAGGAAAACTAACAAACAGAAAGGACATCCACACCAAAAACCCATCTGTACATCACCATCATCAAAGACCAAAAGTAGATAAAACCACAAAGATGGGGAAAAAACAGAACAGAAAAACTGGAAACTCTAAAAAGCAGAGCGCCTCTCCTCCTCCAAAGGAACGCAGTTCCTCACCAGCAACGGAACAAAGCTGGATGGAGAATGACTTTGACGAGCTGAGAGAAGAAGGCTTCAGAGGATCAAATTACTCTGAGCTAAGGGAGGACATTCAAACCAAAGGCAAAGAAGTAGAAAACTTTGAAAAAAATTTAGAAGAATGTATAACTAGAATAACCAATACAGAGAAGTGCTTAAAGGAGCTGATGAAGCTGAAAACCAAGGCTCGTGAACTACGTGAAGAATGCAGAAGCCTCAGGAGCTGATGCGATCAACTGGAAGAAAGGGTATCAGCAATGGAAGATGAAATGAATGAAATGAAGCGAGAAGGGAAGTTTAGAGAAAAAAGAATAAAAAGAAATGAGCAAAGCCTCCAAGAAATATGGGACTATGTGAAAAGACCAAATCTACGTCTGATTGGTGTACCTGAAAGTGATGGGGAGAATGGAACCAAGTTGGAAAACACGCTGCAGGATATCGTCCAGGAGAACTTCCCCAATCTAGCAAGGCAGGCCAATGTTCAGATTCAGGAAATACAGAGAACGCCACAAAGATACTCCTTGAGAAGAGCAACTCCAAGACACATAATTGTCAGATTCACCAAAGTTGAAATGAAGGAAAAAATGTTAAGGGCAGCCAGAGAGAAAGGTCGGGTTACCCTCAAAGGGAAGCCCATCAGACTAATAGCGGATCTCTCGGCAGAAACCCTACAAGCCAGAAGAGAGTGGGGGCCAATATTCAACATTCTTAAAGAAAAAAATTTTCAACCCAGAATTTCATATCCAGCCAAACTAAGCTTCATAAGTGAAGGAGAAATAAAATCCTTTACAGACAAGCAAATGCTGAGAGGTTTGGTCACCACCAGGCCTGCCCTAAAAGAGCTCCTGAAGGAAGCGCTAAATGTGGAGAGGAACAACCAGTACCAGCCGCTGCAAAATCATGCCAAAATGTAAAGACCATGGAGACTAGGAAGAAACTGCATCAACTAACGAGCAAAATAACCAGCTAACATCGTAATGGCAGGATCAAATTCACACATAACAATATTAACTTTAAATGTAAATGGACTAAATGCTCCAATTAAAAGACACAGACTGGCAAATTGGATAAAGAGTCAAGACCCATCAGTGTGCTGTATTCAGGAAACCCATCTCACGTGCAGAGACACACACAGGCTCAAAATAAAAGGATGGAGGAAGATCTACCAAGCAAATGGAAAACAAAAAAAGGCAGGGGTTGCAATCCTAGTCTCTGATAAAACAGACTTTAAACCAACAAAGATCAAAAGAGACAAGGCCATTACATAATGGTAAAGGGATCAATTCAACAAGAAGAGCTAACTATCCTAAATATATATGCACCCAATACAGGAGCACCAAGATTCATAAAGCAAGTCCTGAGTGACCTACAAAGAGACTTAGACTCCCACACATTAATAATGGGAGACTTTAACACCCCACTGTCAACATTAGACAGATCAACGAGACAGAAAGTCATCAAGGATACCCAGGAATTGAACTCAACTCTGCACCAAGCGGACCTAATAGACATCTACAGAACTCTCCACCCCAAATCAACAGAATATACATTTTTTTCAGCACCACACCACACCTATTCCAAAATTGACCACATAGTTGGCCGTAAAGCTCTCCTCAGCAAATGTAAAAGAACAGAAATTATAACAAACTGTCTCTCAGACCACAGTGCAATCAAACTAGAACTCAGGATTAAGAATCTCACTCAAAACCGCTCAACTACATGGAAACTGAACAACCTGCTCCTGAATGACTACTGGGTACATAACGAAATGAAGGCAGAAATAAAGATGTTCTTTGAAACCAACGAGAACAAAGACACAACATACCAGAATCTCTGGGACACATTAAAATGTCTTTAAATATATTATATTATGATTTGGCATTGAAACAAGATTTATTGTGTAGGGAGAATGGCATGGAAACAGCGGCATGGAGTGAATCTAACATTGGTGAAACAAATTTGTCTAACTGTGCCTACGAGAGTACTTTATAGACACTAAACTAAGAAATAAGAAAGTATTGTATTATTTAAATTGGCAAGAACTGTTCTTAAATGACCCATAAGACAATGATGAGATTTATAATTCATGACATCTCAGATTTGATGAAATATAGAATTTTTATTCTTTATGACCTGCCTAAGAAGAGAATGGACTCTAAACAATTGCTTCTTCTTGTCGTAAGATGGAAGATATGCAGAAGACTAGAAAATGGTACATCATGCTTATTCAGAATAAAGAACATCCTGAAAATTATATATTTCAAGTTATACTTCAAGCATTTAAGAGACTGAAAATCGACTGATTGATTACTTAAAAGCTAAAAAGACCCAAGGTACTGGGTAGTAATCAGTGTGGGGTCCTGAAGACCCAATTCTATCAATTCCTCTTTTTGAAAAAGTATGGGCTTCTTAGACAAATAATAGGCCTAAGGGAAATAAATCAAAAGCAGAACTTTTGTTTCAATTTTATATGACATTATTAATGACAAAGTGGGAAGATGGGCGTGGAGCAGACATCTGAGTGAATGTTGTTGCAAAGGCGTAGACTGAGCTGTCAGTGGCCTCTAAAATATTTATTATATGTGATTTGTCCATCTACCCAACTTATTGACCTTTTTCTTAATTCCATTTTCTGGCAGCTCATAAGTTCAGAAGAGAAATCAAAGTGACCTTGGCAAAATTGATATGTATTTTGATTAAACATGGATATCGTTTTAGTAATGACAGTGAAAAACAGTACTCTGTCTTAAGAGGCTTCATCTTTTCTGCAGGTAAGGGAGCTGAAGAAAACACATTTTGAGATTTCTTTCAGAGACAGAGTTGTTACAGGTAATAGACTTTTTAAAACAAATGGCTTGTAATACAGTCTAAACTATATTGTGATAATCTAACATAAATTAATATTTTATTATTTAGAATTATCTCAGACATTATTTTAAGACATAAGATAACATTTAAATATTGAGAATCCCAAAAGTTCTTTTTCTGGTTGCTTAATTGTTTGAATAGAGTTTTCGTACTAAAGAAACAGTAAAGCTGGTTGCGGTGGCTCATGCCTGTAATCCTAGCCCTTTGGGAGGCTGAGGCAGGAGTACCACTTGAGCTCAGGAGTTTGAGACCAGCCTGGAAAACATAGGGTGACCTTGTCTCTACAAAAACAAAACAAAACAACAACAACAAAAATAGGTGGCTGTGGCATGATCATGGCTCACTGCAGCCTTGACCTCTTGGGCTCAAGCAATCCTTCCACCTCATCCTCCTGAGTAGCTGGGACTACAGGCTGCAGTGAGCCATGAGCATGCCATTGCACTCCAGCTTGGGTGACAGAGAGAGACCCTGTCTCAAACAAACAACAACACAAAAATTAGGTGGCTGTGATGGCACATGCCTATAGTCCCAGCTAGTTAGGATGGTGAGGTGGAAGGATTGCTTGAGCCCAAGAGGTCAAGGCTGCAGTGAGCCATGATTGTGCCACCACACCCCAGCTTGGGTGACAGAGTGAGACTCTGTTCAAACAAATAAACAAAAAAAAAAAAAGAAAGAAAGAAAGAAAGAAAAAACCCAATAATTCAAAAATTTGAGCATTTCCCTTATTTACAGTTACTAGTTATGGTTAGCAATGTATTATTGTTTACTTGAGGCATGCCACATAGTAGGGGAACCTATGACATATACCAAAATAGTATTGTTATTTTAATCACCTATTATAATTCTAGCATGTGTTATTAATTCTCAAAGAATGAGAATAAGAAATTATAGTATTTTAATTACATCTAGATTTATTTGATGATTTAGAAGTCAATCTCAGCCTTTTGCATTGTGTCAAGGTCATTGTTTACAGGATAGAAAGATTTCTGGTTGGTGGAATTCTGGATCCTTTGCTGTGATTCTGTTCCTTTGCTGTGATTGATTGCATCTTAAATAAATACAGAACAAACATATGAACTGGTCCCTTATTCCCTTCTGAAGCAGTGTTAATTCAGTTCTATCAAATAGCATAGAAAAAAGTTATAAACACCCATTAACTTGAGTTACATTTTAATGTTATAACTGTGGTTTTTGTCAAGGTTGTCAGTGGCTTCCATGTTCCTAAAGTCTGTGGTGAATTCCTGATGTTCTTATTTGACCTGTAGCAGCATTTGTCACAGGTGATCACTCCATCCCTTGGGAGCACGTTCTTCATGCCTTCAGGACACTGCACTTCCTCCATTATCCTCCTGCCTCCCTGGTCGCCCCTCAGTCTCCTTGCCTGTCCTTACACTTCCCCTGACCTCTTCATGTTGGTGTGCCTCAGGGCTCGTTTCACTGTCCTTTTTCTGTCTATGCTCAGTCCCTTGGAATCTCATTTGTTTTATTTGCTTTAAGTACCATCTATATGCTTATGATTCCCAGATTCATATTTCCAGTGCAGGACCCTTCTACAAACTCCTCGCTCTTATAACCAAAGCCATGACATGTCTCTACTTGATGTCTAATAGACTCTAGAAATGTCACATGTATGTCCAGAACTGAATTCCAATACTTGTCACCCCTGCCACCTGCTCTACTTGCAGACTTCCCTGTCTCAGTTAATGGCAATTCCATTCTTGTTGCTTGGTTGACTCTTCTCTTTCTTCCATATCCTCATCCACGTTTTTAGGAAATCCTGTTGGCTCTGCTTTCAAAATATGTACAGATTCTGACCACTTCTTATCACCTCCATTCCCACTACTTAGGTGAAACCCTCATCATCTCTTACCTGGATTACTGCAATAGCTTCTCAGCTGGTCTCCCTCTTTCTGTCCTTTTCTCCTTAAACTCCCCTGACCTCAACACAGCCTACTGAGTATTTATAATGAAAACCGAGTCATGTCATACATCTGTTAAAAATCCTTCAGTCATTTCCCACTTTACTCAGAGTAAAAACCAAAGTCCTTATAGTTAGCTTATATGGTCCTAAATGATCTGGCTCCTTTGTTACTTTTCAGACCTCATCTCCTAAGAGTTCCCCCCTCCACTCAGCCTTATGACCCCACTGTTGCTGTTCTTGAAATACAACAGGCATGGTCCCACCTCAAAGCCTTTGCACTGGCTGTCCTTTTGCTTGGAACGCTTTCCTCAATAGTTCATGCCCATTTCTTCTCTCTAGGACTGCCACGTATGCTTTTCACAAAGAGTCATTTGTAGGGCACCTCCCACACTGTCAACCTGCTTAACTCAGTGGTATGAGTCTGCTCACTGTAAGTCTTTGCATAAACGCCACTTCTCTGTGACACCAGTCCCAATCACCCAATTTATTTATTTAATTTTGTTTTTCTATAAGTTATTGGGGTACAGGGAGTATTTGGTTACATGAGTAAGTTCTTTAGTGCTGATTTGTGAGATTTTGGTGCACCCATCACCTGAGCAGTATATACTGCACCATATTTGTAGTCTTTTATCCCTTGCCCCTCTACCACTCTTTCCTCCAAGTCCCCAAAGTCCACTGTATCATTCTTATGCCTTTACGCCCTCAAAGCTTAGCTCCTACATAACAATGAAAACAGAATATGTTTGGTTTTCCATTCTGGAGTTACATCACTTAGAATAATAGTCTCCAATCAGCTGGGTGCAGTGGCTCACGCCTGTAATCCCAGCACTTTGGGAGGCTGAGGGGGGCAGATTGCCTGAGCTCAGGAGTTCACAACCAGCCTGGGTAACACAGTGAAACCCTGTCTCTACTAAAATACAAAAAGTTAGCCATGCATGGCAGTGTGCCCCTGTAGTCCCAGCTACTCGGGAGGCTGAAGCAGGAGAATTGCTTGAACCTGGGAGGCGGAGGTTGCAGTGAGCCGAGATTGCGCCACTGTACTCCAGCCTGGGTGACAAAGTGAGACTCTGTCTCGAACATGAAAAATAATAATAATAATAATAATAGTCTCCAATCTCATCCAGGTCACTGAAAATGCTGTTAGTCCATTCCTTTTTATGGCTGTGTAGTATTCCATTATATATATTTACCACAGTTTTTTTATCCACTCTTTGATTGATGGGCATTTAGCCAACCATCCAATTTAAGTTTGAAATCATCTTAGCTTTCCTGGCCTCACTTATTGTGTTCTGTTCTGCTTCCTGGCTCCCCCTCCCATATCAGTTATTACCTTCTAATAAACTACTTTAGTGACTTGATGTTTTGATTGTCTTCTTCCCTTGCTAGAATGTAAACTCCATGAGGGCAGAGGTTTTTGGTTGTTTTATTTACTCTGTATTAAATGCCTGTAACAATATCTGGCACATAGGTGGCACTCAATAAATTTGTTGAGAATATCATTTAAAATTAATGTATTTCATTAGATATATATTTACTATGGAGTTAAAGATTCAATTTTTAAAAAGTTTTATCTTCTAGCTCAGTATATCCATATGTGCTTTATGTCACAGAAAGAATTGATAGCTTATCTTGGTACCTTATAAAACAAAGGAATTTCAAGTGATAACAGCCATTCAGCAGCTATGTTTGATAAAGCTTTTTCAAGTTTAATTAGAATTTACAGATCTTTGAGAAGCAATTAAAAAACCCTTGCATGTTATTTATTGATTCATAAATAATATTATGGCTTACTTTATTGTTAGGTATGGTATGCTACAATGCATATGTTATTCAAGTGCAAATGTTGATCAAGTCATTAACATCATTAGAAAGTTAAGCTACAACAGGTTTTTAAGTGGCTGGGTAGAAGGAATGTATTTAGAAATATATTTATAATATATTTTTATCATGACCTGGTACCTTTTCAGTAAAATGATGGCACAGCCAGTGTTTTCATGTAAACATAAGGGTTAAGAGGTTTTCTGTGTGTTTTTTTTTTTAAATAATAGGAAAGCACTTTTATCAGATGATTTGAAGCAATGCATATCAATAATACAACAGTCCTTACTAGCATTTCATAAACATTCAAAGCACCCATGAAAGTGGTTTAGAAAAAGGAGTTGGATTACCTTCTTCACAGTTATGATACCAACTTGGAAATTGGGATCTGTGCTAATGTCAAAGGCATCTGCACCATCTCCATCCACAATAGTATATTTCATCTCTGCATTGATGCCTTCATCCAAGTCCTTGGCAAACACTCTCCCGACAGTGGAGCTAATTGGAGCTGATTCCAACACACTCATCTGGTAATGTTCTACGAAGAAAAGCCAGGACACGCATTCTTGATAATCCGTCACTATAAAAAATGCCTCATCATTATCATATCAGGAGTGCTGTGCAAAATATCTTTTTTTCTGGGTTCAAAAAGTAAAACTTGAGTTTTTACAGATAAAAACTAAGGTCCAGAAAGGCTGAGCAAACGGTCATACAGGCCATAGCCTGTATTGGATGTTCAATAAGGAGGAGTCAAAAAGGCTTCAGTAGAACAGGGTGAAAGCAAAACGACTTAGTCCTAGTGACTGTAGCTTGAGTGGTAGGAAGTACCTTGGATTCAAATCTTTTAGTGCTTCCTAGTGAACTGAAGTATTTCCTTAAATTGCAGTTCCTTCTGAGAGTGATAAACACTGTGGTCACAAAGTGCGTATTTATTCTGTTTACGCTTCAAATGTCCATCTTTTTTTTCATGGCCTGGCTTGTGTGCTGAGTGCCTGTCTCCAGCAACACCTGCTCAGAGGTCATGGAGATCAGTGATCTATAAAGGGGGGGCAGCCGTGGAGAGCAAGCTCCATCAGCTCCATGTGCTGCCCCTCAGTGTGTCCTTACACCCCAGACTGCCCCAGCCTGCCTCTCCATGGACAGACCCTTCATGCTTCTTGTTTTCTTATTCCAGAATAAAATACTAAAAAGGTTCTCACATATGTAAGAAGCTCAGAGTTGGACATCTCCTTTTGGACATGATATCCTGAGCTCACAATTAAATTTAGTTCACTTTCATCTCCATGAATTCGTATTTTTACCAACTTACTTTTTCTGGGGCTCAACTTTTTGACGTTTTTTGTTATTTTGTCAATCATAATGTGACTGACTAAATAACAAAGAAAAATCACACAATCACATTTTCAATATGTACGTGTTCCCTTTTATTCTAATATGCTTTGTAAGCTATAGCCTCAGGTGTGAGGGCTCAAGTTTCACAAAGAATCAGGGAGGTTGACAGCACCCAGCCAGCTCACAGCACCCTGCCTTGCGCAGGAGAAGAAATGATGCTTGTTCTTTACAAACATGAGCCAGGAAATCTTTAAAGTTTGTACTAAGCTGGCAGGGAATTGGATTTCATGATCTCTTTCCATTTACTTCCAAAGTTGTTGATGGATTACACTTTGCTGTTGCAGAACTTTTGGGAAAAACAAGCATCTGCCTACAGTTTTCCTCATCCCAATAAAGCTATGTTATATGTTTAAACATCTACATACAATTTCTACATGATACATTATATTATAAATAAATAGCTTGAGATCTTGATGTTTCATTATATTTGGTTCTATTAAAGGTGGCTTAGCTTATTCAATGTAAAATAGTAGGTGTATCATTTTGTCAACATTCCACAATCAGTTATAGTAATATTTGTGAAAAAGAAGCAAAATGGAATTCCTACAATGAAGACTCATTAGATTAATTAGGCATAAGAGTATAGCCAAGATAGGTTTATGGAATATCAAGGTCATCTAAACTTAGTTTTAGCAAATAGATGGGGAACTATTTAATGAAGAGAGAATGCAAAGTTTTAAAAGGTCAAAAAAGAGGAAGCAGCGATAACGTGTGTAGAATGCATAGAGACACAGAGATTTAAACTTTTTTATATTTCTCTTTTGTCTTCCATGAAACATAATCCATGCTTCCACTCTATCCTGGAGTCTCCATTAAAACTATATTTTGAAAAAGTGACAACTTAAAATGTGTGCTTTAGAATGGTATTAAGATGTTGGCTTGAGGCTGGGTGTGGTGGCTCATGCCTGTAATATCAGCACCTTGGGAGCCTGAGGAAGGCAGATGATTTGAGCCCAGGAGTTCAAGACCAGCCTGGGCAACATGACAAAATCCCATCTCTATAAAAAATATAAAAATTAGCTGGGCATGGTGGTGTGCACCTGTAGTTCTGGCTATTCAGGAGCTGAGGTGGGAGGATTGCTTGAGCCTGGGGGTTGAGGCTACAGTGAGCTGTGATTGCACCACTGCAGTCCAGCCTGGGTGACAGAGCAAGACCCTGTCTCAAAAAAAAAAAAAAAAAAAAGATATTGGTTTCGGAGGCAAGACTAAAACCCCAGTAATCCTTGTATAGTGTTCTGCTATTGTGAAGCTGCCATGTTTGGGGTAACATGACTCCCGGCAATATGTCCGAATCCATCTACCTTTGAGCTATGTAATAACCTGAGCTATGTAATTAGCTGGTTCTACTGTCCCTTCTGCCTCCATCAGAGACACCTGTCTAGTGTCAAATGTAAAAAGCCAAGTAGTTCAAGGGTGTTCAAGAATTTATAGTCTATAGTGTGAGTAATATGAGCCCTTCATGAAGTAATGAAGATGGAACCCACAGAATCACCAAAGCAATACAAAGTCCATCCATGTGGCATTTCACAAACTGTTCTGTGATGCAGAATACGAATTCTGCACTGTTGGACCAAGCAACTTAGGAACTTAGTTACTTGCACCCTTTGTGAAATGCTTATCTAGTATCCTGCTTTTTCCATCATGAATGCTCATGGGGACTTTGTGTATTCCATTTGCATGTAAATATTTGAGATCTCCTGTGTTTACATAGATACAAGGGAAGGTTAGCTTGGTCTGGCTGATTCAAAATGCAACTATTCATCTGACAGTCTGGCTAGTCTGGCTAGACTCTTCCTCCTTTTAGTTTAGTTTTTCTTTTTTAAGCCCCGTTTCCCTAGCTAAGTGTTTCACCTGGAATTGCACTTCCTGCTCTCATTTCTCCCGCTGCTTCCTTCAGGCATCTGCTTCTCAAACTTACGTCTTCATTCCTGGGCTCTGTTCCACGTTCATAGCTCTATATTTCCACTTTCCTTAAGGACATTCAACCTGATTGTCCTGCTGTCACTTCATATTCAAATCTGAATTTGTCTCCCTCCTTCACTGCCACTCGTTCCATTATGCGTCCTCTATTTTTATTAGTAGTACAATCCTTCTCCCTGTCATCCAGAGTGAAAACGTCATTGTCATCTTTGACTCCACCCTCTGCCATGGTTCCCTTAGCCAGGAAATCAAGAGGCAGAAGTCCATGTTTCCTCATTTGTCCCATTCCACTCATCCTGCTATTTCCTTAAGTCCTTAGCAGTTCAAGTCTGGACCACTCTAAATGCCTCCTAACCGACTCCCCTGCTCCTAGTCTCTGCCCTTGCCAACCCCTCCTCTACATGGCTACCAAATTAGCCTTTCTTTATGTCTCCCTCTTGCTCAAAAACGTTTCTATGGCTTCCACTGGAGATACAGCACATTTGAAAGAGCAGGTTTTAATTTTAGGAGTCTTTGAACGTAAAGTGACAGTGAAAACTTATTTCCAGGCAGCAGTTTTTTTTTTCTTCCATTCAGGTTTTTACTCAAATGAGCTCCAGGATGGTAGAGACGTTGTTTTGTCTGTATACAGCTTTGTGTTCCATTCATAGAATAGTGCCTGGAATAAATATTTTTTGAATGAATAAGTAAATGAATGACTTCCCCTTCTGGAATGTTTTCTTTTCTGCCTATGTAAACCTGTTATATTCTTTAGCCCCCTGTTGAAATCTCATCCTTCTGTGGAGGCTTCATTCATCTCAGTTTGTGTGAAGGCATCATCTTGCACTGTTCAAGTGGCAGCAAATGCTACTACGGTTTAATTTTTCTTGTGTGTAGGATGTGTCCTCCCAAGTGGATTTGAAGCTTCACAAGGGCAGAGACAGGATTCCAAGCCTCCTGTGCCCTTCATGTCCAGGGGTCTCACCAAGCAAGTGCTTGGTACCTACTGGAGTGATTGGTGAAGATCGTCACATGGGCAGGTGTGTCCATCTACAGCTTTGGGTATCAGTGAATGCATTCTCAATGGATCAATATGGCCCCCTGGGGGCAAAAATAGGTTTCCAGGGCTGTGATGAAAAAAGTCTCAGCATTACTAGTTTGTGGCCCACTAAAGGTCAGTTCTACCCAACAAAACTTATTCCTTAGTATTGCATTTTATGTGGGGTGGGTGGGCGTGGCAATCAGGAAAGAAAGTCTAAAAAGATTCCACAGGGAGGAGAAAATGGAAAAATATGTTTGAGAAATCCTGGTTTAGTACTATGGGAAGCTGGAACACTGAAGGCAAATAGTTATGCGAGAATTGCATGATGAATGTAAGAAAGGAATCTATGGATAATTGAATTTAATGAGGAAACTCAAACTGGGCTTTCTCCCGCACCTCTGCAACGGGTGCGTCCCTCTGGGCCCGAGGTCTGTGCTCTCTTGGGTTAGGTACTCACTCTGGGGAAAGCGGGGTGGGTTATCATTGACATCTGAGAGGGTGATGTTGACTGTTGTGGTCCCAGCTAATCCTCCAAGCTGCCCTCCCATGTCCTTGGCTTGGATAATCACTTCGTAGTATTCTTTGGCTTCTCTGTCCATGTTCATGAGCGCTGTCCTAATTACACCTGGAGGATAGAAATGACTTTGTTTATAAAAATAAAACCACAGGTCCAGTTTTTAAAGATTGGTTTCTAGGTGTCTCCCTGGTGCACCATTAATGCCTAGAAGTGAGGTGCAAGTCACCTGTGCTTTTAAATTTGAGGTAAAAAAATCTCAGCTTCAAAAATGGGCTGTACTGAAACCAGTGGTGAATGAAAACTTTTATTCCAGCAGGAAGAGCTCAGAGGGCTGGTTTCTTCTGGCAACATTACTGAAAGTGAACAGGAGGTGGCAGCAATGTTTCTCTTACAGATCTGGGAAATTGTGGTCCAAGGCGATTTCAGACAGTGCTGTCTCACCAAGGAAAACTGGGGGCTTTGGGTCCAGAAAACAAAGCCTCATAAGTCTACAAATCTGTGAATTTAGATAATTCTCCCTCAGTTTCTTCAGCCCCTAGAGCCCTTGTAGTGTGAATGGCTCTTCTTTAGGTAACTCATTCCTGCTTTTTCTTGCTTCCCTACTACCTGTAAGCAGGGTTGGAATTCTAATTGGATTTTCCTGTTGTTACATATTCATTCTGTTTTGTGACATTCTTCTGTTTACCTCTGTGCTTTTAATTTTGTGAGCTAGGACATGAAAGATGCTCTGTGAGCTGTTTATTTTTACCATGCATAAGATATGAATTTCCCCAGAGAGCAAGCAGCAGATACGGTTTCATTTAAGAAGAGAGGCCTACACCAAATCCGTTGAAATGTGTTGTGATCCTGCCAAGCCTGTACAGTAATGTTTTGTCTCCCTTTTAACCCTGCAACTTAAAAAAGTTGACTTCTCTACACTGTAGGCAAAGATTAAAGGCTTACTTACTACAGCTTTACAACATGACTCTTGGCTAGATAGACCTTTTGCATGAAAATGGAAGGGACTGGGAACAATAATCCGTCCCCAGTTTACCCCTATAATGTATATATTGCATTGTAGTATAACATTCTCCAGTGATATATGCAGCATTTTCTTTTTTAAAAGGCCCCCCATGGGCACAGCTATAACTCTCTGTTCATGTATTTTTGACCTTAACACTACAGATGCCCCCCGGGAGCTGTCAAAATAATCTAAGACTCTTCTTAGGATATAAAGGACACATTACCCTCTTCCTCCCTGCATTTTTCCTCCCTGTGGGCACCCTTCCTCTCTTCATTCTCCCCCTTGCCCTTAGTAGAATTGTTAAAGTTACTGTTTTATAGAAGTCTCTAACTGCAATCTTTTTTCTTTCCTCCTCCTAATTTACACTCCCTTACTACTTTTATGATACAATTTTCTGAATGTCTGGTTTCCCTCAGGACTTCTGGGAAAAAAATTCGATCAGGTTGCTAATAATAGAAATGTATTTTTTCTTTTTCAAATAAAGAGGTGACTTTGAGTGTTCACCATTAACTTTATTCTGTGGCTGTAAGTTTCTTTACTCAAGTTCCTTGTTAATTACTCCTAGGTCCCATGTTTACCCTCATATAAAATGGAAGTAATAATACTTCCTATATCTTTTGCTAGTTTACAAGATTATTGGGAAGCTCAAATATGGCAATGTTTATGAAAGTATTAATAAGAGGGGAAGCCTGGCACAAGTATAAGATAATAATGATATCACAATAACTTTGCCAAGCTCAAACATATTAAATGAAATCTTTCATACATCCAAAGGTAAATTCTGTAGTCAAAGCTCTCGGGTAAGACAGAAATAAATAAGCAAACAAAACACCAAACTCCTGTTTGTCTTTTCTGCCGCATTGCTCCTCGCCCATTCAGTTCTCTCTGATGTCCTCCCTGTGAGAGCTTCCCAATCAGGACCTGCCTTTTGGGGGCCACATCCCACCTGGTCTTTCCTCCCTCATCAAAACCTGTCTGCCCCAGCAACCATTCATTTTGGACTTCTCTGCTGAGTGCACAGTGGTTGGTTCAATAGAAAGAACATCAGACCACATGTCAAGAGACCTCTCTACACTAGATGAACTTTAGTAGCTCTCAATTTCCCAATTGCTTTATCTGATAAGCAAATGGTGATGGACTGGATGATTCCCCCAAGGCTCTTTCCAGTTTCACAATCAATGCTTCTAGTTCTCTAATGACCCAGGTGAATGTGTCAATCCTGTTGGGTCTTCATGGGGTTATAAAAGACCTTAGTCCCTGGGAATAAATATAACCATAGGATTTTTTGAAGGCTATTGGGGAGTTATTTTGTGTGTGTTTGCGCAGAGGGGCTTTTTGCCTCTCCAATCAGACACTGCTCACTGTCTATGCATAGTGCTGCTCTTACCTGTCAGGGCAGTGCTAGTTTGCTCTCTTAATCCTAAAGCTAAGAGCAGTCTTCTCTGGTTAATACACTCCCTGGAGAGTCCTTAAAAAGGAGAGTTGGGTCTGTCATAGCAGCAGTTATAAATTATCAGGGAATAAACACCTCTGACTCGACCCTTGTATCAGATACCTGTTTTAGAGTCCACAGAAAAATATGGCTGGCCCTGAAGAATGCTGTACACCACCCTGGCACTGTTGCCGTAGGTCGGGTCATCTGCATCTGTGGCTGTCACTTGGATGACGGAGGTACCTGGGGAAGAGAAGAGGTAGAAACCTGTTCAAGTCTAATAGCTAAAGGCTGGATGCAATCCTGAGCGGTCCATCTTAAAGCATTTGCAAATGTGTTTGCTTCATTGGGAGAGTCCCCTTTCTAGGTCAAGCTTCCATAACTCTTATCTTGTACCTGTTTAGTAGGGATAAGAGTTATTTGTGCTTTAAATTCTGAATGACTGATAAGGACACAGCCTTTGGGCTCTTCATTGCTTTTTTTTTTTTTTTTTTTTTTTTTTTTTTTTTTTTTTTTTTTTTTTAAGATGGAGTCTCACTCTGTCGCCAGGCTGGAGTGCAGTGGCGTGATCTCAGCTCACTGAAATCTCCACCTCCCGGGTTCAAGTGATTCCCCTGCCTCAGCCTCCTGAGTAGCTGGGACTATAGGTGCGCACCACCACACCAGGCTAATTTTTTTGGTGTTTTAGTAGAGACAGGGTATTTAGTAGAGACGGGGTTTCACCATGTTGGCCAGGATCTCCTGACCTTGTGATCCACCTGCCTCAGCCTCCCAAAGTTCTAGGATTACAGGCGTGAGCCACCGCGCCTAACCCTATTGCTCTTTTGATAATAACAAAATATTTCTCCCTTATGAAACAAATCTGTCTAGCTAATATTTTGTTTTTAAAGAATCAGAACTAAAAAACATTAATAGGCTTATTATTATTACTTGCTCTGGTTGATTCCAATGTCTATATAGCTTCCTGCCAGCCAAAGGGCTTGGTCGTCATTTTTGGTTGCTTTATAATTGGTGAGCTTCTCCTCTCATGCTCTCCTGTTCTGAATATATGTGTATCTACATGTGTGTGTGCATGTGCATATGTGTGTGTGTGTGTATATATATAGGAGGTGCTATTTGTGAAAATCAGCGAGTCACCACCTTACCCACAGGGGACATTTCTGGCACAGTGGCCACATAAGGTCCGTCCAGGAACTTGGGCTCATTGTCATTGATGTCTTGAATTTTGATGATGAACTCTGACTCGGGCTCCATTGGCCTGCCCGTCCGCCTGTCTAGGGCTTGAGCCCTTAGAGTATACTGGGCTCTTTCCTCTCGGTCGAGCCTCTGAATGGCGTGGATGTCTCCAGTGGTGTCGTCGATGGTAAACACGATGCCAGCACCTTCTCCCGAGAGGATGTATTTGATGGATCCGTCTCCCCTGTCCATATCTGAATGAAGCTGGGAGAGGAAAGCACCTAATTCTCATCATGAATGTCAACAGGTGTCAGAAAACACATTGATTTTCAGTTTGTTACAAACTTATAACCTCCCTTTACATAAGGAGATTTTTCAAATGTTTAATAAGTTTGTCGACAAAGAACTAGTATGCATTGGACACGATTGTATCAAGGAGTGGGTGTAGGTTGATTAAGTAAAATTTTCCATGTCCCATTCTGTATCCTGAACTTACCATTATTTAAACAAAATTCTTCTCCCTGATAAGTATGGAAAACAGGAACTCTGGAAAGTGAAGATCCCCAATGTTAGAATAAGAACAAATTTAATAAGGAGGATTCCTGCCTTTCCACTTAAGAAAAATAAAAATAAAATGGATAAGCCTAAACGTGTTAAAATGAAGAAATTGCCGTAAGTTTTGGAGTATCAAACAGTTTTATGACAATTCAAGTTGGCTGATAAGCTGATGGAAGTAGTTTATAAAAAGGTTAAGGGCACTGCAGTGAGAAAAGTGAATGACCTCCGTGGATTCTTCCTCCCATTCTGTGATCCTAGTTCTGTAGTTTCATTCGGTAGGACTGGGCTTGTGTTTCAGGTGTCAAATGGAATTTAACTGCTGGTTATGATTCTTTACATCGGTGTGTGTCTCCTTTAGATGGGACTGGTTCTTGGGTTCATAACTGAGTCACTTAAATCTATATGTGGATGGTTGAGTTAGGGACATGCTTTTATCTGACCATGCAGCTATATTTGCTCTCAGAATCCTTTTTTTTTTTTTTTTTTTTTTTTGAGACAGAGTTTCGCCCTGTCACCCAGGCTGGAGTGCAGTGGCATGATTTTAGCTCACTGCAACCTCCACCTCCCAGGTTGAAGCGATTCTCCTGCCTCAGGCTCCCAAGTAGCTGGGACTACAGGCATGCACCACAATGCCTGGCTAGTTTTTATATTTTTAGTAGAGTGGGGGTTTGGCCACGTTGGTCAGGCTGGTCTTGAACTCCTGACCTCAGGTGATCTACCTGCCTCGGCCTCCCAAAGTGCTGGGATTATAGGTGTGAGTCACCACGCCCAGCCAGAATACTTTTAATAACTCTCAAAAGGAGTCCAGGAGTACTATATTTTTAAAATCTCAGGCCTATAAACATATTTCTGCATCTGTAATATCTAATTAATTGCAGATAGTATGTATGGGTGGCAAGAACCCTGTAATTTTGAGCAACCCTATAGGTAATGGTCTCTTTCTAAAGGTGGTAACAAAACAGTTAGTTAAATTTAGTCAGCCACTCCATTGTTGCCTGGGTTGTTAGCACTTTGCATAGTCCAGGGTGAAGTTCATGAGATTATTTGATAAAACAGCCAGGATTAGGCTTGGGGCAGGGAGGCCAATATATCTGGCCTGAACACTGTCTAGGCCAGCTATAAATTCAGGGCCCTTGATGAGTTATTTTATGTTTATAACCATTAATTTCCTTATAAGTGTGAGGACAGCACTAATACTTATTCTGAAGGTTCACTGGGATCATTAGAGATTAATGCACGTGAGGCACCCAGCACAGTGCTTTTCCCATTATAGGAAGGCCATAAATGGGGCCAACCATGATACACGTGCATAGAGAAAAGGGTATTAGCACACTCAGCTCTTCTCTACTCCCTACAGACCTCCAGGAGGGTGGCAGAGAGGCAAAAACAACCTGTTGGCTTTTTTGTTATGCACAGTCTCATGGTAAAAGCTGCAGAAGGCCGCCTGAAGCATGGCTGAGACAGTGTTACTCTGAGGATTAAACAGCATGAACACCAATAAAACACCTGCAAATGCATCCACAACAGCCTCCGACAGGGATGGGTTTGGAGGTTGTGGCTGGCTTTGAGCTGATCTCAGATTGACTCAAGGCCAAATCATGCAGGCAATGGTTTTGCTGCCTAGGGGAACTCAGCTGCGTCTTATCTAGAAAGAGAAATAAGGGAATAAAATTGACCGAAAAAATAGTTGTGGGCTTTTTTCTACTTATTTTATTTAGAATGTGAAGTTCTCACATTTCCTCATTTCGTATACAGTATTTTCTTTTTTCTTTCTTTCTTTCTTTCTTTCTTTTTTTTTTTTACAATCCAAATCTTCTATTTATGCAGTTAAAAAAGTAGAGGTGCCCATCTCTTGTTGTGTAGAATAGAAAGGCATTTCATTTGGACCTGGGCACAAACAAATGAAAATCTATTCCATTTGGACCTGTGTTCTCAGGCAGAGGAACAGAAGTGTGGGGAGAACAAGGATTTCAGAAGGTGTTTTAAATTAAAAACATGTATACGTATGCATATAGGTGTATGTTTATATATATAACAGTGTATGTATGTAATTTTATGGCATGTGGCATAGGACTTTTAATGAAATTGGTTTAATTTAGGGCACTGCTGATGATGTAGGGAAGGAAAAACAGAAGCTGACAGAAAGGCCACCCCAGGACTGTTCCGAGGTGCTCTATTTATCAAATAAAACTGTTTGTTCCGTGATCCTTGAAATATTCAGCACACCTGTGATCCCGGCAGGCCGCAGGTGAGCGCGCTTTAAGCGCTTTAAGAAACGACAGCGACAGCGGCAGAGCTCACCACAGGGCGCCCCTGACTCCTGGGAGCTGGCTGGTGCCCTGGAGTCTGGGCTGACGCTTGAGTGTGAGGCCTTCGCTTTCCGTGTGACCTTCATCTTGATGTGGGCCTGACGTCTTGTAAGTGCGCAATGAAACTGTGTTGGAAGAAGGGTCTGGGGGAGGGCGAAAGTTCCGTATGGATGGTGCTAGCCCTGGTTAACAGAGCTAGGAGCAGCTTTCCAGGAGGTTCGGAGCACCGGTCTGCATGTGCAAGTGTGCACATGAGCAGGGGAAGAGGGGGAGAGAAAGGGAGGAGGGGAGAGAAAGGAGGGAAGGGAAAGGAAGGGAGAGGAAGGGAGAAGGCGGGGAGAAAGGGGGGAAAGGGAAAGGGAGGGAGAGGGATAGAGGGGGGAGAGGAAGGGAGGAGGGGGGGAGAGGGAGGGGGAGAGGAGGGGAGGAGAGAGGAGGAGAGGAAGGGAGGAGAGAGGGGGAGAGGAAGGGAGGAGAGAAGGAGAGAGGAAGGGAGGAGAGAGGGGGGAGAGGAAGGGAGGAGAGAGGGGGGAGAGGAAGGGAGGAGAGAGGTGGGAGAGGAAGGGTGGAGGGGAGAGGGAAGAAGGCGGGGAAAGGGAAAAGGAGTGGGGAGCGGGTAGAGAACAGCCCCAGGGAAGCAGGAAGCATCTCAGCTTTGAAGCATGTCAGGATCTACTTACACAGAGGTGGTTTCTGAGGCCCATAAGCCTATCAGTTCTTGGTGTAGTCAGGGAACAAAACTCACACCTGGTTTCAGCAGGGAGAATTTGGAGTGGAGGGCTGAAAGGCCAGAAGGAAGCCCCGAGGCATCAGAGAGAGAGCGCAGCTCCAGGAAAAACAGCCAGTGCCCCTCTGGCTGGGGCAACACACAAGGGAGGTGGGGATTCTGGCATCTGCAGGTTTGGAGCGGAGCCCCTTGAGGCTGGGCCTGAGACCCCTGAGGAAGCAGTGCTGCTCCTTGGGCTGGGGCCGCAGGAGCTTCGAGGAGGTGCCCCTGTTCCCTGGGACTCAGACCTCTTAGAAGTAGGTGTGATGAGGAGCAAGTCACTCCTCCCTCCTCCTGCCTCCTGGGCTCCCTCTAGTACCTTCTACCGGCAGGCAGAACCTACCTGGGAGAGGAGATGGTTGGAAGAGGAGAAATTACGGCTTGGAGAGTTTCAGCCCCAGCACCCAAAGCAGAGTATGGAAAGGTGAGCATGGGGCTGAGAGACACCAGCTTAATAACCCGTGCAGCAATGCACATTTAATATTCCGCTTTACCAGCCGTAGAATACACATTTGGTTTCAAAAATGGCAAAGAACAGACATTAACAGCTTTTCTCCAAGTCACTCAGCAAATTGGCGGTGTAATAAAAATGTGTTTTATATTTGCCCATATTTAATTCAACTAACACTGACTGCGCACCAGCTATTTGGAGGAAGGTAAGAAGCTTCCGAGCAGAGTCAGCAGCACAGTTACGTACATCTTGGGAAAATGTTTTTTTTCCTTCCTAAAAAAATATTTTAGGCAGAATAAGACAAGTGAATGTCTCACTTATCCTAATCATTCTTTAGTTTTTAAGATCTTCAGCCAAGGGAGTAGTGAGTGATGGGAAGTACAAGCAGGTCCTGAAGAATCTTAGCTGATTGAGGATTTCAAAAACAAGAATGATGTTCACTCCTTTTGTCATCTTTCAGAGTACCTTGAGTAATTTCGAGTATGCAGTGAGTGCTTACAGTTTGTGGTTAGGCAGCTTCCATGTAGTTGTTAACCTCGGCATGATTTGGACCCACAGATTCGTGCACAAGCTCTCAGCATCCCTCTCTTTGCATATGTCAATATAATCTAGCTTTAACTTGACACTGCCTTGTCCCTGGAAAGCCCAGTGTGGATTTTGTAAGGCCATACCAATTACAGCTGATAATTGCTGCCATACTCCTTTCTGAAATAAGCAAATACTCTGGCAAGCTCTCTAAACAGACATCTTCCGGAGCTCAAGGTCGCAAGCAGAATGCCCCTGGGTAAAGAGAATGAAAGTGGATGAATTCCCTTTCAAAAGAAAGTAAAAGGGAAAAGTGAATATATAATTATCTTCTTCATGTAGAGGTAACACACCTAATGCAGGCTAAAAATCTTCGCTTGGTTGCTGGTATGAGGATTGGATCAGATGACTGTTGAGATGCATGGGTGTCTTGTATCTTGGTTGGGGTTATTTGGAAAGGGCGAGCACTAATTGTGAGTATGCAAGGGTGCTACACAGCTAAGAACTACCCAGCATGAGAGATCAAGGGTTCAGGAAGCAGCCTGGCTCAGATTCCTGATCCCACCTAAACACCACTGACTCCTGTGTGTGTCCTCTGGGCTTAGTCTAAAGCCACTGACCACAGACAAGGCAATGTAAATGAAAGCTGGGGCTTTGGGGTAGGAGTGATGTGTATTTCAGTCTGGGCTTCCCTGCTACCTTCGGTCTAACTTTGGGCAATGAACATAAATAACCTCTCTGAGTCTAGCTCCCTGTGTTATACTCACCTCACAGCATTGTTATGATGATTAAATGATCTGCTTTGATGTGATTGTGACCGACACATAGTACTGTGGTAGTCCAATAAAACGTGAGCTACCCTTCTGCACTCTTTGTGTGTGGCCAGTTCTGTGCCAAGTACTCAGCGTCAGGGAGGTGTAGACAAAGTTGGTGAGTGGCGTCTCAATTTCTACCCTTGGGAGGAGGGAAGAGAGCCCTAAATTTTATGTGCACATAAGTAATTACTGAAAATTGCTGAATACAAACATACTCTTTTCTTGAACTTGGCAGTGGCCATGTATGTCTATTTGGAAGAAATGTTATATAGATATGGAGAAGCTAGAAGTCTTTGGAATTCTGAGTAGATACAAGATATGTTCATGATAGAATTGTCTGATTTTAAGCTAAAACTTTGAGGAATTTGAATGTGGCCTGATGAGCGGAAGTCAGGGCCTGTCCTGGGCAGGGCAGCAGCGTGGGCACACATGTGGGGTCAGGGACAAACGTGGTATGTGTGGCAGAACCAGTTAAGGAGGTCCAGCTTGATTGGGATGAGGACCTGATTTGAGAAATTGTGCACGAGGGCTGAGTGAGGGAGGAGGAAGTCCCTGAACTGCATGCTAGGAGCTCTGATAGCATTCAAAAGCACTGTAGTGCTTTCTTAATCAGAGGAGCAACATGATGGAAAGGGTGCTTCAGGGAGAGGAATGCGCTGAGCATCCTGGAGGAGGGATGGGAAGAGTCTTTTCACAGGGAGACAGGCAGCACCGGCATAGTTAATCTAATCAGGAAGAGCAAAGGATCATGGTCATGACCGAGCCTAGAGAGGAGGAGATGCATCCGAGAGAAACTGGCACAGAAATATTGGCAGATATGGGGACCGATTGCACGTGAAGGTAAAAGGAGATAAGGAAAGGAGAAGTCAATGAAAAGTCACAGGTTTTGAGGCCAAGGGATTTGCAGCTGCATTAGGTATTACTGAGCGTTGAGTTCCCATAATGAACTCCTTAAATGCTGTTACTATTACCACTATTAATACTATTGCTACTATAGTACTATTTACTACTACAGGTTAAGGATAATTAAAGTTTTACTCTGGATTAAGTACTGTGCAAAGTGCTTTACATGCATTAGCTTATTTAATCCTTACTCCACAGTGAGACATTCATTTATTAAATGTCATCTTGAGCACCTTCTATAAGATAAATGCTGTGTTAGGCCTTGGGGATAAAATGGGAGCAATGTTCTTGCTTTCATTGAGCTTCTAGTTTTAGTCAGAGGCTTCAGACAATAAACATGTAAATAAGAAACAAATATGGTGGTTGTGATTAGGGCTGTGAAAGAGAGTCTAACAGAGGGGCTTGCCTTAGAGAGTGGCCAAGGAAGTCATGAGAGAAGCCAGGGGAAGGGCATTTCATTATGGGGGAGCAGTAAAGGCAGTGCTTGACAGGTTGTAGGAACTGTCAAAGGTCATACCGCTGCAACGCGAGAATGAGGGAGAGAGTAGCATGGGCCATGGGTGGATGCCAGGAGGCAGGCTGATCCAGAAAGGGATGGTCTTGTTAGCTGTGGGGAGGTGTCTGGAGGATTCAATGCACAGTGGGAAAACATTGAAGAGACGTAAGTAGAGGAGTGACATGATGTGACTTAAATTTTAAAAAGACCATGGTGGAGAACAGATGGGAGGGAGGTGCAGGTGGACATGAGGAGACTGGTTGGGAGGCTAGGTACTTGCCCAGGTGACAGATGATGGTGGAAGCAGGGATAAGAGAAATGCAGGATTTGGGGTTGATTCTGGCATAGGACTAGCAGAATTTGCAGAGGGAGAGAATGTGTGGGCAGGGGAAAGGGAGGAATGATCCCCAGTTCTCTGGTTTTAGGAAATAATGGGTGGGTGTTGGGGCAGACTACGTTTAGGAGAAAAAAAACAAGAGTTTCTTACTGGACACACTACATTGGAAAGGCCTATGAGTAGATGTGGAGATGTCACATGTGCAGTAGAATTTATAACCCAAAGTGGTCTAAGCCAGAGATAGAGGTTTTGCATTCATTGGCATAGACATGGCATTCAAAACTGCAGAGGTGGCGAGTCCACCCAGGGAATGAGTGTGTGGAGAAGAGGCTAGGGCAAAGCTGACAAGCCCACCAACAAATGGGGTCAGGTGGAAGGAGAGGACCCACAAACGCGGCTGAGAAAAAAGAAGGAAAAACGGGATTGTGAAGGTCATGGCACAGATAGGACAATGAGTCAAGGAGAGACAGGTCAGCAGTGTCTGAGGTTGTGACTGGGAGGTGTGATTGGGCAGTAGAGAGGTCTTGAGAAGCAATGAAAACACAGCTTTGGGTCAGAGGTAGGGACCAAAGCCAGATACCTGGGTTAAGAAGTGAGTGGACACTGGGGAAAGAACTTGGGTAGACAACACTTGAGAAGGAGCAGTTCTCTCAATCTCATTCGAATTTGAGGAAGCCGAGATGAGCAGGGCTTGGTGACCTGTCCAAAGTTCCTCTAGAAATAATTGGCAGGGCTGGGCTTTGAACCCACCTGTGTTTGAATCTGAAACCCATGCTCCCAGCCTCTGTGCTAAACAAGCGTTTAAGTTACCATTTGAATGAATTAGTTATTTTCTAATTAGTTTCTTGTCTCCCATTCTCTCTCACTTGGTTGCTTTCACAAAATGGTCTGTAATTAACACCCCAATAAAGTAAACACAGGAAAAATCCAGGATTAAAGATGAAATAATGATAGATTAAATCAAGAGAATTCAAATATAACATTTATAAATATATTTATTGTCTCCAACTATCCTAAAGCACATGCTAAGATCTTCTGAAATGAAAAATGTTTATTTTTTTCATTAAATTTGCACCTCAGGCAATACCTCTGGAAATGCTCTGAAAAAAACCCCACAAAAACACAAAGCAAAAAACTCTGTACTCTTCTTGTATTTCCAAGTTTCCCTCTCACCCATTCTGTCATTCCCAGACAGCTGCTGCTGCCTCTTTTAGGACTTGAATAGCTCTTGCAGGGTCTGAGCCTTTTCCTCCAAATCCCAATTCCCACTTTTTCCCATTCATAACAGAGACATGGACAAGGAAATAAATCTTTCCTTTCAGACTGGTCTCTGACAAAGCAGAAGTTACATTTTAGCTAGGTGTCAAGTAACGTACCACTTGTTCTAGTTTTTCTCAGGTCTCAGATAAAGGCTAGGTCAACTTTGATACTCAATTCATATTCAATTTCAATATCCAATACCCGGGTCATTTCTACTTGGCATTTCTTACCTTGCCGACATACAAAGGGTCGGTCCCAGTGTACTCTTCCAGAACGAAAAACTGGTTCCAAACCCAGCTCCTCTTGGTCCGCTGATGTGACTGTGGCTTGTCTGACAGGAGTGCTTCTAATTCACCTTGTGGTGTTGGGGTGTCCGAGAGAACGGTGGTCGTAAGGTCCATCAGCCCCCAGAAGTACAAGGACATGCCAAGTCCAAGCCAGTTCTTTGCATTGCTCATTCTACCAGAAGTCCACATGGGATTGCCAGGTTTTCAGAAAATGAAGGAGAATGATAAGCAACTGGAACTTGAGTATTTTCCAAATTTAAAAAAATACACAGTTTTTGATTGGACACTTATGCTTCCTAAATGAGATCCCGTTTCAAGTCAATCTGCTTGAAGTTGACTTCCTGTCAAGTTAAGGAAAACACAGTGTGATGATGTCAGATTCTTTCCTGCAGGCGGGTTGCAAGTTTTCAAGAAATGTCAGTAAATATTCAACTTTCTACTCAATGAGTTAAAAAGTCATAACAGGTTATTGCTTTAGAAATGTTTGAGTAATAAATACTATTTTGATAATAAGACAACACATCTTGCTATAATCAATCCCAAACCTTTGGATATAGATTCGGTGGGAATAAAACTGATGAATAAATTTCTTCTCATTGGTAACTTAGCTGGAGGGTTATACTGTATTATTGATTGGTTTGAATTAATAGTGTGCTCTTTGAAATATTTATGATCAGACAGGCTCTTAAACTCTTAAAAGCAGCATTCATTTACAAAATTTACAGCTAATAACTAATATTTCCATTAGCCCAACTGCTTTTCTTTGCTTATTAAAAAAATAGTAAAATCCAACTACCTTGTTTTTTTTTGGTCACCCACAATGATCTTGTGCCTACTGCTGTTATTGATAATGCTAGAAATCTTGGACTTCATTTATAAGCAGCCAGGGCTCACTTCTGACTTTAATCATTTTCTGAGCTCACAGTGGATTTCAAGTTTCACACTCTACTGTTTTGGCTCCGAAGCACTGATAGGGGCTGCTAATGTGACCTTTCCAGGATTTAAATGGTCAGTTGATCATTATATCCTTCACAACAGACTTTAAAGTGCTATTAGTCACATGCCTATGGGAGCAAGCTAAGAGAATCTAGTCAACAAATCTCCTTTCTTGACCTGAAGGACTCATTTAGGGAAAAGGACTTCTACCGTGGGGACACATCTTTATCAGTCAAACTTCTTTTGTTGCTATGTGGTCACATTTAGCTGGTGACCTCACTTCTGGGCTATGGCCTCATCAATCTTTTCTTCCCTTACTTGGCTTGGTTTAATGAGATGGCATAACACTCAAGTCAACCTGTCAAGACAACCAAAATGTCTTCCTTCGGCTTAATATTTTCACTGTTAATTCGAAGAACTGCTGTCATCTGAGAACAAATGTGTGTATTTGGAGATTGCAGCTCTGTGAAACTAAATAACACTTCATTTCTTCAAGTGGTTTGAAGTGAATGCATTGATGCTAACTTAGTTACTACCTTCCACCTGTCATCAGAACTGGTTTCAGCTTCCTCTCAAATACTCATGATTGAAATGTACAAAAGAAATTTTAAACTACTTTATAATTATTTAATACAATATGCCATTTCATTTCTGTATAATAAATCATTTTAATGAGAAATGATAGAGAAAGTAGCTGAGGAGACTATAGAATTTTTGTAGCAGAATGGGAGGCTGTGCCTCTTATGAGCTCCAGCTCTGAAGGCAGATTGAGTGTTAAGAAAAAGCAAGCCAGGTGCACCTCATTGAGGGCAATGGGTTTGCTAATAAAGAACAATGGTGCTGCTAGCAGGTGGGTTACCAAATATTAGCTGTTCTCTCTCTCTTTGGACTGGTGGACATCTTCCCTTAGGGAACAGAGAAGCCCAGTTCATGTTTCTCTGATCCCTGTCTACAGGGAGGTGTTTGGGAAGAAGGAATTTAACCCAGGAAACGAATTGATGACAAAGATTAGTGAGAAATAGCTGTGCTGTTTTAGGGGCCTAGAAGGCAGACTAAAGGGCATTGCCAAAACAAACAAACAAACAAACAAAAAAAAAGCCACTGCCAGAATGCTGTGATTAGTAAACCATAAAAGCAATATTCTGTATATTGTAAGACACAATGTATCTATAATTCCTCAAAGTGCATTAGACTAAGAGACAGTTTGGTTACTGGTTCTATCTTCATTACCTCTGACTTATTTAGTTGTATGAATTTCAGTTTCCTCATCTATTAAGCAGGGCCAATAATTCTCCCACCTACCTCACTGGACCATCACAAGAGTCTGATGGGATCATGCAGGCAAAAAAGTGCCCTGTAAATGACTAAGGTGCCAACCGACATTTGAACAGTCAGATAAAGTACCTGGGTCATATGTAAAAATCATGGAGCTAAGCCAGAAATATATATTTTATGGATACCTTTGGGGCCAGAATTCTGAAAGGGCTTATAATATATATCTGTTATTTTTCAGATCTCTACATCTGTGATAAGTCCCGTCTGGTAGCAGATTCTGGCTCAGTCTAATTCTGTAATAACCAAACACTTGCGTTCCATTTGAGGAGATTTAATCAAGGGCTAGCTATTAGAAAACTCTTCAATAGTAAAGAAAATTATTTTGCGGATTGCGTTGATTAAAGCTAGAACTCACTATACATACATATATACGTACATATATATATATATGTATGTACGTATTCTATTTAGTGTATTCCCCTTAATGTCTTTGTTTCTTACCTATATTTTGCCTAAGCACACATGTCTGTTATTTTCTCTGGCTGGTTGTAGCAACTTGCTTTGAATCTAAGAGTGCCTGTGCATGCATGTGTGCTATGTGCAGATGTCTCCTCTTCTGCTTCCACTGGCTACATTTTATGTACAGAATGAGATTTGAGGAATTGTAAGTAGTGTTTTTTATATTCCCCATTTCTAACTAGGCATGTGTTCCTCCCAATTAAAACCCCCTATCCCCCTACCTGAGGCATGATCTGAAGAGCTCAAGGAGAAAAGCCTTCTTTGAAATCTGTGATGAATATTTTGTAGGCGGTCAGGTTGCCTGTTTTCATCTCTCCCTCTTTTCTACTTTGGCCTCCTACACACTAGTGCAAATTCTTATTTTCCTCCCCTCCACTGAACACGTACAAAGGTGACTTTGGGATCTTGACCGGGGGAGCCCTTGGTGATTCTGTGAAAGCTGATGGTACCTTTACACACCCCAAATCACAAAGACCGCAATGTCGTACCAACTCTTTCTGTCTTATATAACTTGATAGCAACAGTTGGTGCAAAGCACTTTATTTCTACTTCCTTAGGGATGAATGCATGAAAAAGACTCCCTGCCTAACTTTCTAGAAGGTAAAAGCTGGGTTATACAATAGTCGCATTATTCTTTTCACAATTAGAGGTGTTTTTTACAAAACAGTTCTATCAGAAATACTAATCAGTTTGCATTTATTATAAATGAGGTGGTTCTCATATTCATGTTTTTCCCTAGAGGATATGAATAGCAATAATGTGTTTGGGGTGGGCTAATTGCTGTTGTTCTTATAAAAGAAGATACTGATACATGTGTATTTGTATATATAGATCTGCTTTGGAAGACTACATATGCCACATGAAGAATACATTAGTGGAAATTGACTTCTGTGTTAAATGAGTCTTTTAAAAGTTTCCCCTTCATCCTCCCTAAAGAAAGAAAACAGCTTGGTAATGAACACAGTAGGAAGAAATTAAAGTTGTACATAAAGTGTGCTTTCAGTGAATTGTTTAGTTTGTTACGTAAATTCGTTGTGATATTTAAAATGTAGTGGGGAGGGATGGTTACTGCTTTCTCCTTGAAATGAACTGGGCTTTTATGGTCTTGCTCTGATTTCTTTCCTCATTATTCCAGTTTTCCTGAGCTTTTCATGGTTAATGGAACTACTGCTTAGCAAAGCTCAAATGACATCTCTATAGAAGCAGTCAGTCGACTCCGTGACTTTGTTTAAGAAGATGGGGTGTTTTAAGGTTCTGATGTGGCCTAATGCCTTTAAGAGAGGTAAATGCAGACAGTGGTGTCATGGTTTTAAGAGCCAAACTTCTTAAGCTATCATTTTTGCTTATAGAAAGAGTCTCAAAAATGCACTTAAAAGAGAGACTTTATGGAGATCTTAGATAGTACAATGAAACATGACAGTGTACCATAAGGTGCATCAACATTAAATCAGAATGCAACTTAATGTCATAATGCTATTCCACCTCCCAATCAAGTTTCTCTCTTGAGAAATAGCAACAAACCCATTTTACTTAGGAGTTAAAATCCTTTTGTATAGAGTACAAAACCCCAGAGAATGACACAGGTGGTCACCAGTATAAATTGGAGTAAAAAGTTGTTCGTGTATTTCAGTATGTATGGTTCACAAACAATAATATTCCCATTGTAGAATCCCATAAAGAAAATAGTTCGAGTGCTCCTCTAAATAAACTTTCAACATTTCTGGATTTGTTTGTGTATGTTTCTGCTACTGACCAAAGTCCATCACTAGGGATCTGTCTTGGACAGGGTGGATAGTATGGTTTTATATGCTGAAAGGGGACACAGTTCTCTGACCAGAAGTTGTTTTCATTTACTAAGTTCTTATTTCTTCTGTACTCTATACAGAAGGATTTTAACTCCTAAGTAAAATGGGTTTGTTTATTTATTTTATTTTTTTTTTGAGATGGAGTCTCGCTCTGTCGCCCAGGCTGGACTGCAGTGGCGCAGTCTCAGCTCACTACAAGCTCCGCCTCCCGGGTTCACGCCATTCTCCTGCCTCAGCCTCCCGAGTAGCTGGGACTGCAGGTGCCCGCCACCACACCCGGCTAATTTTTTGTATTTTTAGTAGAGACCGGGTTTCACCATGTTAGCCAGGATGGTCTCGATCTCCTGACCTCGTGATCCGCCCACCTCGGCCTCCCAAAGTGCTGGGATTACAGGCGTGAGCCACCGCACCTGGCCAAAATGGGTTTTTTTCTATTTCTCGAGAGAGAACCTTGACTGGGAGGTGGAATAGCACTATGACATTGAGCTGTATTCTGATTTAATGTTGATGCACCTTATGATATACTGTCATGTTTTCTTGTAATATCTAAGATCTCCATAAAGGCTCTCTTCTAAGTGCATTTTTGAGGCTCTTTCTATAAGTAAAAGTGATAGCTTAATTTTCATTTACTACAGAGGTTCTATCCATCCCAGTTTCTTCTGGGACAGTCATTAGGTGAGTGGAAGCTCCATGGCTCTTTTGTGGTCATCAACTCACCAGCCTACCCAAAGCCACCCATCTGTGGAGGCAACCAACTCCCAACAGGGTCAGAAGAGGTAGTCCAGGCACTAGATTTGCTGAATTTTGAGTTGTACTCTCACTTCCACTCCCCTACCTAACTCTCACCTGCTTCACCACACCCCTCCTCCCAACTTAACATTTCTGAAATGAGATATATCTTAAAAATCAATGTTTACATATTTAATGTTCTCATAGTAGGCTTTCCTCACTCCTCAGAGAAGCTGTTAATACATTGATGGTGTATGGAGAATCGAAGAATTACAGTATTACCTTTTTAAGAAATTGAACAGAAGAAGAAAAGGAATGCTTAATTTCCTTGGAGATTTCTTGGAAAAGGTGGTCACCACTCTTGCTTATTCTAATTCTCATTATTTATCTTTCTATGAATTCCTTCTCCATCAAGTTCCTCAAAAATGGTGGCACTCCTGAGGCTAAAAGTTCAGCTGTTATCATGTTCACTCAGGCCATTGTCAGTTCTCTGAAATCTTCTCTTTCCCACCACTCCTACTTATTTTCCCTCTCCTTCCCACCACCCAACCAGTTTATGCGAGAGTGCTGTTTTGTAAATGAGACTGGGAGCTCATAAATGGAACTATGGGGTGGATGTGGGTAAGGGGAAGGTAAACAGTAGCTTAATTGCAGTTTAGGAGCAATATCTAGTTTTGTATAATGGTAGGGATGTGTGTGTGTGTGTGTGTGTGTGTGTGTGTGTGTGTGTGTGTGTGTGTGGAGTAGAGCAAAAAAAATTGGTAGAAAGCTTGAATTATATAATTAAGAGCCCTGGCTTTGAAAAACTTGGTCAGTCCCATAATAAAACTTGCCATATGTTACCTGTATACATGCTGACCCTCTAGCTATGAATTCCCTAGCTTGGGTCATAAATAAAGGCATTTTCACTTTAGAAATCCTTGCTCTAGAGTTCATGCCCAATTCCTCTGTGCTTTTCATTCTTGCTATAATCAATTTTTGCAGTCCAGGGTGCCCTGTCTTTCTTTCCGTATCCGCCAAGGCTGGCGAATAGATTGTTACTGATCCTTTCACCCATACTTAGTATCTAGTAAATGTTTTAATCCTCAAGGAGTCAGGAAGTTTTTGACCTACTTTACCCTTCCTCCAGTTTTCACTTTTAATCAAGCTAATGAAACTACAGCCCAGTCTATGGGCAATTTCTCTGACTACAGTTAGACAAGAATGATCAATTTTGATTTCTGAGACTTGTTCCACATGCCTACTAATTTCCTGTTTTATGTGACATTTATAATTGCATTAAATCTGTGCTCATTCTTTATAAAAAGCATGTATTTAAAATGAAATTATGTGGCTAACATTCTTCTTTGTTAAGAAGTTGCAAGTAATTGCTACTCAGTGTTTTCTCTTATGACTTTGCCTTTGTACAGCATTTTAGGAAGTTAGGAAAATCCTGCAGTTTTCCTTGACCCATAAAAAATAATTCACAGGAAGAAGATTTTTTGGCAAAGGTAAGTTTGCTACCTAAACGTAAGACTTAAATCTTGAGTATCAATATGTTTAATCAAAAAATGGATTGGAAAGCCAGCCAAACTTCAGTGAGTTTCAGCCCTACCACTTACTATCTATGCAATCTTGAAGAAGTGACTTCATCTCTTTATGTCTCTGTTTGTCATTTACAAACTGGAGGTAATTATAGACTCTATCTCACAGGGTGATTGTAATTAAGTGAGAAAAAAGTATATATGAAACTCTTAGACATTTGAGAGATGGTTAAAGTCTTGTGCCTGTAAAATAGTAGATGCTCAATAAATATTGGTTTCCTTTTCCTCCTTCAAGGAGTTTACAGTTTAGGAGGGAGGTATTACCATTAATACTAGTGATAGAAATAATAATAGGAATAGGCATAGGTATACATACCATTATTAACAATAATAGTGTAGCAGCAGCAGCAACAGAAGCAATAACAGCAGAGGTAATGACATGGAGTGTTTACGCCAGGCTGTGTCAAGTAATTTACATTTACTTTGTCATTTAATCCTTACAAGGATTCCACAAAAATGTTTTGTTTCCTCAGTTTACAAAGAAACAAACAGTGAGGTGGTGGGGTCAACTCCTATCACCTTTCACCGGAGCCTCTCAATGCCTCAAAGCCTCTCACTTTCAAGGCCTCTCAATGCCTTGAAATTGGCCATGGTGTATTTATACCATGGGTATTGGCAAATGCTACATAGTTAGGAAGAGGATGAACTGGAATTCTTCGTCAGGAGTGACTGTACAAGAGGTGCTTAGCACGTGACTGACTGGCACAGATCTATTGGTGATGAGGGTTACAGGACCCCTTAAAAAACAAAATGCTAGGCCAGATCAGAAAAGGGAGAAATGATTTCCATCAGGAGGAGAAAGGCTTAAGGGAACATATGAACTAGACCCTGAAAAATAAAAGGGCATTCCCAGTTAAAGAAAACGCAGATACCATGGTGCAGATGCAGGATGCAAAGGGCCTGTCTGGGAGATTAATAATAATTTAATTTGCTTAGAGAATAGGGTCACTTTAGGAGACTGAGGAGGGATGAGGGAGGCAGGAAATCCAGATAAAAACCACTAGCTAGGAGCTGGGGATATTGGATTGAAGTATTTGGAATATACTCCATAGTTCATAGTGAGCAACTGAAGGTTTTTGAACATGCCAAAGTAATGTTGGGCCAGTTGTGGTGGTTCACACTTGTAATCTTAGCACTTTGGAAGGCTGGGTTGGGGGAGGATTGCTTATGGTTAGGAGTTGAAGACCAGCCTGGGCAACAGGGCAAGACCCCGTCTCTATTTAAAATATATATATGTAAAAAAAAAGTAAAGTTAATATGATACTAATATATGTGGGCAATGGCATCTGAGGCCATATATGTGTAAAGAAAAAGGAGAACAAAGTAATGTTGATAAATCTCTGTTTAGTAGTGTTTCTGGAGAGAAGGTGGGAAAATCAGTTAAGAGTCCAGGGAAAATTGGTAAGGAGAACTTCAACCAAGGATCCAGGGGAGGGAAGGATTGGCCAGACGTCTGAAACATCAAGGAGGCAGAGTCTCTAACACTTGCAGACTAACTGGATATGAAGAAAAGTTGGAACTGGAAAAGATGAAACAATCATGACTTAAACTTCTGTGCCTGGGTTAGGGCAGGAAGTTGGGAGGAGGTGCTAGTTAGAGCCAACGTGATAAATTTGGTTTTATACGCAGGAATAAAAAATTCATCATTCTACTCTGATTATTTAAAGAGGCAGGAACTTTCTCTTTTTCGTCCACACTTCAAAGGGGCTTTGGGCATAACGAATGTGAGCTGCTTTTTCTTAGAGCACACCTCACCCCTCCCTGAGATACAGCTCTGAATCCAGCTTCCCTGTCCTGGTGCTGTACCTGGACGTGGCTTCTCTGTGGCTAACCTGGTAAAATTTATCTTTAACTTCAACTTAGCTAGGGTTTTTTTTTTTTTATTTGTCTATTTCTCAGTTCTTATTTACTTTACACAATCCCCTCTCACGCTAGAATAATGTGGTCTAGCTAGGAGCTGGGGATATTGGTTTGAAACATTTGAAATATGCTTGATAGTTCATAGTGAGCAACTGAAGGTTTTTGAGCATGCCAAAGTAATGTTGGGCCAGGCATGGTGGGTTCATACTTGTAATCCTAGCACTTTGGAAGGCTGGGTATGGGGAGAATTGCTTGAGGCTAGGAATTCAAGACCAGCCTGGGCAACAGGGCAAAACCTCGTCTCTATTTAAAAAATATATATGTAAAAAAATTAATATGATACTAATGTGTATGGGCAATGGCATCTGATGCCATATAAATGTAAAGAAAACAAAAGAAAGGGGCAATCTGTTCAAGAAAAAGAAAAATTTGCCTTTTAATGCCCTAACAAAACAAACCAAAAATCTCACTGATGTTTATTATGTATCTTGTTGAAGGAAAGTAAAACCTTGTCTTCTAATACATGCTTTCAGGAAAAGAAATCTCTTTTAGAACATAGTGTATCATTTGGAATCAGGACATCGCGGTTTAAGACCAATTCCAGCTCTGCCACTCGATGTGTGACATCCAATATATTGCTTAATCCTTTTGAGCCTCAAATATGAGAATAATAATCTTCTTTAAAGGAGTATTACAGATTATCACGACCTAATACTATAGATTAAGTTGAAAATATATATGTATTTTTAACTTCCTACATGTTTCCCTTTTTATCTATCTATTCAAAGCAGTTTGTGCATTTTCTTTCCTGGCACTTCATTATTCTGTATTGTAATTATTTACTTGTCTGTTTTTTCTCCATATTGTAAGCTCTTTGAAGACATGGGTAATATCTTTTATCCATGTATCTATGGGCAGTACTTGGCACATACTAGGTGCTCAGTAAATATTAACTGTCAATGTATTTTTAAACGGTAGAAAAGTATTTAACAGTTTAATGTTATTCTTTCTACCTTCAAGCTTTTACTTTGATTTAATCAGTGTATTCCCATACTGATTTTAATGTCTGTTCACACCTGCAACAATTAGTGAACATATTAAGAGGCAGAGATAAAGACAATACAAAGTCAACAAAAGTCAAGAAAGCAGTGAGTTTTCACAAATGCTTTTTTTGTTCTTGAGCAGACAACATAATCCTTATGTGTCAGAAGTCTACTAGAACTGTGAGATCACTTGTAATGTAAAGTTAAAGCATCATTTGCAGAAATACTTGGAAATCTTATGAGGAAATTGGGATTTGAGAAATTACAGTGACCTATGTGAAAGGAAAATAAATCTTCGGATCCAAGATCTCTAAGTTAAAGGGAAGTCAATCTGAGAATTGCGTAGGGCAACCCTGCCTCCCATCCTATTCGAAGTCATCCCTCTGGTCACTGAGATAAATGCATATATGAGTCCCTCCTTTGAAAAAGCTAATGAGAAACTCAGTGCAACCATTTGTCTCTCACCTACCTGTGACCTGGAAGTCCTGTCCCTGCTTCGAGTTGTCCCACCTTTCTGGACAGAACCAATGTACATCTTACATAAATTGATTGATGTCTCATGTCTCCCTAAAATGTATAAAATCAAGCTGTGCCCTGACCATCCCGGGCACATGTCGTCAGGACCTCCTGAGGCTGTGTCACAGGCATGAGTCCTCAACCTTGGCAAAATAAACTTTCTAAATTAACTAAGACCTGTCTCAGATATTCGAGGTTCACACCTAATAATATGTAATATTGTTAAGTTAAAGGGATATGACCGTCAGAGTTACCTCTGATGGCTTAGATTTTAACTTTCTTAATTTGGGGGAGGGAAGGTGATATGAGAAGATCTTTTTTCCTCTAATTCTTTTCAAGGTCAGCCTCCACCTATTCTTTGGTAATTCCCTTTTCCTTGAACCTGTAATCTCTTCATTAGTCCAATCCTCACTATAAGACTATATTCACATTTCCTTTTAGAATGTTTTTATTCTACCCTTTCATTTCAGTGACAGCTTTTTCAAGATAGACTTTCACCATGGAAGTCTATGATGAAAATTGCTCCACTGTCTTCTAGCACCTAGTATTACTAATGAGAAATTCAGTGTATTTTAGCAAAATGGTAAACTTACAAAGATATAGGACCCAAGAGAAAGGGGATCCAACAAAGGAGACTGGCAGGGAGAAGGCCCAGAATAGCAGTTGCTTACCAGGCTGTGAGTACAGCAGCCAGGTGAGGGGAGGGAGGGCTCCAGGAAAGAAATGAAGTGTTGGAGTGACTGAGAAGCTTCCAGGATTTGGATAAATTATTGATAGGCACAGGACAGATTTTTTGAGCATTAGGGGGGAAAAATAGTGACACACACATAGAGAAGACAAGAAAAGAAAACCCTAGGCAATTGTTAACCAAGAAAAACACAAAGTTCTATAAGAAGGGCATTAAATCTTCAGGTATAACTTTGCTCAGTAGAAAACAACATTTATCCATAATAAATAAACATTGGCTATTCTTTTAGTTAGTACTGAAATATAACTGTTGAAGGGCGAAGGAGGGGAGAGTGGATGGGAATATGTGTAAAAAGAACTAAGAGCTCAATTACCCCACTGGAACACCAACTGCTAATATCTAGAATAGGTATTTCAATAAATATATATAAGCATATGACTTAGAAATGTATTGGCAAATACTCGAATAAATAACTTTGGGGTTTACCTTTTGAGATTGGGTTTTGAGGTTGGAGCAGGGGATGGTTTTTCCTTTTATTATAAGTCTTTCAGAGCCATCTTGGGTTTTTTTTTGGCCCATGCAAATATTCTACTTGCAATAAAATAAAAACTGACTCAAAAATTTAAAAGAACATATTCAAATAAGCAAAATAAATATAAAGGAATTAAATAGAAAAGAAAGGTTTGAAATAGATGTAGTGAAGATATTTTATATACTTCAGAACTATTTTTTCCACACTTTAAGTGTTTCTGAGAGCAGAATGGATATATCAGTGTACACACTTACATGTTAGTGTGTTTATTCCTCCAAAACTTGAGACTATTATATTTATATAATATAAATTTATATTTATGGTGTCTTTCAATTGCAGTTTCACAGGATCAAGGAAGTGGAAATACTTTAGTACAGAGATTTTCAGAACTATGCTCTTCTAGACATTAGAAATTCTAAAGCTTTTTCAAGATCTATTATGAAACTTCTAGGCTCAGCTGTCTTCTTACTTCCCCCGTTCTTTATTGCCACTTTCCCGTTTACTAAGCTCCACCTTCATCTGTGTTACATATTTGGGAAAAAAGACTTCTTCACTAAGTTGGTTAACTGGGGTTAAAGAAGAGGCTACATCTCTATTCTTCACCATCCACTGTTTACTCCTCATGCACTGAATAGTTAAATGGGAACAATTACAACATGTGGGTTAGTAGAATACACGGAAAAACAAAAACAAGCTACTGAGAAAACATGCAGGTGAATACTATTTTTATAATACTGCGTTCCCAGTATTATAAGAAAGGTAGGGAAAGATTCCCAGAGAACCTTTATCCCTACCTTTATCAAAGGTAGAAAAGAAAAATGTTGAGATATTGAATTAAACAGTTATTAGAAATTGTTATATTTTATATACTAAAAACAGGCAACATGCAAGAGAAAACGAGGGCTTATTGTCCTTAACATATTTAGAAATCTTTATGCTCAACATTTAAAATATTATTCCAAAAAAGAGTGATCAAATGACAATAAGAAAAATTCAGAAAGGCAGAAATAAAATGATCAATAAATATATGAAAAACATTTTACTTTTTTTTTTTTTTTGAGACAGAGTCTCGCTCTGTTGCCCAGGCTGGAGTGCAGTGGCACAATCTCAGCTCACTGTAACCTCCACCTTTTGGGTTCAAGTGATTCTTCTTTCTCAGCCTCCCAAGTAGCTGGGACTACAGGCATGTGCCACCACGTCTGACTAACTTTTTAATTTTTAGTAGACACAGTTTCACCATGTTGGCCAGGCTGGTCTTGAACTCCTGACCTCAAGTGATCTGCTCATCTCGACCTCCCAAAGTGCTGGGATTACAGGAGTGAGCCACCGTGCCTGGCCTCAAAAAACATTTTACTTTCACAATTAGCTTAAGAATACAAATAATAAAATATCATTTCAACCTATTAAATTAGCAAACATTAAAAAAGAACTAAGCTAACCAATGTTTCTGAGCATATGTTGTTCATATACCATATGGATGGGAGTGTGGGTTGATAAAAGCTTTCTGGAAGACAATTTTGCATGATGTGCCACGTCTTTAAAATTACTGATGGATCTTAAGGAGCTAATTATAATATATATTTTAATTTTTATTAGCATTATTAGAGCAAAAAATCAGTGTAAGCCATATTTGCAACAATAGATGATTCTAAACATTATGACATACTCATGCATCGGAATACTATGCAACTGTCTTGGAAGGAAGATAGAGAATTGGTTTTAAACCTGTTCTCAAGAACGCTGTTTATTATCAATTTCTAACATTGTTGCCACACACCTTTTAATTGCAGAAAACAGAATTTAGCCACTTTGCAGTTTTATAAGTACAAAATCTATTCTATAGAAATACTTCAGAATAAACTAGTACAGTAAGTCAAGTTATGTTGGAATTAGCTGACCCTAGACTGGTAGTGTGACAGTATCCATTATCTACAGATCCCAGTTACCTTTATGGAAGATAATTGTAGAAGGTGTTGTTTATCAGCCTGAGATGCAACATTGTCTTCTCCTTAGTACCACTGGGTCTTGGATCTCTCCAACAGACCATGCCCAGCCACATGTATATGATAAGAGTTGTTATTTGACCTAGAGACTGCAGCAGCAACCTGCCTCTAATTATATCATAGTAATAAAATCATGGGGCAAGGATCGGCTCAATGTCCTCATTTTCCGAGGCTGTTTTTTTTTAATTCCCCGATGGTTCTTCAGTAGTGTTCTCTAGTTTAGTAACTGGAACCACCTTTCAAGCAAGTGTGCGAGGTGTTCTCAATGAGGACTCTCAGTACATTCCGAGTGCTTGTGCCCCCACAAAGTTCAGTCCAGTTAGCCTCTGATAAGATCATTGAATATATACTTACATTTTAATTTTTCTTGGGAAGTTCTATGTTAACAAAGGACTTATCAAAAAAGAGAGATTCCCAAATGGCCCAAGACAAATTGATCTGCAACTAGGTATACATTAATGCAAAGTGAAGCCATCGTGAATCCCAGAAGTGACTGGCACCATCAGGAATGAGAACTGTTTAAGTCAGAATCTTCTCAGCCATTTCAAGTGCATCAGAAACCAGCCTAGTTTTGGTATCAAGGTAACCAACTAGACCAAGGCCTGAATTAAGGGCCACAGTTGTATTCTCCTGTAATGAGGGAAGGGAGATTTCATCCAGTGGTCCTTTATCATCGACCTTCTACTGGATCATTTTGGCACTAAATCATATTTTCTAGCTAGCTCTTGTTATAAAATAAATCACCTCAAAATGTAGTTAATACAGCAGTCATTTTATTAATTTTCACAGTTTTCTATGGATCAGGAATTTGGATATATCTTGGCTACGTGATTCTGGTGTGGGGTTTTTCATGTGTTTGCAATCAGATAGTGGCTAGAACTTGGACAGTGGGGGTCTGGTGCCACTGGGGGCTGCCGGGCATCTTTGTCTCTCCAGATGGTCTCATTTAGCACCTTTACATGTGATTTCCACATGCACTAATTTGGGCTTTGTCACAGAGTGATGACTTTGGGGATGGCAGTTGCAATCAAGGCTCTGGTGTGAATGCTGCTGTTCTTGAAGCAGAAGCCATGTCTTCTGCGGCATTCTCTTGGTTATGAGTCACTGAAAGTCCACACGCATCTTAACGGGGATGTGGCGAGACTCCAGAAGAGCCTGCGGGGTGGGAGATAATATTGTGGCTCTCTTTAGAAAATGCACTCTGCCACACCTGGAATTCCAGACAGGCATCCAGGACCACTGAGTTCAATGTTGAAGAACTTTAGCAATCTCAGAATACAAGGAGCCAATCCCCCTCAAGGATGAAAAGGCAAGTTCTTGCATTTAGAAGGGGGTAAGAAAAAGTTATTTTCTATTTAAAAAACAGAACAAGTTTAGTCAGACTGGTCTAATTTTCATTTATGATGTGACAGGTGTCTCTAAAGAAGAGAATTCTATGCAGGCTATATGTACAAAACTTCGGATTATGTCTGTTCAGGCATAACAAAAGAGAAAACATCCTGATGGTTCAGTACTTAGTGGAGAATTATTATCAATTGATCATTTTCCACTTTAGTGCAATAACACATGCTATTATACAGTAGGTTCTATATCAATGATATCTATTCATACTTTTAAGGATGTCTAAAGTCATGGTCACTAAGCATTGAGATTTTTCCAAATATGCAACAAGTAAAAGCGATGGTAAAATCTGTGGCTTGGCTTTAGACACATGGATCACTGGAGAAGTACTAGGAGATAAACAGAGTGATGATGAATAAAATAAAACCTAGTAACTTCTGGAAGTGAGATACTCATTGAACAATGTAAGATTAGTGAGTCACAGTGGATATCATTTATTTCCAGTTTGACTCCTGATTTTATTTAGAGCTTCCTTTGCTCTGCTTATTCTAGCCCAAAGATTGGCACTTCTAGCCATCCAAGTCAAAATCCAGAAGTCAGGGTAAGATTTCTTCCATCCCCACCTTCACACCCCTATATCTGGCTACTTAGACCTGTCAAATTCTACCATTTCTACCTTGTAAGTCTTTCTCAGATCTGTCTTTCCTCTCCATTCCTTCTGCCATTGCCATAGTTCTGGTGTTGTAACTTCCATCCCTTCAGCAGCCCTCTGGCTGGTATTCCTGTTCTCATCTATCCTGTTATCTGCCAGAGTGATCTTATCGGACCACTCACCTGCTAAACGTCTCTAATGGATCCTCATTTTTTAACTGATAAAATCTATACTTGACAGGACCTTAAGGACCTACACAATCTGGCTCCCCCTCTACCATTCTGTCTCATCTTTCCCTGTTCCTCAACCTTTTGGGGTCCCTCTGATAAACTATAAATGCTGTATTTTAATACCTTCTTCATGTTTTTGCTCGAAGACAGATGCCTTTCCCCGGCCCTTCCTTGCTAAGCAATCTCTCTTCCAGGGAACATCTATTGATCCCCGGGCCTGTCTTCTGTGCCCCCTGCCACTCTGGTCATGATGCCAGCACAGCCCACATGGTTGCTTTTCATGCTAGCCTGCAAATTCTCTGAGGACAGTGGCTGTCACCTCTGTATTCTCAGCATTAGCATGGTGTCGGCACCAACAGGAATATAATAAAACTTGGAGTTGAATTATTTAAATAAAAAGTGAACAACGATTCAGCAATATAACATTCTCATCTTGAAGAGAATCTTGGCACTTGTACCGCAATATTAAAAGAGTAGAATCCCGAGGAACCAGCAGGTGGGACTGGGATCCTCTCCAGAAGTTGTCAGTTTCTGAGAGCTACACAACGAAAAGAGGTTTGGAGAATGAGGACGGCTTGAAACTTGGAGCAGGTTCAAAGAAATCCATGGAGCCCTAAAGATGAAATCTAAGTGTCTGAAAAAAGGAAATCTTTAAGGCAAGAGGAGAAAAGGTCAAAGTGCAGCTTAATAATGATATCCACATTTTAAAAATTCATCTTCACAGAAGATGAGCATCTCTTTAGGAACCAGGAACAGGGAAGACAGTGTTAATCAGTGGCAGAAGAAATTTAAACAACATCAGGTTTCTTGAAGCTCATAAACTGGGACAGGTTGCTTAGGGAGATTTAGAAATCTCCTGCCCTTCTTTCGGTAGAGAGTGATGATAGGGACAAGAGACTGCAGGGGAGGAAGTGTAACACTGACTTTGGCAGGAAGACCTGCCAGGGGTGGGAGATGGAAGCAAAGGATTTTAGGGTCTTTTACAAACACTAGAAATCAATGGTGTTTTAAAATGCTGATTTTACATAGTAGTAAGCATTTATAACATTTCACTCATTTTTGCCTAGGAGAAATGTTGAATTTACAAGCATACAGTGAAAAGAACGAGCTACCTTTTCCAAGTGCAATCAATTGATGATGATGCTTGATTCTAGATATTCCTACTCTTACTGGCTATAAAGTATCAGTTAAAAAGATATTTTTTATGACCTGCTGATTGATCCCAGGTAGCACTTGGAGCAAGGCAAAATTGTTAGCTCTGCTGCCTGGAAAAATCATTGTTATTTGGGAATTACAAGTCAGCTTCCACTGCTTTTATGCTGATATTTTTTCCCCTTTCTGATATGTAAATACCATGTAATGAAGCCACAAAGATGTTCAAATGTTTCTAGTGGAAACTGCATTACCAGTTAAAATTGCTGTATGTTTCTTTTCTATGTTGGTAAAAGAATTTAGGTTTCCTTGGAATGGAAAATGCTGTTATTGCAAAATTTATTATTTTTTCCCCTATAATCCCTTTTATCTTTTCCATATAGTAACTAATTACTAAAAGAAACCCGTGTAAACTTTACCAGTTTTTGTTCTTATGAGGCTAAGAACAGTCTAACAGGAACCAAGCCACATGCTTTAATCCATAATAAGGAAAAAAGATTTTGCAAACGTTTCTCTTCACGGTATTAAAAGTAAATGAAGGTTAAAGAAGGAGGCTAAAAAGAAAGCCTTATTAATGGGAAATACATTCTGATACATTCTGATACATCAGACGGATTCCAATCTTAATAGTCAATTTAAATAATAGAATTGGTTAATAGCATCAAATTAGGATTAAAGAGAGAGATAAAAATCTATTTCCCCAAGTTGTTTCAAAACAAGACATTCACTGGCTGATGCCATATTACATCAATCTGATTATACTGTTCATAATAAAGTATGCCCTATGATAGAATCCTGCTGGGAGATGTGTTTAATCAGATGCCTTTGATATTATTTGAGCAAAAACTACTTTAGACTCAAAAGAATCAAAGAGAAAAATCTTTTGCTCCTGCAATCAGTCTTAACCCACGGTGGAAACTAGTGCTGTGTACACAACCCGTCCTAATCTACTCACAGACATAAGCACGACCTAACTGGCTGGGATTTCAGATTTGTCTTTTTCAGAAGCCATGAAAGAAATTTGCTTTGCTTAATAACCATGTTCCACACCAACTGCTCATTTCTAAGTTTATCACAAATCAAGTCGAGATAAAGATTTTCTGTTGGCAGGAATTTTAACGGGCACTAGTGACTACAATTAACAGCCACCCAATAATAATTTAAAATGATTATCTCAGATCACTTTGTTTGGCTCCCACAGGAATTACATTGACACATTCATTTCCCAAGACAATCTTTCTATTTCATTGACCAATCTTGAACATTTCGTAAAGATATGGCAAAGAAATAACAGACAAGATGAAAAGTTTTATAACTTACTTTTCTCCTTTCACGGAGTGCGCTATTTTTGCATTTTCCCGAGCTTGCCCCTGAGTGGTGGAGTTCCCTTCCTGCTGCCAGCTCCCACTGTATGTCAGGACAACTTAAAGTGGCCCTCCTTTTGCCAGTTCCAGATTAGTCTTTAAATTAGAATCAGGGATGAAAGAGGCCATCGGATGCGAGGACATCAGCCCAGTAACTTTGAGGGAAGAAGGTTTTCCTTCCCCTGCTGCCTATGCCGTGGGGTTTGAGCACGTCTCTCGGGGGGAAGTAAGACCCAGCCAGCCCCCAAGTTGCTGATGCAGCCTAAAGCGACTTAGGAAGGGAGTGGGAACAAAAGGCATCTCTTAAGTTAGGTGATTAGCAGCAAATGATGTATGGGGGTGGGAGGGAGCCTGGTATACAAGGAAGGGGAGCTGGCAGTTGCCCTTGTCTGGAGGGGGAAGGACAAAGAATGCTGGCCCTGAACATTTGAGGCCCTGGGGGATTTCTTAACGGAATCAAACAGCACAGGACTATGTGCAGCCTTGTACAGTAAGAGCTAAAGTTCTTTGGACATGTTGTCCTCACAGACAGCTGAAAATATCTAGTGGCAAATACCTATCAGCTACTGATGCATTTCAGAAACAAAAGATAATGGGAAGGCTAACAAATCACATGTCTTTTTCACTTACCATTACTTAGTGTTTCCAGTAAGTAAATGCAGTATCTCAGCTGAGCTTCTCTTTCAAATTATTGTTAATTAAATAATACTCCCTAAGAAACCTGTCATTACCGACAGCCAGGAATGGGTTTGTTGAGTTTGCCTGAGGCTATAAATGCTCCGACAAACGGGATCTTAATTGCCATAAGAGGTAATATCATTGGGGATTGTAGTTCACTTTTTCCAACAATTTTATAGTATGTTTTACATCTTAAACTTTTGCATTTTGCTTCTACGTGTGGAGTTCCACAGGGCCACAGGGATCATTCTCTAATGATTCATCCATTGAATAAGCCATTCTTCATAATGGAAAAAATGCATGTTGCTATTGAATCTGTAATTTCCCCCCAGTTCCATTATGACTAAAGAGAAGCAATTGATAACAGATTTTAAAATTAACTTAATTTCCTCCAGTTCATTATATTACTTATCCTTTGAAATAAATGACTTTTGCTGGGAGATATAATTTCTGGTATGTCACGGACCTAACTCTGACATTATCTCTTGTCAACTGTTTTCCTAGTAGACAGGAGAGTTAGGTAGGTGGAACAATTATCACTGGATGGAGTTGAAAGGGAGACAGATGAGGGCATTTGGCTGCAGAGAGCAACATGTGCTATGGCCTAGAATTTAAAGTGACCTTATCTACAAACATTTTCCTTCTGTTCATGAGCAGAGAATAAGGACAAGTATTAAGAAAAAGTCACATTTTTTTCAGAGTTATAAAAGTCTCCATATGCCATTTCAAAAAGAAGTACTATTTCAGCCTTTTCTTAAATGACCTCTTTTTCATCATAATATAATATATTTCTTTCACCTTTTGACTGGTACTTTGGTTTCTTAATCAAGTTACATGTTTCAGAAAAATTACACTTTAGAATGCGTCTTGGTGGTATTTCATTCCAACAGTTTCATTTGGTTGAATTAATGTGCAGCTGTGGCTTAGTGGAGGGAGAGAGAGGGAGGGAGGGAGAGAAAGAGGAGAAGATAGAAGAAGGCTCATATAATCCAACCTCCAAGCATAACTTTCCTCAATTTCACGTTTCAGTATCATTATAGAAACCTCTATCTGTAATAAAAGCATAATTTAGGTCAATAGTACTAAAACGTATATACCCATATTATATCAGTGATCTACTGTTCTGTGGTCAAAATTCTTTCCTTTCTTCCTCTTCACCAAGTTCACCTCTTGTTTTTGTCCTTTCTCTATCTGGTGTCACTTGATAATCTTTCATTCTCTTTTTTTTTTCTTTCCAGGTTCTTGTCTCTTTTTCCCGTTAAGGCGTGAATGAGCAGGCATCTCAGCCAATATGTCTATACATGGCTGAATACACTTGGTGAAAAGCAGGGTCTCCTTTTGTCTGGACCCTGGATGGCTGCGTGTCATTCCGCACCAACGGGCAGGGCCTCCCTCACAGTAGGAACTTTGCAATAATTGCCAGAACAAATTGAGCTCAGGCTTATCGGTTCCTTTCCTTTTTCCGTTGGAAAATGGAGGGAATAGGGGAACAAGGCCAGTTTTGACCATTAACAATACGGCGTAGAAATAGATTGGATACAGCCAGTGCCCAGTCTTGTTGCAAACAGTCACGGGATAGGTTGTGTACAGGGATGATAAGATGCGACCCTGTAATCACACAGCTAACCGAGCCCTGATTTCTCCACACCCCCCAGGGTGCTCTGGTGTGTATGATACGCATTTATAGCCGTTGGCAGGGGAATTGTTGGAACTGACACACAGACCGCCGGCAGAGGTGAGAACAAAAGATGTGATGGGTTGGTGCTTGTGTTCTTTTTGCATCTGGTGAAGACCAGCAGAGGCAACTCTCAAACTGTTTTCACCAGATTGCAATGAGAAAAATGGTCTTTGGTAAGAAATCTGAACATATAGGGGAAAGAAACTCATTTAAAAATCATGTTACACTTTCTTTTTTTCCCTGTACAAGTCTTTATCAGAATCTCTATGAATCATTGATATAGTTCATGTACCTACATCCCTCTCCCCGTGTTCGGTGTAGTAAGCATGTGTGTATGTATGTGTATGTGTAACTAACATTTTTTGTTAATTTCATGTGTATATAGGTAACTGGAAATGATAATGTATATACATAAATGTAAATGCAAACATGCAATGGCATGGGTGATTTTCTCTTTACATACATACGTATGTTTATACTCCAAAGGTTGATTCTAAATCTACAAAATGCCACAAGCTCCCTGCTAGAAATCTTTCCTTAATGAGATATTGTGTTGGATTTGCTTGAGGGTCACATACACAACCAAGGTTGTATCCTGTGTTGCCCACTATAGGATGGTTGAGAGGGGAGAGGAGACAAGGCCTTACCCTAACTGGGCAGCCAGACTGTTGTTTCGAAACTGCTGAAGCAGCCAGATCACCTGTGTGTGTGACAACCCAGTCTGTATTTCTAAAATAATGTTATTTATATAGGGGTGTGTGTGTGTGTGTGTGTGTGTGTGTGTGTGTGTGTGTATTCATTCTCATCCAACTGGGGTTAAGCTTTGCTCAGCTGCTTTCAAAGTGACTGGAAGTAGACGACATGAGGAGCTACAGCCAACTGAGTGGCTTTCCATCTGCCTCTGCTTTGCTTGGAAATAACCAGCCAGAGCAATGGTTTTAGCTTTATTCATTTGTTGTTGTTGTTCTGATCTGAAGCAGAGGCTGACATGAAACAAACATAGCATTTCCTTTTGAAAATTGAATTCTGAAGTTGGCTTCATCTTTCCAGAATCACAGTGCTATTGCAGTTCCTTCCTAGCTTTGTGAATGTCATAAACAATTTGCATATAAAGCTCCAAATGTGGAGGTAATGACCACATTTGTGTTTTAGGATTTTTGAGGGGAGGGGTTTGATTTTTAGTGGTTATGAAGGGATTTGTTGAGATTTGTGGGATGAATGGAACTAGTTTCCCCTATACAGGAGAGATCAAGAAATGGGGAAACAAATTCATAATAAAGAACACCTTTGCCAGTCTTTTACTGGCAATTTTTAAGGAAACACAGCAAAATGTAAAGTCATACAAATGTGGCTTTTTGAGGAACTTCATTAGCATCACCCACAATCCATAGTTTACAATAAATGGGCACTGGGGCCCCCACAGGTCATGGCCCATAGCCAGCTTGCTGCAATGGAAGCGATGCTTACAGTAAGGCGAGTTCCCTGGACACGATATATGAGGTATGGATGACAGTACATTATCTAAGCCAGTTGCACTGTAGTGACTTGAAATTGGAAGACACTTAGTGGAGCAAGTAGGGGGGAAAAAGGGATACTAGAGAAACACAGTGCATTAAAAGTCTCTCAGCATTAAATATGCTTAGGAGAGATAAGAAAAAGAATATTCTTAGAAAAGATTTACCATTATTCTTTAGCAGTATGTCCTTCCCCTCCCCAAACACACACACTCACACACCTACACATCCCTACAGACAGAAATGAAAAGGGATTTCCTTCACTCAGAACATCCTTAGCGTATCTTGATGTCTTGAATCTTTTGGGGCCATAAAGAAAAATACTTGTTTTAGGGAGAAATAAGGATTTGAGAATCTTGGCTATCAAGATTGTCATTTCTGTTCTCCACACATGCAGTGAAAGGCAAACCATGCAATTTTGACTTAATTTCATTTTGACGCTGGTGATTGGATCACGGCTGCTCTTGCAGATACAGTTGAGGCCTATTAACTTGAGAGTAATCACAAAGGGACCCGTGATATGTACAGAATCACATTCTCCAGGGGAGACAACTTGATGGGAAGTATGGCTGCATTGCCTGGGTTCTAACCTCTGCTCCACTGTGTACAGGATGTGTAAACTTGGGCAAGTACTTAACCTCTTTGTGCATCCGAGTCCACACCTGTAAAACGAAGCTAATAGTAGTTCCTATGTCTACTACATAAGTCACTATATGTGAGGTAATGGGGCAGAGCCTTCGCACACAGCAAATGCTCAATAGATACTAGTTATTAGTACTAGTAAGCGAACGTAAGCCTTGGGGTCAGGCAGAATCAGCTTTAGATTCTACTTCTGTGTTTTTTGGCAAATGATTTAATATTTCTGAGGCCCAGACGGTTTCCAATGCATAGAATTGCAGGGTTGCTATAAGCATGAAATCCTCTTGTGTGCCACAGGAAGGCCCCGTGTGTAGAACATAAGAGATGCTCAGTAAAAGTTTGTCTTTCCAAAAGTAGAGAAGAAAATATCCCTATGGCATAAACTATCATGTTCATCTTTCCTCATAATTGTTTGGATCTTTTCCTTCATTATTTTTGGAGGGAGGGAGTGAATTTTTCTAACTTGGGATTTCATGGTAGTTATTGGCCAGGAGTGGTGGTTCCTCAAAGTGATTGAAGTTGCAAACTCTGTATTTGATGGATAGTGAGAAATGGAAGCTTGTTAGTAATGAGACATAAAATTGTAACTGGCTTGTCAAAAAGACACTCTATACCTGACTTTTGGGGAAAAAAACCCCAAACACCATAAATATGTTTCTTCATTGTGATGATGTGGAAATTGTCAGATTCTCAAGCGGAGAAGAAGGCAAATTAGGCCTCACAAGCCTCTCCAAATACAGAGAGAATAGGAAACTGATTTTCCAATACTACAATTTGCACATGATTCTAATGAGAAAATCTGAGGGGATATCATGGCAATATGTCTCCCCAGTGGCAGCTGATCATTATATATATATATACTGTCATTAGAGATGGTACCAGACACCTTTAGGAGTGTCTGTCTAGCATATTTCTGTCTTAGAACTGACCTTCCATCCTTAAAGGACTGGCCCCTGCAGCCTTGTTTGTAACAAAGAACTTGCCCATCCCCCAGGCTGAAACTGGAACAGGATGGACACTGAGCCAAGCCAGGCCAAGCACATTGTTTGCTGGGAGTATGGAAGGGAACCTGCAAGGATGGCTGGGGCGCTGTGCCCTGCAGAAGCAGAGCAGAGGAAGTGGGACAGAGAAGAGGGAGGCGGGGAGGGCATGGGAAGAGGGCAGGCTCTTGCTCCTTGTTTCAGTCCCTCTGGAGGCTGAGCCCAAACTCCTGTGTGTGGATTCTGAGTTACCTCTGTAGTTGTGCGCTAATTTCTTTCTTTGCCTTAAAGCCATCTTGAGGGAATGTTGTTTCCCTCAGACCTAAACTTTACTAGGAGGAGTTCCCAAAACTTTACTAGGTTAGTCCCTAGATAGATACCTCATGGGAAGCTGGCCTCAAGTTGTGGATCCAAGGAAAAACCATTGAGAGATTTCCATGGACTTAATCCTCTTCTCTGTCCCCTAGATTGTTTCGAACACCTTTATTAATTAGGTGAACTGTGGAAGGTAAAGTCGTAACAAGACGGCCCTTGAAGAAATGGTGGTGACATCATGAGCTGCATGTCCCGTAACTCTGCGTGACTAGAACATCATGTCATGAAAGGATTTTTGAATACTCATTTTTAAAGAAATGCAGTATGATATAGCATTTAAGTAAAATAGTAAGTTTCTATTGTAAATGTTGTAAGTTATTGTAAATGTTTGTAAAATAGTAAGTTTCTATTGTAAATGTTGTAAGTACAACTATACTAACAGGAATTGTTTGTAAAACGGTGAATAGAGAATCACTATTGGAATTATTTACCTTTTGTAAATTACCATTTATTTCAAAAAAAGTAATGTTACTATTCACACAGTAAAAAGAAGCTATTTGCTTCTCTTGAGAAATATGTCTTCATTAAGCTATATATATAAATAGCTATATATATATATATATAGCTTAATGAGAAAATATATATATTTAAGTGACAAGGTCTTGCCTTATTGCCTAGGCTGGAGTGCAGTGGCACAATCATGGCTCACTGCAGCCTCAACCACCTGGGCTCAAGTCATCCTCCCACCTCAGCCTCTTGAGTAGCTGAGACTACGGGCCTATATCACCATGCCTGGCTAATTTGTAAATTTTTTTTTTAGAGACATGGTTCCTCCAGGTTGCCCAGGTCGGAGCCTTATATTGTTTATGTGACTAGTATACCTCCTTCCCAGAGCAGATTCCATATCTTGGTGGGTCACTAAGTTTCTCTGTAGAATTAGAAATAGAATTAGAAATGCATAAATATTCCTTTCCCTGTGTTTTCTGGATGCTTTGATCCTCTATGCTGTTGACCTTCTTGCTTCATTTCAATGTTAATTTTCAAAATGGACCATTACAATTCACTTGATTTGAAAACAAAATTCCAACCCACGTAGTTCTTTTTTTTTTTTTCCCCATGTAATTCTTTCTGAGAGTTAATTTATTTCCAAGCTATCAAAATTTAAAAATGTTTTGGAGATCAAAGTGTCAATTCAGTTTTGCAAATCTGGTAACTCTAAAAACTCTGAGATTCTTATTGCTACTTCTATTTTATTTTATTTAGTACAATGGGAAGTATGTGTGCTACTAGCAAAAGGTCCATGCAGTTAGAAGATGAGCCAACATGCCATTCTTTGTAAAAAATGACAATTGTAACTATCAGATCCAAAGTTATGATTGAGAGAGGCTAGGGGGCTGGAGAATGACTAGAGTTAATAGATTTGGTGCTGTTCTTTGCTTTTTTTTGGTTTTCTTTTTAGCAGCTGTAGGGGTATATGTGTAGAAAGTAAGGTGTTCCAGTTCCTGCAGACAGTGACCCTATTTTCAATTTCAATTGAAAACAATATCTAGGGCATATTCTTGGGCAGCCAGGCCAACTGGTTTATTTCTAGTGAGCTCTGTGAAGAGCATGTTTAAAATACTCCTGAGGGTTTACTTGGGAGCTGAAGTTGTTTGATATTACAAGGCTTATTTTGAAATGATTGATTCCATTTGTGGATAGTGTCATTTCCTGAAGTTATGAGTCAAGATTATTGTTAAACATTGACAGACCCTGTTGAGGATTTTCTAAATATGTCCAGTGGCTTCCTACATTTTATTTTAGTACTAATCATTCACATCTAGACCATGATGGAGGATTCTAACTGGTTTTGCCACAACCTTGACTTCAACGTCAGCTCTGGGCTTGGTTCATTAATGTCTGCTTTCAAGTCTGAGAGGTCTGGCTATTATTCACTGTGATGCTAATGTTTCCTCCTAGTCCTAGATATTGATAAATGGGTGTGGTTGCTTTCAGTCCCCTGTGGCTTTGAGTCACAGCCCACATTCACTTCTAGCCAGTGTTTTGATCAGTGATTCTGTAGTGAGGATAGTTTTGGCAGGGAACTGTCAGCTCCTGCAGCAAGCTCTACCCTGCTGGGGTTCCCATACTCTAAGTTGACCAGTGCAGTGAATCAAAGCATCCAGAAAACAGATGGGAGGGGATATTCCTGGACATAGCCTGGTCTTTGCTAGCAGTGACATGTGAAGTTTTTTAGCTTATCTACCAATTTTTTTAATGGAGACAAAGGGAGGGAGTGTTGTGTGATGGGCCGAGAGGACAGTGGGTTGGTGGAGAAATCAGTGGGAAGGGGTGAGACTAGGTTTGGACAGGAAAAATAATAAGAATTGTGCAATATGTTAACTTTTTTTTTTTTAACACCTTGCTAAACCACCAAACTCTTTTTCCCTCAGCTGTGACCTTGATTTTTTTTGAAAGTTAGAAGCATAAACATGCCAGATAAGCACAAAAACTCTGAGCTTACATAAAGCATATAATGATGTTATCAATAAAATTTTAAAACAGAATTACCATAGTGGTACATATTTAATTATGCACACACTTCTTACTGTGCTATATAGTAATAATAGCAAGCGAATCACATAAACACTGTAGCTGGTGTTACTTTTAATAGGGAAGGTAACTAATATTTATTGAATCCCTAATATCTGCCGGGCTCCATGCTGGGTGCTTTACATATGTTATCTCATTTAATGGATAGCTAACAAGGTGTTTCCAGGCTCGGTGTGGGCAGAGGAGGGAGAAATGATACTTCTGGGCCCTTCTAAAGATGCAGAATTCTCTTTTCCTTGTCAGGGGCACATATTTTCCCATTGGTCCAGGCATCTGTCACATCTCCTTGGTTTAGGAATGTGTGCTTCCTGAGCCCTGGAATCTTCGTCACCCCTGGACAGAGTGAGGACACAGTGCCCAGAGTTGGGAGTTGACCGAACCTACCTTCAGATGGGATTTCTGCTTGAAAACCAGGAAGCAGAACTCAGAGTAAGTCAATGGTTTTTGAGGAGAATGTGAACAGGAGACTCACTGCAGCCCCCAGCACTACTCTCCTCTTTCTCCCCCAACGCACAGCCTCCCAAAGAGAAGAGAAGGAAGCCAAAGGGTGTGTTTCAGAGAAGGCCCCACCACCTTCACCCCTCTTATGCCCTTCCAAACATGTTCATTGACAATAGCATTTCACTATTTAGAGTCTGGCTCTTTCATCTTTTGGGATTAGGGAATTCTTTGAAAGTCTGACAACAATCTTGACTACACTCTTCAGAAAAATGTACCAATATTTACACTTCAGGTTAACATTCCTTGATTTAGAGATTCACACAGACCACCAAGGAAAAGCTCTGGGAGGATGAGGGAGGTAGTTGAGAGTCTATCAGCCATTGATTCTCTTGAGGATGATACCGGGATGGGGTGAGGAGCTGGGGCTGAGATTAGAAGAAGCAAGGATAGGAGAACAGTGCTGAGAGCACTCATGAAGGTGCCTACAAGGAAGCGAGAAGGATCCCAGAGGGGAAAAGGGAAAAGAGACAACAGAAAGGGCCCTTGAAATGGTACTCCAAGGGAGAGATGGGAAATTCTAAGTCCAGGAAGACAATTAAGTCGGGTAAGAAAGTGAGGTATTTAGATAAAAACACACAATTGCAATAACAAGAAGTTGTTTACTACAATATGTTGAATCCTGAATGGTATATAACTTAGTGTGAATTACGCTTTCTAGACATTCAACTGCTATCAAAGAATAATTGCCATGCTAAATTATTTATATTTGTGGAGCAAATGACTTTAGGCACTAAGGCTTTTATCTCTTCCCCTGAGGAACCTTTTGAACTTTGTTTTCTTGAACTCTATGCCATCCAGGCAGGTGTGTTACCAGAAAACTTCAAGGATCTTGAGTTATTAGCCCTTATTATTGGTGCTGCCACCATTGACATGCCCTAGATGCCCCCCCCCCCTTTTTTTTTTTGTAAGATATTCATTATTGGATACTAGTCAGGCATCTTACATTAACAACTATTGTTTGATTTCTGTTTCCTTTTGGTGAAGTGAAAAAAAATTATTTCAATTTTTGGAGCAGAGAGGATAATATGTCATTTTGGTAAAGTTACTGGCTATATTCCATCACTGAGAAAATGCTAGCCATATGTGATTGGTTGAATTGTGTCCCTCCTAGAAGATATGTTGAAGTCCTTACCTCTAGTACCTATGACTGTGGCCTTATTTGGAAATAGGGTCTTTGCAGATATAATCATGTTAAGATGAGGCTGTTAGAATGGGTCCTTAACCCAATATTGAGGCAGGAGAATAGGGTCTGAAGGCAGAGAACCTAAGGCCGATTCATGCTGACTTCCTTATTTTTAACTGACAAATTATAATTGTAATATATTTATGGGGTACAAGGTGATGTTTTGATATATGTATACATTGTGAAATGACTAAAGCAAGCTAATTAATATATCCATCACCTCACAGTCTTCTTCTTTTTAATGGTGAGAACATTTGAAATTTACTGTCTTAGCAATCAGAAGGAAAAGGAAAACCCCAACTTTTCACGCCTAAGTAACAAAAGGACCAGAGGCTGCTTCCTTTGCACTCCCCTCCCCTTTTTGCCTAGCAGATGGAAGATTGAGAGTACCTCTGATTGGTACTCCTATGCAAACCAATTGCATAGGAGTGTAACTTTGTAACTTCACTGCAGCCTCTGAATGCGGGCCAAGTCTTCGTTTGCATAGGAGTGCAACTTCGTAACTATTTAGCCTCTGATTGGTTGTGGAAAGCAACCAATCAGACGTTCGCATAGGAGTGTAACCTTTATAACTTCACTTCAGCGTCTGATTGAGGGCCACTACTTCATTTGCAAGGGGTGTATACCAAATGGCCAATGGGAAACCTCTAGAGGATATTTGGACCCCAGAAAATTCTGTAACAGGGCTCTTGAGCCCCTCTACTTGGCCTGCTCCCACCCTGTGGAGTGTACTTTCATTTTCAATAAACCTCTGCTTTGTTGCTTCATTCTTTCCTCGCTTTGTTTGTGCATTTTGTCCAATTATTTGTTCAAAATGCCAAGAACCTGGACACCCTCCACTGGTAACAATATGACTGATGTCCTTCTAAGAATAGGAGCAGACAGACACACAGGGAAGGAGGTCATGAGAAGATGGGAGAGACAGGGTTTGGGCTCATGATGCTACACACCAAGGGATGCCTGGGGCCATGAGAAGCCGGAGGAGCCAAGGCAGCTCCTCCCCTAGTGGCTGTGGAGGGAGCATGGTCCTCCCAACATCTTAATTTTAAACTTCTACCTTCCAGAACTGAGAAAATAAATTTCTGGTTTTTTTTTTTTTTTTTTTTAAGTCACCCAGCTTGTGGTACTTTGTTACGTCAACTTAGGGAACTAATACACCATGAATAATTATTTTTCTATAGTTAGTAATCATTTTGATCCGATTTTGAATGAGTTCTGTAGTTTTATATACTGTTTGAGATAGAATACTCGTGAGTAATAAAAATCCAAAATATTTTCCCAATTAATATTAAATTCAAATACCCTACTTGTATAGGCCACGTATGTAACATTTATATATGTGATGACTCAAATTTACCTTTTCACAAAATGCAAAATTGCTATTTTCCTTTTAAAACTAAAAAATTAATGTATTACCGTTAGTGAACAGAAAATATAAATAACAATGTCATATAATTCTTTAGTACTTATTACCTGAGATATTCTAAATAAGATTCTGACTTAAAAATACCAAAAGATATATTTACTCCTAAATCAAAAAATTACTTCAAAATAAATACTTTTAAGAAAGTTTTTAAATATTGCCTGACAGTCACTATTTGTGTCTAGGACATCTAATTATTGAAAACAATGGCAAAAAGAAGAGAAAATCACAAATGGCTAAGTAAAAAGCCTCTGCAAAACAGCTTATGCAATAAATAAACCATATGGTCAAGGGATATCAAAAGTCTCAAATTTATTTTGAGACCAGAGTCCATCTGATCCTGCAAATTACCTTCAGGGAAAGATGGTGGTGCTACCCTAGTAACTCCCATGGGTGTCTGTCATGCGTATGACTTCCAGGACTGTTTTAAACAGCAAAGACGACACACAATTCTGAGATGTGATTAGCTGAGTAAGTACAGCCTTTGTAGTGGTGGTTGCCTGTTTATGCTATTGCCTCCCTGCCCTGCATAAGGCTTCTGTGAGCTGCTCCTCCTGTTAAATTAGATGTGTTTTGGATCTTACTCAGCTTCTTACTTTTTTGTCATTTGCCTAAGTGAAATTTATCATAAAGTCTGTTGTTTTGAATTCAATGCCAGGAAGACTAAATGCAAATGTACCCAAAGGAGTTCATTCCAAGATGGCTCTGAGATGTGAATATCATTGCAGAATCATATCAAGGTCACTTGTATTTATTTTTTCCCCCCTAAACAGTTTCTTGACTTTAAAATGCCTTTGGAATTTTAAACTGAAAATTCTAATCCCTTTCAGTGAGCTCAGTCTCTATGCAAAACTTGCTTCCCGCCTGCCAAATTGAAAGCATCTGGATGGAATACTGAATTTAGGTCATTTTTTTTTGTTTGTTTTTAAAACCAGTGTGTCCTCCTCTAGAAGAAAGGAACTCAAATCCAATAACATCACACAGAGAAGAAGGTCAAATTGTTCCAACAAGAGCTTTTCTTTTCAACAGTTGGTTGGAATTGAGTATGGGACACTTTCCCTCTTCCCTGTCTCTCCTTCCCCAGACACCAAATCTCGATGCCTGATTTAAATTTTTGAAGAGTTACAGCCTTTCACTCTCAGTTGTCAGTATAGCACCATTCTCTCCTAAGAGGAATGATTAGAGTATTCCTAGTTAATAACCTGAGGTTAGGCAGAGGGGAACAACACTTTTCCATCTTCCCAGGGAAGGCTCCTGGAGTGGTGTAGACAGGGTTTCTCGGACTTGAAAGTGCATAGGAATCCTCTGAGGGTCGTGTCAGCCTGCAGATTTTTCTGAGGTCACCCCGGGGTGGGGCCTGAGCTTTTGCATTTCTGAAAAGCTCCTAGGTGGTACCAACAACTGCTAGTTGGTGGACCACATCTTGAGTAGCAAGGAGTGGCACACTTTGAGAACATCTAGTTTAGGTCAACTTTTTGGGTCCAGACTTTCTCCCAACACCTGGCCATTTCTGGGCTTAGTATGGTGGTGTGCATATAGGACTTAGCATTAGTATCTACCACACATGGATGTCATTCCACCACTTCCTCTTCCCCCTTCATCCCAAATCTCTCCCCACGAGATGCACTAACTGGTATTTTAAAAATCAGTGTTTATAGAAACTTGCCATTGCAGAACAAACATTTTTAATTGAGGTGAGTGTGAGAAAACAAGGGAAGAGGCTTATCTACATTGAACCTATATCCCATCATCAAAAAATTCAGAATATAATTTTACCAGAGGTGATAGAGTGTCCTTACTATGTACTTAGCACTAAGGTAAGTAATAGCCACAATGATAGCAAATTGAGACATATTTAATTTTCAGCTTTTCAAAAGCTTTAAATAAAAAAGATGATAATAATACGACCAAAGCTATTATATCCACAGCAGCACTTAAGACTGATAGATATAATGTTCCACTTAGGAGCTATTACTGTACGATTAACTAGATGGTATTAAAAAGAAGTTTCTTAACACACTTAAAGTTGTAAAGCTGTTCAGAAATAGATCTGTGCTTCTCAAGTAAATACAAACAAGGACTGCAGTCATTTTAGTGGATAATAAAAGAAATCAACAAGCCAACTCCAGCTCCCCATGGATGAGATTTAAAGCAACAAATCTATGCTACTTTATGCAATTAACATAAAATATACTTAAATTTGGAAGATTTACTCTGCCATCACCTTCCCACACAACAAACACAAATCCTGGGCTAATTTGCCTTCATTAATTCACATGCAATTGCAGGGCTGATTTCTGCTTTCAGATGCTTATGTGCAATCTAGCTTCAAGTTAAATTGCTGCCTATAGGGCCCTTTAGCGTCTGTTCAGATCCTGAAGGAGTCACAGGTTATACACATCATAAGCCTTAAGCCTGATTCCCCAACCCTGAGGGAGGCTCTATTGCTGCCTACAGAATCAAAGGGGTTTGTGGAGAACAATTGCTTGCCAATTGTCTGGCAGAACTCAGACCCAGCTGCTTGGCTCTGGAAGGGAGAGGGCTGTGGTGGTCTCGTGTGGGAAGAGATATTTTCCAAGATGCCTTTTTGATGGGCAACTTTCCTGACCCTGCTTTCCCCCAAATATGGCAAAGAATGGGCCTAATAAATTATGATTGAGGGCCAAATACATCATTAACAACTTTTGGTGTTTTGGAGTTCTTTTTAGAACAGGATTTTTAGAATGTTCCACTATTCCTCTTCAGTAAGGAAGACCCTATTCTGAAATAGAATAAATACTACAGAATGTTTCAATATTATCACTTACAGTAAAATAAGAGGATGGAGGGACACAGGAAGGAGGTTGTAGGGAATGAGAAGGCAACCAGATGGAGAAGGTCTCATAGCAAGACTCAGGCAGACAACAAAAGAGAAGCAGAGCTGGAGAGAAGGGGCAGGATGAAGAGGAAATGCCATGATCAGAAAGACAGTCATGTTTGTTTAAACACACACATTATGCTGTAGATGGGTCTTATTTAAGAGTGTTTGAAGGAAGACTAGCTCCTTTACTCATAAAAGGAGTTGATTGATAACCCAGATTATTCACTGATAATCTACATTTTAAAATTAGGACATAAGAGGGTAGCAGCTGTGTGAGGTCAACTGGGACACAGCCAGCTATGGATTGCCTGGATGGAAAACGGGGTGGGGTAGAGGCTGGAGAATTCTCAGCTTTCTCTGTTTTAAGTTTTGGTTTTCCTCAATTCCCAAAGAGCTAAGATCTTGCCACGTATTTTACGTATTTTATATTTAAAAAAAATAACACCAATGATAGGGAAAACCTCCAAACATATTATTTTATCCTTCCATCATATTTGATCCTTCCAACAAGTCTGAGAAGTAGAAGGAACAGGCATTCATACCAGTGTCATCCAGTCAAAAGGCAAATGAGGAAACAGACCTGGCATTGAATTTCTTGGAGAAAATTACCCAGCTAGGAAGAAGTAGTCATATTCATGGTGGTTAAGTAGGGAGTGCCTCTGCCACCAGGATATTCTGGGCAAGTAATTTAACTTTTCTATGCCTCAGTTTCCTCATCTATGAGGAAAATGAGAATGATAATAAGAATACCTGACTTTTAGGGTGGTTGTTAGCATTAAATGAGATAGTACAACAAGCACTTTGAACAGCATTTGGCAAAACTCTTAAGTGCTAAATAAATGCTGGGTATGACTGTAATTATTAAGAGAGATTAAGCTATTCAGACCAGGTGTTCTAGATTCACATCCCAGAGCTCATTTTATTAAACTATAATTAGACAACCACTGAGGAATGAGTGAGAAATCAGAGATTACTACCTCTTTTCAGAATCAGGGAATGCATCAAACACACATGATGCTCTACAATGGAAGAAAAAACAGAGGTTTCAAGCAGAACACAAGGTCTATTTAGAAGGTTTCTGACTGGAAAAAGTTCTACCAGAAATGCATTCATGCACTGAATGTTTGTCTCTGCCCTAAAATTCATATGCAATTCTAACTCCCTAGAAGGTGGGGCCTTTGGGAGGTACTTAGGTCATAAAGGTGGAGCCTTAAGAAATGAGATTAGTGGCCTAATGAAAGGAGATACAAGGGAGATGATTTCTGTCTCAACCATTTGAGGATACAACCAAGAGACAACCACCTGCACACCAGGAAGAGAACCCTCACCAGACACCAGATCTGCCAGCACCTTGATCTTGGATTTCCCAGTTTTCAGAACTGTGAGAAATAAATGTTTGTTGTTTCAGCCACTTAATCTATGGTATTCTGTTAGAAGCCTGAACTGCCTGAGACAGACTCATTAATCAAGAAGTCTTTTTTTGTGTTTTTTGTTTTTTTTTTAAGATAAAGTGTTTCATTGCAAAATGTCTCCCATCCAAAACTAGGTTTTTGTGGCTAAAAATGTTTTGCTCCCAATACATCTTTCTCCAAACTTTTTGTTTGTTTTTACAAAGTTATGTAATTATATTATCTGTTTAACCATGCATAGTTTTAATTTTTAAACATAAAAGCAGCTCTATTAAGATTAGAAGTCCTTTAAGCATTGGAGGGAGATTTGGTTTGTAGGTTTTAACTGCCAAATATAAAAAGTACATCATCTTGTGGTCTTACCCAGGAACAATGACAAAAAAAGAGACAATCCTAGGTATGGGAAAACCTCAGAGGGGTAACTCCCAAATCATGTAGAGAACATAGAATATCCAGGCCAGGTCACGCTTTGCATTTGATAACTGAAAGAAGGAAAGAAAAAATTCAAGCCTACTACTTCAAATACATTGAAGTTTATTATGTAGCAGCCACTTGGTTTCTATACCCACCTAGGAGCAAAGAAAGGAATGGGGGCACCCAAACCATAGGCTAGAGGATTGAGGTTAGCAATAGACTGTGGAATGGGGCCACCCCAAACGGTGAAGCTTGTTAAATGATAGGGTTATGAGAGTTCATTTTTTAGAACTCTGTAGGGTAAATTCTACAGTGAAGGGGGTCCAGGATTTAAACTTAAATGTCTCTATTTAAACGTTTTCCAGTAATTTATGAAAAGTTCTTTACAAAAGCAATGCTCAACGTGAAGATGCTGTTACCTATACAATTTAGATAACAAATATTAATTTGACATAAAATTGAAAGTTCATCATTTTGATGTCATTTAGGACAGAATTATAAGGTTCACTCTTTATGATAAATCATGTTCTTTTGCTTGCTTCTCCAACTTGAGTTCTCATATCTTTATATTCCCACATCTGGCAAATAATTTTAAACTTGTAGAATCTCTTAGAAGATGATTATGTAGTCAAAAATATTGTTAGGAGAATATGACCTTCCAGTGGTTTTATAAATAGCCATATTGAAGAAACCCAAAACATAGAATAAATGACTCAAAATTTGTGCCTCCTTAAGGTTAGTAGTCAAAAATATTGTTAGGAGAATATGACCTTCCAGTGGTTTTATAAATAGCCATATTGAAGAAACCCAAAACATAGAATAAATGACTCAAAATTTGTGCCTCCTTAAGGTTATTTAAATTTGCATATTCATATTAAAAAAGAAGAGCTGCCCTCTTTTCCAAAAAATAATTTCATTAATGGCTCCGGAATCTTTTGTCTTACAAACTGGTCTATTAAAAATTTTACCCATCAATTGTATGTTTTAATTAACTAAACTACAGACTTTATTTGGATTTCCCCAATTTTCTCACTAATATCTGTTTACTATTCCAAGATTCAATCCAGGATCCTACATTGTATTTAGTTGTCCCAGCTCTTTAGTCTCCTCTAATCTGTGACAATTTCTTCAATTTTCCTTGTCTTTCATGATATTGACACTTTTGAAGAGTACTGGGTAGGTATTTTATAGAATGCCTGTCATACCATTTAGTAAAATGTTCATACCTTAAAAATAGAAATCATAGAATTTATGAGCTGGAAGTGACTTCAGAAATCATTGTATCGATGAGTCCAAATTCCTGGTTTTACTGCCTTGGAAAGCAAGGCCTCTATGGCTTAAATGGCTTCCCTGTAGTCAGATGCCTGCTGAAGCAGGGCCAGGATCAGTACTCAGTTCTTTTGCCTCACGCATGATGCTTTTCCAAGGCACCATGCAAATAATGCATCTGTCTCTACCCAATAAACACCTTACCACAATGGGGACCTACAAACCCCGAGGATGCTGTTTTATGCTGCAGGGGCATTGTTCACATAGAATGTCTTGTGAATGCAGTTACAAAGTCAGGTGGTACTGTGTCTACTTGAACTATATATAAGATGATTGGAGGTGGCTTATAATAAAAGAGAGTGAAACAAACATATAGCAAGATCCTGCAGGTTATTTGGATATGATGTGATTAGCAAGTGGTCCTAGTCTTCTACCCAGACCTTATTTTTAGAAGAGGGTGGCTGAAAGGCAGAAATTTTTATCTTTTTTGGCAAGGGACTGAGGTAGGAAGTGACTCCTCCTTTCAGTTGAGACTTTCTTATTTCAGTGTGCATTGTGTGTTTTCTTTGCAATAATCATTCTTTTCCTTACATGTCAAATAAACGAAAATAAGTTTTTATTCCTCCCTTTTCATTCCAGACAGGTCCTGGAAGGCTGACCAAATCCAAACCAAAACGAAAACTCAAACACTGCTTTCATTAATCTTGTAATTCATAACTCCATATTTTATGTAATAGAACTTCCTGTATCTCTACTGTCTGTGTTAAGGTGGAGTTTTGCTATAGTTACCAAAATAAGATACATAAGCTAACAGAGCGGGATAAAAGATTTGGAAACCACATATCTAACAAAAAACTAGTATTTAGAACACATAACTCTCAAAACTCAACAGTGGAAAAAGCAAACAATCTAATTAGGAGGTGGGTAAAAGACATGAAGAAACGTATCACCAAAGAAGATATCCAGATGGCCAATAAGCACTTGAAAAGATGTTAAACATCATTAGTCATTAGAGAAATGCAAATTAAAGCCACTATGACATAGTGCCATACACCAATCAGAATGGCTGACGTAAAACAGTGCCAACACCAAATGCTGGTGAGGAAGTGGAGGAGCTATGTTACTCATACATTGCTGAGGAGAATGTAAAATGGTACAAACACTCTGGAAAATACTTTGGCAGTTTCTTAAAAAAAATTAAACATGCAACTGCCATACCATCCAACAGTTGCACTCGGGCATTTATCCCAGAGAAATGAAGACATGTTTACCCAAAAATATGTACACGAATGTTTATATCAGCTTTACTAATAATGCCCCCAAACTAGAAACAACCCAGTTGTCCTTCAGTGAGTGAAAGGATAAACACATTGGGGCACCTCCACAAAGTAGAAAATACTCAGCAATAAAGGAAGTCATTGATACACGCAATGCCTTGGATAAATTGCTGAGTGAAAAAGCAAATATGAAAAGGTTAGATCGGCTGGGCGTGGTGGCTCACGCCTGTAATCTCAGCACTTTGGGAGGCTGAGGCAGGCGGATCACGAGGTCAGGAGTTTGAGACCAGCCTGGTCAACATGGTGAAACCCCATCTCTACTAAAAACACACAAAAGATTAGCTGGGCACGGTGGCACACGCCTATAATCCCAACTATTTGGGAGGCTGAGGCAGGGGAATCACTTGAACCCGGGAGATGGAGGTTGCAGTGAGCCGAGATTGTGCCACTGCACTCTAGCCTGGGTGACAGAGCAGGACTCCGTCTCAAAAAAACAAACAAAAAAACAGAAAAGATTAGGCCTCATGTGGTTCCTTTTGTATAACATTTTTGGAATGACAAAATTATAGAAATGGAGGTCAGATTAATAGTTGCCAAGGATTAAGGAGTGAGTGGAGGTGGGAGGGAAGTGGATGTGGCTATAAAAGGGTAACATAAAGGGCCCTGTGGTGATGGAAATGTTTTGTATCTGGACTATATCAATCTCAATATCCTGGCTGGGATGTTGGACTATAGTTACCAAGAAGTTAGCAGTGGGGTGCACGGGGTAAAGGGTAGTCAGGATCTCACTGTATTATTTCTTCATAACCTTATGTGAACTTATAATTTCCTCAAAACAAAGAGTTTAGAAAGAAAGGGGGCCTACTTTTTATTGAAAATACTTTTGTTTGAATTTTTTAAAATGATCAGATATTCACGAATTATTAGTGCAATAAAAATATCAAATAGGAGAGGGAAGGAGAATGTAAAACAGTTGTGGGTCTTAATTAAGGAACTGTGAAGACACAGAACTTGGCTCATTGCTTCTTCAGTCACAGCCAAGAGGGAAACATACAAGTGTTACATAGCTGTCATGTAGATGGAAAAATACAAGTAATTCAAAGACTGGTGCATATTTGGGGCCAAGATTATTTTCATATTATACGGTATAAAAAACATATTAGAAATGCCTTATTTATACCTGTTTGTATATGGCGATTCGTGGTAGACAAATACATTCATGCTTTTACTGGTATTATAAAACTTTGGGATTCAAGAACTCACTTTTCAATACAATGACCCATACTTTTCTTCTTATAAAACAGAAAATTTAAAGAAAATAAACACAATCAATTTCTAGGTGGAAAAAACTGAGAATTGTTGGAAGGATGATAACAAACGTAGAACGATCCAGCCATTATTCTTGTTGGAATTGGTTTGTAACCGCTCTTTTTAACTTAGTTTTTGGTGCAAGAGTTTTGTGATAATTCTAAGTGGTGATAAAACATCTGTGATAAATAATTTTTAAAAACATAAAATTTCACACATACAGTACATAAAAAACAAAAATATCAAATACCTAGAGTTATGAAGACTGGAAATGAATCGGACATAGATGAAGACAATGATAAGAGTTTAACAATATAAGAACTGAATGGAAGGAGGAGATATCACTGGAGGACTGTTGGGAGGGGGTGTTTTTTGTTTTTTGTTTTTTAATTCATCTGGAATAACCAGCACTGTGGAAAATAGTAGTATTTGTCCTTCCAGATACTAAATGTATTTTAAAGCTATAATGATTGAATCATTGTGGTACTAAGACCACAACAGACAGAAAGGTCAATGGAACAGAACACAAATTTCAGAAATAGGTGACCACAAATAGGAACTTAGAATTCAGTGCATGTGGTATGTCAGTTCTTATAAAGGGAAAGCTTCTCAAAGCATCCCTAAGCAGTAGTGTGCTATTAGACATTTAACTGTCAGCTCTCTGAAAAAGTATGTAAACTTTTCAGTCAACTGATTCTCCAAGAATGCTTCTCTTGATTTTTTTTTTTCTTTGACTCTGTAGTCAACATTCAGCCATGATTTGACAAATGGAGCTTATTCCAGTCTGCTAACTCTTTTCCCAATAAATTTATTGCCATTAAATCTGATATGTGGCTTATTGTTAAACTATTTCTCACCCTTGTATAAATTATTAATTAAATTAAAAACTCTTTCAGCTTCAGCACTAAATCAGGCCCTGATTTCTAGCACTTGCTGATTTCCATAGTATAAATACTTCCACCATGACCAATATTAAGCTATCGACATAGTCACTGAGTGTGGAATTGGGAAGAGATGCAGGGCAGTACACCACTGCCAGGTATTCCCACTATCCAGATGTGATAGTCATAACTGACTTCAAGAGCATAGATAATAGCAAATAATTAGGAACTACTATACTTTGAGTATTTATTACCTTTGTTTTTTTATATAATTTAATAATTTTCCATAATTTTAAAATAATGGCTACATTTTACAAGTAGTTGAAAATTTCTGAAAATTTGACAGTAGGCTTTCATAAGCTGTTGTGCTTTTACTCCAACATACCACTGTCCCTGGGGCAGAACCACAAAGTAAAAGATTTTAAACTTCCTGAAATATTTAAATCATAAAGTAAAAAAAAAAAGTTATAAATAACAGAAAATTGATTAGTTGCCTTTCTGAAAGGCAATTTAGCAATATATATCAAAATATAAACTTTACCAATTCTTTGACCAAGCCATATTTTATCCATTAATTCAACACATTAATGAGAGTGTATTATGGGCCAGCAAGTTCTAAGAATTAATTTCACAAACGTATAAAGATGTATAAGGAGGAGGCTTACCACAATGTTTTTATTATAACAAAAAAGTCAAAAAAATGTAAGTGTTCACCAACACAGGATTGGCTAAGTAAATGATGGTTCATTGATATAATGGAATACAAAGTGAACATTAAAAATAAAGCTGGAGATCAATGTTTATAGTAATGGAAATATGGCCGTGGTACACTTAAAAGCAAAACCATTAGGCTTTAAGAGTACGTATAGTATGATCTCATTTTGTAAAAAATTATATCTCTATACATGTACATATATGTGTACAGAAAATCTGGAAGGATATGTACAAATCGTTAAAGAGGCAAACCTTTCTATTTTGAATGAATGGCTTATAGTGAACATGCATTACCTCTATAATAAAAAAAGTTCTTTTTAGTAAAAATTGCTGTGATAAATACTTCTATTTCATAGTTGAAGAATGTTCTAGAAAAGGAGCTTTAGACTTGAAACTAAGTCTTTGGGGTTTTAATATTATCATTCCCTTTAGTTGGGTATCTCTTTGAAAGTTCTCATGGTAAAAAGTAAAAAGTTTTTTTTTTTTTTTTTTAAAGGGGTTTGCCTTTCATCTTCATTTTCCTCTGGCTGTGTGACCTTGATTGGGATAATTACCTACTCTGAGACTTATTTTCCTTATCTGAGAGGGAGGTAGACTGTGTTCTCTTCCATGCTATTTACTCTCTCACTGATGACTTTGAACCAGTTATTTAAATGTTCTGCTGTTTAGTTTCCCTATGGGAGATGGGGATAATGGTAATAGTGGTACCTATTTAATAGGGTTATTGTATTAAATGGAGTAAAATAATGTGCCTGGTATTGAATAGGTTTTGGTTATTCTTACTACATACAGAATAGGATGCTGCTGCTGCTGCTGCTACTAAAATATGCCTCAAAGATTTGTTGCGGGGATTGCGTTTACTAAAATATTGATACCTAGTAAGTATTCAACAAATACAAGTTGCATCTACACTGAAAGTAATAGAATAAAAACATAGCCTAAGTTTTCTTTATTTCTAGAGAATAGCCAATATAATTTATCCCATGTCATATCCAGAATCTAAATAATAAAAGATTGAATGCAAGACTCTTGATTTTCATTTATTAAAGAAAATACCCCCTCCCTGTTCAGTTATCCAGTGTGCATATGTATGTGTGTGTGTATATATATATATATTTTTTTCTATTTTAAAATCTGGGCTGTCTTATTAAGCAACACAAATAATATTGTATAATTTTATTTCCAGAAATCTCTGTTGGATCATCCTAATTCTTTATGATTCCATTAACTTAAAACAATTTGTACTGCCTTACTTGATATTCTCTGTAAGTGGAAGCCATACAACTATGCTATTTTAAATAATTTAAAGTGCCATGTTCCCTACCACCTATTCGCTTGGACAATATATTATTCTGTGTACATGGCTATCGGATGCCAACATGCTGCCTGGTCTATTAATGAGGAGCCATTAACCATGTGAGAATCAGAGACAATATATATATAAATGATTTAATTTAACACATGACAGCAAGGTAAGGCTGAGTGACAGATCATATTTAGCTACAAATAAGGGAAGAACTCATTGCTTAGAGTGTTCAAGTTACAGGTGAATAGCAAAAGGTTTTTATTCCTTCCCTGACAGAATAAATTTATCTCCTTAAAAGTCACCTTTATGCTTTCTACTTATCAGGAAGGCTGCATTCTGTATTTCAATTTTATGTGGACAAGACATTAATTTTAAGCGAAAGACATTGTTCTGTGCTGGAATTAAATGAGGTCGTTATAGGTTTGAGTGGTAAAGGTGGAGGGTTTGGGCTCACGTTTGACTTTAATGAGAAAAGTCCTATGTGAATATGGTCTTCTTAACTTTTTTGGCACTGAAAGCAAAATATAAATGGGGCAATGATGTTGAAAGCCATCAGTAGCTTCTGTAAGTACCTGGAGTCGGGTGTTCATCTGATATCATCAGCAAGGGAAGGTAGCATAGGAATATATGCTTTCATTTCTCAGTCAAGAGATTGCTATGGCCACTTAGAATTGATTTTACGTAGAGGAACCTGAAGAGTGTTGAATTCTGCTGTTGAGAAAGGAACTTCAGAGGTCATCTTGTTTAAACCAAAGTTTAATCCTTTCAACAGTCTATCCACTTCTTAAATGCCTCCAGAGAGAGATTTAGTCACTTGTCTTAATATGGAAATGTCACCAAATTGGCAGGATAGGGAGGTGATGATTAGGACAGAATATTTAAAACAACCTTAATATGTCTCATGTCTTCATGAAAACAAAGGAGTTTTGTTCAAATAAGGCCAATAACACCAATTCAGCTCGATTCAGGGAAGGCTCAGGTGACTGACTGTAGAAGAGCATGAGCTAATTATTAAATAAATAACAACTAGTTTAACTTCCTCCTGCCACAGTCGCACTTCCTGAAAGGGCAGTTTACATAATTTTCACTTCCTCACCTCTTATTCATCACTTTCTATATCACCTGGTGAGATCTGGCTTTTGCCTTTTCTCATCAATTGAAATGGCTTTGAAACTCAAGATGTTTGTGCCCAGTCCCCAGACTCTGTTCAGACTTAAATTACTTGACCTCTCTAATGTATCTAATAGATGGGGAAAGCACTTACAAGTATTCTGAAATACAAGGAATCCCATTATTCCCATACATGCTGTAATTGGGTGAGGGCTAGGCTTTCTATAGCTCCCCCTCAAAATTGAGAGGAGTTGAACTGTCCTGAACATGTCTATTCTTTTCCTTTTTGATATTTAATGAGCACTAGGCCAAGCATTGTGTTCTCTGTCTTAGACATGTTATCTGATTCAGTGCCCTGCAATGTCAGTATTTGGTAGCTTTACCTTCATTTTACCGATGAGAAAACTGAAGTTCATAGTGAGGGTTGCTCAGGTTTATATAGCTAGTTAAGTGGTGGAGCCTGAGTTCAAAACCAGCATTGAGTCCTTGTTTGGTTAAGAGTACCAGAGGACTGCTGAGAGCAGCTCTTGTGTGGGTAGAAATCGGCTGCCCAGGACATCTGTTGCAGTGGCAGGAGCAAGCGTTAGTTGGGGTGGTAGAATGTTACTGAAAAGAGGAGGCTAGGAGAGAAGGAGTAACCTCATGTATATGTGAGAGTCGGCAACACGGATTCAGACTGGCCATCCAGGGGAGCAGAGGACAGTGACTAAAGTCATGATGTGAAATTAAATTTAAACTCTCCCCAAGGAGAATTGTTGGCTTAGCTCTTCAAGCTTACAATGAATAAATGTCTGCTTACCGCATAAATCATAGACTTTACTCACCCTTTTCATTGCTGCATCCTTAAGCTTTAATTCAAAGGCAATTAATAAATGTTTATTGAATGTTACAATTCCCTTTTCTCCTGAAATTCTCTAACATCTAGGAAACCACACAATCCAGATTGTCCTCCCAACTGCCTGGCTGCTCGTCGCCAATCTCTTTGTGTATTGTATTTTCTCTTAGATCTCTTGATGTTTCAAGAGTCCACCCTTACCACACATGTTAAGTGTCCATATCTTCCCCGCATAACCATACTTAACGTTTTAGGGGGATTATAAACTCCAACCAGTGGCTTTAGCTATCCTGTCTAATGCCTCCAGTATTGTGAATTCAGTTTAAATTTCTCTCCTGAGCAACATAGCTGTATGTCCAACTATCTCCTGGTAAACTCTACTTTGGATTCCCACAGGCATCTCATCATCAATAAATCTAATATGTCCCAACTGAACTCACTAGGTCCCCATATTCAAACGTTCGTGTTTCTCTCTCAGTGTAAATTTTTCCCTCAAGGGGAAGGTCTAGAACTTTCATTAGCTACTTTAAAAGTTCTGTGGCCCCAGAAAAATATAGAACTACTTTGCATTCTTCCTAAGAGAAAACTCTTCCCCTTGAATCACAATCCCAGTGGTTGGGGCAGATACTCCTGTGCAGATTGAAAAACGTTGGATATTGCAAGATTTCTCATCTAAATCTCATGGCTCTCGTGGATGTAACACAATTACTTGGTTTCCACATGTGGCAACTTGGTTTGCTGTGCTACCAATCCTCGTGTGTTTACACCTAGTTCTGTCTTTAGGATGAGCCTTCCCGACAGTTTGGTTTGGACTACTCTGTTAAATGGAAATGAATTGAGACAAGGACAAACCTATCCAAGGATATCAAAAAGAGAAAACTTTAAAGAAGGACAGAGAAGCAGCTATAACAAATGATCCAGAAACAAAAAGAATGAGAAATGAGAAAAGGTAATTAGGGGGATTAGAAGGTACTTGATAATTAGGGGGATTAGAAGAACCTCCTAATCTGAGTAATTTGAATAAACTGAGGGAAATTGTGGAAAAGAAAGATTACAAGGTGATGAAAAAGAGAGTAGATAATGAAGAGGGTGTAAAAACTTATAAGGTACTGGAAAGGGCAGCCATGAAATTCCTGACCATGGAACCCAAACTGAGAGATGACAGACTTGAAGGATATGGAGAAAAAGATTCAAGTTCTTGGCGGAGAAGGTCATGTTCAGAAGCAAGTAAGGTAGTGAGAGCGGTGAGAACAGGAAACAGTTAAAGAAGGAGAGCTCCAGAGTGAAAATCTTGTGTTTGATGGTCCCTTCAGTGATGCTGATGCGGTTGAGGTGTGTTATTTTTATGAATAGTTGAGCAGAATGGAGGTGAAGTGGGTGAGAAAGTGTGAAACTGTGTGTATGTAGTTTTACAACGTGTCTGTAAATCCTTTGATATTTTTCCCTCGTGAAGTATAGTGTAATTTCCTTCTCCTTAGGTATGGCTAGCCTTAGTCATATGTTTCTAACAAATAAAATGCAATGCATATGATGCTGTGTGGGTTCTGAGGCTAGGCCCTAAGAGGTGATATGGCTTCTGTCTGTCTCTCTCTTGGGATGCTTGTCATTGGAACCCAGCTGCTATGCTTTGAGGAAGCCCAGGGTACATGGAGAGATCTATATACAGGGACACTTAAGCCTGGGACCCTCAGCCTAGGCTGAGCTCCTGGACAAATCCAGCACTAGCTTAGCAGTCCTGGAGGTGAACCATCTGGAAAGCAGACCCTCAAATCTTGGGTTGACCAGCCCCAGCTGAGGCCATGCAGAGCACAGAGGAGCCCTCCCTCCCAAGCCCTGCCCACAGTGGAGATTTGTGAGAAAGATAAATGATTATAGTTGTCTTAAGCCATTAAGTCTGAGTGGTTTGTTTGTAGCAATAGAAAATTGGAATAGGGTTTTAGCAATGTACTAAACAGACATATCTGTATCTGTCAGTGTGGTTGTCCAAAGAGCAAGAGTGTTGGACTTTGAATAATCTGAGTTCAAATCTTTGACCACTTATGTGACTTGGAATAGGTTACTTAACATTTCTGAGCTTCATTTTTCCTATCTTTAAAATGAGAATAATGGGACCTTGTGGGATTGTTGTGACATTTGGAAGTAATTAATATAAAGCTAATGGCTGCCAGTTTAAAAAATTGTGGCTATTCTTTTTATTATTAGGAAAACTTAGAGGTTAGGCTTTGGCATCAATTAGATTTGTGTTTTCTTTCTGGTTCCATTGCTAACAACTCTGTGGCTTAGGGCAGGTTATAGAACTTCTCTGATTTGTGGATTTTTTTTGTGTAAATGGAGGATAAAACCTACCTTGCAGGGTTGTTATAGATTAGAAACAGTGCCTGTAAGACACCACATAGTGACCAGCACATGGTAGGCACTAAATAAATAGTAGATATAATTATAAATATAATAATTACTATTTTAACTCTAAACTTATTATGGCTGCTGGCAGGAGTAGGGCAGACTAGAAAATTCATAGCCAAGCTTTAAAACCTTTGAAGGAATTATAAGAAGGTGGTAGGCATTAGTAGAAGATAGTAATGAAGTTTCAGAATGGATGATATTAATAAATGATATAAATTTTCAAAGAAGAAACTTTTGAATGATGAGAGCAGAATAAAGACTTAGAATAGCATTTAGAGCAACCCCTTTCTTCCACTAGTACTGGGAATCAGAGGAAATAGGCTAAGGAGATTTAAAAAGTAATGAGTTTCTAAATATTAGAAAAGGCCACAAAACTCCAACATAATGAATTTGAAATTATGGAGAACAAGGGAGGTCAAGAGACTGGCAGGAAAGTAATATGATTGATAAGCAGGATTATTTTGAGGAATTTTAGTAAAGAAGAGGAAGGTTTAAAGCTCTGCCTCATTCAACAGACAGTTCACGGCTGTAGTTTGCTGTGTCCTCTAACATCAGCCACCCATGTAGACTTGCACAGGACTTGCACCTCTCCGGCAGCCCTCCCCCTTTGGGTTGAATCTCTCTTGACCTTCCTCAGACAGATTAATCTATTTTCCTTTAAAAGACTACCAGCAAGTAATTGACTATCTCAATGCCTGAGAACCTCCATTTACCAACTTTTCCCATAGCTGCCAACTTCAGTCTGTTTTTACAAGGGTATTAGCCTTCAAGCATATCCCATACCATATTTAATAGCCATTGAACATCCCTTTTGGTCTGGACATAAAAACAAAATATACTCAACAGTTCCCAAGAAAGATATATGTCAGCATCTGGAAACATTTTTAAAAAATTGTTTTATCTGTCTAATAATGTATACACCTGTCTTATATACCCATACCTTTGATATAACATCACCCATTCATCTGACATTTACTGAGTATCTACTATGTATTAGATACTAGTCTAGATACCCTACCCTTTTGGAGGTTGAAATCTATGGTGCAGAATGGGGAGGGAGGCAGTGGTGACAGAGAGATGGACCATAAATAAATAAATACACAAGTATTTACTTAAGAATGTACAAGACATGCAATATACCTTGACTAGCTATAAGCCCCAAACTCTAAAGGGTCTGAGAGAGTCCAGGTATTGGGTATATTCAGGGGAAAGAGTAACGGGTCCAGACAACTGACTTCCTGCCGACACTGTGCACTGGGAGTCACTGGAGATTCCCAGTGGTGGACTACCCATACCCTGGCTATCTAGGGCCATCTGCAATTTCCCAGATCCCTACCAGTGTTGTACTCTCTCCTTTTCCCTTTCTGTCCCCAACATGGTCTGTTGGGCCATTCAAATTCCTAATAGAGCACCATGGGGAGAGGGGTCCTGAAAGCTTCTCTAGAGACCAAGGCTGTCCAAATCGCAACCAACAGTGGGATAACGAGCTTATGCCAGAATGTAAATCAGTGCCCTGCATCCTCTATAAAAGAAAATCTCGCTATGGAAAAAAATGTCATCTGAACGACAGGGTGTGCTTAGTCATGCAGCTGATTTGCATTCTTTTGTGGGCTCCCTGTCTTGTTGCAGACTAGGAACAAATAGTTTGTGGACAGGTGCTGGTCCGAGGGCCACACTCTGAGTAGCACGGCTCTGGAGCATAGACTGTACATCTGGGATCCATGTGGCTGCATCCAGCCTGCAGTCATGTTTTCTTTGGCCTGCATACCGTTGTCAACACTTGAAAATATAAATATTTTAAATAAAATTCCACATTTTCAATAGCTCTTCATCATGTCTTTGTGTCCCTCCAACAGTTGATATGTAGAGATTCCATATTCCTACATAGCAAAAGAAAGATGGAACTGAGAAGTGATTATCCCTTTTATATGGGGCCTGTACCTTTAAAGAACCCAAGGGACATGTTTGGCCCAGTTTTTTCATTTATGCTGTTTGCTGGCCCTTAGAGGCATTTGATTTCAAAACCCCTAAGGATCAGTGGGCTCACTGAACAAGCACAATTGTTGCTCAGCCCTGGGAGGAAAAACCTAGTAGGAGTGTGATTAAGAATGTCCCTTTTCTTCCTTCCTTTATTCTTTCACCCATTCATGAGGTCTTCTCTCCCACCCTTTCCATCATAAAAGTACTTACAACTTATCGTGTGGAAGCTGCTCAGTGATGAGACTGGGAAAGATGAATATGCGTACGCTCTTTCACTCACAGCAAAATCACTAGTAAGTAGTTCCAATCTGGGAAGCACTGTTTTTTTTTTTCAGGATCCCGGGGAATTAGATCTTTAAATCTGAGGGCAAATCAGTGAGGGCCTCAGAAGGCCAGATCTGTGTGCCATTGCTAACTGCTCAGAGATGAATTACTGCTAACCTTCCCAAGAGAGCAGGTCAAATCAAAGTATTGCTTTAGAAAGTGCCTTTTGGTTTCTAATGGTTCAATGATCTTCTTGTAACAAAGATTCTCCTTTCACTGCTCCCTCTAATCCTTACAAATTTTACAAAATGGTGTTTGATCTGACTTCTGTGAAAGCACATAATAGTCTGCAGTTTTAGTTAGAGTCTTTTTGATGCCATTTTCCCATTGGTTTGAAGCCTTAATTGTATTCTTCTGTGCCATATGAAGTATACTAATTGAAACTGAAAATTATAAGTGAGTACTTGTTATGATGCAGCAGACTTGATTTTGGGCAGCCCTCATTTGGCCAGACTTAGGTAAAGTTCTGGAAAACCACTGTGATGTTCTAAGACAGATGCCCTGCCTGGAAGTCCTCATGACCAGCATTTGCTTCTGTTTTTTTTTTTTTTCTTTTCTTTTTCTTTTTTTTAAGACAGGGTCTCACTCTGTTGTGCAGGCTGGAGTACAGTGGTGCGATCTTAGTTCAGTGCAGCCTTGAGCTCCTAGGTTCAAGAGATCCTCCTGCCTCAGTCTCCCAAGTAGCTGGGACTACAGGCACATGCCACCATGCCTGGCCAATTTTCAGTTTTTTACGTAGGGAGAGAGTCTTGCCATGTTGCCCAGGCTGGTCTCGAATTCCTGGCCTCCTGCAGTCTTCCTCCCAAAGTGCTAGGATTAAAGGCATGAGCCACCATGTCCATTTGGGTTTTGTTTTGCATTTTCCTTGTTTTCACTTATTTACTTGCTATAAAATACTAAAAGATTTTGTGGGTCCTGAACTGAGAGAGACAGGAGGAGAATCAGGTACTGGGGTCGTCTTTTCCTCAATCTAAAGCCAACTGATTCAGGATTTTTAGCAAGACATGCGGGTAGAGAACACAAAAAGGATATAGTTTGTAAGTTTCATAACACAGGGAGGTGGCTTGGCAGAGAATGTGGAGTTGTGTACAGGAAAGTCTTAAAAACTACATTATAATTAAACTAGATCATATACTTCTAGACACACATTGTACAAATGAAAAAGAACCTTTACTAAATAGAAAATATTCTGTAGGATAAACAATATAAAAATGTTGAAAGGGACCCACAATAAAGGAATGACCAAAGCTGAGTACTATCAAATACTTAAGTTGCCTTTGCAAAGGTATGGGGCCCCTATCCACACAACTATTTTACAGGCACAAAACTATTCATTTTTTTCTTTGTCTTACTATCTTCAATATAATTTATTGGAAACTTTCTGTGTGTAAAGTCTATATTTATTGCTTATTTGGTTCACCTAATAAAAAGGACAGTATCTGGATAAGCTCCAGTCCCTTAATTTGGTGCTTTCTGAAGTTCAGTAAAATTGATTCATCAGAATGTTTTACACACATGAGACATAAATATGTTTCACTTAGTACTTTACAAGATGAATATAGGGAGGGAATTTAAAAAGTAAAATTATGAAAAGGATTTAGAAATTTATAATAATTAGAATACCACCACTGAGTAGATTGGAGTTGTAAACCCAAACACAACTGTATACAAAATCATCATGCATTTTCCCACCTGGGAAATTGAGGTGGTGAATTTTAAGAAAAGTGAGTTATACAAAGGTGAGAGGATTATTAGAGGGCTATTATATCATAGGGAGCTTATACCTGATCCCATGATCAATCAGTTTTTGAAGGTAGGAAGATCTTAGATCAAGAACAATTAATAACAGTCATTTACTGTAAATGTTCACTATATTCTGTTTGGGCTTCTTAGTTTGCTATTTCTCCATGTGCTTTGAGACTTGTTAGATTGATTGCAAAAGTAGCTGCAATTTCTTACCCTTTCCTGTATCCACATACTCTGCAATGTGACTGCAGCTCCATCCATCAAGAGGTAGAGAGTCTGCTCCCTTGACTCTTTGAATTTGGGTTGGCCTTGTGACCTGATTTGGCCTGCAGAAGTTCCAAGCTTAGACCTCAAGAGACCTGTGCCCTTCCCCCATCCCATGTTCCCTCTTCCCCATCTCAGACTCACACCATGAGAACAAGCCTGGCCTGTTGAAGGGGAGAGACCATGTGGGGCAGAGTGAAATAAGCCCATTTGCCCCAGGCAAGCTCCCAGACGTTGAGACGCCTAGCCAAGACCAGAAACTGTTCCTGGCTGGCTTGAAGCTGACTACAGGTTCATGAGTGAGTTTCACTGAACCCAGCTGAGGCCAGAACTGTCAAGTTGATTTTAGTCTTGTGATTATCAGTGGGTGTTGTTTTAAGCCATAAGTCTGTTGCTTTGTTACATACTATTATTGTGGCAATAGATAACTGACACAGAAGGAGTGTATTAGTCGGCTATGTCTGCAATAAAGCTGTGAAACAAACAACTCCTAAGTAGTAGTTTTTACTATTTCTTTTCCTTTTTTATTTCTCTGATAGCGTTGAGGTTAGCTGTGATACCTCTACTTCAGGCTGTGGGTAGGGTCCAGGACTGTTGCCCATGTCTCTCATGATAGCAGAAACACCAGAGTCAAGTTAAATTATGCAAGCAAATATAAAGTCTTTTCTTGTATCATGCCTACTTACATCCTATTGGGAAAGGAAAGTCACATGGCTAAGCCAAAAGCCAGTGTGACTATGCATACTTTATCTACACTACTCGAGGCTCTGCAAAGTCATAGGCAAAGGAGTGAGGTGTAACTGTATTAAGGAAAGATACAAGGAATTAGTAACCATCATTGGCTACAGGAAGAACTCTTCAGAAGGCAAAATGGGGAAACTGCTTTCTGAAATACTTGATGGAACTCATTAATGCAGTAAGAGTTTGCCATAGAAAAAGCCAAAATAACCCATCAAAGACCTGTAACAATTAATATGCTAGTATGAATGTAGTATATTGTTTTCCTGAAACATAAATTCTTTGAAATAGGAATATGCCAAAAATGTTTTCATTTTCCTTAGCCAACTCACCTGACTCCAGTTTTTCTTGATGTTCTCCACATATGGGGGTTATGTGATGTTTTTTCTCTTGGTTTTATAATTTTATCTACCCCATATTTAGTGAGGTTTCCTTGGGTTTGCAGTATAATAAAAATAGGAATATATTTCTTCTACTCTAAAAAATTGTAGAGCCAGAAAAAGTCATATGTGCTACTGTAGGCTAATATGCACTCTAATTATAAAATGATTTTTAGTCTGAATTGAAAATGGAATTGAAACAGGTAAATCAGAGACTAAATTAATATTATTATAGAAATGTAGGACTTTACCTTGTACACAACATGTTACACAGAAAAGTGCTCTAACACCTATTATTTATGGTATATTGGAATCTTCTTTATCTGAGAGTTTCAGAATCTAGACATTGCTTGTTATGGTTGATTCTCAATATTGCTTCTTTCATTGACAGGTCTTTCCTTGAACAGTGTCCATTTATTATTTGGAAAGGTGACAGAAAACCATTTTTCTTTGTTAAAAATGAATATATACTAGTGTCTCAGTGTCAACCATTTATTAAAAAAACTGATTTGAAATAACATTTAAAATAATTTCAACTTTTATTTTAGATTAGGGTATACATGCATGGGTTTCTTACAGGGATATATTGCGTTATGCTGAGGCTTGGGGTACAATTGATCTCGTCATCCAGGTACTAAGCCTAGTACTCAATAGTTAGATTTTCAACCCTTGCTCCCCTCCCTTGATTCCCCCATTTAGTAGTCCCCAGTTTCTATTGTTCTCATCTTTATGTTCATGGTTACCCAATGTTTTGCCCCCACTTGTGAGAACATGCAGTATTTGATTTTCTGTGCCTGCATTAATTCACTTAGGAAAATGGCCTCCAGCTGCATCCATATTGCTGCAAATGACATGCTTTCATTCATATTTATGGCTGGGTAGTATTCCATGGCATATGTACCACATTTTCTTTATCCAATCCACCATTGATGGGTACCTGGGTTGATTCCATGTCTTTGGTATTGCGAATGGTGCTGTGATGAACATAGAAGTGCATGTGTCTTTTTGGTAGAATGATTTATTTTCTTTTGAATATATATCCAGTAATGGGATTGCTGGGTTGAATGGTAGTTCTGTTTTAAGTTCTTTGAGAAATCTCCAAACTCCTTTCCACAGTGACTGAATTAATTAACATTCCCACTAACAATATATAAGCGTTCCCTTTTCTCCATAGCCTCACCAGCATCTGTTCTTTTTTGACTTTTTAATAGTAGCCATTCTGACTGGCATGAGATATCTCATTGTGGTTTTGATTTTCATCATTAATAACACTTTGAAAAAAATGTAAGTACTGTAAATATTTTGGATCAGTGTATCCTGTGGATTTATTCTTTAAAGGTAACCTCTGCCTGTCTGTCTTCCTGTATCAAAAGTGTCAGAGCACCTCTGGCAGGAGCACAGGTGTTTGGGAGAGTTATACCCTCTCCAGGAACCCTTCTCCACCTCCTCTACATCTCTGAATTAACTCCTCTCTTTTTCCTGTCACCACCCACATACCCAAGCACACATGATGCCAGAGAAGAAATTTGTTATGTTCCTTAGAAACACTCATTGTCAGAGGAGTCAAGGGGAAAGAAAACAAAAGAAATGGGCAGAAAAGCAACAAAGAATAGAGAGCTAATGTAGAGTAGGAAGTAGGTGGACTAGCCATAGGTGGAAACTGAGACATAGTAAGTTTGAATGTAGGAGAGTTGGAAACCAGCCAGCCAAGCTGAAATGCACCTGTTTAGATACCATTGATCTCACTTTCTAGCCTCAAAATATTTATTCTTGATCATCCACAGGATTTTGCTGTACTGCTCAAATCCTCTCTTTTTGGTTGGAGCAATTTAATAAATTGTTAAATGAAAGTAATTTAGGCAATTCCACTTCGAGATTCCCTGTATTAATCATTTAACCCAACGTGAAAACATAGTATGGACAGAATGAATAGAAAATTCACATGGGGGAAAGAGTAGAAGAAATAAAATCTACACTGAATAGTTTTATGGAATCATAGAATTTGAGGGCTAGAAATGAACCTAGTCACTGTAATGGTCAACCTCTCATTTTATACACGAACTGATGTCCAGAGAAGTAAAGTAACTTGCTTAAGGTAATGTGAATGCCAGAGCCAATATTTGAACTGAGGCTCCTATCTCCAGGATACTATTCTTAACCCAGAACTTCATTTCTGCATAACCTCTTTGAACCATTTGCCAGTGACTTTTGTGCAAGGAGGAATCAGGGAAATGTTGAAGTTATTTCTTATGGCACCAGTGGGGTTAACAAATCCTTTCAACATGAAAGTGTTTTAGGGTGCCTATTCAGCCCTTCATTTAACAATATTTAATAATGTCTATTTAAGTTCCATATATTATACAGTAAGCACACAGGGCCAATAATATTTTATGCATTCTCATCAAGAGTGAAGTTGTAAGGGCCATAAATGGCCTGATGGAAGAGGATGATGAACATGGCAGCTCACAAATTACATTTGCTTGGCTCAAAGAGCTGAGAGACTGTGGACATGAACCCTTCTTGTCTGACAGGCCCCCAGGGAACTACCTGGCAAGTGGGAAGAACCTATAAAGACATCTGCCATTTATGTTTTGTTCTGGTCAAAGGCTGATGGTGGCAATGGAATGTTTGCCCTTGCCGCACATTATTCTTTACTGCTTGAGTGTATTGAATATTAACTGTGACTGTTGAACAATTACCAAGTGCAGGACACTGTGCTAAGTACATTCATTCAACCATTATTCATTGAGTGCCTACTATGTTCCAGGAATAGTTCTACTTCTTTTATATTCCTCATGTTAACTTTATGATATAGGAACACATTTTTTATTCTTCATTTACACGCAAAGGAAACTGAGACTAGAGAGGTTAAGTGAAATTCTGTGTCCCTAATTCACACAGCTATTTATTGTCCCAGGCTGTACTTTTAACTACTAATTATATAGCCTCTCCAGTCTTCAGAAAGTCTCCAGACTCAATGCAGAACAGGAAAAGCCTGATTTGCTTAGCCAAGGCTGGTCTTGAATGTGAATGGAGCTGGTAGGTACCCACATGGTACAATCTGAGGTTCTTGGGACAATCTCATGTCCCAAATAGTTTCTACCTAATGCCACAGTGCCTAAAAATCCCACAAATAGAAATACTTTATTTGATATTATTACGCTGATGACTCTCAAATGTAAACACAGGCTCTATCCCTAGTTTAGACTTGCTGTATACTTAAAGCTGAATTTCCAGAAGCTTCCTAGATGTTTCACAGGCATGTCAAATCCAGGTATCTAAAACTGAACTTCATTAGTCATCAGGAAATGAACACCACAATGAGACAGCACTTTACATCCACTAGGATAGCTAGAATAAAAAGACTGATAATAACAAGTGTTGGTGAGGATGTGGAGAAGTTGGAACCCTCATGCACTGCTGATGGGAATGTAAAATGCTGCTTTGAAAACAGTATGGTGGTTTCTCAGAAGGTTACACATACAGTTACCCAGCAATTTCACTCCTAGGTATTTATGTAAGAGAACTGAAAACATATGTCTATACAAAATCTTGTATGTGAATGTTTATGGCAGTGCTATTCATAATAGCCAAAATGTGGAAACAACCCAAATATTTGTCAACTGATGATTGGATACATAAAATGTGCTATAGCCACATAATTGAATATTATTCAGAAATGAAAATAAATGAAGTCCTAAAATGTGCTACGACACAGATGAACCTTGAAAACATTACGTTAAGAATTACAGTGACCACATACTATATGTGATTTCATTTATATGAAATGCCCAGAATAGGCAAATTGACAGATGCAGAAAGTAGATTAGTGGTTTCTTAGGGCTGTGGTGGCGAGTGTGCAGAAATGGGGGAGCGATGGTCAATGTGTGCTGGGTTTCTTTTTGGGGTATTGAAAATGTCCGAAAATTAATTGTGGTGATTGTTACACAACTATGTGAATATATTAAAAAACATTGAATTTGCACTTTAAATGGGGGAATTATATAGTGTTTGAAATCTATCTCAACAAAGCTTTTGTATACATAAATATATTTTTTATATTTATGTTATAATTTAATATAATACATTAATATATAATTTAAAGCTGTTATATATATATTTTTAAAAACTTTGAATTTACTTGTCCTATGTCTGCCTATGAATCTGCTTCTTCTGATATTTCCTCTTTCTGGGATAATGGCATCCCTCCTGCATTTCCTGGCTATATTGTGTGTTCTTTATAAAGGTCAACTTCTTATTTCCATTTATCTACCTGCATCTAGCATTATGCCTGGCCTGTATTAGGTTCTCTTTATGATGCAAACTGTCCTGGGAAGGACAGAAGCATTTTTCTCTGTGACGTGGAGATCCTGGATGGTCTGAGAGTCCTGAGAACCTAGGAGAGGAGGGCACATTGAAAGGAGGAAAAAGGGCAGAGTATGGGATATGCTAGGTATTGACAGCATCCTGCCTACATCACGATTTTGCCTGGGATTGGTCCTGTGTGTAGTATATAGTGGTACCACTAGAGGCAGTATTTTGTAATGGGCAGAATGTCAGCCTTGCTCAAGATCACGGAGATAGTAAATGATGGAGCCAGGGTGTGAACCCAGATGGGTGACCTGAATAACTCTTTTTCCCCTGAAATTTTCTACAGATCAATTTCCTGATCTGTAGAAAAAGGACAGTAAGTCTAATGTATAGGAATTGTGAAGATTTAGTGAGAATGCGCATAAAGTTGTCTGTAATATGGGGGAAAATACTTTGTCATTGTTGTCTTTATATTATTACTTTGAGTTTTAGTTCTGTCCCCAGACACTGTCATAATAAAAGGGTAAACACAGGAACTCTAGGAACTATGTGTTTTCTGTCTCAGTCCTTATCTTAGACATGTAAGAGAAAATATTCTAAAGGAACTGTGAAGATGTATAAAAATTAGAAATAATTCAATTAACATTCACTTTATGGGTCAAAATGTCCTCCTGCATCATGATTTTAATTTGTGTTATATTAATACTAATCATCAGCCTTACCTCAATAATTAATAAGCTGTAGGAGGAGAACTTCATGACAAATTAAGACTTAGGAAGAAAGTTCTGGCTCAGGGAGCTTGGGGTGCAGGCACAGTGAGCAGCCCACAGACCTCATGGACCACCAGACCTCCCAGGACAAATTTTGCAGCAGGGAGAAGTGGGTAAGTGTCTACTTCACTCTGCCTCCTGTCAGCTGTGAGGCCTCTTGAGGCCTCAGTTTCCCTATCTGTAAGAATCTGGTAATTATAATAGCTCCCTTACAGGGCCTGAGGTGATAAAGTGAGGTTACCATGCAAAATACTTATTACGGTGTCTGGCACTTAGTTAGCATTTAATAATTGTGCTGAATTCTGAAGGATACTTTGAAGACATAAAATGTGGTTTGTCACCACATAACCTGTACACTAAATACAGAATTCTGTACCATGTTTTCTAACAGTTTACCTTCAAATCAGTTCAATGGGTATCTATCATTGCCTGTAATGCCAGGGGCTATGCTAGTTGGCCCCATCGTGGACTTCTTCTAATAGATGAAATGGGCCAATTAACTGACAAGATTTATGTCATGAGGCCTCCTTTCACTGATTTTACACACATCCTGATTTTCTTTTCATATAGAATGCTATGTGAAAATACATCTAGAAACACACAGGCTGCTTATGTCCTGTATCATATGTCACAGTATAAAGGGCTGTTACTGCTCAGATTTGGGGGCCTAAAAGAGTACATATACATATGTAGTCCCCAAATACCAGCCATCCCAGACCTTTCTTCAGGGAAAATCTGGTCAAACACCCATGAACTCAATACCTTCTCTGTGTTGTATTGATTCTACTGCTGAATTTGTTTCTAAGGTTCTGTTTTCTGAGAGTAAACAGAAGTGACATTTTCTATACTGTTTCTTGGGTTCGTATTTCTCAATTAGGAAAGCCAATGCAAGCCAAAATCCTGCTCTTGAACAACACAAACAGTGACAACAGCAAACAATATTTTCCCAAATATAACAGCAAGCACCAGGAGAGGCAAGTGCCCAAGTAAAATTCAGAAAACACCTTCTATTCATATTTTGGTGATCAATACTATATTCAGCTTAGATTGTTCCTTGGAGCTCATTAGTCCTCAAGATCAAACCGTGACCCAGAATGTACATATGGGTGAAGAGCTGGTGTTTATGAAAGCAAGGGTATCCAAGGATATCATTGGCCTCATGTTTCTACTTTGAAGTGGCCCCACACATTTTCACGTGTGAGACTGAAATTTAAAACTCCTGGTGAAATGATAATTCCCAGTGTGTCTAAAGTAGTGGCAATACATGATGTTTATTAATTATGTTTTAACATATATTTGTCTTCATTATATTTCCAAATAAAAAAGGCAATACAAAGAAATAAACACCAAAAATGATAGTACAGATCTAGATTTAATCACAAACAGTTCTATATTTTGTTGAACAAAACACAAGGTGCCCCTACTGAGATGTTTGACTAAACACATATTAGTAACACTTGCCATTTATTCTGTACCTATTCTGTGTTTGGCATGGTGATTGGTGATATATATACATTACCTTGTTTAATCTTGATATAATAATGTGATATTTTATTATAATAATAAATAACACACCATTTATCCCCATTTTACAGATGTGAAAACTGAGGCCTAGAGAGGTAACTCATTCAAGGTCACATAGCCAAGTTGAGAAGATCTTAAGTCTAACAGTGCTCTCCATGTAGTTACACTGCTCCTAATAGGACAGGGAAAGATACATTAAAATGTTAATTGCTATCTGTATGTGGTGTATGTTTTTTCTTTTTGCTTATCTGTGTTTTCTAATTTTCTTCAATTAACATGTATTATTTGCATAATAAATAAAGGGGAAAAATAAATTGAACTACAAACAACTTTCCCTTGCCAAAGCAGTAGGAGGAGGTGAGGGAAGAAAGGAAGAAGGGAAAGTAAAAAGAAAGTAAGAAAGGAAGGAAGGAAAAGGGAAGGGAGAGGAAGAACAGGAGGAAGGCGAGAGGAGGGCTGTCTTCCTCAGATGGCTGTAAGACTGTGTGTGCACAGCTCTGTGCCATCACCCCTTCCCCTAGGGGTGGCATTGAATGCAGTTCAACAAGGTGGACAGGAGCAGAGGAAAATGCCCTTCAAAACACAAGGGTTTGGGAAAGGGACCTCTATACGTTTAGAGTACTTTCAACTGTGGAAGGTTTAGTATTGCAGTACTGAACTGGATAGTAATTTATATAGAAGGTCGTATCTCCTCCAAAGAGTGGTTATTTAGCAACATGTTTTGAGTTTTTTGGCAGAAGACTATTATCTACCAAAAAAAGTACCCTGTTTAACTGCCAAGGTCTGGGCACCAGTTGTGGATGGGGACGGAGTAAGAAGCAGCAGCTGGGGTGCTGGGAAATATGTGTGGGAGAACAGACGAAAAGCATGCTGGTCAGGGCAGTGCCGTGGCACAGTAGGGTGACCATATAATTAATCTTTGTGTTTTTTTTTTTTTTTTTTTTGAGATAGAGTTTTGTTCTTGTCACCCAGGCTGGAGTGCAATGGCATGGTCTCAGCTCACTGCAACCTCCGTTTCCCAGAAGTGATTCTCCTGCCTCAGTCTCTCGAGTAGCTGGGATTACAGGCGCCCGCCACCATGCCCAGCTAATTTTTTTTGTATTTTTAGTAGAGATGGGGTTTCACCATGTTGGCCAGGCTGGTCTCAAACTCTGGACCTCATTACTTCAGGTGATCTGCCCGCCTCGACATCCCAAAGTGCTGGGATTACAGGTGTGAGTCACCATGTCCTGCCTATAATTTATCTTTCTAAATACAAAGCGTTCATGTTAATCATCAGTTGGTACAGCAGACAGGAATCAGGACTGTCCCTGAGAAACTGGGAAGTGTTTGATTACCCACGTGGCCAGATAATTCAGAAGAATCAACAAGCTACAAAAACCAGATAAAGGATGTAGATACAAAAAGCAACACCAAACTTTTATAGAAGCTCAGCCTCGCTAATCATCAAAGAAATTCAAATTAAAGCAACAAAATGTTTCTTTTCACTTTTCAAGATGGCAAAAATTATTGTAAAAAATAATAGGGCTATCATTTATTGAACTATATATGGTAGGCACTTTCTAGGTCTTTTTTTCTTTAAGATATGCACTTTTCATTTTAGATTTACAGAAAAGTTGCAAGGATGTTACAGAGTTCTCATATACCCTATTAGTTTCCTCTTACATTTCTATGGTACATTAGAACCAATGAACAAATATCAATATGTTATTATTAACTAGTCCATACTTTAATGGACTTAATTAAATTAGTTAATGAATCAGTATTGATATATCATTATTAACTAACGTCCATACTTTATTTGGGTTTCCTTAGAGTTTCCCTAACATCCTTTGTCTGTCCCAGGATCTCATCCAGGCTACATTTAGTCATGATATTTCTTTCGTTTCTCAGACTTTCATTGTCTTTGATGACCTTGGCAATTATGATATTTTGTAGGATGTCCTTCAATTTGGGTTTGTCTGATGTTTTTCTTATGGTTACATAGGAGTTACAGAGAGATTTCTCACTGTGGAAGGGGAGGTTGCAGGAAGGCAACATGGGATGCTAGAAAGAACTATGTGGTGCTGGATGAGTCCAAGATATAAGTATGAACTCATATTTAGCTTAACACAGATACAGATGGATAGAAACAGAGAATTACAGATACATAGGTCTACAAGTTCACATATATACATATATTTCCTATCTCTGTCGCTTGAGAGATCTTAGAAGTAACAAAACCCTTGTAAATACAAGCACACCTAGGGCCCAGATCTTGGTTTCCAATACCATTCTCCAGGAAAAGGAACCAGGGCTCCTTGAAGAAATGGCTGATTCTAGGATTGGGGCAGGAAACACCCAAGATGGACCCAGAGGGTCTTATACTGCCAGAAAGTAAGAAAGAGCTTGAAAAACAAATGATGGCATGTCAAAGGGTCAAAAGAGCCAATCTGGAAGAGCTCCCAAGGGCCAAAGCTGGAACAATTTGAACAATAAAATAAATGATATAGTATTGGATTATAACCCAAAGTATACAATGAATATCCATTAGTTCATACTGAAAAAAATTATTAATTAAATGGCAGAGAAGGGATAAATCTCATTGCAGAATAATTCCAAATAATGTGTGTAGATACTTTGCTTTCAGAGATGTGGAGCATAGCTTCCAAGTCCTTAAATGTGGGCTTCAGAGTAACTTCCTTCCAAAGAGTACAGTATGGAAAAAGAATAATTTTATAGTGGAGAAACCGGACAACACTGTATCAGAAAGGTGAGCAAGGTTAACATCAACAGTGATGCCATGTTGGTACTATCAACATGTATCCTGATATGATGTGATGAGAATAGTACTTTACCTCTGTGGTCTTCTCCTTTCATGGCTTACCTCTGAAATCAACTGACTAGTAGTTACTGAGGACCCTATGTAGACCCATCACTGTTTGACCAAAAAAAGCAGAGGGATATATTCTTATTCTCAGAGAGTTTATAATCTAGATACTGTGTAATCCAGATACTGTGAGATTTACGCTTGCAAGCATGACCAAGACCAAACTGCAAAAGTCAGGCATTTTGTTTTTCTAAAAACAATAAAATAAAAAAGATGCCTAGGAGTAAGGGGACAATGAAAAAAAAAAAAGCCAGGAGTGGATATTCTACTCTGGTTGCTGAGCCACTCCATAGAGCCTGTGCTGTCAGGATGACCCCTGTGGGTTGCCTCTGATGTTATAGCTCCCTTGAAGTTACATGTATATGTGACACAATATATAGGAGCCAAAGTGTCAGGATGCTTACAGTCCTCTTTTCAGAGTACCCACTACAAAGGAACATAGTTTGTTGAAATCTGAGTGGGAAAAGTATTATTCCAGTGAAGAAATAATAATCGTAAACCATCACTGTTTATCTGGGAAGGGATGATTTCTCAAGTGAACTCCTCAAAGCATCTCTATGCTCTTGATTTGACAGGCATCTTACTGGGAATTAGAGAGAATTGCCGAGGTGATTTGACTCTTTCATGTTAGAATCAGGGGAGACGAGGCTGTCCAGGTGTGCTGGGGAGAAGAGGTGGGTAGAGTGTTCTGGACTTCCTCCAGGTGGTTTGGAGAAGATAAGCCAAATTTGACAAAAGCTAAAAGAAAATTAAGTTGTGGCTACAGTAGAAAAACACGATTTCTCTTCGGAGCTGAAGTCATGGGAGAAGTTGAGTTGGCTTGCTCTGTACTTGAACAACATACATAATAATTGTGATTATTTTGGGGGTTATAAACAGCTGAAAGGTCAGAAAACACACACAAACAATCTCATTCTAAAGCCAACTTTTAGTCAAGTTGGAACAACTGTGAGAGGAAATGCAACTCTAAGAAGTAGGAGGTATCTTGCAAAATTCCCAAATGTAGTCACAGAATCAACACTCAGTACAATGGTCTGTGTCTGGGATGAGGACAATTAAGAAACAAAAGTCTAAAGACATGTGAATTAGCACTTTAAAAATCCAGCACATTATGATTTTCCTAAAATTTCTCCTTGTTTGAAATGAAAAAGAAAGAACCATGACTGTAGCAAGGGAGTCAAAAACTTGTGATTTTTTGCATACTCCCACACCTCTCAGAAATTCGATAAAACCCCCCTCACCACCTAGAAATTCCTACATAACGCTCTCCACTGGTGTGTTCCCTAAGATATGTCACAGGGTGTGGTGCTGTGGAGGCTAACTGAAGCTGGGGACTACTGTGGCATAGACAAGTGGTACTCATTAAAAATAAAGAAAAGAAGAGGAGGCATATGGTTGAGCCTTGGCATATTCTTGAATAGGTGTTCTAGCGTAAACCTGTATCAGGAATGGCTGGAGGGCTGGTGGGTGGGCCCCTTATAGGCCTGTTTTATTGGAAGGAACTAAGGGAATTTGGATAATTTTATCTCAGACAAAGAGGTGAAATGCACATTTCAGAGGGAAAAGTCTGTTTCAGGAACCATGGGCTAGTGTCTGAGAGATGTGGTGATTCTATGCAGAGTCCATCTGTGTCTTCCCAACCACTGTAAACTGAAACTTGAGTTTTATACAAAGGAAATGAGGCAGGCACAATGGAAGAACCAGTGGAAGCTAAGAGAGCTGAGATATTGAGATGCAAGGTGTCAGTGTTGATGGGGATCTTCTACAGTGATGGGAAATGGAGCTCTTGACCCAACAGCAAGACCCTCATTATCACACACAGGAGACCCCAGCAGCCATCTGTGGCTGTGCTACCGCTTTTGCACTGCAGGAGCCGTCAACACAATGAACCAGATCAAAGGAGAAGAAAAATGGCCCATGATGTTCCAGGGATGTCAAAAAACATTCATTATGGAGCACACATGAGACATCTGGGGCCGCCTACACTTCTTTGGTAGTAATATTAAGGTGACAGTAGGTCAGAGGTGCTGTAGCATGGGTAAAAACAGAGCCCGAGGGATCTCTTACTTGATTGCAGATTCCATTTTTATACCACCCTGACACCTCCCCACCCTATACTCAGCAGGTAAAAAGGATTACTTGGGAAACACAGGATTCATTCCTTTTATTCCTTGAAAGGGACTCAAGGGAGGGAGAAAAGAGTGTCTCTTCTTTTTGCTTTTTTAGCTTTAAATGTCATCAGCTTGTGCCAATCTTACAGCATTTGATGTATTTTTATCCTCCCATCTAGAGTGTAAGTTTGTGGAGGGGGCTATATCTTTATCCTTCTATCTTTAACACTCATGACAACACCAGAAACGAAGTATGTGCTCAGCAAATGCTTGTAGGTGAATGGAAGATGTCTAACATAAACCTGGCATTGTTTTAGAAGCTTTATTTAGGCTTAATTTTAACCTCCTTTGGAATTTAGTTTTTGTAGAGAAGAGGGAAACCTGGCCAGCTTTTCAAAATTTGTTCTTCAGAACCACAGAGCTGGAGGGGATTCTAGAGATCATGCAGTTTAGCGCTACATACAGTGTGATCAACCAGCTAGTGCTGTGAACTGTTTATCAGTTTGTGATAAGAGAAGCACAGAAATAGAAAACATTTAGAAATTTTATTGTAATTTGACACTGCTGCAACATCCAATCATGCAATCTTATTTTAGTATTTCATCTTTGCAGTGTTATTAAAGTCATCTTGCTTTATGAAGGATAGGAAATGAAAAGAACAAAGGCTCTGACTTTTTGGTAGTCTCAGACAAAAGTTTGAGACCACGTTTGTAGTTAGTTCTCTACCTTTTCAGTACAGCATAATGGTTAAGCACATAGGCCCTGAAACCAGGCTATCAAGGTGGGAATCATGATTCCTCCGCTTTCTAGGTGGGTGACCTTGGGCAAATGATTTAAATCTCTGTTCCTCACTTTGCTATAAAATGGGTTATGATAAAGACAAACATGTTAGTACGTACTTCACTGGGTTGTCATGAGGATAAAATGGGTTGAAACATTTAAAACAGAATGGGGCCTGCCACATAGCAAATGCCTCACAATTATTGTATGTAATGTTATTGTATGTAATGTTATTAATTATACAGGTGAAAAACAGACTTAGGGAAGTGAACGGAAATCTACATTCCCATACTTCTCAGAGGACTCTTCTTTCTTGATCCTATTTCCTCTCTTTATCCTAAATCTCCCCCTACCAACAATAATAATATTTTCTTAATTCTTCTGTTCTTGCCCCTCACTCTGTTCTGACCCCTGATTTGCTCTGCATCCCCTTCATACTGTTGCTTCTTAAAACATGCTTCGGTCATTGCAGTCTCAGTCAGGTCCCCACTTAACTGACCACAGACCCAATGACTACGCTCCCTCGTTCAGGGCTCTAATTTCTCTGCTGGAGTCATCACAGAGATTACCAGGGATACTTGATGTCCTGACAGAGCACACAGGCTCTGCTGCTTAACAAAACCACGAGGACGTGTCCCAGGAGCACTGCAGCAAAGATGAGCAGTGACTGCAAATGTTTATTAAAATTATGACTGACTTCCCTGCAAAGAAAATGAATCACACAATATGCTGCTGATGCAGGCCATTAAGTCAGTCCTTGTGGGACAAGCAATACTGACCTGTCATGGAGAGAACACTGGGAGTCAATGGGCAGATATATTAATTCTACTCAGTCTGAACCCATGCAAAGGAACCGATTTAACTGTAAGGCTGCAGTTAGGGAGCCTTACTTAGGTTTTGTTGGAAAGCAAAACAAGCAAATAAACTGAAAAATGGCTCCCTTGCCAGTTTGCTAGGTCTATTAAAAATTCTATATTTCGAGAAGATTAAAAATGCCATTTTCCTCCTATAATCCTTCTCCCCTAAGGCTTTGAAGGTCATTTTCAAACCCTTTCTAAATTTTATGTCCTTTGCCCTCTTGTACACCGTATTATATTTCTTATAAAATGATTGAGGGAGAGTTGGTTGTATACTGGGCCCTGTTTTAGAGCTTTAAGTTTGTTAACTCATTTAATCCTCACAACAACCTAGAAAAGGGGCTCTCTTTTTCCCATTTTATTTTATTTTATTTTATTTTATTTTTTGGAAAGGAAGAAGTAAAATGACTTTATTTCCAGATGACACAATAGTATATATAGAAAATCCCAAAGAATTAACATTAAAAAACCCCAAAACTATGAGAGGTAATGAATGAGTTCAACAAAGTTGCAGGATACAAGATCAACAAATGAAAATCAGTTGTGTTTCTGTACACTAGCAATGAACGATTTGCAAATTAAATTCCATTTGTAATAGCATCAAAAAGAGTGAAGTACTGGGAGTGTTGCCGTCTTAACAATATTAAGTCTTCCAATCCACGAACATGGAACATGTTTTCATTTATTTAGATCTTTAATTATTTATTTTTTAAAAAATGTATTTCAATAGTTTTTGGGGAACAGGTGGTTTTTGTTTACATGGATAAGTTCTTTAGTGGTTATTTCTGAGGTTTTTCGTGTATCCGTCATCTGAGCAGTATATGCTGTACCCAATGTGTAATGTTTTATCACTCACCCCCTTCTCCTTTCCCCAAGTCCCCTAAGTCCATTATATAATTCTTATGCTTTTCATCCTCATAGCTTAGCTCCCACTTATAAGTGAGAACATACAATATTTGGTTTTCCATTCCTGAGTTACTTCACTTAGAATAATGGCCTCCAACTCCATCCAAGTTGCTGAAAAATTTTGGGGCACTTAATGCTGCAGTGAGTTGGGACAAACGTGCTCTGGGCAGGCCTTTGCTATGGTTACCTTGGTACCACCGTCTGAGGGGCAGTGAGAGAGGCACTGGGCCCTACTCATGCCTCTGCCCCCTCAGCCGTTCCTCACATCCCTTCTTCTCTATCTCTGTCTCCTTCAGAGCTTCTCTGAGGGTATAGGATACTTTCTTTTCTATGGGTCAGTGATGGTCATTACTGGAAGTTCCCATCACTTCCCGGTCCATCTTCCTGTGCTGGAGAACAAACCTAAACACGAGGGTTGGGGAAACTGAACTGTAAATACAGACCCTATGGTCTGACATAAGCCTCTCTAGGACTTTAGTTCCCCTCAACATACCTCAGGTTTGTCTTGCATCTTCAGTAAGTTGTTTTCAGGAAGTGGGCAGGGAGGGAAGGAGTTGAGATAGACCTATACCTAGAGCCGGAGTGAGTGAGAGAGAGAGAGAGAGAGAGAGAGAGAGAGAGAGAGGAGCGGGGAAGTGGGAGAGAGAGGGAGAGGAACTGGAAGAAGGAGAAAAAAATAAAGAACCCATCAAGTAATGAGAGACATTTTAGAAGCTCAAGAACCTAATTATTAATCCAATTATTGATTTGTTTTCTCTCTAGTTAAAAAATTGAGATGCTAATACTGAGGAATTTCCCCAAATGGTTTGTGGCCCAGGGCTAGGTTCTTATTTCATATTTTTTATTGTTAGAAAACAAAAATATGAAGGAAGAAGAAGAAATACATGAGTTAAAATTTTATTAGCAGAGGGTAGGTTCTTATATCAGGTTGGATTCCAATATTATCCCAATGATACTAAGAAGTCTACCTCAAAGTAAATATGAAAAAGAATATGCATTCTGAGAAATGTTTTTTCCCATACTACATTGGCTAATTCTAAATCAATGCTATTTGACATTAAATAAAATTAGTACATACAAATTCTAGATGGATGAGATCTCAGCAATCACTGTATATTTTACAATTTTCCATAGCATGACAAATATTGTATTGATTGAGAAGGGTATAGTATCTAACCTAGAGCAAATTAAGTCTAATTTAGGCACAAATAATAATCAGTGCTAACACTGCCATACTTTCCAATGCTCAGAGAGACACATTTTGGTTTCTGTAGGCCTCCCATTTAGTAAACATTGCACAAGATGGCAGGCAAGTCTTCAGTGCTTGTAGCACACTGCTTGTAAACACAAGTTGATTAAGTCTGCTGGTGAAATGCTCACTGTAGCTAACAATAATCTATTGTATATTTCAAAATAGACGAACTAGAAGAGAGGACTTGAAATGTTTCCAACACAAAAAAGTCATAAATGTTTGAGGTGATGGATATCATAATTGCTCTGGTTCAATCATTACACATCATATGCATGTATCAAAATATCACATGTACCCCGTAAGTATGTACAATTATGTATTAGTAAAACAAACATGAGTTGAAGACACTGTTGCATATACTCAAGTCTGCATAGAATGCAGTGCTGGAGGTTGTCTTGCTGCCATTTTTTTGATGAGCGTAGGAAGCGAAGAAGGGTATACTTGCCAGAGAATGAGGGAAGATAAAATTAGAAAAAATATAAACATTTAGAAAGGATTAAAATCTTTGAAAATGATATCATTGTCTCTGTGCATATGCTATACTCTTTAATTAATTTTTGTATTTTAGAAAACTATAAAACACTGTCACGTTGAAAGAATTTAATCTAGCATTTGGAAGTGAAATATGGACAGCTTATATTGAATAAAATAATTTTCCAGAACTTCAGATTTATAGAATGAGTTCAAAAAGCTTTGAATTTAGCAATTTTTTTATGGGGTGAAGGCTGGAGAGAAGCAGGAATGGGGAGTCTGATATACATCATGATTAAACAGTGGCTTTTACTGCTAGATGTTATAAAATGTAGCATAGATCTATTAAATTAAAAAGAAAAAAAAAAGAAATTTCCAGAGAGAGTCAGCCTGGACTTAATAGATGCTTAATCTTGTAGTGTAGCATATTCAGGGGAGTCAGGGTAAAGGTAAGATAGGGCCTTGGCCCTGATGGATGATGCAGAGATTATTCACAAACAAGTGAATGGGATTGTACTATGAAACTATGACTCTCAGATAAGTGAGTTCTTTACAAGAAGGCATGAGTCCTCAGACACACTTAGAGGAGCTCAAGCAGGAAGAGGGTCCAGGCTGTGTCTCTATAACACTGAGTGCTCTGATGGGGGCTGCCCTAGCTGAAAAGAGAGACCCTGAGAGGGCAGGGGGCCCTCCCCAAATCCTTATCCCTGTGCTCTGTATACCTCATCCTTCTGCATCTTTGATGCTGATCTGACGCTACTGACCACATTCTTACTGGTCCACACTTGACGTGATTTGGGACCTCCCCAGGATTTGCCCTGTTTCTTCTTCTCGCATTGGACCAGCCATTGAATATTCTTGATAAAAAGAACAGAAAGAAATAAAAACCAACTGACAATGATAAAGTTGTATTTTTATTTAGTAGCTAAATCATTCATCTACCCACAAGACTTATCCTAAATTACAAAAATAACAATTGCGCTCTCTGTGTAAAAGAGAATTCCGTTATAAACATAGTCAAAAGCAAAATATAATCATTGGAACTACTTTCTCCTACTCTTTCATAAAATTTATGTTAGATGAGTCATGGACAGTTTTATTTATGAATTATGGGCTCGTTCACACTTGGTAGCTATTGTATAAAATGTGACCATTTATATAAGTATATATTTATAAATATATTTTATATATTTAAAACATTTAACAAAAGTATTTTTTGTTCTCTTTATATTGTATACTGTGAGTAATTTTTTATTAAATGTCATGTAATCAAAAGCTCACAGTATGATAATCTTTTTCAGAATCTTGGCTCCCATGCTGAGTAAAAATACTTCCCTGAACATAGAAAGTTTGAGGTTTTTTAAAAAATGTAATGTGCAGTTATAACTGTGGAGTTTTCTTCTGATAACAGCTTCTCCTAAAAACACAGCAAAGGTCAACAGAACTGCCTGGCTAACTAGAAAGTAATTAGAAAAATTCTCATTAATGTGGCTATTTATTTATTTATTTTTTGCCCTGTAGCAACATTATTTTTTCCCAGTAAAACACTAATTTCTAATTTAATTTAAATGATATCAAGACAGAAGATGCCAATGTGGAAAGATAGAGAAATTGACAACCCATAAAGCAGCTTATAAAGAACTGATAGTTTTCCTTTTGCCTGGAAACTGCCAGTTGCTTTCCCTGCAGCTGTATTCGATAAGCTCAGAAGAATATTCTTGAAAGAGAAATGAAATATATGTTTAATTATGTCTTTAAGCTTGTGTAGGAAATCACTTTTCTGTCCCATGGAGCTAAAGAACCGTGAATTTCATGTATTTTTTAAAATATTACCATCCTCATTAAGGTCCCTGAATGCATGGACTAGAAGCCATATTAATCCCAAATCAGTATGCTTCTTTTGTTATTTTAGATAGTAAGTACAGTAAGCATGGTAATGTATAGATTTTTGAAAAGTTGCTTGAAAAATTAGTTCATTGTATGATATGAGCGTTATTGAAAATGGAATTTGTGACTATTTAGATGAAAACTACTGAATTTTCCCCCCTCATTGACACTAATCAGACCAAATAAAATTTTTCCAGTGGAATTGGAATTAATTCTATGTTATGTGCCCCTCTGGAAAAGCAAGACTCATGATTATCTATCTATCTATCCATCTGGTTTATTATTGATACATATTAGGTATACATATTTTTGAGGTACATGTGATAATTTGATACATTCATATAATCAGGTCAGGTTAATTGGTATATATATCTACCACCCCAAATATTCTTTTTTATGCTATAGACATTCAAAATATTATCTTCTGGCTACTTTGAGATGTATAATTGATTCGTGTTAACTATAGTAACTCTACTGATCAATTGAACACCAGGTGATAGTTTATATTTGTAAGAGACCCACAAATCCAGGAATAGAGCTGTACACTTTATAATTATAAATGACATGATTAGATAGTGAAACATTTAAGCCCGATTGCCAGAGACTCAGAGATTTAGATCTGGGACTTCTTTTTTGGAATATAAAGTAGGAGTTATGCCTCTGGTGATAACAGTAAATTTGAAAAGATAATAAGAGAGAATATTATGAATTTCATTAAGTGAAATTTATCTTCATGGCCCATGGATTAGATTACACTAGTTTTTAATGTTCTGTATTAGCTGCAATATTTTTGCTATCCCTTTGTTTTACTTCTCTGCTTCATTTATTTACAAAAAATTTCTCGAACATTATTTTAGACACCATTTCATTAATTTTACCACTCTGTTGATCAAATAATGTCAAGTTTAATCGTTAGCTATTTAAGTTTGGAAAGAGCAAGGTCATGACCCTCTCCCTTTGTTCTTTATAGCTGGCAAATTTTAGTATGTATTATTATTATTTTTTTGGAGACAGTATCGCTCTGTCACCCAGACTGGAGTGCAGTGGTGCAATCTCAGCTCCCTGCAACCTCTGCCTCCCAGGTTCAAGCAGTTCTCCTGCCTCAGCCTCCCAAGTAGCTGGGATTACAGGCACGCCACACGCCCAGCTAGTTTTTGTATTTTTAGTAGAGACAGGGTTTTGCCATGTTGGCCAGGCTAGCCTCGAACTCCTGATCTCAGGCGATCCACCCACCTCAGCCTCCAAAGTGCTGGGATTACAGGAGTGAGCCACCGCGCCCAGCCAGATTGTTTAATAGGAGTTTTTGCAGGATCAGCAAGGAATGTGGTGATGAGTAGGAGTCAGCCTGAGCATTGCAATTCCTTGCAAGAGTTCAAGCTGAAAAGGAGGCCTCATTCTGTCCTGTGTACCACTGCAGTTCCAGCCCCAGGCACAGCACCTCTCCCCTGGAAACCACTCAAAAATTTTTTTGAAAGAATAAACAAATCAGGAAATGAAAACTAATATCAATTCCTATTCTAGTGTTTAGGTTACTAATTTGGTAGACTGTGGGTACCACGCATGAAGTAGAGCTGAATTTCAGCAAGTATATTGAACAATTTGCAGGGAAGCAAAGTGTGTTAGGTCACAGTATAGTTACTCCATAGCCCGGCCCACGGAGGTCACTCAAAAAATATTTGTTGAAAAAAAAAAAAAAAAGCCTGTGAAGACAGGCTGAATGACATGTTGTTGTGCTCCTACTGAAATCATTTTCATTGACATGAATGAAGACATTCATAAATTAGGTTAGCAGCAGACTTACAGTTAACAAACAGCTCAATGGGCTGATGGAACAGGCAAAATTAAAAGGAATAATGCAAACGCTCAGTAGCCAGCTTTAAAAAGTATTAAAAAATATAGGCTGAGAAAGATGTAATGTTTCAGTAGTTAATGTAAACAAGACTTGAGATGTAGTTGATTGCAAACTCAATACAAATCAACAATATTGTGAGGTCACTACCAAAATATAAATGTGATATGGGGCTGCATTAATAAATGATTAATGTTGGGTCTGTGCTTCACAAAATCTTTGACCTTGTGTACATATTGCATGCCTGTGTATTTTGGTGGGGTGGGGGAGGGCAGAAAAGCTCATTTCTTTTGTTAGATTCTCAATGAGAACAGTGACTCACAAAATATTAAGATCTATTAGCTCAGAACAAGGTAGGTAATAGTTCTATTTTGTACGCAGGTCAGGTCAAAGTACACTTGTACCATTATAATCAGTTATTGGAAATACATTGTAAGAGAAACATTGATAAATTGAAGTATCTCTGGGAGGCAAGTTGGGATAGTGGAAGGTGTGAAAATCATGACCTATAAAGATGGGATTAAAAGAACCAGAGAGTATTGAAAAAAAAAGAGATTTTACAGAAATATTGCATATGACTTCAAAAAAGTTTCAGATTGGGAAAAGATACAAATACTGATATATAAAGTATTAGTGAGAATGTGAGGAAATGGAGATTCTTGTAATCTGCTAGTGGGTATAAAATTGCATGGTTGTATTGCAGAGTAATTTGTTATGATCAGTACTTTAAAAATGCACATTTGTTTATATGTAATTTTGAAAACTTTTGTACACAAATGAATATACACAAAGGTACATACACAAAAACATTTACAAGGATGTTTAGCAATTTTATTAATTGCCCTAAACTGAAAATATCCACCTGTAATCCTAGCACTTTGAGAGGCTGAGGCAGTAGGATTGCTTGAGGCCAAGAGTTTAAGACCAGCCTGGGCAATACAGCAAGACCCTGTCTCTACAAAAAAATGTAATAATTAGCCAGGCCATGGGAGTGCATACCTGTAAGTCTCAGCTTCTCGGGCGGCTGAGGTAGGAGGATCACTTGAGCTCAGGTGTTCCAGAGTACAGTGAGCTATGATTGCACCACTGTACTCCAATCTGGGTGACAGAGCAAGATCCTGTCTTAAAAAGAAGATACCCTAAGGGCGTATCATAATTATGTTATATACATCATAGCTATGGAATACCATGCAGCAGTTAAAATGAAAGAAGATATATGAGTTCTGATGTATAGAGATCAGCAAGATTTATCAAATTCAAATAAAAGCATGTTGCAGATAATATATATGTATTATGGTTTATGGAAAAAATCCATAAAACAAAATATTTCCCTATGTGCATAAAGAGATAAATATCTGGAATAATTCATAACAAGCTGACAATAATGGCTAAGTAGGACTAAGGGTGAGTCAAAGGGCTCCTTATTTGTATAAATTGTATTTTTTGCATAAAAATGTATTCAGGTCTCTATAAGAACCAATAAGTGGAAGTTATAAATAAATAAAACTGAGTGAATAGAATTTATATAGCCTTTATACCTGGAAAACTTGTTAAATTGCTTTATTATTGGTCCAGGGGAGAAATGGTAAATTGTATTAGAAAAAATTTATTTACATGCATATAAGGAAGCTTTTTTTTTTTTTTTTTTTTTTTGAGACAGAGTCTCGCTCTGTCGCCCAGGCTGGAGTGCAGTGGCGCGATCTTGGCTCACTGCAAACTCCGCCTCCCGGGTTCATGCCATTCTCCTGCCTCAGCCTCCCAAGTAGCTGGGACTACAGGCGCCCACGACCTCGCCCGGCTAATTTTTTGTATTTTTAGTAGAGACGGGGTTTCACCATCTTAGCCAGTATGGTCTCGATCTCCTGACCTTGTGATCCACCCACCTCAGCCTCCCAAAGTGCTGGGATTACAGGCGTGAGCCACCACGCCCGGCCAGGATGTTTTAGGATTAGAAATGTTTTAAAATGGAATTGGTTGCCTATTATTGATTTTATTCTCATTGAAAAGGTTGAAACAGCTTAAATAACTAGGTTCCAAAGATGTTTTAAAAAGAATTGTTCTATTCAACGGGCAAGATTACTTCTAAAATAAATTTCAACTTTATAAGGTTATGATACTTTTTGTTGTTGCTTTTTAACTTATGATATTCTTTATTGTCTTAATTTTTGTCATTTTTATTATGATTATTTCAAGTCAATTTGACATATTTTTAAGAAAATCAGGACAACTGTTTTAGATTTTTAATTTTTAGTTATTATGGATACTTAACAGTTATACATATTCATGAGGTACATGTGATATTTTGATGCAAGCGTATGCTGTGTGACTGCCTATGTGTGTAACTGAGGTAGCCATCACCTCAAGTATTTATCATTTACTTGTGTTAGGAACACTGCAATTCTACTCTTAGTTATTTGGAAAAATACAATAAAATTATTGTTGACTATAGTCACACTATTTTGCTACCAAACAGTAGATCTTACTCCTCCTATCTAACTATATTTTGTACCCATTAGCCAATCTGTTTCTATCTGCCCCCTCCACACTACCCTTCCCAGCCTCTGGTAACCATTATTCTACTCCCTATCTCCATGAATTCAATTTTTTTTTTTTTTTTTTTTTTTTTTTAGCTCCCACATCTGAGTAAGAACATACAGTATTTTTCTTTTTGTGCCTGGCTTATTTCATTTAACACAATGTCCTCCAATTCCATCCATGTTGTTGCAAATTACAAGATTTCACTCTTTTTAATGACTGAATACTATTCTGTTGTATATATGTATGTAATTTCATTACCCATTCATTCATTGATGGACACTTAGGTTGATTCCTTATCTTGGCTATTGTGAACAGTGCTGCAATAAACAGTGATATTATGATTCTATGGTTGGATAATGTCTAAATACCCTTACAGGTATAAATTCCAAAATTCTAATTTAGAATTTTTTGATTTAGCACCAAAGTCTTTTATTACTCTTTATCCTCATTTTACCTCTATAATCTTATCTCCTTTCATGATTTCTTTGTGAAAGCCAGACTTTCCCCAAATGCAAGCTCCATACCACTGGTCATTTAGAAAGTGATTTTTACATGTTACACAAATATGACATTAAATAATACTAAATCACTAAATTATCAAATCACTAAAGGAAAATAGTTATTTTCTCTTTCAGTGCTTTTGATTGGGGTCAAAGAGAAGATTTTTAATATTTTTCTGGTGCTTTATATTTTCCCTTTTAAACCAAATGTGAGAAGATTTTGGACTTTGAACTTTAGTTATAAACGGTATATATCTATAGTTTAATCATAGTTTGTTTTTCATGTATGTGTTTGTAGTCATCTTCTGTTTTTGGTAGTTGTGGCATAAACTATTGTTTGCCATCCAGTATCCATTATTTGCTTCTTCTTTCCTAACGAATCCCATTATTGGTAGTGGCAGTGTACCAGCTAAAAGGCTGTAAGGCCTAGCCTTCCTTGCACCTAGGTGTGGTCATGTGTCTTTGTCCTGGCCAGTGAGATAAGCAGAAATGCCATTGGTGACACCTGGTAAAAATGCTCACAGGACACTGACTAATCTAGGGCACGCACACTTTCTTCCCTAGGCCCATTTTTCCTTCTTGCCTGTCATATAGATGAGATGGCTGGAGCAACAACAGCTAAATTGGATAGTGAGGCAATCCTGAGAATGACAGAGCAGAAAAGTAGAAGGATACTTGTCCCTAATGGCCATGATGCTGCCATTTCTAAGGTTGGACTGTCTCTCTCTGGACTACATTTCTGTGAGAAATATATCTGTTAAAGCCATTGTCACTTTAGGTGGAGTATATAAAGGGACACAATCATAACCAAAATGGCAAATGTTATTGGTTTTCCCATGTTAGTGATATAAAATTTAGCACTAAAATAAATCCATGTCATTGGTATGCCATTAAGGCCCATTGGATCTGATTTGCATTTGAAATTTTTAAAAATGGTTTTAACTATTTGTAAGGACTGATAGTTATTATTTATTCAAAGCCTTCCAAAGAACAAAGAGAAAATTTACTATTACTTTAAACAGAAAAAAATTAAATCTTGCAGTTACTATAGAGGCCCATTAAACTCTTTTGAAAATCCAAGATACATAATGAGTTCTTATAGTGATCTTAATATTTTTTTTTTTTACATCTTGGAACATTGTGTTAGTACATCATCTTAGGAATTATTTCATCATTACTCATCAATTATTAACAATTAGGCTAAGCAGACTAAAATAATAAGACATAAGAATCATGGAATTCCCTAAATTTGAGGCTGAAGAATAATATATTAGTAATTCTTCAGCTTTCTAATTACATTGCCCAAAGTATTATATCATTTTTTTTAAGAATAGTATAAGAGGAGATGGAAGACACCATCTTTGTGGTCCGCTGCTTTTAGCTTCCATTAAAAAGAGTGAAGAATTTCAAAGTTTATATTTTCTGCCCAAAATGATAAAGGAAAGAGATAGATAAATCTGGTTCAAAAATTTAAGATGAATCAATGCATACATGCAAAGAGGTGGAGAGCAGCATTCTACTTTTGAGTGATGATGTTGAAATTAATCATACACACAAAATTTGAGATTATGAGTTTTCGGAGGGTGATATTCTGCCTGAATTTTCTCCAACTCAAGAAAAGATGAGTGAACAATACATTTCTAGGGGCACAAAAGAAAATATGGTATTTTCATTCAGTTTGTCATTCAATCAGGAAGGATTCAGTCTAGTCCACCAATATTTTGTGATGGGACTCACACAAAGTGTGTGACAGTGCTGTTTCATCCTTTACAATGCCTGTGCTCCAGCATTTACTTGACCCAGTGAGGTGTGCTGTGTTTAACTTCTTATGAAATGTTAAATAAGTTTTTCATTATCTCTTTATTGTTCCATAAATTATTTGTAAAATGACTTAAAATATATATTTTAAAAAGGACCCATTGGACTCAGATGATAAATGACGATGATTTTTTCTGGTATGTTGGGGGTTAATTGAAAATAGGGAGCTAATTAGATGATAAATATACAGTTAATGATAGTACTAGTGAATAAAAATGCTAGAATATAGCAAAAAGCCACAAAAGAGGTTACATATATAGTTGGGGAAACACATCACATCAAAACCTCTTCTCATTATTTTAACTTTGACTTGCAAATGATGTCATTGTATACATGTTGATATTTTTCCTGCATTTAGAATTTCTTACTGTAGGGAGTTATTGTTTAACGGATATGGAATTTCAGTTTGGAAATACGAAGTTCTGGAGATGGATGGTGGTGATGTTTGCCCAACAATAAAAATGTACTTAATGCCACAAAATTGAACACTTGAAAATAATTAAAATAGTAAATTCTATGTTATTTATATTCTATCCAATTATAAATATTTAAAATTCTTAATAATTATTTTAATAAACATAAAAAAATTCTCGCCTCTTCTCTGACAATCATGTACATTAATCAAATTAAAACTTAAATTGGTTTCTATAAAATGTTTTCATTGAAGATTTGTCCCATTCATGCCTTTATTTTAGGTGTTCTCCACATTTTTAGACAGAATTACTATACTATATGGATATTATACTATACAGATAGGCTCATGTAAGAAAGCAAATGCTTGCATAGAGAATCCCAAATCACTCATTTTGACACTTGTATACAATGCAGGCTATATTAATTTGAGCACACTATATTATACTGTTTTCAATTAATATCTATAAAAAATCTAATTAAACTAGAAAATGATGACGTGCCCTAATTCCTTTAGTTCTTTTGGAGCTACTGTCTTGCACAATGTGAGGGTCATAGGAGACGAATACATTCACATGGCTGAGATGAATTAGTTTTGCTGAGTAGCTTCCCTTGTGCTTCTCTTGTTTCTGAATCAAGCTGCATGTAACAAGACTCTGAGATCTTATAATTGAATATTCAGTATCCAAGACCCCTTAGAGTCCACACTTTGCATCTGTTCCTTACTTGTCTGGCTTCCCACTGGTTTTATTTCATCTCTTGCTATCTATAGTACCAACCACATCGACATTTGGTAATTATTTTTTAGTTTCTAAAATACGATGGAGGGACCATGCAGTCTACAAGAAGACTCATTCATAAGAATTCAAATAAAAGACAATTTTGATTAAGACCAGAAAGCGTGAAAACAACAGAGCAGAGTGAGAAATCAAATTATGTCTACATCAAAATTACATTTCTCTTGACCTACTGAGGTGTATTATGAACAGGTTTCTTGACAACCTAATTTTTTAATGCATACTGCATTATATTAAGTTATATGGAATTTGCACAATAAACTGTGACACAGGAAAAGTGTTCTGTATGTTCCCTTTGAAAATTCTTCTCCATTTGTATGCTTCATGTTACCATCACATTTTTAAGTAGGCCCCAGTTTTTCCTAGGAAATTGAAATGCTTTAGTACTCCATTCATTGCAGGGATTTCCCTGCAATTTTTTTTTTTTTAACATTTCCACCAATAGGTTCCTTTCAGAACACCTACAGAGGATATAAAAAATATATTGTAGTTCATTGTATTGATGTCAACAGAACTATGTGTTTTCACCCTGGTGTGATGTCAGAACAATGCAGCACATCCTTCACTGTGCCAACTCACTGGAATAAAAGACCCATTCAGAAAGAAACCCTTGGATGGTCACAGTTTTTAGGAGTTTTTATGCATGGCCACACAAGTTTATAACTTTAAACTTTTCTTGCAGTGCATTATATTTTCTTCCCATTGCTGCTGAGCTTTCATATTGAAAGCGAGTATTTTTCTATATAGCAGCTGAAACGTCTATTGATCCTTTGGTTAAAAAATAAAAAATAAATATACTTTGTAGAATGATTGCATTCCAAGGCCAGGTTTAGCACATTTCATTCATGCTATTTTCTAAAACCCCTAGTGTGAAGACTGACAGCAGAATGTGGATTTCATAAATCCCACCATATGAATTCCGAAACCCCAAAATAAGAGATTAACAGATGTGGATGTGGATGGTACAGTGGATGCTTTGAAGATAAAATTAAAACATTTTGTATTTGCATGTGTAAGATAAACATAAAGCAGTTCATTTTAGGTAGTTGGGGTTTGCAGAGAAAGATAAAATAAGTACTCTGCTTTAGTTCAGGGATTCGTCTCCGTCTCCTGACTTCATTTTTTGTTGTTGTTAAGCTTTCACTTTCTTAATTACAAAAGTTAATTGTGACTATTGAAGAAATTGGAAAATACAAACATAAAGTATAAATTAAACTACCTTGTAACCTCTTTCCTACCCGACCCAGAGAGATCCATTGTTCACATACTTGTGTGTATCCTTCCTTGGAGTATGTATGTTGCAAATATGGGTCATACCTAACATATGCTATGATAGCCTCATTCTAATTGGTATACCATGAATCTTTTCCTATTTAAGTAAATATTCAAAAGCATCATTTTTAATGGCTGTATTTTATTATAGATGAACTATTTAAAGCAATAGCTTGATTATAACACTTGAGCTATTTTTATTTTTTAATTGCTATTTAAAATCTTTTTTGATTCCACATCCCCTTTCAGCTGAATCACTGTGTCTTTTGCTCCACCCATACTTCTCCAGCAGATGGGTTGTTGGACTATTCTTTTTTGTTTGTTTTTCTATTTATTATAAACAAACCTGTTATAATCTTTTTTGGACATGTATCTGTGTACATGTTGAGTATTTATATAATACAGCTTCCTAGAAGAGTAACAAGATATGTGGCCCTTTAATTTTGATGAATATTTCCAAATTGTTGTTAAAAGGTTGTACCAATTTACACCCTCAACAGCAGTGTGAATTTCCATTTTTCTGCACTTTCTGTAACATAACAAAATTTTGCCAACCTTATAAGCAGAATATGTTGCTTAATTTATATTGCCATAATACTTTTTAAAACTGGTAATCTTTTCAATGTTTATGTCCATTTGTATTTCCATTTCAGTGAATTTTCTCTTTGAATTATGTATATATTTTTCTATTAAATTATATCTTTTTAACTGATTTATGGAAACTTTTAACTCTTTGTTTTCTATGCCTGGCAAATGTGTTCTTTCAATCCATCATGTATCTTTTAATTTTACTTATAGTGCTTTTTTTTTGCCATAAATGTGTTTTCTTCATTTTTTCACTTTTTAAAATTATTTTTAAAATTTTTTATTTCCATAGGTTTTTGGGGGAACCAGTGGTATTTGGTTACATGAGTAAGTTCTTTAGTGGTGATTCGTGAGATTTTGGTGCACCCATCACCCGAGCAGTATACACTGACCCCAGTTTGTAGTCTTTTTTGCCTTACCCCTTCCCACAACTTCCCTCTCCACCCAAGTCCCAAAGTCCATTGTATCATTCTTATGCTTTTGCAGTGTCATAGCGTAGTTCCCACATATGATATTTGGTTTTCCATTCCTGAATTACTTCCCTTAGAATAATAGTCTCCAATCCCATCCAGGTTGCTGCAGATGCCATTAACTCATTCCTTTTTAATGGCTGAGTTGTGTTCCATAGCGTGTGTGTGTGTGTGTGTGTGTGGATACATATCTCACATATATATATATATATATATATATATATATATATATATACACACACACACACACATATATACACATACATATCACATCGCAGTTTCTTTATCCACTCATTGATTGATGGGCATTTGGGTTGGTTCCACGTTTTTGCAATTGCGAATTGTGCTGTTATAAATATGCATGCGCAAGTATCTTTTTCATATAACCACTTCATTTCTTCTGGGTAGATACCCAGTAGTGGGATTGCTGGATCAAATGGTAGTTCTGCTTTTAGTTCTTTAAGAAATCTCCACACTGTTTTCCATAGTGGCTGTACTAGTTTACATTCCCACCAGCATTGTAGAAGTGTTCCCTTTTCACCACATCCATGCCAACATCTATTATTTTTTCATTTTTTTATTATGGCCATTCTTGCCATATACATTTTTTTTTTTTTTCAGACAGAGTCTTGCTCTGTCACCCAGGCGGGAGTGCAGTGGCGTATCTCGGCTCACTGCAAGCTCTGCCTTCCGGTTCACGCCATTCTCCTGCCTCAGCCCCCCGAGTAGCTGGGACTACAGGCTCCCGCCACCACGCCCTGCTAATTTTTTGTATTTTTAGTAGAGATGGGGTTTCACCGTGTTAACCAGGATGGTCTTGATCTCCTGACCTTGTGATCCGCCCGCCTCAGCCTCCCAAAGTGCTGGGATTACAGGCGTGAGCCACCGCGCTCAGCCCCGCCTTATACATATTTTTAATTGCAGTACAAATTCAGTCATTTTCTTCATGAGTTCTAGGTCTTATGCCTATGCTGAGAAAGGCCATCTCCTTTCAAAGATTATAAAAATACTTACATATGTTTCCTTCTAGGGCTATTATGTTATGATATTTAATCTATTTGAAATTTGTTTTTGCTTGATGGTAAAAGGAGGGGATCCAGCTTCATGCTTTTTCCAAATAATATTTAGTTGTTTTTAAACCATTTATTTTCCATTCCATCATTTGTCACTGATTTTAAATATCAACTTAATATATCAAAAGGTCATATCTCTGTTCTGTGTTTAAATCATATACTCTTTTAATTATTATAGCCTTATAACGTGTTCTGCTATCTGGAAGGAAGAAAATGGCGTTACTTCCTCAAGCAAAATTGTTGGGTCAAATTGATTTGGGGTTCTGGGAAGGCTGCCCTAATTTACAGTTTCACTAGAAGCATATGCAAATACTTATTTCGCTTCACCTTACTAATACTTGTACATATGTATTTAATATGTTTTTCATGTATTTTTTAAAATTTCAAATTTCATAGATAAAAATGGTATGTCATAAGCTTTATTGTACGTTGATTACTAGGATAGATGAGCTCTTCTTGATACTGTCATTAAGTTTTGCTGTTATTTTTTAATATTTTCTATTCAGTTTAATGTGCTCATGTTAGGAGACCTGTGTGTTTTAGAAATGGCTCATGCTTGAACTAAGGAGAACACAGTGGTTGACCCAGGACAGGACAATTCTGAAACCAAAAACTAAGGAGCTCCCTGCCTCTAGGAAACATAGTAGGACAATAGTAGTGTCAAAAGGCAAAATTACAACACATTTACTTTCATTATCTGAATTGGCTTTTATTTACAATTTAAAAATCATAAAGAAGATTCTAGCACCTGGTTCTCAGAACCAGAAAAGGTTCAAAGAATTCCCTGGCTGCAATGTGGTCAGACATCTATGGTCAGAAAACGGAAGTCACAGGGACAGTGACTTCCCTGTCACTGTCATAGGCAACAGGTTGGTGTTTTGCCTAATTCAAATCAACTGGCTGACTGTGATTGGCTGGAGCTCAGCTACTGTGATCTGTGATTGACTGAGACCAGCTATTAATATTCGTTACTTCAACTCCTAAGTTAGGGTTTAGTTAATGTACTACGTTATGTTGCAGTTCATTACTTAAGGACTCAGGACAGGGGCATCCTCACGCGCAATTTTAATTTAGTTTAACAGTTGCCAACCTTTATTAAGCTTTGTATTAAAAGCTTTATATTCTCTGGCTTATGAGATCCTCTCACTACTGTGTGGAGGCATTATGTCCATCCTCACTTTCTAATGAAAAACTGGGGCTCAAGGACATACACAACTTGCCTAAGGTCACAGAGCTGGCAAGTGGCTGGGCCACTTTGTGAATCCAAGTGGTGTGACTTCTGAGTCCAAATGTCCCCATCGAAGGGTCTGCTGAGATGTGCCATCCCTTCCCCAGGACTGCCACAGGACCGTGTTGAAGGAGCCTGTCCCAGGCTCAGGCTAGCAAAGACAGAAACAGGTGCCTGTCCCCTTAAAAGTCAGGGTCTTAAAATCTCTGGAAAACTGGAGATGAGGATGCGGGGTGGGGGCACAGAAGCACTGTGGGGACCTCCCTTCTCCACAGTGAGAACCGTCTGGAAGACTTACGTGGTTTATGGTGGCAAAATCATGTATTAATGAAAACATTTCTAAGCAACCAGTTCAAAAATGCTCAGAATGGGTTGGAGGCATAGCATAGACTTCTTTTCAAAAGTAAAGACATTTTCAGTTTCTGTAAAAAGTCATCCTTCCCTGGAAGGGGTAAGTTGTAATTATTTATTCTTTTAAAAATACAGAGTCAGATGCTACTGCTTTTTCTGATTAAATTTGTGCTTACTTTTAAGTTGTAGTGTGGCAGATGAGGAGCTGATGCTAGAATTAAAAAGGTCTGGTCTGTCATTTTTTTTTGTATTAGTATTATCTTTTATCCATACTTGTGAAGTTTAGTTTAGTTAAAATTAGACAATCTGTAAGTCCACATAGTGCAATTTGACTTTTTGAGTAAAAAGGTGGTGGGTTTTTTTGTTTGTTTGTTTTGTTTTTTGGCTTCCACAGTTGGCTAAATTAAGAGGACCAAATGGTTTAGCCAGGGTTCTGATTAACAACTTGTTGCTGACTAGTTTGCTGTCTAAAGTAATGGGGTGAGAGGAGGAAAAGAAAAATCAATCTAAAAACTAAATGCTGGTAAGAAACAAGTCTTAGACTAGTTTACTTGATGGTTGTACCTTGTACATAGGTCTAAACTGGGATTTGAAGTGTCTGTGGCCACCTCTATGAAGAATAATGTCAAAATCATATATCGTTCATTATAACATTGATCAACGCTCACTGCTTTCTCAGAGGGAGCTGGATTTGTGATATAACATTGTAGAGGAGAGGTTGAAACCAGAGATCATCCAGCCTAAAACCTTATGTCTTTCTTAGTGCCTTCTCTTTGAAAAAATGGCACATCCCAACAGTTACTTATGCAAAGTTCTAGAAACTACCTTTGTCCTTCAATTCTCACACTCAGTAGATACACCAGTACTGTCAGTTCTGAACCCAAAATGAATCTTGATTCTTAATTTTCTCTATAATTGCTGCCACCATCTTCAAACTCTTATTTCCTGCATTTTTTTTCATTAGCCTCCTATCTTCCCTCCCCACTTCTATTTTCCCCCTTAATAATTTATTAACTCAGTATCATAAATGATATTTTAAAATGCTTTTAAAGCTCTTTCGCTTTTAAATTTTTTATTTTGAAATGATTTTGATTTTATAAAAAAGTTACAAAAATAGTGCAGAGAGTTCTCATATATTCTTCATCCAGCTTCTCCTAATTTTAACATCTTACATATATAACCAATTTTGGAAAGCAGGAAATTAACATTGATGTAATACTATTAACTAAGCTACAGGCCTTATTCAATTTTCACCAGTTTTTCCACTAAAGTTTCTGGTCCAGGATACAATCCAATGACCCACATTACATTTGCTTGTCATGTCTCTTTAGTGTCCTTCAATTTGTGACAGATCTTTAGCCTTCCTTTTATAACATTGACATTTGTTAAAAGTACTGGTCAGTTCATTGATAGAATGTTCCCCAATTTAGGTTCATCTGCTGTTTTCTATGACTGCATTGGGTTATGCATTTTTAACAAGAATTATCACAAAAGTGACGTTGTGTCCTTCTCAGTACATTCTATCGGGGGCTAAATGCCTTGTAAAGATATAAATTTGATCATGTTACAAACCTTCAGCGGGTTTCCATTTCTCTGAGGGTAAATGGCAAACTCTTCTAAGATCCTGCGTAATTTGGTCCCTGTTACTTTAATTCATGCCTTTTGTAAGGGCCAATACAATTTAAAATTAAGAGGCTTAATTCTTGTTGTTGAAAATAGAAGGAAGGACTTCCCCCACCCCAACCTCTTATTCTTAGAGCATTTACTTGGAAAACTTGTAATTGTTAACTTCTTTCTCTGTCTCTGGGAAATATATGTAAATCTTTTTGAAAGCTAAATAAGCTTCTGGCCAGTTTTAGACCCAGGAATGTCTTTCTCAAGGCCCTGGGAGCCATCTTTTTCAAATGGAATCAAGGAAGATAGTGCCCCTATTTCCCCATTTCTGTGGGAGGGCAGGTGCCTCGCTCCAAGTTGCAAAACTGTCTCTTATCATAAAGAGAACTTTATTTTTCTGTTGAATAAAGCCAATAGTTAACACAGATGGTCACCTCAACTACCAAGGAAATTTAGGAAGAGCTGTGTGTGACAAATGGTGTTGCCAAGTCCTCTTACTTGAGGAGCAGTTATTCTTTATCTTGATGGCAAGTATGTACCACATGGTAAAAGGATGAGATGTCTTTTGAATTTTGGAATCTCTTAATGGATTACCTGTGATAGTTATCATATTCTTATTCAATGCTTTTTCAATAATAAGATTACTTTCTTTCTCTTCTAGTCTGTAGAGAGGTTTTCTGTGTTGGGAGGAGATTTTGTTTTTAATGATGTTTCCCCAACACTCTTTCCCGCTGACTTACTATGGCTTTATTTCATGTTTCATAAAGTGCAAAACTGTTGCTTGCTGTATAATCCTCTGCCTGAATTCCTCCGCTTTCCTCCACCTCTTCGTTTAAGTAGCTCCTTTCAATCTCCAGGACTAAGTTCAGATATAATCTCCCTAAAGACACCTTTCTCAACCACCCTGTCTAAGGAAGCCACCCCTTCCAGGGATTCTATCACATTATCCTGTTTCTATCTTGCAGAGTGTTTCATACAACCTGTAATTATTGTACTTATTAATTTGTTGATTTATTTATAGTGTTCTGTCCTCCACTACAATGCAAGCTGTAGCAGGAAGAGACTCCCCTCCAATCTGTCCAGTCTCACCCCATCTGTCTTGTTTATGGCTGAAGCCTTCATACCTAGAACAGTGCCTGGCACATAATAGGTGCTTGATGCATATTTGTAGAATGAACAAATGAGTGAGATGAGACTGATAAGCAGGTTAGGGTAGTTAAATAATGGAGATGCACATTTTATCCTATTACTTATCAACTTGTGGAAGTCTCAACAAACAAGTTTTTAGCAGTCTCTGTATTTAACGAACACATAAAATAATTATATTGAGGAAATAATACATGAAAAATTCACCTTCATACTTGAACAAAAATGGGCCCAAATGCTTGTTTTGAAAAGGAAAATCTGTGATTTTTTTTTTAAACCCACTCAAATATTTTAGGAAAGCTTTCATGTTAATTCTGGATACAGCTGGGGCCATTTGAATTGTAGCATTGACTAATTGGCCAGTGTGAACATCAATTAGTCCTGAATAAAGAGCAGGAGATGAATGCCAAGAAGGAGGAAGTGGAGACTCAGATTGTTCAGCAAATCTACTAGGAATCTGCACATCCTAACAGACAAAGAAGGGACCTTCTGCAAGACCGTTGAGACAGTGGAAGCCTTGAAGTTATGCTGATATTTGAAGGAAGGCTTAACGCAGTGTTTCTCAACCTTAAGCATGTGGCACAGTCCTCTGGAAGGCTTGTTAACACAGGCTGCTGGGCCTCATCCTAGAAGTTTCAGATTCTGTAGGCCTTGGGACCCAAGAATTTGCATTTTAACAAGTTCCCAAATGATACTGCTGACATCGATCCAGGCTCCACACTTTGAGAACCACTGCTTTAAAGCACTGATTGACTAGAAGAACCTGATGGAATTTGTTTATAATAGTTTTTTAAAATTTATTTTATTTAATTATTTAGAGATGGGGTCTTGCTCTGTCACCCAGCCTGGAGTGCAGTGGTGTGATCATAACTCACTGCAGTCTCGAACTCCTGGGCTGAAGCAATCCTCCTGCCTCAGCCCCCTGGAGTAGCTTGGCCTACCCCAGCTAATTTTTAGGGTTTTATTTTTATTTTTATTTTTTAAAGATGGGGGTCTTGGTATATTGCCCAGGCTGGTCTCAGACTCCTGGCCTCAAGCCATCTTTCACTTGGCTTTGCAAAGTGCTGGGATCAAAGGCATGAGCCACCAAACCCAACCCTATATCAGTCTTTTAAGAGTTGACAATGGCCTTTCTCGCTCCCGGGCCATCTTAGCAGCAGCTCCTGGTTGGGGGCCATCCCACACCTAAGGCAGAAAGATGGTGGCTGCAAAGAAGACAAAAAAGTCGCTGGAGTTGATCAATTCTAGGCTCTAACTTGTTATAAAAAGTGAGAAGCATGTGCTGGGGTACAAGCAGACTCTGAAGATGATCAGACAAGGCAAAGCAAAATTGGTCATTCTCTGTAACAACTGTCCAACTTTGAAGAAATCAGAAATGGAGTACTATGCAATGTTGGTCAAAACTGGTGTCCATCACTACAGTGGCAATAATATTGAACTGGGCGCAGCATGAGGAAAATACTACAGAGTATGCACACTGGCTATCATTGATCCAGGTGATTCTGACACCATTAGAAGCATGCCAGAACAGACTGGTGAAAAATAAACCATGCAAAATTTCCCTTTAATAAAATTTGCCAGTGCTTGTTAAAAAAAAAAAAAAAAAGTTGACAATTTTTTTTTAATTAAACAAATGTTCCATTTTTTTAACTGCCAAGGAAAAGGGTCTCTTTTTTCATGCTCCATTTTTAAAGGTCCCATCTCTGTATCTCAGCTCTCATTTATTGAGCATGTACTAGTTATACATATGATTTTATTAATCTTTAAAATTGCTGGGTAAATCCTTATTTTACCCGTGGATTATTATTGTATCTTGGGCGACAGAACCAAGATTTCATGCAGCATTTTCAATATCGTGCCTCATATCACGATGTAGAATTTCATTGCTCCCTACAGATCTACTCTGGATTTCTATATGTGGGAGTCTTTAATATGATATTGAAGAAATCGGCTGAAAACTTTCCCTAGGGGTTTTCCTCCTTAACCAGACCTTGTTATATTTTGGTGGGTTAGTGGCCTTTATTCTCAAAACAAATATTTAAAATTCAAGATTCAAAGACAAAATACGCCTATCTGTTTTTAAGTAATAAACCATGTTTTTCTCTGATTACATGCATTACTCCTCACTCTGGAATCATAGAATTTTCTGTTAGTAGTTTCTTTATTTTTTCAATTGAATTTTATTTTAAGTTCTAGGATACATGTGCAGGACGTGCAGGTTTGTTACATAGGTAAAGGTGTGCCATGGTGGTTTGCTATCAATCCATCATAGGTATTAAGCCTCACATACATTGGCTATTTATCCTGATGCTCTCCTTGCCCCCTACCACTCTGACAGTGTGTTCTTCCCCTCCCTGTGTCCATGTGTTCTCATTCTTCAGCTTCTACTTATAAGTGAGAACATGTGTTGTTTGGTTTTCTGTTCCCACGTTAGTCTGCAGAGGATAATGACTTCCACCTCCATCCATGTCCCTGCAAAGGACATGATCTCATCCCTTTTTATGGCTGCATAGTATTCCATGGTGTATATGTACATTTTCTTTATCCAGTCTGTCATTAATGTGCTATGGTGAATAGTGCTGCGGTGAATATACGTGCGCTTGTATCTTTGTAATAGAATGATTTATATTCCTTTGGATATATGCCCAGTAATGGGATTGTTGGTTCAAATGGTATTTCTTTACCCATGAGTTATCTAATTTTCCAGGTAGTGTGATTATTGCCCAGTGGTTCACTTCTAACCAGTGATATAGCTGGTGCTTCCACAGGGCTCTCTGACTCCAGGATTAGGCCTCTTTTTGCTACAGTGCTTCTCAGCCTGAGATAAAACTAATTTTAAGACTACTTGGTAACACCTTGAGGTATTATATGACTGAAGTAGAAATTACTTATCAGCCTGATCTAACATAGAAGGCTGGTTAAGACAAAAGTCCTAATATGAAGTGCTACATCTAGGTGTTTTGTTACCAAAGAAACATGGTAGTCTTGTTTCCCAAGAAGTATTTTAAAGATAACTCTAGCAAAACACTCATTTTCTACATGAGTTTGAGTAATTTGTCTAAGTGGTAAAACCAAACTGACCTTTTTAGCTTAATTGCCTACATGATTCAATGAATTCTCTATCGAGAGACAGTTAAGACCAAACACGTTCTCCTCAACATCCCAGAAATGCATGGATCACCTTGAAAATCTCTGAAAAACTAATACAAAGAAGCAAGTGACTGAGTTCATAATTGTTTCCCTTTCTCTAAGCCAAAATTGATGGCCAGGAGGAAGGCATTGAAAGCCAGTACATACTGACACTATTTATAAGATCTTGATATTTTAGACTTGTATTGCACCATTCATCCTGGGATCATAAAAATGGTTGTTAAAATTTATACCATATTAGTCTGATTAACCCTGAGAAGGGTAAAAATAAAGGATTGAGGAGAAATATTTATTTCACAAGGGTTAGGACTTTAATATACAGAAAGCTGCATAAATCTGCAGATGTTCTAATTAGATTCAGCTGAACTGCTTCAGAATGCACGATAACATGGATTTACTCTGCCAACTACTAAGAATAACTTTTCTGGTGTAAAAAAATGTTCAAGTTTCAATATTGAAACATAAAATACCCCAGCCCAGGGGATAGATTCATTTCACATCAATTTTTTCATTGGCTCAAATTTCTCTAGCTGTTAAGTTGCTCCTTTATTATAAGACTTAAACAGAATTTTCTAAATGGTACCCTAATGGTACTCTTCTCAGGTTATAGTACCTGGAATCCTATTTTCAGTTAATAGTTAAACATTAACCTTAGATCACTGTAATACCATCAGGCAGGTTATTCATATGGTGCTTAATTTACAATCAGGGAGTAGTTTAGGCCATGAGAAAATCTGGTTCATAAAGAGGATGACATTAGGGAATCAAGGGATGTATTTCATGAAGTAGTTTTGCTAGTCAATTTCCTTTTTTTTTCCCCTTGAATATATGATGGTTTTTAAATCTCAGGAAAGTTATTCCTTTGTGCTGGCAGGGGAAATCTATGTTGTCCTATATTTGGAAGTTTTTCAGTAAATCTTATCAGAGAATTTGCTGAGGCCCAAGTTACAGCAGGGTGAAGAATGAGCCTTCCTCTGGCATGAGAATCCTACTGGATCCCCAAAGGCATGGGGATACCTTTAGTGTCTAACTTTCAAAAGTTCCATCAGCACCAGAATGCTTTCCAGTTCCACAGAACCTGGGGGTCAGATCCAGCTGCGCCTTCTGATTTATCTGTTTCTAGGTCTGAGAAGTCAAGGTGAGGGAAAATGTCTCTTTGCAAAGGGAGTCAAGGGGAAATGTGAGAGAGGCTGTGACTAGAACCTCATGTTCCCTTGCCTGCCCCTTAGACAAACCAACCTTTGGTCAATATTCCCTCAATTATATTTGATAAACCAACCTATTATCCTTAATTAAAATGTTGGCAGGAAGTATTCATGTGAATTTTTGCCAAGGATTTATTATAATCTCCTTGTTTTATGGTTTCCTATTTTGAATAGTGAAAGAATAATTTCTTTCACTCTTCTGAAGGAGAGTCTCTTGTAAATGCAAATTTTATCTCCTTCATAATCTTTTTGGATCTCTGTGAATTTGCACGGAACAAAAATACATTGCTCAAGTATGCTGTGTTTTAATTTATTAATAAAAACAAAATAGTTGTGAAAGGCATTTGTAGGAAATTGATTTGAAATAGATGTTACCATGGCATATGCATTAGTCTGCAACATTAGGAACAATGAACATGGAAAATCAACATTACTTATAGACTTACCAGCTACCTGTTACTGTAGAATCTGAAGTCAGGGATATTATAAATATGTAGAGTCATGTCCTAGAATTTACATTTAACCCTTGGTTGTCTAGTATCTAAGTCACTTTATCTTGTTTCCCTGTTATCCTATACATAAATATATGTGTGTAAACACACACACACACACACCTGATCATTGATATAAAAACAACAGCAACAACAACAAAAACGGGTCACTAATGTATAGAACCCAATAGTGCCTGTAACATAACGCAATAAATATGAGTTCCCTCTTCCCATCCTAAATCCCTTTTCTTATTTCTTGGGCATTTTCCTTTCTCTCCTCACTTTTTTCAAAGGATAGGTTGGGAATTTAAAAAAGATGGAACTGGAATAAGCTTATTAGAATGCTTTGCAGCACATTGCACAAGGAAATATTGGCAGATGAGTTTGAACATGGGTAAAATAAGTACGAGAATGATTAGTGCCTCTTCTCATTCCAAGATAGTGTCCTCTATTAGCATGGATGCTGGAGATGCAGCTGCACGGAGAGCATAGTTTGATATGCCAGAGGTAGGAGATATTCCAGGGAGGGCCAGCCCTTCAACGCATTAGATCAAATGTTCTCAGCCCGAGGAGGACAATCCCTCAACTCTAAGGTTAAGTCTAAATAGCAGCCACTTCCTCTTTCCCACTAAATACTTATTATGAGTCAGGCCCTTGTCATTTGGGGTTTCAAGCCAATGATAATAATCTTTCAGTTTATATCGAATACTATTGGGACACCAAAGACTGACCAGAGCTCATTCTTTGGTTCTGAATTCCAAGATAGCCTTTATTATATGGTCCAAGATGAATAACTTCCTAACACTATCACTTGATATCTTTACACAAGAACATTTGCCTCCTGTGAATTGAATCCTAGAAATAAAATTGTGCAGGTATTAGGGTGATGCATTTACCTGAATCTGGCAGAAGCACTTTCGACACAGCTAACACAATTATGGAACGAGAGGAGGGTAGAGGTTGTGTTCCCTTTGTCTCTTTTTCAACTACAGAAATTACACTGTGGTAGCAGGATTTCCTTTAAATCTAGGTTTGATAGACATTCCATCTCCCTTTGCTCATTTTCACTTGCACATAATCTCAGTTATGTGACATATTACCAGAGAAGAGAGTCCTGCTTTTGCCTTTAGGTCTTTCGCAAGTTAACTGAAGAAAAGAATGAATTTTCAGATTGACTGTTATCTCACTAATCACATCTGCCCCCAAGTTAAGCAGTATCTACTTTGCCTTGCTCTGTCTAGACCTGACAGTCTAGACAAGAGTTAATGCTCATTAGCAGGCTGGAGAGGCCCCATGGACCTCCTTTGCCAGATAGTGTGATGTTTTCTTCTTCTGATAGAATTTGGAAAGAGGCTGCGACTACAGGTCAGGGAGGTGGACATGCAACAGGAAGCAGCCCTATTGTCCCCTCACTTGGTAACAGTCTCACAGTACAGCAACACATTCAGCTCCTAGGATAAAAGTAGGTGTTTTGCTTTAATTAAGACCAACAAAGACTTTTCTGTTCTCAATAGGCTTATATTTTTAGACACTAAGGTAAGGAGGAAAAGAACATTATCCTATTCTGTGCATAAAAATAAAGATTCAGCATGAACTGCATAATTAAGAACTGAAAGGGGGAAATACAATTCAATTAAAACTGACAGAATAATACACGGAATCAATGGCTTTATTTGGTGCTTAATGATGATACTGTTTTCATTTCATTATACATGAGTCATAACCAGCTTTGCCTTAGTGTAATTGTATTTTTTACAGAGTAAACCAAAGTATGCAATTTGTTATAGACTCATCAATTAAAAAGAGGCTGATTTAAGATGATCATAAGTTGATCCCTGAGACTGAAAGCAAATTTTTTCCATTCCAATATATTAACTTATTAGAATGATGAGTAATTTTAGGCAGGGGTGGAGAGAGGCATTGGTGGGGGAGGTGAAGATCAGTGAACAAATATTAAAGACTGATTTCCATGAAAAAAATGGCAGTAGTATGTTTTCCAGTGGGGAAATGATAGGGTGATGTATTTTTGATCCAGTGAGCTGAACAAAACATGATGGGATTTCGGGCTGGAGAAGAAATGTATAAAATGAATCATAATATTGACACAAAGCCAAGTGTAACAGGGAGATATCATTTCCATATGTGGCCTTCTAGCTATGTGGATTTTAAAATTGGAAAATGAGACCCAAGGAAAGCAGAAAGAAGAGGTTAAATTAGAAGTTAGGCTACTCGAGTACTTTCTGGAATTAATAGTGGAATATAGAACATGTTGCTGTGAGGAACATTCACTAAACTTCTCAGACGTCCTGCTCTGTGAGGTACAGACAACTGCTGGTGTTCTATGAACCCCACTGAAAACCCAATGTGAATTAGCAATGAATGACTATGCAGTCAGGATCGGAGAGGTTGGTCACTGCAAAATGTGTCTGACTTATGTCTTCATTCCATTAGTCATGTTGATAAAAGTTTCATATTTTCCATGCCTTGACTAAACTTCAAATGTACTGTATGAACAGGTAAATGAAGGGACTCTCATTTACCCATGACAACCCTGTGCTCCTCAAAAGCTGATAAGTTTGGGCCAGGGAAATAGTAATTTTCCCTTCATCGTGGGATCAAAGGGCCTACCCTGTCCTCCCTGGCAGACTTGTGCTGGCCACTCAGAACATACTGATATAGGCCAGATCTTCCCACAGTAAATATATCCTTCTAACTCATTTCTATTTGTTAATATTAGCGTAATCTTCTTTCTTACTGGGCCATGCTTCTTTGTGACTGGGCCATGCTGACAATGCCATTGATTCCTGTAGAGTGACCTGGAGTGGACAGAGGAAAAGCAAACCTAACAGAAAAGTATATACTCAGGAGTCTCAATGCCCACAAATGATAACACAAGAAGGCCTGTGCTCTGTAGATAGGGGAGACCATCTTAAATTCATAATAACTCATCTGTAAGAACCATTTTTATATCTTCTTAAATATCTTACATTTTCCTTTTTTGTTGTTGTTTTTACACATTGAAAATAAGATGTCAATATGCTGATCAGCAGAAAGGTTTTTCAGACACTTCCATAGATTATCCCTTAAATACTTGGCTTATCATTTAATCTTCTAATTATGATCTCCTAATCATAACCAGCTACTTGAGTAAATATGTACATATAGATATATGTATATAAATTAAGAAGACCATAATTAAATTGATACTACTCTTTTCAGGTTCTGGAATTGTTGGCAAATTACATAGTTTTTATAGGATGATTAGAAACAAGAACTATCAATTACAAAGCAGATAAAACTATAAAATTAGAGTAAATAAGACATGTACTATGTATGATTCGTATACTAGTTGTGACAGACAAATAGTGACCCGTTCAGACTCTCATTCATTGCAACCTGTAAACAGCACAATGCAATTGCTAGATGGCTACACAGGCTAGGGATGTAGTTAGTTGGTACAAAGCCATAAGTTATGCTGCCCTTGTTAGGATTCAAGCAAATAGCCTTGATCTTGTTGCACTCTGACTTAGCTAGCAGAGCAAGTGAATCACAGTTGGGAGACTACATTTGTTTGGAGTTGTAGCGTTCATTCATTCTTTTATGAATTCCTACATTCAACAAAAACGTTTTCTGCATCTCTTACGATTAAGGCATCATACTAAGTGCTAAATACTTCTTTTAATAAACACTTTATAGTACTTACTATGTGCCAGGCATTGACTCATTTAATTCTCATAATTACTCTATGAGGTGTGTTTCCCTCATTTTACAGATGAGGAAACTAAGTCACAGAGGTTGAGTAACTTGCCTAAGGTTACACGGCTAGTAAGTGGCAGAGCTGAGATTAGAACCCAGGCAGGCTGGCTTCAAAGTTAGTGTTCTTAACCACAAGACAGAGGTAGTCTCTGTTCTCCTGGAATTTACAGTCCAGAGGGAATACAGACAATAAACAGGTGAGCAAGAAAGAAACAAAAAATGATGAGCTGTAACAAGCAGGGTAGTGGAGGGTGATGGGTGGCTGCATAGGGTGGTCAGGGAAGTGACATTTACATGGAGGCAGGGTTGGTTAAAAGGAGCCAGCCCGGGAGCCCTGAGAGTATCCAGACCCTGGGAAGGCCTTGGATGCTCAAGAAACTCCACAGGGCTGCGGGGCTGCAGCAGGCAGTCATGTGCTTTGTTGCTTCAGGAGTGGGTAGGCCAGGCCAGGAGGACTCCAGGAAAAATGCCTGGAAGAAATTTTATGAGGCAGAGAAAATTATTCTCCTGGATGAGATAAAATATTCCTTCAGTATGGGGAGGTTGGGTGACGATGGGAAATAGATGGAAGGGGAGTAAGGAGGGCAGAGATGTGGGTGGGTTCCAGAGAAAGTCTTAGGGAAGGAGTCAACCCCCAAGAATCCAGAAGATACTGAGGTTGGGCAATCTGTTTCTTATATCCTAGGTTAGATGCCCATGGAAGCAACACCTACCTCTCCCACTAGAGTAACTGGCAGCACGTTATATTTGGGTCTTGGATAGTTTCACAGAGACTCTGGTGCCCCAGTACAGCATAGAAACCAAATAGTTCATGGTCCCCGGGAACATACGTAGTAGCAAGAACAGCCAGGCTTGAAGGGATAAACAGACAGCAATGAGAGATGTCTCAGAGGAGACTGTGTGTGGACAAATTGCAAATGCCCTCAGCAATGTCTTACTACTATGAAGGCTTCCCCTGGCCCCAGGATGTTAGGTCAACCCCAGGAAAAGCAGAGTTGCTGTTTGCTGGGGATTAACTGCCTGCTACCTCTGCAGGATAGAGGCTCAGAATGGAAAGGGAATAATGAAAAACTAAAGTTGGTCTCTTGCACATGTGCATTTATGGACTGAAGTTCCTACCTGCTTCATGTGGAGATATCTTCCAGGTTTGCTAAAAATTCACCTGCAGCGTGTATCCACATCCTGGGTTGATTACAAACTCTAAGATGAAAGCCAAGTCATCTGGAGGCAACATGTGTAACCCTGTGGGAGAGCTGTCTAACAGAAAGGAGCTCCATTCCTAGAAGTCACTGTTGATTCTGGAAATATCAGTGGGCTGTGATGAGGTTGAGTTTGAAAAAGTATAAGAGAATGTTTTAAGCCCTCTGAGCAGATAAAAACTGGTCTTAAAAAAAAAGGATGAACAGGTGAAGGTACCCACAGAGGTTTTAAAAAATTGTTAATTTTTAGTAAATTAAATTATTGATTTCCAAAAGAATACCTAGAAAGGAAGAGTTTGGAAAATGATTTTTATGGCTTCTAACTTGGATGGTGATTTTTCTGAATGAACTAATACTCTTTCAGGAGAGGAAAGGGCAATACTATTAATAGCAGCAGCTGCTAGAGAGAGAGCACTCTTCTGTAGTCTCTCTAAGAAATAGCTATTAAGGTTAAAGTGAATTGAATCCCCTCAATGGTGCTTGTTCCTAATTTACCAAGATGTACCTCTCCACATGGTGTGCGTGCATGAACACACACACACACACACAAACACACACACACTCTGTGAGTGCACAGGAGAGATACTATGCCTGGAGAGAGATTGGGGAACAATCTTCACTTCACTGCAAGGCTGGTGCACAGTCTCAGAGGGAGATGGTTTCTAACACTATCGAAAAAGTAGCTGGGATTACAGGCATGTGCCACCACGCCCAACTAATTTTTGTATTTTCAGTAGAGACAGGGTTTCACCATGTTGGCCAGGATGGTCGCGATCTCCTGACCTCATGATCTGCCCGCCTTGGCCTCCGAAAGTGCTGGGATTATAGGCATAAGCCACCGCGCCTGGCCAAGGTCATATAATTTTTATATTGAGAGTATTTGAAAATATATATGTTTTTACTAGTAGAAAAATTTATTTCAAAAAAATACAAAGCACATATGACAAAACATTAACATCTGTGATTGGAGTATGGGATCTTTTTAATTTCAGAAGTTGGAGGTAATACAGATTTTGGAGTTGATAAGGCTGGAATGTGACCAGGGGCATCAGTGGTTCAGATGATGTGAGGGAGAAGGTCTTTGGAGGTAAGGAGATCAAAGAACCAGTAATCCAGGTTTGGGATGGGTCATCCACACATGTATGGAAGGCATCGACCAAGAAGACGGTCATTAAGGTGCAGATGAAGATGACTCAGTCCTAAAAACTCACATAATAATAGCTAATATTTATTCAGTGCTTATCAAGTACCAGGCACTGCACTATGAATTTTATATATTATTGTTACATTCATTTTATAGATGAGAACAGTGAGGGTTACAAAGGCTTGTAAACTTTGCCAAGCACCACTGCTAGTGAGTGTCAAGTCTGTTAGTTCTCAGACCCAGACAGCCTGGCTCCAGAGCCTGCATTCTTTACCACTTTTCTCTCAGTATCTGTGAATGATGTAACTATGGCCAGGGGACAGAGAGCAGAGGGTACAGTGTGAAACTTAAAGAAGTGGGAGGTTTTGCAAGGGGAAGAGGAAGAAGTAGTCTTGAACAACTCAAAGTCTTGGCCTTGAGGCATGAGGAGTGTGAATGACCAACAGTCTCCACTGAAGGTAGCTGCAGATTCTAGACAGTGGTTTCTTCTAGGGGAACACAGGTTCCTCTTCGGGCAAGGAGGAGGAAGAACCATTCTAAGAAAAGGTGGAGAATATTGAAATACCCCAAGGCCAAGCAGGAGGGTGGATGGAGAGAGACAGGGTGAGGGAGGTAGCCAGATGCAGAGATTACATGAGGATGAAGATACTGGTGACAACTGCCAGGTGGGCTCGGCCCTCTGGCAGCGACATTGGTAAACACCATGGAGGCCATGAGGAGTTCGTTGCTGTACCTCTATTGAGGCAGCAAGTGGTAAAGCAGTGAGCATATTCCTTCCTAGAGCTGCAGTAACAAAGTACCACAGATGGAGTGGCTTAAACAACAGTAATCTATTGTCTCACAGTTCTGGAGGTTGGAATTCCAAGATCAAGGTGTTTGCAGGGTTGGTTCCTTCTGAGGGATGTTCCAGGCCTCTCCTTTGGCTTCTGGACATTTGCTGGTGATCACTGGCATGCCTTGGGGTGTAGAAGCCTCACCCCAATCATTGCCTTCATCCTCGCATGACATTCTTCCTGTGTGTGTGTCTGTGCACAAGTTTCCCATTTTTATATGGACCCCAGTCATACTGGATTAGGGCCCACCCTAATGACCTCATCTTAACAACTAATTACATCTGTAAGAACCCTATTTCCAAATAAAGTTGTGTTCTGAGGTCTTGCGGGGTAGAACCTCAACAATGGAATTTTGGGGAGACATTCCAGACTATATAACCGTGGTGTTAGGGGCTCTGCTCACTCCTGGCCACTCGCATTTGATTGGGAATCTGTTCTGAGCACCTGAGCATTCAAGGCACTTTCTGGGTATAGCAGGGAACATACAAATGAATGAAACAAAATCCCTGGCTTCCAGGGCCTGAACTTGGGGGAGGTAGAGAGAGTGGGTAAAGTATGACAAACTCAGATGCCTAAAACACAAGTCAGATCTGATTAATGCTGTAAGTGAGACGCCATCAGATTATTACATAAATTAAAAAATTAATGAGAAGGAGAGTGGGGCTTTGGACCTAATTTGGTTTATTTTTAAATTTTGCAGGTAAGGAATCTTAGTTCTAGAAATGTTAAGTGGCCTGCTGCAGGTCTGCCAACTGGAAATAAGCTCTTTCAGTTACACTATGTATATAAACACACATCCAGCCCCATTTTCTATTATGTCAAACATCTTTGAGATGTATTATTTTAAAAATTATTTTTATATAACTGGTCAGGAAAATGATTACCTAAACTTATGAACGTGAAGTAGCAAATAATGTTTAAAAGAAGTCAGAGACATTTCTATGACAGTGACTGAGCTGTTGACTAAATATTGAGTATAAATCTTCAACCACCCACTATCCACAGGTGCCAATCTGCCTACAGCTATACACAATTTATATAATTTGTATTTGATGCCAAAATACACTGTAAGTTTCTTGCATCCTTAAAAAATAAAACCATTAGCCACCTTGAACCACTGCAGTCTTCTTTTTCAAATATCCTTCACCTTCTTAAGTGAGGTAAGAGTAGCCTACCTGGGAGAAACGGCTGGGCTCTATGCAAAGGCCTGGATTCTTCACTGCATTGACAGATAAACATTGACAATTCCAAATTTTAAAAATACAGTGTTGAGTTAGGAGCCACTTGATAACTGTGGGAAGCAAAATGTCTGTTCTGAGTTTCCTAGGTGGGTATGGCTGGATTTGGCAGGCACTGTGAAGTGTGGTGTGGAAAGCCTAGGAAAAGAGAAAGAAGATGAAGGGGTAGTTGATCTTCCCCTTTTCTGGTTTCTAGTGAAATTTTTCAGGAAAGTGAGACTATCTTAGGAACATGGCAACAGAGAGTAAGAAGAAGAAATCTGGAATCAATTCAACATTGAATTTCTGATTTACAGTTTACAAATGGAAAATAAAACTGGCTTTATTATGGGCAACATTTAGGAAATAAGGCCACTAGGTTCAAGAGGGTCTGGTTCTCAGCATCAGAATTCCAGAGTTTGCTGTAAATTTGACTTGGGCAGTGATCCTGCCACTGGGGATGAGACTGCCCTCTTGTTTCTGGAAGTGAGGTGCAACAGCCAGACAGTGCACCACTGAGTCTCTGATTTGGGAAGGACAAATATACTAGGAAAAAAATACCTTGCTGCTTTCATGGTTCAAAATTTGTGATGAATTATCCACCTTTTTTTTTTTTTTTTTACCATAGTAATTAAAAAGTTCTTATAGCTCTTCATCTATTTCTTACCAACTGTCAAGTAATAGAGCAGCAAATCCTTATTCTAGCCTTTCCTTCGTTCACTCAAGATGCTTCAGTGTCTGATCACGTCAGTCTCTAAAATGTGTTTAATATGTAGCAGAGATATAATGATGGGGAAAAGAGACATGGTCCTTGTGCTCAGCATGGAGAGGGAGATGGATAGTCATGATATAATCTAGAAATACATAATTCCAAGCTGTAACAAGGTGACTGAGGAAGAAGGAAGAGAGCTGTGAGACTACAGCCTGTCCTCTGTATCCATGGGGATTGGTTCCAGGACTCCCTGTGGATACTTCAACCCCTCAAGTCCTTTACAGCCAGCCTGTATCCACAGCTTCTGCATCTGCAGATACTGATTGTATATAAAAGGGAGCTGATTTAGAGTGGGTAAACAGGGAAGACTTCCCTGAGGACATGACATCTGTGCTGAGTGCATAAAGGTCTAGAGGCATTAATGGGCACAATGTGGAGATGGGAGGTAGAGTGTGAGCAAGAAGGTTCCACACAGAGAACAAGTGCAAAGGAGCAAGGCTGGAGTAGGGGGTGGGGTGGGGTGGGAGCAGAACTGAAAAGGTCACTAGAGCAAGTGGGAGAGAGAGGCAAGAGAGGGGGCTGGAGGTGTGAGCAGATCAGGCAAGGGCAGTAATCTTTCTGAGCAATGGTAAGCTATTACAATTTTTAAGTGAGGGGCAAAAGATTCGGCTAGCATTGTAGGACTTTCCCCACAGCTGCAGTGTGGAAGATCAACAGGAGGAAGGCATGAGAGGAGGCTGGAGGACCAGGAGAGAGAGGATGTTGCAGAGTAATGAAGGAGATGGAGGAAGGGGATTGGGTCAAGAAATATTGAGGTAGAATAGTTTTAGAATCTGCTTTTTCCACTTGACATATTGTGAATCTCTGTCTTTTTATTTTTTTTAAAATTTTTGCCTGATTTCATTTTTTATTGGATTATTATGTTTTCTTTTTCATTTGTATTTTTTTTTCATTTTAAGTTCCAGGATACATGTACAGGATGTGCAGGTTTGTAAAAATATGGAATGCTTCACGAATTTGCGTGTCATCTTTGCGCAGGGGCCATGCTAATCTTCTCTGTATCATTCCAATTTTAGTATATATGTGCTGCTGAAGCGAGCACTGTGGTCTGTCTCTACATTTCAAAAATGTTGATCTCCATAATCAGGTCTCTATGATAGTTCCTTGTATGGATCAATTATTACATATTCAATAATCTCCTACCGATGGACTTTTTTTCAATTACAAATGACTCTGCAAATTGTATTATGTATTAATTGTCTGATTGTTCTCTTAATGGATATTTTATATTAGTTGCCAAACCAACTCTCGGAAACATACTAGTTTATTCTCTCACTAATAGTGCATAAGACTTCCATTGTCTATCCCCTTTCAAACCCTAGTGTATTGTCAATCTTTTTAATTTTAGCTGGCTAATAGGTAAACAAAATTCAGTATTTTAACTTGCATTCTTCTGATTACTCATGAGACTGGCCATCTTTTCATGTGTTTACTGACCATTTATATTTATTATTTTGTAGATTATCTATTTCTTTTGCCTATTTATATCTCAGGATATTCTTTTCCCTGTTGATGAAACATAACTTTTTTGTAACCCTTTGTCATATGTACATAGCAAAAGTGTTTGCTAGATTTTTGTTCGCCTTTTAATCTTGTTGACAGGGTTTCCTATTCTACTTTGTTCTGCTTTTACCATATGTATATTTTTTTCACTTCTAAGTAGAGTCTGTCATCTGTCAGTGGTTTTCTTTATGGTTGTAGTTTTGTTGATATATTCAAAAGGCCTTCCTCACTCCAAGCCTAGAAAAAGGTTTTCCAATGCTATATTTTCTATTATGAATGTATTTGGAATTCAGTGTGAGGAGTAAGGGAGGGATACTTATTTATTTAGCAAGCACCTAGGCAATTGTCTTGAATAACCACTATTTCCTTCCCTAACCTAGGCAACTGTCTTGAACAACCACTATTTCCTTCCCTGATTAGAAATGCTATCTTTTTTATTTACCAAATCCCCAAATACATTTGAGCTCAATTCTGAACTCTGTATTCTGTTTTTGATCTCTCATCCCCTGTGCCAGATTCACGCTGTTTTAATTACTGTTATTTTGTAACACAGTTTTTATATCTGGCAGTGCAGTTTTATCCACATTATTCTTCTTTGTCAAGTCTTCCTGGTTATTTTTAAATATTTATTCTTCAAAATGGATTTTAGAATTATTTTCCCAACTTATACAAAAATATCCTGTCGCAAGTTTGGTAGGACTTAAATTACATTTTTACGTTTGCTTTACTCTAGCATTCTGGGCCATTACAAATTTTTTCAAATAGTGGCTGAAGTAATTTAATTTGCAATCAAGTAAAATTTGGCATATATTGTGACCTATCTTTCTGAAATATATGAGAAACAGGCAAGCTGTATATTATGTATTTCACTAAATCACTATATGGTTCTAGATGATTTATTCATTCCACACATATTTACTGAGCTAAGCATATGCTGGGTGCTGTTTCGAGTACTGGGATACATGGTGAATGGGCAGGATCCCTGTTCTCATATTCCAGAGGGCAGAAGCAGTGGAGCTTGCCTTTGACAATAGATGGGGTGGGGGTAAGGGTGGGAAGGCCTCAGTGACTGCAGACGAGTCTTTCCAAAAATACTTGCTTGGAAAGGAAGAAAGGAAATTGAGTGGCAGTTGGTCATGGGGGCAAGGAAGGTTTTTGTTTTATTTTTAAGATGACTGTTACTGGAGCATATTTATGTGCTGCAAAATGATCACCAGAAAGAGAGAAAATAAATATACAGAAGAGAAAGGAGATGCTTGCAGGATCCAGCTCCTTCAAGGTGAAAGTAGGTGGACTGTACTCCACAAGTGGCATGTTAGCTTTTGATAGAAGGAGCAAATTAATAATAGAAATTTTAGAAAGAGTGGGCCCAGGTACAAGCAGATTAGTGTTTATTTCACTGTGGAAACTAAAGAGGTGTTTTTGCATGGGCAATAACCACATTTATACTACTATACTAATTATTCATCCATTTCAGCAAGAATGGGGATGTTTTATTCCAGTGTTAAGCTTAGATGTCATAACTTCTTTGTTGGAAACTGAATTTTATGGGGCTGAAAGCAGTGCTTAGAACAATGTCTGGGACATATATGACACTTAATATTTATTGAATAAGTATACAAATTCATTTTATATTGCTGAATGGAATTTTCATACTGTCTAGGTGATGTCATATCTCCTATACAAAACTGTCCTGATTCTTAGTACTTCCATGTCAGTATGTAATATTTGTAACTTCACCATATGGTGTAGTAGAAAAGGCATTGAACTTGGAAACAGAAGGCTTGGATTCAATCATCTGCCTTGCCAGTTTGTAGTTACTTAAAGCTGGGGAAGTTATTTAGCTTCTCTGGGTTTTACTTTTCTCGTTGTAAAATGAGCCAATTGGGATAAATCAGTGGTTTTCAATCCTTTTAAACCATTGGATATTTTCTTCGTATGAAAGGTTTTCTGGAGCCTACTATGTAAAGCAGGTAATCGAGGACTCCTCAGACGAAAGTAGAGATGTGAGAGGGGGAGCCCCACCCATCCTGCAGCAGTGTCCTTGAGCCTGTCTCAACCCTGCCTTCATTTTGCTGTGAGGGGACCCTGAATGGAACTTCTCGGAGCAAAATTTACAGACCTCATAAGATGATCTCTAAGGTCTTTAAGAATTGCATAAACGATGGCATGTGCTACCTGATGTGATTTTAATCGTCCTGTGAAGTAAAGAGTGCATGGTACTATTATGTCTGTTTCACGGATGGGAAAACAAGGTTCAGAGTTTATCATTTTCTGTAATTTCTTGCCTAGTAGATGGAGGAGCAGAGATGAAAGCCCCAGTCCTTTTGTTGCCGTCAAATGATTTCCCTCACTGGCTTTCTGTTGGTTCAGGGAAGACTCTGACTAAAATACCTGAAAGAATTTCTAACTTGTATTACTGTTCGCATCCACACGCATGTCATAAAACCACTTAAAAGTGTTTGCCTAAATGTTTTTCCACACCTGAGTTAGCTAAGTTACAGAACCTTTAATCAAATTGTGAAAAATAATGAGCTGTGAGGAATCATTATAATTTCTCAACAGAAATCTCCAAAATGCAAATCAAATGAATTGGCTGAGCACTTAAATCCGTTTAATTTTGAAATTAGTTCAATTTTTGAAATAATCTTCAGATTGAGACAGATGAGGCATGCAGTCCTACTTATTGTCAACCATAGTAAAATAAGAAATCAGTTTTAACCCAAATGCATACTGAGAAATTAAAAGTTAATCAAGACTAAACATTGAGTTGGAAGGGGTTGACAATTGGGGTTGCCACATCAGATAAGGGCTGTCACTCCAGATTAACTGTCCTTCCCCTAGTATGTTCTGTACTCTCATCTTTGAGTTTCTACATGCTGATCTTTCTCTTGGAACACTCTTCTTGGCCAGATAAAAATATTACTCATCCATCAAGGCTCATTTCATAAACTGCTTCCTCTGTTTAGCTCACTCATCCTCATGGCGCCTCCTCCTTCCTGGACAGAATTAATCTTCTCCTTCCCCTGTGAACTCCCCTGGAACTTTGCACTGTAGGTATAGCACTCTTTACACTACCGTATAGCTAGCTATAAAATCTGTCTTCCTTGCCAGGTTTTAATTTCTGCAAGGGCAGAGAACATTAAATATTGTAAGGGTTTTTTTTTTTCCCCACTATAAAAGTAACATTCACTCAATGAGACAAAATTTGGGAAAATGCAACAGAATTTAAAATGAAAAAGAATCATTTCACTTATCCATTGCCCCTATACAATCAGGGCTTAGAATTTGAAATAATTCATCTAATGTTTCCTCCACCGTGGACAAGCATTGAGTTTAATTGGGTAGACATTGTTGATTTCAAAGCACTAGAAGACTGTAAATCTCTCTGTCTCTGTATAACTCTTGATGTACAGTGCAGTTGGCTGGCAGACATATAATGATGTCTATGTATACACACACAATTCTGTAGATATTTAGAATAAAGAAGGGGTTTGCTCAAAGTATGGACAAGCCTGTTTGGAAAGTATTTCATGAAGGCACTTGACTCTGTAAATCACATGCGTCCTTATCACAAAATTTAGCCGACTTTAATGAATTCCAACTGTTTTGTCAAGTGAGAACAGGTTATTTATTGAATTGAGCAAACTGACACATATCCCAAATGGTGAATACATGCTCCTGTAGGTTCTCACAGTTCCTGAGGGTAATCAGGAACGAGTACCATGTTGCCTTGACAGATTCATCATTGCACTGAAGAACATGTTGCTGCAACTTTGAGTTCAGACCCTGGTAATTGTCTACCTCTGGCTTCCCACTCTTCCATTCTCCACTTCTTTTGGTAGGACTGACAGTCTTTGCTGTGGTAAGAAAGCTGGGCTCCAGAGCTGCAGTCTGAGAGGCGTGCTTGCCATCAGGACCACATTGTTGGTCATTGGCATTAGTTCACTCTAATAAACATCAACAATGACATGGAAGCTGTTTTATTTGTGAAGGTTGAATAGATGTATGGATGAAAATAGATCAATGATACCAGAGTTCCTGGCTGACAAAAATTGAGATAGTACCAAATTATTCACCCACAGGATACTATTAATTTAGGCACTTTCATATTTATAACTTTTTTTAAGTATAAGAGTTATAACAGTTCCTTGTAGAAAACTTTGTAAAATGTAGAAATGGATAAAAACATAAATCAAAATCAACTATATACCTGCCACACAGAAATATTGACTCACAACATTTCATATATTTTACTTTCAATCTTTTTCTCTTAATATACAGATACATGAGATCATATTGTATATAAATATTCTATCCTTTTTTAATTTAGCTTTTTTGATATTTACGTTTTGAGATAGATCACTTTTAAGTAAGTAAATATTCAAACATTTTAAAAGCTTAACATTCTGTCAAAAGGATGAAATAAAATTAATTGAACCATTCTTCTATTGTTCAATAGCTAGGCTGGTTTCACTGTTTTCAATGCTAGATATAAAATTTCAAAGAACATATTTCTATGTAAATTATCATCCAAATTTTAATTATTTCCTTAGGGGAATTATGTATTACAGGAATTATTACACCAAAGGGTGTCTTAATTCGTTTGGGCTTCTACAACAAAGTATCACAAATGGGTGGCTTATCAACAACAGAAATTTATTTCTCATAGTTCTGGAGGCTGGGAAGTCCAAAATCACATCATAGGCAGATTCAGTTCATTGTTCATAGATAGTGCCTTCTCCATGAGACCTCAAAAGAAAGGAAGGGTGAGAGTGTCTCTCTCAGGCCTTTTTTAAAAAGGGCACTAATCCCTGTGAGACCTTATAAAAGGGCCTAATCAATGGCTAAGTCAACTGCCAAAGGCCACACCTCCAAATATCCTTACCTTGGTGATTAGGTTTTCACATATGAATTTTGAGGAAACACAAACATTCAGACCATAGCAAAGGATAGGAAGTGTCTAAGAGTCTGTATTTATTGATAAATTTCTGACCAGAGAAGTTAGAAACATTTACCCTTTTACAAGTAATTGTTGCAGTATATCCTCAAAAAATATTTGAAATGTTTGCTATTTTGGTAGGTATAAAGCATACCTTATTTTTTAAGATTACACTCAATTACTAGTGAAGTTAATTTTTTTTTACATGTTAATCCACTTGCATTTTCTATGTAAACTGTTAATATCTTTTTTTTTTTTTTTTGAGACAAAGTCTCACTTTGTTGCCCAGGCTGGAGTGCAGTGGTGCAATCTTGGCTTACTGCAAACTCCACCTCCCAGGTTCAAGTGATTCTCCTGCCTCAGCCTCCTGAGTAGCTGGGACTACAAGCACGTGCCACCACACCTGGCTAATTTTTGTATTTTTAGTAGAGATGGGGTTTCACCATGTTGGCCAGCTGGTCTCAAACTCCTGACCTTGTGATCTGCCCACCTTGACCTCCCAAAGTGCTAGGATTACAGGCATGAGCCACTGCGCCCAGCTGTAAACTGTTAATATCTTTTATACAGGGTCTTTGTGTTCTTCATAACTATGGTAAGGTTTTTTTTCCCCAAATTTTTTTTTGCCTTTTCATTTCATTTTTTTTCCTTGAGGTATGGTCCATTATGTTCGTTGATATTACATATTTTTACTGTCCATTTTTGCCTTTTGATTTTGATGTTTTGAGTGTAGTGAAATATATCACTGGTATATATTTCCTTTCATATATTTATGCTTATAAAATGTATCTCCTTCAATTAAAGAATCTTCCTAACCTAAGTATGGATATTTATTTGTATTTTAATCTATATTCTTGTTTCTTTTCTATGTTTAAATCTGTTTTATTTTTTGTTCTGTCTTATTGCGTTAACAAGAGCTTACTGACAGTCTCACATAATCATGGTGATAGTAAGCATAGATTTATTTTGTTTGCCATTAGTAGATATTGGCTGTCAGCTTAAGGTAAATATAGTTTATTATGTTAAAGTTGTTGACTTATATTCCTTTTTCTACTACAAATAAAATTTGTATATTATGATGAATTAAAGGCAGGTTTGGAGGTAAGATGTTGGGCATGTTCTTTAGCGTTTCTAAACGTTAATTATTAAATGGAGTCTGTGATGTTATCTTCTTGATAGGGTTAATGAGACGGTAAAAGGAGATAATGCATCTAAACCCCTTAGCTTAGGGCCTGGAAACTAGGAGGTGTTTAATAAATGTCAGCCATTATTTTTGCTATTCTTAGAAAAAGGTGGGAATTTTGTGAAATTCCCTGTATTTATTGAGCTAATCATATCACGCTTAATACTAATAGATATTCTTGTATTGATGGGATAAAGTACTTGGCTTCAGTGGATTTTTATTTTTATATGCTCTCAAATTTGCTTTTTAGTTTTTTTAAAGGTAAATATTAATGTTGGGCTTTTAATAATCCTTAAGCTGGATGTTATCCATGAAAAAAATTGGTTATTATTTGGGGCTAAGCCATGAATGCTAAGAGAATCCTGTAGATTCTGTAAGGAAATAAAATCAGTATCTCCTTGAATTACCTATCAGATACTTATTTAGTGCTCACAACTATAGTCGAAAGACAATGACAGCCAATCTTTTTGGCTACAAAGGCCTAGCAACCTTTTTGTTTAGGTTTTCTAATATTATTGGTAGGGATTACTTGAGAAAAGATGCTACATTGTAAGACAGCACACTGGTTTTAAGTTTTCTCGGCATAGGGCAGGCATTTCTTTCTACCTTCAGAAGATTTATTCCAAAAATTGAGATTGAAATATTGAAGCCTGTGTTAACTTATTGTCAGAATTAGCCTGAACTGGGGCCATTTATCAATACAATTCTTATTTTCGTTCTCCTGATGAGATACAATGAAAAAGTTATGAATGATGATGATAAACGATTTTAATCTTCTTTTGGATTGAACATTCAGTGCAGCATTTTTGGAATGATTTACTATTTTTAAAGGTCTCTAATGTGAAGATACCTGGTAGCCTGAGACAGTCTATTCACAAGAGTTTTGTAAGCCATTTTCACCCATCTGTAAAAATTCGAGAACCACCACCCCCTGTTTCTCTCAATTAAGGGAACAGGAATAAGCAGATTTGTTTTATGGTTTCTTTTCAGAAAAGAGAAGAAAGGTGTCTGTGACACACTTGTGTGCATGGTAGGGGAGGCTTCTTCTGAGATCTGGCAATCTCATATATGGGATCTTCAGGTCACTTAGGAACATTTGAATCATGTCCCGTTCTTCCCCTACTACTTCAGCTTCTCCCTCTCCCCATCCTAGAAACTTCCACTGAGGCTGAGCCTCACCATGGCTGTGCTCAGGAACTCTTTTCAAAAGAGTCTGTCTCTCCTTTCAATTCTGGAGGCATGGAAAAACAAAATGACTCTTTTTAATGTACTGAAAATAATATCAACTTAAAAATTCAGATTCTAAATGTATCTCATTTTTCTGTTACTCTCAGTAGAATTTCAGATATGTAAATATTTCAGGTAACTGAAATTTTCTGTCTTCAGCACCAGACCTTCATTAGAATGTATTTTTTATTTTTTATTTTTTTTTAGACAGAGCCTAGCTCTGTCTCCCAGGCTGGAGTGCAGTGGCACAATCTAGGTTCACTGCAACCTCCGCCTCCCGGGTTCAAGCGATTCTCCTGCCTTGGTCTACCAAGTAGCTGGGATTACAGGCCCATGCCACCATGCCTGGCTAATTTTTGTATTTTTAGTAAAGACGGGTTTTTACCATGTTGGCCAGGCTGGTCTTGTACTCCTGACCTCAGGTGATCCACCTGCCTTGGCCTCCCAAAGTGCTGAGATTACAGGCATGAGCCACCACGCCTGGCCAGAATGTAACATTTTTTATTGAACTAATTCCCAAAGGTATTGCCACTTCTCTTTAAAAATAGAAGATACAGAACATAATTGAACTTTTGATGGTTCAGTCTTTCAGATAAGCATTATTGATGATACTGTGCTATAATAATATAAGTAAGTGCTTTTGTGGTCATTCGTTATGGGTCCAGCACTGTTCTAAGGGCCTTTCAACAAATAAGTTATTTACTTCTATGTTTACTTAAATATAACTCTATGTCATAGGTACCATGATTGCCTTCATTTTACAGGGAGGAAACTGAGGCCCAGAGAGATTGAGAAGCTTGTCCAAGACCGTAATCTAGTCAGCAGAGAAGCTGAGATTCAAACCCATGCTGCCAGAGTTCACAATCTGTGCCTTCACCACCATATTATATTCTTTCCTCCTGCCTTACACGGTGGATGCCTCTGGGCTGGCAAGGGCTGTTTGCCTTATTACTGTTCATTGTGAGTTCTTACATCTGTATGTTAACATGTCTCCTTAAGCTTCCCTGCTATCATCTACTATTTCTCAACATTTTTACTCTTCCTGCTTTTCAATTTGCTGCCATTCACAGGATTTGGGCTGGAAAATCAGAATAAAACTTATTAGAATTGTGTACCATCACCAAGTATGAATTCTGCAATAGGTTTAGTTTTGGATAAGGAAGAAAAACCAGAATTTTGGAAGTACCTAGTACAAAGAATAATAATAGCAATTATGTGTTGAGATCTGACATTCTACATTAGATACTTAACCCTGTTACCACATTTAAAGCCCTGGACAGCTCCCAAAGTGGGGACTATATTCCCCATGTTAAGAGTGGGAAACTACCACTGGAAGGTTAAGGGATTTGATGAATCTACCCTCAGCTAGTAAGCTGAAATAGCCTAGGACTTCTTGACTCCAAAGCCCTTTTCTCGTTCTACTTTTTGGCCATTACGTTTTACTCTAGTTTCTTTAGCAAACACTTTTCAATTTAAGTAATCTTTCTTATTGTTAGCCTAATCACTATGATGCATTTAGAAGAATGTTTTGAAGTGTAGACTTAAGGAGGAAAGTGATCCGAGGCTTTATATCAATAATACTATAAGAAACTTTTTGAAGGGTGATTTAAAACAGTCCATGATGTTTGTAATTTTAATAGCAATGAAATGATGGATTGGAGTTAGATGTGTCTGAAGTTTAGAAGTCAGCAAGGCATCGTTTCAGTAGAGCATGTGGCATGGATTAGGGGAAGAAAATGGGATTGATGAGCAAGAGATAGAGCCAAGAGACGTTTTGGATATGGAAGTAGCAGAAGTTGTGACCATACTGGGGGGGGTAGTAGTGACAGAAGGGTCAAGGACAGCTTTGAAATTTCCAGTTTATTTGAATTGGTAGAAGAGATCTCATGTGTTGAGATGCGGAATATAAAAGATGAAACAACTTTTGAGAGGGAAGGTCAGTTTTATTTTAAACATTTGAATGTGCTAAACTTGTGGGATGTTCAAGAAGAAATCTCAGACATCTGAAAATGAGGGTCTGTCTTCTGACAATATTTGCAGCTCTTAGAGATTCTACAGGTTCCTAATGAGCAACTTGAATGGTGTTTTTGATGAAGGTGTATTGTCTTGTATATCAGACATTTTTGGATTGCCTCTCTAACATCCATCTCCCTTTTGTCTCTCTTGAAATTACTTTCCCATAGAACATGATTGGTGAATTTCTAATGTGCTTTGCATCTTTGCAGCAAGATAATTTTATTTATTGCAGACAACTAGAGTGGTACCTCTCTATTCAAAGAAGGCAGGTAGGATAGGAGAGCAAGATAACCCTGAGGTCGCATAACTTTGGAATTTTGTAAGAACTACAAATAAATAGACCCACTCCAAAATTTTCTATATTTAGGGAACAGACTAACATTACTTTTTGTATTATTCCTTGCCCAAATGATTCTTTCAGTGAGTACCCAAGTAAAATGCCTGATCAGAGATTAAATGAGAAATTCACAGTACATACCTTTAAATCTGCTTGTTAGGCCTAAAAATAATGTCTTACTTATAATTACAAGTTTCAGTGTGTTTCAGAATCTTTTTTCTTAGCTCCAAGCATCTTTGTCCTCTTCAAATGACTGACAACTTGGTGATATTTAAATTTCTTCTTTAAGTGTGATTTAGTTTAAAATAAGCACATAGGTAAGCACAAAAGTGCTTTAGCATGCTTCTTTAATATGAGAAACACCCCTGTCCTTAGGGGCTGGCAGATTTATGTCGTTAGATGAACAATAATTACATTAATAATTTGAAGGGCTAATTAGCATTTTATAGTAAACACATTGTTCATCACACTAAAAGTATGGCTATATGCTTTCTGCAAAATAACTGCTTTTCAAAATCAGAAGCCGTTTATATTACTTCAGCAATATATGCTACCAACTGACCAAGAAGTATTTCTGTGCTGACTTTTTTCTAAATCTTGAGTCTTTTTTTTGTTTTGTTTTGAGATGGAGTGTCGCTCTTGTTGTCCAGGCTGGAGTGCAGTGGCACGATCTCGGCTCACTGCAATCTCTGCCTCCTGGGTTCAAGCGATTCTCCTGCCTCAGCCTCCCAAGTAGCTGGGATTACAGGCATGTGCCACCACGCTGGGCTAATTTTGTAGTTTTAGTAGAGACGGGATTTCAACATGTTGGTCAGGCTGGTATAGAACTCCTAACCTCAGGTGATCCACCCACCTCAGCCTCCCAAACTACTGGGATTACTGGCATGAGCCACTGTGCCCGGTTGTCTTGATAATTTTTACAACAAAAGTTGCAGAAATTAAAACATGAAAATATGGACTGGCTTTAATTTCTACTTGGGTGAACAACAACACAAAAGCAACCCATACTTTGTCCTCTGTTTTTCATATACTTCACTCTTTCCAGTGTTTCTTACTTAATTTTACTATGGTATTTATAATATATATGTGCGGTTTGAATTCACCTCCTCCCCTTTTCTTTCCACGGTCTCATGAAATGCAGGAAATTGCCATGGTTATTTCTTTGTTGCATTAACTCCTGAAAATACACTGATTTCACTTTAGTTTTTGCAAGCTCAAAGCTAACTGTGGATAAATTCAAGAAGACTTTTCATCAGGATATTGGCCTTCCTCCCCTGAAGCCCCCTTCAGGGGGTTTTATCTGCCTGCAGCCACTTTCAGTACTTCCCTAACCCACAGTCGCAGCAACTCTAAATCGACAGTCTTGTCAGAGCAAATGATCTAAAATAAACATCCGCGTGTCTGCCTGCATTAAGAATCCTGACAAGGATGCTTTGCCTGTATCAACTACAAGCTGACAGTCCTTAGAAACACTTTGCTTATTGCCTTGGTTCAGTGGCTGAGGGAGAGTAGCTATAAGGCCTGAAGTCTAATTTTGAATGGTTAAGGATGTTAAAATCCAAATGAAACCATCAAAGACCTACCTCTCTGCTTTTCCTCCTCTTGACAGGTTTCTCAATTGTAATAGTTATCTCATGTATGTGAAACTCTTGGATCAGTCAGCAAATTACATCAGGACACTCCAACAATACTATTTTGTATACAAAGACACTAGATGAGGAAATAAATGTAAATATCAAGCCCATAGTTTTGCAGGCAAGGCCCCTTTCTGATGTTTTCTTAGCTACATAATGCCCACTAAAACTTTATCTTTGGGATTCATACTGGGAACTATCTCACGATACCAAAAATTATCAGTTAATAATAGATACTCTGTCTATGTGGCCCTAAAGAATATTCCATAGACTTTCCTTTTCTCTAGTAAGCTTTATATTGTGGAGCCTAGAAAGAGAAAAGACTCTAAGTTTGTATATTCTGTATCTTAAAGCCAGAGAAGTCAATGCAATCCTGGGAAGGGACTTTTCTATTAATGTTCTAAGGTTTGGCATCCTCAATAAAGCGATTAATATTTCAACATTACAAGTTTCTCAAAGAGCCCTAAGAAAAATTTGAAGGGAGCATAATAATGCTTCACAGCTGTTGAAATTTTATGTGCCCAGCACAAATTAAGGAGAAATTGCTTGATTATTATTAGGCTTAGCTGATCTATTAAAATAGCCAGTTGAAATAAAGAGAGCCACTCTTCTGCGGTAATTATCTAAGCTGATTATCTGTGTTAACCATATCTGAGTCATTATCATTTTTATATATCATTTCAAGAGATACAGCCTAAAAGCCTGAAAATTATAAGGGGAAAAACCTAATTGTAGATTTTCTTCTTAAATTTTATTTTTATATCATATTTATCTAAGTAATCTCAGGAAGTCTTTAATACTATACGAAAACTACCGAGAGGGGAGAAAAAGGCCACCATTTAATTTATTATAATATTTTCTTAAATCACTTGCAGTATATATTCTATTCCTGGCAAACAACCCTGAGTGTCTCATATTAATTGTGCTTAGAGTGTGGTTGTTTCCTTAAAATACACCCCAAGTCACATCTAAGCTGAAGCACCAAATGCCAGTTCTTTAGAAATTAATTTTGAAAAAAGCAGAACTATTTCCCTTATTATCTACCTGAAAGTTTTGTTACATTTGATCTAAATCAGAGCTTTTACTAAGACAAAAAGAATAGTCACCAGTCGTAATGGTTAATTTTACGTCAACTTGACTGGGCTGTGGCATGCCAAACATTTGGCCAAACATTATTCTGGATGTCTTCATGAGGGTGTTTCTGGATGAGATTAAAATATGAGCCAGTAGACTGAGTAAAGAGGATGTTTCTGGATGAGATTAAAATCTGAGCCCGTAGACTGAGTACAGCAGCTTGCTCTGTCCAACGCGAGCAGGCATCATCTAATCCGTTGGATGCCTGAATAGAATAAAAAGGCTGTGTAAGGGGGAAGTTTGCTCATTCTGCCTGTCTTTGAGCTGGGACATCAGTCTTCTCCCACCTTTGGACCTGAACTTGGACTGGAACTTTCACCATTAGTCTTCTGGGTCTCTAGTTTGCTACCTGCAGATCTTGAGACTTCTCAGGCTCAGATACACGTCTACCATTGGTTCTGTTTCACTAGAGTACCATGGCAAATACATCAGCTGATGAAAGTCCACAGAATTTTGAAAATGAAGGTGTTTCATACACCTATTATATTAAAATTTAATTTAGAATGCCCATACAAGTATTTAATCTGCTCCTGGGGTAGAATGAGCCAATAGTGAGCAATCTGTTCTTCAGTATTTTAGCCATTTCTGATGTGAACAGAGCCCTGTTGACCCTTGGGAATCTACTAGGAAAACGGGGACATCAAAGGAACTCCTGGGTCCCCCACAGACTTTCTCAGCTTAAGAAAGGTATAGATTTCTCCTGCTTGGGTGGACCCTTCCTTAAAGTCCTGACATTTCAAAAATGTGAAGTAAATAAGTCATTAGTTGTCAGAATGTGAACCAGTCTAATTAGTATAAGAGTTAGTAAGTGGCCCAATATGTGCAGGTCTGTGGAGTGAACCGTAACATAGATCCAATACATAATTTCTTCCCTCAAGATGTAGGCCCACAATGTAAAAAACAGATATATCGTAATATTAAGAAACCCATGATAGAATGTGCAAATGAGCTGCTGAGGTAGGAATCCCTAATCTTGATTTGGTGACAGCCAAATAAACTCCATTTACTAAAAAAAGGGATGTGTGCGCTGGTTGTAAAATATTTAAAAATATTAATTTTAGTTCATTTTAATTTAAGAAATAAAATATATTTCTGAAGTGGTCACCAAAGACTTAACAATGCGGCCAAGTAAAAACTCAAAGTGGATTGGGCTCTCGGTGGACAATCTGAAGGAAGGCTAAGAGGCTGGCCACTTATGAGGCTTCGCGTGTCTGATGAAACCTGAACAAGATACAAGTAATGGAAACTTATGTGGCCAGGTCTAATGTTTCAGTTCTACTGAGGCTGCCTCCTGGTTTTCTCCCTGTTGTTCTCCCCTGTTCCATTGTAATAGGGTTTATCTGGGGGTTTGACTGCCCAGCTAGAGGCCAAATTCCCAGACTCCTTTGTGGCTAAATATGGTCATGAAATTCTGTTTCTCCAGTGAAATGTGAATGGGTGTACTAAGTACAACCTCTACAACAAATTGCCCAGAAGGAAATTACCTGGTTCAGACTTACTTTTCTCACTTTTCTGGTGAGGAAAAGGCAATGGGGATGAATCAGTTTTGACCGTGTAAATTCTAAGGGCTCCAAGCTGGGTGGGACTCATGTCCCTGAATGACCTCATGGAGCAGAGCTGCCTCACTTTCTGTCATGAAAGAAGAATAAATTATTCTCTACTTTTCTGGTCGTATCAGCTAAGCCTTTATTGAGCCTAGCTAATACAGCTACTTATCCTTCTTAATGAAACAGCAGAAGAATCCTTCAGTTTACCTCATTGTCTCCTCTGATACCTCCCCTCCACACATAACCAACTCTGCCTGCATACGCACCTATTCCTAGCCATTATCTCCCTGATTCCTGACCTTGTGAAAGCTGTTACACCCTCAGATAGCTCACAAGTTATAAGAAGAATCTTGTGAATAACTTAAAGTTATACCTCCAAATACACACACATGCTAAACTTATTTTACTCATAAAGAAACTGTCTTCAGAGTACCTTTTCTCATCAATAATCCCATCAAAGTTTAGGGCTTAAGGTTTTTAATATGTTTATTTTTATTTTCTCTTTTTATTTTCTCTTTGTGTGTCTCACATATACATTGTATGTGTTTTTAATAATAATTTAGAATAACTAATGATAAGTCCAATAAAAGGCAACTTTTTTGAAGGAAATATCAAATTGGAAAACTTCAGTTTTCAAAAGAATCAGCATCTAAGAAGCTCTCCATTTATGTTCCATATTTAATGCTAGAAATCTCTCTTAGATAATGTGAACAGTACTACTAGTAGTTTGGAGAAAAGTAACTCTCTAAAAAATAGCAAGATAGGTAAATTTTGTATCAAAATGTGAACCAAAATTCCTAAAAATGTACATGTAAAAATTCAACAAAAATATATAACCCTAATTCCTTTTTTTAAATTAAGGGATTTGTTGGTTTGTAGAAATGCTGCCTTAAGTGATTTTAGTAGTGCTGCTTTGTATCTTTCATACATTTGATATGAAAATCAGGATAAGGAACAAAATCCTAGTCACTAGACTACTAGGGGGCTCAAATTCTATAATATTCTCTGCAAAAATGAATAAATAACCTTTCTGAGAATTATAGATGAAGTTATTTTGTTAATAAATGCAATAATTCATATATTTTAAGCAGTCAATGTACTATTAGGTTACTATTAGGTGTTATTTTAAATGTTGATAATTAAATTTTAATCATTGAATCTTAAATAAAACTTAAATAATTAAGTCTATACAAAGAAAGATGGTGGTGGAAGGATAATGCAGTTGGATACTTAACTTTTTTCTTTTACACAAGATAAGCCCTGGAAAATGTAAGAGATTAAAGACAGTAGTAGTGAAATGGTTGTTCTGGTTCCTGATATTATTAAAAGTGAGAAAAAAAATTTAAGGGCAGTGTCTGGCATATGGTATCCTGTTAATTAAAGTTTGTTATTAAATGAATGAATAGTACCTCCTAGGGAGGGAACGGGGTAATGGGTGACACTTGAGTTGGTCTTTAAAGGATGAAGAAGGAGTTGACTAGATGGATGGAAGGGGAAGATAAGGAAGCATTCCAGGTGGAGAATAGCACATACAAAATACTGAAGAATGAAACGGCTTCCTTGTTCAGTGACCTACAGGAAGTCTGTGAGATGGACGAAGGGAGGGTGGAAGTAGCACGAAGTAGCACGAAGGATTGTTTTTCACTGCATTCAGCATGGCAACTTTCTTTTCACTAAAATCTAAGATCGTCTGTATAAGCCAAGAGAGAGAAAAAAGCCACTCCCAGGCATTTCCAACTAGAGCAGAAATTTGTAGGGTCTGTGGAAGGATGAACCCTGCAGAATTCAGCGCTGCATGAAATGCTTCAGTAGTTGTAAGAACAAAGTTAGAGCTTTTAAACACTTCTGTGAATACTTCAATTATGAACTATCAGTAACCATAGATAAATCCTGGAGATTATCTGCTACCGCTATATCAGTTCTAATGCTAGGAAGTGACTGGTCCAGTGTGGACTGGCCTGGACGGAACCCCAGATGAAGAGCGGCGCTCAATGAGACATGTCCCTTAGCCTCTCTGATGAATAGGGATGGGAATTAAAACCAGATTCACATTATATATTACTTGATTGATGTACATTTCTAAATACTTTTTAGTAAATTCTGTAAGATTTACCCTGCACTATGAGTTCAGTAACTTTCAACTAATCTAATCTTTTTGCTGTCCTTATAAACACCCACAATAAAATAACCTCTTTAGAGATTGCTAAAGACATGTAAATTGGGTGAGGAAACTGACAAATGATAAAATAAGAGGTTGTGCCCAGGGTAGATAGCCAGGAAAGAAACACCCTTTACAAAATGCTCTAAGACTGTGTCTTCTGGTTGTGCTTGCTTTGTGTAGACAGGTGCATCTAGTGACCTGTATCTGAAACTGCAAGGACAAAATTAGCTCTTTAACACACAACTGGAAGCCAAGGTATTCAAGTCCATAAGAATCTAAAAACTCTGAAAGTGTTTAAAAATGGTTTAAGCATTTTAAACATAAAAATTTCATATAAGTTTTGAAAAAGATGAGTAGATAATTCTGTGCAAAATGCTAGTCGATCTCATCCTAATGTTTTGAAAAACAAACATGGGCAGAATACAAAAATATTTCTCTCTAATAGAATAATTTTCATTTTTGGGGAAAGTAATGTGCACAAATTTGTTTCTATATACTCTTTTGTAAATGGTAATAATTTTGGTTACAGTTTCCATTCAAAAGACTGGACCTGGAGTTGTACTTTGTTTTTTGTTTTTAGATGGAAAAATGACCTTTTAAAGAGTTACAGAAATTTCCCCTCATTTGGGGAAGATTGTTTCTTTAAATTTTGGAGAAGCCCCTATGATGGTAGGTGTAGTTAGTTATGCACCTACTCACTACTCTCAGAAAGTGTTGACAAGACAACTCAATTAAGGCGTTTCATACGGAGGTGTTAAGAGTTATGTTTAATGATGGAGACTGGGTATATGGCTACCAAGGGTGAAAAATCTTTCCCCTTCCCTTCCTGCCCCAATATACACACACTCTGAATTTGAATACAGACTGTTGTATGCCTGAAAATTGTGAATTGATTTAGATACGATCATGAGAGACTCAGAGAGAAGAGCATACCTGATTTCCTTGTCACTCAATCTTACAGAAAAGACTGACAAAGCGTCGAAGACAATTCAGACTTTGGGAAAACTGTATTGAAAGACTTGGGCTTTTGTTATCTGAGCCATGGTGCCAACTCAGTCCCTTGTCTTTGAGGAACTTGTTTCCCTTGAGAAGATAAATATCTGGGGAGAAAGTTGATCTTCCCAGACATGACATAAAATGTGAAGTGGGTGCTGTATTGGAAAGGACAACTTCCTCCACATCTGGTGGGGTCTCAGTTGGTCCCAGATGCCAAGGCAAGAAGGAGGCAGGTGGTGATTTCCTGGAAATGAGTGGTTTTGGGCAGGTTTTAAAGTAGCCATTCTAGCAGTAGTTGTTAGTTATGTTTTGTGTTATACTTTCTTCTGTCATCCCTGAGCCTTCATTAAAGACTTGGTCCCATACACACATATGGTGGGGAATTAAGGTGTGTCCCATGCTTTGGAAGGAGCGCTGGAGAAGATAGTCAACAACTCAAAATCAGAGTGGGTGTTGGGGCAGTGCCATGAGGGAAGATGGAGGGCAGTGGCCTGAACAATAGTTTGAAATCTGCTGAAGATGCATTTCTGGCAGTTAGGTGAAGTAGTCTCGGGTAATAGTCATTAGGGGATATAAAATACATATAATCTATTATTGAATAGGGTCAGCAATCTGTGGGTTTTATGCACAATAAAAGTCACTCTTATTGGAGAGAATTAAAACAAGACAACAAAACAAAACCCCAAAGTAGAAAAGTTAGATACATTGAGATGGGGGTGGGGTAGGGGGAAAATATAAGAAGACAAAGTAAAATCCTGCCTTAGAATTACATTCTTTTTTTTTTTCATCTGTCATTTATTCTAAATCATGCATTCACATGCCATCTGTGTAAGACAACTTTGCATAAGAAAAACGAAAGGCAAAACTGAGGCCAGCATTACTAGCAAGGAAATAATCTCACCATCAGTTAACCATGAGCCCACAGAGTCTAGAGATGGTCCAAACATTCTTGTACTTGTCCATTCAGCCTCCTTTTGGTCCCTAGAGTGTACTGGAAGAATTACGTTCTATCAGTGAGAGGTCGTTCATAGCATAGGCTTTGTCATACGATTATCATGGACAGAGAATATACAACTTGATGATATACTGGGGGAAGTTTTAGTCTAAATTAGGGGTCTGCAAACATTTTCTATAAGGGGCCAGAGAGGAAATACCTTAGGCTTTGTGCACCATTCAGTCTCTGTCACACCTACTCAACTCTGCAGTTACAGAACAAAAGCAGACATAGACAATCCATAAATCAACAAGCGTAGCTGTTTTCCAATAAAGCTTTATTTACAGAACCTGAAATTGAATTTTATAGAATTTTTAATGTCACAGAATACTCTTCTTTTGATTTTTTTCCCAACCATTTAAAGATGAAAATCCATTCTTAAGCTTGTGGGTTCTAGTTAAACCACCAGTGGGCCACAGTTGACTGACCTCTGGTCAGAATTAGAGGTTCTTACTGGGGTAGATATTGCTCCCTAGGGAGAATTTAAATAATTTCTAGGAATATTTTTTGTCTTCTGATAAAGTATTTCCTGAGTATTTACATGCTGAAATACCCGTTACTTTATAATAAATATTTTTCTTTTATTGATAAGGCATTATCAAACTTAAAAATGAGTTGAGCATTTGAAAGGATCAATAGACACAGAAGATATTTTAGCATGGGTATTCTGTGCAACAGAACAAAATGAAATTTAGGACAAAATGAAATGAATTTAGTAAAATTGTGGGGAGAAGAAATCCTGAAAAACTTCTAGAGAGCTAGGAAAGACAAATATAAATTAATAGTATAGTACCCATTATTTCAAATTTGAAAATGCATAAAACTTTAAAAATAACTTTTATTTAGTGTGCACTATTTACATACACACATATTGTGTGAGTGAAAAGTAGAAGGGTTCCTATAGGTTCTTTCCTGACTATAAACTCCAATCTCATGTTTTTACTACAGTGATAGTTTCTTCAACTTGCAATTTAACTCTCACAGGGATATTTAAGAACATAACCTTAAAGTATGAGGGAGAAATGACTGCATTTAAAATATTGTTTTCGAAGTTAGTACATTTCTGAGTAATCAAGGTATTTACCTGCTACCTAGCAGTCCTCTACTGGAGTCATCTATAAGAGATGCTGACTTGCAGTGCGGCATGTATTTTCCTATACCGTAATGAATGAAAGAAGGAAGACCATTTGGAAAATATAAGGCCAATAATCATATTTGTCACAAATTTAGCTGTAGGATATGAAAAATCATTGTTCTCTAACTCCTAATGAGCTACTTTTCTTTTGGCCATTTATTAGCCTTTCTTGAGACCAAACCCTCTGGGCAGCTGTCAGTCATTATTGTGTAGTGACACAGAGGGCATGAATATTTTTGGAAAGAAAATACCTCATTTTTCTCTTTAGTTTTATTTAAAAGATTTTTCTCCTTATATCTAAGACAATGCATATTTTATATCCATGCATATAGATGGATTCCAAAATATGTGTGACCTCATTTTCTGGAGTCCGGCCTCTTTAATTCACTCAATATCATGTTTCAATACATGGATAACAACCTCAAAGAAGATTGTAGTGATTCACTATACAGCACCTATAACAAGGGACAATTCAAGACAGATACCATTTCATCATCACCAGTTAATTTTTTGTTCAGTAGGAAACAGAAACCAAAAACAAGTCAACCAGCACTAATGAAAAAATATTACCCTGCTGCTCTGTCTCATCAGGTACAAGTGAAAGCGCTCTGATGAATGAGAAGTTTGAAAATACAGCAGGTTAATTACAGGTTACTAATCCTCTCTGCCCCTTTTAAAACCTAGAAAACACAAATGCAAGGGAAGATAATCTCTCTTTTAAAAGAATATTTCTTGTTGGTAAAATTCATTCTTAATCCAGAAGCTCTGATCTGAGATCATGGCCCCATCAACAAAGAGTTGTATTAAAAATGTTCCTTTGTTGTTCAGTAACATAGATTTTATTACCATCAATAACTATTTCAGGGGCTACATGCCTAGTCTAACTTTTTTATAGTTGGAGAAAATGCCATCACTATTTAAAAAGAATGTCCTGATTGTGGTTTTTGACTTAAAAATTGATTTGTCACTGAATACTTTTCAAAAAAGATAGTTTTGATGTTGATCTATTATTGAAAGAGCCAATATTGCAAAGAAAATATTAATACTGAGACTTTGTACTCTTTCACCAAGTCTCAGTTATGCAAAATGAATAAATTCTGGAGATCCAGTTTACAGCAATCAGACTACAGTTAATAATCCTGTGTTGTATACTTGAAATTTGCGGAGGGTACATTTTAAGTGCTATCACCACAAAACAAAAGAGAAAAAAACATGAAAATAATAACTTTGTGAGGTGATGAGTTGTTTTAATCAGTTTGTGGTGATTATTCACAATGTATGTGTTTACCAAACATCACATTGTACACCTTAAATACATACAATTTTTATTTGTTGAAAAGAAAAAAATGTTAATATAGGAGAAGTAATATGGTGATCATTTAAAATATCAATTATGAAAACTATTCTATATCCAGTAGCTTTTAGACTTACCTGGACCTAAAGCATAGATATATTCACTTTTAAGCTATCTAAGTTATTAAATTACACCTGAAATGCCTTTTGGAAAAGGACATGTCAGGCAGCAAGCATCCTATGAACTTAGGATAGTGTCTTTGTAAGCACCATACCCTATGCCCCAAGATGGGAAACTTGATATTGTTTCATTTCCTTAGCACAAAGGACTTACTAAGAAAATCACATGGACAAAACAACAGAAAAAGCACCCCATGAAGTTTTAACTCTCTTCGTGAGAGCAGCAATTTTTAGTCACAATTAAAGGACAACTCTTGGAAATTTATTTTACTTTATTTTTATCTAACTTTTATTTTTAAGTTGAGAGGCACATGTGCAGGTTTGTTACATAGGTAAACTTGTGTCATGGGGCTTTGTTGTACAGATTGTTTCATCATCCAAGTATTAAGCCTGGTACCCATTAGTTATTTTTCGTGATCCTCTCCCTCCTCCCACCTTCCACCCTCCGTTAGACCCCAGTGTGTGTTGTTCCCGTCTGTGTGTCCATGTGTTCTTGTCAGTTAGCTCCCACTTACAAGTGAGGACATGTGGTATTTGGTTTTCTGTTCCTGCATTCGTTTGCTAAGGATAATGGCCTCCAGCTCCATCCATGTTCCTACAAAGGACAATGATCTCATTCTTTTTTATGGCATAGTATTTCATGGTGTATATGTTCCACATCTTCCATATCCAGTCTATGACTGATGAACATTTAGGTTGATTCCATGTCTTTCCTATTGTGAATAGTGCTCCAATGAACATACGTGTGCATGTGTTTTTACCACAGAATGATTTATATTCCTTTGGATATATACCCAGTAACAAGACTCCTGGGTCAAATGATAGGAAATGACAATATAAACATGGAATATACACCTCTTTTAAAATACATTGCCTAAAACTATGATGCTCAGTATATAGTAATCAACATTCAAGCTGGGTATTTTTAGATTATTTAGTTTGAATATATATTATGCTTCGAGTTATAGACTCCCATTAAAAGTCTGTCATACAATTAAAGGGATTAAAAACCTATCCTGGATATTTTGTTCTGATCCAGGGAAGCTGCATGGAGTGAATATGGGCCTTGCAGTCAGACAAACCTGACTTTATATTCCAATTCCACCCCTACAAGTATTTGACCTCGGATAAATCACGCAAGTTTTCTGAACCTCAGTTTCACATTTGTAAGTCTTCCTTCTCTACTTTGTAGCCTTATTTGAAATATACATATCCACCGGATGCAGAGTAGACCTACATAATAAGTGGTGCTGCTTCTCTTTTTCCTCTTGGTGGTTTGTTTGAACCCAAATCCCAAATCCCAGTTTCTATAGAACATTTCCAGGTCCTACAAGTTATCTGTATCTTATGACTTATTTTCGGTAAAATATCATTTATCAGAAACTAGGTTTTTAAATTACTACATGCAAGGCACAGCTTTTTCATGTGACTAGTAGAATGGGAAAGCATGATTTATAGAACTCCCCAACTTATTTGGAACTTTTTTTTTTTTTTTTTGAAAAAGAACTAGTTTCTATTTTACTTTATTCCAGCCTGGCTTTATATGACCTCTACAGCTTATAGATTTTGTTTTGTTTTTGACATTTGAGAAAATGTCTGTCTTCTTCTTCACAAGCATGTCTTTGAAAGTGATTTTTTATTAAATAGTGTACTTTTACTTTGATGCAATTGGTTACTAATTGTGTTTAATGGGAGATAAGGTATGTAATGTTAGCACCATACAGTTTTTTTCAACATTATATGATATTTAGACATAATAGTATCAGTGTAAAACAGTCTTCTAATGTCCAAAAATTTTTGTTTTTAATCTCTTAAAATATTATGTATATTACATCTGTTTTTGTGATTTGTAAAAATATCTATTTACCCCCAAACATATGTTGTCAGTCTGTTACATTTAGTAGTTGTTGCCCCCCACCCCCGACCCAGCAGTCCTTCCAACAGTCTCCTTTTATCAATTATCTAAAATATCTAAGGCACCATCATACTGTAGATTTCCTAATAAACACTTGAAATTAAATAAAAAGAAGAAAAGAAAAGGAGACAGTGAGTATGATCAGTAAAATAATTCCCCCTCCCCCTAGGTGTCCACATCCTTATTCCCAGAACCTGTGAATATGTTATGTCATATGGCAAAGGGGCGATTAAAGCAGCAGATGGAGTCAAGGTTGTTAATCAGCCGACCTTAAAATAAGATTATCCTGGATTATCCAAGCAGGCCCAATGTAATCACAAGGGTCCTGTTATGGGTTAGATTGTGTCTTCCAAAAAATTCATATGTTGAAGTCCCAACCCCCAGTACTTCAGAGTGTGACCTTATTTGAAGATAGGTTCTTGGCACAGGTGATCAGGTTAAAATGAGGTCATCAGAGTAAGTCCTAATCAAATATGACTGGTGTCCTTATAAGAAGAGGACATTTGGACACAGACAAGTACAAGACAAGAGGGGAAATGATACAAAACACAAAGAGAAGACGGCCATCTACAAGCCAAAGAGAGAGACCTGGAACAGATCCTTCTCTCACAGCCCTCAGGAAGAACCAGCTCTGCCTACACCCAGAAGTCTGGAGGTTGGACTTCTAACCTCCAAAATTGTAAGACAATATATTTCTGTTGTTTAAGCCACCCAGTTTGTGGTACTTTGTTAGGCAGCCCCAGGAAACTAATGCAGGTTCTTTAAATGTAGAAGAGGAGGGCAGAAGAGTCATAGAATGATTCAAGGTGAGAAAGACTTGACTGGCCATTGTAGACTTTGAAGGCAGAAGGGACCATGAGCCAAGGAATACCAGCAGCATCTAGAGATTGGGAAAGTCAAGGAAACAGATTCTCCCACAGGACCTCCAGAAATAAACGAAGCTCTGCTGACCCCTTGATTTTAGACCAGTGAGAACCATTTTAGACTTGTGAAGTACAGGTCTGTGAGATAATAAATCTGTGTTATCTCAAGCCACGAAATAATAATTTGTTACAGCCACCATAGAAAACATATACAGTGAGTGAGTTTAATTTCTCTTAGTATGAAATCTGACTTCCTTAGGATCTTACTTGACTTCCTTTCGTGCTGGTTTCATCTCTTTTGGGTTCAAAGCATTTGGGCTCTTACTCATTTTCCCGTGTCAGCTATTGTAGAGAACACGTAAAACATTTTTAAAGGAACTTGCCGTGCTTCTCTTCTTACTTTCTTAAGAATTGGCAAACTCTTTTAGGATGTTCCCTTTACATGAGAGGAAATGTTTTAAAAGTGTGCACCTTTTGTAAAAAGGCTAGAGAAGCCCTTTATACTAAGGCATACAATAGACTCATTTTCTTATTTCTCTCTTCCTGTCTGAAATTACTTTATAATCCCAGATGCACCTCTAAGTCATACCACAGATGGACATAAGAATTAGGAATTGATTTTACCTGTTTGCGCCCTAATATATTCATCGTATATTCTCATAAGCCTCATCTATAATCCCACAGTTTTTCAAGGTAATTTAGCATTGTATAAAGGAAAAATTAATAGATAATCTTTAGGTAAAAATATAACTATGCAGGAAGAGATTTTTTTACAACGTCTCTGCTTTGTTTCACTGTTGGAAATGAAATTGGAAAAGGGAATTATGAAAAATTGATGTGTGTGAGGGAAGAGGGAAGGGGCAACATTATAAATCTTCAAGTAGCATTCAAATTTTTCTAGACTAATTTGTATAACAAATTATTTTAAATTATAATTAAGGCATGTCTAAAATCAGATATGCTAGCTACTCAGATTAATTTCACATCAAAAATTAAGAAATACAAATCCTACTTTAACTCATACCACCTGCTAATCTTTTAAAAAATCAAACACTTGTTATAAAAAAGAATAAGGATTTATGTAATGTCCAGTTCTTTAGTGTATATCTTGGAGATATAATACCATATTCATATTACAAACATTAATTTAAATTTTCTTAACTATGTAACTGATGTACTTTAATAAAGTCTAAGGAAATTTAAAATGGTCAGAGGAAGGCCATAAGGGAAGTAAAAGCCCTTTCCTTCTAACTTTAAAAAACATTCTCAGTATTTGCAGTGCTTACCACAAATACTGTCCACACTAATGATGTTGGTTTAGATTCCTTACTTTATACCAAGCGGCAGAATGTGAGTTTATTTTTCTCTGGCCCCTGACATTTACACAAGAAATGAATAATATGTAGGATAAGAGAATTTAGGAGGTCAGTTTTAGAACCAAATGAAATTTGAGAGTTCAGCATTACAGATTAATTGATAAAGATCTCACAAAAGCCTATATTTATGAATTATTATGAAAATCAAATTAGATAATGCATATGAAAACTGTAAGAGGCTTAAAACGTGCAATGTTGCAAGTCGTGTTCTTTTTTAATGTGATAAATGTAACAAAACCCCCCAATATTTCAACCAAAAAAGTTTTACCTAAGGAGTTTTAAATATTTTAGAAATATTAAACACCTACACCCTCAAAGGTCAATTTTTATTTTGTGAAGAGACTTAAGACTTGTGATAGCTAGGGTATGGCCAAATGTTGTATCACACTGCAAAGAACTTTTAGTACTTCAGTAGCTTACAAGTTTGTAGAATCCATGAATTCCAGAAAACATTTGCCTGCTTAGGGATTCAATTACCAGGAACCTGTAAACCTACTAGAACTACAGGAGTTTTTAGGATTGGAAAATATAACATTTCAGCTATACAGTCAGCAACCTTATCTTTCTGATACATAACTGACAACTAAAATATAAGGTTAAAAAAAAGCGGAAGGGGGTTGTTTTGAGTTGCCAGAAGTGAGTTTAAAAAACCTTTGATTAAAACTCCTATTTTTACTCAGTGGACCTTTTTTATTCCTGGTACTCTCACTGGAAACCCATTTCTATGCCAAGGCATCTGGAAAAAAAAAGTGTGATTATCTGCTTTACCCAGCAGATTAGAAATAGCTAAAACTCCAAAATTTAGAATAGGAATTTAGAAACCCATAGCATCTGGGACCATTTAATATAGAGGCAGACAGTTTTCAGAATCCTCAGTGGGACCCGACAGAAGATGGAATTACTGTGTTGTAGTCTAACCCAATAATGAATGTTCATAATGATGTCTTTCATTCCTCATGGAGGGAATCCTTTCCAAGATGCTGCAGTAGTAATGGCAAAGCCACTGTTGATTTATTCTATGAAGGGTATTGATCACCTCCTCTGTGTGAAGCAAAGTAGAATGAAGGACAGTGTCTGCTCCTAGACAGTGTATGTAAGATCTATTGGGGTGGCAGACAGATGTGAAAATAAGTAATTTCTAGATAGTGAGTTAAATGCCTTGGAAGTAGAGACATAATAGTAGGAAAGCACAGGCTTTCCCTGATTAAGGAAATGAGATTCTGTCAACATTAAAATAATAAAAATAGTTTTAGATGCTTAAAATTGAGGTTTTATACCTCAACTTTAGTGTAGCTATTTAGAATGACTCATTTCTCAAACATTAGCTGTAGCCGTGTCTTAGTCCACTGGTGTTGCTCTGAGGGAACACCTGAGACTGGGTAATTTTGAAAGAAAAAGGGTTATTTGGCTCACAGTGCTGCTGGCTGGAAGACTGGCATCTGGGCCAAGCCTCAGGCTGCTTCCATTCATTGTGGAAGGGGAAGGAGAGCTGACATGCGCAGAGATCACATGGCAGGAGAGCAGGTGGTGGGGAAGGGGTGCCAGGCACTTGGTAATAACCACCTCTCTCAGGAAATAGAGTAAGAACTCACAGCTGGGCACAGTGGCTCACGCCTGTAATCCCAGCACTTTGGGAGGCTGAGGCAGGCAGATCACCTGAGGTTGGGAGTTCGAGACCAGCCTGACCAACATGGAGAAACCACATCTCTACTAAAAATACAAAGTTAGCTGGGTGTGGTGGCGCATGCCTGTAATTCCAGCTACTAGGGAGGCTAAGGCAGGAGAATCGCTTGAATGGGGGAGGTGGAGGTTGTGGTGAGCCAAGATCACGCCATTGCACTCCAGCCTGGGCAACAAGAACGAAACTCGGTCTAAAACAAACAAACAAACAAACAAACACACCTCATTCACTTCTCCACCTATGGAGGACGCTAATCTATTCAGGGAGTATCTGCCCTGGTGACCCAAACACCTCCCATTAGGCCCCACCCCCAATGCTGAGAACCAAACTTAAATGTGAGGTTTGAGGGAACAGACATCCAAACTATAGCACCATAGCTTCATCATGTTCCCCCCCACCAGCAGTTGACTTTTTACACATATAATCCAGGGAGTTATAATAAATTTAACGTCAAGATAGAGATGGCCATTTTGTGAGCTGGACTCAAGGTGCAGTTCCAAGTGTATCTGGTACCACCTCACTCAGCAGCACAGATGCACCTGTGCAGTCAGATGAGCTTGACTAGTGCTTCCCTTTCTTTCTTCTTTTCATTCTCTCTATTCTTTTGTAAAACAATATAAAAATTCACCCGGGGGAGGATCATCTATCTCATTTCATTTAGGTCATAAAGTTACACACCATGGAAGGCCAATTTTTCCTCTGTAAGCTACCACCAACTTTGATGTAATAAAAGGCTGTTACTACCATCCGGTGGGATGAATTCCCTGACTCTTGTTTTAAGTAAGACGAAATAAAATTTTATAGACCTTCTTCATAAATCTGCAATAAGTAAGTCACTATTCTCTTTTGGCATGTAGCACAAGTCCAGAACACAAGCATCACTTTAAACAACACGAATATTCAAGGTTGACACTCTCTCAGCCAGAAGAACAAAAAATGCTTCAAATTTACTAAAAACACACCTTTTTATTTGTTAATTGAAATAATACCAAATACATTAAAGGAATGCTATATTTTAATTTTCTTGACGTCTCTTATTCATCTATGTTTAGTCTTAGTTCTTATCCATGAGAGATACTTTTTCCCCCACTATAAGTTAGCTATAATAGAAAGGATGATATTATGCCATGTTACATTATTACTTGATGGAGAGTAGAATTCCTAAGCAGGAAAATTCTTGGGTACCATAAAAAGTACACAGCTCAATAAAGAGATCTGCACCGAGGGCTTCTGTAAACAACCTGCACAATATACCATGCTGTGTAGCTGCCAATACTGCTTACCTGAATCCCAAGTGGCTCCTGAGATGCTTTAAGTATGTTATTTTTTATCATCCAAGCTAGACGGTAAACTTTCCAAAGAGAAGATCAAATATCTTCTTTTTCTTTTCCTCACAAATCAAGCACAGATCTGGGCATATTAAGGGCCCAAGATAAACACTCATTAATTAATCATAAAAGGTGCATCTGCTCTCCTTAATTTCTGCCCCTTAAGTCACGATGATGGCAAGAAGACAACTTCTCCAGGACATTTAAATATTCAGTCTCTTGACTCACAGGCTTTATCTTCTGTGGAGGTTAGTTAACTATGATTTTGCTCCTAATGCATTTCATCATTGGCCAAAAGTGATGACATTTTTGAGAAATTTTGGATAAGTAAATTAAACATGTATATATGTAATATAAATATGTATATTCAAGCATATGGGTAATTTTGTATACTAAGTCTACTATGTCATACTAAGTCTACTATGTCATAGTAGTTAGTCATACTAAGTCTACTATGTAGTACTTAGTCATAGTAGTAAGTCTATGTAGTCATAGTACTAAGTACATACTACATAGTACTTAGTCATACTAAGTCTACTGTGATTACTTAGAATTGTTGCTTTCTTGCTCTCATGCTCCTCTTCCTCATACTTTCATCTCCGTAGTACTTATTACTGTCTAACATAATGTCTAATTTAGTTATTTTTTATATTTATTATCTGTCCCCACTAAAATGCAAGCTGCAGGAGGGCTGGGATTTTTGTTTGTTTGTATCCTCAATTCTGAGGAGAGCCCTTGGTGCATCACGGATCTTCAATAAATATGTGTTGAATAAATTCATGAAAGTGCTGACAAGTGGAAAGGACATTGGGCCAGGAGACTTAGCATCTGTACAGCATTGACTCTGCTGCTAAACAGCATTTCTGTTTTTAGGTCTCTATGTTTCCATATGTATAATGCAGAAAAGGGGGTATGTGGGTTACTCACATATAAAGAAAAAAGAATTTTTAAACACTACATTGAACCCTACCCTAAAAAAATGTAAAATCATGTGTTCCTATGTTGTTAGATTTTCTTAAATTTTCTGTAATTTCGCTTTTTAAGTGATGGTTTTGGGTTATGGGAAGATAGGAAAATCGTTTCTTGGAGTAAGTGGGTTTATGGGCTCTGATCCTCCATCTGCCTCAGACTTGCTGTGTGACCCTGGGTGATTCACTCACCCTCCCTGGAGATGAATTTCTTCTCCTGTAAAATGGAGATTAATAACTAACAGAGCTGCTATAAGACCAAGAGAATGCTTGAAAAACATAAAGCACTGCACAACTGTAACTAATACTGTAATTATAATCATTATAGGTCTGTAGAATGCCAGAGATCATCTTAGATGAGGGCATCTTGTATCATTGGTTCTTATGGAACGGCTGGTTTTATTTTCTAATCTATTATGTTCTCATGCTTTTATAAAATACAATAAAATGACTTGCTAGAAAAACAAAATGAAAAAAAATTTTAAATAAGCCACAGTTTTAAATTTATTTTTAGACTTAACAGACAAAGTATTTCTGTCAAATTGCTATAAATATTGCTAAGCTTACTCTCAATTTCTATACTTAACTGGTCATGGGCAGGCACTGGTTGGCACTTAGGTGACCTCTTATGATTCTTCTGGTCCTATTACTATCCAGTGAGTGACTGAGCAAAGAGATGCATTTTTAAAAAATATTCATCTGTTCTTAGCTCAACAGTTGTAATTTTCCCTTATACATGTATTTCAAAAGGCTGATTGACTTAGATGATCTTAGTTCAGCACTATTTTTACTGCCAGTTTGCCCAGATGATAAAATTTATAAACAAAATCTAGCAAATTGAACAACTAATAATTGAAAACAAGGTACAGTGCTGTACATTTTCTAGAAAGATAATTTGTCACCTCATGTTAAAGTTTCTTTCAGGTGTACAGCACATACAGCAAAGGTATCTGTTAAGTATGGGTATAATGGATGTCCTTGAGTTCATCTGTTTACCTCCTTCCCCCTAGCTCTGTTACCACCACGCAGCGAACCTACAGCAGAAGAGGAAGGTACCCACAAAGCAAAGGGGAGAAGGGAGTGGTATTTGCTTCTGCAAACTAATTGAAATACTTGTAGTCACCATACAGGGTTTGTTACATATGTTCAGAAAAATAATCTGTCTGAATGATAATCAAATTAATTGTCCACCTTAATGATATAGTACCAAGAACCCCGACTGAGATTTAACATGCACACTTGCTTCAAAATACTGAGGCATAAATCACAGTCATTTGCTTATTGCTAACATCAGTATGAGAAATATAACATGATGTCTGCGAACTGAAACTAAAACAGAAAGAGGAAGTATTGAATGTGGGAAGACATTTACGGTTTTGATGGCCACTTTAGCAAATGCTGTTCCCCACTTCTTTGTCTGCGGCCAGCCTTGGGGCAAGTGGTGTTAGAAATGTGTTGGGTCCTTTTGCCTGGCTGGGCTTTGGTATTCACTTAACCTGTCATGCACTGTTCCTTCTCCCTGGACTATTCCTACCTTAGTTACCAGGTAAATTATTGTCTATTCTTCAAATGTCATCTCCCCTGTGAGGTCTGACTCAGTGCCACAAGGCAGAGCCTTCACAGTTTCTGCCTCCTCAGTGCTTTGCACAGTCTAACTGCTCCATAAATCTCAGCTCTCCCCTACCCTCCCCTCCCCTCGCCTCCTGCCTGGGCTCTTCCTTTACACACTTAACATGGGGTGTGGTGGTTGCAAATGCCTCATTCAAGAGACCCTGAGCACTTCTAGGGCAGGAATTGGGTCTTTCATTTTGTATTCCCTCCATTAAGTGTTAATGAAGAAAACCATTCATTTGTTCATTAATGCATTTTTCCCCCATCCATTCATCAATCTAATATCTACTATTGCCAACTTTTGAGAACAAGCTGACTTGTCGAGGCATGAGCCATGCTATTCCCTTATGCCCACTTAAGTAGTTTTGGGGACTTTTTCTCAAAGGGTAACCTACAGATCATCTAGCAGCAAAATTGTCTGAAGAGCTTGTTAAATGTGGGTTTCCAGGCTCCACAGTAACCCATTGAATATCAGATCTTAGTTCAGCACTATTTTTCCTGCCTGTTTGCTCAGACACTCCATGCTCCCCACTCTTATTCACTGAAATTAAAGTGAAAAGGGAAATGGGTGCATTTTTGACAAGCCCTCTGGTGATTCTCATACACACTTAAATTTGACGGCAACTTTTCCTTTAGGATGTTGCTAACAATTTTCTGTAATTGACTGGAAGAGTTGACTTTGCTCAAGGAATGGCTGCCTGTATCTCTTGTCACTTGGTGCACATAGATGGAGTTTGGAAATCAGAACGCCAGCCCAGCACCTACCACACAGTATAGGCTGCAGAAGAAATAGCTGTAATTATGGATGACTCATGATCACCAGTGACTAGAACCTAAGGCCAGAAAGATCAATTTTGGGTCACCTATAAGGAACATCTATTGTTTCCAAACATGTTAAACTCACGTCAGTATATCCAAATGCTCTTGACTCTTTAGAAATTATCCCCAGGGATGGGAGACAACTTGATAACTTTCTTTTTTTAAATAAACCGTGCCTCAAGCTTCTCAAGAAGCACATATCTTAGTTTAGCACTATTTTTATTTCTACTTTACCACATAATCCATGCTCCCCACCCTTGTTCAGTGAAGTGAGAGTGAAAAGAAAAGTGAATTCTTAGAAGATTGGTCATGAAAAGGTTCTCATTTATACCCATGAGGGAAAGGGAAAAAGATTTCTAAGCTTTGCGGGTTTCTTTTTTTTTCTTTCTTTCTTTTTTATTTTATTTTTTTTTTCTGCTGCTCACCTAGCTTTTTGTCCCTGCAGCAGAACAAATGAATATAAAGGAAAAGTCTATGCCAAAAAAATCTTTAGAAGATTTAAGCATAATAAATGTTAAATCTTTGGGATAAGGAAAATTGAGTCCCTATAAAATGCTCTGCAAAATGTATTATAGGGAATGCAAAATGTAGATGGAATAAGGAACATCACATTATGGTCACTTATTATATTTACCAAGTTGGAATCAGAAACAAAACTCAGATAGCTAAAAATATTAGTATTCAAAGATTTAGAGATTTGTCTGATAGTAGAATGTGAAAATTGAATGTCTTAATTATTTATTTCAGAAAGGTTTCTAGAGATGTTTGTGAGGAACTACTTAATGTGTGCACTTAGATTTTAAAAACAGAAGGTTGTGAGACCAATTGTGAATAATAAACCCCAGAATATAGTCACTCAGAAAAAAAAGTCCATTGCACCAGTATTTATTATAGAATAATTAAAATCAGAGGCTTATAAAACAGGGAAACCAAAAGTCCAGTGAATATATCAAACAACTTGAAATCATTTCCTCAAATATATTTTATGACCAAAAAAATCATGCTTATATAAGCCAACTAAGCAATATGGAAATTCAAGAAAACATGAAATATAATTAAAAATTCAAATAGAATTAAGCAGCATTATGGTATTATTCATTTCAGAGTCAAAAATGGGTAAGAGTGTAGTGAAGAGAAGGGTCAACAGTTCAGGACAGGTCAGGAAAACCACTGATCCATTCATTAAGTCAGAATCAAACTATTAACTCAGCACCTACCCTATGCTTGGCTCTCTTCCAGGCACTGTATGTAGCAGACAAAATACAGGGAGCCCACACCATTACGTATATAAATACAAGGGGTAGAAGAGAAGCACATAAAGAAAAACAATAAAATATTTCAAATATCAAGAAATGCTATAAAGAAAATAAAGGAACAGCCTGGGTGCTGTGGCTCACGCCTGTAATCCCAGCACTCTGGGAGGCCGAGGTGGGAGGATCACGAGGTCAGGAGATCGAGACCATCCTGGCTAACACGGTGAAACACCGTCTCTACTAAAAAAAAAAAATACAAAAATTAGCTGGGTGTGGTGGCGGGCGCCTGTAGTCCCAGCTACTCGGGAGGCTGAGGCAGGAGAATGGCGTGAACCCAGGAGGCAGAGCTTGCAGTGAGCAGACATCATGCCACTGCACTCCAGCCTGGGCGTCACAGCAAGACTCCATCTCGAAAAAAAAAAAAAAAGGAACAATAACAGAAGCAAAATAAAAGAAAGTGATTGGAGGTGGGATGAGACTATGTTCACTGAAGGGATTGGATAAGGCCTCCTGTAGGAATTGACGATTTGTGCAGAAATCTGAATGGTGCATAGACATGAACCATGCAGCAGTTCGGGGAAGAGAAGTCTAGGCAGAGGGAACAGCAACTGCTAGAATCAAGAGGCAGGAATGAAGAAGGGGTATCTGAGGGCCAGAGAGGCTACACTTGAAAAGGGAGTGAAGAGATCACGAGATGAAGTCAGAAAGATTGGGCGGCAGCTGTGCCAGTTGCTTACCCTCTTCAGTCTCCTCTCCTTACCCAAAATTTGTGTTTGGGGGTCATGTACCCACTTAAAAAAAAACAAACAGTTGATTTTGTTGGGTTTCAACAGCCTTGCAACATTGTTCTGGCTGATGAGATGAAGACTATTGGTTATTCTAGGAAAACAATTGTTTTCCTGATTAAAAGACACACTTGGCTGGCATGCAATACTTTCACCTTTTGCTGTTTCTCTCTTCCTGCCTGGAATATAGACACAGTCCTGGAGACAACGCAGCCATTTTGCAACCACGAGGACAAAAACCACATGCTAAGTAGAGCAGAGCAAAAATCCAGATAGAATTTGGCCCCTTAATGATTTTGTTGAGCAGCTGTATCTGCCCTGTACTGTCAACCTCTAGACTTGTTATAGGAGGGGGGAAAAAACCCTCTTAGTTGTTTAATGGTGATGAGTTTAAATCTCTTGCTTGTTTAGGGGTTAGAATATTTAAGCCATTATAGATGGGTTTCTGATTCATGCAGCTAAAAGTACAAATGGTTAGGGCCAGATTCTGTAGGGTTTATATTTGCCATGGTAAAGATTTTTGCACTTTATTCTAATTGCAACAGGAAGCCTTCAGAGGAGTTTAAGCAAAAGACGGGTAAAATCTAGTTTTTTCTTGGAGAGTATTCTGGCTGCTTGGTGTAAATGAGACAGCAGGGAGGCAAGTTGGAAGCAGAGAGAACAATTAGAAGGCAAGAGACAGTTGTTGTCCCTTCCATTTGTTTTACTAAAAGTATCTTGGTATAGTTAAGCCTTCAAGAATTAGATGTTGTAATAGTACTATCAGGCAGGCTATTGAACTAGTTTCTACATGTCTGAGAATATGGAATTAGGAGACACTCTTTAAATACTTCAAGAACTTTGTCAGCAGTATAGGGATACTTGGGTATCTCCTTTTAGCTTGCAGATGTTTAAATGACGATGATGAACGTTAATTAGTGGTTTATGTACTCTGTCTCCCTGCCTGATCTAGATTATCCTCATCATTGTAAATCTCCCTCTACCTTATTTTTTCCCCTCTTTTTTGTTTCCTTTGCTAGGGATCATTAAAACATTAGCCAGAGCTGTCAGCCAAACTAATTGAAAGCCACCTGCCTTAAGGATCATCCTAATGAAAAACAAGGAAGTTAGAAAACTGACCAAATTGAGTTACTTAACTGCCTGTGAATTGCTATTAGCTTGGGAATTAAAATAAGAACCAAAGTAAAATAATAACTTATACTCATTCCACAAATTATGGGTTGGTAAATTGTTTTCCTTTGTATATCTAGGCGGTAGAGGAAAATAAGTATTTTCTTAAGAGATAATATAACCTTCATTTTAGTATTATTAAAGGTGTAAGATTTTGTTGAAATAATATTTCACTTATAAGTACTTAATTACAAATGCCTGATTTAAAAATTAAGAAAAATACTGTGTGAGAAAAATATATTTTAAAAAGCAGAAGAAATAAGTGGAGTCATACTGTATAGTGCTTTAAAAATGTCTTAAAAGTACAAAAGGTAGAATGCATACATTTGCTGCACATTGCAAAGATCCATGAAATAAATCACAACTCTGAAAAGAGTTTATTGCAGTTATAATTTAGAACTGTATTTTCAATGGATATGAGAAGCTTAAGTATTTCCTTCTAAACTCATGTCTAGCATTACAGAATTTTAAAGCTGGAGAACCCTTGGGTTCAAGTCCATGAGTGTAGATTTTGAGGGGTGGAATCACTCTTTACTCTTCCCCAGCCCACCCTGAGGGCCAAGAATTGTTTCTTGAATGATGAAGAATGAAGTGCAGAGATTAAGAGAGACTTGACTAAGTTTACAGAGCAAATTAGAAGTGGAGCTCAAAGTTGGTCCCTCTCCTCTGGTTTCAGTTTAATAGTATACTTTTATCTCTTTCCTTCAATCTTATGCTAAGACTTTTATCTGACTTTTTACTACATTAGTCTATGGATTTTTTGCCCAATTTTTGCCCAAATTTATTAATGTTTCTGTGTATAAAATCCATGAAAACAGAATTCCACATAAATCTTTTAATTTTATTTTATTGAGGGCTTGACAGTGCTACTCCATTTTCTTCATTCTTTCAGCATCTGTACTTGTTTTTGTTTATATTTACTTGTTTATTTTAATCAGAGCCCGTGTTTTATGGTTTAGAGTTTTACAAGGACTTTTTTGGTCCACTAGCCATAGATGAATGGCAAGTAATAGTTAATGACCACTATCAGCTGTGGTTTGCCTCCATATAGACACTTTCACAAATAAAGTGATACATGTTGAACAACTTTCTCAAGTATACTTGGCTACATGTGTTCTTTCCTTGTGTGTAAATACTAAAACGTAGCTACTGGTCATTGTTAGCCTCTCATGTACAGGCAGATATTCTGCAAACCTTTGGAGTCCTTTAGTCCCAGTAAGAATGATACTATATCAAACTTTACAAATTCATTTATTCTGCTCAAATTGTCCTAATGTATAAATAATTTTATTTCCTAGTGTGTTTTCTTCTTCTGAAAAAAGAAAAAAAAGCTACATTGGTTCTTCTATTGAATGCTAAAAACAGTAGAATAATTTGAACTTAAGCAAAATATTTTATTTCTCATGATAATCATATAAATACAAACAGCAGTATGATCTGAAATAAGGTAAACTTTCATCAACATATTAACAGATTATTGAATGTTACATTAGTCCTCATCTGGAGGAAGGGCTCCAGTGATGCAGCAGTGGTTCTAGATGTGGCCTTCTAAGGGTGGAGTGCAATCTCTCCTGGTCAGCCTCGGACAGTACCAGTTAAGGCCAGCGCCTAAGCACAGTTTTTTACGGCATTGCCTTTCACTCTGAGAAGTGTACCCATTTGAATGACAAATTATATAGTCACCCTATTTATGGACAACATGTTTATTAACAACTGATATGATGTCAGAAGTACTTACAAATGTGTAGGTAGCTCAAACCTAGAATAGAATAGCCCAAAATATGACAGAATTAAAAATAAAGATCTGGATAAGCTGAGCGGATGAAATAAAATAGAAAAAATAATATCAATATATGTTAGGGTTTCATGCACAGGGGGTTACTTTTAGATCCCCAAAAGTAATTGTCTCAGTACAGCATGAGGGAAGTTTAGCTACTCATTTGAAAAAAAACCTAGGGGTTTTATTTATTTATTTATTTTGAGATGAAGTTTCACTCTGTCGCCCAGTCTGGAGTGCAGTGGTGCTATTTCGGCTCACTACAACCTCTGCCTCCCAGGTTCAAGCAATTCTCCTGCCTCAACCTCCCAAGTAGTTGGGCTTGCAGGTGCCTATTACCACGCCCGGCTAATTTTTTGTATTTCTTGTAGAGATGGGGTTTCACTCTGTTGGCCAGGCTGGTCTCAAATGTCCGACCTCAGGTGATCTGCCCTCCTTGGCCTCCCAAAGTTCTGGGACCACAGGCGTGAGCCACCACACCGGGAGACCTAGGGGTTTTAATTTGCCAGAGGCTTGCGTGACTTTTGCCAATAGTGTATAATTCCACAGGAAAGAAGGCAGTGTTTTCACTGTTGGAAAAGTAGAATGGTGTCGAGACCAGCACTCACTAAGAGAACCATCTGCACAGGTGGAAATGTTCCAGATCAGTGTCATCCAGTGTGGGAGTTAACAGCCCTGAATGGCTGCTGTGCCCTGGAAATGTGGCTCATGAGATGGAGAAACTGAAAGCCTTCTTTTTCTTTTCTTTTTCTTTTTCTTTTTTTTTTTTTGACAGGGTCTCTGTCTGTCACCCAGGCTGAGTGTGTGGCCCAATCTTGGCTCACTTGCAACCTCCCAAGTAGCTGGGACCACAGGTGCACGCCACCATGCCCAACTAATATTTTGTATTTTTGGTAGAGATGGGGTTTTGCTATGTTGCCCAGGCTGGTTATGAACTACAGAGTTCAGGCAATCCAACCGCCCCGGCCTCCTAAAATGCTGGGATTACAGGCATGAGCCACCATGACTGGCTGGAACTGAAAGATTTTTTTTAACTTTTATTAACATAAGTTTAAAGCTGAACGTCCTTGTGTAGTTAGTAGCTGCTGTATTGGCTAGTGCAGGCCAAGATCAAGAGTGATCTCAGTGGGTTTGGAGTTGGTCGAAGGGCATTTGATAGGTGGTGGTCCGTTACATTTGAGGGTCCATTAAATTTAACTGAACAAAATCTTAACAAACACTAAAATATGTGCAAAGCACTGTGATACACACTGTCGGATATTCAAAAGCAAGTAAAGCTGTGTCTATACAATTACAGATCATCTTCTAGAAAAAACAAGAGGACCACAAGTAGACAAATGATTAGTACTGGTATTGCAATATGAAGTCCATTTTATGAGAATCTAGGGGAAGAAGAAGTAACTATTGACCCATAAAATTGAGAAGGCTTTTGTGGAGAGGTGAGCCTTGATGAGTAGTCAGATGTAGAGAGATTGAGAACAGCATGTAGATGAGAAAAGCCCAGGGCCAGAGAAGTATAAGAACAAAGGAAAGAATGTGTATTGGTGTGTATCATGCAAGAGAGTTATCTGGATGTAGATGGTGGAGAAACTAATGCCACGCTAAAAACTCTGAGCTTTGTTATGTAGACAATTAAATGAATGTTTCTAAGTTAGAAACTGATGTATCAGACCCGCGCCTTTGTTGGGGCACACATCATGGAGGTGATTGCAGGGGAGGTGACCAGGGTAGCCATAAAATAGAAGCTATGGACAGCATGTGAAGGTTGCTAGAGAAGAGGCTGACTGGGAGACCATGTTGGCTTTGTTTATATGTTTGAAGAGCTATTATATCAAAAGGAATGAGAATTATTCTATGCAGCACTATAAGGGGCCAAGGTAGTGTTTTTATGCAGGCCAATTTTGATCAATAAAACAAGTAAGTCCCTAACAATGAGAACTTCTATGAATGAAACAGATACCTTGTGAAATAGTGAGTAAGCCCTTGGCCACCCAAGGATTTTGTGTTGGGCAGTTACAGGAAAGAGTCCAAGTAGTTTCTAGATTTTGAAATTTCAAGAATTGGTCAAAACAGCCAAAGGGAGGAGTCAGAGTTACTAACATTTAATTTTGTCAAGTAAGAATATTGTGGTCTTATTTGCCAATGTGGTCCAGCAACTAAGGTAATTATTATTTATTACATTTAGATTGGGAGAATCATCATCAGTAAAACAGTATCATGGCAGGCCCTCAGGAACTTGACAGAAGTTATAGACATGATACGGTGATCCAGGTACTGAATGCTGTAATAATTAGTACAACAAATGTCATTTACAACTCCAGAAATAGTAAAAAGAGAAATACCAGCCACAAATAGTTATCATAGAGGGCAAAACTTTCCATTTCTTTATTATCATAAATCACAAAGCTCCATTGATGCATATTTTATCACAGCACTCTTGCCATATGTGATCTGAAGTTCTGAGTGCATCCCCAGGGACCACAGTTACTGATATAGATAATCAAGAATTCCTTTTATGCTCCTCTCAATGCTGCTACAGCTCAGATTGAAATTAGCATCTTTTACAATGAAATACCAGTTGCTGTCACAAACAGACATGACAGCTGGAGACAGAGGCCTGTTTATCCAGTTATTCTTCATGTTTCCAGTTCATTATGGTTTATTAAGATGTGTACTGTAAGTTCCTGAATGAAGAGACTTTGAGTTTTGCACAGTGATTATCATTTAAATAGAGGCATCGAGAAGCTGTTCTCCAAGGAGGGAGTGGGCAGTGATGAAGGTCAAAGATCAAAAACATCTTAATAAGCACTTTTAAATGATAATCATTTATTTTCTCAAAATAAGTCTTTATGCATGGCTTTATCTCGCTCTCATAGTTTGAAAATCATTTTTCATTGCAGAAGCATTTTGAGGGGAGGTTGATAATTGTAACTCAACATGTATTGAGAATCTACCATGTGACAGGAATATACTAGATGTATCTACAAGTTTTCTTATGACACAGGTATTCATGACATCAATCTCATGACACAGGTAGTAGGAATATATTTTAAAGAAAGACATCAAGTTACCTGGCTAATATCACAGAGCTTGTACACAGATTTAGGCATCCCAAAGGTGCTGCTTTTTAAAACTATCCCCATATCACCTGAAAATTGTTTTTTTTTTTTAATTAGACTTTGCAGTTATTTTTGCTGTCCAAAAGTAACATAGAGGCAAACTAAACAAGTTCTTCTCTCCTGATAATATTTGCAGCTACCATTTATTGTGTGTTTCCTATGCACTAGGCAAGGTACAAAATGTTTTATATTGATAATCAAATGTAATTCTTTTGAGATCAGCATTATTACTCCCACTTTTCAAATGAGTGAACCTGATCAAAGAGATTAAGTAACTTGTCTGGAAATTTAAGTAACTTGCTCAGGGAGAGGCAAGAGCATGATTTAAAGTCAACCAGACTGCAACATCCATGGCTGAACCCCCACCTGAGACTACAGGAGCTTACCAGAGGATGGGGGGAGTGAAATGGGAAGGCTTATGGCAGTGGCTCTCAATAAGTAACCCTGGGACCAGCAGCATCTATATCCAGATGGTCTTACTCGGTAGACAGTGCACTTAACCATTACACAGTACTGCTACATTGTGTCTTCCAAGATTTGTTAGGGAGTTTGCATCTCATGTTATAGCTAATGTGGACTTATTGACAATTAGTTGGTATACTTCCTTCACCCACCATCAGTGCCATCAAACTACAAGAATTCACTTAGGCACCAAGATGCTGCTTGCTGATGAAGAAAAGGTTGTGAGCTGTATCAGAGACTGGAAGACGCTAATGTGTCACATTTCCTCTTCCTGGGCACACAGGAAGAGAACATTTGCCTGCCTCCCTTGCTGTTAGGTTGAGGCAGGGTTCTGGCCAATGAAAGGCATCTTTATTACTAACTGTGAAACACTGAAAGATCCTCTGCACTTTCTGTCTTTGCTCCCCTGGTGACTTTGAGGAAAGATTTCTGCCTTCTACCTAGAGGAGGCAGAGCCACCAGATGGAAGCAGCCCAAATTTCTGAGTCATTGCTTAGAGGAAAAGTACTCAGAAGGATCACCTGACATAAAGCTGAACTATGAGGTGAGCAAGAAATAGACGACTATGGTGTGAAGCCACTGAGACTTGGTGTTTTTCTTAGAGTAACTAGCATATATTACCCTATTTAGCGGGCAGTTCACACTTCAACTCTGTTTGCAGTAATGGTTTGAACCCTCAGATAGCACACTTTCCTCTTCCCAAGAAGATAATAATAAGTTCTAGTGATTCACTTATGGTTCCTTTGGATTAAGGGTGGAATCGTGCATGGAATCGCCCTCCATCTACATAATTACCATGATATATTAACTCAAGACCGCTGGAAGTCCTGTCCTACAACCAAGGTGATTATTAAAGGGAGTGCAGTCCCATTAGGAAGTTAAATGTCCTGAAAAAAGGAAGAGAATGAAGGCTTGGAGATCAGCAATAATTTTTTATAGAAATTTAAATAAAAATGATGAGGGCCAGAACATAAAGTGGTAGAATAGAGAGAATAACATAGATTCTTTGGGTATGTCTGAAGAAGACAGCAATAAACACTGCTAAGCAATGTGAAATGCAGTGTCCACCAAAGTAGTATACAGGCAGTTTAGCAGGGAGAGAGGGGACCTAGTGGGAGGATAATATACTGTACAAGCAGGAGCAACGGCATGGAGTTCCTGGAATCTAGTTTCAGATTAGTCAACTACTGTGTGACTGCTAGGAAAGTCACTTAAACTCAGTGGATTCCAAACAACATGCAGTGATTTCTTCGTGCTTGAGTCAATGTAAATGTAACAAATACATTAGCTAATAAGCTTTGTTGGTGGAAATGGCACCTTTGCCTTGATTTTTTAGTCATCCATTTAAATCTTCAGCTCATGTAGTTTGTGGAAATATAAGCCGAATTACATGTGACAACCTGCAGCGTGAGATAGATTAAAACACCTAATTTTGATATTGTTTGCCCTTCTCTCTTTTTTTTTTTTTCATCTGTCACTTGCATGTGACAATTTAGAAGTTTATATACTCTCTGGCCTAATTTAGGATGTTGCTGCATTTGGATTTTTAGTCTTAGGAGAGATATGGCTTGAATGAAGCAGTTCTAATACTCATTGCAGAACTCCTAGGTGCTGAATCCGTAGATATCCATGGAAAAATAATTGTCACTGTGCTGTGTAGGAGTGAATCTTTAAAAAGTTCATGCCAACAACAGTGAAAAGGGCATACTTCTTTGCATGGCAAAAACAGAATGGAGTCATTATAGAATCTGTAGGAAACATTCATTAAGAACTTAAATTCCTTCTAAATTAGCCTATTTCCTGGATGTCTCATATTCATACATCTCAACCTGGGAAGACATATTCAGAGAAGGAGTCCTCTGGGTTCAGCCTGTAAATTAGAATTTCAAACTGCTAACAGTTCATGAAAGTCTTCTGTTTTCCCTGGGAAAGCACCAATCTCTAGGGCTTAAATTCACCTGTTCATTTTTGGATTTGGGTTGGATCTGCTAGGAGGAAGCAGATGGTGAAAATCAAACAGGAGATTTTTTAGCTGTTAGGGCACACAGAACAGTTTTGCCAAAATGCCATTTATTGTCTAGAATTCAGAGATGGAGACCATGGTTAGTTGTTCTGGTAATTCCAATGTTTCTAACAGCCACTCTAAAGTGATCATTTAAAAAGAATACACATTTCAACCCCCACAGTCTTAAAAGCACAGCCTACATGCAGTTTAAAAATAAATATACTTCCTCCAACACATTACAAAGCAACGCCTAGATTCTAAGTAAAAACAAAATCTAGCTATTCGTGCTGAAAAATTTCCCCCTTTCCACACAATCCTGCTTTACTGCCCCACAAAGCTACACCTAGATTCCAAGGAATAAAAATAAAATGTAGTTATTCATAGTTTTACCAAGCTGAAGTTTGTTCCTTTTTCACACAATCTTGCCTTACTGCTCCCTCCCAATTCCCCTCCGAATGTTCCTTTTCTTCTCTCCATGCTAGTTGTGCTCTCTTACCCCCACTTTCTACCTTTGCAATCCCTCCTTTCTTTAGATGGGGTGACAATCTAGATTTCTCATGTTTTTACGGCTATGTGGATTGGATAATCGGCTGACTGACAGGAATGTGGACTTAGAACCTTCCCAGCACTGAACTGACACAGTGGTATGTTTCAGGGGTGTTGTAAAGCCCTGGGCCATTGGTATCCATGTGCCCCACCATTCAGAATGGAGAACTCTGCCATCAGAAATCAGAAACCCAGTCTGCTTTGAAGCAGGTTATGACTCAGCTGGTGGGAGAGAAATTCAACACCCAAGATAACAACTGGTGAGGATACCATAAAACATGGTGCACAAGTGTAATTTAATATAGGGGAGAACATCAGAGTCTTGGGGTGGGGCAGAGTAATCTATGACTAATTAAGGTCTCATTCAGACAGAGTGATTTTGAACCATCTTTTGGGAAAAGGATCAGAGATAGTTCAAAAGAAATACAGTTTCCTCAAGGTGTGGGAATGATAGGAGCAAGCCTGTGGCAGAAACAGTTCCTAAGAATAAGGAAAGTAACACATTTGGCACAAACACACTTTGACTTAAAAACATTAATTGAGACCTAAAATGTTCCAGTGGACCACCCCCCCAAAAAAATGAAATCAATTATAACCAGGAGAAAGGTTGATGGCAGGTAGCTCTGAAAACATGAAATAATACACGTGAAGCCAAACTTTGCAAAGGTAAGGTTCTATAGGCTCAGGAATTATCTTTATTGCTATAATTATCAACTAATAAAACTATGTTTGAGTTCTTTATGTGTGTGGGAGGGGTCAGTTGATAATATTTGGCCAAAAATACATCGTGAGTTTTAAGAAAATGTTAGCCACATGTCCATCTGAAAAAAAAGTATTGTTTATGAATTTCTCAAAGTCTCTAAAAACTTACATATGGCATTTCCCCTCCTAGTTTTATTGAGGAAACTCTAGATTATCCTAGAGGAGGCCCTCTGAGGAGAGGCTGTTCCAAGGTAAATTATTATTTCAAATTTATTGACAACACATCCTTAATTATATCTTTGTTGACAGCTAGTCACTTTGTGTGCATAGAATTTGAAACAATGCATATTCCAATTTGCCTTGGAACCAGAGAAACGTTTAACAAAGCATGTGTTTTTGTGTTTTTGTGTTTTTGTGTGTGTGTGTGGTTTTTTTTTTGTTTGTTTGTTTTTTTCCCTGAGGCAGGGTGTCACTCCATCAACCCGGCTGGAGTACAGTGGCACGATCTTGGCTCACTGCAACCTCCACCTCCCAAGTTCAAGTGATTCTCATGCCTCAGCCTCCCATGTAGCTGTGATGACAGGTGTGTGCTACCACACCCGGCTAATTTTTGTGTATATATATATGTGTGTGTGTGTGTGTGTGTGTGTGTGTGTGTATATATATATATATATATATATATATATATATTAGCAGAGACAAGGTTTCACCATGTTGGCCAGGCTGGTCTCAAACTCCTGGTCTCAAGTGATCTACCCACCCTGCCCTCCCTAAGTGCTAGGATCACAGGCATGAACCACTGAGCCTGGCCTGTTTTTGTGTGTTTGATAGTTAACATTTGTTGGCAAAAAACTTCCTCGGTTAACCCTTTCCACATATTCTCCCATTCCTTGCTCTCAGACTATCAAATTTATAAAATCACAGCAACTATAAAGGAACAGAAAGCAAGAGCAAAAATAGAACCGATGGACCATTGGGTTATCTGGTACACCCAGCAGAAGATAAGCCCAGCACTGGCCAGGTGGGTACAGCATGCCAGCACCCCAGACGGACATGCTGGGAGGAGCTGAAATGAGATAGGAAGGGGAATAAGAGCAACTTCCAAGCTTGGGCGCCTGGACTTCACTTATTTGACTTTTCTTTTGAAAAATTAAATTGCTAGATCCAGGGCTTACCTGTGTTCAGCTGAAATATAAAAAATCACTCACCTACTCAACTGTAAATTATTTCAGATCATTTACAATTTCACACAATCCCGACCTCTTCTGTTCTCTCAATTAGTGTAGATAATGATAATTGAACTAAACTATGTAATTAACCTCATATCTACCTAGATTTTTCTTTTTTTGCAAAACCTCAAAGAGAAACGTGTGTCAAACTTGTATTTTATTTTAATATTTTCGTGTTCCTTGAAAATTCTACTTACTCTCATAAATAAAGAATACTTGTCAGAGCTATGCTTTTCAATTTTTTAAAAAACAATTTTTTTTCTAAGCTCCTTCCATAAATTGTTTATTGTTCAATGTGGCTGTGACTTTTCAATGCAGTTACTTATTTTTCATGCCTTCAATTTGGTATAAATATTTCTTTTGCCCAGAATCAAATGCATAAAAGGTTTCCTTTCATCTCAAGGATGCAAGTTATTTTGTTATCTTCTATGGGAAATTAATAATGGTGGGGTCAAGGTGCGGAAGGAAGTTAGCGGATCCCTCTAACTTAATGACTGCATATTGTAATAGAAATAACTCATAACGATGCAATTCCTCTCTTCCCTTCTGATAAACAAGACCATGGCTTAGTGGTCATTCTTTTTCTTTTCTATTTCTCACTTACTCCTGTCCTAGTTATTCAAATACCTAGCCAATGACTTCTAAAGGTGCCACCACCTGAGGTCAGCTACGCTTTCCAGAATTAGACATAAGGGTAGAGATGGATGCCATAATGACTTCTGTCACACATTGGCTCAAGGAACTTGGAAAGCCCAGGGCCCAGGTACTGGCAGCACTTGCCTGGAATATTCTTCAGTGCTCATAGGATCCGTCTGGTCTTAAGTTTGGTGAATCCAGAAAGGGTGGCACCCCTGTTTCCTTCCCATGTCAATCCTAGTCTGTTTTGTCCAAATTCCCAAACAACCTCTCAGATCTTACATTCTGGGTGGCTCGTGGAGGATGGAAGTGCTGCTCTCCTAGTTCGCACTCTATCCTGCATACTTCTCAGAGATGTTTCCCATGATTCATTAAGACATCTGGGTTCTTGATTCAGAACATTTCCCATCATGAAGTATCCTGAGAGCATTCTTTTATATAGGTTTTCCCCTAAGAAATAATGTAAAAACCTAGGGGGAGAAACATCGATGTGCTAATCTCCATTCCACTTCACAAATTCATATAAATGTTCTTCAAGCCCCAATTTGACATGAAGGAATGGTACCCTAATGAGCAAATGTTATGGTAAGGGGTTCATCGAGGCAGTTATTTTAGACATGTACCTGGGCGGGTTGTGAACCTTCAGTCTAAAACTGTTTCATTAACAGCAGATGACCCTGGTCACTGACAGGTGAAGAAACAGGCCTTTCCTCAACTCTGCAAGCCACAAGGCCCAGCAAAGCCTCCTGCCTCTTGGCAAAATAACCATCCCACCAAGAGCTGCATAAGATGCTTTTTAAGTCCTATGACAAGTGCTTGGGCTCCCTCCTACAACCATCTTGATACTTTGCAAGAATGGTAAACATAGACTTAGGGACTTCCATAAACGTTTAAGTGCATGTGAGCGCCAGGGCAGCAATAACTTTAGAAAGCAAATGCTGAACAGTGTTTTAAATCTTTTGCTCAATATTGTCCGGATTGGTGGGCATGAAGCAGTCCTTCCTAAGAACAGGAAGTCACCCGATTTAATTTGCAAAGTTAACGTTAACCTCAACTAAATCAGAGTTCACTGGCAGAATGGTTTAGAGGTTTTCAGTGTCTTTCTGGCATTGAAATGATAAAGGCAGAGAAAGTAGTTTTCAAAGTCAGTTTGGTTTTATGAAATGTTCACCAAAATAATCATAAGACAGAAGATAACCAAAGGAGATAATCATAATCAGAAGAGAGCATGATCTCCAATGATAAAATTATCTTTAAAAAAAACCCTTGACCATTGGAATTTTCTGAACTTGTGGAAATGAAAGTCATGATCTTGTTTTGCACTAGTACCTTCCAGTCTGGAGACCTAGGTTCTAATTCCCTAATTTATAGAACAGCATCTGAAATGCCATTACCAATCTTTCTTCCATAGACATTTTTTTAAGCCCTAAAAACCTTATTTTGCTCATTTACTTAAAGTTAACTCATGGTAATTTGCACTATTTGAAGGAAGTGATATCATGGTTAACAGAAAGCAGCAAATAATTTTTAAAATGACGTATTTTATTCTTCGGAAGATATTTTAGGTATCTGCATTTAAATAGCCATATGTCTCAAACTCTAGAAACTGGCAACATTTCAAATTAAATAGTGCATCCCTGCTGAAAGGATGAGGTGGTATACTGTAGTATTATAGTTACAAAACAGGCTTCATAATTTTGGACAGACTCAGGTTCAAGCAGTAAGGCTAGAATAACTAGTTATGTGATCTTGGGCAACATATTTATCTTCTCTGTGACTTCATTTCTTCAGCTACTAAATGGTGATGATATTTGTACCTCATGGCATTATCAGGAATAGATGGGATAATACTGATGAAGTGCTTTTGACAGGGCTTGGCCTATGGCAAGTGATTCTTATTTTATATGGCATGTGGTAGGATCCTCTTTCCTGTGTATTCTCTCTAATTTACCCCTCTGAGTGACTTTGCGGGTTAGAGAAAATAGTACATCTTGCTTTTCTTAACAAAATTACACAGAGTAGTTTACAAGGTCAACCAATAGCCTCTAAGAAAGAGTTCACATGCACCACAGGCTAGGAAGCACCTTGGAGGACCTCTGATACCTTCCCTGATCTGATGTCTGTGCTCAGACTCCTACAGGCCAGTCATCTGCACGTTCCCCTCTGGCTGCTGGGAACTCACTGCTCTCCAGGAAAGCTCACTTCACTGTAGGGCAGTTCATCATTAGGAAGCTCATCATTTTGCTGGGATAAAATATGCTTCCTTGGGATAAAATATGCTTCCCACTCATTGACCCTGGTCCAGGCCTCCACAGCAATGCAGAATAAATATATTTTCTATTTCACATGAAGATATTTCAGATACTTGAAGAGGATTATTGTGCTCCCTCTAAGTCTTTTCTGTGTCAGGTCGGCTATTTTGAAGACTTTCAAACATTTCTCATGTGGAAGGCATGTTGTTGAGCCCTTTCCTGGCCAGTGGCTACTTTCTACACAGCTCAGGTACAGTGTGATGAGTGGAACAGAACAGGACATCACAGTGCACCCTGACCAAGAGAAAGTAAAGCAGGTTGGAGCCATCCCTGGAAACACTGGGTATCTAAAGGCCTGAATTTGCATCCTGGGTCTGCCTTTCTCCAGCAGAGCGGTCTTGGGTAGAGGCACTCAACCTCTACATTGTTTGCTTTTCTCACTGGCACATGTTGGTGTTAAATTTTATCTAGTCATATATAGTGGATCATATCAGCCTTTTTGACCCCATTTCTTCATCTAATATAAACTATTCATTCAGGTTTCATTAAATTTGTATGACTGGCATACCATAATGTGCATGTCCATGCCACAAATTAAAGCAAAATGTAATACATTGCAAATCCAGCTAGAAGCCCAGAGCAGAGCATTGGGAACCTGCAGTAGGGTAACCAGGGCTTCAGTGGTTTATTAAAGAAGTAGTTGTTGTGCACTGATTATGTGCCAGGTAAGATACTGGGTTCAGGGCATATAAAGATGAACAAGAGAGTTCCTGTCCTTACCCTCAAGGAGCTTGGAGTCTAATAGACCATCTATTAATGGGCTTTTGGGGGCACTGTGGACAATGCCCTTACAACCATTGTTCCAGCTTTTGTTGGTACAAAGATATAAACATGGCAATCCCCTGATCACCCAGTATGGTCCCAAAGGAAACCAGTTTAGTAGGGAAAAACCTGATCTTAATGAAGGCATGTTGACTTAATGATTTTTTTCTCCTAAAGTTTTGTCTGATATATATCTTTTTTACAAATCATATATAATGTGGCTGATGTAACCATGGGAACTATCTACATTATGATCTGGAAAATAGATGCCCTACTCTTAAATTGAAAATGTATACTATAATAAGGAATACATGAAAATTGAACTTTACTATGGCAGTGGTTCTCAACTAGGGGTACTTTTGCTTCTGGATTTGACATTTGGCAATGTCTGGAGACATTTTGTGTTGTCCCAAGTGGGAAGATATTATTGGTATCTAGTGAGTAGAAGACAGAGATGCTGTTAAGTATCCTACAATGCATAGGGGACTTCCTGTTCCAAAGAATTTGCCAGGCAAAATGTCAGTAGTGATAGCCAGGGTGAGAAACCCTGCTTGGGAAGAGGAAGCAGTAGAACTGAGTGGTGAAGACCACAGGCGTGGGAGCCAGAGAGTCCTGTGTTTGAAACCTCTTGTGGTGACCACTTCATCCTGCCTCAGTTTCTGCATCTACAAAGTGAAGATGGTAACAATACTGAATTCAAAGAGAGGGTTAGAGAGGTAATGCACATGAAGCACTCACAGTGTCTGGCAGAGAGGTATGGCTAAATAAATGGCGGTTATTTATTTATTTATTTTTTTGCTCTGTCAATTTTTCCTCTGAATACTACATGTTTTGACATGAGTGAAATAGATAGATGTAGCCAGAGAAATGTATAATACTTGGTATTTCATGAAGAAATCTGTTGTTTTCCTGTGTTTAAAGAAACAACTCGAAACAATTTGATCTTCAAATGTTAGCCAGCTCCATGAGTCAAATAATATCCTCTGTGCTGAGCTGCCTGAAGTATTCCACTGAGATGCTAACTGCCAAATGGATTAATATTTTAATGACTGCTCAAAGAGTTTATTTTCAAATATGAGTATGCCTCATATTTTTAGACTGAAATAAATGCTCCCAATATTATGGAGATGAGGGTATCAGCTAAGCATAAAGGTAGACGCAACTATAACACTTCAAAACTGTGATGTTAATGAAGATGTACCCTGGTTGCCAGCTATTATTTGCTTTAAATGCAATTTGATATTAATGGTAGCACAAAAGTGTTATTTAATCTTTATTTATAAGACGAACATCCTTGGGAGATCTTGCCAGTTTGTGCAAAGTATAGGCATACATTTAGATTCTTACTTAATATTCCAAAAAAGCCTACAAGACACATGCTCTCAAGTGTGGTGCTTGCTTTCAATGAGGTAATGATGGTTGGTGCCTCTGCAAATTGATGTGAAGTCTTTGATGCAGGGAATCAAGGGATTTGAAAAAGAAATATTGGAAACTGTATTGTTTCTTGCATTAGAAAATGAAGATGAGATGCAATGACCTGTGAGTGTTTGTGTCTCCCCCAATTTCATATACTGAAATCCTAACCCACAATGGAACGGCATTAGGCGGGGGGGGGGCTCAAGGCAGTCATTGTGTAATCAGGGTAGATACAGCCCTTATGAATGAAATTCTTGCCCTTAAAAAAAGGGGGACCCCAGGCAGCTCTCTTGTCCTCTTTCTGTCATGTGAGAATACAATGAGATGATAGCAGTCTGCAGCTCAGAAGAAGGCCCTCACCAGAAACGGACCATGCTGGCACCTTGATCTTGGACTTCAGCCTCCAGGACCATGAAAAATAAATTTCTGTTATTAGTTGCCAAGTCTATGGGATTTTGTCATTTCAGCCTGGACAGAGTAAAACATAAGAGAACATTGGCACCCGTGTGGGAGGTGGGTACGGAGATGGCTGTATCACCCAGTTAGTTTCTCCCAGTCCTTCTCTGACCTTCAACAGTGGTAGGTAGGTGATACTGCCTACTCTACATGTTTATTCAAGCCATTTGCATAGGAAAAGATATCCTTTGATGCAAAGATTAAATGTTCATTTCTATCTATTTTGTTACTCTTATTTTAGTGCTCAACACCTTTCAAATTAAAAAGAAACATATATTTGGTAGCCCTTTCAAATATAGATAAGATTACTTCTAAATGAAATTTCTTTATCCAATTTTTAATTAAATTGCTAAAGGAAATTACGTCTGTTGGCTTAAAAACAAATTATGGTTAAGTTCATCAATTATTTATAATATGTACAATTTAATCCCTTATTAGGATTGGTGAGGGGTTCAAAGACGCTGAGTTTACCAAGTGAAACAATCGTGAATATGATAAAGGGTGTATGCTAGTCCTTCAGAAAATATTTTGTATTAATAGCTTTGACCAAAGATTTGTATAAATATATGTATAATACTTATGAGTACACTTAGTGCTCAATTTATATAAGCTGCTATTTAGTAAGCTGTATTTTTAAATTACTGGGGGAAAGCGGAAATCAAAATTTGGTTCTGTCCAAAGATACCAGCTAAAGAACACCAACAAAAAAACTTTCCTGTACCTCTTTCCATGCTATTTTGCCCACAACCTTAACTCTAATCCTAGTAAACAACCCTCTCTGGGAACAAGTGGTAATTGAATCTTCATGCTAATTCTATCCTGGCTTTCTTTTGACTGCTAGCTCCCAATTATGCCAACATATTACACTATGTACTGTTCTCTGGGAAAATGCTAAGACTACCTTGTTCATTCAGCTAAGGTCAGACCTTTAAAAAAAAAAGAAGGCTGAAGATTTAGCTAAAGACAATTTAGTTCCTAACAAGCATCTGTTTTTCATTTTGGGTGGAAGGTTAACATTGCTTATTTTAGTTATAAACCAGGTGCAGGAACAGATAAGTAGGAGTGTATTAAGAGTTAAGTTTTTGTTATCCTGCCAGATGTTGAACACAGAGTTGTGGTTGTATGGTTGGAGTGTTGGGGTGTTGGGGGCTACATGTCAAAGAAATTTCTATGACCTGGCCGGGCTCAGTGGCTCACGCCTGTAATCCCAGCACTTTGCGAGGCCGAGGCGGGCGGATTACGAGGTCAGCAGATCGAGACCATCCTGGCTAACACGGTGAAACCCTGTCTCTACTAAAAATGCAAAAAAAAATTAGCTGGGCATGGTGGCGGGCACCTGTAGTCCCAGCTACTTGGGAGGCTGAGGCAGGAGAATGGCATGAACCCAGGAGGCGGAGCTTGCAGTGAGCCAAGATCATGCCACTGCACTCCAGCCTAGGCGACAGAGCGAGACTCCATCTCAAAAAAAAAAAAAAAAAAAAAAAATTTCTATGACCATCAGATGTATCCATTGCATGGAATCAAATTATCACTTTATTAGTTACCCTTTAATTAGTTGATATAACAGAGGACATGCAGTTATTTAGTCATGATTGGTCTAAGACTCAGCACTTAATACATGAACGTAAAGATGGAAAGAGTAGACACTGGGGGCTTCAAAAGTGGGAAGGCTGGAAGGAAGTTGGTGGTTGAAAAATTATTATCTATGGGGTACAATGGTCATTATTTGGGTGATGCATACACTAGAAGTCCAATCTCTCCTTATGCAATATATATGTGTGTGTGTGTGTGTGTGTGTGTGTGTGTAATAAACTTGCACATGTACCCCTTGAATCTAAAATAAAATAAAAAAGACTCAGTACTTAAAGAGTAGAATCTGATTATGTTACTACTGGTAAATAGTAATTCAGAGATAATACCACTTTTTTTATAAAGAGATATTGTACATTTTAACAACATATATGCATACGCACATTTAAGAGTTAGGTAAAACTTAAGAAAAAAACCCATTAACTTAAAGATTTCCTACTTTCTCACCCCCCTCACGTCCACACCAGAATATCACCAATAATTATTACTAACGGTCACAGGCAAGTCTTGTCAATTGAAAGAAATAATTCAAAGTAACAAGAACCATTCAAATATTTAACTAAATATTTGATTAAATATTACAAATTTATTTAACTTGAAAATTCAATTGATTCAATTTTATATTCCTTATTAAAAACCAAATCAACACATATTTTTAAAGAATCTATTATGAGCAAGATTCTAGTCAGGAGTTGTAGAACTATAAAGAAGAAGAAAGGGCTCCCATGCAAGATACCTCTTTACTCTTTGGAGGTAATGGCATTAGTCAGAATACACTCTAAACTTGTGATTTGATTGTTAAACATTCTTATAAATAGCGAGGATACCCCCATTTCAGGCTATGCTGTGCATGTTTCTGACATGTGCACTTTTGCATGGTATTTTACATGCTGGCCCTTATTGCTTAGGAAGAAGAGATGAGTGGTATTGTTAAAATTTTATGTTTTAAGGAGGTAATAGTTTATAGCTTCCTTTACTCTTTTATAGTGGTTATTCAATGACATATTTGTAGGCCAGATAACCTCTCTTTTATGATCTCTTAAGCTAAAAACAAAAGAAAAATTACATATACCTTGAGGTGAATTGGATCATTTCTATTTTGCATTGCACTTGAGTAATGTTTTGAGTTGAATCTTCTCAGGGTTCTAAAATTAAGTTAATCCATATGTAATTAGGAACATTCTTAACTAGAGAGTCCTGGTTAGCAAGAGATTGGCAGATTATTCTGAAACACTAGTTAGCAAACCATGGATAGCAATTAAATAAAAAAAAAAGAATAAAATTCTCTTTAAAATAGGTTGTTGCAATAACTTAATGTGGTAATATGATTTTCTATTTTTAATTGCTGTAGACAGTGCATTTTTTAAAGCAAAATTTTGTCTTCTGAGAGCTAGTTTCATAATTTTGTACTACTTATGCTATTTAGCACTTCAGTAAGTCTTCTGCTTTTGCAATCCCTTTTGATTTGTGATGGATAAAATAAACTAAAGGTTAGTAAAGATAGTGTTGCACCTCTTAAGCAAACAGACAATATTTTGGAGAAACTAAGTATTTCTCTTTATGAGACTGTATGACCTTATGTTATACAGTTATGTTATATTTATGCTAATGTATAATGCTTTTATAACAATGCTTTTATTCCCAGAACAATTATACTTAACATTGACACTTAAAGATGTTCCTTTTTTATATTCAACTAATGACAACTTTGCTCTATATTCCGTGTCAATATCAGGATTCAGGGAGGGCTGAACCTAATGAACGCATGGTTCTTCATTTACCCCTCCCCAGATACCATGTGCTTAATGCTGTGTATAGTCCCTTACTTATGTCTTCATTTGCAGTAGTCATTTCAGAAGGAGTTGATGACAGTGCCTTCTTTTAGTAAATAACAATAAGTCACAGTCTACCGAATATAAAACCTGTAGATGCTCAGTTGCTTAAAACCACCTTTATTACATAAAATATGTTTTCTTGGTCACTAAATTAGTATGAAAATACAGAGGAGGTTGTTTCTTCAATTAAATGTGAAAGATTAATCACTGTAGCAATTTGTTTCATAATAGAAAACAAATGTCAAAAATGAAATATTTACTTTTTAAGTCTTATATGTCCGAGAAAAAAGTATTGGAGAAGCATAACAATCTGGTGCTATTTGCATATATGTTGATTGAGTTGACATGGAGTTTACATATAAATAAAATATATTTAATACTAGAATTAGGTAATGCGTTTATTTTTATTATAACTTCACATGCTGTTTTTAGAGGGCAAGAAATTTTCCCCATATCCGAAGTAGAATGTGGAGGGAATAAAAAGTGGCAGCCCTGAGTCTTAGCTCTCTGGTATTCTGGGGGTATGCCTTTGGGGGAAAGGGGAAATAACGAGGATTTCCCAAAGTACCATCAAAGTAAAACAAATGAATGTAAAAGTGATAAATGCTACTTTTCTATTTCTCTCTTGCTCTTATTTTCGCCACCCTGCACTACTGATGGCAGCACCACCAGATCAGAATGAACAATTAACTGTCTAATTATTCGAGTCACACCAACCCACAATGAAATCTTTATTCCGTGTTTACAGCAATCTTTGGCAGAGGCTGTCTTGCTGTTTCTAAACTAAGAAGAACTGCCCTTTGGCTCCTCTCGGCATCAGCTGCCTTGGTTTCAGCCCTGGATGCCAATAATCAGACTTCTTTTTCTTCCAAAGTGGACATTTTTTTTTTAGGGTGAAAAGACCTATTCTCATCACCCCCCCCCATATATTCTGGCTGATTTATGTTCTCGCCACTGCAGCTCTTCCTTCCGTGTCTCTTTACGTTTTTCCTTTCTCCATAGAACACCATCAGCAAAACCCCATTTTAAGTCCAAAATTGAAAAAAAATGCTTGGCCAAACAGTGCTCACTACTATGAGGGAAAGAAAAATACAACTACTGGTTTATGGGTAGAGGGAAGTCAAGGGACTCCCTCCTGCTTTTCTGAACTGCTAATTTTCTAGCTCAAAAGGCATTCAATAACTTCTCCACCAGGGGAAAAACATGTCCACTTTTCAGTGGCTCTCTTGATGACTTCCAACTATTTACTTAAATCCACCAACAGCTGCAGGTCTTTGAGAAGCTTCAGAACTTGGGGGATATTTACAAATGTATAAGGGTCTGAGAGGGTAGAGGGTACATCTGAGTCTCTTGGAGATGGTAAGAGAAGACTACTGCGCTATGACTGACAGGAAGAGAGAAGTTAATACCAATCCAAAGTCTAGAAGGAGGCAGTGCTTTTACCCAATGGAGGAGGGAAAAATACCTTGGTTAGCCCTCTGGGCTATCTCAGGGAGTCCTCTTCCTGAATCTGAGAGCAGAGGACAAGCAATGCTAGATCTGTTATCCTATGCTGCTCAACTGCTTTCTCCAGACGAACATTGCTCTGCTCTTTCAGGATAGTGGCGTCTTCCTTCCGATTCCAGTCTCTGAACCCTGTGTAACAGTTCCCCTAACAACTCTCAATCTCTCCTCTCAACCCTCAGCACTTACTACAGTCACAACGCCTTTCCGGTGAGAACTGGGTCATAAAATTTTACAGGGCAGAAAGGTAGAAGGGGGCGTTTCAGTAGTATAAACACTGATTAAATTTCCCGGCAACTCTCCCCAAACGAAAGATAATTTTTCTACAAGTATGCACAAGAATGTCAAGAATGCTAAGTCATTTTTATGTTTGTACTTTCCTTTTCCATTTTAATTTTATACTGCCACATGGCACACATGCTAAAAATGTATCTCCTTAACCTGCAGTGTAGCAAACTTTTCACAAAACATTAAAATGGCATATTTTATAGACTGTCCTTTCCCAGGATGCTCAAAGTATTTTTTTGGATACAAAATTAGATCATCTCACGACAACTGTCCTGTTAGAAAGGCACAGTTACTTGAGTATCTGCAGAGAGCGAAAATCAGAAGCACTGAAAAGAAAGGTCACGCCAAAGTCAATGGCCAGAGCCTCAGTAGATGCTGAGAGCTTGGTTCACAGCCTAAGTAGACTCTAAGAGCTCGGTTCCAATTTATAACACTTCCCTCCTGCTCTTCATTTGTCTCTTTTTTCTCTGGCAGGAAGGGATGTGGCCAGCGTGGAGGCTTGACCTCATCTCCTGCACTCAGCTTAACTCTGCCATACTGTTCTCCCACACCCTCGCCCAGCTTTCTGCTGCATCAGCTGCCCAAGCCTGCACCCTGGGCAACATCTGAACAGGGTCAAGCCAAGAGTTGGCAACCACAGGTGCCCTTACGGATTCCTCCAGTGTCAGGACCTGAATCCTTTCAGCATGTCCAACGAGACTGCAAGGGTGACACTAAAGGGAAAAGATTTTCCCAGGTTATATAAATAAATGAAAGGGAAACGCTGGGTCAACTCTCAAGATGGCTATGCCTTCAGGGTTCCCCAGCCAGAGGCGGCTGAGGAAGGTGAGCAGATAGGAACATAATACTCATCTATAAGCGTGGGTTCAAACTCATCCTAGTTTCAACTTTTTGTTGTTCTTAGGTAGATCCAATTCCTTAGCTGAGTCCCTGACAGCACCACAGCTCTGAGTGGGTAATTTCCTTTGGTGGAAAGACACACATCAGAGACTGGAGGAGGTCCGGGGACATTTCATTTGAGGGGAGGCGGCTGCAGGTTCAATTTGCAGGCGATTTATAACAATCAGAAAAAAAATTGTTCCTGGTGCTCGTGCCAATAACAAGAGCATTAATAATAATAGCAACAACATAGTAAACTCTGAATCTACCAGGCGACCAACTCCCCGATTGTCTGGTACTATCCCCTCTCACTTCCAGCCTGGTCTCGGCAGAAACAAACAAAACAAAACAAGGCTCTGACGCTGCCTCCGGGCTGCCTTCCAGATTTCAGCCCCCACTGCTGCCCCAGAGGCGGATAGCTAGGCAAAGGCTGCTGCAGTCTCTCCGATTGCTAAGGACACGTTGAGAGTCCTCGGTAACGTTCTCTTTGCAAATCTGAAACTTTAGCCCCATTTGACCCCCTTGCCCCCGGCTCTTCCCCCAGAGTAACTACAACAAGCAAAAACCAAACAGCGAGCGCAATTCAGAGCTTTCCTTGGGAGTGTCAGGGCCCGAGGACAGGAAATCCGGGGAGTTGGCGAAGTCCGGCAGGTGGCGGGGACTCGAGTACCCACCACATTCTCCTCCCACAGCCGAGCTCCGGCGGGGGCGCGGCGCGAGGCACGGACCAGGGATCGGCCCCGTAGGTGCCTGCGCCTCCCCGGAGCCTGGCTCTCTGGTCCCCTTCCCGGCGCACATCTCTGTGCGAGGGACGCGGCCACCCTGTCCCCTCTGCAGGCGGAGGGAGGCGCCACCGCCTGCGGGGCCAGCGAGGGTGAAGCCGTGCCAAGCGCCCCCACAAGCCGCGCTCCTGGATCCCCAGTCACCATCCCCAGGCGCGCGCAGTCCCCGCTCCCAGCGCGCCACGTCCTCCACCTGCCCCGGTGCGCCCCAGCTTCCCTGCTTCCAGAGAGCAGCTCCCCCAGTCCCGGCAGCCCATTTCCAACCCCTTCTCCCACTAAGTCCGAGGAAGTCGAACTCGGAGCGGCCGGTAGGCTCGTCGAGGTGGCAGGGAGTTGCTGGGAGAGCACAGCGCGGAGAGGGACCGCGCACGCCGCCCGGGGATTTCGCCCCAGAGGGCTGGCTCCGCGCGCCCGGAGTCCCAAGCCCCAGAAGCGGGGCCCGACCCGAGCCCTCTGCGTTACCTGGCACCGCCGGCGACTCTCCGGAGACCTTCGGTCCTAACTGCTCCAGGGCGGGCGTTCTGCTCACGTAGCTGCCTCCCCCACTGGGCGGCTGGTGCCCCGCTGGGTCTCTTCACCCCTGCTCGCGGCGCTGTCCCCGCCCCCCACCCCCCTACCCCCTCTGTCAGAAGTGTCACAGCTTTTCTGCCTTCGGATGTTTCGCAAAGTCTCCGTGCGGTTGCCAGGAGTTGGGGGGTACTGCCAAGTGCACCAACCCCGCCGATGCCCTGCCCTGCCCTCCCGCGGCCACCGCGTTCGGCCTGTCCAGTGAGAAGAGCCCCCTGGTCGCGGTCACCGTCCCCCGAGCGTGGCGCGCGGTCCGCTTCCCCTCCCTCGCGCCTTCCCTAGCAGGAGTGGCTGCTGCCTGCCTGTACCGCGGGTCCTCATTCCCCTGCTCATGAATATTCTGACAGAGGCTAATGCCGCTGAAGTAAATTGAATTAGCCAATTGGTGCCAGGAATGTGCGCTCCTTCCTTCTGAGGAGCTGTCTGGAACCCCACCAGATGAAAGCAATTAACGTCCGGTTGGCACCCTGTGGTTTAGACCAGTGAGGGGCAAAATGGGTTAATTCTTTAAATGCAGTTTAGATACCGCATTTAAATGTTTCAACTCCTCTATTGGCTGAGAGCGTAAGGAAATGTTAAGAGGGAGAGAGAAGAAAGGGGATGTGTGGACGTGGGGAGGGGGGCGGGGGTATTTACATCTAAACTTTCCCCTGAAGTTGAGGTAATTATTTTGCACAGATTCTGGAAGAGGCAATTGAGGAGTAGAACAGGATAAGGCAAATAAAATCAGAAAGGAAATGAGTACCAACTCGGGTTTAACCTTGACCTTGAGGGTGCAAAAGACATTGTTTTCAAGAGGAGAGGTAGGGGAAGATGGCATGTGTGAGGGAAACCTCACTCATCGACTTTTAAGAATTTCTTCAAATGCTCAGATTTCCTTTTCTTTTTGTCCTCATAGGAAAATCTTAGAGTTTTAAGCCTTTAACTAGAGATGGGGTGGAGGTATATTAAGGGTCAGAAATTTCTGAGGTGGAAGCTGAGACCACCCTTCTCTCCCAGATGAAGGGGGTCCCCCAAATCACACAATACTGTGACAGGCCCATTCCAGAAGGCAATTCCAGCTCTTATTTCTGAGGTCAGAATACACAAGGTCAAAAGGAGAGATCACCTCTCTCCTGTCCTGATTCCTACCCTAGAATGTCAAGTTACTGACGACAACTTGGGTTTCACAGTGGCTGGAGGGGGACTTTTTGCCCGATGTGGTTTCTACATTTCTCTTCAAGCAAGGTGCTTGGAGGATTTCCTCCCCCATCACTGATTGTAATAGAGCAAGTTATTTTGATTGAATTGATAGGTTACTAAATAATCTATTTGTACAACTGCTCTGTGGCCAAATGATCAATGTGTGTAAAGAACTGATAAAATGATATATATAAACATCCAATAAGATTCCCAAGTGTGTGACAATAGAAATAGTATCCCAGTTAAGGCAGTCATGCCATATTTTAATAGCTTTCAGCAGGCCTAGAATTAGAACTCATAGTTATAACAATGATTATTAATAGCAGAATAGCTAATGTTTATGGAGAACTTGTTATGTGACAGACATGTGTTACACATGTTATTTCATTTCATTTTTCCAACAACTCTATTCAGTCTAGACTATTATTTCTCTATTTTAATAGATGATGCAGATGTGGCTCAATAAAGTAAGGGCAGTTGACCCTTGAACAACATGGGGGTTAGGAGCACTGACCCTCGTGTAGTCAAAAATCCGCATATAACTTTTCACTCCAAAAACTTAACTACTAATAGCCTACTGTTGTCTGGAAACTTTATGGATAACATAAGCAGTCGACTAACACATATTTTATATGCTATACATTTTATATGCTGTATTCTTAACAATAGTCTGGAGGAAAGAAAATGATACTAAGGAAATAATAAGGAAAATGAAATGTATTTACTATTCATTAAGTGGAAGTGGATCATCATAAAGGTCTTCATCCTTGTTGGCTTCATGTTGAGCAGGTGAAGGAGAAGGAGGAAGAGGGAGGCTTGGTCTTGCCCTGTCAGGGATGACAGATGGGAGAAAATCCATGTCTAAGTGGACTCATAGAGTTCAAACTTTTGTTGTTCAAGGATCAACTGTAGTGTGTCCAGGTCATATAGCTCATAAGTGGGGAGATCAACTTTGACCCAAAGGACTCTGATTAGTGGTCCAGGGCCTTCCGGTCTCTAGCAGCTTAAACTGTCTTCTTGTCTAAAAAGAAAATCAGTTTCTTGGTGTTTTGTTGAAGTGACTTGTTTTTGGTGATCAATTTCTTACACAAAATTTAGAGAAAATCATGAGTCTTTTTTTTTTTTTTTGGATAGTGTGATGGTTAATTTTATGGGTCAACTTAACTGAGCCATAAGGTACTCAGATATCTGGTGGAACATTATCGTGGAAGTTTTTGTGAGAGTGTTTTTTGGATAAGATTAGCATCTAAATTGGCAGACTGGATGAGGGAGAGAGATTGCCTTCCGTAATGTGGGTGGGCCTCATCCAATCAGTTGAAGGCCTGAATAGACCAAAAGGTTGATCTACCCTCAGATAAGGGCTGGCTTTTCTCATGTTTTTATAGGTTCTTATGAGAAGTCTTTGGGATGAAAGATGTCTTCTTTTACCTTCTACAAACGTGTGTTTGAAAACTTTTTTTTACCAAAATTATATTCCATTTACTGAAAGGAAACAGCACATTATAAAGTGCTGTTTCTCTGCACAGAGCTTGTGTCTAGTTTTTAGGACTAGATATTTGCATATTTTTATAGGTCTTATGAAAAGCCTTTGGGATGAGAAATGTCTTATCTTCTACGATGGTAAAATTTTCTGGCCTGATGGGAAGAATTTTCTGGCCTGATGGCCTTCAAACTCAGACATCATCTCTGCAGATTATGGATTTGCCAGCCTCCCTAATTGCATGAGTCAATTCCTTATACTATATCTACCCATCTACCTACCTACCTGCCTACCTACCTACCTTTAGTTGGTTCTGTTTCTTTGGAGAACTTCAACTAATACAAATTGATATATTCAGTAAACACAACTATTTGTGAATCTCCCATGGATATCAAATGTCTCCATCTCCCAATACATTGGTACGCAGTGTGCAGTTTTTTTACTTAAGATTTTCCAGGCCTATTATTAATAAGGTAAGAGCAATTTTATTTTTCCTGTTTTTTTAAACATGGGTGAGACTACCAGATTTAAATAACATTTTATCTTTCAAGTACTGAAAATGGACTATAATATATTAGATTAAAGCAAAATTTATAGATATTATATAAAGGGAGAAATTTGAGTATTATAATTTTAGGGATAAGAATGATCAGGTTAAATCTTTGAATTCAACAGTTGTTGAGTACCCACTAAATGCAAGGCACATGTCTATTCAAATGTTTTCTGTTCAAATCCACAGTTAAATCCCTTTTAAACGTTGAGGATCTGCCATATTTTATTCTCTGAAACTTTGGGTAGTTTAAAACTTTTTATGTTAAAAAAGTGTATGACTGTTTTATTCTCATATTAAATACTGATGATTTTCCCAATCATGATTCCTCCCTTACAATGCTCTGTTAGTTCTTCCTTTTACAGAGAGAATCCACTTAGGATTTAGAAGCAGCATTTCACAGAAATGTCTTTAGATGTTAGAATATGTATTTATATGAATATGTTAACATGATTTTAGAGCTCATAAAATGTTATCAGGATGAGTGCTTTCTATATTTCCTCAAGAGTCTCAGTGGGCAGAGTCAGGGGAAGACCACTGGAGTCTGAGCGGGGACACTGGCTCCTTGTTGCAGGTGTGGGCCCTCTTGGATAAGCCATTCTCCTTTGGAGTGAACCAAGTTAGTGAGTGTGCAAAGTGGAAAGAATAATACACTCTTTATTGAGTGCTTTGCTACTTGCAAATTGCTCTCCCATATGCTTTCTCATTCCATCCTTCTGACAACCCTATGAATTCAGTATTATTATCTATATTTAATTGATGAGGAATCTCAAGCTCACAGAGATTCGGTAGCATTCAGAGCTTCTCCTAGGAAGGGATAGAACAGGGACTTTAATCCAGGAACAAAGTCACCTTCTCAGTGAAACTGTGTTTGACATCTCCCTCTGCCTTCCCTCCCTCAGCCCTGCCATGCACACACACACTTCTTTTTCCAGTGGAAATAACAATTCCCTCCTTCGTGCTCCCTTAGGACATCCAAGATGTGTAAATAAATTGTTACAACGCAATGTGTTGTTTCTACCAGTAATCAAAAGCAAACTGAAGTCAGTAACTTTGTCTTAATAATTTTTGTGTCCCCAAATTTAGCTGAATGGGAAGCACTCAGCACCAACACCAGTCCTAGCACACTTCTGAAAATGTGTTCCATTGACTCTACTGGGCTATCAGGAATAAATGAAATAGTTGGTAGGTGTCTGGAAATTTAAAAACACCATATAACGATATTATTGTTATTCAAAAGTAGATTCCGAAACAAATATAATAATTTCAGCCTTGACCTCTGGCTGATAAATTCTATGGGTGAGAAAAGCATTTGATAACTTTTATGTCAGCTTCTGTTTTGGGGACATGGATGGATAACACTTGCTCAAATTATAATCATCTGGTTAATAGTAGCACTAAACTGGCCCATTAGGCAAGAAGGTATTCGTCTGGGAGAGGTGAGTCAGTGTGTGTGTGTGTGTGTGTGTGTGTGTGTGTATGTGTGTGTGCATGTGTGTGTGTGTGCAGTCTTTCTGCATTTTAAGAGTATTTTTTCGTGAATAAGCAGTCTCAGCCACTAGTACAGCTGTATTTCTCTAAAGAAGGGCCCTGCTTTTCTCATATAGGATGATCTTTATGAAGCGCTCCCAAGGTTACAGAGTTAATGACAGAGCTGAGGCTCCTGACCCCTCGTTCAAGGCTATTTTCACTACCCCACACTGGCCTTGATTGGCAGCCATTGCCCATACAGTGTGGTTTATGGTTTTAAGATTGAGATGAGAGATAAGCAGTTCAATATCTCATTATAATTAGTCTCCTGAGTCAGCTAATACCCTTCTAATGCAATTTGGCAATCTAGATTATTCAGTATTATCCATTCAAGATATTTTTGGATGTGTAATGATAATTATTTAGTAGAACTGATGACAATGACACACCAAAAACACTTTTATGCCTTCATAGCCTGTCTTTTCCATACATATTCATTAATGAACAGTTGATTAAAAAAATACACACAGACAACATTCACAAAGTTAGGAATTCCTACTAATCTACAGGTTCTTTATTTTCTGTAGCAGTTGTATGTAATTCAGATGATGTTTCTGGACTGATTTTATTAAGGACATTTGCAGTTTTGTGTTATCTTACTTTTGTTTTTGTGTAACATATACTTATTTTGTCCTTTAAATTTATGGGTTAATCAGTGACTTTCAGTCATTTTCAGAAGAAGAAATTGGTTCCCTCACTGTAGATGTCTGTCGATTCCTGTCTATGTCTCACTGTGTTCGTGAATAAAATAGAGAAAAAATGTATCTCACCACCATCACCTCCAAGAAGAACTAGCTGTAGAAACAGTGTTTGTGACAACCTTCTTAAGTTGACACTACTGATCCATTCAGTTGAATCTGACAAACGAACACGATGTCCTTGCCATGGGCAAGGTGCTGTGCAAGTGATTGTAAATGTTTCAAAGAGGAATAAAACCAATGACTGCTCTCAAGGAGCTTATAATCTGGGAGAGGGGCCTTGATATTTAGCAAAACAAAAGATCTAAGGCAGAAATGGAGATTTCCTAGTAAAGGATCTAAAATGAAGGGTCGTGGGGGCCCCGTAAGTAGAGAAAGATTCTTTTCAGTAGGGGAGGGACAGAAGAATGTTCCATGGAAGGAGTGATTGTTGGTCTGGTTTCTGAAGAATGGACATCATTTGGATAAGGGGAAAAGGGTGGAGTGACTGTCAGTGGTAGAGGTACGGAGCTGGGAAAACACAGCAGGGATTTCAGGGATGGCTATGATTGCATTGAGTCCTGGAACACATGACATTAAAAGGAGATAAGACTTGAAAGGTAGGTGGAGCCCAGAGGGCCTTAGACACTTTGTGGAGAAATGGATATGTTATTCTAAAGGCAATGAAGATGGTGCTGCTTTTGAGCTGGTGAGTGACACGACTACAGCTGTTTTTATATTCGAGAGTGGGACATTTCACAGGTGGGAGACTGAAGGGATGGGGTGCAGGTGGGAGACTTGTAGTCACTGAAGCAAGATGTGATAATGGCCTGAACCAGGGACTTGGAAGCAGGACGAGAAAGGGGAGTGGAGATAGAAAAGAATCACAGTATGTGTGTGTGAACACTACACTGAAATAACATTTCTACCTACCTGTCCTGGATGCCCCACTCTCAACAACGCTCTGGCACACACTCATACGTACATGCATGCATATATACGTAGACCCGTGTATCTCACACTTGCACACACAGGCATGCATGCAATACGCACACACATAGCAAGCTCTTCAAGAGTATGGCTTGAGTGTTTCTCTTTGTGCCTCAGCACCAAGTGCAGTGCCAGGCATTTTGTTGGCACTAGATAATTGCTGGCTGAATGGAATTAAAAGCGACTGATGTGGGGCATCAAGAAAAATGAGAAATTGTAAAATATCAATCCTGGCTAGTGATGGATTTTGGTAGGCCAGCTACAAATATTCTCCTATGTCCTTTATTAATTGGTGTTGGAAAAAAGAGCAGGCCTGGGGTTGAAGATGACTTTTGATTATGGAAATGTCGGAGAAGATGAAAACATCTGGCAGATCTGATGGTGAGCATAGCTGGAAAACCACGTGGCTAGAACATAGTTCCTCTCTGACGTCTGAAAAAAACTTCTCCTGTGATCTGGCAAACATTTTATCAGGGTTTTCTTTTAATCATTTAAAAGATATGGTAGGCAGAATGATGGTTTTATAAAGATGTCTATGTCCTAATTCCCAGAACCTGTATCTTTATGTTACATGGCAAAAGGGAATTAAGGTTGTTAATCAGCTGACATTCAAATAGGGGAATTATCATGGAGCATGTGAGTAGGTCCATTGTAATCCCAAAGGTCCTGCAAAGTGGAAAAAGGAGACAAAAGATGCTGAGTCAGACTGATACCAGGTGAGGACCCTGCTGCCATTGCTGGCTTTGAAAATGAAGGAAAGAGCTATGAGCCAAAGAATGGAGGTGGCCTCTGGGAGTTTGAAAGACAGAAGCAATCTCTCCAAGAGCTTTCAGAAAGGATCACAGCTCTGCTAACACCTTGATTTTATTTCTAATAAGTCACATTAAGATCAATGTCTTCTGACCTCCAGAAGTGTAAGATATTACATTTGTGCTATTTTAAGCCACTAAGGTTGTGTAATTTTTTATAGCAGCAATGGAAAACTAATACAGAAAGGATAACCAGCATGCTTACTATTTTAGATGTATTAGATGTAATATTTTAGGGTACTCAATGCCCAAGCTACATGAGCTACAGTTATATGATGTCTTGAGATTCAACTATAGAAATATGTTTTGTTATAAAATTCCCAATCCTGGTCTGAAAATAATGTATGTGACAGCTTTAGTGGTATGAAGGCAGAGTGTATGTTCTTGGATTATGTCACACTGTGTGTAACAAGGAGACCCATGGTTTTAAATTAAGTTTCCTATATAGCCCCTCAGACAGTACTCCTAGGTATAATGCTAGCATCTCAAGAGTTGTGAAATACAGCATCAATGCATGAAGATCACAATGCGTGTTTAGAATCTTGTTTGAGTCACCCAATTTGTGTTTCACTGAAACTAAACAATCATGTTCAAATTGTCCTTCTTATACTTCACTCTTGAGTAGCATGTCTTTTGAATGAATGGGTTTAAATAACTTCTTTTCTACTTTCATTATTGTTATTTGTATCACATTTGTCATGTGAACTGATTAATAATTCAACAGAGTAATAATATTAAGTGTTATATCTTTATATAAAAATGTAAATTTTCAGTAACTGAGTAGCAGTTTCTATGTTTTAGCATTGTATGGGTCTGGACTATTACTTTAGTTTTGGCGCTTCATCAAAGCATAAAGTAAATAGCAGAAAAAAATCATATGAAATATATTCACTGTTAAATTCACATGTACACTCAGCATGATACATATGCATGATGATTACTCCTTATTCATAACAAATCTCTTAAAAGCTGGGTAAGGTGCATGTTATTTAAAAATACATTAATTCCTAAAATTAGCATGGACTTTAATTTTTGAGCAGGAACCTCTGGGAAGTGAGTAAAGTCTTCACATATAGATAGAATTGCTGCAATTTTTGATATTCAACGACACTGAATGTTAAGAGAACATAAAGCAGCCTAAAAATAAAGTATAAAATAGGATGACTAATTTTATGTGGAGAGGTTTTACAGATGAAGGAAATTCAATTTGCAAGTCTCTTTGTAAGTAAAAACTATTTGTTATTCTTGACGTTATTTTGAAATTCTTATGCAACAACTAATTGCAAGAAAGAGCTCTAAATATGCTATTGATAACCCATTAAAGGCAAAGTTGCAGGTTACTTAAATTAGAGGATTAATACTGTATAACACTGGGAAATTAATAGCCACTGTTTATCTATTTGTTAGTCATTGAAAAGCATTAGGAAAGCAAAGGTAGTCAAGTGTAGTGGCTAAGAAGTCTGCCTGAGGATTCTCCCAGTCTCTGAGTTTGAATCTGGGCTCAGCTACTTGCCAGGGACCTTGAGCAAGTTAGTTAACTTTGTGCCTGTGTTTCTTCCTCTGTAAAGAAAGGTATAATAGTAGTACATAACTCATGGGGTTCTTATGAGGGTTTAATTAGACCATCCATGACAATTGCTTAGCACATTCTGGCACAGAGTAAACACACGTTAGAGATTACCCACTGTTATTATTTTTTATTGATACATAATAGTTGTACATATTTATGAGCTGCAGATGATATCTTGATATATTCATGCAGTCTGTAATGATTAAACTGGGGTAATTGGGGTATCTATCACCTCATATTATTTCTCTATGTTGGGAACATTCCAAATCTTCAAGCTATTTTGAAAATATATAATAAATTCTTGTTAACTATAATCATTCTACTATGTGATTGAACACTAGAATTTATTCCTTCTATTAACTGTATTTTTGTAACCATTAACCAATTTCTCTTTGTTCCACCCTCTCTTCCACCCTTCCCAGTCTCTAGTAACCTGCATTCCATTCATTTCCTTTATGAAATCAATTTTTTTATCTCCCAGATATGAGTGAGAACAAGTGATATTTGTTACTATTATTAATACAGACTTATAAATATCCCCATGCTTTTATGTTTTTTAGTATCATTATCATCAAGAAAGGAGATTGAAATATTTTGCTTAATATCATTTGTGCTGTTGTTAAAATAGCAAAATTACAAAATTTTCTAATATAAAGGATCTTAGGGTCAAATATCTAACTTTCTCATTTGATTATTGATAAAACTAAACTTGAGAGTCAAAGACACTTGCCCAAAGTCACACCATTTATTCCTCTCCATGTGCATACTGGGTGATTCATATTCATGAATCATGTGGATTCGTAAACCAAATCAACCCTACAGAGCCAATTAGTCTGATTCTTGTTCTTACAAGGGGGAACAGGCTTTGTCAGTGTGAGATACACAGAGGGGAGAGGGACAAAATATTGGAAGTTGAAATGTTTTTCACACAAGGGCAGCATGCACTGAAACATCCAACTGTGAATATTTGGAAAGGACTTCTTTAAAAAAAATAATAAGAAGAAAAGTGCTTACCTCTGAAAGTAGTGAGATTGTAAATTTATCCCGGTTTCTATATGTCAAATGGACTTCAGGCAAGTTCTTTTCTTTCGCTTGCATTGTCTAATCTATAATCTGATATCTGATCAAACTATCTCCCAGGATGGTTAGGAACTCAAAACAGATCCATCTGTGAGAGATATACCAGGAAGAGGTTGCAGATGTCATCTCAATTGCAATGGGAGACTAAGAGGCCAACAGAGGCAGTTAGAGCTAGGAGTATGCCCAATTCATACAACCTCTTGGGGTCAGTAATCTGTATGAGTACTGTGTGCTGAAACAGAGAATTTTGGCTATGACTTTTTCGCATGGTTAGGGTCCACTACAGTGAGCACCTGGAAGGGAAGAGACAGCAGAAATGTGGAAGAGTGAGGTGAGGGTGAATAACGGTAAGGGAAAATAGAATGTGGAGGAGAAAGTAAGGGAATTATTGAAATCCTAATGGCCAGTTTGTCTGTTTTGCCTTTCATATAGTTCATAAGTAAAAAGAAATAGAATAGAGAAGGAAAGAAAATCTAGAAAGTTTGCGAAAGAAGAGGAGAGCATCGTAACCTGCCATTCCAGGTGCTTTTTGTTGCAAGGATTCTTTTGATGAAAAGAAGAGCTGTCCAACAAGAGATTATGTGGCTGGGTACCCTATCAGTTCACTTAGGAGGTAGCCAAGGGAAATATTTTTCAGTAAATCAAATATTTTTCAACAAGAAGTTTGTTGTGAGCTTTAGATCAATAGAGAAAATAGATTTATTTTGGAGAATGTATAGGAGAAAAAGGGACAGAACTCTTAGAAGAAATTTGTGATTTTATTTAGCATGTTTAGGGCTAAAAATTCTCACCATTCTTTCCAGAAATAAAGCAGTGGGATTGAAACAATCGGGCCTTCTTTGGGGATGGTGATATTTTTGGAAAGGAAAAAGACAGATTTGGGGATATAGAATTATAACTGCAGGAGAAGCTGGAGTTAAACCACATTCCAGGAACTTTTCACCTAAGGGGCAAAGGACTATGGGTTTGTGTATGATGGGGCTGATGATGTTGAGGATGACACCAACAGTAATAATAACAACGCATTTACTACACGTATACCATGTGCCAGAGACTGTACCCAGCAATTGCATACATTATATCACTTAAGATGAAATAATAACCTGTCAAACCACCACCATTTAAGATGGCCTCCACAGATGAGGACAGCCAGGCTGAGACATGTTAAGCTTATTTTATAAGTCCAAAGATAAACAAATTATAGGTGCAGCTTAAGAAATTATTCCAGGAAATATGCTGTTCGTGGAAGCCTTCCAGGTGTGGAGAACAAGGACCCAGAAGTGATGTCTTTATGTTGATGGAGAGTCTCTGTGAGGAAGAAGGGCCGATCTTCCCTACTGTCTGAGCCCAGCCAGGGGGAGACAGGAGGGACAGAACAGGCGCCATCTGCCCTCACCGGTGCATGGGCGCCACCTACAGGTGTAAGGCGAGATAGGATGAGGGGAGCCACAGAAGACCGAAGGCAAAATGCAGAGAGGATGGGAAATGGGGAGGTGGTGAGTATTATATAGATCAGTCAGAAGAGCTGTCAACAGCATGGGATTAAGACAGCCCTGCTCAACAATGGACATGATAATCCATTGCCCCAGAAGACGGGTCCATAGTGGAAGAAAGAAGTGAACGGGCCTTCTAGAGGTGTGAACTGCAGAGATCCAAGACCATGAGAATGACTAATCCATAGAACATGGGACCCAAACCCCAGAGGTAAGGATATAGGAGAAGAGAACTAGTGTATCCCCTAGGATAAGTAGGAGAAGGTGGAGGAAGCCTTGTGGATCTAAGAAAAGTCATCTGTCCCTTCTTACAATTTTAAAGCAAGTAGCTCAGGCAGGTAAGATGTGAGTGAAGCTGGCTCCTGGAGGGCTTCAGCACACAACACCAGGCAAAGATGTAGCCTGAAGAACAGGGGTGAAGTACTAAGTGGGGGTTTCTGCATATTAAGAACATAGGCCTGTGGTTTTATAACACTTGTCAGTATGATTAAGCTTGGGGTTAGGTGTGGGTTGGTTAGAGTTGGGTTAGGGCTAATGAATAGTTGTCCTAAAGATGCATGAGATGAAATCTGGGAAGGAGCTTATATGAAAGTGAATCAAGAACAAAAAAAGGTCAAGCTTGTGAATGTATTGAATAAGGAAGTGTATCTCGGGAGAAGAGGTGAAGCAATGGAAAAAAAGACTGACTGATAGAGGTGACAGTTTAGTCAATGTAAGAAAATAGATTGAAGTATTTCTTTCTTCCTTTTTCTTTTTCTTTTTCTTTATTTACATCCACCTCAGTGTCCCAGCCCACCACGATAATAATAGCAGTAGTTAATGTTGACTGAATGTCTACAATGCTCTAGGAACTGTTTTAAGAGTCATATGCACTAGCTCATGTATTCCTTCTGACAGTTCTAGAGGTGCTACTCTTATTGCCCTTCATGTGAAAAAGGACATCAAAGGCAGAGAGGCAAAAAAAGCACACTCAATGTTATACAGGTAGTAAGAGCTAAAGCAGGAAATGCAGTTCAAGTGTTGGGATTTCAGTCTATATCCATTACCATGATACTCGATTGCTTCTTAGTGCGTATCTATCCACCTCTTTATAGGCCAAAATATGTTAATGAAATGATACATGACCTCCCCAAATGGACAGATGTATGTATAACAAAAATATAAATTGTGACTGCAGAATGTGCAGAGGCCCTTATAGTCCTATCTTACTCTTGGGGCTACATTTGCAGGGTTATTATAGTGGTAACCTATAGCTGCACACAAATGATCCCAAATTTAGTGGCTTACAAACCAACCAGAAACATTTGTTATTGCACAGTTTCTGTACACCAGAAATCTACAGACAGCTTGGCAGGGTAGTTCTGGTTCTGAGTCTCATGAGGTGAGAGTTAAGCTGTTGGCGGGGGGCTGCAGCCACCTCAAGGCTCTAGTGGTGGAGTGTTGTTTCTGACTCTCTCCGTGGTTGCCGGCAGCCCTCAGTATCTTGCCATGTGGCTTATCCCCAGGCTGCTAACTTGGAAGCTGGCTTCCCTTTTCTCAAGACTGCTTGAAGGTGTGGCAGCTGGCTTCCACAAGAGTGAGCAATTCAAGAGAGATTAAGGGAATGCCCCAGACAAAAGTGCAGCCTTTTTATAACCTAACCTCATTCACCCTTGCTATATTCTGTTAGTGGGAAGCAAGCTGCTCAGTTTAGCCCCCATTTAAGGGAGGGGATTACACAGATCTTGAGAACCAGAGGTGCCATCATCATTGGGGAATGCCCTGGCCACTGCCATGATTATGCTATCTTAGCAATTGCTTTTGTCTCTGTTTCTCCAACTCCACTTTCCTCTTTTTCACTTCCTGCAGTGATGGAGGCCTTTTAGACTCCATCAACTTCTCTTCTCTGCTCCCTCCTTTGTCTGCCTTTATCTGTCTTTTTTCACACTTCATATGCTTCCTGGTCAATATCCTACCTTCCCATGGCTTCAAACTCATTCTACCTGCATTTTTAATTTCTAATTCTGACCTCAGTTTTGAGCCTCCACCTAATTTCCTGCCTGTAGCACACCTTAGCCTGCTCCATAGACAAACTGGCCAAAACCCAAATTCACCAGCCACATTTTGTCCCACCCCACTCTCCTCTATATTAGGGGGCACAACTGACCATCAGTTTGCACAACTCAGAAATCCAGGAGACACCCTTGAAACGCTTCCCCCTTAGTTTTCCTTAACACTTAGCCAGTCATTATGGTCTTTTCCTTCTAATTCCTAGTTATTTTTGGAGCTACATTTTCTTTTTCTATCCTGATAGCTGCCTATTTCAATTAAGGTCCTTGTAATTTCTTTGCTAGATTATTAAAATAGTCTGCATAAAGGACTCCTTACCTACAATTCATCTCTTCTCAAACTAGTTCTCTGCAAATAAGACCAAGTTTTTCCTTTGTATAAAATTGTATGCTGGCTCCCCTACATCTACAGAATGAAAATTGGAAGAGATACTAGCGTAGTTGAAGAAGTGCATGCTATGGAGTCATACACAGCTGAGTTCAATCCCAACATCACCATTTATTAGCTAATTGAGGTTGGACACATTAAAAAATACTTCAAGCCTTTGTTTCTTCATCCATAAAATGGGGATGTCTTTACTGTAAAGTTGTTAGGACTAAGTAAGATAACATAAACTCCTGGACAGAAAGTGAATTTTCCATAAATAGGGGCTATTGTTGCTAACAGGCTGGCTGCATTATCGGATTTTATCTCTGTTAAGGCAATTAGCACATGTAATTCCCTAAAAATGTCATGCTCTCTACTCTTCTTTAACTTGGAAGATGCTGTTTTTGTTTTTTGTTGTTTTCCTTTTTCTGTTTGGAAGGCCTTTTTTCTGTCCATTCTCCCACCTGCTCTTCAGCTCTCTGCTTGGCAAACTTTGTCTCCTCTGTCAATTTCACTTTCCTCTTCCTGTTGGGACCTCTATGATCACTTCCTACTGATGAGGGGTTCTTGTACTCCTCATGGTGGTGCAACTTCATAGGATTCTGCTGTTTCTTCGCATACCTAGTTCCAGAGTAAACCCTAAAACTCTGGGAGTGGAGAGTCAGTCTCCACTTGTCAACAGTATAGCCCAAATGCCTAGCACCATATCTACCACAGACAGTAAATAATTTGTCTTTTGAAAAATAACATCTGGATGTATATATGTGTGTGTGTATATATATATATATATATATATATATATATATATATATATATATCTGACATCTGAATGAATACTCCTTTTTCCTTCTAATTTTAAGATAATAGTCAAATTGATTTTCAAAATCTGAAAATTCTAGTAAAGTTCTATGTAGGAGGAATAAATTCGCTTTAGGATATGTGGAAATAAAAAATTATAAGCAGAAACTCCATTTAAAAAGATCATCAAGGGATGAAGCATGTCTTAATTAAGCAAAAGAGAGAATACTTTCAAGGCAGGAAATGAGACTAAAGGCTTTCAATGAAGAAATTTATTTGTATAGAAAAAATAGAGCACGAATAACAGAAATCAAGGAACAAATAAAGGAAGAATTTACACATAGGATAAAGTTGATTGGGAAAGAAAGGAGCAAAGGGAAGTTCCTCTGATTTGCCAGTCGTAAAGGGGGTGCTTTGCTGGAGAGGAAAACAAATGGTTTGGATGGTGCTGCAAGAGAGGATGTGAATAATGAAGCACTTTTAAGAACTGTTTCAAGAGCAGGGAGAGCTATGTTCTAAGATTAAAGGAGGTGGAGAAATGATGGAGGAAATACCAGAGAAGTGAAGCAGTTAATGAAAAAAAACAAAAAACAAAACAAACAAAAAAAACACCTCTCAGCCTCCAAGAGAAGAAAAGAGGCAGATTCTCTATGACGGGGGGTGCTGGGCCTTGATGTCCTAACTCAGGTTCTTTCAGAGTCACCTGGTCTTTGGTCATCTCCTGGTCATCTCAATGATCTCATTTGTTAGTGAAATTCAGCTTAGTTTATAAAACCAAGCCCAGATTCTCCTAGCCTGCAGGATAGAAATAATCACCAAGAGAGGATAACAGGAGGGTCTGAGTGTATAAGTGTGTGTGTATGTGTGTGTGTGTGTGTGTGTGTGTGTATTTTAAAGGAAGCCAATTAGTTTCTTGCCATTAAAACAGTTCTACAAAGAACGTCATTATTGATGGCCTCTTTTGAAACATCGTGTATGTGCTTCTCAAAGTTAGCAGTGTATCAAGTTCTTAGAGATGTTAAACATTTCTAATTTAAGTGCATTTTTGAAGCCTGGGTGAACAAATGTTCAAAGTTCTTATTAGCACATGGGAGACCAGCAGAGAGAAGGAGAAGGCAGGTCTTAGAACTTGATTTCATGGATATTTCAAGCACTGATTACAGAATTTGTGGGAGAATTTTGGCTACTGGGGAGCTTGGCAAGAGCAAAGAGTATTAAACAGGTTTCTAAGCACTTCCACACATCTAGTTTATGTGGCAGAAGACAGATGACTGATGTTAGCCTTAGGAAAAAACCAATGGAAGGTGCCAAAGAGGAAATTTTATTAGGTTTAGACTGAGAACAACTTTTGGATCCAGCAAACACGCTTTTTCTTCAAGATCATTCAAAGCCGTAAGTGAGAGCCAAGTTACTGTAATGTATGAAGAGTCTCTATACAAAAGTGAAAGGCATCCATCTTTACTCTCAATGGTGGATAAGAAAAATTATGGGAATAAAAACTGTGTCATAGCTCTTTCCATATTGTGAATTAATTTTTTAAGGGATAAATTAGAGAGACAAATAATTATTTCACTGAGGCAAATAAATTGTAAAGGTTGAAAACAAACAGTATCTTATATTAACATACATGGACAATGCTCCACCTGTAGTAAGGAGAAAAAAAAGTATTTGAAATGCAATGGTTATGCCAGGAAAACTGACTGTGTGATCCTCAAAGGGAAAAATTCTAAAGATAAAAGAAAATGGAAAGTTGTAAAAATCCATTCAGTAAGGGTAAGGGCAGACAGGAAGAGTTTGGGCATGGAGTTTAGAGTGAAAAAAGAGACAAAATTAAATAGAAGTAAAAATAAAGATGCAGAAAAAATAGATATTGAATATTTACAAGCCATTGTTTGAGAACACAGTAGAACATAAGCAAAAAATAGCTGGATTTAGAATATTTTCTTTACTCATTATTTTTGTCTGAAGTTTAGAGAACATGTCTTCCAATCATGTTTTTTGCTGGGGCCTAGGAGTAGTAGTTTGTTTAAGTTGTTACCTAGTGCTAATCTGTGACTCCAGTGTGAAAAAGTTCTTGTGTATAATCCTCGTGCAATAAATTTGTTGAAAATTTTATGTTGGCTGGCATGCCTACCGTATGGGAGATCCAGGTAAAATTAATGCCCCATTTTTCTGCAAGTGGTAACTTGTAGTGAGTTGCTACTGGGTTTTGTATGATTATCTGTTAGGATGGTAGCATGTGACAACTGGGGGAACACGCTTCTTATTTTCCTGCCAGGTAGAAAGCTAGTCTTTGCAGGAGAACAAATGTTTTGGAAAGCAGAAAGAGACAGGTAGGATTTGGTGAGGAAGATGATGGTCCACGAGAGATAAAGGCTGACTTTTTACAAAGAAAACTATCAAAATGTCGAGAGGGCAGCCAAGATGGCCGAATAGGAACAGCTCCAGTCTACAGCTCCCAGCGTGAGCGACGCAGAAGACGGGTGATTTCTGCATTTCCATCTGAGGTAGCGGGTTCATCTCACTAGGGAGTGCCAGACAGTGGGCGCAGGACAGTGGGTGCAGTGCACCATGCGCGAGCCGAAGCAGGGCGAGGCATTGCCTCACTTGAGAAGCGCAATGGGTCAGGGAGTTCCCTTTCCTAGTCAAAGAAAAGGGTGATAGACAGCACCTGGAAAATCGGGTCACTCCCACCCTAATACTGCGCTTTTCTGACGGGCTTAAAAAACGGAGCACCAGGAGATTATATCCTGCACCTGGCTCGGAGGGTCCTACACTCACAGATCTCGCTGATTGCTAGCACAGCAGTCTGAGATCAAACTGCAAGGCGGCAGTGAGGCTGGGGGAGGGGCGCCCACCATTGCCCAGGCTTGCTTAGGTAAACAAAGCAACCGGGAAGCTTGTACTGGGTGGAGCCCACCACAGCTCAAGGAGGCCTGCCTGCCTCTGTAGGCTCCACCTCTGGGGGCAGGGCACAGACAAACAAAAAGACAGCAGTAACCTCTGCAGACTTAAATGTCCCTGTCTGGCAGCTTTGAAGAGAGCAGTGTTTCTCCCAGCACGCAGCTGGAGATCTGAGAACGGGCAGACTGCCTCCTCAAGTGGGTCCGTCACCCCTGACCCCTGAGCAGCGTAACTGGGAGGCACCCCCACAGTAGGGGCCAACTGACATCTCACACGGCCGGGTAGTCCTCTGAGACAAAACTTCCAGAGGAACGATCAGACAGCAGCATTCGCGGTTCACGAAAATCCGCTGTTCTGCAGCCACCGCTGCTGTTACCCAGGCAAACAGGGTCTGGAGTGGACCTCTAGCAAACTCCAACAGACCTGCAGCTGAGAGTCCTGTCTGTTAGAAGGAAAACTAACAAACAGAAAGGACATCCACACCAAAAACCCGTCTGTACATCACCATCATCAAAGACCAAAAGTAGATAAAACCACAAAGACGGGGAAAAAACAGAGCAGAAAAACTGGAAACTCTAAAAAGCAGAGCACCTCTCCTCCTCCAAAGGAACACAGTTCCTCACCAGCAACGGAACAAAGCTGGACTGAGAATGACTTTGACGAGTTGAGAGAAGAAGGCTTCAGACGATCAAACTACTCCAAGCTACAGGAGGAAATTCAAACCGAAGGGGAAGAAGTTAAAAACTTTGAAAAAAATTTAGATGAAAGTATAACTAGAATAATCAATACAGAGAAGTGCTTAAAGGAGCTGATGGAGCTGAAAACCAAGGCTCGAGAACTACGTGAAGAATGCAGAAGCCTCAGGAGCCGATGCGATCAACTGGAAGAAAGGGTATCAGTGATGGAAGATGAAATGGATGAAATGAATGAAATGAAGTGAGAAGTGAAGTTTAGAGAAAAAAGAATAAAAAGAAATGAACAAAGCCTCCAAGAAATATGGGACTATGTGAAAAGACCAAATCTATGTCTGAATGGTGTACCTGAAAGTGACGGGGAGAATGGAACCAAGTTGAAAAACACTCTGTAGGATATTATCCAGGAGAAGTTCCCCAATCTAGCAAGGCAGGCCAACATTCAGATTCAGGAAATACAGGGAACGCCATAAAGATACTCCTCAAGAAGAGCAACTCCAAGACACATAATTGTCAGATTCACCAATGTTGAAATGAAGGAAAAAATGTTAAGGGCAGCCAGAGAGAAAGGTCGGGTTACCCACAAAGGGAAGCCCATCAGACTAATAGCGGATCTCTCGGCAGAAACTCTACAAGCCACAAGGGAGTGGGGACCAATATTCAACATTCTTAAAGAAAAGAATTTTCAACCCAGAATTTCATATCCAGCCAAACTAAGCTTCATAAGTGAAGGAGAAATAAAATCCTTTACAGACAAGCAAATGCTGAGAGATTTTGTCACCACCAGACCTGCCCTAAAAGAGCTCCTGAAGGAAGCACTAAACATGGAAAGGAACAACTGGTACCAGCCACTGCAAAATCATGCCAAATTGTAAAGACCATCGAGGCTAGGAAGAAACTGCATCAACTAACGAGCAAAATAACCAGCTAACATCATAATGACAGGATCAGATTCACACATAACAATATTAACTTTAAATGTAAATGGACTAAATGCTCCAATTAAAAGACACAGACTGGCAAATTGGATAAAGAGTCAAGACCCATCAGTGTGCTGTATTCAGGAAACCCATCTCACATGCAGAGACACACATAGGCTCAAAATAAAAGGATGGAGGAAGATCTACCAAGCAAATGGAAAACAAAAAAAGGCAGGGGTTGCAATCCTAGTCTCTGATAAAACAGACTTTAAACCAACAAAGGTCAAAAGAGACAAAGAAGGCCATTACATAATGGTAAAGGGATCAATTCAACAAGAAGAGCTAACTATCCTAAATATATATGCACCTAATACAGGAGCACCCAAATTCATAAAGCAAGTCCTGAGTGACCTACAAAGAGACTTAGACTCCCACGCAGTAATAATGGGAGACTTTAACACCCCACTGTCAACATTAGACAGATCAACGAGACAGAAAGTTAACAAGGATACCCAGGAATTGAACTCAGCTCTGCACCAAGCGGACGTAATAGACATCTACGGAACTCTCCACCCCAAATCAATAGAATATACATTTTTTTCAGCACCACACCATACCTATTCCAAAATTGACCACATACTTGGAAGTAAAGCTCTCCTCAACAAAAGTAAAAGAACAGAAATTATAACAGTCTCTCAGACCACAGTGCAATCAAACTAGAACTCAGGATTAAGAAACTCACTCAAAAGCATTCAACTACATGGAAACTGAACAACCTGCTTCTGAATGACTACTGGGTACCTAACGAAATGAAGGCAGAAATAAAGATGTTCTTTGAAACCAACGAGAACAAAGACACAACATACCAGAATCTCTGGGACACATTCAAAGCAGTGTGTAGAGGGAAATTTATAGCACTAAATGCCCACAAGAGAAAGCAGGAAAGATCCAAAATTGACACCCTAACATCACAATTAAAAGAACTAGAAAAGCAAGAGCAAACACATTCAAAAGCTAGCAGAAGGCAAGAAATAACTAAAATCAGAGCAGAACTGAAGGAAATAGAGACACAAAAAACCCTTCAAAAAATTAATGAATCCAGGAGCTGGTTTTTTGAAAGGATCAACAAAATTGATAGACCACTAGCAACACTAATAAAGAAGAAAAGAGAGAAGAATCAAATAGACGCAATAAAAAATGATAAAGAGGATATCAACACCGATCCCACAGAAATACAAACTACCATCAGAGAATACTACAAACACCTCTATGCAAATAAACTAGAAAATCTAGAAGAAATGGATAAATTCCTCGACACATACCTCTCCCAACACTAAACCAGGAAGAAGTTGAATCTCTGAATAGACCAATAACAGGCTCTGAAATTGTGGCAATAATCAATAGCTTACCAACCAAAAAGAGTCCAGGACCAGATGGATTCACAGCCGAATTCTACCAGAGGTACAAGGGGGAACTGGTACCATTCCTTCTGAAACTATTCCAATCAATAGAAAAAGAGGGAATCCTCCCTAACTCATTTTATGAGGGCAGCATCATCCTGATACCAAAGCTGGGCAGAGACACAACCAAAAAAGAGAATTTTAGACCAATATCCTTGATGAACATTGATGCAAAAATCCTCAATAAAATACTGGCAAACCGAATCCAGCAGCACATCAAAAAGCTTATCCACCATGATCAAGTGGGCTTCATCCCTGGGATTCAAGGCTGGTTCAATATACACAAATCAATAAATGTAATCCAGCATATAAAGAGAACCAAAGACAAAAACCGCATGATTATCTCAATAGATGCAGAAAAGGCCTTTGACAAAATCCAACAACGCTTCATGCTAAAAACTCTCAATAAATTAGGTATTGATGGGACATATCTCAAAATAATAAGAGCTGTCTATGACAAACCCACAGCCAATATCATACTGAATGGGCAAAAACTGGAAGCATTCCCTTTGAAAACTGGCACAAGACAGGGATGCCCTCTCTCACCACTCCTATTCAACATAGTGTTGGAAGTTCTGGCCAGGGCAATTAGGCAGGAGAAGGAAATAAAGTGTATTCAATTAGGAAAAGAGGAAGTCAAATTGTCCCTGTTTGCAGATGACATGATTGTATATCTAGAAAACCCCACTGTCTCAGCCCAAAATCTCCTTAAGCTGGAAAGCAACTTCAGGAAAGTCTCAGGATACAAAATCAATGTACAAAAATCACAAGCATTCTTAAACACCAATAACAGACAAACAGAGAGCCAAATCATGAGTGAACTCCCATTCACAATTGCTTCAAAGAGAATAAAATACCTAGGAATCCAACTTACAAGGGACGTGAAGGACCTCTTCAAGGAGAACTACAAACCACTGCTCAAGGAAATAAAAGAGGATATAAACAAATGGAAGAACATTCCATGCTCATGGGTAGGAATAATCAATATCGTGAAATTATAGATTCAATGCCATCCCCATCAAGCTACCAATGACTTTCTTCAGAGAATTGGAAAAAACTACTTTAAAGTTCATATGGAACCAAAAAAGAGCCCGCATCGCCATGTCAATCCTAAGCCAAAAGAAAAAAGCTGGAGGCATCATGCTACCTGACTTCAAACTATACTACAAGGCTACAGTAACCAAAACAGCATGGTACTGGTACCATAACAGAGATATAGATCAATGGAACAGAACAGAGCCCTCAGAAATAACGCCGCATATCTACAACTATCTGATCTTTGACAGACCTGAAAAAAACAAGCAATGGGGAAAGGATTCCCTATTTAATAAATGGTGCTGGGAAAACTGGCTAGCCATATGTAGAAAGCTGAAACTGGATCCCTTCCTTACACCTTATAGAAAAATTAATTCAAGATGGATTAAAGACTTAAACATTAGTCCTAAAACCATAAAAACCCTAGAAGAAAACGTAGGCATTACCATTCAGGACATAGGCATGGGCAAGGACTTCATGTCTAAAACACCAAAAGCAATGGCAACAAAAGCCAAAATTGACAAATGGGATCTAATTAAACTAAAGAGCTTCTGCACAGCAAAAGAAACTACCATCAGAGTGAACAGGCAACCTACAAAATGGGAGAAAATTTTTGCAACCTACTCATCTGACAAAGGGCTAATATCCAGAATCTACAATGAACTCAAACAAATTTACAAGAAAAAACAAACAACCCCATCAAAAAGTGGGCGAAGGACATGAACAGACACTTCTCAAAAGAAGACATTTATGCAGCCAAAAAACACATGAAAAAATGCTCACCATCACTGGCCATCAGAGAAATGCAAATCAAAACCACAATGAGATATCATCTCACACCAGTTAGAATGGCAATCATTAAAAAGTCAGGAAACAACAGGTACTGGAGAGGATGTGGAGAAAAAGGAACACTTTTACACTGTTGGTGGGACTGTAAACTAGTTCAACCATTGTGGAAGTCAGTGTGGCGATTCCTCAGGGATCTAGAACTAGAAAACCATTTGACCCAGCCATCCCATTACTGGGTATATACCCAAAGGACTATAAATCATGCTGCTATAAAGACACATGCACACGTATGTTTATTGTGGCACTATTCACAATAGCAAAGACTTGGAACCAACCCAAACGTCCAACAATGATAGACTGGATTAAGAAAACGTGGCACATATACACCATGGAATACTATGCAGCCTTAAAAAATAATGGGTTCATGTCCTTTGTAGGGACATGGATGAAATTGAAAATCATCATTCTCAGTAAACTATCACAAGAACAAAAAACCAAACACCTCATGTTCTCACTCATAGGTGGGAATTGAACAATGAGAACACATGGACACAGGAAGGGGAATATCACACTCTGGGCCCTGTTGTGGGGTAGGGGGAGGGGGGAGGGATAGCATTAGGAGATATACCTAATGCTAAATGACGAGTTAATGGGTGCAGCACACCAACATGGCGCATGTATACATATGTAACTAACCTGCACATTGTGCACATGTACCCTAAAACTTAAAGTGTAATAATAGTAATAATAATAAAGAAAACTATCAAGATGTCACAGAAAAGTGTCGAAGAAGGTTTGTACTTATGTGATGGACTTAGAGTGAGTACATCCAAATCATCCTTAAAATACTTCAGGAAACAGAAAAACTAGGGCAAAGTATTGGAGTTACATATGTGATGTTTCATACAGCAGGTTTCTGCATAAAGCCAATATAATGCTTCCAAGGAGATCCCTTTCATCCAGGAAGACAGCGTAAGGAGGAAGTGATGTAAACATCTCATCAGCCCAAATATCACACAGCAAAGTATTTTTGGAGTCACACAGGCTCCAAAATTATCAGGGACAGAAGAGGCAAGTAGAAATGACCAAAAGAAGTTGTTTTTTAAAAAGAAAGAGAAAGAGCATGAAAAAAAGATTTGGGGTGATAAACTCTCTTCAGTCTCATATAACTTAAATGTGAGAGATTATGAATGATACTAAACTGTAAAAATACTAGTGAGATGAATACAACAAACAGAAAAGTAAAGATAAAGCAGATGATGATTTAATAAATAAATGAGATATGAGCATATTGAGTTTGTAAGAAATTGATGTGGCATATATTTCTAGAAATATAGTTTTGGAAACTCTACATCTACAACTTGTATGTGTATTATTTTTATAATTTATTCAATTATAGGAAATTTCGGGAGTCATTTAAGTAAAAATCTTATAAACATAATGCATTCTATAATATTTGGCATGAACAGGACTCTAGTCATCCTGCACGGATCTTCACATGGTAACATTTCCATGATGAGATATGCCTAAAAGTAAGATTTTCTAACTACAATTTTAATTAGGCTTCTCAGAAGGCTCGGGTATGCTCTAGGATACCTGGAGGTAGAGCATGCCGTTCTGGAGAATCCAGGAAACCTGTCAAAATTAGACATAAATAGAAAAAAATGAGTAACCATTTCTAAAACTCACACTGTGTCAATGTCAAGCCAAAATAATAAATAACAACAAAATCCTGTCAACCAGTTATTTTTATTTATGTGACACACAAACCGTGGTTGACTAATTTTTTTTCATCATAATTGACCTAATATTTAGTCAGGTATCACATAGAGAATAGTTTTGTCTTTACTTGGACATGTGTTCTGGTTGTCAGATGAGGCCAAAAAACAAACAAAATCAAACCCAGTCTGTGCATTAGTGATAGTACCCTAGAAAGTTTGTCCCTTCATTCATGTAGTGAATAATAATGCCGATGAAGACAAATTGTTAGGCTGGAGTTTAGATACCTTATTAGAGGAGAAAGTAGTTGAAAACTAGAGCATTACAGGAAGATACTGTCTCCAGGGAGGACAGGGCCTCAAGTTATGTGAATACAAGTCAACTGGTTCATTTGTGACTTCTGCTCCGTACAGGGGAAACCAAGACAGCCTGCTCGGTTAGGGGCTGGGCTGGCATGTGCACCTGCAGGCTGTTATCACTGAGCCAGCTCTTCTCTCTGAGCCTGCAAAGCTCCATTTCAGCAGGATGTGGGATAAGGGCAAGCTGGAAGAGTTGTAGTCTGCTTAGCCTGTGGCTGTCACTGACTGCACCGTGTGGATGTTGTTTCAGGGCTGTTCAGCGATGGGGGGCGCCTCTTAACACACCAGCTGGTGGACTGTGAATCATTCTGCAGCAGGAAGCGCATGCATGGCGTGCCAAGGCATTGTGTGTAGTCATCTTGGGGAATATGAAATCAAGTGACAGCACTTTCCTTCACCATTAGTGTGAAGGACACCACAGGAGCCCCGGGGCCCTGGTCACTGTCTCCAGCCTCATTCGGACCAGACTCTGCCGTGAGACTTTTCTGTCACTGGCAAGTGCCTCTTTTAATTGGACTTTGTCACTCAGACTGTACTTCACGGCATTGTTAGAAAAATCCAAATCCTATTTATTTTGTTTGTTTGTTTTTAAAGAGAGAAATAGAGAAAAAAAAGAAAGAGAAACTTGAAGAAAAATACTCTTTTCAATAACTTGAAATTCAACGTTGAAATATAAGCATGGTAGCAATAAATACAGTGCTCTGCAGAAAATCAACATTTTAATATAATCCTTCCAAAAAGGGTAAGCTTTCAAAATCCTTTTGTGCATTTCTTTTAGGATATAGGATTTGGGGCATTCAGACAAAAGAGTAACCATTCCTTAAGAATAAAAGATTACTGCCATAGGGACAGGAGAAACAACAAATAATGAATATGATTAAAACGTTAGTTAATATTTTTTACTATATACTTTTGAAATATTTCCAATTGGCACATTTGTCTTGATGGTGGATCAGATGCATGTGATATTACAACACCCCTCACTGCCCAGCAATGATTGCACTACATTGTTTGTGTTCTCTCTCAGAGCACAAGGCAAGGATTTTCATTAAATGCGTCATTTACGGCTCACTGCAGTGGTTCCACAAAGTCAATACATATCCTTAACAGAAAACAAAGAATGAAGCATGTGAAAGAAACAGAGAGAAAGCAAATGAGTCCAGCAACTGTCAGGAGCTCTAGACACTCATTCCATCCATCCCAGGCTCACTGCTACAGGCACTGATTGCCAGCAAATAGGAAGAGCATGTGTCTAAATTCCTATCTACCCACATCTGGGCCCACTCCATGCTGGGGTTCTGGATCTGGCAGCAAAGTGGGAAATGATGGGCAAGTGCAATTTTGGGGGACATTAAGACCCAACTGGGATATTCTTATTATATTTGAATCCTCAAAGTAACAGGAAATATTTTCCTGAAATGGAGTAAAGTGATCATTTAATGACTTTCCTCTTTCCCAGCAAATAACAAAACCTACTTAAGAGGAAAGCAAAGTGAAGTTCCCTTCTCAATGATATTTTGAGTATCAATCCGTGAAATCCTGGTAATGGTTTAGGCTGACTCTTTATGAAAGAAGTTGTTTTAACTGGTCATAGATCTCTAAAACTAGACCAAGTATACATTATTAACTTAGGTGGTGATTCACTTATCTCACAAACAATTTCTGAATTGATACTATGTGCTAGATACTGTGTGAGGCCCAAGGGATAAAAAGTATCAAGACAGAGTTATTTTCCTCAAGAAGTTTAGGATAGAGCTAATGACCTAGAACCATTGCAAGCAGATACTTGCCAAAAATTTCTGACAAGTATATTAAGGTAAATGTAGTTGTGTCTACAAGGACATAGGTGTATTATTGGTAATAGAGGAAATTTAATTCATCAAAAAAGTCTTAATAGAAGGAAAAAATCACTTCAGATGATGATGGTGGTGTTGGTGATGATGATGATGGTAATAATGATGAGTTTGCTTTATATTACCTGGTTTATCTATAAAAAGAAAACTGACAGTGTTCTTCTGTAATAATTTGAAAATTTTCAATTATTTGAATTTACCACATCATTAATATAGCAGGATAAGTTAGTCAGGTGTTCAAGGAGTAGAGACAGTAGTGTGGTCCTCATGGAAATTTGGTAATAAGCCTTGGAAGTTTGGTAATAAGCCTTGAGTGAATTCCTGCTTTTTCAGTCTTTTAAATTTCTTTACTTTGGTTCACTTCAGAATCTGTGCTTGTGAAGGAATCCTGAATACATCTACAAGTTAAAACTTCCTAGAATACTTTATTTTCAGGGTGATTTCCCCCCGTTTTTGCAATGACTTTTGCTGATGTAGTAAATAGTATGAATGAACAAAACCATGTTGTGTTTATGGAAGAATTGAGGTTGCCAAGAGAGCATTATTTTAAAAATCCTGCACCAGCACAGACTTACTTTCTGTACCTGGGTTCCAGCTCCTGCAGCCAAGATCTCAGTCAATCTCTCTAGGAGAAATTAGGTTACAGGGGTCCTCAATGCATTCCATTCTTCCTTGGTTTCTGATGGGCAGCCTACCTGATCAGAAAGGAGAAACAAAGAAGTTAGGATTTGCAGAGGGTAATCTGGCTGCTGAGGGAGTTGTCTTTTTAGTTTGCTTCTTTTTTCTCTTTTGTGCTTAAGGCCACAATGCTGGTGAAGGCAGCTTCCAGGTGGCGCACACACCAACTTGGCATAACCCAACACCATTTAAATCTCTGCATTTGCCAAAGCAGATCCATTTTTTTTTGTAATGGAATTTACCATTTGGGCATAGCTTTTAGAGTTCTATGTTGCCCTTTTCTTTACTAAATAATTTTGGTTATAAATCTATTATTTTGCCTTTTATACATAGTCTTTCTTGGAAAATTGAAATGAGGGAGTTGATGATGGAGGAAAGGGTAAGGGGAAAGAGAATTTAATTACTTTATAAAAGTCAAGGGAAATATAGTAAGGGCAATGGCATTTCTAGAGCTACTTCAAATAATTGTCTAATGTCTTCTGAGTTGAAAATATGACTTTTAGAACTCATTATCTGATTTAAACCATTCAATGCACATTTTATTTATATGATTCTTAAATATGAAATGCTCAAATCCACAGAAACATACAACTGCTATGCTGTCACTAAATTCTGTATTTCTCATTTGGAAAACTTTCTAAGTTGACTATAAATAAATTATCTAGTTTTAAGTTAATGAAAACTTTTTTGTTGGTATTCTTAAGATGCTCATATGGTTGCAGGGTTGTCATGACTATATGACTATAAAGTAACAGCTTTATACCTAAAGAATTTTATTCACAAAATTAATTTTTTCTTTTAAAGTGAAGCATTTTAGTCACGACAGTGTTCTGGAGTCTTCCTGCAATAATAAAACCTTTGCATATTTCATATACATACAAGAGTTTAAAACGTAAAATTGGTAAAAATTTATAAGAACAAGAAGGACAGTGCCTGCTTTATAATAGGAGCTTAATAAATATCTGTTGAGTGAATCAATACATGATACTGGCTGACATTTTTAAAATATTTAATGTGTGATAGGCATTGCTAAATATCTTTTTAAGCAACTTTATTGAGATATAATTCACATACCAAATAATTCACTAATTGGAGGTGTACAAGTCAATGGTTTTAGTATATTCACAGATGTGTGCAACCATCACCAATCTAGTTTAGAATTTTTCTCAAATCTACCCTTTAGCTATTCCCTCCCATCCTTTCATCCCCCTGCCGGCTTGAAACAACCACTGATCTGCTTTCTATCTCTATAGATTTCTCTATTCTGGGGTTTCATATGAATGAATCATACGGCATGTGGTCTTTTGTGACTGGTTTATTTCACTTACCATAATGTATTCAAGGATTATACAAGTTGTAGCATGGATCAGTACTTCATTTGTGCTAAATATCTTACGTGTATTAATCAAGACTACAGCCTTCAGAGGTGGGTACTGGTGTGTTATATTTCCAATTAACTTAAGAAAAGAAGAATACACCTTGCAATAATTAGGTGACTTGCCCAAGGTCGCCTGGCTAATAAATTTCCAGAGCCAGCACTTTTAGCCATTCCTCTATTTGTGAGACGCTTCTTCTGTCTGGGGCAGTTTGAGACTTAGATGTCCTCTCAGAGATTAATGTAGAAAAGGGTCTTAGGTATTCCTTGGTGTCATCAGAGCTATCTTGAGCGAGAGCAGAGCCATAATGGGGTCCTTTGGTGCAAGCTGAACCTTTCTTCAAGAAATGTGAAGTGTATTCCAGGTGCCCTTTGGAGCACAGGCTGTTGTGAGAAAGACTAAAATAAATAGGTACTAAAACAGTAGTGGATTCTTCCCTGGTTAAGGCTGTAGTTTTCCCTGGGGCATTGAAGTAGACACACTTTGGGGCTACAGACCCCTGGTTTGCTGCAAAGGTTATGTGGAGGGCAGTCTGAAGTGGAAGGAAATGACTCCCATTTGCACAAAAAAGACCTTTTCCCATTGCCCCCTCCAAAATCTGGAGTCTCAGAAATGCTATCAGTTTTTATAGCCCTCACTCATCAAAATGAAGCACACTTGCTTTCATAAACCTCTTTCAGAGGTTCTTTTCATACTTTTAGTTTTTCCTCTTCAAGGCGTTTTGTTGACTTAAACCTCATTTCACTTATATGAGAATACCAGGTCAATAAAAGGATGGAGAAGACACTGATGCCAGACTATGTTTTGCTTAACCCTGTGTATTAGTCCATTTTCATGCTGCTGATAAAGACATACCCAAGACTGGGAAGAAAAAGAGGTTTAATTGGACTTACAGTTCCATATGACTGAGGAGGCCTCAGAATCATGCCAGGAAGTGAAAGGCACTTCTTACATGGTGGCAGCAAGAGAACGTGAGGAAGAAGCAAAAGTGGAAACCCCTGATAAACCCATCAGATGTTCTGAGACTTATTCACTATCACGAGAATAGCACGGAAAAAATGGGCCCCCATGATTCAATTACCTCCCACTGGGTCCCTCCCACAACACATAGGAATTCTGGGAGATACAATTCAAATTGAGATTTGGGTGGGGACACAGCCAAACCATATAATTCCACCCCGGCCCCTCTGAATCTCATTCCCTCACATTTCAAAACCAATCATGCCTTCCCAACAGTCCCCCAAAGTCTTAACTCATTTCAGCATTAACCCAAAAGTCCACAGTCCAAAGTCTCCTCTGGTACAAGGCAAATCCCTTCTGCCTATGAGCCTGTAAAATCAAAAGCAAGCCAGTTACTTCCTAGATGTAATGGGGGTACAGGTATTGCATTCCAAATAGGAGAAATTGGCCAAAACAAACGGGTTACAGGGCCCATGCAAGTCAGAAATCCAGTGGGGCAGTCAAATTTTAAAGCTCCAAAATGATCTCCTTTGACTCCAGGTCTCAAATCCAGGTCATGCTGATGCAAGAGGTGTGTTCCCATGGTAATGTGCAGCTCCACCCATGTCGCTTTGCAGGGTATGGCCTACCTTCTGTCTGCTTTCATGGGCTCGCATTGAGTGCCTGCAGCTTTTCCAGGCACATGGTGCAAGCTGTCGGTGGATCTACTATTCTGGGTTCTGGAGGATTGTGGCCCTCTTCTCACAGCTCCACTAGGCAGTGCCCAAGTGGGGACTCTGTGTAGGGGCTCTGACCCCACATTTCACTTCTGCACTGCCCTAGTAGAGGTTCTCCATGAGGGCCTTGTTCCTGTAGCAAACTTTTGCCTGTGCATGCAGGTGATTCCATACATCTTCTGAAATCTAGGCAGAGGCTCCCAAACCTCAATTTTTGACTTCTCTGCACCTGCAGGCTCAACACCACGTGGAAGCTGCCAAGGCTTAGGGCTTCCACCCTCTGAAGCCACAGCCCCAGATGCACGTTGGCCCCTTTCAACCATGGCTGGAGCTGCTGGGACACAGGGCACCACGTCCCTAGGCTGCACACAGCATGGAGACCCTTGGCTTGGCCCACAAAACCACTTTTTCCACCTGGGCCTCCAGGCCTGTGATGGGAGGGGCTGCCATGAAAGTCTCTGACATGGCCTGGAGACATTTTCCCCATGGTCTTTGGGACTGACATTAGGCTCCTTGCTTCTTATGCAAATTTCTGCAGACAGCTTGAAATACTCCTCAAAAAAAATGGGCTTTTCTTTTCTACTGCATCATCGGACTACAAATTTTCCAAACTTTTATGCCTGTTTCCCTTTTAAAATGGAATGCTTTTAACAGTACCCAAGTCACCTCTTGAATACTTTTCTGCTTAGAAATTTCTTCCACCAGGTACCCTAAATCATTTCTCTCAAGTTCAAAGTACCACACATCTCTAGGGCAGGGGCAAAATGCCACCAGCATCTTTGCTGAAACATAGTAACAGCCACCTTTGCTCCTGTTCCCAATGAGTTCCTCCTCTCCATCTGAGACCACCTCAGCCTGGACCTTATTGTTTATATCACTATCAGGATTTTTGTCAAAGCCATTCAATAAATCTCTAGGAGGTTCCAAACTTCCCCACATTTTTTCTTTCTTCTTCTGAGCCCTCCAAAATGTTCCAACCTCTGCCTGTTACCCAGTTCCAAATTCGCTTCCACATTTTCGGGTATCTTTTCAGCAATGCCCCACTCCCAGTACCAATTTACTGTATTATTCTCTTTTCATGCTGCTAATAAAGACATACCCAAGACTGTGAAGAAAAATAGGTTTAATTGGATTTATAGTTTCACATGGCTGGAGAGGCCTCAGAATCATGGCAGGAGGTGACAGGCACTTTTTACATGGCAAGAGAAAATGAGGAAGAAGCAAAAGCAGAAATCCCTGATAAACCCATCAGATCTTGGGGGACTTATTCACTATCACAAGAATAGCACAGGAAAAACCCAGCCCCCATGATTCAATTGCCTCCCACTGGGTCCCTCTGACAACATGTGGGAATTCTGAGAGATACAATTCAAGTTGAGGTTTGGGTGAGGACACAGACAAGCCATATCACCCTGTCCTCTATTACCTGGTCACTGTTATGTGTTTGAATGAACTAAAGAAATAGAATTTTGTAGAACAATCCTGGAATATCACTATGGGCTTCACAGGGAGAACATCAGTCAGTCTCTGAAACCTCTACAACCCTGGCAGGGGGGTGTCCACTAGAGTTGCACTGTGGTCCATTATCCAGGACCATGTGTTGCGGGACTTCTCTGATGCACCAGATTCTCATGTGACATGTGTATCTGCCAGGTGACTCTGGAAAGTAAAGAAAGATTTGTGATCGTACCATGCCAACCAGTCAGATCTTCACAGTAAAGGACTGAGTGTGCAGTTGGTTAATTCAGCAAAGTCCCGGTGGGCACCTTTCCTGTGCCAGCACAGTTCCAGGAGCCTGGGACACATCAGTGAGCTGCTGATCCCTGTGATTGTGCAGCTGATATTCTAGTGCCTCATGAATGTCATGACCCTTGCTTTTTCTATATTTTTTTATTCTAGTGATTATGTATTTTCTAGGCATTTCACTGGTGATTAGACTCTCCATCTGAGGGAAAGCTGGGCAGGTTAATAAAATGAATCCATTTTGCTGCCCTATTTCACTTTTGTTAAAAAGAAATTATATGGACCTGTGGTTTCACCTAGGAGACAAAACACCTTTTTTACATTATGCTCATATTTCAATGATCAGTGCTAACCCTTAGAATATTCCCATGAATAACATAGAGCTGGCTTCACTTCTGGATCTCATTCTGAATGGGTTTTGTGTTCATTTTGCTTCAATATCACTGTCAAAAAAGGCTTGGGAGATTTTCTCAACACATACATAGAAAGGGGATATATTTTGTCATCCCTTTCTTCAGAAGTATGATCTAGATAAATTCATACATATTTTATTTCTACCCATCACAACACAGCACAACACAAGCCACTTCAATTACCTCAGCAACAAGCTAGCAGTACAACTTTATCATTTCAATTTCTCATCTTTTCTCTTTGACTTGATGTGTGTTCTGTGCAGTATATCAACAAAATCTCATGAACCCCAGCCTCCTTGAGGCTAATAAATCTCAGTCACAAATTAATCTCACACAAAATGAAAAAAGGAAGATCACAATAGGAAAAAGCTAATGGCCATAGTCACTCACCACTGCATATTCTGAAATAAATACTCACAAGCCATGCTATGGACGTGTTCAGATTCTCAACCAATATCAAACGGGTGCACGTTGGGCCGTCACTTTCATTTCTTTGACTACCATGATTCTGTGGGGACAATGTGACCTTTGAGTGATTGCTCATCCAACCAAAAAGTACTTGGCGACCCAATCATATGAGTGAGAATTGTTCACACAGCTTAAACGATGATTATATTCCTCATTGAACTTGGATCTTTGGTTATAACAGTCTTCCTTTTAGTGTAAGAACTGGAGAAGAGGTGGATGCATTTTTGTCATTAAGATGAAAATGTCCCTTCAAACACCTAGATAGATCCAGATATTATCCAGGATAATAACCCAATGGCAGGGTTATTATCCTCTCATTCCTTGAATGGGAAACTCAGTGATAGAAAAAGTGGTCTCCAGGCAGGAACCTAAATCATAATGCATAAAGAAACAAAAAGTCCTGTTTTAAAATCATGGCAAACTAATAAGTGTCAGAGGAAGCAAAGAAAAATAGGATCTGGATTGTCTGTTTCTTTTTTCTCAGCCTCCAAAGCAGAGGCCAATGTTATGAGACAATACTGCAAATGAGAACATTCAAATACAGCTTTGATTGCACCAAATGTGTTTCGTTAAACATGAATGATGTCTCTTGAGAATTTTTCCGAATGAGTGTGGTACAAATGTCATCATAACCAAGGGCACATGGTTACCTTTAAACAGATTTTAAACCAGAGTCACCAGCATGTAAACCTTGTTTATAACACATCTGTATTTTTTAAAGTTCCGAAGTGGGGCTTTGTCACAGTGCATGAAGTCGTTTGTCACTCAAAGGAAAATAAAGCCTGAACATTATTTTTCACGATGTTAGAGAAATCTGGAAACTAATTAAAATGAGATAATATTTGAGGTCAAGCTCAGGTTTTTAAAATTCTTTGAAGTCACTAATTAAAAATGAAAATCATTAAAATATAAACACATTGTGTTTCCTTTCTTTTTTGGTTTAGTACCTGAAGCCATCAGATTAAATTCTCTGCCTCAGTTATTGCACTCAGGGTTAGCATCTGCAATTAAATTTTCTGCCATTTATTTATTCATTTCTCCCACTAATTGTGAAAAATAATTCAGAAGTGGCCCAAAGGAGATGAGGAGGGGGTGCTAGTGTCATAGGCAGTCGTTAAGGTAGTTGTAAAATGTGCTTCATTTTTGTATGCATTTGTCTTCTCTCTCCTTCCCACCCTTCTTTCTTTTTCAACATGAAACTGAAACAGCCATTGACAACTAATTCTTTTTATCCTCTTTGTGTGGCTCCTTGGGCACCTTCCTTAAACTTGATAAAGGCTGAGACTGTAAAGATTTTTAGACATTTCAAGGAACAAAATAGCAACAGATCTCTGATATAGCAATAGATCTCTGATACAGCCAAGGAATGCCTGAGAGAAACAACACTGCAAAACACAGATGATTCCAGGATCAAAATGCAAACAAATATGGTTGACAGAGCTGCTACATCTTTAGTCTCCAGGTGCTAACCAGTTGGCTTTAACCCCCAAGTGACGAGCCTATAGTTCTGCAGGATTTTTACTTTTTTAGTCCTTTCTTTTTATTGGTTATTTTCATTTCAAAACTGGAATTTGAAATCTGAAATAAATGATTCAGGGAATTCCTCTGATGAGGCCAGAATTTCAGTTTTTTTCATGAACCAGGTACCACCTGAAGAGGCTTGCTTACCCAGTGAGACTCCAGAAGGGCCGTTCTGTTGGATTTCCCCATTCTCCTCCTGCCCATGTGTGTTTGTACCTAACACAACAAGGATACAGAAAACTCATTGATGGCAAGGATGTTCATCCCCTACTGTTGTGCATTTAGGTTATTTCAGATTTTTAATGAATATATGTGATCTGTAATTAATAACTGTAATATAAATTATAAACTTTTAATATAAATTTTAAAAATATATTTTTTGGTACAAATTCCTATAACTAGCAGACTAGAGGATATACATGTTTTTTTCTTTTATAAATTCTGCCAAAATCCCATCCAGATTATCTGTACATGTTTATGCTTTAAATAGCTATATAGAAATGTCTCTGTAATATATTTTGTTCTGGAAAATCACCAAAAATTCAGTAGAAAGAATAAGGTGAAGAAGACAGAGGGAATCATGTCTTTTTTTCGTTGTACAAAATTTGTCACAATCAGAGGCCGAAAACACTCATTTTTTTCCTATGAAGTTTTCAAAAAATCCTCTGTGAAATAATTTTTCTTTTAAATATTTCATTTTGATTTATTTTTTATGTTCCTTTCTTATATTTTCTCTTTCTTTGGGATATCCTTTAGGGCTTTTCCCAGATCAGAAATAGCTATTGTCAACAGTCTTCCACTGTTGGTGAAAACTTTTAGTCAAAAGCAGTTCTTAGGCGGAAGCTCAATGTTTCTCTCACTTTACACAGAGTTAGAAGGAAACACTTGTCTGCCTTTAGTCTTGTAAGGGGAATACAATCCAACAGTTTATACATTCCTGAGTAGCAGATACATTCAGGTTTAAGTATAAAACATTCTTTAGTTCATTTCTGTTTTTCTCTTTATGGTAATGCCATTTATACTCAGGCACAACATCTGGGATTTCTCTGACCATCTAACATGTAACATCATCTCCACCGCCAACACCCCAGCAGAAGTTGTCATCTTCTCTTGCCTGGACCTTCACAGTAACCTGATGTCTGCCCTCCTTGCTTCTTCTCCTCTTGCGTATGGGCCAGTCTCTACACTGAAGCCTGGGTGATCTGCATACAGCCCAAATGAGATCCTGCCTTTTCCTTGCCCAGTGAATTTCTCTGACAATTTGCATAAAACCCTGCCTTCCATGGCTTTGGTGGCCCGGCTGGATCTGGCTCTTGCCCAGCTCTGATTGCCTCTCCTTTCCTTCTCTCTTGTTCCACTCTTTTCCAGCTGAACAGTCTTCTTCCTGCCTCACTACTCTGCCACGCTTGTTCCTGTCTTGGAGTCTTTCGACTTGCTGGTCCTCTGCCTGAACACTTCTTTCTCGTATCCTCGTATGGCTGCTTTCTTCTCACCATTTAGCCCTCAGCTTCAATGTTACCTCCTTTAAAGGCCTTGTTAGAGGACCCTAAAACAGTACCTTCCACTCACTTCTCTCTATGCCATTTACACATTTTTTTCTTCAGAGAATTTATTAGAAAATGGAATTATATTACTTATCGGCTTATGTATCTCTCTTTAGTATTACCCAGAAGAATGTATGCTTTATGATGCAAATATTTTGTCTACTTTATTCACTAGCGCCTAGAGCAGTCTCTAAAACAGAAGTGGCACTCAATGACTATTTCTTGAATGAATTATCATTGAAACCTCCCTTTCCCATAGCCAATCAATCTCCATATCCTATTGATTTCTCTTCCTTAGTATTTCTTGCGTCTGTATGTTTCTCATTGTCTTCTGTTTCAATCTGAACTTGATGTTCTCATTCCTAGGCCACCAGATGAGCCTCTCAACTGGTCTCCCCAAGTTCATTCATCTTCTCCTCAATTCATCATGCAGACTTTTTAAGAGAGTGCTTTGGTCATAGCATTTTCCAGTATGAAAACTTCAGTGGCTTTCCATAACCTGAACCTGGGTGAGCAAAAAAGGAAACAAACCCTTCCTTTATTATGACTGCCCAGAGCATAGAACATCATTCTTTTTTTTTTTTTTTTTTTTTTTTTTTTTTTTTTTTTTTTTTTTTTGAGACGGAGTCTCGCTCTGTCGCCCAGGCGGGACTGCGGACTGCAGTGGTGCAATCTCGGCTCACTGCAAGCTCCGCTTCCCAGGTTCACGCCATTCTCCTGCCTCAGCCTCCCGAGTAGCTGGGACTACAGGCGCCCGCCACCGCGCCCGGCTAATTTTTTTTGTATTTTTAGTAGAGACGGGGTTTCACCTTGTTAGCCAGGATGGTCTCGATCTCCTGACCTCATGATCCACCCGCCTCGGCCTCCCAAAGTGCTGGGATTACAGGCGTGAGCCACCGCGCCCGGCCAGAACATCATTCTTATTAACAGACTTGCTTTCCTCCAACCACAGTGGTCAGCATATGACCCAGGACCCTATTTTCCTGGACTCAGAGTCCTTTTGTAAATGCAAGAGTGAGAAGGAAAGAGTGAAAAAGGGAGCAGGTAACGTCATTTGAGTGCTTGGATCCAGCTGTATTTGAATTTAGTTCTACCCTTCACTTATCAATTGGGGAAGCCAGTGAATTCCTAGTTTGGGTTAAACTCCTTTGATTTGGGCTTCTGTCACTTTTAGCTAATTCTTCTAATTAGTATGGCTTGGCTTTCAAACCCTTGTACAATCTGATCAAACCTCACCCTCATCTTTTTCTTTTACTCTCTACTGCTCTCAACATATCTTCCTAATTATAATTTGTACTTTTCTACCTCTGACTTTTTCTTCTGTCATGATGCCTGGGGTTGCTTCTCCTCTTCTTTTTGCTTAAGTATTTTCTTTTCTTTAAAAGTCACATTAGATGTTCCCTTCCAAATGAAGTCTTGGAGAAGATAGCCCACACCGGTCTCTTCACCTGTCTAGTATTTGTGATTTGTAATATTTATTTGAAGGTAACCATATGCCAATCTATATTATTGCTGCTATCCATCTTTCATGTTGTAGATCAGCATGCTGAAAATGCAAATGCATGTAGGGTCAGGTGTTTGATGTCAATGTATGAGTTGGGCCAGTATAAGAAGTGAGAAGTGGTAACATGGTGAATGGAAGGGTATATATCCTACCTAATGCCATTCTAAGTTAAAAAATTTAAAGACATTGTTGGCCAAATGAGGCATGCAGGTTGGATCTAGTCCCTGGCAGGCTGTTTGCAACCTCTTTTATTTATTTATAAGCATTTACTTTTTATGTCTTATTTGTCCAAACATATTTCAAGGACACTGAAGCCAGGGACTTTGTGTTTATACATCCTTTATTTCCTGCAATGCCTGCAACACAATAGCTACTCAATATGCAGCTGTTGGTGAATTGATGGTGCTGGCTGTGCTATAAGGTTTATTAGCTATGTTATTTTCCCCACTACCCCCCACCCCTGGCTCTTAATCTGAAATTATGTCTTAGAGAGGAGAAATCAAGGTTGAGTAGTTTGTCTTTCCTCCAGGGGATGATCAACACCACATGCCTTAGGAACATTCCTTTGGAAAAGAGATTTTAAAAAATTTTTAAGGGGACAAAAATAATGTTCATATTCATGATATGTTTTTTCTGTTCATGTGATCAGTCAGTCACCACATTTTAGTAATAAATGGAAAGAGACCTTACAAATCATGTATTCCAATCTTCCTACCAATGCAGACGTGCTGTTTGCAACCCCATGACAGATGACTTCTATCTGAGTATTTCCAGGCATTGGAAGTTCAATTCTTTTTTGAGAAAGCCCATTTCTTCGTAGAGCAGATTTAATTAGAAAGTCTCTTCTCATCACTAGACAAAATTGACCCTATTATACTTGTATTTATTGTTTTTAGTTCTGTATTACAAATATACGACATCTGCTTGTTGCAGACATGCACAGGAATTTAAGAAGACAAATGGAAAGGTAATAAGAAGAACATATCAAGCTGAACTTCTTGTATGACTTGAATTATCATGGCTTCTTAGGAGATCCATGTAGGATATAGAAGAGATAGAAACAGTCACAACTACAAGTTATGCAGTGCTTAAGTTTACACAGCATTTTCAATTCGTAAAGTTGTATGATGCTCATAACTGCAAGCTAATCATTATTATCCTGATTTGTGTTTTTAATACCACTAGTGTCTTTCCAAAGAAGGGAGATATCTTCTGCTACCCCACCCTCCATTAGGAGAGTACAATACTTGGGTGAACTCTTCATATTTCTGTCTGCCTTTTATTCTCCTCTCTTTGTGGTAGTCACTCTTAGCCCAAGACTCAGGTGTCACTTATGTGTCTCATAAGTGTCTCCTATTTAGTTTGTATCAGCTTGTTCTGCTTTTATTAAGATAGAAACAGATTGAGATTGTGGTAGAAGCCCATTTTTCTTGATTTTGGATGTCCCCAAATCATCTCTTTGTTTTATTAAGGCCATTTTATTCTTTGGAAGTAAGTTACTAATTAGATATAGAAAACTTTATGACAGGTTATAATGTAGTGTGGGATGATGCTTGATAGTTTTAAATTTTATTTAACTAAACCTTTGATCTTATTTATTTTTCTCTGTGTGCCTACAATGTAAGGAGTTGGTGTTAAAAATACTGAGCTGCCCAGTAAAGTTTCCCAAGGTATCTGGAGAGCTTGGGGCAAGGGACTTGTGATACTCCCAGAGAAAAATTAGAGCCCTATTCCCATAGTCATTATCAAAGAGTTACAACCACTTTCACATAAGTAATGTCATAAAATACTGGTTACTGGTTTTTCCTTGACAAATAAAAATGCTGGACTAAACAGTGAAAGGAATAATGACTCAAGTCCTAGTTCACCTTAATAATAAGGATCACACTTAGATGGTGCTTGTTGTGGCTACCCCAAAGACACTGTGGACTTTGTCACCCACCCAAAGTTTGGTTCTGTTGTTGAAACTGATGTCATACATGCACCAAGAAGGGACAAAAAGGTTTACTACTCACAGAATGAGGCTTTCTGGGGAGGACAGGGGAGGCTTGTGAGTGCGTATAAAAATGGCTTTAGAGAGCGGGGAAGGGCACTGACTTGGCTTTTATTGTGGTTAGGGAATGGAGCTGGGATGAAGGTTCCCTCATATGCCTGGGACTTCCCTGTTTGAACTTCCTGCTGACCGCAAGGGAGGGAGCCCTGGGCTTTCTTACCAGCTTGCCCAGCCAGTGGGGAAAAGGGGGAGACAAGGCATAGATCTTAAAAGCTGTCAGTAGCCAAATATAAAAACTGGAGTCAGACTCTTTATTACAAAGTTAAGTTGTGTTTTTAGGTAAAATCAAATTTCTCCAGGCAGGTGCACTGTATCTGGGATAAAGAGTTCATGGACACCTTGCTAATTGCCTACATTTTACTTCTTGTGGCTCTTCTCTGCATGGTCCTTGCCATACCCCAGCCTCAACAGAAATATAAAAGTTAATCTTAAATTTTGGTCAGACTCTTGCTTCATATATATACATATATGTATATAAGCACACACATATACATATATACATGCATATATATACACATATATCTGAGATGTCACAAACGTTACTCATATATATATGAGAAGCAAGTGATTAAAGGCATATATATATGCAGATATACTAATTTAGGAAAACATTATATATATGTTTAAACATATATACGTATATATGTTTAAACATATATGTTTAAACATATATGTTTAAACAAATGTGTTTGCACTATAGGTAGGTATATGTACATATTAGAGGAAATTCAACTTTCTTTTCTTTTCCCTTTAAGGTAGGAATGTGTATTGACTTTGCAGAATCATGGCAGCAAGTTGTAAATGATGAATGAACAGCACATCTCTCCCGCTTGAGGAAGTGGGACTGTGGAGAGAGTGTGGACACAGTCTGCCACTTTTTCTACATTGACGTTGTTGGCATGCTTATTTACTAAGGCTGAATTCCTCTGTGATGCAGTTTGGAGAAGTTGGGCATTGGGTGGAATGGGGTCATAGCAGGAACTCTCTCATGTGATTGAAAAGAGCATCATTCACAAGTATGTTCTGTACGTAGCTCAGAATCAAATGCTTTCTGCACTTGTCAGCTTCAGAAACCATAAAGGAGGCATTAAAGGAGAATTATTCTTGTAAAGGGATTATCTGATCCTAGATTCTCAATAGTTATTTTTAGAAAATGCAGATTTGTTGTTTTCTGTGGTTGTTTGTGCTTGCTGACTTTCAGGTTTCTTATCTTTTTAGCGAAAGAAGCTCTGGATAGATTCTGGGCAAGGAAGCTCCTTCTCACTCATTCCTTACAGCCAAAAAATATTAAAACTTAAAAAAATTGCTGAAACAGAGTATAGCAAGTGATTACAGACATTTAAAAGTAAAGCTCAGTGCAATCTTACTAATGATTTTAAAATATTGAAATTAGAATCTGTCAGGTGCCAGGTGCCTAAAGAACAGAGCAAATCATAAAATTAGGCGAAGTCTCAGGTAAAATGCACTCCATTTTCAACTAATTCATGCAAGTTAAATGTATCTGCCGGGCTTAGAGATGAATTGTAGTTGAGAGTGCCAACTTCGGAAGTACCCAAGACATCTTGCTTTGCTTTCACATTCAAGGCAAGTCCTTGGCTAACTATTGTTGTTACTTTCACAAAGATTATCTGCCAACAATATCATTCTTGCCAGTGTAAATACAAAATGTGAGAGGCTGTTATAGTCTCTACTATAGCACAGTTTCACCATGATATTTTAAAATCACTGATGTGTTTTTACTTAGCATTGGTATAATGCTTTATGCTGGGAGAATTCTTTGGAATGTCCCTTTGTAATAATTTTCAAGCAACCCAATGAGATAGGTTAGTACTCCTGGCACTGTCGCCCACCTGGTGACACAGGAGCAGAAGTAGGTCACTGGGCTTTGACCAGGTTATATTTTAATATAAGAATGAGAACTGATAGCTCTGGGGTGTTCAGTCTGTGGTTTAGCAAGCTGGCTTATGCTACTACAAGTCTTGTTATGTGTATGAACTCAGGAGAACTGTTAGGTCCCTGAAAGATACATCTTAAACAGGAAGCAAATCAGAGGAATCAATTGAGCTCAACATTCTCTCATGAGATATACTCTTCAATTGATTACCTGCTATAGAGTTGCTTTCCTCCATCACTCCTATTTTATATTTTTTATATAAAATACAGAAGAAAAAATTTCTATGAGAAGTTAGCCATAATTTTCATGGTGCTTCAGAGAAAAAAAAAAACCTTCTGAAATATCTGTGGAAGGTCTTCATTTTGACAGCTCAAAGTACTGGATTTGGGAGCTAGAGAGCCAAGAAAGAATTTCTTCAATTTGGAGGCAGTCACAAAAAAGGCTAATAGCAGAGGTGATAAAAATACCCAAAGAAGGGTATTTTGTGGTGCAGATCTTGGTATAATTAGAATACCAGGCAAATTTGGACTGTATAATACAAATAAATTTATATAAATATGTTTTTATATATATTTATATGTATGACCTAGAAGCTTTATTAGGAAATCAATTGTCCATGATAAAACATTTTTAGCTGCTTGGCAAAAAGCCTTGGCCAAACAAGAAAAAAATTCAGATGCTTTTGGTGACAGATGATGTGGAATAACTTTTTATAGTACATGTTCTATCATATGGCACAATTTGTGAATTTTCTCAAGAAAGTGACAGTCAACAGGGCCTGTATTTGTAGGCGGGCTTTATCTGTAAAAATAAAAGAACTAGATTCTGTGAAAGAAAAAATCCACAACTTATTAACATTCAAAATAGAAACAAGTTTCAGTTCTGTTTTAAGGAGGATGAATGAACTGGAGAGTAGTTAATGATGTGCTTCCAAACTTATGAAACATAATTTAGAAAACAAAAATGCAGTTTCATAGTAATTATTGCCAGGGTTAGAAAGTAGTCATAAAGAAATCTCCAGGAAGCCATAAGGCAGGCCGAAAACTTCTAGATGAGATGAAATTTTTTCTTTATTCTCTTTCAAGATTTTTAATTGCAGTAGAGGACTTTCTTTTACATGTCCAACCTCCTTCCTGTCTTGAATTGTCTATTCTTCCTTAGGATGTCTACCCATCCTTCAAGTCTCAGCTTGTATTCAATTTCCTTTATGTAGCCTTTCCCAGTTACATCATGGGTTAGGGGACCCTCAAAACCATCCTCAGTCTTGATGATTCACTAGAAGGTCTTATAGGATTCAGAAACATGGTTATATTCATGGTGACAGTTTATTACAGTGAAGGGATCCAGATTAAACTAAGCAAAGGCACAAGGTCTATGGAGTAAAATCCAGGAGAAACCAGGTGCAAACTTCCAGGGTTTCTCTCGCAGGGGAGTCACATGGATGTACTTAACTTTCCCAGCATTGCTGTGTGACAACATGTGCAAAGTGTAGCCAACCAGGGAAGCTCACATGAGCCTTGGCGTCTAGGCTTTTTAATTGACCTCAGTTACATAGGCACATATGATTTCAACTATTCAGACTCCAGCCCCCTAGAGCAAAAACAGGTATTCACCATAAATCGCATTGTTAGTATAAACCATCTGCTCAAACTGGTACTGGATGGCCCAAGGCCTCAGGCATACAAAAGCCTTCTTATCACGCGGAATATTCCAAAGGCTCAGAGCTCACCTACCAGGAGCCAGCCAAAAGCCAATCCCAAAGCAGGCATTTACTGGGAATGTGCAGGGTTTGAGCAACCCAGGCCTGTTCCGTTACCTCCTTCCCACACAGGCCACACCCCTGGTTCCTTGCCTAGCTTTCTTACTAAAATGATACAACTTTCCGAGCCTCTTACTTATATAGCATTTATATAATAGCTGAAACAATAGAATCAGCATGAAGATACTGAACATTTGGAGGAGCCAGTGTAGGGTAGGGATAGACTTGAAGAAACAGTGGATCCACCTTATAAGGGCATTAATACATGCGTATTTTTGTACTAATTTAATTGCTGACTTACCCCTTGATCTACCTTTACTCATATCTTGTGATTAACTTGTGCAGAACTATTTGGCATAGCAATAAGCTGATGTTTAGCTAAATCCATTTCTTCCTCAGACCTGTCATTTTTCATGAGTACATCCTGGGGAGGTTTGAACTCCCTCTTCTAATATGTTTGATCATTAGTATGAATATTATATGAATTATTTATATAAGGTAGTTTAATCTTACTAACAAAGCCAGTCTTTTACCATATTGCAATATAGTAATGGTACAATTCAGTTTTATTACATGAAAAATCAGTAAGAAGTACAGAGGTATCTGTGATGCCTTCCCAACTGAATTGGCCTCTGCCCATATGCCAGATACTATTGTGGGCTGACATCATTACAGTTGGTCATGATTTGGTTATTTGTAGGTTTCAAGCCAGGCAGGGACAAACCCAGTTACCCTGCCTTTGTTCACAGTCTTGTACTGAGACGGGTTTCTTTGTGTGCTCTTATATAACAGGACTCACCTCCTTCCTATGGGGAGGGCATGGGTATTACTGAGAAAAGCCCCTATCCATGCTAACTGTGTGTAGCACATATATAATTCTTAGCTGATCTATTCTTCAGGTGAGCGCAGTCGTTATGCATCAGTGCAAATCACAATAGTTCCCAATAACTTCCCTAAGTTTAGAGATCTGTAGGATCCTATACGGGTTCCCCTAGAGCCCCAGCAGCTTGGACAGAGGGCCAAGGTCTCATGGCTGCTTCAGCCTCGATCTGTACTAAAATAGTCAAGGGGCACAGGTTACAAGCCCTTTCCCAGTGCTGGATCCTGGCATTATCTATCATTATTTGTTGAGTCTTCCTCACTCATTTCACTAAAGCCTCATCATCTGGACAAGATGACCTCTATCCCTTGTGTCCTTCCTGGAAAAGAATTTCCTCAAATCTGTTTATTCTAGTTAGTACATCTTTTTCCTCCGAATACTGCTTCTTATTTAAAAGTGAATTTAATTTGTCGCATGATGTCTAGGCTGCTTCCTGTCTCCCCCAAACGCTTTCTGTTTTGTAGGCCAAAAGTTGTTTAATCCACCACGTATTAGTACACCAATATATTAATTAGTACACCATGTATTAGTATACCGTTAGTATACCACACATTAGTACAGCATTGTGTACTAGTAGGCTGAGTGCAGTAAGGATACATGTTTTGTATCTCAAAATGTTGGGTCGCTCATGCTAGGGTTAGTTGATAGTTTGAGTATGCCATAAGGCCTCCCATGGACTTCCTTGTCTTAGGTTGTGGCTGCTCCCTAGGGAAATTAGAATTCAGCATATGAAGCCTACTGCTTTATTCTTTTCTGAAACCCATTTTTAAAAAATTCTGTTTTATAGCTTTCCACCAAAAAAATGAGGACAGTAACATTCTTCTAAGAAGCATACTGTGGCATCTCAGAAATGCAGCTGCTACATTTTCTGCATTATCACCAAAGACCTTTCTCAGCATTTGGACATCAAGGTTTACAGTTTCACAGTGATCAGTCTATTGGGAGTTGTACACTGCATGGCCTGTTGAGGAGTAGCTTCTGGAAACTTCTCCCTAAACAATGTCCTTTATAGTAGCTGCAGCCTGAAAAATAAGAGTCAAAAGATAGTTTACTAGTGTTCCACTCAGCCATCAGCAATTGGTTTCATTCATCATCATATCATATAACTACAATACTTCCTGGAGTGAGGCTGCACACATTTGCGGGTTCCATTAGACCTTGTCAGATTCCAAAAGCAGGGGTGGTCTTGGCAGACATGGGTTCATCGTTTTGGGCATCTGGTATGATTGTGCTAAGGGACAATATCTTTCTCTTGCTTTGAACATCTCTGAAATTACCAATTTAATATCCAATAGGGTTTGCCTTAATATATAACCATTTTTTAAATTTCTTACCCCCAGCTACTATTTTTTCTCTACATTTATTTATTTTAATCGAAACTTTCCTATCTTTGGAAGGGACATTAGGTTCCACTACTGTACTAGTCCACATAGTTAACAGGAATACCTGTCTAGCAAGTATCCTCACTTATTCCATTCCCATTCATATAGAGAAGGGTTACATAGGTACCAAACGATATAGAGAGGCAGTGGGCTATCTCTACTAGGCAATACAGCTTCATGTACTGTCTAGCCCAATTTTGCTTGGTGGAATAAAGGCATTATAAATTGTTTATTCAGAACACACAGTCTCTCATAGAGTTTGTATTCAGTAAAACTTCCTGGTTGATTGATTGATGATTGTTTATGGGATAGTCTGAATGTCTTAGACAACTAATAGAAAATGACTTTTTTCCAACCCCTATCTAAGATGTTCTCTACCTCTTGATCAGATCTTAAGCAGATCATGTAACTATCTAATTCCTTTTCTGTAATAAAGAACAGTCTGTTTTCTGTAATTGTGAGTCCTTCAAATATTAAAAATATGCAGCCTAAATAAAAAATTATTCATCACATGTAAGTGACATCATCTCTACTCTTTGTAGTAAGAAAAGGTACATTCTATATACTTTATTCTTTCCCTTCTTTCTCTTTTTTTTTTCCTGACTTTTGTAGGGGTAGACAATTAGAGGAACAAGGGAATGAAACATTATATAACTGGTGTCTGTCTATTCTGCAGGTGGATGTGATAAGCTGCCTTGTAGGGTCCATGTTGAGTAATTTGAAAGGCCTTCCAAAGACCACCACATTGGACAGTTCCAAAACATTGGTATCACTCTCTTTGGTTAACTAACCTTCTGCAAACCCTCTTATTTTCTGCTCCTTTGCAGTACATCCTGTAGCCTCTTACTGGGAATTCTCATTGTTCCTGCTGGCACCCTCTTGGTTGAAGTACCTGCAGTGATAGCCCAAGGCCTGTTTCCCTCTGAGTACTCACTTGGCCCAAGGGAAACATATCATCCTTGCCATACCCCATAGTGGGAGTTCAGACTGACTCACTGCTGCCTTCTCTTTCTGTGTTATTATGGATTGTGGTCTCCCTTCAGAATTTTCCAGAAAAGGGGCTCATAAGTCTCTATGTTCATATATGCCTCACTCTACTGAGGATACATGTCAGGTTTGCTCAAGAACCCTGTTGCTGTATTCTGCTCTGACGACACAGTGAGGTGGGCTAACCAGGTTCTGCATTTCTGCAAGTGTACAGTTTAAGAATGAGAGGCCAGTCTCCTTTGTTCACTCTCCATTCTCCTTCAGTGTTTCTCCTGATCACCATCCGTTTAGCTTGAAGGAGTAGGTGCACCTTCCACTCCATTTATAAGGCCACCACACTTTCCCTTTAGGCTGCAAACTCCTCATTTCTGTTGGTGACTGAATTCCTATAGGGAATTCTTTTTTTTTTTTTTTTTTCAGACGGAGTCTCACTCAGTCAGTTGGAATTCTTAAGCAGGTTGGAACGAGTAACATCACAGTTACAACATCCAACTGACTGGGTCCTGCAGAAGGTTTGTGCTATTACAAGAGGCTACAGGATGTACTGCAAAGGAGCAGAAAATAATAGAAATAGAAAATTCCTATTAAATAACTATTTTAACATCTTTTACACCAAGTTCGTTCTTGTTCCACAGCAGGGAAGAAAACTGAGGAACAAAATTTTGTTGTCCCTTTAACCTGCATCTCAGATACTAACATTTATAACTGATTTAGAAAAATTGGACATTATTATATTTGAAAGAAATGGAAAAAGGTCCCAATTCCTTACAGCTTCCTTGGAAATTTCCGGTGGGAGGCCTACTTAATATTACCTTGTCTCAACTTCAATTACTGCAATCATTTTGTGTGCCTATTATGGAATAATCTGTAAGCCAATCCCTGAAGATAAGTGGATTTCAGTCACTTTCATTTTTAAAGTTGCAATTTTATAATTTCAGGGAGGGAAGTGCTGGATTCAGAGGTCTCAATCATGCCATCCTCTCCAATTTAATTTAGCAACTTGCTTTCTATAATGATGTTAATCAGAGATCTGTGTCTGAATCTAGGGACTTCTCCCACTGAAGCTTGGTTATGTGAAATTTTATCTTTATGTTTTCCATACCTGCACAGATTTTGGGTTGACATAGCTGTCACACTGCTTCTTGCAAGTTTAGGTGCAATGAGAGATTGGAAGCCATGTAAAGAATTAGCATTTGAATCCCTGAGCTTGGTTCATTCATGCCTCAGGAAATGAAGACAGACAAATTCTTCAAGTAACTTGGGTGAAAAGCATTTCGGTCTAAATGAAATATGTAGCTCATTGAAAGCCCCAAATAATAAATGCAGTTTTCCCATTCACTTTGAAGATGTTCTGTGCAAAATATCTCAGCTTATCTTTTTCATGGCCAGAGTGTCGACAGAATAGCTACAGGGTTTGCCATAGTGCTTGGTGCCAAGTGCTTAAATGTTATTTTAATAAAAAGCAAATGATCTGCTGTGGAACCATTAGACTACAAGCTTTTGGAGAGCAGACATTGTGTTCTGTTCCTTCTTATGTCTCCATTTCCTAACACACAGTGCCCTCTTGTAGTATGTACTTACTAAATATTTGCTAAACGGAATCAGTCCTCCAGACTTACTAAGTGCCAAGCTCTGTTCTGGGCATTTTTCATGTACTAACTCATGTACATATCACAAAAACATTTTAAAGAAGTTGCTATTATTATCTCCATTTTCTGGCTAAGGAAATGGATAGAGAGAGAATTAAGTAACTTTCTCAAGTTACATAGCTAGTAAGCCAGAGCTGGGATTCAAACTGGATAAAATCTAGCAGCTAAAGTCTTAAGTGCAAAACCAACAGCCATGGGCTAATAATGCAATTAATATATAATGAAAAGACCCTTTCAGAATGAACAGAAGATGGAGAGATATGACTGACTTGGAGCAGAAGAAAGATCCTAAGGAGAGAGAAGGTATAGAACAGTCAGACGTTCACATTAAAATAAGTAAACTAGGGGATTAGAGAAGAGAAAACTGAAGAAAAGGAAAAGAATGGCAAGCCCAACAGGCTTAGGAATGAGCTAGCTGATGTTTATTTGAGGAGCCAGGAGGAAATTTTACTTATGAACTATAGTGAGAGGGTAAGGTGGGGCTAGGAACCATCCCCACTCCAACTTTCTGATTTTGTAAGCTTCAGTCACAGCTCAGAGCTGTTGTGTTGGTGGGAAGTCTGCAATGAAGTAGTTAACTCCAATGAATCCAGTTCTTCAATGGAATCTTTTGGCACAACCGGTTTGAGGCCTTCCCTACTCATATAATTCCAGTGATGTAGTCTTAAAATAATTCAAAATGACATTGTTATCTTTATCAACTGCCATGAAAGGACCAACTACTATAATCTGTCTAATCAAAAACTACAAGCATTCACCCATTCATTCACCATTCAGCAAATATTTATTGAGTACCCAGGTTAAATACATAAATAACCGAAGCCAGAGGCATATTGGGAAGTTATAGCTCTGCTATGAAAAGGCAGCTACTTCATTTTTTTAGAGCACTTGTTATAATCTGTAAAACTATTTAGGAAATAACTTTTGGGTTCATATAAATCTAGCTCTTAAATCTGTACGAATACCATCCTTGCACAATATCTGGACCGGTTTTCTGGTACTCTAAGCCAACGTCTTTTTCTTCTTTACTTTTCTGCTCGTAATTCAACTGCCGTGTTCGTATCTGGATTCATCCTCAAATAGAGACCAGTCTGGATGGGAAACTGCCTGCGGAGGATTCTGTTTAGCCAGGGCTGTGAGTGCTTTGAAATAAAGAAGAAGGGAAGCAAAAATGAAGAGAGAGCTGAAGACATCACTAGGAGAAAAGGATCATGCATGAAGCTGCAGGAAGGAGGCAGGAACATAACTGTCGACGGGTGATGCCCTCAGAAGGCAGGCAGGCTCAAGAAAGAAAGAGAAGCAGCATAGGCAGGAGATACAACAAAGCTCTTAGTGGCTGTGGCCGACTAAGTGTGAGCTCCCAGATGAGGAGGGGCTGCTTCAAGACACTACATGGAGCAGGGAGACACCATCTTGGTCATCTCTTTCTTTCCCTTGCCCTCACCCCGATGCTAACCTCCAACCTGCTCCTCCGAATTGAGCAAGGTTTCTCTAGGTTTGACTAGTGAAAGCCTGTGAGATGTTTAGAGGCTAATCTAAGGCAGGAAATGTATTACTAGTGAAGATAATTTTCATCTGGCAAGCATGTTCCATCTTTCTAGTCACTTATTGCTCTGACAGTTTTTATTGTTTTACTCGTTGTCATATACATTGTTACACATTAACTATCACTCTTCTAATCCCAGTTGAGTTTCCAGTGTGTGTGTCCATTACTGTCCTCCACCAAGCTTAATAATTCGTCAGTCCTCCATGATCCTGGAAGGCCAGGACAGCCTGTATTTGTATTGAGTACTCCAGGTGATCTTTTCTTACTGTTGTAGCAGCTCATGGGAATCCGAGATGCCATTTGATTCGTCTTCCATTGTTGGGCTAAAGTACTGCCTAGTGTAAGAATCAGCTAACCCCGGTGTGTGTGTGTGTGTGTGTGTGTGTGTGTGTGTGTATGTGTGTGTGTGTTGGAAGGGCCTTTTTCATTTCTGATTTTATTATTCTCTAATTTTATTATCCATACTATTTGTACTGCAGAGTCTATTTTTTTTCAAAGATTTCAATTTCTTTAAAGTGAGATGACATTCTCCACAATTCCCGTCATCATCATTGCTCTGTACCTATTAAGGGCAATAGCCACCTGGTAGTCCAGTGTCTCACCTTCTACCTGCACCCCATTCCAGTTAACCACAAATGAAAGCCTTAGAAATCCTCACACCATTGAATGCCAGGAATTGTTACCATTGCTTCAGTCATCCCACTGAGGGACCTCATCTGTTTAAATGCTATTTTTTCCAAATAAAAATTGCCCCCGATGTGGTTTGGATTTGTGTCCCTGCCCAAACCTCATATCCAGTTGTAATCTCCAATTTTGAGGAAGGGGCCTGGTGGGAGGTGATTGGATCATGGGAGCTAATTTCCCCCTTGCTGGTGATAGCGAACGAGTTCTCACGAGATCTGGTTGTTTAAAAGTGCCTAGCATCTACCCCACTCCCCCAACCCCTTCTCTCTTCCTTCTCCTCTGGCCATGTAAGATGCACGTGCTTCCCCTTTGCCTTCTGCCATGATTGTAAGTTCCTGAGGCCTCCCCAGCCATGCTTCCTGGACAGCCTGCAGAACTGTGAGCCAATTAAACCCCTTTTCTTTAGAAATTACCCAGTCTTAGGTATTCTTTATGGCACTGTGAGAACGGACTAATACACCCCTTTTTGGATCAGAGTGGCTGATTTTCCAGCAAATCACACTCTGATAAGACTACCATTCTTGTCTGCTGAGTAGTAGGGTGGGAATGCAAGCAACCCCAGGCAACAAAGCCATAGACGCTCTCTGTTCTTACCAGAAACTTTAGTAATTTTTCTAGAGTAAGGACTTTCCTATGTGTTGTCTGCCTTTTCTCTTTCCAGAGCCCTAGAATAGTTGATTTGACAGTTTTGACCAGTTTCACACTTTTTGTTTTTGGTAAATATTTTCCAATCTCTTTACCCCACAACAGCTGGAGGTTCCAATCTCTGCCAAGTATAGTTTTGCCTATTGTTTTATTTTTCATCTTTTTGTCTCACTTTGTCTTAATTTATGTTTTATAAAAATCAAGAATTGAGTTTTCCATTTTGATCTAGTGTTAAAAGATATCTTTTTAGTAAGTGAATTAAACTTATTTACATTTACTCATTTGACACATAAGTTGTATTTGGTCTTATTCCTGTCATTTTATGTAATGTTTTCTGTTTTTATAATATTATTAAAATCTTAACTACATTTCCTGTGGGTCTATTAGTTGTGTTTGGGTGTGTGTCTTGTTTTTTTGTTTTTTTTTTTTTGTTTTCTTTTTAAATGGCTTTTAAAATAATAGAGATGTTTATATTTGTGTTCCAGTAACTATCTTTCTAATTAAATATTTATATAGTGATACCCATATTCTTACCTTTCTTTAGTCAATATCTATTGACTTCTGGCCAGGCACAGTGGCTCACACCTGTAATCCCAGCACTTTGGGAGGCCGAGGTGGGCGGATTACTTGAGATCAGGAGTTTGAGACCAGGCTGGCTAACATGGTGAAACCCCATCTCTATTAAAAATACAAAAAATTAGCTGGGTATGGTGGTGGGCACCTGTAATTCCCGCTATTCAGGAGGCTGAGGCACAAGAATCACTGGAACCTGGGAGGCAGAGGTTGCAGTGAGCCAAGATTGTACCACTGTACCCCAGCCTGGGTGACAGAGCAAGATTCTGTCTCAAAAAAAAAAAAAAAAAAGAAAGAAAGAAAGAAAAGAAAAGAAAATTAAATGTATTGATTTCTACCATGTACCATGAGCACGTTTTTCCCCTTCTTCTCTCTTTTTGTTACAATTCAATTTTAATTATTTGTATTTTCTTAATGTTTACATTTGTATTGCTAAACTATGCTTATATTTAATCATTTTAATAATAGTATTGAATGAAACCCTTTGACTATAAACCATATAGATGAGGTAATAAACTTCCTGTATATCAAACCTTTTTACTTCCTTTTTCTCCAAATAGTTGTATCATTCCTACATTGTAGGGAAATATAATATTTTTTATTTTCTTTTATTACCTGGATCCTCACATTTGTTTTAGTCTTAGTTTTATAAAAAAGTCAATTCAATTCTCGTTGCCAGTTCTCTTACCTTTTTCCTCCCTAGTATTTCTTGGTTATCTAGTAGAGTGCTCTGGAAGAACCCATGAGTGCATATTCCTTGCATATTTGCATGGTCAAACATTTGTCTGTAACTTTGCATCTGAATCTCCTATGAATAGATGCACACCTAATCCTTGACTCACACTGTCTTTTCTTGATTATCTTTTGGTATTGCTCCACTTCTGGCACTGCATGTTTCTGGAGAGAAATTTGAGAATGCTTTGTGCTTTTCCTTTTTGAAAGCAACTTAATCTTTTTGTTTGGCTGCCCAAAGATTCTATTTTTATTTTTGTACTCCAGTAACTTTACCAGGATGTATTTTGTTGTCATCATACTGACAGACACATGGTTGGCCATGTGGAGAACCAGGAAGTTTTAATATGGAGAACCAGGAAGTTTTTCTTGAATTATATGTTTAAATATTTATTCTGTTGAATTGTTTTGGTTTTCTTTCGAATCTCCAATTATGCATATTTTGGATTTGCTTTGACTGCTTTCTATAATCATTTTCCTCTAATTCTTTTAAACTTTTCTTTTACTTCCTCTGCATTCTGTTCATTTTTATTATTTTTATCTTTTGTGTCCCAAATAATGCTTTCCATAGGGTCTATTTGTTCATTTTGTTCCTCATAGATACCTTTTCCTCTACCTTTTACTCATTTCTTGAGTTTGGTCAGCTAGTATTTCAATTTCTTCTGTTTTCTCATCACCTTTTTCCTGAGATTTTGCATTTCTGTTTTGTAATCTTTCTTTAGAGAGGTGATGTGTTAGTTTGCTACGGCTGCCATTACAAAGCACCCCAGACTGGGTGATTTAAACAACACAGTTCTGGAGGCTAGAAGTGCAAGATCAAGGTGCTGGCAGGGTCGCTTTCATCTCCTTGTGTCTACACATAATGTCTCCTCTGCACATGTCTGTGTCCTAATTTCTTCTTATATGGACACCAGTTATATTGGCTTTGGGCTCACCCCATGACCTAATTTAACTTTAGCTCTTTAAGGACTCAATATCCAAATACAGTCACATTCTGAGGTACTGGTGATTAGAATTTCAACATATGAATTTTAGTGGTGCAGGAATACAGTTCAGCCTACAACAAGTGATTACATCATTTAATTCTTTTCCTGAATTCTTGACAAAGTACTTAGTTATTTGAGTCTGTTCCTTTTGCTACATTTTGTGGTCAGTATTCTTCATCTAATTGTAAAATTTGCTGTTTCCCTCTGTATTTTTTAAATCATATTTTCATATTGATTCTGTGAGAATTTCTTTTATATTACTCACTGAATAAGTTAAATTTTCCTGGATTATTTCTTTGTATAATGTTTCTGTGTGTGTGTATGTGTGTGTGTGTGTTTGAGTTGTGAGTGTGTGTGTGGTGTGTCTGGCGTGTGTGTGAGTGTAAGTGAATATATGTGAGTGTAGATGAGTGTGTGAGTTGTGTGTGTGTAAGTATGAGTCAGTGTGTGTGAATGTGTGTGGCATGTGTAAGAGAGAGGGAGTGTGTGTGTGTGTGTGTGTGTGTGTGTGTGTGTGTGTTATTCCTAGCAGCCTTCCATGCTTCTCAACCCCAAGGCTCTCTCCTGCTCTGCTGCCACAGAGAGACAGCTTTCCACAGCCATGTCTCCCGCAAGAGAATGGTTAGGGCGCTCTCTTCCTCTCTGTGTCTCCAAATAAAATACAATTCATTCAGGAAAGTTTATTTTGTCAGCTTTCTTATTTCCATTTCTGCGCCCATTTTTACAACCTGCTATATAGCTTTTGTGCTTCAGTGTGAGTTTTCCCTTTTAGGAAGTTTATTTTTTTTCCAGTGCTTTATATGGTCTGCCCCATTGGGCTCTTTCAGAATCCTTACTGCTTCCTTTCTGTGTGACCTCCTGTGTGGCTTCTGTTTTATTCTTGCTAATTTGGAAGGACTTTATGTATGTTTATGAGTCAGTTGATTATGTATTTCTGCTAGTTTTAATGAAAGTGGAGTTTTGGTTTTAGTTTTCATTTTCTTTCTTAATTTTTAGGAGGAGAAATGGAAAGGTAATTCTTATTTAGCCATGTTTATATGAGAAGTCAATGAGTGTCTTACTGAGTGGCTACCATATACCAAATAGATCCCTAAATACTATACATACATTATTTCCCATTTAATTATCACTCTGCTGATATGAGATAGAGAGACAGATGTTGCAGATTAGCTCTTTTATCTCCATCCTGTATCTCTTTCCGAATGTTATATTGCTGCTATAGCTGGCAAGTTAAAAGCCTACATTTCTCAGACTTCCTTACAATGCAGGTTTGTGTGTGACCTAACTTCTATCAAGCAGATGTCTGTCCATGGTATTGCGAATGCAGACATGAGGTGGAATCCACACTTCTGTTGCTTCTGAAGCAGTGTAATGGAGGCATTTATTGTTTTGCAACAGTGATAACAAGGTGGTTATAGAGAGGCTGAGTTCAGGCATCCATCTTCAGGAGTGTGTTCTGGAAGCCAACAGTTGTGGTAGCAGTTTTAGATCTCTAGATCCTGGTGGAAGTGGTATGGAATTAGCAGTTGAGACAGTGGCTTTGCCATTCTTCTGATTTCAAATTGTACCAGAGACAGCAACTCCTGTGTCAGTCCAGAACTGCAGTAGGTATTATTCTGGGTATGTTCACTTCACAACTCAGAATGACTCCTCTAGCACTGCCTTATAAATTCTCATAAGGTCCTAATTCCCAGCATTAAATCTCCATCTGATTATGCTGGTTAGGATAGTTTCTGGTGTTTGAAACCAAATCTTGACTAGTTGATACATTCATCTCTATTTTATTGAGAGGGAAATGTCACCTAACCAGTTAATGATGGAACTAAGATTTAATCCAAATTTGACTCTACAACCTCTACTCCAACTAATATGATTGATCACAGATATCAAATCCTTTTATAGGGTTTACTATTGCCGGACACTATTTTGAGCACTTTAAATTTGTTAACATACTAATTTTCACGAGTGTAATAAACCAATTTTTAAAAAATCTCCATTTCACATGTAAGGAACTAACACAGAAAGGCTGAGAAATTTGTCCAAGGCCACACGGGTGTGCTCCAAAGTTCACGTTCCAGTGGCTAGGCTACCTTCATCACAAAAATGAATTTTACCTTTATTTTACATTTTGAGATTTTAAAGTTACTTTTATGATTCAGTCTTAACCTTGTGGTACAGGTGTCAGTTATAAGTTTAATTTTTTACAAATTCTTTAGTTTGGCCACATTTAAATTCTTCCCACTGGAATGTTCTGAATAGCTCTTTTGTATGTTGCCAATGTAATGGAAATGGCACTGTCACAGAATTATAGAATCTCTGGATTGATTGGAGGAAGACCTATTAATGATCTAGATCAAGGACAAGAATTCTGTAAAAATTCCTTGCCCATTTATCAGTCAGCCTGGGAGCCTCAGCATTTCCCCAGACAGCCATTCCATCTTCAGCCAGGACCTGTTAGTAAGTCTTCCCAAGACTGATTATAGAACCCCATTCATTCACTCTTGGTAAACACATACCAGCTAGGATTTCTATTTCACAGATGGCTCTTCAGATATTTAAAGATAGTTATCATGCCTCCTGGAATCTTCCCTCTTCTTCTCTTTGGGTGATGTACTTCCTAATTCTGTAATACCTTGTTGGGATTTCAATTGGCCTCAACACACAGAGTGCTATGGATTTGTTTGAACTAAGCAGAGATTTGTTATTTATTTAATTTCTTATATGTCAGCATTTTTAAAAAATTAGATTCAGAGGTACATGTGCAGGTTTGTTACAAGAGTATATTGCATGATGTTGAGGTTTGGGCTTCTCTTGATCCAATCCCCTAGCTAATACCCAGTAGGAAGTTTTTCAGCCCTTGCCCCACTCCCTCCCTCACACCTTTTGGAGTCCCTAGTGTCTATTGTTCCCATCTTTATGTCCCAGTGTGCCCAATGTTAGCACAAATTTAAAGTTGGATGTGTGGGGCCCAGTGGCACATGCCTATAGTCCTAGCTACTTGGGAGGCTGAGGCAGGAGGATCATTTGAGGCCAGGAGTTTAAGACCAGGCTGGGAAACATAGCAAGATTCTGTCTCAAAAAAACAATAATACAGTTGGGTGTGATTGACAATGCTCAGAGCAGAACCTCATTACCCTTGTTTTGGATGTTGGAACCTGGAGGAGCTTCATTGCGATATTGAATCATGATGAAATTAGAGTCAATTAAATCTGTGATGCCATTTGGCTCATGCTGCCTTTAGGGTTGCCTCTTCTATCCTATATTTCTTTGCAGTTACCTCTCTTTACTCACTCTGTTCTTGCCACACTGGATCTCTCTTGCAGGTTAATATTCCATAGCTACACATCCTTAGGGCCTTTGCACATACTCCCTCTGCCATGTTGGTGTATTCCCCTTCCCTCTGCTCTACTTCCCCTCACTCCTATGCTATGACATATTTCTCTTTGATTATTTATTCCCAGAATACCCTAAAGTTTTGCATGTATACACTGCATCCTGTGGGCAGCCTTTCCTGACTTTCTGTTTAGGTTAGGTCTTCCTGAAACACACATCCAAGGTCTCTGAGCTTCTACCTTTATGTACTCATCTCAATCATAATTGTTTTAAATGCATAATTTTCATGCAAGATTAAAAGCTCTATGACCTTTTTATTTACTTTTCTATTCCCACTTTCTGGCATATGTCCAATATGTATATATATTGACTAGTTGACAATAATGGACCTTTGATTAATTTTTGTTAAATATCATGTTGATGGTTTCGGCCCACTTAGTCTATCAAGACCTTTGGGATTTAAAACTGTACCACAGAGAATATTTGTCACTATCATTAACAAATTTTGTTAGCATGCCATCTATGTTTTCATTCAATGGATGGTTAGAATCCTGTATCATAATACTAGAGAGCTCCTTTCAGGCCAATGTCAACCCTTCGAATTATGTCCATTCAGAGAAAATTGAATTCAGTTTGCTATATGACCATTCAACTCATATTTCTTTAGTTTGTCTACATGATATCAGGATAGTCATTACTTGCATTTTTGAATTTTGAATAAAAAACTAAATTCAATTTGATTTCCCTGAAATATCTTTTCTAAGCTCTCAAAAATGAGTCTAACTTAATTTAGTAAGTATGTGACCAGTTTCTAGTAAACTTGATTTCTTCTTCTAAGCTCTTGCTAGTTTTTTAATAGAATCTTGCTTACAATTAAACTTTGTAATATACATATGCATAATTTTGCTGAATTGCTCGAGAACAAGAGGAAGACAGCAAAGAATTTTTTAATATACTACAATATAATGATCACTCTCAAGAAATGTATTATTAATATATTATGTAATACATAGTTCACATTCAGATTTATCCACTGCCACATAATGTTTTTCAGAGCACTATCCAAATGAGGTTCATATGTTGCTTTTAGTTGTTGTGTCTTTTTAGTCTCTTTAAGTCTAAAGTAGTTTCCCTGCCTTTTACAGCTTTCATGACACTGAAGAATTTTGGAGAGTTCAGTACAATTATTTTGCAAAATATTTCTGTATATGGATTTATCTGATTGTTCCTTCATGATCAGATTCTGGTGAAACATTTTTGTCAAGAATACTACATAATTGATGTGTCTTTCTAAGTGTATTACATTAGGGAACAGGTGATGTCTCTTTGTCCCATGATTGGTGATTTTAAGTTGATCTCTTAGTTAAAGTGGCTGTCCACCAAGTTTCTCCAGTGTAGAGATACCTTTTCTCCGTTGTACTGAGTAAGTACTTTTTGGAATGATATTTTGAGGTCTAATTTTTACAAAAGAATTACCTTTGAGTTCTCTGCAACTTCTGCTTTTTCTGGTTCTTCAAGAATGTTAGTTTTTCACTGTCCATCACAGAGTCACTGGGACCCTGTTCGGTTACTCAATGGGAAGAAGAATTTGAACTCTTATTTAGTGCAGCTATTCCCTAACAACCTCTCCACCAAATATAAACTTCATTTGCCTCTTACCCTCTTACCAATGTTTGGTCAGTGGTTATCAGGTTATCACCCTGAATATCAAACTCCTTTGTGGACCAAATATAAGCAACAGAGTTGAGCAGTTTCTTTTTCTTTCTGTAATCTGTTAAAATTTCACTGTCGGCCCATGTAGTTGTTGCCTCCTGGATGTGTTCAGTTCCATCCCACTCAGCTGTTTCAACAATTGTTTTGTTGCCTCAGTCCTCTGCATACTGACTTGGAAGGCACTTGGATTATTAGAGGCTGCGTTTGGAAATATGTGCTGTGCTTCCCCATGTGAGGCTCGTATTCCAGGTCTTATCCTTCAGACATTGTAGAACCAAGACAAAAATACCAGATTTGTCATTATGTCAGCAGTTGTCATGGGAAGCTGGCTTATTCCTCCTTTTTCCTTTTCTTCTCTTTTGCCTTATATTCAAGGACACTATTTAACTAGAATTGTTTTGGAAAGGTCACTCTGACAGTCATTTTTTGCCTTATTGTACTGGGCGGCTCTGTACGTGTGACTGTGTTGATCATTCTGTCTTTTTAAAATGTCTCTACTGCCTTAGCTTTCTAGACAGGATACTGTCCTGTGCCACACTGTAATTGTCACTTTTCTCAAAGTATATTGAAGTAACTATTTGTCACTTAAAATATTGGCATCAAATGCATTATTGCATGTATACTTTAAATATTTTTGTTTTACTTGATTATGAAATTGTCTAACAAGGTAAAAGATCTCCAACAATTCATTAGAAACCCTGTATTCCATCAAGGAAAAATTGTACCAGATTTTAAGTTTAGAGTTAAACAGCAAGAAAGGCTTTATTTAAGACTATTGTAATAGGGGAGAGAGACTGAACTCAATTCTGCTGAAACAAAAGGTAGGAGTTTTTAAGCACTGGGGTAAGCTGGTGGAAGAGTCCTAGAGGAACTTAGTGAGAGGGTTAGTCAGTGTGATTATGCCATTGTGTGTACTAATTGATGCTTATCACTTGAAGTTAGGCTCTTACCCTTCCTCAGAGACTGGGAGGAAGAAACACTGTCTTTCTTGATGATTTCATTTCAAAGAGATGGCTCCCAGGTCCTTAAGAAAGACAATCCTGAGTTGTAAAACTGGTAAAAGACTGGAAGAAGATTTATTTACATTTCAAAGGGCCAGAGAAAGAATTTGCAATTACAGGTTTTTAAAAGTAAATGCTTTAAGAAAAGGGAGGTCAGGGCCTACAGTTAGGAAGAAACCTGTCTAAACTTTAGTCAAGCTGAGGGGAGCCTTAAGGCCATCTTGATTAATGCAGAGTAGTAGCTTCTCATATATCTGTCAATGCAAAAACCATCATTGGCTCAGACTTTTGAAACAAGTTCCTGGTTATAGACACAGGCCATGGTGAAAGAAGAGAGCACTCCATCTCCAAGGGAATATTAAAAGTAGAGTCCAGTGGCTTGGGCAGAGACAGAAGGCTTTGTGCTGGAAAGAGAGGAGCCACAATGGCCCAGAAATTCAGTTTGTAATGATTGTGTTTCTGACCCATGGGAGTTTTAAATCTCTCTTCTCTGTGTTACATATACATAGAAAGCCTTTTTATGTTTTTATATCTTCTAATTAATTTAACTCTGAGGCCAAAGTATGTGGGGCCAGGAAAAAGCATAACTATTAATTCTCACATTTAACACCCCCCTCCTCCCCTTGTAACTTCCTTGCTGTCCTTTATGTAGGGCTTTAATATGACTCTCTCGTCTTCGAATCTGTGTTTGGCACTTTTAAATCCTGCTTTATACTACAAAGCTCCTACACTGAGAATGTAGTTTGATTATTTTAGTTTTCCTTCAGATGACCTTCAAGTGCCTGTAGAGAGAGCTGAAAATGAATAAATATTTTAAATGGCTTAGGATTTTTATGGTGCTCTTCTATTCTTTTGAAGCCTTGATCTTTATCCTTCTTCCTTTATAAATCTGTGTCTGGTCTTACTCAACAAAATTGTTAATCTCCCTGATTTCTGGAAATCTATCGTTATCTTGAGCATCTGATGGGCACGTAAATGCTCATTGTATTCATTTGGAACCCCAAAGAACAGAGGTTATGCAATTTGTGAATATAATTTACTGTTTCATGATTCTTCATTTCCGCCCAGATGCTGGCTCTTGTCTAAATTCAGAACTTGTCTAAATGCAGATCAATGGGCATTGTAGGGCTTGTTTAATATGAAGAAAGTCTAAAAACCTAATACTGTGATAATTCTCTTCCTCATATTCTGAGGACACACTGAAGTTCTGTGCGGAATGATGTATCACCCGGTTAGCAAACACTGATTTTTGTCTCAGTCTTCAAGTCACTAGTTGTCAGCTTTTTGTTTAGCGTCTTTGGTTGCAAAGTGGGTGTTCAAAAATCTTTGTTTGAAATTAACACATAAGAGTAAATGTCTGGTCAGGGTGGTGGCTCATGCCTCTAATCCCAACACTTTGGGAGGCTGAGGTGGGAGGATAGCTTGAGCCCAGGAGTTTGAGACCAGCCTGGGCAACAAAGCAAGACCTTGTCTCTACAAAAAAAAAAAAAAAAAAAAAAGAATAAAAAAAATTAGTTGGGTGTGGTGGCATGTGCCTGCGGTCCCAGCTACTCAGGAGGCTGAGATGGGACTATCCCTTGAGCCTAGGAGTTCAAGACTGCAGTGAACTATGATTGCACCATAGCGCTCCAGCCTGAGTTGCAGAGAGAGACCCTGTCTCAAAAACATAAATAAATAAATAAATAAATAAATAAATAAATAAATAGTAAATATTGAACCAAATGCTTACTTTGCTTATATTAAAAAAGTTTTGGTAGCACTGAGTTATTCAGAAGATGACACAAAATATTTGTGAGCAATTAGTAACCAGCAGATTTTTAAAAACTAGCCTATTACATAAATTGCAGTAATTGTTTGACAGACTTCTCAAGAATAGGAAAACTCATTCAAAGTGCTTCTCTTGCCTGAGAGGGGAGAAACTGGAGACTTTATACCAGGGTCATTAGGAGTAGATTAACTTCGTTGAAGTCTTGCCTATGAGCAAATACCTGGAAAGCTTGAGAACCAGTTAACATTAATTCAGTGCCTACTAAGTAATCTTTACTTACGTTATTTCATTTAATGCTTCCCCAAACCATAATCAGTAGATGTCATCTGTCTTTTACAAATAAATAATTAAGTTTGAGAAGTTAAACAAGTTTTCTCTGATTTACACAGCCAGAATTAGCCAGAACATTTTAGATATTTAATAAATAGCTGTCATATGTTAAGCTCTACTATCCCAGCTAAGAGCTCTACAAAATTCATTTGTATTAGCTAATATAAATCCACTCCCCACCGGCCAATGGAAAGAAATATTACGATTCCCATTTTATAGACTTCCAAACTGAACACCAGATAGGACAAAATGACTAACTTAAAATTAAACAGCTGATAAGAGGCAGCTATGATTGACCCCAAGAATAGCAACTCCAGAGCCAAATTCTTTAAAACTGTGCTGACAGTTAGGTGGTGTTTTGAACACTCTCAGTGAAGTGCTTGAAGGAAATGAAGGAAAAGCTCACGGTCAAAACATCTGTATAACATCCTCACACCAGACCATGTATGTGTGTGTGTGTTGAGGTATAGGGATGGAGGAGTTGGAAATTGGCATGGGGTGGGTGGCAGAGATCTCTGTGCACACAATTCTGCAGGCTGATTTCCCATCAGCAGCTGTTCCTGAGTCTTTGTCCTTAGGCTGGACTGTTTCCAAGGAAACACAAAAAGGTGTTAGAAATTTGGATATAATATTCTGATCTCTATTGTCAAGAAAAAAAATAGAGAACTCCTTCCAGTTATCTATGCTGCTCAGCCATTGTCTCCTGCAGTTCTAGTACCAATCAAATTGGGTTTTAGGGCAGCTGATCAGTGGGGCTCCCCCAGCTTTGGTGTACTAAAGGAGAGGATTATGTTTCAGGGTCCATTATTATCTGTCTTTGCTTTCTATATCATGCATGTATCATCCAGGTTATTAGCACCTAGGCTGGAATTTGAAAGACTACACTTGATTTGGGCTTGCGGATTTTCTCTCAAGAGAATGAAATTGCTGTGTTAGTAGCGTGTCTGTTTCCCACCAGCACCATTGTTCATTGGAGCCTAAACCATACCTAGCATGATGGCATGGTGGCAAAAAGTATAGATGCTGGCCCCTCACTTCTTGCGTTCAAATTCCAGTGCCTACATGTAACTTTGTGCAGATTATTTAAACCTACAGTGCCTCACTTTCCTTGCCAAAAAAAAATAGGGATAGTATAGCGGTAGTGCTTATTCCACAGGGCTCTTATGAGGCTGAATAAGATTATATGTGTACAATGATGAAGTTCTAGTGCTGTCTCATAAATATAATGATCAAATGAGATCATCTTAGGGCTGTATGGAGAAGTAGAATTAATACATAAAATAATTAGAATAAGTATTCCATAAAATATTTATCAAATATTAATTGAACATTTATTTTGTGTAAGATATAATGTGGATAAAAATGTTTATATTGTCTGTATCCTGTAGGATATGATAATTCACAAGAAATATAAGTGAAAAATATGTTTAAGACTCATACACATGATAAGAACAAAGTTTTTTGAAAGTGTAGAGGAGGGAGAGAGGAGTTACTTTACATTGGTGCAATGAGTAGAGTGTCATTAAGCAAGATGGAGAGAATTCCAATTGATGATGCTTGGTTTTTGGTGGATGATACAACTGGGAGAGGAAACTACACAGGCAAAAACATGAGATTTATATTTAGGGAATGATTAGATGGCATCCTGCTGCAGATTACAGACAGTCATGTAGATTAGTACAGAAACCATGACCTTATGAGGATCAAAGACAAAAGTCACAGTATGGTACACAAGGTATGGCTGAACTTCATGGGTACTGGATGCAGAAAACCACCAGGAGCCAAGTGCTCCAGACTATTCTTGCCTAGTCTCTGTTCTTCTGCTCTCTTCTCCTTTCTGCATCACCTAGTTTCTTCTTCTTACTTATGATTTCTTTTCCATTTACTGCTTCAGCTTGAGTTTGGGGTTGATGTAAACTTGACTTTATCTCATTTTTTTTTCATTATCAACACCTGATGATGTCCACTGCTCAACCTCTGGAAATTCTATATTCACATTCCTTGGAGGAATCTGCTTGGTCATTCCATCTTTTCTCATCAGGGAAGTGCATAGGCCATTGCCAGCCTACAGATTGATTTCCTTTTTTTCCATAGGTTATTGGGGTACAGGTAGTATTTGGTTACATGAGTAGGTTCTTTAGTGGTGATTTATGAGATTTTGGTGCACCCATCACCGAGCAGTATACACTGGACCACATTTGTAGTCTTTTGTCTCTCACCTCACTCCACCTCTTCCCTGCAAGTCCCCAAGGTCCATTATATCATTCTTTTGCCTTTGTGTCCTCATAGCTTAGCTCCCGCATATCAGTGAGAAAATACAGTGTTTGGTTTTCCATTCCTGAGTTACTTCACTTAGAATAATAGTCTCCAGTCTCATCCAGATTGCTGCAAATGCCATTAATTCATTCCTTTTTATGGCTGAGTAGTATTCCATCATGTATATATATATATATATATATATACCACAGTTTCTTTATCCACTCGTTGATTAATGGGCATTTGGATTGGTTCCATGATTTTGCAATTGCGAATTGTGCTGCTATAAACGTGTGTACAAGTACCTTTCTTGTATAATGACTTCTTTTCCTCTGGTTAGATACCCAGTAGTGGGATTGCTGGATCAAATGGTAGTTCTACTTTTAGTTCTTTAAGGAATCTCCACACTGTTTTCTATAGTGGCTGTACTAGTTTACATTCCCACCAGCATTGTAGAAGTGTTCCCAGATCACCACATCCACATCAAAATCTACTGTGTTTTGATTATAGCCATTTTTGCAGGAGTAAGTTGGTATCACATTGTAGTTTTGATTTGCATTTCCCTGATTATTAGTGATGTTGAGCATTTTTTCATATGTTTTTTGGCCATTTGTATATATTCTTTTGAGAATTGTCTATTAATGTCCTTGGCCCACTTTTTGATGGGATTGTTTGATCTTTTCTTACTAATTTGTTTAGTTCATTGTAGATTCTGGTATTAATCCTTTGTCAGATATGTAGATTGTGAAGACTTTTTCCCACTCTGCGGGTTGTCTGTTTACTCAGCTGACTGTTCCTTTTGCCATGCAAAAGCTCTTTAGTTTAATTAAGACCCAGCTATTTATCTTTGTTTTTGTTGCATTTGCTTTTGGGTTCTTGGACATGAAATACTTGCCTAAGCAAATGTCTAGAAGGGTTGTTTCAATGTTATCTTCTAGAATTTTTATAGTTTTAGGTCCTAGATTTAGGTCCTTAATCCATCTGGAGTTGATTTCTGTATAAGGTGAGAGATGAAGATCTAGTTTCATTCTCCTACATGTGGTTAGTCAATTATCTCAGCACCATTTGTTGAAAAGCATGTTATTTCCTCACTTTATGTTTTCGTTTGCTTTGTCAAGGATCAGTTGGCTGTAGGTATTTGGGTTTATTTCTGAGTTCTCCATTCTGTTCCATTGGTCTATGTGACTTTTTAAAATATAATTTAAGTTCTGTGATACATGTGCAGAACGTGCAGGTTTGTTGCATAGGTATACATGTGCCATAGTGGTTTGCTGCACCCATCAATACCAGTACCATGCTGTTTGGTGACTATGGCCTTATAGTATAGTTTGAAATTGGGTAGTGTGAGCCTCCAGATTAGTTCCTTTTCCTTAGTCTTGCTTTGGCTATGTGGGCTCTTTTTTGGTTTCATATTAATTTTAGAATTGTTTTTTCTAATTCTGTGAAGAATGATGGTGGTATTTTGATGGGAATTGCATTGAAATTGTGGATTGCTTTTGGCAATATGATCATTTTCACGATATTTATTCTACCCATCCATGAACATGAGATGTGTTTCCATTTGTTTGTGTCATCTATGATTTCTTTCAGCAGTGTTCCGTAGTTTTCTTTGTAGAGGTCTTTCACCTTCTTGGTTAGGTATATTCCTAAGTTATTATTTTCTTTTTTGCAGCTATTATAAAAGGGGTTGAGTTTTTTATTTCATTCTCCACTTGGTCGCCGTTGGTGTAAAGAAGTGTTTGGTTTTCCATTCCTGAGTTACTTCACTTAGAATAATAGTCTCCAATCTCATCCAGGTTGCTGCGAATGCCATTAATTCATTCCTTTTTATGGCTGAGTAGTATTCCATCGTATATATTATATTATATTATATTATATTATATTATATTATATTATATATGATTCCATCTACTAATTTGTGTACATTAATCTTGTATCCAGAAACTTTGCTGAATTCTTTTATCAGCTCTAGGAGCTTTCTGGAGGAGTCTTTAGGGTTTTCGAGGTAAACAATCATCGTCAGCAAATAGTGACAGTTTGACTTCCTCTTTACTAATTTGGATGCCCCTTTATTTCTTTCTCTTGTCTGATTGCTCTGGCTAGAACTTCTAGTGCTGTGTTGTAGAGGAGTAGTGAGAGTGGGCATCCTTGTCTTGTTCCAGTTCTCAGAGGAAATGCTTTCAACTTTTCCCCATTCAGTATTTTGTTGGGTTTGTCATAGATGGCTTTTATTACATTGAGGTATGTCCTTTGTATGCCAATTTTGCTGAGAGTTTTAATCATAAAGCAATGTTGGATTTTGTCTAATGCTTTTTCTGCATCTATTGAGATGATCCCGTGATTTTTGTTTTTAATTCTTCTTATGTGGTGTGTCACATTTATTGACTTGCATATTTGAAACCACCCCTGCATCTCTGGTATGAAACTCACTTGAACATGGTGGATTATCTTTTTGATATGTTGTTGGATTCGGTTAGCTAGTATTTTGTTAACAATTTTAGCAACTATGTTCATCAGAGATATTGGTCTATAGTTTTCTTTTTTGGTTATGTCCTTTCCTGATTTTGGTATTAGGGTGATGCTGGCTTCATAGAATGAGTTAGGGAGGGTTCCTTCTTTCTCTATCTTGTGGAATAGTGTCAAAAGGATTCATACTAATTCTTGTTTGAGTGTCTGGTAGAATTCTTCTGTGAATCTGTCTGGTCCTGGACATTTTTTGTTGGTAATTTTCTAATTACCATTTCAGTTTCGCTGCTTGTTATTGGTCTGTTCAGGGTATCTAATTCTTCCTGAGTTAAGCTAGGAGGGTTGTATTTTTCCAGGAATTTACCCATGTCTTCTAAGTTTTTTAGTTTATGTGCATAAAGGTGTTCATATTAGCCTTGAATGATCTTTTGTATTTCAGTAGTGTCAGTTGTAATATCTCCCATTTTGTTTGTTTGGATTTTCTCTCTTCTTTTCTTGGTTAATCTTGCTAGTAGTCTATCAATTTCATATATCTTTTCAAAGAACAAGCTTTTTGTTTCATTTATCTTTTGAATTTTTTTTTCCATTTCAATTTCATTTAGTTCTGCTCTGATCTTATTTATTTCCTTTCTTCCGTTGGGTTTGGGTTTGGTTTGTTTTTGTTTCTGTACTTCCTTGAATTGTTACCTTATAATACCAGCTTGTGCTCTCTCAATCTCTTTGATGTAGGTGTTTAGGGCTATGAACTTTCCCCTTAGCACTGCCTTTGCTGTATCCCAGAGGTTTTGATAAGTTGTGTCATTATTGTTCAGTTTGAAGAATTTTTAAATTTTCATCCTGATTTTGTTTTTGACCCAATGATCATTCAGGAGCAGATTATTTAATTTTCATGTATTTGCATGATTTTGAAGATTCCTTTTGGAGTTTATTTCCAGTTTTATTCCACTGTGGTCTGAGAGGGTGCATGATATAATTTCAGTTGTTTAAAATTTACTGAGGCTTGTTTCATGGCCTATCATATGGTCTCACTTGGAGAAAGTTTCATGCTTTGTTGAATAGAATGTGTACTCCGCGGTTGTTGGATGAAATGTTCTGTATATATATGTTAAGTCCATTGGTTACAGGATATAGTTTAAATCCATTGTTTCTTTGTAGACTTTCTGCCTTGCTGACCTGTCTAGTGCTGTCAGTGGAGTATTAAAATCCCCATTATTATTGCGTTGCTGTCTATCTCATTTCTTAGGTCCCTTAGCGATTGTTTTATAAATTTAGGAGCTCCAGTGTTAGGTGCATCCATGTTTAGGATTGTGATACTTCCCTGTTAGACAAGGCCTTTTACTATTATATAATGTCCCTCTTGTCTCTTAACTGATGTTGCTTTAAAGTTTGTTTTGTCTGATGTAAGAATAGCTACTCCTGCTTGCTTTTGGTGTCCATTTGCATGAAATGCCTTTTTCCACCGCTTTACTTTATGTAAGACCTTATGTGTTAGGTGAGTCTCCCGAAGGCAGCAGATAGTTGGTTGGTAAGTTCCTATCTATTCTGCAGTTCTGTATCTTTTAAGTGGAGCATTTAGGCCATTCACATTAAATGTTAATATTGAGATATGAGGTACCATTGCATTCATTGTGCTATCTGTTGCCTGTGTACCTTGGTTTTTTTGTTTTTGCTTTTAAAATTGTATTTTTGTCTTATAGGTTCTCTGTGATTTATGCTTTAAAGAGGTTCTGTTTTTATGTTTTTCCAGGATTTGTTTCAAGATTTAGAGCTCTTTTTAGCAGTTCTTGTAGTAGTGGCTTTGTAGTGGCAAATTCCCTCAGCATTTGTTTGCCTGGATACAAAATTGTTGGCTGATAATTGTTTTGTTTGAGGAGGCTGAAGATAGGGCCCCAATTCCTTCTAGCTTATAGGGTTTCTGCCGAGAATTCTGCTGTTAATTTGATTGGTTTTCCTTTATAGGTTACCTGGTGTTTTTGTCTCACAGCTCTTAAGATTCTTTCCTTCATCTTAACTTTAGATAATCTGATGACAATGTGCCTAGGTGATGATCTTTTTGCAATGAATTTCCCAGGTGTTCTTTGTGCTTCTTGTATGTGGATATCCAGGTATCTAGCAATGCCAGGGAAGTTTTCCTCGATTACTCCCCCAAATATTGTAGCAGGACGAGCTGCAGACAAAACTCCTCAGACACGGAGTTAAAGAAGGAAGAGGTTTATTCGGCTGGGAGCGTCGGCAAGACTCCTGTCTCAAGAGCCGAGCTCCCCAAGTGAGCAATTCCTGTCCCTTTTAAGGACTCACAACTCTAAGGGGGTCTGCATGAGAGGGTCATGATCGATTGAGCAAGCAGGGGGTACGTGACTGGGGGCTGCATGCACTGGTAATCTGAACGAAACAGAACAGGACAGGGATTTTCACAGTGCTTTTCCATACAATGTCTAGAATCTATGGATAACATAACCAGTTAGGTCAGGGGTCGATCTTTAACTACCAGGCCCAGGGCCCGGCACCGGGCTGTCTGCCTGTGGATTTCATTTCTGCCTTTTAGTTTTTACTTCTTCTTAATTTGGAGGCAAAAATTGGGCATAAGACAGTATGAGGGGTGGTCTTCTCCCTTAATATGTTTTCCAAACTTAGATTTCTCTTATTCCTCAGGTACACTGATTATTCTTAGGTTTGGTTGTTTAACATAATCCCAGATTTCTTGGAACTTTGTTCATATTTTCTTAGTCTTTTTTCTTAGTCTTTGTTGTATTGGGTTAATTCGAAGACTTTGTCTTTGAGCTCTGAATTTGTTTCTTCTATTTGTTCAATTCTATTGCTGAGACTTTCCAGAGCATCTTGCATTTCTATAAGTGTGTTCAATGGTTCCTGAAGTTTTGATTGTTTTTTCTTTATGCTATCTATTTCCTTGAATATTTCTCCCTTCACTTCTTGAATCTTTTTTTTGGATTTCTTTGCATTGTGCTTTACCTTTCTCTGGTGCCTCCCTGATTAGCTTAATAACTAATCTCTTGAATTCTTTTTCAGGTAAATCAGGGATTACTTCTTGGTTTAGATCCATTGCTGGTGAGCTAGTGTGATTTTTTTAGGGGATGTTAAAGAGCCTTGTTTTGTCATATTACCAGAGTTGGTCTTCTGGTTCCTTCTCATTGGGGTAGGCTCTGTCAGAGGGAAGGTCTAGGGCTGAAGGCTGTTCTTCAGATTCTTTTGTACCATGTGGTGCTCCCTTGATGTAGTACCCTCTCCCTTTTCCTATGGATGTGGCTTCCTGTGAGCCAAGCTGCAGTGATTGTTATCTCTCTTCTGGGTGTAGCCACCCAGCAAGTCTAACTGGTTCTGGGCTGGTACTGGGGGTTGTCTGCACAGCGTCTTGTGATGTGAACCATCTATGGGTCTCTCAGCCGTGGATACCAGCACCTGTTCTGGGGGATGTGGCCGGGGGTGAAATGGACTCTTTGAGTGTTCTTAGCTTTGCTAGTTTAATGTTCTATTTTTGTTCTGCTTGGCCTCCTTCCAGGAGGTGGCACTTTCCAGACAGCATCAGCTGTGGTAGTATGGAGAGAAACTGGTGGTGGGCAGGGCCCTAGAACTTCCAAGATTATGTGCCCTTTGTCTTCAGCTACCAGGGTTGGTAGGGAAGACCCATCAGGTTGGGGCAGGGTTCGGCATGTCTGAGCTCAGACTCTCCTTGGGTGGGTCTTGCTGAAGCTACTGTGGGGGATGGGGGAGAGGTTCCCAGGTCAATGGAGTTGTGTACCTAGGAGGGTTATGGCTGCCTCTGCTGAGTCATGCAGGTTGTCAGGGAAGTGGGAGAAAGCCAGCAGTTACAGGCCTCATCCAGCTCCCACACAATCCAAAGGGGTGGTCTCACTCAAACCATGCCCCCCATTAGCCCCAAGTCTTTTTCCAGGCAGTGAGTGAGCAGGCCTTGAGAACCTGCCCCAGGCTACCCACCTCCCAGCTGCAAAATAAAAGGGCTTTGGTTCCTGTCCCTCCCTTGGAGTCTGCATGCAGGATTCGTGCCCTCCTCAGAGTTCTGGCTGGGAGGCTTCTCACCCAGTTCAAACTGTTACAAAGTTCAGCTGGAGACCTCCTTCTCTCTGTGGCAATTTCCCCATGCCTCTGGGCACCCTTTCGAAGGATCCCTGTGGTGTCAGCAGGAGTGGCCTGCTTGGGGACCCAGTGAGCTCCCAGGGCCTTTCCCGCTGCTTCCTCTACCCCTATATTTAACTCTGCTCTCTAAATTGACTCAGCTTCAGGCAAGGTCGAAAACTTCTGCATACTAGACCTTCAGTTTCCCCAGTAGGGGTGTGTGTTTTAGAGCAGAGGATCTCTCTTTCCCACTTCTGTAGTTTGGGCACTCAGTATTTGGGGTGTCTCCCAGGTCCTACAGGAGCAGTCCTTTTCCTTCAGAGGGTCTGTGGGCCCTCTTGGGATTCCTGGTTTGTTCTTGCAGTCATTCTGGAGCTAAAATTCACTATGGGAGCCTCTGTACACTGCTCTGTCCATTTGAGTTGGAGCTGCAATCTAGTCCTGCCTCCCATCTGCCATGATGATCCAAAAACAGCTTGATTTCTTTGGGTCAGGTCTGATGAGTTGTCACTAGAGGTGTCAGCATCATGTGATATAAAATATAACCTCCTAAGCATCAAGAGTGGTTTCCCCTAGAACTGAAGTGGGCATGACAAGATGCCAAGGCTTGCTCTGGTAGTATACTCAGGTAAGTTATTAGGGCTGGAGATAGTCGTTTGAATAAATCACAGAGTGATGTCACTGGAAGTCATGAGAATGAATGGTATCTCTGAAAAAATAAAAAAGAAGTGCAGATAACATTTTGAGAATAGCCACATTTGAGGAGTGACAAGACACATGGGTTTGAGTGTACAAGCTAAAGTAATGTTACAAAGGCGTCTACCATCCCTGCAGAGTGGATGGAGAGGACACAGGGAAGCTCTAACTACCTCTGCAACTGCGTGGCAGGGAGAGAAAACACAACTGGACATGCTGGTGAGTTTCAACCAATAAGGAGGGAAGAAGCCAGCAGATCTACTTCTCGTCCTTCTTCCCCATCAAAGACTATTTTAAAAAATAGTAGTTTAATAGGCTCTATGGAGACAACCTGTGAGATCAGGCAACCAGCTATGTTTGTTGTGAAGTTGTGGCCTATTTAGAAACATACCTTCATGTTTTTGCTCTCACTCATTTCCCCCATCACTTCTCCTTTTCCCTTATTCTTGTTTCCTGGGGTTCCTCTGCCTCTCAAAGCATTAGCTAATAAGTTTTTCTTAGGGCTTAGTTTTCAAGGGAGCCTGGGATAAAACACCTTCATTAAATATACTAACCATTGCTCACAGCACACTGGGCATCTACAGCCAATCAGTTAAATACAAGTCTGGTGGTTCTCAAAGAGAGATCCCTGGCCCAGCACCCGCAGAATCAGCATCACTTGGGGATTTGTTAGAAATGCAAGTTCTCAGGCCTCACCCTATACCAACCAAATTAGAAATGCTGGCTAGTTTTGATGCACACTAATTAATGCATGAAATCCATTGATCTAGTCCAAGTGTTGTCCAACTCATATTTATGGACTAGCTGCTTATTTTTTATAACAAAATGGTTTATTGGAACGCAGCCACACCCATTCGTTTACTTAGAGCCTATGGCTGCTTTTATATCACAAGGCAGAGTTGAGTGGTTGACAGAATAAAGGATTTATGATATGGCTCTTAAAGAAAACATTTGCCAACTCCTACTCTAGTGCAACCCTGCACTGCTGCTCCCCACAGGTGAGTCATATTCTTACCAAGAGTCAGTGGTTTTTCTTACCCAAACCTGTGTGTACCAGTTACTCTTGTTATTGCTATCATTTAACCTAATTGAACCTACCTCAACCAATGCCCTATGAATTCAATAAGGAAATAGGGATTTTGGATTTTATTTTTATGGAAACTAAGTTGAGTGTTTTGAAGATGCTTGAGGTGAGTAACTAAAATGTATTGCTATAAATCTAGGTGTGTACTATAAGTTTATATATTTTATATAGCTATAAAATACTAGAAGGAAATAATAGAAGTCAAGAAATGGGCCAGGCACGGTGGCTCACACCTGTAATCCCAGCACTCTGAGAGGCCAAGGCAGGTGGATCACTTGAGGTCAGGAGTTTGAGACCAGCCTGGTCAACATGGTGAAACCCCGTCTCTACTAAAAATACAAAAATTAGCCAGGCATGGCAGTGCATGCCTGTAATCCCACCTACTTGGGAGGCTGAGGCAGGAGAATCACTGAACCCAGCAGGCAGAGGTTGCAGTGAGCTGAGATTGTGCCACAGCCCTCCAGCCTGGGCAACAGAGTAAGACTGGGTCTCAAAAACAAAAAATTAAAAAAAAAAAAAAGAAAGGATTTGCATTCATTTTGTATTTAGGTTCTGACTCCACTTTAAAGAAACTCAAACTGGGAATTGCAGGGAATACATTAGGAGTGTCGCTTGGGAAAGAATGGTCTATTAGAATAATCAGAAGAAGCATACTAAAGTAAAAGATAGCCCCATAAAGACTGGTGAATAAGTAAATGTTATCCCCATTGAAGTTAAAGAGAGATGTGGATTGTTTCCGTTGTTTTTATGATTTCAGCTTTAAATAATCTTCTTGATTAGCTGGTCAGGATGCTGACTGAGGCTCGTAAAAGGCATCTTTTAGGTATATGAAAGTAGATGTCCCTGTGTCATGCCTGAATATACCTATAGGTGTATTATTAGGGTCTGCATATCATCAGGATATATAGAAATTTCTCAAATGTATTTTTTTAACCTATGCATCAGAATCACCTTAATAAAATGGAGACGCTTGGAGAGATTCCAAGGAATCTTAATTTTAATGGCCCCCATGTGATTTTTATATATGCAGAAGAATCAGTAGTACAGAATAACCACCTATTTAATTATTCACATTCAAGTCATTAAATAAAATGCAACCCAACTCAAGGGATTATATAAAATCAGCTAATGCTTTTCCTAATGTCTTCCATTAAACTATGTTATTGCATATTTACAGCCATCTTTAAATTCCTTCCATACGAAATGATAGATAAATAGGTAGTTAAGTTTTAGACTTGCTCCTATTTACTATATGAAAGCTTCCATCAGACAGCAATCAGGTTTTTTAGTAGTTAGTGAAGTCCCAGAGTTGAACCATCAAAATCTCAAAGCTGTAAATGTATAAAGTATGAAATCGAGTATGGATGTATATGTGAATGTACATATGAATGTATAATAGAATGTTAACTTTTAAATCTTGTCCAAGACACTGAAATAGAATAGATGTGAAATTTAAAAGTGAGATGCCAAACTCCAAGAGGAAATTTCAATGTCAGTGACTGAGAACTGGTGAGATGGCTCAGAAATTCACAAAAGACAGAGATGCCTTCCTGCATGGACCCCACTGGAGAGTCTGGCTGCTTTCCTGTACTGCAGGTGGAGAGCTGAGAGGGGCCTCTTGAAAAGCCCAGTTTCCTGGAGCTGGGGACATGAGGTCTGGTGCCTGATTTCACTTTGTGAAAGCTAAAACAGCATGGCCTGTAGTGGGAGGAGCAGGTGGGAAGAGAGTGAGAGCAGAGGAGAAAGGGAGGCGTGGGCAGGGTGGGGTGGGGAGAGAGAAAGGAGAGCAGAGACCTAGAGTTAACTCCCTTTTGCCATGGGAGTGTTCCCTCAAGACTCCATCTTGGCCCCTTCTGGGAGGAGAGCAAACTTCATGAAGCCTTAGCAGGTCCTGGCAGGGAGGACTGTCAGGCAGGGGACTCCAGTGAAAGCCTGTTAGTGCAGTGGACAGACACCAGGAGAAGGGAGCCTCGGTCAGAGTGTTACTGGTGGAAAATATACAAGTTACCCCAAGTTACCTGCAGCCTATCCAAAGAAACTTTAGAAAAGAAAAAATAAGGCATACTTTAATTGCATTCATCCTGTGTTTGGTCAGCATGCCAATCAAACATGTATGTGGGTGCTGGTCCCCAAGCACAGTGGCGAAATAAAGATACTCACAAAGCAGCTTAAGTACTAACTCCCTCAAAATTTGGAGGGCAGGTTTGGGAGGCATTTGGCCATGATTCTGTCACCTAAGTATTTTTACCAAATCACTCGAAGAAAAACCTGAGGAAAAAGCTTCTCTGTAGCAATTGTGCTGTGAAACTGTCTTTATGATCACCTTGGAGGGCAGATGCAATCAATTCTCTGCCTGAGATGGTCTTTAACTAAAGGTCAAACAAATTTTCCTACATGCCCAAGGGAGAAATATTTAAAAACCCAAATAATTGCCCCATGATGTCACAGGTATTATTTTTAGCATTTATGAGCTTACCTCATTTTCCTGAACTTAACACTATATGAATTTCTATTTTATATAATGTCGGATGCTGTGATATTATGTTTTACTGTAATCCAAGTATTCAAATTACATTAAAATATTCATGCACCTACAAGTCATGTTAATTGCCTCTGCTGCATTTTTCGTGTGTCTTGCTCCAGATTTAGTTTCTACCCTTTTTCGCTCAGCTCTGAGGGTATGTCTCAATGGGTTCCTTTGTTTTCTGGCTTTTGGGTATAGGTCACACTTAAATCTGAGTAAGGTAACAGCATTTTCCTCAGCCTTTTTCCTAAGGAGGTACCCAGGCTGGCTGCTCCCTGACTTAGGGAACCTGGTCCTGAGTGGGCCTCTCCTCATAGCCCAGAGATGATCACTGCAGCCTGCTTTAATGGGATTCACTGTTATTCCTGTGCCTCTCACATGGGTGTATGCATTTACTCAACTTTCCTTAAATGACCCAAACTGTGAATCCCATCTGTTTCTTGCCAAGCCCCTGACCGATGATTTGCCTGTTCTGTTTGTCATTTTGCACGTACTATAATGGATATTTAAGATATAATTTTTATAGAAAGAAAAGGATCATAAGAATTGTTGGGTTTACTTTCCTTTTATTCTTTGCTAGCTTTAATATTATGATTTGAGAAGACCTGTTTCTTACTTGATCCCAGATTTCTGCTATTTTCCCCCAACTTAACCTTGAATTGGGGCAAAAGCTCTAAATGCTACAGGGATAACTTGGGAGAGGCGAGGAGGTGAGGAGAACGATGGGTGAGGCTCGGGACCCTCTGCCCCAGCTTCCTCCAGAACTGCTCCCTTTTCATTTGTCTCTTGGCTGAGCTTCTTTGTAAGAATAAATTTGTAAGTTTCATAAAAGAATTTTACTGTTTAAAATGTGTGAAAATCAGTAGTAGGTTAAGGCATGAAATATTCCCTTTGAAATGTAAATCAGTCATCTGAAAGGGCTAGTACCTTATTGACCATTACCAATTAATCAGAATCATTCTCAAATGGGGCTTAGCAGAGCAGTGCTTACAGTTCAGTTGAAGGCCTTGGTCTTTGTAGAGACTCAAGAAGGTGACATGGCCATACTCAGGAGAAAAGCTGCAAAGATGAGGAATGGATTCTCTGTATGAAAACAAAAAGATTCTTTATTTATTCATTTATTTATTTATTTTTTGAGATGGAATCTTGCTCTGTCACCCAGGCTGGAGTGCAGTGGCACAATCTCAGTTCACTGCAACCTCTGCCTCTCGGGTTCATGTGATTCTCCTGCCTCAGCCTCCTGAATAGCTGGGATTACAGGTGTGCAGCACTACGCCTGGCTAATTTTTGTATTTTTTTTTTTTTAGTAGACATGGGGTTTCGCCATGTTGATCAGGCTGATCTCAAACTCCTGACCTCAAGTGATTCACCCACCTCGGCCTCCCAAAGTGCTGGGATTACAGGCATGAACCACTGCGCCTGGCTGAAACAAATATTTTACACCCATTTTTTTCTAACTTTGAGTCTGGCCAGCCTGTCTGAAGACAATGAGTTGTGTCATCACGTCTCACGCAGAAAAAATGTTTGATGCCTGATGCTTGGCAGTTTGTTATGAAGAAAGAGATTGTGGTGAAAGAGCTCGTTATTATCTGGGGCTGCCCCTTAGTTGTTCATGTCTGAGATCTGGGAATGATCCCTTAGGCATCCTTCTCCCTTGGTCCACACACTCCATTTGTCACCAGGCTTATGGATACTCCTTTTGAATATCTCCTTAATAAATACTGCTGCTTCTCTTCACATTATTTCTTCTGCCTTGGGCACTCTTCTTTCTATTTGTCTCTTGGCTCAACACTTCAGGAATTAGCTTTAAGGTTACATCTTCAGAGAAGTCTTCCTTAACCTTCTAATCTAAACAAGTTCCCCATTATGCTCTCTTACCATATTCTTTAGTTTTTCTTCATAGCTCTTGACATGATTTTAATTATAATTTTGTTTTGGTGGCTACAGGTTTAGTTTGTGATTCTCTGGATATTTTCACCTTAGAAAGTGTGACTCTCCTGGTCATCCTTGTGTTCTTGGCATTTAGAATAGTGCTTGTATATAGAAGGGACTCAGGACATTGTTTGTTTTTTGTTTTTTGTTTTTTTTTTTTTTTGAGACAGAGTCTCCCTCTGTCGCCCAGGCTGGAGTGCAGTGGTGCAGTCTTGGCTCACTGCAACTTCTGCCTCCTGTGTTCAAGCAATTCTCCTGCCTCAGCCTCCCAAGTAGGTGGGGTAACAGGTGCCTGCCACCACGCCCAGCTGATTTTTTTGGTATTTTTAGTAGAGACGGGGATTCACCATGTTGACCAGGCTGGCCTCAAACTCCTGACCTCAGATGATCTGCCCACCTTGGCCTCCCAAAGTGCTGGGATTATAGGTGTGAGCCACTGCGCCCAGCCTCAGGACATTTTTATTAAGTGGATGGATTAATCTTGACCCCTCTCCTCTCAATGCAAACACCCAGATTTGCTTCTAGATTTGTTGGCTCTCTTCTATGTCTCTCAAATACCTCTCCTTCTTGATGTCTCTACTGCCACTAATCTAGTTTATGCTCCATCATCTCTCACCTAGACAACTGCAACTGATTTTACACCAGACTCCCTGATTCTACGTTCTCTACACCACAGCTAAGGTGCCATTTTTCTCTTGCTTAAAACCCCTTAAAGCACACATTGCCCTTAGTAGGAAGCCTAAACTCTTTAACAGGCTGAAGACCTTTCTGGATTTGACACCTGCTTATCAGCCACATATTCAGGTTTCTTTTCTCCAGACATATTGGACTGATTGGACTGTCTTCTAGATCTTTGGCTGCTTTTTTTTTTTCACTTTCTGAATGTGTGCACAGGCTATTTTTCAAAGCCTGAAATCTTCCTTCCTTCACTTCATCTCTCTCTCTTCCTACCTTCATTTTCCTGGTTGATCCTCACTCTTCCTGCATGCTTTTCTTAGATGTCACTTACTTGGGAAACCTTCTTTGGCCCCAGGCCTTATGACTGGGCTTTGCTGTCCCCTCTTTGGCTCTGAGTTCCCTATCTCAGCGCTTTTACCCTGTCTTCATTTACCTGTCGTCTGGTCTCTGTCTGTCACTAGATAGTAAACTCTTGGAGAGCAGGAACCATGTTGGCCTTATGCACACGGAATACTTCCAAGCGTTGAGTACGCAGGAAGGTCCTAATCTATGCTTGTTGAATGAATGAATGAATGATTTTGGTGAACATGGGCTAGGGTGTTGTTTTAGAGATAGTAAAAGCAGAAAAGTTGTGACTGCTATTGAAATATTTCTTTTTTTCTCTCCACATTTTTCCTTCCTATCTTTTCGGGCAGGTATCAATACCTTGTAGTTTCTTACCTCAGGAAAAGCTTAAAGTGAGTGAACAGAAAGCAGAAACTGCTTGAAACCAAAGGCTTTTCTTATTTTTCTAGATGCCAAAGCTCTTTGAAGAAATGATGCCGCATATCTCTAAGAAGGAGGATTGAGAGGGGTATTCTTTGTAGGGTAGTAAGAGAGGAAGGGAGAGATTTTTTCCAAAGTGGATAAATGGTAGACATCTGTGAGTTCTAAGAGCAGGAGTCACTTCTTGACAAAGCCATGAGGAAATGGCAAGATATGAGATGAAGAAACTGCGTAGTACATCCACGGAGTGGAGCTGCTGGAATTCTAATCTCCAAAGACATTGGATACACTCTTGTGGGACCTCATATTTAGGGATTATGTAGAAAGCAATTTATATGTATATAAATACATATGATATATAGTTACATTTAACTATGTATACTTAACTAAATATATATTATGTATTATATGATACATATATACTTGACTATATATGATATATACTTTTATAGTATACAAAGGCATAATATATACATATAAATAAAATAGAAACTTAAAAAAAACTCTTTTAGGATTTAGTATTTTGGTATCCAGTCACATCTGCAGTTGTGCTTTCTGTCTACTGAAAAGCCTTTCCAGGTTTCTGGGTATGTTTTAGTAGGTAACAGAGCCTACTTGGTTTTGTTGTTGTTGTCATTGTTTGCTTGTTTTCGTCATGAGCATCTCTGATACAATAGGTTTGCCCCATTTTCCAGAAGGAGAAATTAAGGACTGGAACAGTTAGCATATAAAGGAAAAGCCAGAGTGGGCAACTGTAAGGGCAACTGGAAATAAAAACATTCCAGGCTTTTGTTAGTTGTTTTATAATTGTGTAACTATTGTTTGCTTTCACATAGTTAGATGCATTTTGCCTACAAGTAGTTCACTCATTTATTCTTAAACATTTATTTTATGTCTACTAGTGCTGGCCTAGACACTGGGGATTCATGGCTGAATAGAGCTGGGATGTAGCACATTTGAGACCAGGAATAGATAGCTGAGTTTCAAACCTTGTTTTTAGAATGGAATTTCTTGTATTCCCTTTCTAAAGAGGCTTCTTTCTTCCACAGTGAATGCAGCAAAGTTGGGGATGTTTGGCAATGCTTTTTAGTGACATATTTACATCAGGATTGTTCTTTTTTTTTCCATAGTGAATCAATGATTGATATCAAGAGAGCAAACTATTCTAAGCTGTCTTTGAGTACTCTCCTGATTCCCTTCTCCACTCTGACAGGAGTAAGTATTGCATGCCTCCATTATTATCCTTCTTCCTTAAATTATCTCTACTGTGCTAAAGAAAGTGATGAACCATATATGTTTAATCTTCCAGTTACTGGGATGGAGTCAAAGATTGATCACATTTACATTATTGAGGATGAATCACCCTTCTGATATCTGATAGCATTTATTTCTTTGAAAAATGGATAAAAATGATCTACAAAGGCATAGTGAATGTTTTGGGTATGGAAGCTTCTGGACTTTGAACAGGCTAGTTTTAAAGCATATTCAAAGTATCCTCTGACACTAGTTTTGTACAAAATCTGCAAGCCAAACCACTTGATCCTGTGGCATAGGTTTCAAGACAAGAGCTCAGTTAGGTTTTACTTGAATGTCTTCAATATCTGTAGAAATTAGTTATTTACTATATGATTAAAAAACTGGGACGCTGAACAATGGAACAAGAACATTCCTTAAAATTTTTTAAACTGAACTGACTTTGACCTCAACTGGAAATTTTTGGCTTGATTAGAAGCTTTGCCCTCAATGTCAGGTCAAACCCTGAAGGTACTTGTTTTGGACTTTGTTGAGACCATCAAGTTTTTTGTTCTTTTTACTTTGTTCCTCTCCAAATACATGCCATCAGGTAAAAACTAAATCAAAGCCATAAAACCACCATCATGACAAAAATCAAGACTAGGCACTTCCTAGGGTACCATTATTCTGGAAATGAGAATAGAGATGCTTCTTGACTTATGGTGGGGTTATGTCCTGATAAACCCATTGTAAATTAAAAATATCCTAAGGCAAAAATGCATTTAATACACCTGTCCTACCGTAGCCTATCATAGGCTAAGCTATGACAGCTAAGCTGTAATAGCTAGGTAGGCTACGGTAGGATAGGTGTATTAAATGCATTTTTGCCTTAGCTTTTTTTTTTTTCTTTTTGAGACAGAATCTCACTCTGTCGCCCAGGCTGGAGTGCAGTGGCGTGATCTCGGCTTACTGCAAGCTCCACCTCCTGGGTTCACTCCATTCTCCTGCCTCAGCCTCCCGAGTAGCTGGGACTACAGGCGCCCACCACCACACCCAGCTAATTTTTTGTATTTTTAGTAGAGACAGGGTTTCACTGTGTTAGCCAGGATGGTCTCGATCTCCTGACCTCGTGATCCGCCCGTCTCAGACTCCCAGAGTGCTGGGATTACAGGTGTGAGCCACCGTGCCTGGCCACCTTAGGATATTTTAAATTTACAATGGGTTTATTGAATATTGAATACTGGACATTACGTTGGAACTGTGACAGTTTTGCACTACTGTGAAGTCAAAAAATTGTGAGTTGAACCATTGTAAGCTGGGAACTGTCTGTATTACATGCTGTATAACACATATATTGAACAGCATCAATATTGCCTTTAACTAGACAGAACATCAGAATGTTTGCTGACTAGATTCATTTTATTTCTTATTAACTCTTTTAAAAGTAGTCTTAATGGTCAAAACATAGATATGTTGATATTATTTATGCCTGCTTTTTTCTTACCTCCTATAGTAGCACCCGTCTGCTGCGATGGAAAACTGTAATTACTGGTAGCATCAGTGTCAGATTAAAATAACTCAGTGCTATATTCTTATTTATGAATCACAATAATAATATAATTTAAAATATTTCTTTTATTCTAGAGGAAAAATAACTTACTATAACATTAAGCCTAAAAGCACTGCTCTCAATCTAGGAGCATTGATTCATTGCCTTCCTTTTTTTTATTTTTTCAAGCCTAAACTACTGTAATTCTCCTTAACTGGTCTTCCCACTGGGCAAATTTAACCTCCAAACAGTATAAAGCTCTGCAGCTCATCTTTCCATTTGGAAACTAGCTAAATCTGCATATATTTTCTTCATGGAAGGATTTACCTTGCCTTGCAGGAAAGCTTCATGGTGATTTGAAACTGTTATCACTCAGTCTTTAGAGCATTCCGAGGTCTGGCTTCTACCTCGAGGACCTGCAGATAGTACATACCCTACAGCTGCCACACCAAGAACCTCTCAAAGACTCTTAGCATTAATCAGATAGGTTTTAGTGTTAAAGCTTTGCATTTGCTGTCCTGACACTTGGAATATTTATATTTTAGCCAGAGAATATTTGCCAGTCTGTTTTTAAGTTTCAAACCAATATAAAAGACAGCTTTTATTTGTATTTAGCGTTGAGAGTGCTACTTAAAAGAATCCTAACGAGGTTTTTTGTTGTTGTTGTTGTTGTTGGAGACTCTATGGAAATAAATATGCGCTAGAGTTAAAAAGTAGTGTGCCAAGCTGGGGCGTAGATTAAATTTGTGTGGGCTCATGAGGTTGGTACTCCAAATGCTACCTGAGCCAGAGTCACAGCGTTTGGTGAGTATGCTGAAGGATTTGGGATAAAAATGGAATAAGTGTTCATGAAAAACGCCAGAAGAAAAACACCAGTAGCTCCGTTTAGTTCAAGATAAGAAGTATGTTATAAACATTCATGAAGAAAAATTCCCCACTTTGCTTGGAATTTATCTCTGATCGCCTGGATTGTAAACCACATCCAGAGACATAAATTAATAATCATATATATCATTCATCCTTCACATATAGCTTGGATGTTGCCTTGTCAGGGAAACGTTGGTGAATCTAAACCCCTTTCTCCTCTGCTCCCACAAAACCCCTCAGCTCACACTTCTTTTGTAATACCTCTTATAGCACTTTGCAAATTATGTTGAGCTCACCTCTTCAACTACTTGTCTCCATTACCGGAATGTGAATATTTTAGGGATAATGATCCAATCTCGTTGATCTCATGTCTAAGGCCCAAGAACTCCTCTCATGGTTCAAAACATATTTATTCAATTAGTAAATACACACATAAACTTGAAGGGTTACGACTTTTGGAACAGAATTAAGAGTCATTGCTACTCGTGAGATGAAGAGGAAAATGGTTCTAAGGCTAGTGTACACTCACTGGGAGACAGCAGGGAGGCTGGGGGATACTCAGATCCTATGATTTATATTCCTTCCAGACAGATAGTACCAATTTGGATCATGACTACTGGCAGGCTCAGGTGGAAGCTGATAACGATTCATTGCCCAGAAGCTCCTAGGTTTGTTTTGCTTTTATTTTTTTTTTCCAACTGTCAAAGGTCCTTCTGGCTTCATTCAGCACCTGGAGTTGATTACTGACTCCTCTTTATGAAGGTTGCCCCACAGAGGTTCTGTGGCTGTACCCTTCTAGGAAGGATGGCCTTATGTCAATGAAAGACTCCCAGCTGTGCTACACAGGCTCAACATGATCTACTAAACTGCTTACTTCTCTGAATCTATTTCCTCATCAATGAAATGGGCTTGATAAACCTAATCCAAGGCATCTTCAAGAGTTAAGTGAGATTGGATATGAATCACATCCATTATGATGCCCTGCACATTGGGATGTCTCCAACAAAAGCTGGTTTCCCACATGCTGTGTCTTCTCTCACATGCTGACTACCAGAGGGAGGCATAGCATTTCTCTGCTGGATTTGTGTGTATTTCAGGAAATAAGGGCTCCCTAAAGGGAAGCCTCCTTCCTCAGGGTGACTGCAGTGACATGGATGGATTTCTCTTTATCTGGGCCCCTTCTTCTGAACCTTGTGTCTCTGCAAATTGGGTTCAGGGGACAGGTGACCAGCTTCATGAGGCACACGTGTGTGCGTAAGCATAGTCCTGTATTATGATGATGACCTTTGAATCCAGGTGGCAGTGCTGAGCTTGGGATTCAGGAAAAAGCAGATGGGTGAAGGCACCATGTGAGCAGTGCTCCATATGCAGTTCTGTTGAGCAGAGGAGGAACAATGGATACATGTAGAGGCTTGGAGTGATTTGGTGCTGGTAGGCAGGTGAGCAGATTACATTCATGTTTAAACAGCCAATGGCCTGGTCCCAAATGCTTGGAATTCTGAGTAGCCTAGATGCTAAGTAGAAGGCCACGTTTATCCTTTCATGTTCACTGACTTTCCATGAAGCCTGTGGTTGATTTTCTGGGGATCAAAGAAGGCTTTGACTTCTTGAATAAATTATAACAAGTCTGTCTGACAGATGCATTAAGACATGCTGTAGAAACAAGCAATGAAGGGGATTCCAGGCAGCCAGTCCAAGAAGGAATATCTGGTGGTAGTACCTAGTGGGTATCTAGTTAGGAGAGCAAAACCCTGCAGAAGAAAGTATGACTCCGTGTGTCTGCTGCTTCTTTTCCATACTACCAAGTCTAAACCAGTTTCTTTAAGATAATAAATGCTAACTAAACATTTAATGATTGAAGCAATGAGTTAATGCCAGAAGAAACAAAGCAAGAGGGTCAGGAAAAAGTTAAGAATGAACTAGAAGGACTGATCAGCAATAAAGCTCTCTTGTGCAGGAGGCCTGAGGGGACAAAAGGGTATTATGGACCAAACCGAAGGAAGGGACTCAGACCTAGAGGAACAAGTCAGAGGCTCAATGACTAAAACCAGGGTAAAAGACTGAATCTTACATGTAATATTTTGGGCATGATCATAGTTACTGGGGCCTGAGAACAGCCTCAGAATAGATTCAGAATTGAGTCATTTCTTACTTGGTTCTCACTAAATATTAGGCAATAATGTTGTGTACATTTAAAATAAAGTCAATGATTTTATATGCAAAGCAGTTTCTATTCTAAGTTTTAAATTCAGATGCACTAAAGTAGAAACTTTTTTTTCTGGGATTTAAAATAGCATGTAAAGTAGCTCTTGATTACAAAGGGCTGTTCTGAGGGCATGATGTGTATTCACTCATTTAGTCTTCGCAACTTTACACAACAGTTTCCATTATTATCCCATGTTACAGATGAGAAAACTGAGGCCAAGAGAGTTTAAATAAACATTTTAAAGATAAGTGACTAAGATGAGGTTCAAATCTGTGAAGATGGGCTGCTTAATCCACCCTTGTGACCACTACACTAAACTGAACTTTCCGTGAAGAGCTATTGCAGCACCGTCCTTGAAATGAGAAGCTCACGATCATTCTTTCGAAATTTAATTCCACTGTTGGTGACTTAGGTGCTTCTAAATTAAGCAAATAAGTGGACAACCGTTTATTTTGTTTGTCTGTTAGACACAAGTAATAAGTGATTACCATATGTTAGGAAAAGACATTTTAAAGTCAACAAACTCTGGGATATATTGAATTCATAAACCGATAACATTTATGTTTGACTTGTTTCATAAGGGAACTAATAAAAAATAACTCTATCAGTTGCCCTCTCTATAGCCAGTAATGTTAAACCTTTACAACATTGTTTGAAGAATCAATTTTGGAAACTAGGGACCTTTACCAAGCTTTAATTATTATTGCATTTTAAAACAGAAAAAAATTACATGGCTAGATAAACTATCTTAAGGATAAAAGACATTTACACCAATTTAGTCTTTTGCAGTCATTTATTTTAGAATTCTCAGTAACATTTATCTTCAATAACTTATTTGTGGTGATATTAGATTCCAAAAGTATTTTTAGAAGAATTTTATAGTAGTCAAATGTGAATTATCTACCTTTTTTGAATATTAAATATTATAAAATAAGCAATTTTACAAAGCAGAGATAATCTCTGATAGCCTAAAGTTTTAAGTAAAATTATTGTCATTTATTAAGTTTAGTTTATTAATTTTCATTATTTTTAGTGACTATAAAAGTAAATCATTGCATTTTAGATTTTTACGTAAAATTCTGGTATGAAATTAATTTTAATGAAAACATTTCCTAATTATAATTTTATTTCTGCAATGACCTTATTTCTACATTTGAATATTACGCCAAGCAAATATCACCTGAAAAGGGAAGGAGTTAGCCATTGGATTTATTACTTTGATAACACAGGAACATGGAAACCATTTAGGGATAATATTTTCCCACATATAATAATTGTGGTAACTGGTTGATGAATAGACCATAATAGTGTTGGACTGAAAATCTAGACTTAAGTCATTTTAGGCTCCTGTAAAATTTGTAGTAATTAGGAGAAATTGAAGTGCAAGGAGAAGAAGTGTCACCTCACAATTCACCCCTTTATGACAGTAGGTTGGGGCCTGCTTTGCATACCAAGTAACTCTGTGTACTTTCATTTTCCCACGAAGTTATATACGATGAGACATTACTCCCTGTGAAAAAGATTCTTGACGGGAATTTTGGTATAATTCATGCAGACTCATCTCTGGGCTGAATTTATCTGCTCACAGATAGTGAATGATGGATTTTTTTTCAGGTGTTAAGAAGGGTTTTGTATTAGGACAAATTCTCATCAATAGAGGTGTCTCTAGGAATAGTGTGGTTATAATAAAGTGACTGGTACAAGATCTAACCCACACACAGATCTGTGAAATTTAACTTTCTGTTCCTCCTTCTCCTCCCACCCCATTCTCCCTTTAATTGTGTTGATTACTTTGGGATGTACAGGGTGGCTTTGACCTTCTTCAGCAATACAAGTTATAAAATATATATTTTCTGTCTTGGAGAGGCATTGCTTCATGTAGCCTGGAGTGAAGTAAAGTTTGGGTTCAAATCAAAGGAGCCTCTGGCAGCTAAGATGCAGACTCTCCCTTTCAGCCTGCAGTAGTTTCTGAGTGTCCACTGGAACCTCAGTGTTGTAGAGACTTGTGACAAGACTCAAGGCCATTGGTGGATTTTTACTGTTTGATTACTTACAACTATAATGATTTATAAAATGCTGTTTAAAGATTGAAATTACATTTTTTATTATTATTAGAAACATATAATGGTTTAAATAATTCATAGTAAGAGTGCTTGCTTTATCGATGGCGCATAATCTTTAGAATCTGGAAACACTGATGAGCCATATCTTCAAATCATCAATAGCAAGCAATGATGTAGGGAAGAAAGCTAATAATGTGACTCTAATTTGTGCTTTCATTATTACCTCCACCATTATATGGGTTTACAAGATGCATTTTCCTTTTCAGACTAAAATCACCTGACCATGTTCAGAATTTGAGTGTTTAATTGATTAGTCACTCAAGACGGAGAGTGGACCTACAAGTGTTTCTTAAGAAAAATCCTAATTTCACCTGTGGGCATTTCTTGTCCATCATCCAGGTGAGAGGCTTGGTGCAATTCCTCAGTGTCCATCTGTGAACTTCTATCTTACTCTTTTATAGTTTGTCTGCAGTGTGTGTATCTGCCCGCAGTCATCAGCACAAAACTGCTTCATACAGACCTTTGGCAAAAATACAACCTTAAATTGCCAAACTCTTATCAAAGTCAAGTGGAGAGTGGTAATGTTATTTGTTTTATATTCATTAGGTCTCAGGTGCACATGTTGGACTATGAGCCTTGTTTCATGACATAGACTGGTAGCTTTTAAGACTATCTTTAAAATTTTTTTTATTATACTTTAAGTTCTGGGATACATGTGCAGAACATGCAGGTTTTTTACCTAGGTATACACGTGCCATGATGGTTTGCTGCACCCACCTATCCGTCATCTACATTAGGTATTTCTCCTAATGCTATCCCTCTCCTACCCTCAAACCCCCTGACAGGCCCCGGTGTGTGATGTTCCCCTCCCTGTGTCCATGTGTTCTCATTGTTCAACTCCCACTTATGAGTGAGAACATGCAGTGTTTGGTTTTCTGTTCTTGTGTTAGTTTGCTGAGAATGATGGTTTCCAGCTTCATCTATGTCCCTGCAAAGGACATGAACTCAATACTATCTTTGAAATGACATGCATTTAGTTCATCTATGACTTAGCTGCTCCTGGAAAACCAGGGATGCAGCTAACCCTAGGGTACTCATTAGTCCCTGGTAACTCTCTGATTGGTTTAAAAAAATTCATATAAATGTACTCTAGTGGGTGCTGTGGTCACCACCCTGATTCCCATTCAGGACCCAAGCACTCACTTCTCAAACTCTGAAGTGTTGGTCACCAATGCCCCGTCAGCTGAAACTTTCTCTGGGATTTGTCCTCCACAGAAGGACCTGACTTGTCCAAAATTATGCCACCTCCCCTCTTGGTTGATGTGTGATTTAAAGCCCATGTCATTTGCCTCAACATGGAGCAACTCTAAAGGGTGGTCCCATCCCAGCTCCAGAGCTCCCTCCGGAAACTACTGAGACCTCTATTAAGACTGCATCACTGTTTAGCTCCTTGCTCAATCCATCTTACTTCCCTCACTCCTTTGTAAGTGAGAGCAGTCTTCAATAATCCCTCACACAGCAATCTCCATCTCTCATCTATACCTCATAACACCTGACCTAAGACAGCACTCATTCATTGGCTTATTTATTCATCTGTTTACTCATCTATCCATCCACCTACTATCCACTCATCCACCACTTATTTATTCTTGTGCCAAACACTTATTGGTTACCTAGCATATGCAAGAAGTAAGAGAAAATCTGGAACATATTGTTATAGTTACAGCTAGCTAGTCATGTAATAGAGATGAAGGGAAAAAAGAAAAGAAAAAAAGGAAAAAAGAAGAAATAGTAAGTAATTGAAAACATCTAAAGTGTAAAGTATTTCAAAAGGTTTATTAAAATCCTGTTTAGGCATGTACTGTGTGTCTTGAAAATAAGAAACTATATTTGCTCTATAATTGCTTGAATCGTACATCTTTTACCTTGATTAGCAATTTCAATCAACCAAGGCATTACTGAGCATTTTCAAATAAAAAAGCTGAATATTTCTCAACCAGAAGTCCTCTATTCAACCTTTCTATATTTTAAACACTTTTGATTTGCTAGAATTGAGTAGTATTATTTTTATAAAAATATTAATAATCTCTCTAAAGTGCAAAACTACACATATGAATGAGATGTTTAAGATGTGTTTCTAGCCTTTTGTATTTTTAATGTTATTTTTATTTGGTGTCCTTTGATTTCTAAACTCACTTCCCTTTTGCTCTTATGCTTATCTATATCCAGCTAAGAGTACTCTATTTTGATATTAAGTGTACTTAGATTTTTAAACATCATAGTTGCTAAAAGAAAATAGGTTTGATCTGATGTCTGAAAAGCTTAAGTTTATATAAGAGCTCAGAAGAGCCATAGGCTGTTTTCTTGAGAGCCACATCTGAGAGTTACTGTTGCTTGAAATAAGCCTGTTGCTAAAAGGTGGAGTAACTTGAACTAGTGGAAGCAAAGACTGGTTTCTGTATTGAAGCTTTGTAAATTTCCATTCTAGAATCCAAGGTAGTCCTCTCCAGCATTTTGAAATCAGCAATCTGAATCTATGGCCTTTGTTTGATGTCTGCATTTCCACAGACCCGTTGAGTCCCTGTGGGATCTTGCCTTCTGTTTCTGCCATGGGTCCTCCTCCTGCCAAAGGGGTTTCCTTGCTGCATCACAAAAGCTAAAGTCAGTCAAAAGAGGTTTTATCACCATATTTAGACAGAAAAGCAATATCAGAAATTACAGTGAGTGCTGCTGCTTCTAATGGCTGTGAGCGGCTGTTGCCCCACTTGCCATCTGGTGGCATGTTTTTCTTTTTGTCTTCATTTATGGACCATGTGCTAGTTTGCGTGTTATCTCTCTCTCTCTTTCTCTCTTTTTCTCTCCATTCATTTGTCCACCCCTTTCATCCACTGAGTCCCCTTCCTCCTTACCTGCTTATTTTCTTTTTTGCTGTTTGTCTTATTAAGAGCATTATTAAAGTCAATCATTAAAGTATGGAAAGTGTTTTAAAATCCTTAGAAAGAAGAGAGGTATAACTTCTATTCTGAATAAACACTCTAAGGCCACATTGGAATGATTCAGGAACAACAGCAACAAACAGCACGAAATTGCCCTATGACAAGTTGCTATTTATCTAGATAATGAGATGCAATCCAATCAATCATGTGTAATAATTTATCATGAATTTCCTTGGCTATATCAAGCTATCCTTACAAGATCCAAATACAGTCATGCGTCACTTAATGATGGGGATACATTCTAAGAAATGTGTCATTAGGCAACTTTATTGTTATGTGAACATCACAGAGTGCACTTACACAAACCTATATGGTACAGCCTACTGCACACGTAGGATATATAGCAATATAACCTATTGCTCCTAAGCTATAAACCTGCATAGCATGTTACTGTACTGAATATTGTAGGCAATTGCAACACAATGATAAGTATTTGTGTATCTAAACACATCTAAACATAGAAAAGGTATAGTAAAAACACTATAAATGATACGAAATGGTACACCTACCTAGGGTGCTTATGAATGGAGCTTGCAGGACTGGAAGTTGCTCTGGGTGAGTGAGTGAGTGAGTGAGTGACAAGTGAATGTGAAGCCTAGGATATTACTGTATACTAATGTAGATGTTTTTAACACTGTACACTGAGACTACACTAAATCTGTAAAAACCATAAAGTAATCACACTACAACAGCTATGGTGTCATAAAGCAATAGAAAATTCTCAGCTCTATTATAATCTTATGGGACCACTATTGTACATGTGATCTGTTGTTGACCAAAACATTGTTATGTGGCACATGTATAACAACATTTAGAAATATACTTTTTGAGGCTCTGGAATCAAAGCCAAACATGGACTTGTTACTTGAATATGTTTTCATATAATATACCGGTATTAATGGCTTGTCTAATTCACATTTGGATTTACATGTGGCTGCCCCACATTTGCTACACTGAGTGTCACCTGGCAGTCATAGGACAGTCAGCTAACGTTGGCACTGTTCTATGGCCCTTTAGAACAGGAAGTAAAGAAGAAGCCTATAGCTACTGAAATTTACAAAAAGAATTTTAAATAGGCAGATTTTAATTACCCCAGAATAGAACTTGGCCAGCATACCAAATTGTTCTTCCTCCTACTCATCTTGGAATTTCAAAAAAAAAAAATATCACACTGAATTGGTGCACATATTTATACTCAAAAAAATCTGGATCTAGTTCATTGCACTTGATATCAGAAATTAACAACTTTTAATTTCCAACTCTAGATCAGAATCAGATTGATACTGAGAAGTCACATATGGCTAACTCATCTGTAAGTGAAATCTCTTACCATTCCTGGCTGGTCAGCCTGGATAGTTCTACCTCTCTCTCTATGTATACAAAGAGAGAGGGAGAAAGCTGTAAAATTATCGTAATTCCAGGTAAGGCAACTATTCTCGGGTAGACACGGATTCTTTTAGTCATTCTTGCCCATTTCTCTAAAACCATGTTTCTCAAAAGACAACTTATGGATGACCTGCCTCAGATCTTCCAGAAGAAATCCAGATGCCTGGCCTTCAGCCAGACATTTGGAAGCAGAATCTCTAAGAGATGAGTCTGGGAATGAGCATTGAGACGCACTCCCTGGGAATTTGGAAGCACATTAAAATTTGAGAATCACTGCCCATACACACTGGCCTTTCTCCCTCAGAATCTTGTACAAATTTGAAAGCTGATCACTGAATTATTTAAACATTGAGCTTACATTCTTTAAAAATAGATTGAAAAACCCAAACCACAGAGAATCATCTCATTCTAGTTGCCCTTTGAGTCCTGGCACCCTCTTGCATGAGATGGTTATATCAGCTCACTGTCTGTTTCTCTCTCTCTCTCTCTCCACACTCTCACCCTCTGAGATTTTCCCATGTACTGTGTCACAGAGGAGACACAGTTGAGTTTTGTTTTCAGAATGTTCTGGAGAATGGCATATCTTTCAGTTCTCCCAACTCAAGAGGTAGGTGAGTGGGAAGACTAAGGGCTTCAGAGTAGGGCAGACTTCATCTGGGTTTATATTTAATCTCTCCTACTTCCTAAGTATCTTTGGGTCATTTATCTTTTGGATCATTCAGCTGTTTTAACCCCTCTGAGCATGGTGTTCCTTATCCCTGAAAAAGGAACAATGATACCAACTTTGCACGGTTGTTATGGTATTAAATAAAATAGTGTATTCAAAGGGCTCAGTATATTTTGACCTTGCTCAATAAATATTAACCATGATTACAATGATCATTTTGCTTCATGCTGGGGACAGAGGTGTTTCATGGTGTCAAGGTAGAGCAGAGGCCTCTAGATGAGTTTGATAAAGTTGTGCATCCCATCTTTTGCCACTCTGCACTGAATCCTATCTGCGAAATCCCTCGTGTTTGCTAATGCACGCACACCTGGTATCGGGCTTGCCTGTGCTCCACCCACGTCCACTCATGCCTGTTGATGTCCTGTGGGTTCCTTTGTGCTTTATCCAGCTCCAGGTGCATTGCTTGGAGTGACACACTGGTGGTTTTCTTCAGAGCCCTGCCCTAATGGGGCAGTTTGGTCTAGACACCCAGAAAGCAGAAAGCCCCTAAATGTTTATATCTGTTCCCTCCTCTCACAACCAATGCTTGCTACATGAGTGGGGAATCCGATTTCCTTGCCTTGGAAGACAGGACCAATTCTGAAGTGTAATTTACATTCCTGAGCTCACTATAGGATCAGGCTGAAGCTGAAGCTTGGCCTAAAATCCCACATTAGCTTTGCTTCTTTCTCTGACCTGTCCTGTCTCCCTACACCCTTACTGGCTTTTCCTGGGAGCATTCCATAAAAAATCACTTGCACACAAACTCTCATCTCAATGTCTGCTTTTAGGGTTCCTCACTAGGGCGCACACACACACACACTCACACACCTGGTTAGCAGGCGTGCTTGGCTTCTGCAGAAATATCCACAGCCTATTAAGTACCCCAAGAGCACACACAAAAGGATTTCCACATTGGAGTGTTTAGAACAGGGGTCGGCAGGGTCCAGATAGTACATATTTTGGCTCTGTAGGCCACGTATAACAGGCTGTGACACATCGCTGACCCTTGGTTTCAGGTCACAATTCCCCTTTCCTTTACTTCTGTTTGTCTGTGTGTTTTTACACTAATGTCTGTCTGTCCCTCCCTATCATTTAGTTGCTAGGTCAGACTGATCACTTGCTCAGAATGATTGGTGTCCCCTTCAGTGCCTTTAAACTTCTGGGAATAAACTGAAAATATGAGGCACAGAATTACTGCTAACACCTGGGTCATCTGTCCAACTGCCAGATAGTTTTGTTTTTTTTTAAACTGCCAGTGTTTGTATTGCAATGGCTCCACAGCCATGTTAATGCCAGCAAAACAGCATTTAGATCTGTGAATCCCCATGGAAAGCAAGCAATATCAGCACCCAGAAGCGTCATTAGTATTTTGTAGTCTTTGCTTTATTGTTCTGCCTCAAACTAGCAACCTTCAGTGGATCATTGACATTACTCCTACTCTGCTACCAGTTTATTTACTAAGCGGTAGAAATTTAGCATGAGCTGAGGTGAGAAAGGCTTATTTACATTCAATATTACTTGACATCCTTATAATTTTTCCTTTTCATGACAAGGGGAGAAATTTACATTAAAAACACATCAGTAACCTTAGTAATCTCCTTGAGCAGACAAGGGTGCATAAAATCAGAAGGCAAGCTAAGAATGATGGGAACACAAATGCAGTCAAGCCTATTTCAGACGAATTATAAAACTGTAAGATTAACGAAAAAGCTTGCAACATACTTAGCCCAGGGAAGTCAGTAGTTACTGGGTGGTCTCCAGCTTTATCTTGATGAGAGAAATCATTTTTTAAAGAATGGAAAGAAGTCGAGAACTGCATTCGGCATTCAGATCATTGTAATGAAGGAGTTAAAGAGGTTGGTAGCTGCCGTTTTATTGTTGTAATATATCTGAAAGTAAAGCTTTTCTTTAAAAATTGAATTTTTATGCAGTATACATTTAAATTTTGTCATCAAATAACTCTTTTTGCTCTAAATAAAATCAATATTGAATTGCAACACCCACAGAGTAGCTAGAATGCATTAGAACATTGGGATGTAATTTGTACTGGAGATGTATTTATAACTCTCTCAACTTGTCTGACATGTGCCAAAATGACAATAGTGTAGTTCAGGTGTATCTCTGAGAAGCTTCTAGAATTGTTGCATTTCCCAACTTTATCCATTGTGAGAATAGACTGGGGTCTCAGACACATTGGCAGCTATATAATGGTTTGGGACAACTCTTGGCAAGGAGAGCTGGTGGGTAGAACTCAAACAACAGATCCAGGTGGGTTAGACATCATTGGCACTGATGTTTTCCTGGCACAGATTAAAACTTTGTGCTTTGACCATGTTGTCCCTGGAAGCTGATGTTTTAAACCAAAACCAACGTTCTAAGGATCTATCCTAAAATCTCTGCAACTTTTGAGAATAAGAAATGTTAAATGGCATCAGTAAATTTAAATTGAACTTTCCTTTTAAAATTTGGCAATCAAGGTAGAGTCCTTATGAAGCATGGATTGAAGCAAAGGTAGAAATCATCTGAGCACAATCCCTGCTTAGACTGACATCTTTTCATACCAAGTACAAGGCTTTTTTTCCCATAAAATTTTCTTCACTGTGTTTGGAGAATTCCGAGTTGAATAATGAAAAGTATTGCATTGACTGTGTACATAGGTGATCTGTTGTTATATAACTGTAATACATTATATTTCCCCAATCCTAAATGAATTGACATTTCACATGCGGCTCTCTAATATTTGCTGAGTACCTGACCCTCTGGTGCACGGACAGGTCCTGGAACTACCACGCTGTACCCACCGGGGCTGCTTGAGAGGTAGCTCTCAAGTAGAAGGGTGAGGTCAAGCTAGAGATAGGAAAGAGCTGGCTAGTCCCTCTCAGCGGTGCTGGGGTATGAAAAAGGAGATTATCTATAAATCAGTGATAGGTCTGGGATGATGAACAGAAGGTTAATCAGAGAACAAGCTGAGACAAAGTAAAGAAGGAAAGTGGTGTCCAGGATGCATGGAATATGCATGGTTAGAAACTCACTAAACAGATATATCCTAGAAGTCTTCAAGTGGTGGGATCTTGGCAGACAAGGTCAGAGTTGGCTTTCCTTTCTCCAAGCTGGAAATAAGAATTCCCGTTGCAATTGATGTTCAGATATTCCGCATCCTTTCTCCTCTCCTTAGGAGATCATGATTTTCTTTTCTGTTAGTACTCTTAAGATTTTTATTCTAGCATCACAGGTGAATTATTCTACAATACAGGCATCCCTGAACCTTATCCATTATCTTTCCTTTTTTTACCTTCCATGTGCACTTTTCACAAGTTGTCATTAGTTGTACAACAGGAAGATGGAATAGCCCTGTTGGTTGGATGCCATTAGCAAAGATGGTGGTAGACACTCAGTTCAGCCTGCCAGCATTACTCAGATGCAACTCTGACTCTGACAACTTGAACTTCGTGGTTGAGACTTTCACCTTGTGAACTCTGTATTTATCTGTGGTTCACAGTTGACATGAAGGGTCGGCAAGGGAAAAGTCCTTATGTGAACAGTTAACTTGGCAGCATTTCATAGCCAAGGAAGAAAAGCATCATATTTACAAATGACATTTCTAAGCCACAGGGTATCATCTTTCCTTTGTGTCTTGAGCAGAGAAATGGGGACAACGAGAAGCCAATGTTTGCTCTTGTGTAAAGTCACAGAGCTCTCCTTTTCCACATACGTCTTATTTTCACACATCTTGGTGCAAACAGACAAAAGCTGTTATTACAGAAGGTGAAGCTGATAGCTTTTAATACATCATATCCACTAGGATGAAGGCATAATTGCGACTTTTATGTTCATTTTACAGTGAATAGTAATTAGCCTTTGGCCCATTACACTGTGTGAACATCGAATTACCCACCTGCTCTTGCCATGTCTCGTTAACTTAAACTATGTGCCTCAAGCTTTATCAGAAAACAACTCCTTTTCCATCTCCCTGCTGACATGCTACTTTAGATGAATTCATTTAGAAAAGTCACAGACTTAAGCATGATAGTCTCCTAATTTGTCCTGAGAGCTCAGGACAAGGACTTTAAAAAATGCTTTTAATTACAGTGGCTGGTGTACATCACATAGCTTTTTGGAAATGCAGGCCCATTACTTCCTTTAAAAACCAAGATGTCTTTTACTTTTGTTTGTGACATTGTTTGTTTAGCCATTAGCTGATATATGAAGATAATTTGATAACCATGTTACAAAATCAATGTGTATACTCAGTCCCTGAGAAAAGGCAAGTCGATGATAAATAACCTTTGCTGATTTGCAGCTAAATTTTCTCTTTAGAGGAAACAGGACCTGAGGTGAAATAATCAGGATTATCATCAAATAAAACACAAAGGAAAACTTATTTCCTTGTAAATAAAAGTGAAATACCTCCACACAATATCAAAGTTAGCAGACGAATCTGATGTGGGCAAGAGACTTAGGATCTCAGAGCTAGGAAAACATTTGGTTGGGCTCTGTAAGTTTACAGAAGAAATTCCAGCCTAAAATACAAAGTATCTTACCTGTGTTTGGAGAAAATATGTACTTCTTTCTTATTATAAATGCTTCAGTGGCTCTAGCCTCCAAATAAAAGTTTGGTGATACTTAATTTTCAGCTTAAAAAAATTTTACCCACGGAATTCTGTCGTTGTCCTGCCTACTTATATAGTGATGGTTTTTTGGCCGAGAGAGGGATGACTTTACCATCAGAAGCCCAAGCCACTTGCTAGTTTTGAGCCCAGAGACATCTGTAGGTGTATTAATTTTGTATTGTGGCTGCAACAAATTACCATAAACTTATTGGCTTAAAACAACACAAATTTATTTTCATCCATTTCTGGAGAAGTCTGAAGTCAAAGTTTCAATGGGCTTAAAACCAAAGTGTCAGCAGTGCTGTGCTCCTTCTGGAGGCTTCACAGGAGAATTTGTTTCCTTGCCTTTTCCATTTTATAGCAGCCGCCTGCATTCCTTGGCTCGTGGCCCCTTCCTCCATCTTCAAAGTGCATCACTCCAACCCCTCCCATCTCGGAGTCCTTAATCTAATCATATCTGCAGTCTCTTTAGGCATTATGACAATGTATTTACAGGTTTCAGGGATTAGTACCTGGACATCTTTGGTGGGTGGCATTATTCTGCTTACCACAGCAGGGCTCTGGCAGATGAATAAGGCCCCCGGTACTGCGGGTAGTTTACAGTTTGTTTGGCTTATGATGTTGAAACAATAGCAGCAGTTGTAGTCGCTCCTCTGCTGACTTGGTTGTGTCAGGAAGGTTAGCAGGTTATCTTTGAGTGATTCCCTCGCTGGTCCCTGCATGTCAGAATTGCTGTGTCACATTGGAGCAACTCGTCATGTTATGTCACTGAAAGTGCTGGTTGGGAGATGCAGAAAGCTGAAAACTTAAAGTGCTATAAAAGGCATTTGTGAGTTAGGTTTGTTATGATTGTCAAAACTATTTAGAAGCCATAGAGAGCTTTCAGGCTTTCAGTCGAAGCCTTGATATCCACCGTAATGAGAAATATACAATGCTTGTACTTCAAAGTAAGTAAGGATAATCTTTGAAAATCCAATTTTAAGATCTTTTATTTTTTTGACCTGTGACTTGAAACTCACTGTTCCACAACAGAAATATGTATAAAGTTTCTATACACAGTACAGTTAACTAATTACATTTGTGGTTCACTAATACCTTGTTTATGAAAAAAAAAATAATTGGGAGACCTTCAGGGTCTTTTCTAACTCAGGGGGCTGGATAAAATTATCTCAATTTAAACAGCATCTTACAAGGTTTAGCATCCCTTGGTAAAGATAAAACATCTCATCATTATCAATTAAAAGACTCCTGAAGTCTTTGAAAAGAGGACTTGTTTGCTTAAAATACGTGAAGGTCATGTTCACCCTGTAATAGTCAATGAGGAGTAGTCATTTGTTATTTTTAAACAGGCTGTCATTTAGCCATTATGAAGATGAATAACATTTGTTATTGCCTAATAATCTTCCTGTTGATTACAGAGAGAAGGCAGTTGCAGACACCTTATGTGCCTTTCTTAGTTGCTAGATTATTAATGCCTTTTGATTAAATTCTGTAAACAAAAATTAAGGGCTTTGTTCTCCAAGTTTTGAGACTGGCATCTAGGATGCTAAACCATGCCTTGGTCCATGATATTTTGAGTTGCATATGTTATTTGCCTACTGTTCATGCAACGTTGCAAAAACAAAGTTCATTTTTTAATATCAAACAGATTGTCAATGGATCATATGCTGCCTCTATTAAGGTTAGTTTCTGGATGTCTGCCTTCTTGAAGAGAGTTAATGAAGCTGTAAGTTACCTGTGTGCCTTCATTTGGAGTCAGGCCTAATTATCTGGATCTTGGCCACGTTATTGTCCGAGCCTTATTTCTAAAGCAGATGGAGTCACTCAGGAATGACTTCATTTGTATTAATTTGTTGTACTGTCTTCTGCTATTCATCTCAGAAGCACTGTACTGCCTTTGTCACAGAGAGCAGGAAAAGACAAAAGGATTGCAGTCAGAAATTAAGAGAGAAATCTACTCCTTCGGTTCATGGATACTGATGGTCTAACCTGACGACAATTGAGTGATGGCCACTTTAGGGCAGTAGAACGGGATAACAGGGTAATTATGCTACCTAAGATTTGAGTTTTCACATTTTACACGAGGTCAGATGACAGACACATTGATCCAGCAGCTTAAAAGGGAAGCTCTCTGGAGTATTTTTTTGCTCTTGTCATTTTTTTTTAACCTGATGAGGGCAATTTCCAAGGGAAACCTCCACTTGTGGACTGACTTAGAGGATCCTGTCGCTTGTTGGAAAAAACAATCACTTTGTTGTTTATGGATCAGACACAGGATCTCCAGATTACAACCTAGAGGGTGGTGGCATTTCTACCTTGCATTCAGGCTGGAATCATCTCCTAGGAAAATAACCTGTAAGAAATTCTTAATTTAATAATTTTTATAAACTTTCTGTAGAGATATCTAGGGTTGGGTAAAGAGATAAGGAAGAGAATCTGGCTTTTGCATTGACAAGTGATAGTGGTGGCTTCTTTTATTGCTGCCTTTTGTCAAGAGGGGACTAAAAATTTTCCATGGCTTCTATTTGGTTGATGGGTTATGTCAATTTAATATAAAAAGTCTTAAATAAATAAAATAACAACTTTACTCAATAACCAAATAGCTATTGACAAATAAATGAAATCTAATGACCCCACTAACTTATTCTAATTATAAAATATGCAATTAGAATGTATCTATATTGATATCAAACTGTGTGAATGAATGTTGAGAAGAAAATAGATGACCAATACAATGCCAAGTGTTCACCGATTTGAAGAACCTAAATTATAGAGGTGATTTCTTCAAAAGAATTCTTTCTTTGCTCTTCTCAGAAAAGCATCTAGACAGTGACTTTCAGACATTTCTTGGATTATAATATATTTAAGGTTTTCATTAGAGTTCCCTAAGGTTGGAGTTAAACAAGACAAATTATTGTAAAATATTGAGTTTTGTTCCATATATTAGTTTGCTAGGGCTGTTGTAGTAAAATGACACAGACTGGGTGGCTTGGACAACCTAAATATATTGTCTCACAGTTCTGGAGGCTGGAAATCCAAGATCAGTATGTCAGCAGGGAAAATTGAAACACAGAGATAGACACGCACAGTGGGAGAACACCATGTGAAGATGACGGCAGAGATGGGGTGATGCGTCTACAAACCAAGAACACCAAAGATTGCCAGCAGCCACCAGAAGCGAGGGAAGAGGTGTGGAACAGATTTTCCCTCACAGCCCTTGGTGGAAACCAAAGGTCAATACCTTGATCTTGGATTTCTCTCCTCTAGAACTGTAAGACAATTAGCTTTTGTTGTTTAAGTCACCCAGTTTGTGGTACTTTGTTACGACAGCCCTGACACACTAATCCAGCTGCTTCTAGGATTTGGATTTCAGTTTCTCCTTCAACCTCCTTGTCTGCCACCCAATCTAAGTGAGCTCCTCTCAGGCCTCTCTCACACATCAGGTTTCCTTCTTGCCATGTTTCTTTATTTCTCTCTTGTAAGTGCTAAGCTTTTTCAAAAGGGACCTTGCCTCCGTTTACCTCTAAGGCCCAACTTTAAGAACAGGGCCAGCTCAGAGAAGGCACTGCATAAATATTTTTTGAGTAAATGAATCTTTCTATGATTATTCCCCATATTATATCTTCAGTGCTGTGAAATAAGACACTGATTAATGAGTAAAATATCATAAGAATTAATTTGTAATAACTTCAATATATTACAATTTTTTTACATTTTAAAAGTTTTTACTTTTAAACTATCAAGTCATGAGATCTTGGAATATCACTTTAAATTTTAGTTTTGCTTTTTTTTTAAAGAATAATAACTTGCAGCAAGTAGTAACATAATTTAATTGGTAAAGAAATTGCATTTAAATAGAATTCATCACAAAAATGTAAAATAAACCAAATGCTCCATCTATTCAAAACATCTTTTGTTTGACTCTCTAAAAGAAGATAATTCAATTTGAAAAGATCAGATGTATTGATTGAGATATGATTTCTAAGGTACTTAATGGAAGAATGAAGCAAATGAAAAGAAAATTTATCTTTCATATTTGTTAATATCTTACTGGAGAACTCTGCAGGGTTAGTTTTAGTCATACTAAAGTAGGATTTTTTTTAAGCCTGCTATATATCCAAACATTATATTCCTTAAAATCATCTGGGTAAGATATCAAGATTTCTGACAACTAATATTATGTTGCCAGTTATGAAGTTTTGCAAAAATCTATAATATTGTGTGATTGAGTGTATTGTGCATTAGAAATCGCCGTGAAGAAAACTTCCACTGATGCTTTTGAAGGGTCCTGCCCCTTTTACCTGAGAAGTTGCTCATGAAGACTTTAAATTAAATCTAAACATATGAATTTGGGCACTATCTTTTTAATGTATGTTTGTATTGTGTTTTTATATATACACACACACATATATATCCCATGTACATTATATGTAAAATACCTATATATATACAGGCACAAATCATAAGCATAGAGCTCTGTTAATTTTCACAAAGGGAATGTACCAGTACAACCAGCACCAGAACAGAAAACAGAGCATTGTTGGTTGAAGGCGAACTCAAGTGTTTCAGCCCTTTTCTACTTGCATGTTTGCCTTTTTCTTTACATATACTCAGTATAAGCTCTTGGTTGCATGTAAAGATTACACATGTGTTCTCCATTTTGTAACTTACTTTTCCACTCGTTTTTGAGTGTCTCTTGTTAATAGGCATCTTTTATTTTAGTGTAATCCAGTTTCACAATCTTTTACTTTAGTACTAGTGTGTGTGTGTGTCCTGCTTCAGAAATCTTTGCCTACCCCAAGATCATGAAGATGTTTTCCTATGTTTGCTTCTAAAACCCTCATTGTTTTAGTTTTCCTATTTAGATCTGTGACTCATCTGGAGTTAATATTTATATATCATGCGAGGTCTGGTCAAAATTCATGCTTTATTTTTTTCAATAGGAGTAGTCAATTGATCAAACATCATTTTATTTTGTTAAACAAGGAAAATTTCTCCATTTAATTCAAGGGAATTTCAGCATAATTTACTAGTATCCTTGACAGAACTTTCTGAAGTACCTTGACAGCCTTATTTTCTGGGGAAATAGTATCTTATTTCATGGACTTCTAATCTAATACACCATCTACGTTTTTGCCAACTACTGGTCTTTAGTCTCTTTCATAATTGAACCTGACCCTTAAGTTAGCGACTACCCTTGGTTGCTTTTATCTTTGTTCAAATTTACTCATGCTGTGGCTTCCATGTTTGCTTTTTTATTCAACAAACATTTATTTTATACCTAACATAAGTATATGCTATAATAGATGGTTTAAAGATTTAAAAATGAGCAAAACAGGATTGTTTGCCCTTAAAAAGTCGTAATGTATAGTAGTGGATAGAGGAAGGAAAAATACAGAAAATTACAATATGTTATGTGTAATAAATGTTATTAAAGAGTTGTGTTTCTCAAACTTTTTTCACCATTGCCTCCTTAATGAAACATTTCAGACAGTTTTTACCTAATTGTTCCTCTCACGAAAGCCTAATACCACTGATAAATAGACCATATATCTGTGTGCTTATGTTCCATATGTACATCTGTGTTTTATACAGATAAGGATTAAGATTCTTTTTCTCCCCTCCAAAGAACTGACTTTCTCCTCATTAGCAGTACTACTGCCTCAGTTGAGAATGTGTCTTATAGATTTACCTGTTGGGCACAATGTGAGCTCATTGGAGGTGCTTCTAACCTTGACTGTACAGGTTATGAGGACTTTCTTGAAGGAAGTGGTGTTTAATTTGAACTTTTAAGACTAAGCAAAAATTAAACAGGTAAAAAGTGCTTGAGAGTTGTAAATCTAGAACCCAATGCATGCAAAGACAGAATGGCATGAGAAGGGTGGCATATTCAGGGAACTATGAAGAGTTCAGTAAGACTGGAGCATAAAATTAAAGGGTGAGAAATAAAGAGAGATGAGGACAAGTCCCTTCAGAATCTACATATTATGAATTACTGATCTAAACTCCATATTGTCTTCAGTGCAGACACCAGAGAGTCATTTCAAAGTCAGCATCCTTGGTAAAACATAGCATCTCCTACTTTTTTAGCTGCACTATTTGGCTTTTCTTTTTCTTGGCTAACACTGTCTTAACTTCCTGAGGTGTCCAATCTATAAAGCCAACAATTTATCCTTAATTCTTATCTTTCTTATACAAAGTTCCTATCACAACTTCTGTTCAGGTTTTGAATCTCTTTTTATTATGATTGTAGTTGTTTTCCTTCTGACTGATAGTCTCTTTCCCTACACTGTCTTCAACGTTGTTGCCAGCCCTTCTAGTTCGCCATTGAGATACTAAGGAAACGATAGAGAAAAAGTGAATATTAAATTTTAGATTAATAGACAACCATATAACAGACTATAGAAAGGATTTCTGTAAGATAAGGCCAATGTAGCTGGATTAAGAAAGCAATTAGCTTACCATACTTCTCAGAAAAAGGGCTGAGCCAGCTACCTTAAAGACAGTAGGAGAAACGGCCTTCTTTGTGTAAATTCTTTGTGTATTATACCACATGTTTGTCAGGCAGCTTTTAGATGGTTGTAAGTTCTCATCATTTTTTTTCCTTCATAGGTGTGAATATTGTGATCTTTGCATTCACTTCTTGTACGTCCATTCAGATATATCAGCTTCCAGCAAAGAGCCAGGTGGGTGGTGGTGATGGGGCTGCTTGAATTCTAGGAGGTAAGACTTCAAACCAAGTTCTCTACTTGGAGCAGAAGCAGAAAGATTTCCATTTGCATTGTTCACTGGAAATCATGATTATTCATGTGCTTCCTCAGTTCACAGAATCAGGAAATAAGAGAGCAGGAATAGAAGCTCTCACCTACTTCTCAGCTAGGGTAGTTGAGAATGTGGAAAAGCAGTACTCTTCATACACTAATCCTGGAAGTCTAGATGGATTCATACCTTTCTTAACCTACTTTGACAATTATATTAAATATGTAGTTTCTATTTCCTAGAATTTCCATTTCTAGAATTTTTTCCAAAGAAAATGATCAAAGATATATTCAAAGATGTTTATATAAAGATGGCCATTGAAGAGTTATTGTAACAATTAACAAATGGCAGGTACCATGCTAGGTGCTGGTGGTAGGGACGTGCATGATCCCTCTGCTTATGGAATTTGTAGTCCAGTGGGAAGAAAAATAATAAGCAATCCCACAAATAAATATTTAATTATAAATTGTGATAAATATGTTAGTAAAGTTACAGGTGATTTTTGATTGTTATTTGGAAATTTTCTGGTTTTTTTGGGAGGCAGGTGGAGATGAGATGGTCATGCACACAATATATATTATGTCAGAAGTGAAAATACCAATCATAATGAAAGATAATGTAGAAAACTATTGAGGTGAATAGGAAAATAGTTACTACTTCTTTGTTAACTTTGTTACGATAGCGTAATATAAAAGTGATAAATGCATGTGAAGTGTAATTCATATTTGTAAACACAATTGCGTAAATATAAAGAAGAAAATCTATAAAGATTTCTGTTTTGATTACCTCCAGGTTAAGTCAATTAAGACTACTTTTAATTTTCTAAGTCTTCTATAAGAAATATATATTAGCTGTAAAACTAGAATAAAATATAGAATTTTTACAAATAAGTTTTAGAATTTTTCTATTTTGGTAAAATATACATAATATAATATTTAACCATTTTAATAATTTTTAAGTGCACAATTCAGCATCATTAAGTACATTTACAATTTTGTGCAACTGTTACCACCATCTATCTTCAGAACTTTTCCATTTCCTCCAACTGAAATTCTGTACCCATCAAATAATAGCTCCCCATCTTCCCCTCCCCTTATCCTTGGCAACCACCATTTTACCTTCTGTCTCTATAAATTTGACTACTCTGGGTAACTCATATAAGTGGAATCATACAATGTTTGTCTTTTTGTGTCTGGCTTATTTCACTTAGCATAATGTTTTCAAGGTTCACCTATATTGTAGCATATATCAAAATCTCCTTCCTTTTTAAGGCTGAATAATATTTCATTGCATGTGTACACCACACTTTGTTTACCCACTCATCCATTGATGAACATTTAGGTTGTTTTTACCTTTTGGCTGTTGTAAATAATGCTGCTATGAACATTGATGTACAAATATCTTCAAATCTCTTAGGTATATATATAGAAGTCAAATTGCTGGATTATATAATAATTCTATGTCTAATTTTTCAGGGAACCACCATATTGCTTTTCACAGTGGCTGCTTCACTTTATATTCCCACCAGCAATGCACAAAGATCTCCATTTCTCCACATCTTTCTCAACACTTGCTATTTATTTCCGTGATCATAGCCATTTTAATAGGTATGAAGTGGTATCTCATTTTGGTTTTGACTTGCATTTTCCCGATGATTAGTGATGTTGAGCATCTTTTCATGTGCTTATTGGCCATTTGTACATGATCTTTGCAGAAATGTTTATCAGTTTCTTGGCTCAGTTTTTAATTAGTGTGTTTGCTTTGTGTTGTTTGGTTGTAGAAGTTCTTTATATATTTTGGATATTAATTTCTTCTCAGATATATGATTTGCAAATATTTTCTACTTGTCTGTGGAATGTTTTTCACTCTTAATAGTGTCTTTTGATGTACAAAACTATTTGATTTTGATGACATCCAATTTATCTATTTTTTTGTTGTTGCCTATACTTCTGTGTCATATCTCAAAAATTCATTGCTGAATCCAGTGTCATGAAGCTTTCGCTCTATGTTTTCTTCTCAGAGATTTAAATCTTTGATCCATTTTGAGTTAATTTTTGTAAATGTTGTGAGGTAAATAGAAAAAATTTAATGCATGGAAATTTGCACTGATAGAATACTTAGTACAATAATAATTTCATTTAAAATGTATATACATACATAGAAGGCCATTGCGAAATGTTTTCTGTGATTGACTATCTCTGGGGATTGTACTTACAGGTTATTTTATTTTTCTTTAAAGTTTCCTGTATTTTTATATTGAAAGTGTCTTAGTTTCATAATTTTCAAAGTGTGAATTATCCAGCTTTCACTGCTTTATACTGTGTAACAAAATATCTTGATACCTCAGAGTAGATTACAACAGTCTATATTTTATTTTATAATAATAATTATTTTTTGCTTACCTATATTGGTGGCTGTTAGCTACTATGTCTCTTATCCAGATTGAAGTTATAAAGGTTGAGGTCTGTTTCATGATTCTTTCCATTCTGAGACTCAGGCTAAAGAATCAGACCTCTCCATGGCAGGGGTATAGGAGCAAACAGTGTGGTGAAACTGTTTTAATACCTCTGAAAGTTTCCACTTGGGGGTGATAGATACAGGGCACGTCTGCTCACGTTCAACTCCATCAGCCAAAGCAAATCACATGACTGAAGCCAAAGGCAATGGAGCAGGGGAAATTGCTATAGGAGAAGCAAGGATTGAATAATTTCAAACAATGTTACGATCTACAACAAAGGGTGTTTTACAATGCCATAAATTTACACTAATTTTTTCTTGCACTAAATTCCTCAGAATAGCATTCAAAGCCGACAATAATGTGGCTCTAATCTGTATCCCAGCCTCAGAACCCACTACTCCTTTATAAAACTTCTGTGATCTAGTAACCTAGTACTTCTCATAATTCTATGAAAGCACTTGCATTTGTAAGCCCACATGGTCTTATGTACTTTGTCTATCCTTCCCGTAACACATTTATGGACTAGCGTTAGTAGATTTCTTGAGTTTCCTCAAATGAACCACACTCTTTCATGATTGAGTTCAATTATTTTCTCTGCCTGGTATGTTCTTTAGTTACCTCTTACCTTGCATCTTGAATTACTGCCTGTCCTTCAAGGACCAAGTCTTCCTGGTCTTGGTCGTGAAATCTCCCTACATGCACATAGTCAGAATGAATCATGCCCTTTTCTTCCCAAATATAAGACTATTTGCAGTCCACCTTAATTTCTACTTATGTTTACAGACGTTAGTCTTCCCTCAGGGGTTATATGAGCTCCTTAATGACATTTTATTCCTTTCTGTATTCCTGCTGCAGTCCAGAGGAAACAGTTCCTGGCACATAGTAGGTGTTCAACTGAGGTTTGTGGAATTGAATTGCACACCAATATGTCCATGAAACCATATTTTTAAAATATGTGACTTTTCTCCCTAAAAAAATCACAGAGTTGTCAACACTGAAAACTTTGTAGCTTCTAAGGAAAGTTACTGATCAGTGAAGCAAAGAACAAGTCAAGAATCAAGTACGGTTTGCCCTTCAAAAACCAATGACTGACAACAATAAAGCTACAAGTGATTTATTATCTTCTTGAGGTGCATACATTTATTTTGCTCAAGGTGTGTATTTTATACCTCCTAACAGCCTTGAAGAGAGTTTAAAAAAATGTTCTATGACTTTTATGCTTCCCAGGTCATTCTAGTACTGTACCTTGTGGAGAGAAGTAAAAATAAGCTATAAAGGCATACCTTCAGTGCTTTTGGGTTCACACTTTCTTCTTTATAAAAACAGACATCTTACTTGCTAGTAGTCCAAGTTATTTTCAGTGGCAAATTAAAGCATAAGCTAATTTCTCACTGTCTTCTGAAATATGTATGGTCTGATGCTTGTAGATGAAATCAGTCTTACACTTTTGTATATTTCTCAGAATGCTTTCCTCATGGGTTTTCTAGATGAACATTTTGGTGAATTTTGACCAGTAATATCAACATATATTTTATCTTGTTTTATTTTAAATGCTTGTATAATCCACAGTTCTTTTTAGAGCAGTGCTTCTCAGAGTGTGTTCCAGGGACTGCTTACAGGTCTTGGAGATGTCTGGATTGGTTCTCAATAACATAAGGAGCTTGTGCCAAAAGATAAATTAACTGTGCCACTAAGCATGGTGTTTAGTTCAGCTGATGTTTTTTTCTGATATTTTTCATAGCAACACCTTATTGATGAATGAAGTGCACTAGTTTACATTATGGCACAAGCTTCTTTCCCCCTTGTAGACTGGCATTTGAGTAGCATTGTTCTAGAGAACCTGCACCTATGTACATGTGACATGGCCCTAGTCACTGCTTACTGAGTCTAGAGTGGACTCATGGCCCATTCTGTGTGACAATTGTCTTTCTTCCTCTCCTCTCCCTCCTCCTTTCTCGGTTTCTCTCTCCGTAATAGGAACTAAAAGGTATAGGGACATCTAGATGGAGTTGTCGGTTTGCAGTGGATGTTTGTGCTGAAGGGTCTTAGCTGGAGCCAATTCCATGCAAGATCAAGCCATAAGCAAACCAAAGTTCTGAGGAGCAGAAGCTATGAGGATGCAGGTAAGAGGATGGGTGGGGGGAAAGACAAAAAGTCTATCTATAGAGAGGGAAGAGATGAAAGGACACGTGATGCTGGCTGGAATGGGAGAAGAAATGCACACACACTTTCCCATGCAGGGTTCTCCTTTTCCAGTTCCCAGTTTGAGTCCCACTGCCAGGGGTTCTGATTCAACAGGTTGTCAGTGGAATCTGTGAATCTGCATTTTAATTAGTGCCCTAGTGGATTCTTAAGTTAGGAACCTAGACCGTTTTTTGAGGAACGCTGGCTATTTTGTGATCTGACCTCTACTCATTTTAGCAGCTTGTGATCTGACCTCTACTCATTTTAGCAGCTTTAGTACTAGTCAAACTGCAGATATTCAAACACAATGTAGTAGCACACCTTCCTTATACCTTCATGTCCTTGCATACGCTGTTTTTCTTGCCTGGAATTCCTCTCTTTTTCTCAGTCTGGTAAAAACCTCCACATCCTTGCAAATGTAGCTCAAGCATCAGCTTCTTTTGAAGCTTGAAGTTTCCTATTCCCTCCCACTCTCTACCACTTTATGTAGTGAGGGCCCTCACTACATTATTATAGCCTGTGCTCAATTTCTCTGCCTTTCTTTAGAGAAACTCTCCTCACATCTTTCTCCTTTCTCATTCTCTCTTTAAATTTCTTCACTCTGGATTTTTGTCTCCTGCCTTTTCCGATACCAAATTCCAAGCGTCTGTGATCTGCCCTACCTTCTGGATTTCTCAGGAATATGTTGGCATGGGCCATTAGCTGTATCTTTTCTCATGCCCAACATTTAATTATGCAAAATGCCAAACATACAAGAAGTTGAAGGAACACTACAATGAACCCCTCATATGTTTTGCACCTAGATTCAATAATCTCAAACACATTTTGTTGTGTTTCCTTTATGTTTACAATATGTATTTTATCTTCTAATTTTTGCTGATTCATTTGAAAGTTACAGATGTACAGATTCATTTGAAAGCATCTTTAAATACTTTAGTATGCATCTCCAAAATAGGAGGTGGTTTTCCTACATAAACCTCTCCTTCTGGACGTACTTTCTCTACTTTTTTCTTCATTTTTTCTTCTGAATGTATGGGCTTTTAAATTTCTTTTGCTATACCTCCCTCTTTTCTGTGACCCCTATGTGTGGTTGTGTTTCCAGTCTCAGTTCTTGTTCCTCTTCTTTTCTCTCTTTAAACTTTCTCTTTAATTTACCCTGTTATATCCCATGGAATTTAAATAACATCTATAGTCTGTTCGCTCCAAAATGTTTATTTTCAGTCCAGTCTTCTCATGCTTGAACTGTGGATATGTTTATATAACTGTTACTTAACATCTTTATTCTGATATAAAATATGCATCTCAAATTTAAAATGGCTGAAAGAGAACTCACTTCTCTCATATCCCTTTCTTCCTCTGTGTAGTAAAGAATCTAACCTTGCCCAAAGATAGATTTGGCCTTTGTCCTTGACTTCTGTGAGGTAATTTCTAAGCCCTTGGTGTGTCATGCCTGAGGGAAGTGTCTTTATTTGCCTATGAACCTTTGGTCAGAATAGTCTAACAGTGTGGTTTAGAGTGGAGGATGGACACACCAGAAGAATCAGCAGTATGATTTGGAGGCAGGAAGGGTGAGTCACACAGTATCAGTAGAGTTCCAGGGAGAGTAAGGACTGAGATCAAACACTTGGGCAATCAATCTTGTCTACATGATGGAGCCCCAATAAAAACTCTGAACACCAAGCTCAAGTGAGCTTCCTGGTTGGGAGTTCTCCATGAATATTGTCATATAGAGATGTGGAGAAATTCATGCTGTCTTGACCCCACAAGGAGAGGACAATTGGAAGCTCCATGTTTGATATTTTTTTGGACTTCAGTCGGTGAATGTTTTCCCTTGGCTGATTTCAATCTGCAATAAAACATAACCATGAGCAAAATAGCCTTCAATGTGTTCTGTGAGTTCTAGTGAATTATAAAACCGTAGGTGGTCTTGGGGACCTCAAACTTGTAGCTGGTATCAGAAGTGAAGGTGATCTTGTGTGTGGGCTGTTCCCTCTAACTTTTCATTTGGCTAAACCTTCACATCCCCTTTTCAGTTATTACTTGTTAGTTTTGAGGAAGTGATTTAAATTCACTCTGCTTTTTTCCCCATATTTGTAAAGCGGGTATACTTTTAGTATTTATTTCTTAGGATTGTTAATAAATGGTTCAAATATTGAATATGTGAGTCAAACAAGCAAATAAATGCAAAGCCAGCAGAATAGTGCTTGGCACTATTATTGGTGTCTGTATACTCACCATCTCTATCATTAATACTCTAATCAAGGCCATTGTTATCTCTCAGATTACTTCAGAGCCTCAAACTGCTTCTCTGCTTCCATATCTCAGTCTACAAATTATTCTTCATGTAGTACCAACAGTAAGCTTTTTCAGGCATGTGATTTTACTTATAATTCCTAAATGGCCTTGTGTCATACTTAGAGTAAAGTCAAAATTCTCCTTAGTCAACTGCCTACTCAACTCCTGCCCATCTCTCCAACATCATCCCCTACTGCTCTTCCCATGCTTCAGCCACAGGCTCCTCTGTACAGGGGTCTCTGCCTACAATGCTCTTCTTACAGGTCTTGGCACGACTTGATTCTTCGTATTTTGGGAGCTCCATTCAAGTATTGCCCATTGAGAGGTTTCAGCTGAAATCTTTAAAATAGAATCCTCCCTGACAATAGCATTCTGAATTTCTGTACCCTTAACTGGTACAGAAATTTTATTTTCCTCAAAACCTGTTATTAATTTTTGAATTTAAATAGCCTGTTGTTTGCCTGTAATCCCAGCACTTTGGGAAGCCAAGGCAGGTGGATCACCTGAGGTCAGGAGTTCCAGACCAGCCTGGCCAACATGGTGAAACCCCGTGTCTACTAAAAATAATAATTAAAAAAAATAGCTAGGTGTGGTGGCAGGTGCCTATAATCCCAGCTACTCCAGCGGCTGAGGCAGGAAAATCGTTTGAACCCAGGAGGCAAGGTTGCAGTGAGCCAAAGTTGAGCCACTGCACTCCAGCCTGGGCAACAAGAATGAAACTCTGTCTCAAAATAAATAAATAGCCTATTGTTAAGAAGGAATTGTGGGGGAAGGGAGTGGCAAGAGTAGACTCTGAGACTCTATTTAGAAGATGCTATGATTTGAATGTGTCTCCCAAACCTTTATATGTTGGAAACTTAATCACTCTGTTCTCATGAATGGATTAATGTCACCATCACAGGAATGGGTTCATTATCTTGGAAGGGGCTTTGTTATAAAAGCTGACTCTCCCTAACTCTCTTGCTCTTGCCCTCTTTCCATGTGATCTCTGCCATGTTATGTTGCAAAAGAAGGCCTTCACCAGATGCCAGTGTCACACTCTTGGACTTTCAGACCTCCAGAACCATGAGCCAAATAAACTTCTTTTCATAAAATAATAAATAGCTAACATAAATAATTTTAAACATTATTCATTTATTATCTTTTTCCTCCAATTGGATGTAAGTTCCATGAAGGTGAAGATTTTAGCTGTTTTGTTGTTGTTGTTGTTGCACATAGTGCCTGGGTCATACAAGATGCTTAATAGATATTTGCTGAATTAATAACTGAAGGCTACACCAGGGGGCGGGGTGATATGTTGTCTTCACATACATAATTTAAGCCCCAGGCATAGGGCCTGACACTTAGTAGGGACTTACCATTCCTTGACTGAAGACTGTAGCAGCCTGCGTATTTTTTATAGAAAGATTTTTAAAAAATTAGTTGTTCCCAGAATTTACTCTTAAGCTTTCTTTTCCTGGCAGGCTAAAGTGGAATTCCCACTCTTACAGTCTTGTGAACAAAAAAAAAACAGCTCTCATGAAATTATTGTAGTACTTCTCAATTGCCACCTCTCTTTTTTCTGTCCTGAATGAAATATTTAGACTGTTAAGGTATTGCAGCTCTATAGACTCAAAATGTTGTTATGAAAGGATTATTATAAAAATTGAAATCTATACACCCACTGTGCTATGGTTTGAATACTTGTTCCCTCTAAAACTCATGTTGAAATTTAACTGCTACAGTAACAGTATTAAGAGGTGGGCCCCTTAAAAGTTGCTTAGGCCATTAAGACTGCACCCTTAGGGGCAGAATTATTGCTATTATATAAGGTGACTTTGGCCTCCTCTTGCCTTCTCTCCCCTCTGCCTTCTGCCACAAGATGAGAGAACAAGAATGTCCTTGCCAGATGCCAGACCCTTGATCTTGGACTTCCCAACCTCCCAAACTGTAAGAAATAAGTCCCTGCTCTTTATAAATTAGCCAGTCTTCGATATTTCATTCTTGTAGTACAAGATGGACAGAGACAACTGTTTTACAGAATTCCAGTTTTCAACATAAAACTGTGTTAGTCACAGAGTCTGTTCTTCTATTTGCCTAAATATGTATCTATTTATGTGTGTGTTTATATGAAGCCCATATATATATAAGATTTTATGGTGTTAACCATATTGCTAAAAATGTTCTAAATGTAAGACATGATACAAGGGCAGTAATGGAAAGGCAGAATCTGTCATTCTTACATTACAGTCTCTCCTACTTAGTGTGCTAAGATCAAAATGAGGCTGGAGATTGCTTTGTTGCAATCAGAACCAGCCCTCCCTGGCAGAAAAGCTTATCAAGGAAAGCTTTTCTTTGAATTATGGAGAAGGGAGGTTTCCCTGTCATGGTTCATTGTCTCTTATTTAGGAGAAGCAGGCATTCATTTTAGGGGAAGGTCTGTAGCTTCCTATTTGCAAGCAAAACCTTCCAGTAGTTACAAATCATGACACTTGGTTTTATTCCAGTAAATGGATTTATTAAGAGGAAAAGGGAAGGGAGGGAGATTGAGGAGGAGAATTTTAATGCAGAAATTAAGTTTGAAAATGCTTGGGAAATGGGAAGTAAGGGACACCAGTGAAAGCATTACCAGTATGATTGACAGATTCTGTAGGTATCTGACTCTTTTTAGTTAATTTATAATGATGCTAGTTACTCTTTCTACAGTGCAGCAAATACTGCTGTGGAGTCATGAGACCTGGATTCTTATCTGATTTACTACTATTGTTATTTAAGAAGTCTTTTAACTTCTTGAAGTTTTCTTTTCACATGAATCATGAGATATTAATATTTTCCTATCTACCTCCCTGGGTGGCAAAGAATTGAAAGTATGAAGATATATATGGAAGCATTAAGCAAACTACAAAGTAGTATAATATAAACTATTCTAAGACATTAAAATTTTTTTTTGTGCCAAACTTAACATTCTAACTAAAACGCATATAATCTGTTTAACAGAGTGCCTAGGATGCAGTAAAAACATACAGAAGTGATAGAGAATATTTTGATGATTATCACACTATTTTTTCTTTAGGAGCAGACCATCTCTCTGTTGGTATATTATGTATAAATCAATGATTAAACAAAAGCTAACAATTGTATTATATCTGTGAAAGCATAATACATATATACCTGCAAAGTTGTGTGCAAACGTCTTTTCTTTTATGATTTTATTTTTATTCGCCTTCCACAAGCATTCATTGCCTAGCACAGTGCCTGGTAGTCATCATACAAAGACAAAATGTGTCTTGCCCCCAAGAGTTTTCAAGTCCAGTAGTATAAATCAATGCCATCAGGTTTGATGGGTGTTGTGATAGATATGTGAGCACAAATGAGGCTCATTGGACTATATGCAACTTGCTTATCTCAAGGAAAGGAACATCTCCCTTAGGTTTGCTTTTGCATATAGATTATATCAATATGTGATGAATCTTGGCTTATTTTAAGCATTTTGTCATTTGCAGAATAGCTTAACACTGATGGACAGGTTGAAAGTCAAAGGTTTAATTCATTTGATCTTAGGACAAGCAGATATTGATTGGGTTTTTTTTTTTCTGATGCCAAAGATTGAATTTAGACTCAAGGTAAGCTCAAACAAAATAGTGAATTCACTATTTTACAGAGTTGGGAAGTTCAACATTGCACTGGCTTCAGGCATGGCTAGCTCTAGGGGCTTAAACACAGCTTTTTTCTTTTCTCCTTCCTTCTCTTTCTTTTTCTTTCATTCTCTCTTTCTCTTTCTATGAGCTTTGCTTCCCTCTATGTGTCATTGTTATTTCCTATGAAAGACCAGTCTCCTCTCTACACCTTAATAGTCACAGATTCCCATCCTTTCAGTTTATCAGTCTTAGTAGAAAGAAAACTTTTACTGTCCAGTTTCATAATTCAAATCTAAAAGGACTGTTATTAGTATTCATTGAGTCATATGCTCACCTTTGGAACAACTGCTGTTGTTGAATGAATATGGTACTAGGTTTTGGTGAGGTGGCTGCAGTAGGCTAAATGATTTTCCTGGCTCAACATCAAACAATCAGCTAGTGGTAGGAATTAATTTCTTGATTTCTGATCTTTACTGAAACAAATCTGTGCTTTTGCCCACAACTGGGACTTCCGTAACATGAATAGTGCCATCCAATAGAATGTAATGTAAGCCACAAGTGTCAACCACGTATGAAAGTTTAAGTTTTTAGTAGATACATTTAGATATATTAAAAGGAAAGAGGCACAGGTGAATTTTATAATAGATTTTATTTCAAGCTTCCAAATATTATCACTTCAAAATGAACTCAATATACAAAACAATTGAAATAGTTTATATTCATTTTTTCATACAAAGTCTTCAATATTTGGTATGCATTTAACCCTTATAGCACACCTCAGTCTGGACATGGCACATATTAAGAATGCAATGGCCAGGCATGGTGGCTTATGCCTGTAATCCCAGCACTTTGGGAGACCGAGGCAGGTGGATCATTTGAGGTCAGGAGTTCGTGACCAATCTGGCCAACATGGTGAAACCCTGTCTCTACTAAAAATACAAAAATTAGTTGGGTGTGGTGGCATGTGCTTGTAATACCAGCTACTTGGGAGGCTGCAGCAGGAGGATCAGTTGAGCCTGGGAAGCAGAGGTTACGGTGAGCTGAGATTGCACCATTGCACTCCAGTTTGGGCGAGAGAGTGAAACTCTGTCTCAAAAAAACAAAAAAAAAAGAATGCTGTGGCCACACACCATGTGGCACATGGCTACTGTAAGTATACCGAGCGCCTCTAGAGACATGGAGCCAGAGAGATGTGGAACGAGGGGGAGAATCCACATTCAGGATGACCCGAGAATCACTGAAGCCAAATGTTTACGTTCTCTGACATCCTTCCTATTGATAAATATATCATATCAAATGATTATAAAATAATTTATTATATTTGCGATGAAAAATCTGTTGATCCTCTCTTCATTCTTTCTTAAGATTCTAACACTTAAGAGCTTCCTGTTGTTTTGTTACTTCCATTGCTTTGCATTTTCAATAGCACTTAGTTAAAATTTTCTTCGTTACTCTAGTGCTTGCCATTACATGCATTTTAGAAAATGATAAAAAATGATCATAATTATATAAAGATTTTCTTTCTTAAGACTGAAAATCACAGAAGGGTAATGTTTTTTTTTGTTTTCATTTTCAATGGTGAAGATTTGCTTGAAGTTATCTTTACGTATGACAATTTAACCATTTAAAAACTTTGTGTATGCTAAAGTTAATTGCTTTCTTATTGAGTCTTATTAAAATGTGGAGTTGCAGTTAAGAAATGTAACAAAAACTGTTTTCTGCACCCATACATCTTATAGGGAAAGATAATCTTAGTTAATGCTGCTTCATACCATGGTAAGCAAGGCATAAGTTAGGATAGCTTTGTAGCAATCTACTGTAGTTTACTGGCCAAATCCACTCCTTTCTTATCGTAATTCCTTAAAGCAGAGTTTAGCACAAATAGTAATGAAGATTTTAGTTTATTCATTCATTTATTAAGAAAGAACATAGGTTTGCTATCCATATGTAAATTCCCTTAAAAAGGGGTATTTTTTTTTCTATTTCTGTTTACTCTACATCCCAAATGCCTAGAGCAGTGTCTAACTCAGAGAAGACATTCAATACTTATATGTTGAATGAATATACCAGGTAGCATAAATAAAAGGCTCATTTAAAACTGCAAAGGGAAAATGGGATATTAATTTTGGGCACATAATATGCTAGGCTCTGTGTGAAGTTTATAATACATATTATACATGAAATTCTTATAAAAATCCTGTGAAACAACTATTGTCCTCATTTTACAGCTAAGAAAACAGAGAGACAGAGAAGTTAGTAGATTTCCCAAGATCAGATCATTAAATGATGTAGTTGGGATTGACTTCAGGTTCATCTGATCTCAAAGCTTTGCTCTTTCATTCCATTAGTTCCTTAAGGCTGCCGTATAAAGTATTGCAAACTAGGTAGCTTAAAACGACAGAACTTTACTCTCTCACAGTTCTGGAGGCTCCAAGTCCAACAGCAAGTTGTCAGCAGGGTCGTGCTCCTTCTGAAACATGTAGATAAGGAGCCTTCCTTGCTTCTTCTAGCCTCTGGTGTTTGCCATCATCCATGGCATCCTTGGCTTGTAGGTGCAGCACTTCATTCTCTGCCTCATTGTCACTGGTGTTCTTCTCCCTGTCTCTCTCTCTTCTCTTGTTACAAGGACACTAGTCACTTTGAATTAAGAATCCACCCTACTTCCGTATGGCCTCCTCTTAACTAATTACTTTTGCAATAATACTATTTCCAAATAAGGTCACATTTTAAAGTCTTGGGGGTTAGAAATTCAATATCTCTTTATTGAAGGGACACAGCTGTACCATAACATTCATCATACTTGATATTCATCCAGCACAGATACTTATTAATTACCTGAAAAGTCCAAGGCACTGGATGTGTTTTTATGATGGAGGGATCCAAAAAAGAATAACGTGCTTTCATCTAATTAGGAGGAAAAGATGTATTTCTATAAAAATAAATGTCAATGATAGGTAGTTTTAGATTTGGTGAACTTGAGATAAGAGCAGAACGTGGAAGAAGAATTATCTTGCAGAAATTTAGAGATAAATCTCTAGAGCTTAAAAGAGAAAACTGGGCTAGAAATTGAGGTCGAGACCACTGTACACAGAGGGGAGAGTAAAGCAATGAGAAATGGTGGGACCTCTGATGGTCAGACTCATAGGAGAAGAGAACTGGCTTTTTATGAAGAAAATAAAAGCAGTCAGTCAAAAAGGGGAGGGGCCATAGTGCAGAGAAGCTCAGACATGGCAAATGCTATGGGACAGACCAAAAGAGCAAGAGGAGGAAATAAGACCGCTGGATAGTAGACTTTTAATGTTTTGGGAAACTTGTGAGGACAGAGTTTCAGTAGAGTATTTGACTCTACAACACAGCAGGGGCAGGTATTTGACTGCAGTTTGAATTTTGGTTGGTGCAAACAGAAAGCTGGACATTGAAGACCACTATATGATGGTATGAAGTGAGATTGGGCTTACTTCTAAGAGCTGCTGTGAATGTGATTTCTGGTTTCAATGAGGTTCAAGTCCACCTCCTAAAATCTTAACTGTGAATTGATTAATCAGTTTCTCAAGTGTTTGAGTGTCTATTATGTACCAGGCATGCGTCTCATTGATGGGACTGTCACGGAGAAGAAGAAGAGCATCATTCATGCCACCATTAGCCCTTCTATTTCTGTAGGGAGATAGGCAATCAGCAGGTAACTGAACACGTATGTAATAGAATCCATCCTCATAAAAGCTATGAAAAAAATAAAACAGAGTGTGAAATTTATGATTGACCAGGGAGATGAGGTAATGAGCTAAGATTAATTTTTTTTCAATTAGGAGTTAAATGCAAGACATATATTTATATGCCACATACCCAGGTATTATAGAAAATAATCAAATTTAGAGACTAATTGTTAATTTAGTCATCTTGTTTAATATTTTTTTCTGTGTCTTATGGGGGAAATGATGCAGTTAAGGAGGAACTGAACTCTGGTCTTCTATTATCGTTGAATCATAATATTATAACCACCTATCCTAATTTTGGTGTCCACTGCAAATTTGTATACATGTCTTTTGTGTTCCAGTCCAAAGATGTTATGAAAATATAGACCTTGGCAGTTTGTGATGTACTAAGGTAATTGCCATATTTAAATGTAAATGATTATCATTTTGAATATTTAAGAAATCAAGGTAAAGAGAACTGAATTTTAACATTACTTAGATGATATAAGCTGAGGGATATTGTAATGGAAGAATAAAAAAATCGTAAGGGGAGTAACTCAGTTTAAAAGATGTTTGTTAGATGTTTTTCAGTGAATTAAGAAAAGATGAGATGCTGTCACAGGCTCTGTCATGGTCCTTAGAAGCATGTCTCTTTACAAGTGTGGAGGTGATGCCCATTTAAAGCTTATCATTATAAGGGTATCTTTGTCTAAGAAAAGGACTGCCATGTTGTTTCAGTTTAAATGTCTGTGGATTTCTGATTCCAGAGAATTATTTTGATATCAGGGATATTTGTTGTTTTGAAAAACCTGGCTGGCAAATGCTTTTTAAAAAAATCAACTCATTACTTGGTTTTTATGTATAAGGGTAACACGTGACATCCAAATATTTCATTTTGTATAGCTTCATGTCTTAAAGTTCTGATATAAATTGAGGGCTTGAAAATGCCATCTCCAGCAAAGATGGTGATGCTCTGATGGAGAGAAAAGAGGTGGCAAACCGCTCTGCACTGGTGAATTCAACAGAGAGGATGAAGCAAGGCAGTGTGCCGGACACCCCCATCCCCGTTGCCCAAATCCTCCAAAAGAACATATTCTCACATGTCACTGCCAAGAAAATAAGGTCAATATGCATCTAAATAAATTACAAAAGACCCTTACTGTGCAGTAGGCAGCCAAGCCTCGAGGCGCCATGCTGAGTTTGGAGGTATCACCAAATGTGCTGGCTCTGTGGGAGAACGGCTTTCTCTTCCTCACCGTGGTGGGAAAGAGAAGGCTGCTGTCACTGTTCTTCCACTGCCATCTTTGCTGACAAGATTTGGAGTGACAGTGGCCTGTGGCTTCATCAGTTGAGAAAAGCACAGTAAATTGGCAGCTACTATAATGGCAAGTATGTCTACTTCCCTGCCTGACTCCTTTTGGAAAAGAGCACAAGAGCATATGAAAATTGTGCCTCATCCTCTGACTTATATGGGCAAATGCACCTTCTCTGTTGACCTGTTGATTATGATGCTTATGCCTCCCTTGACTGCCTGGGTCTATAATGATAGGCATCATAAAACCAGATAGAAACACACAGTCATGACTGCAAACATTCATTCACATAGCAGAGGCTTAACAGTCCAAAGTACCAAGCAGATCTCATTTGACTTTGTAGTAAGGTTTTATGTGTAATCATGACAGATGTTCAGGGAGATTATCTTTTTCCATCTCCACCCTGCCTCTCTGCAGCTTGCTCACACAGGACTCGCTCCAAAATACCCTCTCTTTTGCAAACAGATGAAGCTTGAGGCCTTCAACAGTACGAAGTCAACATTCTACTCATCAAGCATTTGCTTTCCCAACAGATGAATGCTCCTTTCTCTTAGGCCAGTGGCAGGCTGCCCTGCAAGTCCTGCTTGGCTTTTTGTGCCAAGAGCTACCTGATGCCAACCAGAGGCAACTTCAAAGCTACTTTATGTCATAACAGAACTTTAAGAACTTGTCCCCTCTAATGATGCATACTGGATAGTAAAGATGTTTTGGATGTGTATTTACTTTGTCGCTAATCTCCCTTCAGGGGTTTAAAAGTGAATAGGCATAATAAAATGCTTCTTGCTGTTTCTCTTCAAATTTAGGGATTGACTGCACCACATGCTTTCTCTAGGCTTATTTGGTTATCTCTAAGTAAAGGCTTTTCTCCGCCAAAGTTCTCAATTTCCAGTGATACTTGAAGAGCATTCTGTTTGACACAGGCATTTCTCAGTCCAATTATGACATCTTATAACATCATCCAATATTTTCTTTTCTAAGATTGGAAAAGGAAAAACAAAGGCATAAGGATCTCTTTGGAAAAATTTTCAAAGCATGGGTTAAAGACCTATTTGGACCAATAGATAATGCCTTTTCTCTGTTTCTATTTTGTATTGTTTTTTGTTTTAAACAATGTTCCTATGTTTTGGCATTTCCTCTTTATTTGTTTGCATTTTCTGTGTTAAAAAGAAGGTATGTTTAGGCCTTATCTAGAAGGCACACACATTTAAATATTAAAATATCTCCCATGCAAACATATTTGGAATAGGAGGAAAAAACCAGGACATTGTAAATGAAGAAATGCTTTTATAAATTCAGTGTGGTCCTCAGGGTACTCAGGAAGCTAATTAAGAGCATCTCATTCCCTCTGTGGGTAATCACTTGAAATACAGAGCTTAACAGAACAGGGTATCAGGAATATAAGGAGAAATGCTTATCAATGGTCCCTGTTTCCTAAGAAGCACCCTTGTTGCCATTCAAGTGCCACACTGCACAAGTTCCTAAACTATGAATGACGCTAGGAATCTTCAGGTTGGAATTTATAGTCGTGTGGGACAAGAAAATTATCCAGGTCACCCCTTCTCATTTCAGTCGTGGAAGACACCAAAACCTAAAGGGGCTGAAGGAATTGTACAAAGTCACACAAAACATTAGCAAGTAGAAATTAGACCTCAAACTTCCTTGACAATTATTTCTTGCTCTAGGTTCCAAAGGAAATGATTCTCAGAAGACTTTATTTTCTTTTTTTGGAGGTCTCAGTACCATGCCATTCCACATTGGACATTTTCTGAACCGATAAACTGTATGGTAAAACAACAGATTCATACAAACTCATTTTGATTGGTTATTTCTTTCTTTATGTAGTTTCTTTTTTGATTGTCTTCCTCGTAAATTTAACATGGTCCCAATTGTAAATAAAATCAAGTGATCTGTTTTAAATTGACTTCTGAGTACATGTACTGGGATCTGTGTTCTAGGAAGACACCATATCTCTTGGGCTTTGGTAGACACAGATTGATTAGGTGCCATGTATCTCACATAGAGAAGATGTGATTCAGATAGAAAATGAAGGATCTCACTAGCCATAAAAGAAAGAAACAATATTACACAGTTAAAGTCTTGCCAACAGGACCAAAGTATGGCTCTACAGTCTTTGTGGTCTGAGACACCTCTCTGTTCTATTCCTAAATTTCAAAATTGATTCTTCTGTATTTAGTTCTTGGCAAGATTATCAGACAAGCCAATCTGTAGGATTGTTTGAATTCCGTATGTTTGGCATTTGAATTAAAGTAAGGATAAATTATAACATTTAAAGTTCTTTGAGGCAAGAGTTTGAAGGTCCTCACCCCCTTTTCTTTTATTACTTACTATTTGTCTTCGTTGGCTCTGATGATGTATTTTCAACAACATGGAGCTAATAATGACATAATAATAACTATTAGTTCAATCTATACATTGGCCAGTTAGTTTCATTTGATTTTATGGCCATTATTTTTAGGCCACACATCTCACCAACTTCTACTTTTAATTGCAATGGAGCTCAGATGACAGGGTGCAAATGGTTGAATGAAAAGGAATCACCACTGTTAGAGATAGTCCCCACCAATGGGATGCGAAGAGAGAAACAGACCATAATGATAGAATCAGGCAATAGTGTTCCTCCTGCAGAGGAAAAAGGGAAAACCATAAAGAATTTGAAAGTCCTACACATACTTAATAGATTAAAGACCTTTAATGTTGTCAAGGGTCTGAAGTTCCATTGGGTCTATTTGCTCTTGGATAATGGGTGCAGTATTTCTGTCTCTAAACTCCTTGGGACACCCTAGGCAAGCTGGCATTCGAAGCAGTTAGCCATACCCCTGAATCCAAACAGTTCTATTTAATAAATCCCTATTTCTGTCCACTGTGCTGAAGAAAATTCTGTTTATTGGATGTAGTAATGAAAGTGGAAATATGACTGGCCGTCTATTCCCTTCTGCAAGCCCCCTCAGGTTCTGGGTTGACTAATGTCTGGGGTCTCCGTCTTAGACCACCTGCAGTGATTCTCACCTCCAGGTATTCATGCCCCTGTGTAGTCCTCTTCCCTTGAGTGCAGATGGGACTTGTGACTTGCTTCTAAATAATAGAATACAGCAAAGATGATGAGATCACTGATGTAAGTTTGGTTTTGCTAGCAGACTCTCTCTCTCTCTCTCTCTCACTGATTTTAATAAAACAAGCTGCCATGTTGTGCACTGCTGTATGCAGAGGCCCATGTGGCAAGCACGGAGAGAGCCTTTAGACTGACAACCAGCAAAGAACGGAGGCCCTTAGTTTCCCAGTCCACAAAAACCTGAAGTCTTCCAGCAACTGTGTAGGCTTTGGAAATAATTCTTCCCCAGTTGAGCCTTCAGGTAAGACTTCAGGCCCAGCCCACATCTTCATTTCAGCCTTTTGAGATACCCTGGTGCAGAGGACCCAGCTAAGCCATGCTTGGACTCCAGATGCATGAAATTTGTGAGATAACAAATATGTGTGACTTTATGCTCGCTTGTAGTAATTTGTTACATAGCAATGGATAACTTAGGTGAGTCTTGTTATCAGTTGTGAGCGTACAGGTAGCTACTTGTTTGAGCTATTTGCATGCTGCACTGGGCCCCTTCATAATCACTCTTCTTAGGTGGAGGCTAAAAAGTCAACTCAGGTCTCTGTGACCCTTTCTAAAGAGCAGGAATCTATATTAGAATCCCTCTTCTGTCAGTTCTATCTTTGTGCTTTGAGTGTTCCACCTTCAATGACTGAGCCTAGAGACAGGAACAGATTTGCCAATGGGGACAGGAGAATGGAGGAGCTTAGCTTTAGTGGTCTGAGAATAGAGGCAAGTTTTCCCTTGTAGACAGCAGAAGAGGGAATTTTAATCCCTTAATTGTGATATTAATAAAATATCTTTTTATTAAAACATTTCTCCTGAGACCATAGCAACTTTTATGATTTCTGCAAGTATGAGACACCCAAAACCTCCGCCAAAGAGCTCAGGAATGCATTTGGCATAGGATGGTTTATTTATAAATTAGGAACCCAGAACTTTGGCTTTCATAAAAAATTGGTAAAACCTCATTCCATTTGGACATTGTAATAAAAATATCCACTTGGTTAGTCTCAAAAAATTTCCAGGAGAAAATGCAGTGAGCTTTAATGCTGAGTGCAGTAGCCTCTTTGCTTCATACTGGCATTAGTTTGAAGCTTTCTAGCTCGTACTTTTTACTAAGAAGGCCGAAATAGATTATAGGTTGTTTTTTCTGTTGCTGAGCTTTTTTTCCCCAATTGCTCTTCTGAGAGAAAATTGAGTGTATGACAGGAAAGACAAGCATGAAACCTTTCATAATCCAGGCTTGTGTTCTCAGGATATTGTCCTTGATATATGAGGCTGCTCATTGAGTCTTTCCTGGTGTTTATTTATTTGACCACATTTCCCCAAACTTAAATGCCTGCATTAATCAATACTGAGCTTCTCCACACTGAGTCTGCAGAGCTCATCAAGATGAGAACTTTTTAATTTTAAAATAAAAAATTCCTGATATATACATAATCCTTGAAGAAATAGCAGATCTATTACTGGCCAATAACATCAACAGTTGAGTTTTATTTTTGTTCCCTATTTTAGGGTTACTAATAGGGTTGGAGTGAGAAGAAAAGCGTTTACTTAGAAACTTATTAAAGAAGCTGGGATTCTTCAGGAGTTTAAGGCAAAGGCACAATTTATTCTTTCTTCATCACCTCTTTCATTCAATAAATATTTGAGCTCCTACTGTGTCCCACAAATTGTGTGGGTGGCTCTTGGGCTGTCATGTGAACAAAACCATCCTCCTGGCAAGGAATTAACAGTATAAGGGGATGAGATACACAGTAAATGACAAATATAATGGAGCTTGATAAAAGTTACAGTACTAACCCCATATATAAGGAAAGACTTTCTGTTATGAAAATAAATGACAACAAAACCAAAGAAGCTCCTAATGATTCATCTGACTGTGAAACTTGAACTAGCACTTTTTAGCTCACACAAAATTCATGTTCTGTATCAGCTCTGCTGGAAGAAGTGCAGGTAGGCTTAGGGGATAAAAAAGAGGTCCATGAGATGAAGAGAAAAGGCCTGAAGCACTCTTCTTGGCGGTCAGAATGTTATTATTTAAAATGCCACTATTTCTTTTTCAATCTGTTTAGTTTAATTTTTGCTTTATTCTCAAAATAAAATGAATTTTAAATTAGTGGGCAGAGCATGCATTTTAAAATATCATTAATTCAGTTAATATTATTGAGCACCTATCTTGCACTGGCACTTAGAATTTAAGAAGATTGGTACTGTCTTGTAGTTGGGAGATAGTTAATTCTTAAAAACAATGATGAACACTTATCTTTCTATATATGTACATAAGTAATTCTAAATATGTGGCTTCTGTGTATGATAGTTTTTTAATATGTCAGCTTAGTCTAAACTATGAGGATGAAAGAGAGGTCAGCAGCCATTTGGTAGCATACACACCTTCTTCTAGTGACCCAACCAAACGCAAATTTAGGCGCTGCCGTGATGGGATTTTGCAGGTGTAATTAAAGTCCCGAGTAATTTGGCTTTAAATTATGGAGACTATTCTTGGTAGGCCAGACCTTTCCAGATGAGCCCTTAAAAGGGGCTGAATTATTCAAGGCAAAAGAGTTCCCCAGAGCAGCTGGGTCTACAATTACCCTCTTTTTGCTGGATCTGCTCTTCCTGACTGCCTGCCCTACAGATTCCTAAATTCCTTGTAATAAATCTGTGTGTGTGTGTGTGTATGTCTCTCTCTCTCTCTCTCTCTCTCTCTCTCTCTCTATATATATATATATATATATATATATATATATATGTCCTCCTGATTCTATTTCTGTGGTTGCATCCTGACTGATGCACTGAAATTTAAAAACGATACTGTGACTTCATTTAACTTGTATTTTATGCTCTGAATGACTATCATTACTTATGAAACTGGGAAAACATTGTTCATAAATCTATGCAAAAATAACCCAAATATATTTCATGAAGTCTGGTTGGCCCCCAGTGCATTGGCTTTGCCTAACATCTTTGGTTAAACTGTGAAAGGCATCTGGCCACCGGGTGAATTGCCCATGTGATTCCATCACCATTGCGCGTGCTTGCAGCTTGTTCTGGCTCTGTTCAGGAATGGTGGGTCTTTCCAGCTGGCTGGGTGGGAAAGCAGCATGTGCCAAGCTCTGCTGGAACGTTTTGAAACAACATTGCATATAACGTAATTAAGTAGGGATGACTGAAGACTTAATGCCTTTACCAACTAGAGTCAAGTCTAAGCTGAACCCACAAGCTTTATCTTCTTTGTATTTTTAAAGGAAATAACATAAAATTTATGAAAAACTGGACTTCTTTGCATCCTTTTGATACCATCAAAATGTACACAATTCTTCAAATTTATTTGATTCTATTTTTATAACTTCCCTTATTATTGATTGTGAAAGAAGTATATACTCAAAAAATCAAAAAGATAAAGTATAAGGATTAAAAACCACCATAATTCTACCAGAGGTGACTATGGTTGTGACCTTAGTTTTGCAGCCTTTTGTTTGTTTGAGGCAGAGTCTTGCCCTGTCGCCTGGGCTGGGGTGCAATGGCATGATTTTGGTTCACTTCAACCTCCGCCTCCCAGGTTCAAGCAATTCTCCTGCCTCAGCCTCCCAAATAGCTGGAATTACAGGTGCCCGCCACCAAGCCTGGGTAACTTTTTGTATTTTTAGTAGAAGCGGGGTTTCACCATGTTGTCCAGGCTGGTCTCGAACTCCTGACCTTGTGATCTGCCTGCCTTGGCCTCCCAAAGTGCTGGGATTACAGGCATGAGCCATCACGCCCAGCCAGTTCTTTAGTCTTTTCATTGCATATCTAAGCCATGCTCTCCCCACTCGACTGTGTATCATAGGAGGCTGACCCCTGAAAATTCTGTTTCTCTGATTTTTTTGCCAAATGGCTTCTGACAGTTTCAGCTGACAGAAGGTCTGGTGGGAAGATGGGAGGACTTAGGCTATCTTTTGATCTCCCTCTCTGTCAAAGAGTCTGTGTTTCTGGCAGTGGTTCTAGATCCCTCCAGAAAACCCCATCCTTTGCGGTGTTGTCATCAGCAGTCCCTGACTGTATTCTCTAGCTCCTCTTGTGTGGCCCTGGCTCCTAAGATCTGATAATATCATTTCCTTTTTTTTTTTTTTTTTCCATCCCTCCCAGCCCTAGGTGTGGTAGTGACTTCGGATGTTTTTACTCACTGGTTTGCTTATTTTCCCCTATTTGGCTTTTGAGTTCTTCTAACACCTTTATAAATTAGTTCCCACAAATAAAATTCTTCTACTAAGCCACCAGACAAAGGCACCCCATTCTTGAACAGTCCATTGATAAATCCATTTGCTCTCAATACGAGTGCTTTTCTGTGGCCTTATCTTGTAAAACCTACATCTTATTTTTTATCGGCTTTATTGAAGAATAATTTACATATAACAACATTTACCAGTTTTAAGTGTACAATTTAATGAGTTTTGACAAATAGATACAGACGTGTAACCACCACCACACTCGTAGTATAAAACGTGTTCATACCATTCTAGCTTCCCTTGTGCCTCTGCAGGGTCAATTATTTCCCTCCACCCCAGCCTCCTGCAACCACTCATCTGTTTTCTAAAACTTCCTATTAATGGGCTCAGACAATATATTGTCTTTTGTGTCTAACGTTTTTCATTTCACATGATACTTTTGAGATAGATTTGTACTGTTGCATATATTAGTTTATTTCTTTTGATTGATGAGTAGTATTCCATTCTATAAATAGACCACAATTTTCTGTTAATTCACCAGTTGGATGATACTGGAGATACTTCCAGTTTTTAGGTATTTTAGATAAAATTTCTATGAACATTAGAGTTTAAGTCTTTTTGTGGATATCTCTTTTTCTTTACTTGGAATCTTTAAGAGTGGTATTGTTGGGTCTTCTGGTAGCTATGTGTTTAACATCATAAGAAACTGTCAGGAAGTTTTCCAAAGGGGCTATTCCAATTTTCATCCCCATCAGTGGTTTATAAGATTTTTATTTACTTCACATTCACTACTTAGTATTTTCAGTCTTTGTAATTTGTCCATTCTGGTAGGTATGTAGTGATACATTGTTGAGGTTTTAATTTGCGTTTCCCTGGTGACTAATGATGTCAGACATCTCTACCTGTGCTTATTTGTGATTTGTATACCATTTTTGGTAAAGTGTCTATAAAATATTTTGCTCATTTTTAATAGAGCTGTTTATTTTCTGTCTGAATTTTAATTGTTGTTACATTTTGCATACAAGACTTTTGTGTTTTGTAAATATTTTCTCCCATTCTGCAGCTTAAGTTTTTATTTTCTTAACAAAAATATTTATAAACAAAAATAATATTGTCTTTAAAGAGTAAAATTTAAAAATGTTTGACCTAGATTATATTACATTGGCTATATAGTATTCCATTTCATGAATATGCCATAATGTATGACCAGACTTCCTGTTTCCACAGCTTCACTGCTTGTGTGAGTTACTTGTGTCATCTTACTTAGCAATGTGCTATGATTATTTAGGATGGTTGTGCTTTTATCTGATATAAAATTAAATATTTTTAACTCAGTGGGCTTTTTCATGGAACACTTAAAAAGCAGTCTCTAAATCACTTGAACCCGGGAGACGGAGATTCCAGTGAGCCAAGATTGAGCCACTGCACTCCAGTCTGGTGACAGAGCGAGACTCTATCAAACAAAAACAAAAACAAACAAACAAACAAACAAAAAGCAATCTCTAAATCACACTGGCAAAATTCTTCTAAGGCAAAACACATTTCCATCTCTCACTCTCTCTCATCCTTTTCAACCTGAGGTCTCAGGATTCCTGTTAAAATGTACATTTAATACTGTAAATATCTTTTTCAAAAACTTTGAACATGTTAAAATCATACTAATGCCTCTGAATCATCATGGTCAATTGATCATATGCATTTATTAAATTAAATGACAATAAAGGGATAAAAAGTTACAAGTCCAAGAGAACCAGTAAAATGAAAGGAGAAATAACAGCAGAGAAGGAATCGAACAGGTTTTTTTTCCTTCTATTTTTTAATACATGGAAATCACATTGATAAGTAATAATGAATGAGCATAAGGAGGGAAGCAACACCATAGGTGTTAGAGGAAGATATTAATGAGAAAACAGTTGACTTTTCATATGGAACTCTGGAAGTTAAGAATTAACCAGTGGTAGGGGCTGTTGTTCCCTTGTCTGCAGGATTCTTACATCTAGCCATGCATCCTCATCGGGCAGAAAAGGAGATTTTACTCCCTGAGAACTGAAAAACCTGAGAAAAAAATCTCCAATATAGTATTCTGGATGTCCCTCTAGTGGAAAAAAAACAGCTTTACCATCCTCCCTTGAAGTCCCTTCCTGCGCGCCATCAGAGTCTGAACGCATTAGTGCTCTAGGTGAAGAATTAATGAATGACCAAAGAGTACAAGATTTCAGAGGAAAGCTTTCTACCTAAAAGAGAAAAATTATGAATCTGCAAGAAGCTGAGATAATTCAGGGAATAAGAAAAACATGTAAAAAGATCTTTAAGGGATATTCTAAGTTGAATAAGTGAAAAAGACTAATTTAGGTAACAAAATGAAGATGATATAAAATAGATACATTCAGATAACAACAAAGAGCTCTCAGAAATAGAGGAAATATTATAAATAGATAAATTTTATAAAGTAATTGAATAGTTGGATCATAAGGTCAAAGAAGTCATTCAGAAAGTAATCCAAAAAGTCAGGAGGGAGTAAAACTAGAATAGAGATTTAGGAGGTTCAGAGTCTTATTAAGTGGATTATAGATACAGATAAGAGTAATCACACAGAGAAGAAAGTTATAGAAATAATACAAGAAAAAAATTCCAGAACTGAAGAAACTAAGTCTCAAAAAGATTAGTCTGACAGAATGAAAGAAAAAAGCCAACTATTAAACTGCATTATCACAAAATCTTAGTACCTTTGCGACAAAGTGAAGATCTTTAAGCTTTCAAAAGAGGGAAGAGAGTGCACATACACAGGATCTGAATGGAACAAGATCTCATACCAAAAAAAAAAAAAGTTGGAATCAAGACACAATGGAACAATGGTTACAATATTCATGGTGAAAATGATTTTCAGTTATCCATCAGGGATAATAATAGAATAAAGATTTTTTTAAACAACTCAGATAATTTATTTAGAAAGTAGAAAACAAAAAGTTTGACTCTAACGTCTATTTAGAATATGAACAAAATTAGAAACCGTTAAACTACAGAAAAAAAGGCAGAGATACTGAAGTTGGCTTAATGGCTATCCAATACAAACAGGCAAAACCCAAGTTACTTTCATGCAAATAAGCATTAAGGAAAAGAATATGGGAATGTTTACATAATGTGTCATGGCAAATATTTTTCAAATTTACATAAGAAACTGTACATAAATGAGGTAATTTACAAGAAATGTTTTACAGGTTACAATAGGATATAATTAATTATGAATAAAATTTGTAGCACATCATACATTTTTACATCACAGATTCAGTGTTAGAAGAATTCAGACATGATAAAACTTAGACTTGACAAGAATAATGTAATAGACGGAATAAGGCAACTTAGACTGAAATGGCATGTGTAAGTAAAATTAATCCCCAAATTAAAGGATTCCTTAGATGGGACATAATAACTTCTTCTAAGTATGATTTGGTCAATAACTGGGCATTTAGATAAACGCCATTCAATTTTAGTTAAAAACTTAGATTTAGCTGTAGTTTAAATAAAAAGTAAAAGCACACGGTGTATAAAAAATAATAAAAACCACCTTAGTATCACTTATATCCTAATACTATTAATTATATTTGGGACAAGCAGACTAGAATATTGGTGTTATTCTATAAAGTTACTTTCTATTTCTAAATGCTATAAACTAAACTAAAACAGGTTCCTCAGAAAAAAAGTAGCAAATTCCAAAATGGCTTAATACCTGTGACAACTATTGACTGAGCCAGGTATGACATTGATGAAATTCAGACATAATGTAAAGTTGAGATATTTTCCAGCATGAAAAACTCAAAACATGTAACTTTAGAGCGCACTTTTTAAAAAAGTTACTGGAGAATACATTTCGGCAAAATATGAAATGAATTTAAAAATTGAAAGACCTAAGATTAATGAAAAGTGTCCCAATACTGGAGAGTAATGAAGGGGCATTGAAAGATGTTGATAAACGGAAATTCTCAGACTACTGCAGTGAAGCAGAGTAAAAGAGAAACCCGTCCAGACTGAAGCAAGCATTCCAGGGGCTCTGGAAGAAAACACATAAAAGGAAAAAAGCGAACTGATTTTATGTATGTAGAAAATATATTTTATATATGCAGTAGATTTTATGTATGTATACATATACACATATCACTCAACTGTGCATTGAATAACACTTATCCAGACATAATAAAGACTAACTTTTATTTAATATATTAACATTTATGTCAACATGTATGTCAAATATCATATATTGAACAATAATATATAACATTTTGTTTAATATATTAACATCCATTTATGTTAATTAGGAGTATGGAGGCAGATGGGTAGGTGGGATGTGGGATAATGGTGGTATAAGAGAGATAAATCTTTATTTACTATAAAACAAAGTTGACAGATAATTCCTAAAACTAAGAAGTTAAAAATAGCAGTATAAATACATTTTAAAAAGTATGAAGCTGTCCCTGTACAGATGCCAAAATAAATATAGAAGTAAACATTGAAAGGAACAGCTAAGAGGGTTGAAAGTGGTTGGTCTTTGGGAGTGAGAATTGGTAGTGGAAAGGGATGGAGCAAGATTTGCCATTTTTCATTATAAACCATTTAGGAAAATATAAATTTTGTGCATGAATTATTTTGAAAAATTATTTAAAAATTTGGATCCTGGGCTTACAATATGTATATTGTATTATCGCTATTAATTTCTGGCTAATTTTCAGGGAGAATAAATGAAATAAAATCAAAATCTTTTGATATATCTTAAATAGATTATGTTTATTTAAATCAACATTGCTTTACAATAATAGAATTTTAAAAATATATTCCTGGTTTACAATATCATTTTTATGATTTTCAGAAAATCACAAATCATAACACAAGCTTCATTCATGTTCTTTGATTTAGACTCTATTTAATAGTTAGCTTTAGAGTTTATTTCTGTAACATCTTTCATGGTATAGGCATTTAGATTCTTACTGTCTCCTGACTGTGATACATAGTAATATTTAGCTTCAGATAGTATATGTGACTAAATCTTAGCAATCACCCCAAATTGTCTCATGGCAGGATGAAAGAGTAGCCTATATATTTGAAGTTATTGGATTACATAAATAGTGTTGTTATTTCTTTCTTAGATATGGAACAAAACAGGTGCAAAAACTCATGTGTGGACATGATGATGAAGCAGGTTATATTAACCTTTTCAACAAGACATTTGGGACAGGCAGTTAATCTATGAAGCCATCAAGTGGAAAAAATTCACAATCCTTACTGCTTTATTGAAAAACTGTCTAAAATGATATGTATCTGTATATATTTGGGTGTTAAGAAGAAGTAAGACCCCTGTTGAAAATTAAAATGGTAATATATTAACCTTACTTGTGAAAAGCAGCCCTAACAGATTTTTCCTATTTGATAGGGAGTGTTTTCTCTAATTTGTCTGTTGTGGTTAGACAAAATTCCTAAATTAGGTACTCAACTACAAGAGAATGTGGCAACTCTAGGACTCTGCAGAACTGACTGCTTATAACATTGTTCGTGAGAGTTGTTATTTGAAAACAATTATTGGAAACCTTAAATAGGCAGGGATTTGTATCCCATCAAATGAAAGTCTTGTTTTTTATGCTATTTATTCCTTATTTCAAGGTTTCTCTTGATCATCTGGACCTGAAAGAAAGTTCTGCATCAAAATAGATGGGGCCTGTTCTGAACTGTTGTTGTTTTTTTTTTCTTTTTTTTCCTTAAAGATTGGTGCAGGTTATTATATCATGCGTTACAAAGATGAAGAAATAGAATTAAACACTGGGAGAGGTGTACTCATTGTCACTATAAAGACTGAAAAAAATCTTTTTAATTGAGAGGGAAAAATAACTTTATTTCTTGAGAGAGAAAGAAAATATTTGTGGGAGTCAAAAAGAAAATAAAAGAGGATTGCCATTCTAACTGGCGTGAGGTGGTATCTCACTGTGGTTTTGATTTGCATTTCTCTAATGACCAGTGATTATGAGCTTTTTTTCATGTTTGTTGGCCACATAAATGTCTTCTTTTGAGAAGTGCCTGTTCATAGCCTTTGACCACTTTTTGAAGGGGTTGTTTTTTTCTTATAAATTTGTTTAAGTTCCTTTTAGATTCTGGATATTAGACCTTTGTCGGATGGATAGATTGCAAAAGTTTGCCCCTTTGGAAGCAAAATGTAAATAAATATGGTTTGTTTAAAAAAAAAAACAAAGAAAAAAGGAAGCAGTCAACAAAAATCTAGAGATTATCTGAAAGGCAGTTCGAGGGCAACTTTGAAAATCTGAAAATGATGAGAACTGTTATGCAATTGCAAAGTCTAAATTAAAAATTGGTTAAAAAGTTGGATTGACCTGTGAACTCTCATCTTCATGTTTCTGTACCCAAAATATATATAGCATTGCATGCTCCTCTAATTTAATAAATGGCTGTACAAATCAGAGTAATTCAATCAGTGAAAAGATAGAGGATTCATGTTATTTTAATTTGGAGATGTTCAGGTTGAGCCAGAGAATGCTTTTAATGAATTTTTTCCTTCATGCACATTTTTTTTTCCCAGGTAAAGGGAAGATTCAGGACCTTTTTCCTGGTATCTAAAACCTGACTGTTGTTTCTGCCGATGGAATGTTGCTGTCTGCTTATTAACTGAGTTTAGGAATTGGCTTGTTTAAGCTTCAGGGCATATGGAGCCCCCAGAATTCCGAGAGGAGCTCTTACAGTTTTGTATTAGCAAACCTCAAAGCAAATGCAGAATGTGGCCTTCTTATGAATTGAGCAATGGAGCATCTGGGGGCATAAATGGACAGTCGTTAACTGGCAAGCTCAAAATTCAAATAAAATTGTTAATACTATTTGCCACATTTGGCTCAGGAATGAAGAGAGTTACAGTCAAATGATACCTAAGTGATTTCATACCGTAACTGTTTTCTAAAATATTTTGTAATAATAATGTGACTACTTTTCAAAGATGATGATTTTTCTGTTCTAAAACATTTGGATGATCTCTAGTACAGAGTTGTGTGATTCTGAATCTATGCCTTTTCCATCCTGAGAAATAATTAAATAACAAAGTCATGGCTGGAATGCAGTGGGATTCATGCCAGGCTTTTTTCCACTTCTTGAGAGCCTGTAGAAAGTTTTTGGTCTCAGTGGAACATCTGTGTAGTCTCTTATAATCTCTTCTGTTCCGTTCAAGGATCCCTGAAAGAATTGAGAACTTCTAGGACTGTGGAGATATGCCATTCATACAGCCTTCTCCTTCCTTTCCCTCTTCATTTCCTCCTTTTCCCTCCTTGCATGGCCTAGATTCCACCAATGTAAAGGAATGGAAATAAAGCAGTATAAGTCTCATTATGCAGAGGCCAAAAGGAGATTTCATATTTAAAATAAATTGGCAGGCCGGGCATGGCGGCTCATGCCTGTAATCCCAGCGCTTTGAGAGGCTGAGGTGGGTGGATCACTTGAGGTCAAGAGTTTGAGACCAGCCTGGCCAACATGAAGTCCCGTCTCCACGAAAAATACAAAATTTAACCGGACGTGGTGGCACGCATCTGTAATCCCAGCTACTTGGGAGGCTGAAGCAGGAGAATCGCTTGAACCCAGGAGGTGGAGGTTGCAGTGGGATGAGATTGCACCACTGCACTCCAGTCTGGGCAACAAAGTGAGACTCCATCTCAAAAAAGTAAATAAAATAAAATAAAATAAATTGGCATTTACACAGAAAGGCAAAAATCATATGAGTGCTTAGCATCTGTTCTGACTTTGCTAATCACCTGATATTTCCTATCATAGTGAAATAGCCTAGGATGCCCATACAACTGCAAACTCTTTCTAGCTGGTTCTGTCACTCATTGTCTCAAAATTTCTTTTTAAAATGTAACTTTCATTTTTTAACATCCTTCCCATGTGAATCTTACTTGACCAATACACAAGTTTAGAAAACATGGGCTTTTTTCAAGTACAACCTTAATATTTTGGCATACTGGAAATCAGGGAATATCAAAATATACATTAACATGGTGACATGAGGAGTTTATTTCATGATCCTTTTATTTTCTGAGAGTCTAGATCATGGAATCAACTGAAGAGAGAATTAAGAAGACAATGTAATATTGCATCTCATACATTTTTAGTGAAGGGCTCATTTTCCTGCTCCAGGTTGCACCCAGATAAAACTTCTTGGTATAGTGGAGTTCAAGTGAACACAATGTTTTCTAAAATTCTGGCAGGAAAAAGTTATTATATTAGTTTTATTTTATCTTGTGCTGTAAGGGACCATGGCTACCAGGAATAATTAGATCTTACTGTACTAACACCTTCCAAGTAGAATATTTTTGAGAGGGATATGTGTTTGTATTGCTTTTAAAACACACCTTTGCCCTCAGAATTAACATTGACAAGGAGCAGCCTTTCAGAGGGAATGAATTATCTGAGTACCGATTTCACCTGGGATTGCTGTTTATTAATATTTATTCATGCTTTTAGTAGAACAAGAATCATAGTTCTTGCCCATTTTCAGAGTCATCAACTAAATCAACAAGAACAGTTACAGGTGAATTTAGAACATCCCTCAATATAACACAACAAACACAAAGCGTCTTTGGCTCAGTAAAACATATTTTCTTCCATTTTTTTTTCACCTAACTTGCACCTCTTATGAAATTTTACCATAGTTTTTATTTTTTGAAAGAGAAATTTGTCTGTGTTTTTAAGTAGAGACATATCTGCTTGAAATTGGCTTTAATCTTTCTGATGAAAAGGGCTTTTGAAACAAAATTTATGTGCTATGGCTTCATATCAAAACACTAAATGAAATTTCTAATACTTGCTAATAACTATCATAACAAGAAAAACATGACATTGCAGGTTGAAGTGTCTCAGAATTACAGAAAGACAAAAAATACCACATAGTAATAACAGTACTAGTACTTGTAATGTACAGTCAAAATATAATGCATCACAGCTTACTTTTTAATTTATTATGAGACTTTTTTTGTCACAGTCTTCAACAGGCTGAACCTTTTTCATGTCTGGATCATGTAAGTGTGGTGCCATTTTTTCCTTTAACAGACAGTAAAATGTCACTGGTAAATCATTACCCTCATCGCCTCAAATAACTCAAAGTATGCCTGTCAAAATGCAGGAAAGAATTCACATGATTACAAATAGGCTTATCATCACCCATCTCAGGAAACAGTAAGTAGTGCCAACTAGACGAGCACACCAGACTAATTTTAAGCCAGGAAAGGAGTCAGCTTTCACCAGGTTGAACATGTTGTTTGTTGGACATGACAACAGTCCTCCAAATTCCATATTGCACAGGTGGTGCCTTTGATTTTTCTCATAGTGATTATAGAGACAAATTGAGTCATCAACAGTTTCCAAAACAGCCTTTCTTATGATCAAACATGCATATTTGTTAGAAATCTTGGCAAATTTGAAGTGTCCAGAAATGTACAGTTATTTGGACTCCCTGAGTTTATTTTTTTAGCCAACTAGCATTCCAGTCATAATCATTCATTGTCTTCATTCCTGAGCCATATGACAAAAGCAGACGGGAATGATGCTGTATCTAGTTTCTTGTACTATATGCTAATTCTCTTTAAGCCAGAATGTTGCTAACTGTGCCAAGCTCATATCACTTATTTGGTTTTTCCTTTGCATAATTTCTTCAGTTAAAGATTCAAGTAAATCTCAGAGTGGATTTATATACCTGTTTGGAAAAGTCAGTGACTTTTCCATTGGTAAATGTGCCCTTTCATTTGTGTGAGAAGCCAAAAGCAATTAGTATTCTAGTTGAGTTCAGATTATAGCAAATGATATAAGCATATGGCCAAATATTCTTTTTATGCCAGATTCTACTTACTAGTTTTCACTTCCAGAGTCAATAAAGAAATCAATTCCATTGAAAAGGAAAATTCAATAAGAAAACCCTGTACCATATAACTGTAATTATAGATGAGCAATTTCTTTTGTAAAAAGAAAAAAGAGCAGAAATATAAATAGCAACTCCCTTATAGATCATTCAAAAGAACATGAAATAGCTATGCAAACAAAATGGCTATATTTTCATTTTTCCTTACATTCCTTACATAGAAATTCACAAAGGATTTGAACATTTTTTTTTCCTGATGAAATCATTGTGATATGTCATCATGGTGGTGTATGTACAGGAAAGGAAAAGCATTGTAAATATGTTGAATAAAGCTATAATTTAAAAACTGGATGCTTTTTCTCCAACACATTGATTTGATCATTAAAGCTTCCATCTGTGAGCTGGTTTAGAAGATATTGAACTGAGCTGCCTCTGATGTCTTTGGCTCTACAGACACTACATTCTCACTGTCCACATTACTTGTTTGATGACCTGATTACCAATACCTGCTTCATATGAATTTTACTTGAACATGCCTCAGTATTGTTGACTTTGTATGAAAAGCAGAGAATTATTTGAGACTGGTTTGCATTTTTTTAACTGTATTATTCTTCCAAGATTGTTTTTGCCCTAAATGTACAATTCAAAATTATTATAATGCTGTGCTTTGGTTGGTATCCAGATCGTGAATGTGAAAAAGCGGTTGTTTTATTTATACAGTAATTAGTTGGGAGGATTTAATATGGTAAATAAGGTGCTGAATTTTTGTAGAGTTAAGTCCTAGTGACTATAACCTTAGCATTCATATTCAAATCAAGAGAATTAATTAGCTTGTTTGCTAGCACCTTCTTCACCCTTGTGTAACCCTTCAATCCCTTCAATAAATATATGGTCATTTCACAGACTTTTCAAATGCTTTCTTCAGGGAGGAGGAAAGCCTGGTGGTGATTAAGCCTGAAAACAGAATTGTATATTCACTTCCAAAGATGCATGTGGGCAAATCTTATTTTTATAAAAAAGCCTTGAATCAAAATCTCATCATAAATAAGGTATTACCAAAAATATACAAGATGAACAAAAATGAGGTAAATGAAGGAAAAGCATAAGTTTGAACATTTGTAGTGTTTTAAAAATTATTTCATTAGGTAAAAAAACTATTAGGCTGAATGGGTTAATTCACTCACTCTTTTAACCTTTATTCTTCCATATTCTTTATTCATGATTCATTGACATTTATCCTCTTGTTAGGAGGGAATCCAGCTTGGATTAATGTCAACACATCTAATTACTTGAACAGGGAATCATCAAGTAGAATCCAGTGGTCCAGCATGTAGGGAACTGGTGAATTTATTAAGTTGTGTGGCTCATAATAATTTTTGCTGGTGACTTAACTCCACAGTTTTCATCAAGGTCTCTAAAGAGCTCATATCGCAAAGGGTTCAGGACTGTCTGTTCATTACCAATAGAAGATTGGGGTGTTGACAATATGCCACATTATTACCAAGTTCATAAATTCATCAGCCCATATTCAGTGTCAGATCTAACATAAACCCTTTCTGAAAGAGTTCATTATGTTCTCTCTCAAGTTACATGGTTTTTTTTGTTTGTTTTTTTAAATTTTCACTCACTGAGGGGCCTTACTAGTCCTAGTGTCCTGAACTTAGAAACCTAGATGTCTGTCATCTTTGCCTTTTCTTGTTTCATAACTCCCAACCTCCAGTCAATCATCTATGTTGTATGGATTCAGCACTATGCATAGCTCTCAAATTTTGCAACATTTTTTTTTTAAATCTTCAAATATCCCCTTCATTTCTCACTGAGATTATAGAATTTGCTTCCAAATGGATCTTTGCGTACAATCCAGGACAAGTGATTTTTCTAATGTACAAATCTGATTAAATCACCGCTCCTGCTGTTTAAAACCTCTATGCCTTCCATCTGTTCTCTAACAGATATATTACTAAGTGGCACAAACACAAAAATTCGCATGATGTAATGTATGACATAAAGAATGGAGACAATTTGATGTTTTTATTCTCTTTCTGTTATCACTTTTGTGATTAATTTCTGGCAATAGAATGGCCTATGTTTTAATGTACCACGACTTCTAAGAGACAATTCCATGTCAACATAGATGAAAAAAGTTTGTTACATGAGAAAGAGCTAAAAAGCCAACTTGAACTGCTAGGACAAGATAGTTGCATGTCGTGATTTTCCAGAGAAAGTAATGTTTATTTGAGATCTTAAGAGACTGCCATAAGATAGGAGAAAGAGTGTTCCAAGCAGAAGAAATAGCATATGCCACTTATTACAGTCTGTTGCCTGGCAAATGTCTATCTCTGACACTAAGCTATATGTTTTTGAGGTTAAGGACAATCTTGTATGAAATGTTTAATGTATACTCAAGGAGTTTTGATTATTTGTGGTGGATTGAATAAAAATGACTAAAATTGATCTTGAGAAATAAATATTATGTTTAAATTCCATGTGAACACACATGAAAAACAGTTTGTTACACGAGAAAGAGCTAAAAAGCCTAGTTGAGGTTGTTTCATGTCATGGTATTCCAGAGGAAGTAATTTTTTTTTTGAGATCTTAAGGGGCTGCCATAAAGTTGCCGAGTGTTCCAAGCAGAGGAAATAGCACGCAAGATAGGAATGAGTTGACTGGATTAATTATTACGTTTGTACACTGGTGCCTGGACTGGATTTAAAACCATAAATTTACAGCTTGGAGATAGGAAATTAGTTGGTTATTTGCAGGTAAGTCTGTCTTTCTCTCTTTTCCCCTATGAAAGAACATTTTATACTCAGCTTCTCTTTCTATGCTCATTATTAGCAGATAATACTCTGGGTAATAAGGACTTGATGAATTTTGATCAGGTTTTTGGCAGTATTGAGTATCTAGGAACATTTGAAGACTCAAATTTTAATATAAAATAACAAATGTTATGAAATCCAAAAGTTTGAGTATTAAAAAGTTAATAATGTATGCATCTTCATCTTTCAATTTATCTACTCCTAAATTAATTAATCAATCAATTATTTAAGTAAGCAAGCATTTTTATAACTGGGTATAGTGCTATATTCTGAGGGAAATGAATGTAAGACAAGGGTCCTTCTTTTACAAAGCTTGCAATTTATTGTGGATGTCAGACACCTGACCCTGAATTATAAATTAAAAATGATGACCTTGAGCTTTGAATTGTAAACTATAATTCCAGGCAGAATAGACCAGGGCATAATAATAGAGATACAAGTAATGAGGACAGAGAAAATTTATCAGTCTCATTGAAGAAACTGAGAAAGACTTTATGGAATGGTTGGTTTCCAAACTGTACTTTGAATGATTGACATTTTCATGGGAAGAGATTGGGAAGGCATTCTATACTGGTGTAACAAAACGAACAAAAACATGGAGATATTAGAGTATATAACATGCTTAAACAATTGAGACTAGTGAAATCCAAGAGGTTGTGGAGCCACATGATGGTAAAACATCAGTTCTTACATACTGGACTATTTTATAATTTTAAGAAATAAATGTGAGACGAATTAGAGAAAATAATGTAACCATCTTTTTTAAAGAAGACTTTGGTAGAAGAAGAGTAGAGCATTGACATACTTGGTGGGGGATCTAGAGTAAAATATTTATGTTTATTTTATTTTTAACCCCATGCTCTATCTGCTGGAAAAATATTTTTTTAAAGGAGATTTTACAGCACACTCATAGACTAAACAGAATGGTCCAGTAGATCGGAAAAGACAGAGGATGCAGTTGTGAAAGAAATTGCCATAGAAGTCCATGGTCTGCTCAGAGAGGGTTGGATCCAGAGCATGGGTTGAGGGATTTGCTTTTGCAGCAGCTGAGGCATTTTCTCCATTAATACCCGAGAAAAGTCAGTTAGAGTCTGCAGAGTTAGGGAGTTTGCAGATTTGGTGGTGGGAAGATGTAGACGTTCTGTGTTGCAATTTTAGAGGAATGTAGGTCGTCAGATCAATTTCTATTCTTAAATCTCTGCTCAATGATGACTGTTCTCTCCTGCAGTGCTCAGTGGTGAAGTGTTCGAAGGGGAGGATTGGGTGCACCAGTTGCATATAAATTATGATAAGCCACCTAATAACTTTCCCTCTTGCAATTCAGAATGGTTTTACATTCCCACTGCCTTGATTTAGGCCCTCATTATTTCTCTCCTGGATTACTTTAGTAACCCTCTAATTGTTTTCCCAGCCCTGGTCTCTATAGCCAACTCTCCAGACCACAGCCAGACTGATTTTTATAAAGCACACCTTATCAATTACTTTATTACTAAAGAAAAATTATTAAAAACTCTTCAATCCCTATAAGATTGCATGCATATTCCCTACCATGGTACCCAAGACCTTTCCTGCTCTCCTTCACCACCTCCTCTGCCACTTCTTCACGGCTACGACTCTTGTGAAACTCAAGCAGATATACTTGTGGTTTTCCTCAATGTCTCATGCTGTTTTATGGTTCCATGCACTTCCCACATACTCCCCTCTGTCAATAATGGCAGGTGTCCCCTGGTCTATGGGTTGAACTCTTCATTCTAGAATGAACATAAATGTCTTCTCTTCCACGTAGCTTTTTTTTTTTTTTAATTGAGATGGAGTCTGACTCTGTTGCCTAGTCTAGAGTGCAATGGCATGATCTCGGCTCACTGCAACCTCCACCTCCCGGTTTCAAGCGATTCTTCTGCCTCAGCCTCCACAGTAGCTGGGATTACAGGCATCCACCATCATGCCTGGATAATTTTTTGTATTTTTGTAGAGGCATGTTTTCACCCTGTTTGCCAGGCTGGTCTTGAACTTCTGACATACGGTGATCCACCTGCCTTGGCCTCCCAAAGTGCTGGGATTACAGGCATGAGCTGTAATCTACACCTGGCCCCACATAGCCTTTTTGATAGAGGTAAGAAATTTTCCCTTTGTGCTCTGGTAGTACCTTGTCTCAATTGTGTTATAAAATTGATTGTGAAGCTCTAGAAGTTACAGATTAGATTCTCTTTTATCTGTGTGTCTCCCATCTAACATAAGTGCTCAGGAAATAACTTTGATCAAAGCATAAACCAGTGAGTGAGAGAATTTGAGAAATTGAGGTTTTCATGTGTCTAGTGTGGGCACCAGGATACCATTCAGGAGGAAACACACAAGGAGATTCAAATTTGGGTTACAGGGAGATGAATGATAAGGATGACTAAACAAGCAAGTTAAGACGTTGAGTAGTCATGGCCCTTGAAGAGAATGGAAGCAATGTGGAAGAGTAGGCGTGGCCAGTAGCTGAAGGACATATAGGTGTGATGCCGGAGGGTGTCACCAACAATTTTATGTCTTTGTCTCTTCCCATTGGCCTTATGCTCCTACGTTTTCACCATACATTGGGCAAATTTTCAACCATGTAGCTAAATTGTTGTTACATTAGCTCTGTCTACTCAGAGACAGATTTTTATTTTACCCCAAAAATGTATAAGATATTTAATTGATACATAGTATTTATACATATTGATGGGGTATATGTGATATTTTGATACATGCGTAGAATGTATAATGATCAAGTCAGGATAATTAGGATATCCATGACCTCAAGCATTTAGCATTTCTTTGTGTTGGGAACATTTCAAATCTCTTCTAGCCACCTTGAATTGTAAAATACATTGTTGTTAACTATAATTGCCCTGCTGTGCTATTGAACAATAGAACTTATTTCTTCTGTGTATAGAGCCTTAATTTTTCCTTGCTTTAAGATATAAAATATTTTCTTGTGAGAAAACAAATTCTGAGTGTTTTTTGTCTTTATTAGAAATTTCTACATTTATGTGACAAATACTCTCATTTTTATTGTAAAAAATTTGTTTTTAATGTGTAAGATTTTCAAAATGTGGCTTTATAATTCTATGTTTAAAAATTCATTTAATTTTCTGCTCTTGCATTAATATGCTTAGGATATTGGCCTCTAGCTGCATCCACATTGCTGCAAAGGACATAATTTTCTTCCTTTTTTAAGGCTGCATAGTATTCTATGGCAGGTATGTATCACATTTTCTTTATCCAATCCACCATTAATGAATGCTTAGTTTGATTTCATGTATTTGCTATTGTGAATAGTGCTGCAATGAACATATGAGTGCATGTGTCTTTTTGGTTGAATTATTTATTTTCACTTGGGTATATACTCAGTAATAGGATTGCTGGGTCAAATGGAAGCTCTGTTCTAAATTCTCTGAGAAATCTCCAAATTGCTTTCCACAGTGGCTAAACTGATTTGCATTCTCACCAACAGTGTGTAAGCATTGTCTTTTCTCCACAGCCTCATCAGCGTCTGCCTTTTTAATAATAGCCATTCTGACTAGTGTGAGATGTTGTCTAATTGTGATTCTAATGTGCATTTCTATGGTGATTACTGACGTTGAACAATTTTTCATGTTTGTTGTCCATTTGTACATCTTCTTTTGAGAAGTGACTGTTCATGTCCTTTGTCCATTTTTTATTTGGATTATTTGTTTTTTGCTTGTTGATTTGTTTAAGTTCCTCGTAGATTCTGGATGTTAGACCTGTGTCAGATGCATAGTTTGCGAATTTTTCCCCGACTCTTAGTTATCTGTTTACCCTGTTGAATTTCTTTTGCTTTGCAAAAGCTTTTTAATTTAATTAGGTACCGCTCATCAATTTTTGTTTTTCTTGCAATTGCTTTTGGGGACTTAGCCATAAATTTGTTCTTACTCATAAGTGGGAGCTAAACATTGAATGCACACAGACATAAAGCTGCAAACAATAGACACTGGGGACCACTCTAGTTGGGGGGGGAGGAGGGGGGCATGGGCTGAAAAACTACCTATAGGGTACTATGCTCAACACCTCAGTGACAGGACCATCCATACCCCAAACACCAGCATCATTAAGTATATCCATGTAACAACCTTGCACATGAACCCTCTGAATCCAAAATAAAAAACAAAATTTCATTTAAGCGTAAAATGATACACAGAGTTGTATTCAATTCACATCAGGAGAAAATAGTGACTGATTGAGGAACTTTATATGATTGTTTTTCAGAATTATTATTGTTGTTATTTTACAACAGTAAAACCATCTTTACAAACAAAATCTTATGAGGAATATTAACTGATAAAAGAGACAAAGCCATCCTGATGTGGTTGAAGGTGGAGGTACCAGAGGGGCAGACCTGCTATTAAGTGTTAACTTTACTCTATTTGGCACAGAAATCTTTCAGGAACCTCAATGGATCCATCAAACACTGCAGAACAATTTTGATGAGACATTGCCCTACAGCAGTACTAATTTGAATAATATAGTATCTATTTCCAGACCAACACTATGGGGACTGTGGCTTAGTCCCTCTACTTTACTTTTTAGATAGATGGCTGATGATGGATCAGAGGTAGAACTGAGAGTGAGGCCAAAAGCTTAAAAATCTCTTTGAGGCTGGGCTCAGTGGCTCACACTTGTAATCTCAGCACTTTGGGAGGCTAAGACAGGAGGATTGCATGAGGCCAGGAGTTTGAAACCAGCCTATGCAACACAATGAAACCCCATACCTACAAAAAAAAAAAAAAATAGCAGAGGGTGGTGGCTCATATTTGTAGTTTCAGCTACTTGGGAGGCTGGGGCAGGAGGATCGCTTGAGCCCAGGAGTATGAGGCTGCTGTGAGCTATGATCGCACCATTGCACTTCAGCCTGGTTGACAAAGGAAGGCTCTAATAATAAAAAATAAAATCTCTATGATATAAAGTGCCTTAAAATATTATTTTTCTTTCTTGAAACCCTTGGAATGCTTGTCTTTTAAAAGAGCCTACAATGTAGTGAACCTCTGGCCTTCAAAAAACTAGTGGGCACCAGTTTGGTGTGTATAAGAAAGAAGGCAGAATGTGGGAGAGAAACTTAAAGCAATTAGATCCTAGGCCAGTCATTTACACATTTCTTTCCAGTACTGTGAGAAATAGGAAAAAATAAGAACAACGCAGTGTCAGTCAAATTGGCCTTTTCTTTATGTGATTATGGTGATAGAAGGTAGTATGTCCTATCTTGGCAAAATCAACAGGTGGCAACCCTATAGTGGTTCCCAAGTTTACTTTTTGGAAGATTACTGGCATCATTGAACCCCACAGTTTGGGAATTTTCTTTTCCATACCACAGGTATCAGAGATATTAGGCATAGTCAGCCTCTAGATGCAAGGAATGCAAGTACATTATTTCAAAGTTTTCATTTCTTGTATGTGAGGTAATTGGAATTTTCTGCCTCTGTCATGTTGCCTGTTTCTCATAGACTCACTTTATATTTATCATTTATCAGCCAGTGGTAACTGACTTTTTATACTCGACTAGTAAATCTTGGTCACTGAATTCTGATGATCGTTACAAATAGAAAAGCTGTGTGTTTGTGTCTGTGTGTGTGTGTGTGTGTGTGTGTGTGACAGAGAGAGATACTTGTGCTTCGTCAGTGAATATCTGAGCTCTAAGTGGTTGATTGAAGTTTGCAGTTTGGCTAAAGCTATTCATAAACCCTTTACTTCGTGCCTTCCTCTGCTAATGACAAGAAAGCTAAACACAGTTAACTCCTCATTTTCCTCCAGCCCTGAGCAGTTAGTTGACCCAGTTCTGACCAGGGAGATGGAAGCAGAGGCTGCTGGGTGGTGCTTAGGTTAAATTTTTAAAAAGGAACAGACCCTGTTGGTGTTCTTCTCTACCCACAGATCTTTACCTGTCTCCCCCATCCCCCTGCAACATAGACACTATGCCAAGGAATACATTAGCCCTCTGTCACCCATGGGTGAAAGCCAGGTACTGATGATGACAGCTAAGCAAAAAGAAGAATGAGCATGTGATAGCAGAACATTCTAGAAGAGCTGTGCAATGCTGGGCCTCCTCCTCTTTCACTTTTTGTTATGTGAGACCAATAAAATTATTTATCTGTAAGCAACGATTAGCTGGGTTTTCTGCTAATTGAAGCAACATGGAATTCCAAACGAAAACAGGGTTCAGTTGGGCTAAATGTTAGTTAGATACCAACTTTCACAAAAGTGAAAATTTAATTTTTTAATTGTTTCCTGTATTATTGCACATTTTATATTTTACGTAGTATACAGAATGTTTTTATTTGGCCTGTTTTATTTGGTAAGGTCTCAAATCCATTTCAACCCTCAATTTGCAGCAAGTATGCATATTTATTGCATAATTAACATAAACTCCACTTGAGGAGTGGAGTAAAAACATGTTCAGGGATGACAATCTGCGTTATTGAAGATGTTGGTAGTTATTTTACTCTAGATCTGAAATCTAGCTTTATTCTTTCATGGTGAGGCTCCAAATAACTGCCTAATTTGATTCATTTATAATAATTTTGGCTCTACACTGGTATATCTCTCTCATTGTCAGAATAATTGGATCCAGAAGGCTAGCTACGCCCACGAGATCTAGTGGGAGAGGGTTGAAGTGATTACTTGGCCTATTTCTCCTCTAGGCTTTAAACTTGATGGGTCAAGAAATTCTTGTGGTCCACTCATAGTCCAATTAAGCTTGCTAAGCCCATTGGTGTTTGGGTCAAAGACACGAGTGGCAATGCACAGGGTCATTGTGCCTGTGTGCCCTCTGCACAGTCCCCATGGGGATTATTTGTAGAAGAGTTTGTTAATAGGAGAGTCAGGGACTCTAATGTCTGCCATAATTTGTAGGGTATGGTGAAGACAGGCACTGAGGACTACAATTTGAGAAGCAGACACTCTTGGGAACTTCACACTACAGGAACAGCTATACATTTCATATTTAATGTTCTACATGCAGGGAACATGGCTCTTGCACTGAAAAAAACACTCAAGTTGGCAGGGATGGGAATCCATCTTCTGAGCCAGAACAGACTCTGAAGGAGCACCTGTATATCTGCTGGGTAACATCCCACATGCAGTGAGAAAGAATCCAGTCTTGGGAAGGATGGCAAGTTAAAATATTGAAAGGCCAGAAAGGTCTCACATCAAAATGAGCAAAGTTCCATTGTGCATATATTTGGACTTCCTGACTGGCATGGTCTTTACTGTGTTGGATTATCTTTTCTGTTTTGCTGACCTTTAGCCAGGGGTGTGGGGCAGGCATGTTTTTCAGCATTTATTATGAGAAGCCAAATTTGGAAATCCAGAATGTCAGTCGTAGGGAGCTTTTGTTATAAAGGGGATTTTCCTCACTTATTTATTGTTAATTTATTTGTTACAGCTCATAGTCCAAAATGGACTTTAAGGCAACAAATGTTTGGAATTTCTTGATGCTGAAACAACAACAACAACAACAACAAAACAACAACAACAAAACAGTTAAATAGAGCCAGAGGAAACTCTGTAAGCTTTCTTGACTACTGAGCCTGATTACTTACATGTGAACAGAGAGTTGTTTGGATTTTGAAAGGAGAACTCTGGGAATTGAGGGAAGAACACAATCAATAAAAAATTATTGTTGAAATCAATACAGAGACTGGGAAACTGCAAGTAGAGAGGCAGGAGACTTACAAATTCAGAAAATGGGGCTCTCCCTACTCTGACTTGAGTGGTTTGAAGTTGACAAAGCCCAGATGAAAAGATCAGGAAACATTTGAGAGGACCAGGACAGAGAAATGAGGGTCACATCCTGATGTAGGTGGAAAGGAGGTTCATCTAGGCATGTTTATGCTATTATCAAAATTGGAAGCATTGCTCACAGCCCAGTGAATTTCACAGCTGAGGAAAGCAGAGTCTAAGCGAGCATGCTGACGTCGCAATTTTCTCATGGTCCCTTAAGAAATGGACTTAGAAGGAAGCAAGAGTAGAACAGCAAGCTGTGAAGCCCATGGAGAAGGATTCTTCTCAAATCTGGAAATAAACAGAAGGATCTTCTTTAGTAATTGGAAATTACAAGCTGAAAATATTTCTGAGCATTATAGTTATGGAATGGCAGAACCAATATGACTTGGCATTTTGGTAGAGAAATACTGAAAAAGCTAAGGATTGAGATCATAGAGAATATAAGGTCCTGGAATTTAGGGGCTCACACATTATAAATGTGGATTAATCTGCTCATGGGAGAGAGACGAGTTTGGAACAGAGACTTTTCTCAGTTCCACACTGAATTCCAAGAATAAAGGAAAAGACTTGTTAGAGTAGTATACTAGGTTAAAAAAAACTCTACATAATCTCATGCATACAAATAGAAGCATTCTGCATATGTGACTATCATCTCTCATTGACCTCAAACAGAAATGTGAGATATCTTGGTCTAGATTTTAAGGTAATAAAGCCATGCTCAAATTACAGGCTGCTAAACTGATCATGTTTAGTGATGCTGAGATTTGCCTGTGTTTCCAATTTTTGAGTGTTATTTGTATGTATTTTGACAGCTCCCAGGAACTCTGAACAGATTGTGCTCAATTTGGGGAAGTCCATCATAAGTTCAAATGGAAGTGTTCAAGGCTTCAGTCATCCCAGTTGCAGTTCAAGAAGAGACCCAGACTCCATCCAGGAATGGGGTCAGACCCTCGTCAAGCTGGGACTGAGCCATGTAATAAGAAAATCTTTTCAACTGGTATTTGGAGGATGCCTACATTATGTCAAGAATTATTTTTTTATTTTTTATTTTTATTTTTATTTTTTGTTGTTTTTGAGACGGAGTTTCACTCTTGTTGCCCAGACTGGAGTGCAATGGTGCAATCTAGGCTCACAGCAACCTCCGCCTCCTGGGTTCAAGTGATTCTCCTGCCTCAGCCTCCCAAGTAGCTGGGATTACAGGCACCCACCACCACACCTGGCTAATTTTGTATTTTTAGTAGAGATGGGGTTTCTCCATGTTAGTCAGGCTGGTCTTGAACTCCCAACCACAGGTGATCCTCCCACCTCCGCCTTCCAAAGTGCTGGTATTACCGGCATGAGCCACCACGCCCAACCAGCATCAGGCATTGTTCTATGTGCTTACAGTTGAGATTCTTGTACTCTGGAGCTTAGGTTCCAGTGGGATGTGACAAACAACATACAATAAGTATAGCAAAATAAAGTATGTACTATGGAAAAACAGAATAGCATAAGGAGGATTAGGACACCAGGATGAAGATCTAGAGGCAGGTTGCAGTATTGAATAGAGCACTATGGGAGGCTTCAAGTAGAAAGTGACATTCAAACAGTGATTGGAAGAGTTAGCTTTCTGGGAAAGGTTTTGCTCGGGTGAGCCTTCCAGATAGAGGTATGTAGGGTGTTAGAGGAACACAAGAGGCCATTGTGGCTGAACCAGAGTGATGGGAAAGAGTAGGGGAATTGAGGTCTGGAAGGTATTGAGGAATATTGTAAGCAACCATAGGGATTTTTGAATTTTACTTTAATAAAGTAGGGAGATATATGAGAAATCTGAGTGAAGGGATGACATGATTTGACATTTTATTTATTTTATTTATTTTTGTATATATTTAAAGAGTTCAATGTGATATTTTGAAATACGTGTACAATGTCACGTCATTAAATCAAGATTATTAGCCATATCTATCATCTGGCTTACTTATTTTTTATGGTGAACCATTTGAAATTTGACCTCTTAGTTATTTTGAAGTATATAATACCTAATTATTGACTGTAGTAACTCTGGTATGCATTAAATCTTAAAATCTAGTCTTCTTGTTTATATGAAGCTTTGCACCCTTTGATCAGCAACTTCCTCAAATAACTAAATATAGAACTACCATATGACCCAATAATTTCAGTACTAGGTATATATCCAGAGGAACTTAAAGCAATATGCTGAAAAGGTATCTGAACTCCTATATTAATTGCAGCATTATTCACAATAGCCAAGATATGGAAACAACCTATGTGTCCATCAGTAGTATGAATGGATAAAGACAATGAGATACACACACACACACACACACACACACACACATAAATGCTATATATGTGTGTATATATATAAATGCTCTATGTGTGTGTGTATATATATCATATATGTGTATATATATCATATATGTGTGTATATATATATATATATAGAGAGAGAGAGAGAGAGAGAGAGCATTTCCCTGAATATACGTATTCACAGAAATGTTCAAGGCTTCAGTCATCCCAGCTGCAGTTGTTCGAGAAGAGACCCAGACTCTCCGTCCAGCCTTTAAAAGGGACATCCTACTTTTTGCCATACCATGGATGAATGGATGAATCTGGAGGATACTATGCTAAATGAAATATGCTAAGCCAGGCTCAAAGAGACAAATACTGCATGATCTCACTTATATATGGAATCTAGTAAAGTTGAACTCATTGAAGTAGAGAGTAGAATGGTGGTGACTAGAGGCCAGGGGTGGGAGAGTTGGGGGGTGGAGAATGGGAAGTTGCTTATCATAGATTTGATGTATTTTAAATGGGTAATTCTTGAGTTTGTGTGTAGAGTAGACAACAGGAAGCAAGGTAGAAGGCTCTGTCGAGTGTGGTAGCAGTGGGGATGAGGTGCAGTGGCTGGAGTTTGGTATATCAAAGGCAAAGTAATAGGATGAATTGATGTGCAATGTGAAAGACTGGAATAAGGGGGGTTTGGTGTGAACAACTGACAGGAAGGAATAATCATCTACCTAGTGGGGAAAGATATGGCTGCAGCAGATTTGGAGTAGGAGAAAGATCAAAATTTGGGTATGAACCATGGAATACTATGCAGCCATAAAATGAATAAAATCATGTTCTTCGCAGCAACGTGGATGCAGCTGGAGGCCATCATCCTAAGTGAATTAATGCAGGAACAGAAAACCAAATACCACATGTTCTTACTTGTGGGATCTAAATACTGCTCCGTAAACACATGGATGCAAAGAATGAAAAATAGCCACCAGGGACCACTTGAGGGTGGAAGATGGGAGGAGGATGAAACTCGAAAAACTACTTATTGGGTGCTATGCTTAGTACCTGGGTGGTGAAATAATCTGTACACGAAACCCTTGTGACACACAAGTTACCCATGTAACAAACCTGCACATATACCCCTGAACCTAAAATAAAAGCTGGAAAGAAAAGAATTGGCTATGAAAATGCTACGTTAGATGCTTTTGCCAGTTTCTGACACTTAATTAGTGTATTAGTTAATTTCTATGTGAGAATAAGAGAGTAACTAGAAGAAGGGAAAGGATTTGTGGTATCCTCAGATGGGATATATTTGGGATGTTTTATGGAGATGATTTGTATCTTTCAGATTATGATGTTACCTCTCAGTCATACTATGACCTTGATTAATAAAGCTGATCTGATTAAAAACTGAGGTAGGAATAATCAAAGGAACTTTGGTTTGGAGATCTGAAAGGCTAGGGAAAGCCTGAGAAGCAGGTTAAAAATTTTATTTCAATAAAGTTTTTTGAAGATCTGTGGGACTGAACTGTCCATCTTTTTGGTCCCAGGAATGTCAGGGATAACCTTGCACAATGCTGAAAAGGCTTTTATGGCACAATGTCCATCTCGTGCTGCAAGGGGAACAGGAAGACCTTTGGTTTACCATTTAAGACCACTCAGCTAAATAAAAAGTGCCAAATAGGGAGGAGAGTCAATACCAGTCAGAATCATGTTCGAGAGACCAAGACTCCTTCTCTTTAATGTACTTCCCTAATAAAAACATGGAAAAATCAAATCTGGGTTATAACACAAGTAAACAGAGCCTTCTATGGGAGTAGCAAAGATGGTACAACTGCTGGCATGAGTGTGAAATGTCTTTCTAGTGAATGATGCATTCTCATGAAATCTCATGCTGCTGATATGGCAGAATATCCTGGGTTTCCTCCTACTGGGAAAAGTTACCCTCAGCCATAGAAAGCTCAGCAGGCAGCAAGAGTAAGATACCAGGAAGAGGAGGCTTGGCAAGCTGTGTTTTAGGGGGATTTGTCTCCCTCCCTTTTCTCACTGCCAAAAACCAGGGTAAGGAATTGGACTCATGTACAATCCAGCCTTGGTCATTAGGTATATTAGTCAGATCCCAAATATAACTCTACTTCCACAGATGCCCCAATGAACACTTACTATATGTTTTGTCAGTCAGAAATTTTAGTAATGTAATGAAATAAAGGATTAAAAACCTATAGGCATTAAAATATTCTGTGTAAAAAATTTCATTTTATTTAATTGCAAATTGTAGAATGTATAAATATTAATCTATCTTGTTTTTAACGTAATAAACACACCCTTGGACTAGAAGCACACAAGGTCCCAAATTAGTTGTACTCAAACTAAAGCACCTTCAATTTTGAAGCACGTATAATCTCCTATCAAGCTTATTGTGGCCAATATATTTCTTCTTAAACCTTCTTATCTGGGTTTTTATTGTATCAGCATTTTGAAGGTAATAATACACATAATTCAAGCCACAGGACTCTTGCCACCAAGATTTAAAGGGGCACAGTTAAAAGACATCCCATGTGTCTTTGAAGCCTTAATATTAATTTCCTTTAAGGGCTACATAGGTAACCAGCTATGGATAATTAAATATGGTTCACTTGGTGAGCTCTTCTATATTCTAAACTATTTGGAAAACTGAAAACTCCCTGTAAGTAAAAGTAGGATTATTTTCATTTCAAAGACCAAAGCTGAAAAGAGCACCCCACACAGGTAGTCTGTCACCTGCTAGTTTGCACATGTGACTGTGTAAAAATAAATTTCTGAGGGTAAAGATCGATGGCTTTCCTTAAAGAAGAACATAGAGACTCAATAACTAATTAGCTTATGTCTCTCTCTTGTAATTAGAAACCATGCTGGAATCAACTTTCTGAAAGTGTGAAATAGCTATTACGGTACAGAGTGTACTTCTACCACCACACTTTATTTTTATACCTGAGATGTTTTTTCTTTTCTGTGGACCTAGTTCAGCCAAGAATTTATATAAGAATTTTCTCTCATGTCCAATATAAATATAACTTCCTTCTCTAGGGTGAAACTCACACTTTTAAGAGGAATATTAGGAAAAGGTTTAGGTTAATAAGCTGATTGTTACCAGTCAAGAGCTCTAGAAGATTCTTCTTTTTGTCTTCAAAGCCAACCTGTGCCAATTTTCATTCTCTTATAGGCATCTCAGAATTTATTTTTTGACCTGAAAAATAGTATAAGTTAATAGACAACTCTATATATTATCAAGCCAAACCCATTGGAAAGATCCATATAAGCCAGTTGATCTATAGACTAAGCCTGATTTTATCCAAAGTAACATTTAAAAGTAGATAGCTGAGTAGAAGTAACTTAGTGAAATAATGATTGACTTGTGTTTTCAGAAAAATCATCACAACTTGTTAAAAAATTGGAAAAAAACCTCAAACAATCCAGCCACCAAATTATTTGATCTACTCAATACCAAATATTTTTCAGCAAATTGCCCAGTAGTATTGATTATAGCAATAGGGCCTTGTCTTCTTTTGCCTTGTTCACTGTTGGCTTGTATAAAAGTGAGCCCAAGTGAGTACAAACTTGTATAAAAGTGAGTCCAAGTTTGATATGTAGTCATTATCTCAGAATGTTTTCTTTTTCTTTTTATTTCAGCTGTTACTTTAGGTTCAGAGGGTACACATTCAGGTTTGTTGCATGAGTAAATTGCATGTCATTGGGGTTTTTTGTACAAATGATTTAGTCATTCAGGTAGTAGGTATAGTACCTGAGAGGAAGTTTTTCAGCTCTCACCTTTCTCCCATCCTCTTTCCTCAAGCAGGCCCCAGTGGCTATTGTTCTGTTCTTTGTGTCCACATATACTCAATATTTAGCCCCCACTTACGTGGTATTTGGTTTTCTGTTCCTATGTTAATTCAGGTAGTATTATGGCCTCCAGCTACATCCATGTTACTCCAAAGGTTATGATTTTGTTCTCTTTTATGACTATATAGCATTCCATGGTGTATATATACCAGATTTTCTTTATCCAGTCCGCCAGTGATGGACATCTAGGTTGATACTATGTCTTCCCTATTGTGAATAATGCTGTGATAAATATATGGGTGCATGTGTCTTTTTGGTGGAAAATTTATATTCCTTTCAGTATACACCAAGTAATGGGATTGCAAGGTCAAATGTAGTTCTGTTTTAAGTTCTTTGATATATCTCTAAACTGCTTTCCACAGTGGCTGAACTCATTTACATTACCAGAAGTAAATAAGCATTCTTCTTTCTCCACAGCCTTGCCAACATCTGTTAATTTTTTGCCTTTTCAGTAATAGCCATTCTGACTGGTGGTGGGAGATGGTATCTCATTGTGGTTTTCATTTGTATGTCTCTAATGATTAATGATGTTGAGTATTTTTCATAGCTTGTTGACCGTGTGTATGTCTTCTTTTGAGAAAAATCTGTTTGTGTCCTTTTCCCATTTTTAATGGGGTTCCTTGTTTATTGCTTGTTGATTTGCTTCAGTTCCTTATAGATTTTGGATATTAGACCCTTATCAGATGCATAGTTTGCAAGTATTTTCTCCCATTTTGTAGGTTTTATGTTTACTGTATTAGTTTATTTTTCTGTGCAGAAGCTCTTTAGTTTAATTAGGTCCCTCTTGTCTATTTTTGTTTTTGTTGCAGTTGATGTTGGAGATTTCATCATGAAATCTTTGCCAAGGTCTGTGTCCACAGTGGTATTTCCTAGGTTTTTTTTCAATGGTTTTTATAATTCTAGGTCTTGTATTTAAGTCTTTAACCCATTTTAACTAGATTTTTGTATATGATGAAACAAAGAGGTCTAGTTTCAATCTTCTGTGTATGGCTAGCCAGCTATCCCAGCATCATTTGCTTAATAGGGAGTCCTTTCCCCATTGCTTGTTTTTTGTCAACATTATCAAACATCCGATGGTTGTAGGTGTGTGGCTTTACTTCTGGGTTATCTGACCTATTACATTGGTCTATGTGTCTGTTTTTGTACCAATATCATATTTTTTTGGTTACTGCAGCCTTGTAGTATACTTTGAAGTCAGGTAATGTGATGGCTTCAGCTTTGTTCCTTTTGCATAGGATTGCTTTGGCTATTTGGGCTCTTTTTAGTTCCATATGAATTTTAGAATAATTTTGTATAAATTCTATGACAAAATTACGCTGGTAGTTTGATAGGAATAGCACCAAATTGGTGAATTGCTTTGGGCAGTATGGCTATTCTAACAATATTCATTTTTCCTATCCATGAGCATGGAATGTTTTTCCATTTATTTGTGTCATCTCTGATTTATTTCAGCAATGTTTTGTAATTCTTCTGGTAGAGCTCTTTCATCATACTGGTTAGCTATAGTTGTAGGTATTTTATTATTTTGGGGGGCTATTGTGAATAGGATTGCATTCCTGATTTGGCTCTCAGCTTGGACATTATTGGTGTACAGAAATGCTGCTGATTTGTGTGCATTTGATTTCGAAACTTTACTTAAGTTGTTTATCAGTTCTACAAGCCTTTGGGCAGAGACTGTGGGGTTTTCTAGGTATAGAATCATATTGTCTGCTAAGAGGTACTTTAACTTCTTCTCTTTGTATTTGGATGCCTTTTATTTCTTTCTCTGCCCTGATTGCTCTGGCTAGAAATTACAGTACTATGTTGAATATTAGTGGTGAAAGTAGACATCTTTGTCTTGTTCCAGTTCTCAAGAGGAATGTTTCCAGCTTTTGCCCATTCAAGATGATGTTGCCGTGGTTGCCATTATTGGCTCTTGTTATTTTGAGGTGTGTTCCTTTGATGTCTAGTTCGTTGAGGGTTTTTAACACAAAGGGATGAAAGGGATGTTGAATCTTGTCAAAAGCCTTTTCTGCATCTATTGAGATGCTCATGTGGTTTTTGTTTTTAGTTCTGTTTATGTGATGAATCACATTTTTTGATTTTCATATGTTGAACCAAACTTGCATCCCAGGAATAAAGCCTACTTGATAGTGTGTATTAGTCTGTTCTCAAGTTGCTAATAAAGATATACTTGAGACTGGGTAATTTATAAAGGAAAGAGGTTTAATTGACTCACAGTCCCCATGGCTGGGGAGGCCTCACAATCATGGCAGAAGGCAATGAGAAAAAAAGTCACGTCTTACATGATGGTAGGCAAGAGAGCATTGTGTAGGGGAACTCCCCTTTATAAAACCATCAGATCTTGTGAGACTTATTCACTATCACAAGAACAGCATGGGAAAGACCCGCCCCCATGATTCAATTACCTCTCACCAGGTCCCTCCCATGATACTTGGGGATTTGGGGAGCTACAATTCAAGATAAGATTTGGGTGGGGACATAGCCAAACCATATCATTCCACCCCGGCCCCTCCCAAATATCATGTCATCACATTTTGAAACCAATCATGCCTCCCCAACAGTCCCTTAAAGTCTTAACTAATTTCAGCATTAACTTAAAATTCCACAGCCCAAAGCCTCATCTGAGACAAAGCAAGTCCCTTCTGCCTATGAGCCTGTAAAATCAAAAGCAAGTTGGTTACTTCCTAGATACAATGGGGGTTCAGGCATTGGGTAAATACAGCCGTTCCAAATGAAAGATATTTGTCAAAACAAAGGGCTACAGACCCCATGCAAGTGTGAAATCCAGTGAGGCAGTCAAATCTTAAAGCTCCAAAATGATCTCCTTTGACTCCATGTCTCACATCTAGGTCACAGTGATGCAAGAGGTGGGTTCTCATGGTCTTGGGCAGCTTTGCCCCTGTGGCTTTGCAAGGTACAGCCCCACTCCTGGCTGCTTTCATGTGCTGATGTTGAGTGTCTGTGACTTTTCTAGGTGCACAGTGCAAGCTATAGGTGGACCTACCATTCTGAGTTCTGGAGGATGGTGGCCCTCTTCTCACAGCTCCACTAGGCAGTGTCCCAGTGGGCACTCTGTTTGGGGGCTCAAACCCCACATTTCCCTTCTGTACTGCCCTAGCAGAGGTTCTCCATGAGTGCCCTGCCCCTGCAGCAAACATCTGCCTGGACATACAAGTGTTTCCATACATCCTCTGAAATCTAGGCAGAGGTTCTCACACCTCAATTCTTGACTTCTGTGTACCTGCAGGCTCAACATTACATGGAAACTGCCAAGGCTTGGGTCTTGCACCCTCTGAAACCACCACCTGAGCTGTATGTACCTTGACCCCTTTTAGCCATGGCTGGAGCAGCTGTGGTGTAGGGCACCAAGTTTCTAGGCTGCACACAGCAGGGGCCCTAGATCTGGCCTAGGAAACCATTTTTTCCTTTTAGGCTTCAGGTCCTGTGATGGGAGGGGTTGCCATGAAGGCCTCTGGCATGCCCTGGAGACATTTTTCTCATTGTTTTGGTGATTAACATTGGACTCCTCATTACTTATGCAAATGTCTGCAACTGGCTTGAATTCCTTCCCAGAAAATGGGTTTTTCTTTTCTATTGTATCATCAGCCTTCAAATTTTCCAAACTTTTATGCTGTGCTTCCTCTTGAATGCTTTGCTGCTTAGAAATTTCTTCCACCAGATACCCCAAATCATCTCTGTCAAGTTCAAAGTTCCACATATCTCTAGTGCATGGGAAAACACCACCAGTGTCTTTGCCAAATCACAGCAAGAGTCACCTTTGTTCCAATACATTCCTCATCTCCATCTGAGAACACGTCAGCCTGGACTTTATTGTCTATATCACTATCAGCATTTTGGTCAAAGCCATTCAACAAGTGTCTAGGAAGTTCTAAACTTTCCCACATCTTCCCGTCTTCTGAGCCTTCCAAGTCTCTAGGAAGTTCCAAACTGTCCCACATTTTCCTATCTTCTTCTGAGCCCTCCAAACTGTTCCAACCTCTGCCTGTTACCTTCAAAGTCACTTCCACATTTTGGGTATGTTTGCAGCAGCACACCATTCTACCAGTATCAATTTACTGGATTAGTCTGTTCTCACCCTGCTAATAAAGACATACCTGAGACTGGGTAATTGATAAAGGAAATTTTGTAAATAATTAATAATTGACTCACAGTTCCACATGGCTTGGGAGGCCTCACAAACATGTTGGAAGGCAAATGAGGAGCAAAGTCATGTCTTACATGGCAGCAGGAGAATGAGGAGCAGTCACATCTTACATGGTAGCAGGCAAGAGAGAGTATGTGCAGGAGAAGTCCCCTTTATAAAAACCATCAGATGTCATGAGACTCATTCACTATCCTGAGAACAGCACAGGAAAGGACCCCCCTCCCCACTGCCACCCATGATTCAAGTATCCCTCACAGGGTCCCTCCCACAACACATGGGAATTATTGGAGCTACAATTCAAGATGAGATTTGGGTGTGGACACGGCCAAACCACATCATAGTGGTAGATGAGCTTTTTGTTGTGCTGCTGGTTTTGGTTTACTAGTATTTTGCTGAGTATTTTGGAGTCTAAGTTCATCAGGAATATTGGCCTGAAGTTTTCTTTTTTTCTTTTGTCTCTGCCAGGTTTTGGTATCAGAAAGATTCTGGTCTCATAGAATGACTTAGGAGGAGTCCCTCTTCCTCAATTTTTTGGAATAATTTTAGTAGGATTGGAACCAGTTCTTCTTTGTACCTCTGGTAGAATTCAGCTGTGAATCCGTCTGGTCCTGGGCTTCTTATGGTTAGAAAGTTTTTTATTATTACTGATTCAATTTTGGAACTCTTTATTGGTCTATTCAGGATTTCAGTTTCTTCCTGGTTCAATATGGGAGGTTGTATTTTTTCCAGGAATTTATCCATTTCTTCTTGGTTTTCTAGTTTGTGTGTATAGAGGTATTCATAATAGTCTCAGGGGTATTTTAACATTTCTGTGGGGTAGGTGGTAATGCTTTGTCATTTCTGATTGTGTTTATTTAGATCTTCTCACTTTTTCTTTTAGTAATCTAGGTAGCAATCATTGTTGTTTATTCTTTTGAAGAACCTACATTTAGTTTTGCTAATCTTTCGTATGGATTTTTATGCCTCAATTTTATTCACTTCAGCTCGGATTTTGGTTATTTATTTTGTTCTGCTAGCTCTTGGTTTGCTCTTGTTTTTCTAGTTCTTCTAGATGTGATGTTAGCTTGTTAATTTGAGATCTTTCTAACTTCTTCATGTAGGTGTTTGGCACTATAAACTTTCTTAACACTGCTTTAACTGTGTCCTAGAGAGTCTAGTATGTTGTATTTTTGTTTTCATTAGTTTCAAAGAATTTCTCGATTTCTGACTTAAAGGTATTCTTTACTGCAATGTGATTCAGGAGTAGCTTGTTTAATTTCCAGATAATTGTATGGTTTTAAGAGATCTTCTTGGTATTGATTTCTATTTGTATTGTAATGTGGTCTGAGAGTGTGGTTGGTATGATTTTTTTTAATTTGTTGAGAATTGCTTTATGGCCAAGTATGTGGTTAATCTTAGAGTGTATGCCATATGCAGATGAGAAGAATATATATTCTGTTGTTGGGTGGAGTGTTCTATAGATGTCTCTTAGGTCCATTTGGTCAAAAGTCAAGCTTATGTCCTGAATATCTTTGTTAGTTTTCTGCCTTGATAATTTGTCTAATACTGTTAGTGGGTCTTGAAGTCTCCCACCTTTATTTTATGGTTATCTAAGTCCCTTCATAGGTCTCTAAGAACTTGTTTTATGTATTTGTGTGCTCCAATGTTGGGTGCCTATGTATTTAGGATAGTTAAGTCTTCTGGGTGAATTGAACCCTTATCATTATGTAATGCTCTTATTTGCTTTTTCTGATCATTGTTGGTTTAAAATCTGTTTTGTCTGAAATAATAATAATAGCCACTGTTCATTTTTGTTTTCCATTTTCATGATAAATCTTTCTCTATCTCTTTACTTTTGGGTCTATGGGTGTCATTTCATGTGAAATGGGTCTGTTGAAGACAGCATGCAGTTAGGTCTAGTTTTTTAACCAATTTGCTACTTTGTGCCTTTTAAGTGGGTCATTTAGCCCATTTATATTCAAGGTCAATATTGATATATGAGGATTTGATACTGTTATCATATTGTTAGCTGGTTGTTATGTTGACTTGATTGTGTGGTTACTTTATAGTTTCACTGGGCTAAGTGCTTAAGTGTCTTTTTGAGGTGGCAGATATTGGTCTTGTCTTTCCATGTTTAGCACTACCTCAAGGACCTCTTGTAAGGCAAGTCTGGTCCTAACAAATTTCCTTAGCATTTTCTTGTCTGAAAAGGATTTTATTTCTCCTGTGTTCATGAAGCTTTGTTTGTGAATACAAAATTCTTGGTTGAAATTTCTTTTCTTTAAGGATGCTGAATATAGGCCCCCAATCTCTTCTGGCTTCTAAGGATTCTGCTGAAAGGTCCACTGTTAGCCTGATGGGGTTCCCTTTACAGTGACCTGTCCTTCTCTCTAGCTGCCTTTAATGGTTTTTTTTTTTACACATTGAACTTGGAGAATCTGATTACTGTGTGTCTTAGGGATGGTGATCTTATATCATATCTCACAGGGGTTCTCAGAATTTCCTGAATTTCGTGTTGACTTCCCTTGCTAGGTTGAGAAAATTTTCATGGACAGTATCCTCAAATATGTTTTCTAAGTTGCTTACTCTCTCTCCAGCTCTTTCAGGAATGCCAATGAGTCGCAGGTTTAGTCTCTTTACATAATCCTATAGTTTTCAGAGGTTTTGTACATTCTTTAAAATTCTTTTGCTTTTTTTTTTCTGCCTGTGTTGATTGCAAGTAGTGATCTTTGAGGTCTGAGATTCTTTCCTCAGCTTTGTCTATTCTCTTGTTAATGCTTCTAATTGCATTATAAAATTCCTGTAGTAAAATTTTTCATTTCTAAAAGTTCAGTTTGGTTCTTTCTTAAAATGACTATGTCATGTTTCAGCTCTTGGATAATTTTACTGGTTTCCTCAGATTCGTTTTCAGCCTTCTTCTGTATCTTATTGAGCTTCAGAATATTTTAGATCTGTAGAGATCTGTGATAGCTACACCTAGATGACTCCTGCATTCTTCAGGTCTTAAATATCCTGTCCTCAGAGAGGTTTTTGTTGACACAACACTATCTAAAGAAGCCTTCTATCTGTCCAAGTACTTTTTCTCTAAGACATCACTTTGTTTCATCTCTTTAGAGTACTTACAATGTTTAATTATCTAATTTTTTAAAGTACTTTGGAATTATTGTCTATTTTTTTCCCTTTAGAATGGAAATTCCATGAGAACAGGGACCTTGCTTATCTGGTGTATCAATACCTAACTCAATCCTAGGCATATAGTAGACACTCAGTAAATAATTACTAAATGTGTGGATTAATAAAGACAGAAGACCGAGTACTGTCAAGATCAGTCAATATTGTCAATAATTGATCAACAGTACGCTGATGTGATAGGGGAGTACAAAGAATTATGTGTCCTCCAGTAACTTTTATTATTCCTATAAATTAGGCATTTATAAGCACACTTAGTTGTACAAATATTGTCCTATACACTAGGTATGAAAGAAAAACAACTTTATCATACCAAACCAAATTTCTATTTTGAGCACAAGTTCAGCTGGTAGACGCTTAATTAAAACAATTTGGTGTTAACCCTACTGAGTTATAATTTCAGGTGGCTGAAATATCAACAAAGTGTTCCGTGTTTATATTAGATTAGTGGTCATGATTTAGCCACAGTGGCCCCAAGTGAGATGTATGTCACCCACTATTTAACCTATCCTGTCCAGATAAAAATATCCCTTGTTTCTGTTCTGAAATTTTCCATGTTATCTTCTTCCACATAATTAAACCTTGATCATCAATACCATACCTCTACGTTGGCTCACAAAAATAGAGATATACCTAATGCTAAATGACGAGTTAATGGGTGCAGCACACCAGCATGGCACATGTATACATATGTAACCTGCACATTGTGCACATGTACCCTAAAACTTAAAGTATAGTAATAATAAAATAAAAAAAAAATAGGGAATGACAGAGTGGAAGATAACTATTAGAAGCAACTTAAAACAACAACTATTTATTTGCTCCTAATTCTGCAGGTCAGCAATTTGTGCAAGGCTCAGCTAGGATGGCCCATCTCTGTTCCATGTAGTGTTGGCTGAACTTATTTGTAGATTTAGTAAGTAGGCTGCAGCTGACTTGTCTGAACACCCTCACTCACATGTCTGAAAGGTACTTGGGGCTATGAGCCAGGGCACGTCAGTTCTCTCCACATAGCAGTTGGGTTTCAGGAGAACAAGTCCTAATGGACAAGCCTTTATTCAGCCTCTATTTGTATTGCATTTTCTAATGTGTCATGCGCCAAAGAAAGACGCACGGCCAATCCTAGAATCATTGAGGGAGGGAATTACACACACATGCGAACAAGGGGAGAAGTGAGTCATTATGGGAACACGCCAGGTGATGTTTGTAGTCAGCAATATGTCAGAAGCTATATTCTTTACAAAACATTGTTATATCATAAAATATATTTAAGACAAACCAGCTCAGAGATCACATTAATTAGAAAAGAGAGGCTGGAGGTTTTGTGTCAGTGCTTTCATGTCTGAGGCAATGTTGCCTGATAATGCATTGTTGGATGTATCAGTATGAAATCCTATGCACAGTTAAAAGGCTTTTTAAGTAAATCCTTGCTATGAAAAAGTGAAGCCACAACATATTGAAAACAAGTCATATGCATTCTAAGGAACAAAGAAGAACACATCAGGAATTAAAGAAGTGTTTGTGGTTACTTAGAAAATCATTAGCTTAGCAAATCTTTCTTATGTAATTGGTATTTGAGGCAGCTTAGTGGAAAGAGATGTTATTTTGCTTTTATTAAGCATCAAATATTTAATGCATTCATATAACACATTTTGAGGAAAATCACCCTTATCCAAGAGGCAATTTTGACTGTGCCATGCTATCAAACTTTATTGCTCATTTTGCAGTCATGAGGAAGAGTTCATAGTTGTAATGAAACAGGAAATATTTTGATTAGCATAGCAATTTTTTATTGAAACATTTATAGTATTCTAAAATGACTAAGTAACAATAATTAATGCCATATTCACTTTTTATTGTAAAATAAAGATGGTTATTGTCATCATGAAGTCTAAGATAAAATGGGTTGCTTTATTGAGAATCAAGTCATGAAGTGGAACATGCAGATTGTACAAAGCCATTTCTCTAATCGGTTCCCTGCCCATAGTCAGGGAACTGTTCTTTGGTAGTGCAAACATCACACAAAGCTAAGCATTTCCTATATGTTAATGGAAGTCTGTGGGTGGGACAAAGTTGTAAAATAACAAAGTGAGACAAAACCTCCAGAGACAGAAAGCATAAACAACTTGTTGAGTGCATATTCTGGTGCATCAGATAAAACTGGTCAGATAACAAGATAACAATACAACCTTCCAACCTAGCCATCTAAGAATCACCACTACAACCCTATCTTAGCATAGGAAAGAAAAGAGAAACTAATGTTTAACATATTTGCCAAGAAGTAGTCTGATTATTTCATATGCACTATTTCCCTTAGACATAGGAAAACTCTGTGTCTGCCAATCGATTCATGATACTGTTGACTAATTGATAGAACAGTTCTTAAAATTTTTAGGCCATGATATATGTGTGTGTGTGTATGTGTGTGTGTGTGTGTGTATATACATGTATATACACACATATATACATATACATATATACACTTATGTATACACATACATGCATGCACACACACATACATGTATATATACACATACACACACATATATATACACATGGACACACACACATGCACACGCACACACACATATACACACGTACATACACAGCCAAAAGAGGAAAATAAATGGAAAGTGACAGAAGAAAGGGAATGATTTTTATATTTTTTCCCCTACAGTCCATTATTATTATTATTTATTAATGCAGTTCTGGATTTTCTTAAGGTGGCTCTGTCTGCTAGATAACTATCTTTATATAAGCAGACCATAAAATAAAGCAAACACTTAACCTTTTGCTTATTTATTGTCATCACCAAAATTACTTATATGTAAAATCTATAGCTTAATCACATATTTTATTTATTTATTTATTTATTTATTTATTTATTTTTTGAGATAGGATCTCACTCTGTCACCCAAGATGGAGTGCTGTGGTATGATCACAGCTCATTGCAGCCTTGAACTCCTGGGCTCAAGTATCCTCCCATTCCACCCTCCTGAGTAGCTGAGACTGCAGGTGTGTATCACCATGCCTGGCTAATTTTTAAAAGTTTCTTGCAGAAATAGGGTCTTACTATATTGCCTAGGCTGGTCTTGAACTCCTGGCCTCAAGTGATCCTCCCACATCAGCCTCCCAAAAAACTGGAATTACAGGTATGAGCCACTGCCTTTACTAGTCTTTGTTTTGAACACCATATGTTGCACCCTTGGCAAATGGACATTTGGATAGTTTCCAATTTGGGGTTATTGTGATAATGTTGCTAAGAATATTAATAGAATATGTTTTGGAGAGATCCACATTTTGGTTTAGTATATGCTGGTTCAGAAGATATGCAACTGATGAGCTTTGGTAGACAATGCCAAACAGTTTTCCAAGGTAATTGAATCAATCTTTTTCCACCATTGTGTATGAGTATTCTGGTTGCTTAACATTCTCAACCACATTAAATATATATTTTTTTTAATTTTCATTTTAGCAATTCTTCTTTGTGTGTAATGGTATTGCATTATGGTTTTAATTTTCTTCTCCCTCGTGACAAATGTAATAGTTGCCTTTTCATATGTTTATTGGTCGTGTGTCCATGCTGGATTAGAGTTTTTAAAGAGCACTTTTCTTTGCACAAAGGAAAGGTACTTGGAAGAATGATAGTGTTTCCTGACCGCTTCAGCCAGAGAACAAAAGCAAAAACAAAAACGACAGAGAGTGTCTTTTTTTTTTTTGATATGGAGTTTCACTCTTGTTGCCCAGGCTGGAGTGCAGTGGCGTGATCTCGGCTCACTGCAACCTCTGCCTCCCGGGCTCAAGAGATTCTCCTGCCTCAGTCTCCCGAGTAGCTGGGATTATAGGCATGTGCCACCACGCCCAGCTAATTTTGTATTTTTAGTAGAGATAGGGTTTCTCCATGTTGGTCAGGCTGGTCTCAAACTCCAGACCTCAGGTAATCCACCTGCCTCGGCCTCCCAAAGTGCTGGGATTACAGGTGTGAGAGGGTCTTTTGTTGTTGTTGTTCAGCCTATTTGTCCTCATTTGAAACATAAACTTGGCTAGCAGGATTAGGCCCTGTGATTGGCCAGTCTGGGTCATACCCACTCTGCTGTGACCAGGGAGGGGGATGAACTGTGATCGGGAGCTCCCGCTAGAGCAATTTAGTGGAAGTGGGGAAAGATCAGCTATTTAAAATATAATGTACAAAACAGTAGTTCTGCTGCATTTAGGAATCAGTCTATCTGAGCACCCCTCTTAGTAACACAGATATACAGTTACACCCATTGCCTTGAGTTAAATGCTATAATAGGAACTTTTATGGCCTGATAAAGGATGTACCAGCACAATCCCATTGGTATGCTGAGCTGCTTCAATGTCATTAGAACCTCTGAGAAGGACTGAACTGTCCCAATTGAGTTTTCTTAGCAGAAAGTACCTCCAAGAGCCCCAAAGGGAGGTAAAGAAATAGTGATTAGCAAGAACATTACTACAACAGTGGGTAGGGCTGCATCTGAATGGGCAGTGTCACTTTTTAATAGGGATTTACTATGTCATCTAAGAAGCAGTAGCAAAGAAGCAATAGCAATCCAAATTGGGGTTTGCTATCGGATTGATCCCTCTCCAGTATGCCATTTACATGATGTTTGTAATAACATAGTCTAGCTTTTTTTGTAGAGTAAGATTTATCATATATATTTTTCTACTTTTTCTCATAACAATAATATAGATCTATTTAATTTAATTTAATGATTGACTAGTACTCAGAGTATTTTATTTCATAGAACTTATCCAACGAATCTCTCCTTGATGGATGTTAAGAGTTATTTCTACTTTTTTACTATCATCAAAAATGCTCCAATTAATATCGTTGTGAACTTGTTTGTTTCCTGTGGATAAATACCTAAAAGTGGAATATCCGTGTCAAAATGATTCACATTTAATATTAAATACTGGACAGATGTCCTCCCAAAAGATGACACTAATGTAACAAACTAAAGAATTCCCTGTTGGAAAATATTTAGAATATTTGTAAAGTTTTCCTTTAACAGTGCTGCAATAACCATTCTTAAAGACAGATCTTTGTACATATGTGAATATTTCTGAAGCAGAGTACTAGAAATATAATTACTTGGAGATATAGTTTGGCTCTGTGTCCTTACCCAAATCTCATGTTGAATTGCAGTTCCCACGTGTCAAGGGAGGGACCTGTAATCCCCACATGTCAAGAGACAGAGGTTATTGGATCACAGGGGCGGTTTCCCGCATGCTGTTCTCATGATAATGAGTGAGTTCTTAGGAGAGCTGATGGTGTTATGGGTATTTGGAAGTTCCTTTCTTTCTTATCTCTCCTGCTGCCTTGTGAAGAAGGTGCCTGCTTCTTCTTCCACCATGATTGTAAGATTCCTGAGCCCTCCCCAGTCATGCAGAACTGCGAGTCAACTAAACCTCTTTCCTTTATGAATCACCCAGTCTCAGGGAAGTTCTTTATAGCAGTGTGAAAACCGACTAATACACTTGGTCAGAGGGTATGCACATTGTAAAATTTGGATTAATAATGCTGAAATGTTCTCCAGAAAGTGCTATCTATTCAAATGTCCACCTTTTTCAAATGTTAGTGCCTGATTTCTCATAAAATGTTTAGTGGCAATTATTGTCAATCTTTATAATTTTTGCAGCAGGGTGGGTAACAAATTATATCTTGTTTTATTTTACTTTTGCCTGGTTGCTAGTGAGATTGACAATCTCTTCATATTTCTATCATCCAGTTGTGTGTATTTTGTAAGTTATCCATGCAATGCATTTACTTGATTGCTCTTTTCCTCAGGAAAATGATTTTAAATTAACTTTACATGTATATAAATATAGTTCTACATTCTCCTGAGAATTTTTATTTTTCTTAAAGTTTCAGTAAAATACAGGTGACAGAGTGGGTGACTTCTTTGCTTTTCCTACTTTTGTTTCTACTTACAGTCTACCTCAAGTTGCTCTGTAAATAAGCACATTAATTTTTAAATCATTGAGATATATTTTTGACTGAATTTATTTTATGGTCACCACCCTGCATTCTAGATGCTCCAGAGGTCAAACCATGTCAACAGTGTCCCTTGCTGCTGAGAGACAACGAAATGTATTTCATCAAATTTGTTGAAACAGTAAAATCTTTTCTTATTTTGCTTTCCGGGACTGATATTAAGTGTTTCAACAAAAATCTTTCACAAAACGTGGCATGGAATCACATCTCTGAGTTGTGTTTGGATAAATAATATGAGTATTTCATTCACTTTAAAAGATATGGTACTAAATTATTAAAGAAAGGATGCACCTAAGACCTTTTAAAGAAAGAATTGTCATATGAGGATTTGAATCTGAAAAAGATGATATGGGGGAAAGAATTGAAAGATCTGGGTTTGGGCCCTTTTATGGAACTAACTAGCAATATGTTGGCTTCCTTTTACTTGTAATACGTGTGAGTGGTGTTTGATAGTTTCTATGGTTCCTTTTGTGTATTGCCTTCTGTGCTATACAGGACAATTTTATGCCCTGTACTTTCTTAGCATGCTGATGTTCACAATGAAAATAATCTTTTGAGATCAGTGAAAGTCTGGTCATTTGTCCTCATGAAAGGACATCTGGACAATGGCCTAGAGTAAAATCAGAGGTGTCACCATAATCCTCCCCAGCCACACAACATTTTTTGATTCTCTACTCAAAACAGCTTTCTTACAGATAATTGGAGACTACATCAACCATTCCAACTGGCAGTCAGATTTATAGAGAATTTAAAACTTAATTCAGCAGTGAAATTTGTCAGTCATTCTGACTGACATCTTAACAACTCCAAACCTACATCTTAATTTGTCATTTGGAGGCCAATCATTCCTTGTCAGTTTTAAGCTGACTCGATACAAACTTTTAAACTTAAAAAAATGTAAATATTAAAAAACAATAAAGTGTTCTCTTTTGAAATTGGTAAATCAGATTTTAAAATATGTCTTAAACACGTTGAAAGAAATAATCCTACCATTGATATTCTAGCATTTCTATTCTTGAGATCTCTTAACTCTATTTGCTCCAGTGAACCAGGAACATATAAATCAAAATCCTGAGTTGAATTACCAGACCTATAGGTGATTATTTTACCCATTAAATTATAAAAGGCTCTATTTTTAAAAATTGGAAAAAATCTCTACTTATGCAGTTTACTTCATTGAAATTGTTATTTTCATGATTGGGGCTAATTCAATAGAAAGTAACAGAGGATGCCCCTAAGTTTATAATACAATGTGAGCATAGCAGGCTATGTGCAGTTGTTTAAATAAAGCACTACATTGGTAAAATCCATATATTTTACACATCTTTTATGTATTACCCAGAAATAACTATGTGTTTCATGTATCTACTAAATCTTTGTGTAAAAAAAGCAAGAACCCTAAAATCTGAGTATCTCTTTAAGAAGTTATGTCACAAGGAGACCTTTTAAGAAAGGTGACAACTTTTAGGAAAGCAGAATTAATGCTATATTAGTAAGTTCTTCAACTATGAATGAGAGGAAGCTATTATGCATTAATAGGCATATCAATATTTGACATCCTTTAAAGGAAATGCATCTTGCTTTGTTTGCTTCAAGAGAGACAGTATGGTAGAGGGTCAAGAACATCTGACAAATTGTTCAGAGATGTAAATTATGGCCCCACTGCTGGCACTGGCACCTACAATCTATGTCACCTTAAAAAAGTTACCTTTATGGGCCAAGGTTTCCTTATCTGTAAAATGAGGTATTGGATGGTTCTTGAAGTTCCTTCTGTCTCGAATATTCTCACTCTAAGATCCACATTCATCATGACGAATTTTCTAGTGTATGAATTACTCGCTGGATGTAGTCAAAACACTTTTGGGAGCAACTATTGATATTCCCTACCATTCATTTATTCATCAAACATTATTAATTATTTAATATATTCCAAGTATGCTGTAGGTATCGGGAATAGAAAATGAATAAAATACAGTCCCTGGTCCCAAGAAATATATATGTCGTTTGATAGGAAACAGCTATGTAACAAAATAGTGCTATAAAGTGTTACAGATACTCTGTTAGAAGTCTGTACACAACATACAATACACAGGGGTTAAACACCAGGGAGAAATCAGTGCTACTTTTTGGTTGGGTACAGGGAGAGGTGACAGGAGAGGCTTTGTAGAGGAGGACATAATTGAATGATGTCTCAAAACACAAGGAGTTCACTAGAGAGCTAGTGGATGGTCAGGTTAGGTGAGAGTAGAGAACTGAAGACTTGTTGTACTGAAACAGCAATAAATTACAGTTTTAGGTTCAAAAAAAACTGAACATTTGATGAATTAAATTGTACTTTGCATATAAACACCAGGGAATTATGATTATTAATTGATGCATTGCTCACCTCCAAGATGTAGGAAGATGTTTGCAATGCCAAAGAAAGTAAGAATTTATCCTTTTCAAGGCATTCAAACAAACAAAAAAGCTTTATATTTTGTAGCTAATTGCTTTTATTTATTTTTTTCTTCTCTCGTTCATGTAATGGATCAAAACATAAAACAGAAAGGCTCTCCTGTTTACATCTATTTATTTATTTATATTTATTTTGAGACAGGGTCTCACTCTCTCACCCAGGCAGGCTGGAGTGCAGTGGCACGAGCAAAGTTCCTTGCAGCCTTGTCCTCCCAGGCTCAAGTTATCCTACTACCTCAGCCTCCCAAGTAGCTGAGAGTATAGGCACATGCCACCCCACCTGGCTAGTTTTTTCTTTTCTTTCATTTTGTTTTATGTAGAGACAGGGCTTCATCATGTCGCCCAGGCTGGTCTCAAACTCCTGAGCTCAAGTTATTTGACCATCTCAGCCTCCCAAAGTGATGAGATTACAGGCATGAGCCACTGTGCCCTATTTTTTAAAACTAAAGAATAACAAAAATAGATTGCATATTGCTGAGACATACTTTTGCACCCTACTGTATCTATACCCAAAACTATGCTTTATCAAATCATGATCCCAATAGAACAGATTATGACTAGTAGGTTAATGTTTGTTATTTAACAGCACGAAGTAAAAAAGTGGGCACTGATGCTGCAGGAAGCTGGCCATTAGCCACTGCAATTTCTTTGGGTTATTTATGTATCGTAAACATATATAATGGCTTAACAGTTTTACATGCTTTGTACATTGTATTTACCTCACCTACTACTCACAGAGATGGCTCTTACCTACCTACAAAGACTGTGTCTCCATAAAACTATTGGAAGTCATAATGAATCTGTTATTCTTTGATATTTGTGTCAGTCCTTCTTATAAGGGGATACTTGGCTGTGACATGGGCTCTAATGACAGGGCTCCCATGTGCCCCTTGAGCTGCTTAGTTCCGGACTTTGTGTGATGCACGCACATGTTTTGTCTTCCAGACTGGATTATAAACTGCTCTGAGGGTAATAACCTTGTTTTACTGATTTTTCAAAAAAAAAAAAAAAAAAAACTGCCTCTTTCTTATCTTGGAGCCTGATAGAAGGCTTCAGATACATATCAAATGATATTTCAGTGTTGGCTCTAGTAATGGCATAAACACACAGCATGTACCACTTCAATGTGAAACAAATTAGTGTTTCATATTCTTGTCATTGGGACATGTGTTTTATTAATTAGCAGATTAGCTTGAAGTTAGCCAACCTTGAACTTGAATCTGGTTCTTCCCTGGGAGGGATGATAAAGTAGAAGCACAGGGTTGCTAGGGGACCTGTTTATAGTCCATGCCCAGTATTCCAAAACCTTTATCTCCTTGAGTCCTTGGAACAACCATGAAAAGTATGCCCAATATTTCCTTTTACAGGCGAGAGAACTAAGGCACAGACATGATAATTCCCCAGGTTTCCACACCTGGTTAAGTGGCACAGCTGGGATGCATAGGTAGGCATTTTCCAAAGTTCATACACTGCTCCTTCCCTATGTGCCACGACTCCTGTGTGTGCCCCGGAATGTGGTGTTAGCATCTCTGGACCTTGATTGTCCTATTTCTGAACATGAAGATGTGATGGTTAATTTTATGTGTCAGATTGGCTAGGCTATGGTGCTCAGTTGTTTAGACAAATACCAGTGTAGATGTTGCAGTGAACAGTGGATGTTAAGTAAATTACCCTTCATAATGTGGGTGGGCCTCATCCAATCTGTTAAAGGCCGTAAGATAAAAGATCAAGATTCCCAGAAAAGAAAGGAATTTTGCCTCCAGACTGCAACATAGAAATTCTGCCTGATTTTATGGACTTCAAACTTGAGACTCCAACATCAACTCTTGCTGTAATTTCCAGCCTGCTGGCATGCCCTTAAGATTTCACAGTTGCAGTCTTCACAATTTCATGAGCCAGTTCCTTAAAATAAATCTCTCTCTGTCTTTCTGTTTCTGTCTCTCTCTCTCTGTATGTACACACACACACACAAACACACACATGCACACACACACATGCATGCACACATACATTTGATTGGTTCTGTTTCTTTTTTCTGGAGAACAGTTTCTAACAAAGAAGTTATTTCATGTGTTTAAAAACCAATGTTAAATGAGATAATTCACTTAAAAACACCTAGTATTCACTCAACAGAGTATCACCATGTTTCTCTAATGCTATTTTTGTCTTTCCCTACCATCCTCTTTAATTTTTAAAAAATATTTTTTCTTTTATTTCTTTACCCTTTCCTTTGTAATAAAACATTCTTTAATGCATACAAATGTACCAACTATATCAGCACGAATATTCTATTAAAAGTAGAGCAATATCGCATGACTATTAGTGCCTACAGTGACATTTACACATTTACTTTCACAAGTGAGTAATGATAATTCATACGCACCACATGGCTGTGAGTAATTGCTCCCTTCTGAAGATAAAGGTTAGAATAGTCTGTAGCCATCATAAGTTATTCACTGTGTGTGTACACTTTCATAATATATTTCCCACAATGTTGCTCTCTATATTTTCATCTAGCTATTTCTCATCTTTATGCGACACAAACTTTACATCGGAAAACATTTTATTATTGATTTCTTCATTGGATAAGTAGTATGGTGAATTTGACACTCAATTCACTTTTTCCTTTATGGCAAATTAGAAAACATTGGAGTTGTGAAGGCCTATATTGAGAATGTGTCTAGGGATATATAAGATGAGAGAGAATAAGAGAAGGGGCAAGAGAGAGAGAGAGAAGGAGAGAGGAAAAGAGATTGGAGAGGGCATCAAGAAGGCTCTTTACTCTTTAAACTATTACCAGCTTCTAATTAATGATACCTGATGTTGATGAAAAAAGTTGAGTTCTGTAAAATATTTGAAGATATTTATTCTGAGCCAAATACAAGTGACCATGGCCCTTGACACAGCCCTCGGGAGACCCCAACAATATGTATCCAAAGTGGTCAGGCCACACTAGGTTTTATTCATTTTAGGAGAACATAAGACATCAGTCAATACATGTAAGAAGTACATTGGTTTGGTCCAGAAGCTGGTGGAGGGGGACTTCCAGATTATAGGCAGATTCAAAGATTTCCTGATTGGCAGCTGGATGAAAGAGTTTATCTAAAGACCTGGAATCAATAGAAAGGAAACATCTGGGTTAAGATAAGGGATTGTGGAGACCAAGGTTCTTATTATGCAGATGAAGCCCTTAGGTGGCAAGCTCATACAGAATATATTGTACATGTTTCTTATCAGACTTAAAAAGGGGTCAGACTCTTAGTTGATTCTCCCCTGGATCAGGAAAAAGCCCTGGAAGAGAGAAAGGGGATTCTCTACAGAATGTAGAGCATGCAAGAGACAATGTTGTAGGGCTATTTCAAGATAGGGCAGAGAAACATATTTGGAGTTTAAATATTCTGATTTCCTTCTTTGTTGTGTGTTATGTGTGATGTTATGCCGGGGTCAGGTTGGAAAGTGAGCCACATTATAGAGTGTTAAATGAAACCCCTCTGATGAGACTTTATGGTTTGTAAGGTGTAACTGTCCAGGCCCCTTAGATAGGCATTTGTCAAGAGAAGAAAGAAGATCAGAGTTTAGTCCTCACTGAAATCTAATTTACAAGAAAAACTAAATTTGCAATACTCTTGGGAAGACAGAACGTAGACAAAATTCATACCAAGGTGTGAATTGGAAGCAGCTTCAGAGGAGGAACTGTGTCTTGATCGCTATTGTCAACTCAACTGTTAGCATATTAACAGGTGCTTAGTAAATATTTTGATTGAATAAATGATGCTAGAATCAATTCTGGAGACTGAATTTGATGAGTTAGGTAGGAGTGTCAATGTAGCTGGGATTTGATGGCAGAGGTGGAGAAATTGATGGTGCAGGAAGGGGAAAGTTAACAGGGAGAGAAGCTTTGCAATAGAATAAGCAAAGTTTACACATTTTATCATCCTGCCAAGAACAGACCAGGGTCCTGTCAAGCTTCTAATCTGCACTGAGTTCTTGGGCATTGTGATGGTTAATTTCATGAGTCAGCTTGGCTGGCCCTGGGGTTCCCAAATTAAACATTATTTCTGAGTATGTCTGTGAAGGTGTTTTTGGATGAGTTTAGCATTTGAATCAGTAAAGAAGATCTCCCTTCCCTAGGTGGTGTGCCATCATCCAGACCATTGAGAGTGTGAATAAACAGAAAGGAAGGGAAGGAGGTATTCTCCTTTCTTTCCTGACTCACTGTGTGAGTTGGGACAACTCATCTCATCTCAGGTCTTTGGAATGGGGTTTACACTCCTGGCTTCCTTGGCTCTCAAGCCTTCTGATTTGGACTGAATTATGCCACCAGCTTTACTGGGTCTACAGCTTGCAAATGGCCGATCATGGGACTTCTCAGCTTCCATAATTGTGTTAGCCAATTTCTCATAATAAATCTTTCTCTCTATATACACTCAATTGTGTCACTTAGTGATGGGATACATTCTGAAAATGCATTGTTAGGCAATTTCATAGTTGTGAGAACATCATAGTGTGTACTTACACAAACCTAGATATTGTACCCTGTTACATACCTAGGCTATATGATATAGCTTGTTGATCCTAGGCTACAAACCCATACAGACTGTTACTGTTCTGAATACTGTACGCAATTGAAACACAACAGGAATTATTTGTGTATCTAAACATATCTAAACATAGAAACGGCACAGTACAAATACAATATAAATGATTTTTAAAAAGTGGTACAGCTGTCTGGGGCACTTATGAATGGAGATTGCAGGACTGGAAGTTGCCCTGGGTGAGTGAGTGAGGGAGCAGTGAGTGAACACGAAGGCCTAGAACATTGATAAACACTACTGTAGACTTCATAAACGCTGTACACTTAGACCAAACTAAATCTAAAAAAAAAGCAAGTGATTGCCCTGTGATAGCTGCGATGTCACATGGCAATAGGAAATGTTCAGCTTTATTATAATCTTCTAGACTATCTTCATACATGTGGTCTGTTGTTGACTGGTACTCCATTGTGTGGCACATGACTTTATACACACACACACACACACACACACACACACAGTGTTACTAGTTCTGGCTCTCTTTCTTAGGAGAACCCTATTACAGATGTGTACTACAATGTTGAGTCAAATGGCTAGCCAGCTACATGGCCAGTCACAGTTAAACTAAGCATCCCCTGCATTCAGCTCAGGAGGCAGGGAACCTGTCAGGATGGCAGGAATCCAGTGACCACGCACCATTGCTTTCCTTGGCTGACGTCTTGCTCTGGTCAGTGAATACAACCTCCCTGCCATTGTTAATGCAATGTCTGTACTCACTGCTGTGCTGCTATCCTGAAAGGGTTAATCAGCTTCCATAAGGAACCTAATTTAGAACCTGGCAACAGCTTAGCCACTGAAAGAAATATGGCTCACTGCATGCCAGGTGATATAAATTAATGTTATATATGATGAAATGTCCTTTTAGATATTATGTGTAATTTCGAGTATTAGGAAGTCCCAGTAGGCTATTTTTTTAGAAACCAATCTACAAGATTTCATCTTATATTCCTTCTTTTAAAAAAAGCACCAGGAAAAGGTTATATGAATAATCATATTTTTAACATAGCAGGTAGACTAAACATATAAAAAGTTATTAATAAGAGGCTGAAAATATCTATCACACAAATAACACGCAAAAGGTTAGCATATATTACATAAAAAGCTCATACTTTTTCTTTGGTAAAAAAAAAACAAAAAAACACCCAATGAAATCCCCAAAGATTCTTATAACAGGAGATATCATTTGTTAATATGCATACGGAAAAATGTTCAACTAAGCTACAAAGAAATTACATTTAAAGCATCTATGAAATCACCTCAGATTCTAGTTATGTGATCCTGGAAAAATTATTTAATCTCTCTGCTTCAAGTTTTTCATGTGTTAAATGGGGTAAAAATATGACACAGGCATACAATGAGAATTTAATGTATTTTTATGCATGTATTAACTATACATGAAAAATGCTGAAATACTACTTGGTCCAGAATACGAATTGTTACACTTATTTATTATCACGATTACCCCAAAATTTAAAAAGATGATAACATCACATCCTATAAAACATGGTGTGAAATGTGCATATGCCAGTCTTGCAGCTATTATGTAAATGGGAATAACTTTTTTGGAAATCAACCTAAAGTGATGGTTTAAGAATTGTAAACGTTTATGCTCTTAACACAATAATTCCAATTAGGGGTAGTTACCCTAAGAAAACAAATTCAAAGAGAAAATTATAACTCTATACACAACTTATATATTCCTCATACTCCTAGAATGCTTAAAATGTTTTTCATATGAAGAAATGTGATGCAGTTATGACAAACAATAATTATAAAGATGATTCAGCCAACCAAAACAACCACTATGATAAAGCAAGAAATGCAAATAGGAAATAAAATGGTCCCTGTAACAAAGACAATATTTTATGATTTTCCATTATCAGTAACTCTTTTTTTTTTTTTTTTTTTTTTGAGACAGAGTCTCACTCTGTCACCGAGGCTGAAGTGCAATGGCATGATCTCAGCTCACAGCAACCTCCGCATCCTGGGTTCAAGCAATTCTCCTGCCTCAGCCTCCTGAGTAGCTGGGATTTACATTTTTGTATTTTTAGTAGAGACGAGGTTTCACTATGTTGGCCAGACTGGTTTTGAACTCCTGATTTCAAGTGATCCACCTACCTTGGCCTCCCAAAGTGCTGGGATTACAGGTGTGAGTCACTGTGCCCTGTCCAGTAACTTCTTTCTCTGTGTCTCACCCCATCATGTGGCTCCAGGATAAAGGGAAAGGCAGATGCCACTTTGGGAAGGAATAGGATTTTATTCCTTGGAGGATAGAAAAAGGAAACTAATTCCCTGCTTTTTCCATTCCTATGGAGACAGAGAAGGAGTTACAGAAAGTGCAGCAACGAGGCATGCCTGTCATTACCTCTGCTCAGAGCAGAAATATTGGAGGGAGTGGGTGTTATTAGATACAATTATTTTGCCTTGTGTTGGAAAAGATCTTGACACATAATCTATGGGATGTTCAGTTCAACGAGGAGCTACTTAAAAGCTGTGACTGAGACCCAGGAAGGTGAGAGCTAAGATGGTGTCAAAAATACGGGAAGGTCGCCAAAAACAGGAGGCTTTCATGTCCTGCTCTCTATTTGGAACTTGGCATGGTGGAAAATGGAGAAGTCTGTCATGCACAGCAAACTTGTGGCAACACAGAGTAGCAGGATAAGCTTTGGTGACTGAGAGCCATGGAGCCACCATAAGCTCCCATTGGCATGGAATGGGTCCAGGGTAAGGGAATATGCAATATGAGCTGTGAGAGAATAAGGACATTGCTGAAAGTTGTGATGGTTAATTTTATGTGTCTGCTTCACCTTGTCACGTGGTGCCCAGATTAACCATGATTTCTGGATGAGTCAGCAGGTGTTTCCAGATGAGGTTAGCATTTGAATCAGTGAATTCAGTAATGTAGATGGTCTCCTCCAAGTGGGTGGACATCATCTAATCTGTTGAGGGCCTGAATAGAAGAAAAGGTGGAGGAAGGAGGAATTCACCCCTTTTATTTCCCACCTGCCTGCTTCAGCTGGACATCAGTCCTGTTTGTCCTTAAACTGGGATTACACCATCACCTCTGCTGGTTCTCAGGTCTTTGGTCTCAGACTGAATTGTACCCACTGGCTTTCCAGGGTCTCAAGCTTGCAGAGGAAACATCATGAGATTTAACTTCCATAATAGCATGACAAATCTCTTTATACACACACACACACACACACACACACACACACACATGAATTGTTATATATCTATACATATCTGACATATGTATATAAATATACATAAATACCTGTGTGTGTGTATATATGTATGAATTGTTATATATACATATATAGATCTACCGGTTCTGTTTCTCTGGGGAACTCTAATATAAGAGACTTTGATGAGGAGTTTGCCTTGTGTTGGGAAAGATCTTGACAGATAATCTATGGGACGTTCAGTTCAATGAGGAGCTACTTAAAAGCTGTGACTGAGACCCAGGAAGGTGAGAGCTAAGGTGGTGTCAAAAATATGGGAAAGTCGCCAGTCTCTGTCTAAGGCAAAACAACAAGTCGCAAATGCACTACTGCTTGGTCAGTAGACCCCAAAGTAAGGGACATTGGTAGGCAGAATAATGAGCTCTCTAAGATGTCCTTTTCCTAATCCCTTGAACCTGTGAATATATTACCTTAGATGACAAAAGGGCTTTGCAGATGTGACGAAATTAAGTATCTTGGGATGGAGATTGTCCTGGATTATACTTATGAGTCCACTGTGATCACAGGGACCCTTAGAAAGGGGTAAAGGGGAGGCAGGAGTGTCAGAGTCACATGAGACCAGAAGTCAGAATGACATGGTCATGAGCCAAGGAATATAGGCATCTAAAAACGTGGAACGTACCTTCTAGAATCTAGAAAAGGCAAGGGAACGTTTTCCCCCTATAAGATCATACAGAGGCATTATTTTAAACCACTAGATTTGTGGTACTTTGTTACAGCAGCAATAGGAAATTAATACAGGACCCACGGAATTGGTCTCTGCTAAAGGGAGGCCCAGGTCAGCCTCCCTTCAGTAGAGCCCAATAGGGATCCAGTAGGCGTCCTGTGGATTTCCAGTCCAGAGTGTGCCCTGAACCTGTGGGCTTATGGTGCTCTCATACCCCAGGCGCTATCTTGGGGAGCAGTGGGATGGCAGAGGCGTAAGTGGGGCGGACCTAAAAGTCACAGAGTATTTCTCAGAAAGGTACTGACTCACTTTCATGAGACAGTTTAAACCCAAACAGGCATAAATATTCCATGATGATCAAGTTTAAACTTTTCTTCCTGCTACTGAGTCGGAGGAGGCTCACAGGAAAAGAAATACTCCTAGAATTAAGCTGAGGCAGGGTGGGTAGCTACTCAGCTGTGAATCTGTGCAATGCTTACAAGTAGAAATAATGTTAACACCAAGTTTATGTCATCTGTCAGGTACCATCCCAAGCACTTTATATTTATTATCTAACTAAATGCTCATAACAATCCTGTGAGGAAGGTACTAAAATTACCTTCATTTTTACAGATGCAGAAACTCAGGTATCAAGAAATTAAACAATTTGCCAAAGGTGTCATGATTTTTCAGTTGTGGAGCCAAAATTTGGACATAAACAAGCCTGAAATGAAATACAGAGAAATGAAAACAGTTTGATTTATTCTGTTGGCAGGATTATAGATTTGTTCTTTTTGTTTTAATTTTTGTTAATGGCAAGATAAACCCATGATTGTACTTTTTTATATTTAACATTGGCAGTTTCCAATCTGTGAACAAATTGTATTCTGAAATTATCAGCCAGGGGAGTTTGAAAAGCATGCGGTTTGCACAGAGACTGCTGTGTTTGAATCTCTATCATTTTTTAGAGATGTTAAATTGGGAAACTTAATTATTATGATTCTCAAATTTTTTATTTATAAAGTGAAGATAATAATATCTGTATGGAAGCTGTTTTTTGAATACATGCCTGAAATGTAGTCACTCAACAAATGCACTTCCCTTTCCTCCAAAAAATCTTTATTTTGATAGTATTCAAAACTAACAACCCAATTTCCTATTTAAAACAATAAATTTCCTGGTGGTGTATATGTATTTCAAAACATCATGCTATATACCTTGAATACATACAATAAAAAATTGCAGTTCAGCCAATACATCCGTGTCGTTCACAATTCACTGGAAAGATTACACTAAGAATGTTATTCCAACTCCTCACACCTCATAGTCCTAGTATTGCTTCCACAGGATAATAAAACTTCAGTTACAACTTGGTACAACAAGGACACGTGCTGTAAGGCCCAGAAGTGAGAACGCTCTCTGCTCTCCTGTTTTCAGTGCCCGTCAGCTTGGCAATGAGCTCTCTGTAAGACTGTTGAAAACTTGCTGCTGGTGGTGAGTAGGGAGTGGGAATGGAGAAAGAAGAGGGGTGTAGGAGAGAGCATTTTCAAAAAGGGGTTGGGTAGATATTAAGTATTACTAGGCAATTTTAGTAAACTCTCTGCAGTTGTAGCTACTCTAGAGAAGATAAACTTTCTTGTGGTTTCATCATGGCTGAAGGATCACTGTTTCCATCAGGCCCTAGAGTTGCCTGTCTATTTCCCACTGATACGTAAGTCATTCATAAAATAGAGCACTTAAAGTAGATTCTCATGGACAGGGCAATGTACAAAGCCTTTCTCTAAGCTTATAGGTACATGTATGTATTCATTCACCTGTGAGAACCTACTCTGCGGTTAAGGATACTTCACTGTGTAGCAACATGGACATAATTACTTAATTAAAACATTGTTTCCCATGGAATGTTTTATCTGTGTTACACCCCAAACTGCTCTGTTTTAAATGATATAAAAATGACGTACTGGGTTGCGAGGCTAGGAAAAAAAAAAAGATAAAATCATCAAGTGAATAAATAAATGCATTCAGCCATAAGGCCAGCCATGAAAACTGAGCTAAATTAAAAGGCATGAGAAAGGTAAGAAGCATGCTATTAGATGTGATCTGAAAAGAGATAGAGGGTGGACGGTGTACTAATCAATCATGCCATCTCAAGCAGTCCTCCAGCAATGAATTCCAATATTTTTGCCCTAAGGTCATTGCCATGATTTCATAAAAGAAAGAAGGTAAACAGAGCTTTTCTGTAACTCCTGTTACATTAAAAGAAAAAAAAGATAGAAACACACAAGAATGTTTTTACTTCCCTGCCACCAATGGATCTATAAGGGTCTGTTACTTTTCAAAAATCTTAGGTTGACATCATCAAATGAGTTTTTCTTTTTCTTTGTTTTGTTTTCCTGCCTAGAGAACCAAGTTCCTGTATTTGTACTGTTGCCTTTATCACTGTGATTACATTCCTTCAGTCGAACAGCTTATTCATGTGAAACCATAAGGCATGAAATAAAGAATATCCCACTTTTCATGCTTCTCATCTTCAGTGAAACCATGACAAAAATAATGAAGACAAGACTAATATAAAATAACACTAGGGAGCTAGTTTTAATCATTTGAGACATCAGTGCTCTCTACCATTTTTTGCTCAAAGCTTCCTTTAAGATGACTGCTTTAGTAAATCCTGGACAGCTGGCATTCGGGTTGATTACATAATAGTTTGGGGGACACAGCTACAGAATTATAGCATTAGAATTTAGCAGGCTTAACGCACAAAAGTAATCATCAGCAGGAGTCCATGAGTTGTGGATGAAACTTGCTCTGTGCACACATCCAGGTCTCAAATGTTGGAAGGCACAGAGCAACCTCATATCAAGAAGATTAGCACCTAGAGGTTATATGAAAAATCTCAGTGAGCCCTGGATTAACTCTAAGCCTCAGTGTTTAATGGCTTGATGTAATGCAGCAATTTTCTACTATATCACCCAGGCCATACAGAATGACACAGCTGACAAGTAAACCCAAGGAATTGCCAGCTGACATCCGGGTCCTCTCAAGAAACTTTGCCTTCACAGACTTGCTTTGTTGGGACAAATGTGAGAACACACAAGTGAACAAGGGTGAAAGACACAAGAAACTAGCACAGGGTATACTGAGGGGGAAATTCTAAAGCAGGAAGAGATTATTTAGTTATCTTTCATTGCTTTTCAATCAAAAGATGATTTTTACACTGAATATTTTATTTATTTATTTTTTTTGAGACTGAGTCTCGCTCTGTCGTCCAGGATGGAGTGCAGTGACACGATCTTGGCTCACTGCAACCTCCGCCTCCCGGGTTCAAGTGATTCTCCTGCCTCAGCTTCCCTAGTAGCTGGAACTACAGGCATGCACCACCACACCTGGCCAATTTTTGTATTTTTAGTAGAGACAGGCTTTCGCCATGTTGGCCAGGCTGGTCTTGAACTCCTGGCCTCAAGTGATCTGCCCGCCTCACTCTCCAAAGTGCTGGGATTACAGGCGTGAGCCACTGTGCCCGGCCTACACTGAATATTTTATAAATGATATACCGATTTGGGCAGAAATTACTTTTGGCACATTGTATATATATGTGATCTCGTTAGCAGTAAGTGATGAGTAAATAAAGACAGTATGTAAGGACTACAACTTTGAGTTATTTTATTTCAAAGAATTATGTCCCTGAGCACCTGAAAACAAGGGCTAGGGGTGAGTGTACACAATTTAAATGGATCTGGATAAAATTCAAACTGCCCCCACCCCGGCTGTTTATTCTGCACGTGGCATCAAACATCTGAATATTTGGAAGTATTGGTTCTTTTTTTTTTTCTCAGATATTTTGAGGCTTCTGAGCACAGAGAATCAAGTTAACAGGAAGTATAGAATGAAATAGGTAAAGAGTGATTGCACCTAAAGAACTTTTTAACTTAAAGGGAGGAGATTAATGATGCTAAATTTAGGGTCTGGGGTAGAAATGCCAAGAAGGCAGCTTCGTCTCCCTTTTCTTTAGCTGCTTTTGAGATCTTTATGGGCTCAGAGAGTTCTTTTACTAACTACCTGGAAGTCATGTTTGTTGAGTGGACAAATAGTTATGCAAAGGGTTGAAGATAGCCGCAGGGCTGTCTTAAAAGGATTCCTAATTTTAAAAAGCCACATAGGCATTGCAAGGGAATATTTCTGTCAAACAGGGCTTTTGCTGTCCTTGCCTTTCATATTGTAATCATTTAAGTTAGCAACAAAAAGATGGGAGAAATGACAAAACAATCCTTAGAAATGTATCTGACTAAGAAAATGATAACCAAGATAAATCGGCAGGAAAACTTTTGTATTTGAGTGTCAATGCAGAATGAGTAAGCTTTCTAGAAAGTTCTTGGAGTATGGTTAAGCACTTGGTGCCAGGCTCGAGGCTAGACCATGCTGATGCTGTGAATTCTCCCTGGCTCCAGACAGACAGGTGGAGATAACATAAGTTGCCCATTTGCCTAGAAGAGCCTGAGATATGAACTTAGGGGCCAGGAGGGAGCAATGAGTCCATGCCTAGGGTGCTAAGTGCTACATCCCCACTTCTTTCCATAAGAAAAGTGGTGGCAGGCTAGGTGCAGTGGCTGACTCCTGTAATCCCAGCACTTTGGCAGGCCAAGGTGGTAGGATCACTGGAGCCCAGGTGTTTGAGTCTAGCCTGGGAAACATAGTAAGACCTTGTCTCTTAAAAAAATTTTTTTTTGATTGAACGGGCGTGGAGATCCATGTCTGTGGTCCCAGCTACTTGGGAGGCTGAGGCAGGTAGGTTGCTTGACCTCAGCTGTTCAAGGCTGCAGTGAGCTAGGATGGTGCCACTGCACTCCAGCCTGGGTGACAAAGCAAGACTAAGAAAGAAAGAAGGAAAGAAGGAGAGAAAGAAAGAAGGAAGGAAGGAAGGAAAGAAAGAAAAAGAAAGAAGGAAAGAAGGAAGGAATGAAGGAAGGGAGAGAGAAAGAGAGAGAGAGAAAGAAAGAGAAAAAAAAGAAAGAAGAAAAAAGTGGTAAGTGGTGAAAATTAGCTTGGGGGACAAGGCAGTGTGAAAGGATTGAGTTGAAGGAACTCTAATAAAATCCACACTGCATTTCTTGGCCTACTGCAACCACTTTTATCTCCCTGATTATTCCCTTATCCCACAGGATGCCTATTTCTTCTTTTATAATAATAATAATAATAATAATAATAATAATAATAATAAAGTAGGCAATGAATGATATGGACCCTGAAAACTTCACATAAGAAACTTCTCAAAAGCTCCCGTGTCATAAAAGGAACTCAGATCACGCCAAAGCATTTCATTAGGAAAACAAGTTAGAAGAAAATGTAAGACTTATCTATTCCTTCATATAGCATTTTCTTGAAATTTGTGTTGGAGGGTCTGTTTGGAATAGGCTTGACTGCAAGTCCAGTGGTGTGAGAAGCAAGGATAAGGAAAATGCAAGTCTAGAAAGCATAGAGGTGGCATTAATAAATGCAAGCAGAACTGTTAAAAACATGGAGGCAGGTGAAAACTTTTATTTGTACTGTATATATTTTAGCATCTGTTGTTTGAAGATGCATTTAGGAATTAAGATTTAAAACACTCAAAAAAGCAACTCCAAAAGATCCATATGGGTAGATTAAATTTCAAGATTCGGTAGCAAAATATTCTGATCATTAATGTTACCAACTGAGGAAAACTTTAATTTCTTAAGCTGAAAGATGAGCAAAATCTGCAGCTGCAGTTTCCCCAACTGCACTAAAAGTGCAATATATTGAGCACGGCCTGCTGTCATCGTGTTATTACATCAATTCTCCAGGTAATTACTCCGATGGAACATCACCAAGTGAGCAGATTTTCCTCTCCCTAAATCTTTAGGAAAATCTTAAATGCTTCAGGGTAGGTAGATTTTATTTAATTAATTATTTTCTTTACTACTGATTAATATGAATAAGCATCATTAATCAAAAACAATATTCATTTATTTGAGTTTTATAAAGACACCATTTCCTTCCTGTATGACTTCAGATTTTTGATCTTGGTTTTTTTGAGACAGAGTCTTGCTCTGTTGCCCAGGCCGGAGTGCAGTGGCATCATCTCAGCTCACTGCAACCTCTGCCTCCCGGGTTCAAGTGATTCTCGTGCCTCACTCTCCCTAGTAGTTGGGATTACAGGCATGCACCACCACACCTGGCTAATTTTTGTATTTTTTAGTAGAGATGGGATTTCACCATGTTGGCCAGACTGCTCTCAAACTCCAGGCCTTGAGTGATCCATCTGCCCTCGGCCTCCCAAAGTGCTGGGGGATTACAGGTGTGAGCCACCACACCTGGCCAGATTTTTTATTTTGTGGTTATTACTTCAAACATATGACCTTGTGGTTATCAAACCTAGGTAATGGGCTGAATTGGTTGAGACTTCTTTGTGACATGGTAAAAGATGTTAAAGTGGAAATGTTTCTGTCTTGGTTTTTACTGTGGTGCCAATACAATACCAAAGCAGCTATCAGACATGCCCTTCATAGGGAGAATTCTTTAGAATGAACTTCTAAAGAAATTGTTCTATGATTCTTGGATCACTCAACCAGACAGGTTGTAAAAGTAGGTCAGAGTGGAAAGAGGAAAGGATTTGGGAAGAGATTTCTTTGTACAGAGTCAGTGCTCTGATACTAGTCTAGTCACCACCTGGCAAATCTAAGGAGGAGGCTTCCCCGGGAGCATCTCATAGCTGCAGTTTGGAGACTTGCAGGGCCGAGTATTAACTCCTGCAAAAGAAGACTGCAGAAAAAGAAGTGGCTGCATTGGGTGCCCTGCTCTCCTGGAGTCTGTCAAGGCAAAGAGTGAACAGATGTTTCTCATGGACCAAATGTGGGTGAAGAGGAGAGAGAGATGGGTGGATTTGCCTTGAGTCCTGTGAAATGGTATAAGTTGGAGACACGGCAGGCCTCCAACAGCAAAACTCAGGAAATAAATGCTGGCTGCTTTGAGGCTGAGGAAGGAGTCACAAGTTGGCTACCACATCCATCTGTGTCAAGGGACTTTGTCGGAGACGCTGGGCAGGGTATGTCCAAAGAGCCTGAATAGGGGCTGCAAGAGTGTCCCCGTTGAAGATGCAAGGCCAATGTTGCACAGAACCTGTGTTTAATGGTATCAAGAAGGTCTTTCCAGCCCTCTCACTCCTTTCTGCACCTGCTCCTAGGGATAAGAAACCAAGGAGTTTGGGTGGGGTGGGATGATTACTGCATTGCAAGGCAGGGAAATCAAGTTCTCTTCTCTTCTATATCTCAGGCATTCAGTTTGAGGCAGGGGCAAATTGCTAAGTGAGAGCCGTTGCCCTTACAATAGTTTTTATATATTTTAATTTTTCAAAAAGAGACTGCTTATTCCAATTTCTGAATGGAGGAGGGCCGAGTATTAACTCCTGCAATGAGATTGTGTTTGCAATGGGCCTTAGGGACATTGATTGCCTAAGATGGAGCAGAAAGTCAGGAGCCTGCTGGGACTTGCCTCCTGAGGCAGCTGAGGTTACCTACCTTGACTAAAGTTTATAGGGATGATGAGAGAGAAAACTCAAGTTGCGTGTTTTTTTGTCATTTTTTGTTTTGTTTTGTGTTTTTGAGGCAGGGTCTTGCTTGGTCACTCAGCCTGGAGTACAGTGGTGTGAACGTGGCTCATGGCAGCATCAACCTCCTGAATTTGAGCATTCCTCCTGCTTCAGCCTCCCATGTAGCTGGGACCACAGGCAGGCACCACCACACCCAGCTAATTTTTTAATTTTTTTTGTAGAAATGGGGTCTCATTATATTGCCCAGGCCGATCTCGAACTCCTGGCCTCAAATGATCCTCCTGCCTCAGACTCCTAAACTTCTGGGATTACAGGTGTGAGTCACTATGTCTGGCCTAAGGTTGTGTTTTGATGCGTCAGCAGCTGTGCTGATTACAATATCTAAAGACCTGTGTCACAATCGCTCTGGTTGTTTTACTGTTCATCCTTTCAGGATCCTGCTGCCGAACACATTGGCTGGCTCAGTTACCAGTGGACTAAGCTGGGCTGATCCACATGGCACCATATTAGAACCTGAGACAAAAGAAAGTCAGTAACAGTGATGTTGTCCTTGTGTAATATTCTGATATTTTATCATCATGAATTTATTTGAATTCATTTTTATTTAAAAGTATTACTTTAAATATTATTTATCTTGATTCCAGTTTTTGGTGTTCCCTTAAATTTGTGCTTAAGGTGAGTGTCTTTGGTCTCGTCATACTAGTCCTGGCTCTGTTTGGAGCAGTTAATTTTTCCAGGGGAAGAAAACTTAGTTTCTATTATTTATGGTAACAATCTTTTTCTCTCCCTTCCTCATCCATTATCATTTTGCTGCTAGATTTTTTTGTTGTCTCCGGACCCCTCAGGAGACTGTCACTTTCCAACCCACCCACAGATCAAACCCAATAAGTCACTGCACTGTTGCTGCTTGGGATAAAGTTACAATTGTAAATGTAACTAAAGGTAACAGGAGCTTTTTTTCTCTAATAATAAAACTTTTATTTTAATGTTGCAAACCAGGGGTTGATAAGCTTTTTCTGCGACGGTCCAAATAGAAAATAATTAAGGCTTTGCAGGCTATGTGGTCTCTACTGCAACTACTCAGCTCTGCCATTTTAGCACCAAAGCAGCCACAGAAAAAAACATGAATGATTGGTGTAACTGTTCCAATAAAACTTTATTTACAAAACAAGTGCAGGCTAGATTTGGCCCACAAGTTTTAGTTTGCAAACCCCTGTAATTTACGAAGGGATAAGAATGTTTGGGACAATTGCTTTAGAGATCTGTATGTCACTAAGATTTTTTTTTACTATGGAGGCATTGATTTAGCTTTGTTTTAAAATTAATCTTTCTGATATGTAAACACCTATCAGGTAATAAATGGCTACCTTTTTAAATAACAACTCCATATTATTAATCTATCCATATGTGTAGATTATGTAAATTAATTCTTAGAACATCTGTGCAATTGTTATTATTCCCACTTCAAAGATGAGATAAGGGTCATAAGTCAAGCAGCTTGCCTATGGCCACAGAGTGAGTCTTCAGTAGATTTTAGATATGAGGCATGTCTGTCAAACTCCAAAGCCCATGTGAATGCCCCTCCGTGGCCCTGTGCCCCTCCACTAGAGTCCTCCTGTTGGAAAACACATACAGGGTAACTTAATTAGAGCACACTTTTGGACTAATCTGGAAGAAAAAAATAAGGAAGCCATGGTCTTAAACACTGACAGATTACCCAGAAATGAGATCAGCAAGCCAAGGGCAATTATTTTGATGACCTCAAATTGAACTCAAATTGAAGGCTAAGAATCAGTTTCCATATTTATTTATTTATTTATTTATTTATTTATTTATTTATTTATTTTTTGAGACAGGGTCTCACTATGTTGTGCAGGCTGGCCTTGAGCTCCTGAGTGCAAGCAATCCTTGCACTTCAGCCTCTTGAGTAGCTGGGACTACATCCAGCTCAGGATAGTTTTGACTCTATTTGGCTTATGGAGCTCAAACTGGGCTCAGATGCTTATTTCCTATGGAAGTTGGTACATTTTGTTTTATACTTAGCCACAAAAGTGAATGACCCTGAGTACTTACTATAATGTACCCTTAGGTGACTCACTTCTACATTTTCTAATTATGTTAACTATTTTGGTGGAGAATGACCTGAATATACCTCTTAGACTTGGACTTAGGTTTTCACTGGCAACCTTAAGCTTTGTTGAGGTGGAAAAAACTAAGGGAAGCCTAAAACATATATATTTGATCTCTGTATTTGGAAAAACAACACACACATTTATATATGGACACACACATGTGTATATTCTTGTGTGTGTATGTGTGATAGTGTAAATGCAGTTCTTCAATATATATTCTGCTTTTCTTGGAAACAGACTTGCCCTTTGAGAATTCATTGTTGCAAGCTTTCTACTTTTCAAAATATTAGATCTTGTATGAGTTCTCACGCTGCTAATAAAGACATACGTGAGACTGGGTAATTTATAAATGAAAGAGGTTTAATTGACGCACAGTTCCACATGGCTGGGGAGGCCTCACAATCATGGTGGAAGGCAAAGGAGGAGCAAAGTCACGTCTTGCATGGTGTCAGGCAAGAGAGAGCGTGTGCAGGGGAACAGCCCTTTATAAAACCATCAGATCTCATGAGACTTGTTCACTATCATGAGAACAGCATGGGAAAAACCCACCTCCATGATTCAATTCAATGGGTCCCTCCCATGACGCATGGAGATTATTATAATTCAAGGTGAGATTTGGGTGGGGACACAGTCAAACCATATCAGATACATTCAATTCCAAACTCTTTTTGATTTTAAAATGGCTTCATGTTTTAGTGAATTGTTAATTATTAGGATGACATATAAGGATATATTTTAGCCTCAACTGAAACAAAATAGCAGCACTGATCAGCTTGTCTCTCTCTGTCAGTCTGCTCGCTGTGCCTTGTATGAGGAAGGCAGTGGAGAGGAAGGTGTATGTTCCCCTGCCTTTGGAGCATCTACCTAATGCAGACATTGTTTCCAATTTTCTTCAAGAGTAAAGTTGCCTGTTTTGTGTTATGTAGAAAATGGAGGAAAAGTTGTCCCCTTTTTTCTTTTTCTTTTTTTTGAGACAGAGTCTCACTCTGTCTCCCAGGCTGGAGTGCGGTGGCATGATTCCAGCTCATTGCAACCTCCGCCTCCCAGGTTCAAGAGATTATCCTGCCTCAGCCTCCCGACTGGCTGGGATTACAGGCACCCACGACCACGCCCAGCTAATTTTTGTATTTTTAGTAGATACCGGGTTTCACCATGTTGGCCAGACTTGTTTCGAACTCCTGACCTCAGGTGATCCACCCGCCTCTGCCTCCCAAAGTGCTGGAAAGTTCTAACTTTTTAACATGTTTCTGGGATATTAAAGTGCTATCTATATGTCTCTTTGCAGAAACCCTGAGAGCTCAGGAAAATGAATTTGTGAGAGTAATTAGGCTCAAATTTCTAAAGCACAGAAATTCTGGCCAAATATAAGTTCCTAAATAAAATGAAAAACTAGAGCAGTGAATGTTAGAGAGAGCTGGGAAGCAAGAGGTGACCTTTCTGGCTGGTTGGCTCTGGGATGTGCCATCTAGACTTTCAACACTCTCAAATGGCAAAGAAGGCCCTACACAAATAAATCATTGATTGTATTATGATGAATGTCTTCAAATGTTCATTTTTATGTTCTAACATTATAGGGCCACTTCATTAAACACCAAGCAAAACATCATCTCGCAATTAGTTTAGCAATGCCCTGGCTATTTTGTGAGCATGCTTGACCCAGGTTGTGTGATCCTTTCAAAGCCTTCTATTGTTTTCATTTTTCTTTTTTATTTAAACCACTTTGTTTTGGTGAGATCTTTTCATCTCTGGTTCCTACATAATTCTGCATATATTTTCCTTTAATAATATTTCAACTAGTAGCACAGTTTCCAGAGAAGCCTGAGAAAATTAAAAATGCTAAAGAAATATCTTGATATTTTGCAAAATTATATCTAGCATTCACTGGTTTCAAATATTTGCCTTTTCTTCCCTCCCTCACCAACGATTAGAACAAATAGAAAACATGTGGGAGTTAAGACCTCATTACAGTAATCCTTTCTTTGGTTTCTCTCAGGGAAAAAGATTTCACAGATTAGTAAGAACTGGTCAGGTTTTATTTTATCTTGTATTTCTTAAGTTCATGGAAGAATGCTTATAATGATGTAACAAAACAAAGTATTCTTTTTTATGTGTTTTTCTTTTGAAACAGGGTCTCATGCTGTCACCCCGGCTGGAGTGCTGTGGCATGCGCATAGTTGACTGCAGCCGTGACCTCCTGGGCCCAAGTGATCTTTCCACCTCAGCTTCTGGGGGAGCTGGGACTACAGGGGTGCCCCACCATGCCTGGCTAACTTTTGTGTTTTTTTGTAGAAACAGGATTTCACCATGTTGCCCATACTGGTCTTGAACTCCTAAACTCAAGCGATCTGCCTGCCTAGGCCTACCAAAGTGCTGAGATTATGGGTGTAAGCCACCACACCCTGACTAACGAAGTATTTTTTTTTTATTATTATTATTACTATTATTATTATTATTATTTAATTATACTTTAAGTTTTAGGGTACATGTGCACATTGTGCAGGTTAGTTACATATGTATACATGTGCCATGCTGGTGCGCTGCACCCACTAACTCGTCATCTAGCATTAGGTATATCTCCCAATGCTATCCCTCCCCCCTCCCCCCCCCTACCACAGTCCCCAGAGTGTGATATTTCCCTTCCTGTGTCCATGTGATCTCATTGTTCAATTCCCACCTATGAGTGAGAATATGCGGTGTTTGGTTTTTTGTTCTTGCGATAGTTTACTGAGAATGATGGTTTCCAGTTTCATCCATGTCCCTACAAAGGACATGAACTCACCATTTTTTATGGCTGCATAGTATTCCATGGTGTATATGTGCCACATTTTCTTAATCCAGTCTATCATTGTTGGACATTTGGGTTGGTTCCAAGTCTTTGCTATTGTGAATAATGCCACAATAAACATACGTGTGCATGTGTCTTTATAGCAGCATGATTTATAGTCATTTGGGTATATACCCAGTAATGGGATGGCTGGGTCAAATGGTATTTCTAGTTCTAGATCCCTGAGGAATCACCACACTGACTTCCACAATGGTTGAACTAGTTTACAGTCCCACCAACAGTGTAAAAGTGTTCCTATTTCTCCACATCCTCTCCAGCACCTGTTGTTTCCTGACTTTTTAATGATTGCCTTTCTAACTGGTGTGAGATGATATCTCATAGTGGTTTTGATTTGCATTTCTCTGATGGCCAGTGATGATGAGCATTTTTTCATGTGTTTTTTGGCTGCATAAATGTCTTCTTTTGAGAAGTGTCTGTTCATGTCCCTCGCCCACTTTTTGATGGGGTTGTTTGTTTTTTTCTTGTAAATTTGTTTGAGTTCACTGTAGATTCTGGAAATTAGCCCTTTGTCAGATGAGTAGGTTGCGAAAATTTTCTCCCATGTTGTAGGTTGCCTGTTCACTCTGATGGTAGTTTCTTTTGCTGTGCAGAAGCTCTTTAGTTTAATTAGTATTCTTAATATTCATGTTCTTATCTCTGAAGAGTAACACGCAACTCCACCAGTCTATGCCTGTGCAATATGCCATCTTCCTTCCCTAGGCATCTCCTTACCACTTACAGTAAATTTCTTGAAGTTCCTATGATAGCATTCTCCCAAGTCTTTGTATGACTGGTTATCTCATTTACTTTAAATATGTTCCTTGGAAGAATCAACCACTTAAGTTGATAGCCATCATTATCAAATATATGTTCATTCATTTATCATCTATATACGCTGCATAAAGACCCTGAACCAATGGAAAAATCAAAAAGATCAATTGTAATGGAGCAGATGCTTCTAGACAAGGTGCACATCTGGGAAGGCAGGGACAGGGGAAGCTCTGTGGCAGGACCCCTCAGTTGCAGCAAAGGGGTTGGTGGTTTGAAGAGTGGAGCAAGTTTGTATGTATGCTAAATCTAATTTTTTAATTTTTTGTTTACTTTACAAAAATATCTTCAGGAGGCTCTTTTATCCATCTTTATATAGGCTTACTGTGTTCATGTGTAGCCAGAGGACAGACAAATCTCCCAGGTTTAGGAATTGTGACAAGATGCCAGCTAGACCCTCTGCATTTGTGGACATTACCTGTGGTCTTGATGGCTTTTTTTCTGAATTGACAGTACTGGGAATGTGGCATTTATTGTTTTGGTTTTATAGTATCTAGGCTTTAGTATTAGTAACTATGAACACAGGAAGACTGAAAGCTCACAACCTTCCTTCTGGAGCTGTAGACCCAAATCTGGAAATTAATCTGTCAGCAAGCATGCAGGAGGTAACAAGGTGGAAGAGTGGAAAGACCAACAATCAGGTTCCAATATGAGTCAATATAAAAGAGTTTATTTTGTCTTTTTGTTTTTCCATAAAGAGTCTATCATGGTAATATGGGTTTGCTTTAGGGCCAAGGTCGCTGGCAAACAAACTCTCTAGTAGCCCCAAACCAAACAAGAGTGGTGGTAAGAGATGAAACTGGAGCTGCTTCCACCTTTATATTCCCTCTTCTTCTGTCCAAGATCTTGGACTACACTTTGTTGCAAAGATTCTTCCTAATCCTATAATGCCTTTCTATTCACTCTCTTTCTCTGACCAGAATATCATACTCTTTCACCCACTAAAGAACGATGTCTACTAGAAATAATATGTGGCAGTCAGTGTTCAGGTACTGGAATGGAAATTTGTGGCTCAGCCTTGGAAAACCCAACAATATTTTTTTGTCCTCAAGACCTAGCAGTGTGTCCTTGGCTCTGACTCTCTCTAGCAACTACACTCTCTCTCTCTATAGACAGACAGATAGATAGATAGATAGATAGATAGATAGATAGATAGATGGATAGATGGATAGATATAGTGTGTGTATATATATGTGTGTGTGTGTATATGCGTGTGTATATATGTGTGTGTGTGTGTGTGTATGTGTATATACATTGAGCACGAAAGTTTTTGAAAGAGTAGCCTACACCCACATCTGTACTTCTTTAACTAGTAGGTACTTCTAAATTCAATTGATCACTACAATGTAACTGTTGTTACTAAAGTGATCAGTGACCAATTCTATGCCAATTACAATGGTCATTTTTCAGCTACTGCCCACTTGGCTCCTCCATTCCATTTGACATTATTGGTTGATCTTTGTTTCCTAAAACCTATCTGGGTTCCTCTCTCATCTCCTCTCTTATCACCAATTATTTTTTATTTGCTTTTCCTATCTTCCTTTTAATTGCTCATGTACCTCAGGCTTTTGTTCTTGTCCTTCTTTGACTTACAAATCTTTCCTAGAAGATCTCAAACACTTTAAAGTCCATAAGAATGATGACTAGTATATTGATATTTATAAATATTGTATCAATAATTTAACAACTAAATGATATAGTGCATCAATAATTATCATTTATTGAGTCTGTACTCAATTCTGGGTAATTTATATATTTATTGTGACATTTACACATGTATTAATTTACTTCTTTTGGAGCATTGAAAATGCAACAATATTCTCTATATTTGAAAATTGAGAAAACTGAATCTCAAAGAGACTGTAACTTGCTCCAAGCCACACAGCTAGTGAGCGGCAAAAGTAGAATTTGCCACTCACTGGCTGTGTGCAAACCCCTTCTGTTTGCAAAGCCCATCCTCTTTCTACCATGACATGCAATATGGTTTGGCTCTGTGTCCCCACCCAAATCTCACCTTGATTTATAATAATCCCCACGTGTTGTGGGAGGGACCTGGTGGGAGGTAACTGAATCATAGGGGTTGTTTTTTTCCATGCTGTTCTTGTGATAATGAATAAGTCTCACGAGATCTGATGGTTTTATAAAGGGGAGTTCCCCTGAACATGCTCTCTTGCCTGCCACCATGTAAGACATCCCTTTGCTCCTCCTTCATCTTCCACCATGATTGTGAGGCCTCCCCAGCCATGTGGAACTGTGAGTCCATTAAACCTCTTTCCTTTATAAATTACTCTGTCTCAAGTATGTCTTTATTATCAGCATGAGAATGAACTAATACAACATGTTATGTCTCAGTGTATTCTCTACTTTAAAATCTATTCCTATGTTAGTTTCTCCACTGACAATTGATTTGCCCATTTAATAAAACAAACCGTTATGGGATCCCCTTGTGTGGCAATCACTAGGATAGACACATAACACAGAAGAGACCTGGTTTCTCTTGGGCTTTCATTTCCACAAGTAACTAAATTAGATTCTGTTCAAAAAAGATTATCTTTCTCCTTCACCAGCCATATCAGCAGGTTCTCCTCTATTCCCTATCTCATTGCTTCTCAGCCCTGGATCCCCAGCAGTTTCCCCTTTGAGGCTTGGAAAAAAAGCAAATACCTGGCTTTCACCCAAGTCCTGCTATTTCGTAACATCTAGGAGTGGGTCAGGGGCAACTTTACTGGTGACTTTTGACATACAGACAAGTTAGAGAACTCTTTTCATGTTTCAAATCATGGCATTATCTGATCTCTTGGAGTTGCTCTAAAAACTTATTTATAACCCCCTCCCCATATTCATTTAGTTATAACATTCTGCAGATGCCATTTCTCAAGTGTCTTTTAAAGACATCAACTGTTTCTTTCATTGAAAGTACTATATTTTATATTCTCGTCATTTTTTTTCTAGATACTGAAATAGGTTTTAAGCAAATCTTTCCATCTCCCCTCTTGAATAGATCTACACTACCACCACTGTGATACTTTCAGAATGTGTATTTAATAATACCATTGCCCAGCTGTAATCCTTCCATAGTACTTGTTACCTGTAGGATAAATTCCAAACCCTGCAGGTTGGTGTGTAAACCTTTCAACAATGTATCTATCACCACTCTATTTTTGCAACCTAGCCTCATCCCCTACCTTGGTCCTTATTAAGCTTCAATAAAATTGTTTACCTGTTTAATGACCAAATGAAAATAATGGATTTAGGATATAGTCACACAAACCATTTCACTGCTTTCTCCATATGCAGCAGGACAAGATACTATGCAATTATCAACACAGGTATAAGCCTACTTCTGAAAATATTTTGAAGTATGTAGCTTTCTAGGTGAAAATATTTTCTTTATATCCAATATTATTCCTTTTTCCTCAGCTTTATTGAGGCATAGTTGAGAAATGAACATTGTAAACATATAAGGTGTGCAATGTGATAGCTAACTTATAAAATGATCCTCACAAACTAACACATCCACACATCCATCACTTCACTGATGTGACATTTGTGTGTGTGTGTGTGTGTGTGTGTGTTGAGGACAGATCTACTGTCTTAGCAAATTTCAATTATACAGTACAGCATTATTAACTATAGCCACCAAGCTATGCATTAGATCTCCGTAACTTATTCGTCTTATAACCAAAAGTTTGTACTCATTGACAATTTCCTCATTTCTCCCACCCCACATTCCCTGGCATTCACCATTCTACTCTTTGCTTCTGTGAGTTCAACTTCTTTAGATTCCACATATAAGTAAGATCACATTAGTGGGTGCAGCGCACCAGCATGGCACATGTATACATATGTAACTAACCTGCACAATGTGCACATGTACCCTAAAACTTAGAGTATAATAAAAAAAATAAATAAATAAGATCATACAGTATTTTTCTTTGTGTCTGACTTATTTCAATTAACATAATCTCTAGGTTCATCCACGTTGTCTCAAATGGCAGGAATTCCTCCTTTTTTATGGCTGAATCATATTCCATTATATAGATATACCACATTTTCTTTATTTGTTCCCATGATCCAGCAATACTACTTCTGGGTATATATCAGTAGTAAATAGAATCAGTATCTTAGTGAGCTACATGCACTGCTATGTTCATTGCAGCATTATTCACGATAGCCAAGGTACAGAAACAACCTAAGGATAGTATTTTTCCTGATATTTAATGTGATGAACTCAGGTTCTGATGGAGACAGGGTGATCACAATAATTATCCCTCTTACAGTTGCAGAGAGGACTGAGTTAACAACAATGTCTGAATTATTCAATCACTTTTCTAAGAGTAGAATAACACAAACACTGCGTTTGGGGTGTTTAAAAAGTATCTGTCTTCCTCCTTATGATGAATACTTCCTAAGGGCAGGACTTGTGCTACTTCATTTATCCAGGCAACTCTTCCACCCGTGGACAGTGTTCAGGGAGTAAGTAGATGTTCAGAAAATATTTTCAACTGCCTGTCTGATTTGCGTTTATATAAAATATTTCTAAAGAGCAATTACTGTCCCCCACTTGTTCATCGACATGCTGGTGCATGTGGAGGCGCCTCACTGTATCTCTGGGATTTTAGCTGAATGACTTGTTCAGATTTCCCAGCTATTACCCCACTGCTCTATTCACTACTGTGGAAGACAGACGATGAATGAAAAAAAGATCCCATTGCTATTTTTGACAATTTAATAAATGTATATTTTGCATAATTTATAATTAAGTCTCAAGTTTGTGGACTCTTATAATGTGCTCTAAACATTTGAGTATAGATTCATTGGATCGAGAATACTCTCTTCAGTAATGACTTAAAATTCAGTAGTTCAGAGGAAAATATATAGGGATGTGTGTGTGTGTGTGTGTGTGTGTGTGTATTTATACACCTGTAATATATATATATGTGTGTGTGTATTTATACACCTGTAATATATATGTGTGTATTTATACACCTGTAATATATATGTGTGTGTGTGTATATTTATACACCTGTAATATCTAATATATATATAATATATATATAAAGTCAATTGCAGGTGTTTCATAGAGAAGCTCTTTAAGGCTGACTGAAGCAACTGACATGTATCCTCATGCAAGTGATAAGATTACCTTTCTCATTATCTTGGCTTGTCAAACTCAGAAAGTTATTAATAGATGCAAAATGATCCAGTCTTTTTAAAAAATCCAGCTACTGTACTCATTTCATGACCTCTTACTGCAGAGAAGTCCATATACCCAGTTAATGAAGTATTACCTATTATTAGGTCTAAATTTACTGCCTACTAATTTCATTAAGTGTCTCTCTGCTCTCATATTATAGAATAGGATAAAAGGGAAAACTCATTCATTTTCACCATGTCCTTCATTCTTTGGAATCCCTTATATAGTTCTCTTCCTTTTCTCATTTTCATGCTTAAAAATTTGTCAGTTTGCATTTTGAAAGGGCGGATTATTAGTGTGTTTTTCAAAAGTAGATATGTAATAACTAAAGCCCTCTCCCATATTTATTTCTAGAAAAAAAACTAGCCAGAAAACAACAATTATGTGTTAATTCAGATTTATTTCTGGGAGGCTTGAACAGTTATTGTGGCAGAGCAGCATGCCTGTTTGCTAGTTTTCAGTTCTGTCTTGGATAAGGTCCTTTCTGTCTTCTGGAAGGTTGTCAAATATCATTAGGGGGTCTCTCAGTGATGCTTCATTGTGCATTCTGTATCTTTTATTTCTCTAGTAAAATTTTGGTTGCCTATAAAGTGACTATGATGCTTCCTGTTTTTCTCATAACAGGTAGAAAGATCTGTAGCTTTGTATAGTATGAAATGACAAAGAAAGACCTGTTATTGAAATACAATTGAATTTTAATTAGCCATACCATCTAAAGCCTCCATTATGGTGAAGCTAGTAGAATAAAGACTGGGTATTTTGTTACTTTTCCAGGGTATGAGGAGGCAAAGATTGTATGTAGTTACTTGGTAGAATACTACTGTCTGCCATCTTAAAAATACTTTTAATAAGAAGATCCCTATTATATTTTACTCTGGCTGAATTCCCTGTGAAAAGCATTGAAGGGTTGGAGTAGAGGAAGGACTAAGTCATAAGCTCTCTCTCTCTCTCTTCTATTAATAAGTCCTTCATCCCTAGATAGTGCTAGTCTTTCTAGAGATAATATGACTGTGAACTTCAAACAGCCACTATCCAGCAGAAGTCACAATGACTATGAATAAAATCATTCATTTTGTTGAAGTTGCAATTTCTTGGTATCATCAAGTTAGTGTACTTATTCTTTCTCATCTACCTATTTCTGAAATTGTAACTTGTATAATGTTGACCAGTAGCAATATACCCTCTACTATTGCCTAGAGGACATGCCATTGTGTTGCTTAAATGGGAGGGTCTCTTCTCAGGACAAGGAGCAGTTACCAGTTCAGATGAATGTTGACTTTGCAGAATAAATACAACTGAGAGAAGATGACGATGAGAGAAAGAGAGAGAGAGAGAAAGAGAGACAGAGATCTGGTTATAAGACAGAGCTGCATTCCTATCCAAGTGCTAACCAATCCTATTTCTGGGTAGTTATCCAAAAGAATGGAAATCAGGATCTCAAAGAGATATTAGCACTGCATGATCATTGCAGCACTATTCACAGTGGCCAAATGTGGAAGCAAACTAAATGTCCATTGACAGATGAGTGGGTAAAGAAAATGTGGTATATGTATTTATAGACAGTGAATTATTATTCAGCCTCCAAAAAGGACATTCTGCCATTTGCCACAACATGGATGAACTTTGAGGATATCATGCTAAGTGAAATAAACCGCTAACAGAATGACAAATACTGCATAATTCCACTTACATGAGATGTCTAAAATAGCCAAATTTATAATATCAAATCATTAAATGGTAATTGCCAGGGGCTGGGGGAGAGGGAAATGGGGAGTTACTAATCAACGAGAATAGCATTTTATTTAAATGATGAATAAGTTCTAAAGATTTGCCAGGTAACATTGTACCTATAGTCAAATATGAAATTAATAAAGTAAAACGAACACAAAAACAGAACTGCAGCGTTAAGCAGCCTTGCCAGAACTAATGAGAACAAATGGATTGCCATCCATCTGTAATCTTCAATAAGGGCATTGAAGGGAGGAGGGATGTCCCAGCAGAGAGCAGATGCCATGAGCCAAGGCAGGTCCTGAGGGTAGGTTCCACCTCAGGTCTGTCAAGAATGAATTCACAGTTGGTGGCAACTTTCTAAGTGGCATAAGGATTTGCTGCAAGTGGCCTACTAATCTTTATTTCCCTAGCTTTCCAATGTATTAGAACTGTTCCTACCTGTAATTCCTAGAAAGGTTTCTGTGAACTTGATCAAAACCTGACTGATAATGGTTTTGGTACTGAAAGTGAGGTGCCGCTATATCAGTGACCTGAAATGTTTTTCACTTGCTTACAAGCAGTAAAGAAACTGATTTTGGAGGCTGAAAAAATAGTGGCCCATGTTATGCAAAATATTTTAAAAATACTATCATCTGCTACATCTTGAAAGATAGACTTTGCACCTTCTCAGCTTGTAGCTCTAGGGGAAGAGGATGGAAAACAGAACTGTAGTAGTATATACTTGCAAGTGTTAGTCGAATTGGCAATGTATTTTAAGAAAGAGATGAGTCCAGGAAAGAATTATCTAGTTTGCAAGCAGACATGAAAAGATGGATAGCATCCTAAGATTCAGGGCCTTGAAAACTTGAAAAAATATACTGCTTCTAGAGATTTTAAAAAGGATTTTGCATAACAAAGATTGAACAGAGCTTCTCAGCTGGATCAAGTGACTCATGGAGCTCAGATTAAGGATGTAATTGTCCCTCTCACTGTTTTATATAACATCAAGGTAGTTATCATACATTGGGAATTATGTTTAAAAAGTTTTTTGATGGTAGACATGAGTACATGGAGTCGGCTGAAGACACATGGATTTGTAACCCACTAAGTTATTGAGAAAATTACATTGACAAATAATTCATGAGCCTATACCAATAAGACCTTTGTCCAACACTTAAAACAACCATTGGGCCTCCAGCCCTCCTTGAATGTAAGACTTGTAGGGCTGTGAAATGCCTTCAAGTAGAGCATGTTTCTGACCCCTGGACCACAGATGTTGCCAGGGAGGATAATGAATAGGGAAGAGCCCCCTAGAATATGAGCCAAGAGCCACTAAGCACAATGAACCAGGATGTTCCTCCTGACAGCAGAGTCAGGGCTGATGTAAGGAACCTCCCCTCTCCCCTGTATGGGGGAGTGGAGACTTCACAAATTCTTCCAGAGGGATATAAACATTGCCATGAAGCAGTGACTGCTTTGTGCCCACATTATTCTCCTTTGGATGCATTCTGTCCTTGCTCCAGTATTTTACACTGGGAGAATGTGTAGGGAGCCAAACCCTTCCATTTTTAACCCAAAGATTGCCATGTAAAGAAGAGCTATTTATAGATCATGTGTAGGTTTATATACACTATTCTGACATCCCAGACTCTCAGCTGGATGCAGTGACTAGCTGGGTTGTCTCCCTTAGGGAGGGGTTGAGGGTGTTCTATATGTGGGAAATCAGATAAAGGGTTTGGGATTTCTATATGGGCACACTGTGGCAGAAACAATAAGATATATCATCATACACATTTCCTCTTCACAATTGGTAAGAAAAACTAGACTTTCAGGTTTCCTTGCTCATAGTTTGGTGGACATGTGGCTGAGTTATGAATAACGAGATGTGATTCAAAGAGATGGAAGCCAAGAGGTCCTCTAGCTTCTCTTATCCAGGCAGTGATGGTCACGCATTGACGGGTGCGGTGACACAGGTAGGCGAAGCTGGGTCACAGAGTCACTGCTAGGATCTCGGATTAACCTTTACTGTGTTATGCCACTGAGCTTGTACTGTCTTGACTTACCATGCAATTGAAGCTAAGTCCTTGCTACTTTTTTTGGGGGGGTGGTGGGGTGGGTGGGAGATGGAGTCTCACTCTGTCAGGCTGGAGTGCAGTGGTATGATCTCAGCTCGCTGCAACCTCCATCTCCCAGATTCAAGCAGTTCTCCTGCCTCAGCCTCCCTAGTAGCTGGGACTACAGGCACACGCCACCATGCCTGGCTAATTTTTTGTATTTAAATAGAGATGGGGTTTCACCGTGTTGCCCAGTCTGGTCTCAAACTCCTGAGCTCAGGCAATCTGCCTGCCTCAGCCTCCCAAAGTGCTAGGGTTACAGGCATGAGCCACCATGCCTGGCCAATCCTTGCTACTTTAAGCACATTTAATTATATCATTCTGTCCTGAATAAGATTCAGTTTGAGCTAAAGGTTTACCACTTTGGGTACATCTGACATCCTTCTTGTCCTAGCTGAATTACAATGATGAGACCTGCACATCTTTGGATGAGTATTTCCATTTTCATTTTTCCATTATTTTAAATAAAAAATTGGAGTAAAAATTAGTAGGAGACTTCAGTAATTTCTTAAACCACCATAGATAGAGAGGGCAACCTCATACAAATAAATTGTTGGCTGGCAAGAAAAGTTACATAAATACTAACCTACATACATATAAAAATAATTCAACCCATGAAAGGTAGTGAGATAATATCACTGTATAAGGTGGTTTTGCTCAAAAACAAGGAATACCTGTAAAATAAGTAATATATTAATTGTACTGCACAGAGTGGTATCAGCAATTTTCTTCAAAACATTTTATCAACCTCTGCTAGACTTGGTTTAAAAACATCTCTAGGCGTTGTTAAACATAGAAACTCGAGCTGCATAGACCATTGCAGATATTTCTGCAGTGAGGAAAATGTTCTATATCTGTGCAGTGCAATAGCCACTAACCACACATATGGCTGCTAACAATTGCAATGTAGCTAGGGCAACTGAGGAATTAATTTTTTATTTTATTTAATTTTTATGAGTTAAGTCTGAATAGTATCATGTGGTGAGTAGCTACTGAGTTGGACAGCATAATTGTAGAGCTCACCTGCTCATTAGAGTTAAGATTCTGTGCCCAAAGTGGGAAAAACCTGGTAAAATACCTGCAACATCTTATTGGGGCTTATTTCTTTCTGGGCATCTACACATTATCCAAGGTCAATGTTAACAGCCATTTTACAAATGGTGTTAAGAACTAAGAAAGCGCAAATGAGGATTTTTAAAAATAAAATAGAAGTCAGTAGATTAACACCCCCTACACACGTGGTTTATATAGTAACAAAAAACTTACCCTTATATTTTTTTAAATTTAATAACCAAAGAACAATAATTTAGAATACTAAGAATAATTCTCAATGGAGAAAGGAATATAACATGACTAAGGTAAACACAGACAAATCATCTGGTTATTGACTATCCAATCCATTTTGTGGCGAGGTATATAGCTTTTCCTTTAAAAGGAATTGAAATAGCTGCTGTCCCATGAGGATAGGGACATTAAGTATTGCAGAAGCTGTGACTATTAAAAAGAGTTGCTGGTCATATTGATTTATACCCTCCTTCATCTTTTCCCCTATGAGGGGCCAATGTGAGAACCAACCAGTAAGAAGAGGATGGTGAGTGGTCACTGAGGCCACTCAGCTATTTTATAGGCAGCTGAGACCTAATCAGCCCTGTAAGTGGCAAACTAGCAACTCTGTTCGAATTCTAAGCTCCCTGGTGGTTTTATGTAAGCTATAACAAGAGGTGAGAATATACATATTCTTAAAGAACACAGGAAAATTACATGTAGGAAAAAAGGCAGAGCAGAATCAACGCTACTTCTACTTAGAACCTAACATTTTCCTGTGAATGATTTTTCTTCCCCATGTTAAGGAGTCCGGCAGATGGAAAACCAGGATAAACCATTTCCTCTCCTTACAATTTGTTTTCCTCCGGCCTGAAAAATCTCTAACAGGTTTTGTAGCTCATAGGGAAGCACATATGCCTTCTGCTGTGAGGGGGCCTTTCAGTATTCAGCTTGGCTGTCATGATTTTTCCACTTGTTCTGATTACTCAGGAGTGTCTGCCTCTCTTCTTTTCCTCCAGGAACTTCTCTAGGTCTTTGCTCAAAGACCCACAAAGTTTGGGTCTCTTCCCAAACTATGCAAGGCCCAGTGGAAGAACATTCTTTTGCTGAAATATACCTCCTGTAGACCTTTGACATACGATGGAGACTCATGTACATTTACTTTGGCAAAATAAAACAATTGGTGAATTAATTATCAAACTTAAATTTTAATTTAGAATTTTTAAGAGAACACAAGAGGTTGAAATAAAAATTAAATATTACAGAGAAGCTCTGCACCATAAAATTAAAACATCAAGTTTATTCGTTTTTGACCTTTTATAGATGGTGAAACTGAGACCCAGAACAGTTAAGTACCCAAGGCCAAACATGTAAACCGATGCTTGTAAAATCAGTTTCATGAGACAGTAAACACAGTCCTTATTTTCAGCCTTCATTATGTGCACTGAGGACTGTTTTGGCCGAGGATTTATCATTGCATCTCTACCTGAACTAATCATGATCAGTGTTATCCCATATCTGAGTGTGTAAGGACAGTCAATACTCAAGAAATCAATGATACTGTTGACTGCGTGGAAAATTTTGTGAAAGAGAACATTTACACCTTCACAGTGGAAGGCTGAGACTTCTCATTTTCTTTCAAAATTCTCTATACAGATGGATGAAATATGCATTTGTTAATATTGCCTCCTGTCCCTTTGGCTGAATTTACTAAAGATACAAACAAACAAAGCAAATCACTCCCACTAAGCCTTATACTCATTTGTTTTTTTCAGTGACCGACCAATATATTTTACCATTTATTTAAACACATCACTTGCCTGCAGGAAACCTGTTGACAGATACTATTACATTTGGAGCAATGGGATATAATATTTTCTGAATTTTTCAAGTTTGAAGAATTTCCAGAATTGGCCAACTCTAAGTGAATTTTTGTGTATTGTTAAACTTCAAGAGGGTTTGTTTTAAATGTGGTAGAACCCTCAAAATACTTAACGCAAGGAATGGATGTGGTGAAAGTAACATATTAACAAGTCAAAAAAGAAAAAGCAACTAAATGGCCACATGTATGAACATCTTCTAAGAAGATGAGCTTACAGGATTCATTTAAATAAACAGTAGAGCTGGAAGCTAGATGGCTGAGCTGTGTTCTGAGCTGTAAAATTGTCACATATATTTTCTTACAGCATTATAGGAATGGGTCTGGCAGACAATCTGAGGACATCAGTGAGTGCCAATAGCCCAGATACCCGCAGAGCTCCACCTCAAAGTGCCAAGCGAAAATCCATTCATCCAGCAATGGCTGTATCTGTTTGCAAATTAATTTACTTGAATAAATTCCCATTCCCTGGAAAACAAATTCAGAGAGGACACATACCCTGCTGCTAATCCAAGTAAAGTGTGTCTTACAGATGGAAGATTAATATGGCCAAATGTTTGATGGCACTTTCTTAAAAAAGAAAAGGGGGGTGTTCTTCCCACTAATAAAATGCAGCTGTGAAAAAGAAAAGCTAACAGCAGACGGTCGTTCTACAAAGGAAACAGTATTTTAGCAACAGAATGATGATATATCCTAACTCCTGATGTGGAGTGTGTGTGTTGTGATGGACACATGGGAATGGGTAATGAAAATAGGGAGGCTTCTACTTGAGAGTACACGAGGCTCTCACTCACAGCCTCTCCATTTAACAAACATACATATTTTTTATTTAGTGGAAGTATATTTGAGTTAACAAGCTCTCTTTCTCTCTTTTCATGAAAGTACCCATTTTCACCTTCAAATCGTTCATTGCTTAGAGCAAATTACTCTAATGTGATTCATTTTCTCCTCATACCTGACTGAGATCGCTCTGTTGCCGAGCAAGAGTTTGGGGATTGAGCAGACAGAAGGGAGGGCTGACTTTGGGAATTAGGGAACTGCAGAAATACACATCCCAGGGCAGACAGGATGTGCACAGAGGACACCAGGAAGGCAGGGAGTAAGAAAGAAGCATCAAAAATGAGGTGAGGATTTCGAGGAAAACTGTTCTTTTAGCAAAGGTGGCATGAATGCTTTGCTTGAATGCTGCTTGTCTTTAAGATATTGCTAATTCTCAATCAACTAGAAAAAGCTGACATCTCTATAAAGAGAATAAATTCATAAAATGCAAAGGACAGGCACAACAGAGTATTTAGTAAGTAGTGCGTCATCTTTATTAGAGAGGTACATCTAAACTAATTGGAGGCAAAGTTAGTTTGAATGAATGATAGTTCACATGGCCCAGGCAACTTTGGTTTTTAGAATAAGTGTTAGTAAATGATGTTTTTTTGCTTTCAAGGGCAGAGAGTAACTGGAAGTGGGTTTGTGATTAGCATATCTAATGTCCATTTAGGGTGAAACCACCATTCTGAAATCATGCCGCATGATTTGTCCTGCCCCTGGTCATGTTCCTCCTCCTCTGCCATTCTCATGATATCAGTGTTTGCCTGGGTGCCATGTGACCGCATCTCATGGCCACTTCACGCTCAGTGCGTTCCAGGCCTCTGAGGTCATTCCCAGTCTCTGTTACCCACAGGACTCTGTGTACCCGCTTCTCTGACCTCATCTTCATCATTCTCTACCTTCTGAACCCCATTCACTATCGTCTTCTGAAAATCCCAATATCCTCAATCTTTGCTGGTATTGTTTGCCTTCCCTTCTTGTTTTAATGGAAACTTGGCTCTTCCCCGATGCTTTACCATGAAACCCTCTCAAGGGGAGCTGTTTTCTTTCCCAAATATCACATGCCACTATCTATGAAGGTGAGGTAGGTGTCCTCTTTGATTCCCATTCATGTTCCCAGTCTGTGTGTTCTCTCTAGAAATGTCCAGGTTTGATTCTCATATAGTACTCCTCTTTCATGTATCTACTCCCATCTTCAATTTATTGGTCCTATGTCCATTTCACAATCCTTCACCCAGTTCATGTGTTCACTTCCTTCTTTACCCAGTTTAAATTATATGTTCAATTATTATAATCACTCCCATGCATATACTCATCTCTCTTGCACTACCCTCACCATATACCTATTTATCCAACTACCTTGGATAAACCTGGCTCTTCCCCTGTTCTGTCCCTGCACAGAGGCAGTTAAGGCAGAAAATCACACACCAAGTTCATAACCAACTAACCTCGGTGGGCCCTGAGTGTTTCCAGGCAATCATGCTATTTTCTGACTTTGTTTACTCACTCTGCTAGACAATTATTTCATCTTTTCCTCCTTTTTCTTCCATTTTTGCTCTATAACAATGTATATACACTCTACAGGCCATCATTCTATACCTCATTTAAGCCATTGTTATCAAGGGTTTACCCTTAAAGATCATTGTTGAGTAATCACCTGGGCCTGTCGTGGGGTCGGCGGAGGGGGGATGGATAGCATTAGGAGAAATACCTAATGTAAATGACGAGTTAATGGGTGCAGCACACCAACATGGCACATGTATACATACGTAACAAACCTGCACGCTGTGCACATGTACCCTAGAACTTAAAGTATAATAATAAAAAAAAAGAATGAAAAACAAAACAACAAAAAAAGAATAATCGCTTTGCTGAATACAGTGGTTGAATCTCAGCCTCTGTCTGACTTGACCTCTCAGAAGCATTTAACACAGTGCATTACTCTCCTCTTGAAACACTTCCTTTACCTGGCTTCCAAGAAACCAGGATTTCTGGTCTCCTGGATTTTCTTATACTCTTCGGTCGTGCTTTCTCTGTCATTTTTATTTTTTAAATATTTTCTACTTATCTTTCTGGTCCTTAATGATGGCCTCCCTCCAGACTTAGTCCTTGGACATCTTCTCTTTCCTATCTTTACTCACAAGAAACTGAAATTTTTAAGTACTCTATCCACTTGCATATAAGAGGCACCTGAAACTTTATCTAAAATGGGGCTCTTAATATTTTACCTTCCCCTGACCTTAATCCTCTCTTGCCATAGTCTCAGTTAATGACTTCTTTATTTTTCCACTTACTTAGGCCAAAAATATTGATGTTATTTTTGCCTTCTGGTTTTATCTCACTCCCATTACTGAATCCACCAGCAAATTCTAGTAGCTCTATCTTAAAGCATATCCAGTGACCACTTATCCCCAGCCCACAGTTACCTCTCTAAGTTAGGACAACACTGTCACCCACCTGTGTGGTTGCAACAGCCTCCTAACTGGTTTCCCTGCCCCTCTGCAGAGCAGGCAGAGAGGTTCTGCTGAAACATAAAGCAGAACATGTCCCTCCCCTGATGGAATTCCCCCCAGGACTCTTCTCTTACACAGGGTACTAGGTGAAGGTTACTATGGCCTAAGGGCACAGCATGGAAATGGCCTGGCCCTGCTTTAGGTCTCTGACCTCTTCCTTCATTCATTCATCTCCACCTGTGTTAGCCTCCTCACTATTCCTTTCTTTTGGCCAAGAACCTGGAAATGTCACAAAGTAAGCATTTTTTTGATACTTACAAATAAGTATAAATTGAATTAATCAGCTACAGCTTGAGAGATGCTGTTGCTTACCCAAACATAGACAACAAGAAATCATTAGAGCTTGGATGTGAATTCAGAACTGCCTCGTTCCCAAACCTCTGCTCTTTCCATCCTGTGAATAATGGTGCTTTTATTAGAGCATATTTCCAAGCCACTCTGGAGGATGGCTCAGTCACTTTAAAATAACCACCAAAAACTGATTTTCAAATTTTAGGATTCTTGGAAAACAGTCTTCCCTGAGTATACATATAAACCATAAAAAGACAGAAATTTCAGATATTTTTTCCTTGAAAATGTGTGTTGAACATTTTGAACCTTTAAGACACGGTTAGCTGTTTTGTTTTTATTTCTCATATGTTAGTTTTGAACTGTATCTTATCTACTGCAAACACAGCCAGCAATTATCTTGTTTATTATAACATTTTTCCTTAGAAAAGAATAGAGGTTTTCTACCATTATTGAACCTCCTATAGATTTTGGCTTAAAGAAAACCTTTTGAACTTATAAGAGGTTTGGAATTCATGAATACTAAAATAAATTTATGGTTCTTGGTAACTAGTCCTCGAGATGGAGAAAGGAAAGTATGATTCTAGCACAGATAAACACATTAACCACAGTTTTCAATAAATAAGTAAACACTGATTCTTCCAACTGCTGCCAGCTCAGAAATGATTAACCAGAGGGCTGCTTTCTAACATTCATATTCATGAATTCTCTTTAGAATTAGAGGACAAAGGGCCTCTTTTATAGTTAAACAGGTTACAGCCAAGCAGAGAGTCACATATCACACAATATGAGTGTGTCTTTCAGAGAGAATGCATTTTCTTTCAGGTCTAATTTTCCTTTCCTCTCATCTCCTTCCTCCTTTCTGCTATGACTTCCCAACAAATGCAGTCTCCTTGGAGAGCTGCTTCAGATTCCCAGCTGTGCTGCAGCTCTGGGCACAACAGGGGCCACGTTTCTCTCCCAGCTGATAATTTTGCAGTGAAACCTGGTGTGAAGAACAGTACTCGGTGCCAAACCCCCTGCTGATGAAGGACCCAGCCTCTGAAATGAACGCCCCTCTATTTTGTTCTCCTGGAGTGCTTGTTGGGTCACGTGGCATCTTTCTTTAGAAAAGAGACTCTCTCTTGTTGTTTTAAACAATACAAAAACACGCTCAGGTGCCAATGGGAAAATTTGTTGGTGAGGAAACAATTTATTATTTTAAATGGCATTTCTTAGAGAGTTATTGGCCTTTTTCTGATCTTTCTTGAAGAAACTGCATTTCTCTTTCTCCCATGGACTAATTCAAGAGAAATGAATTTGTAAGCTCAGGGCAGTCATTCCCTTTGGAAGCTTCCTGGCTTTAAAGATGTCTATTGTATGAGAATCACAGACTTCAGAGTTCTAGGGGGCGTCATCAGGAAAAATAATGGCAGTGTGGTGGCCAGAGTGTGAGACACAAATGCAGATTGCCAAACTACATGACAGCTTCTAGGACACTTCCCAGACTTCATTTTGAAGATCATTTAGAATTATGTGTGAGGCTTACTCTCTCCTTAGGGTTTGGGCAGACGCAAAAATGTGGAATGAGAGGCTTCATTTTTTTGTCTGTATGTCTGATTGAATTAGTTAATCAAATTTACTCCCTGATTTGGAATCTTGTAAACACAGCCTGTTTATCCCAAAGGTACTTTGACTGACTGGCATTGACCTTTAAGGCCTAAAGAAGAAAGGCCAGGGGCTCTCAGACCTTTGGCCACAGACTGAAGGCTGCACTTTAGGCTTCCCTACTTTTGAGGTTTTGAGACTCAGACTGATCCACCACTGGCTTCCTTGGTTCTCAGCTTGCAAACAGCCTATCATGCGAACTTGTAATCGTTAGAGTCAATTCTCCTTAATAAACTCCCTTTCATATATACATCTATTCTATTAGTTCCATACCTCTAGAGAAACCTGATTAATACAGACGCATATCAAAGAACAACACAATTGTATAAATTAAAAATCAAAAACTCATTGTAAAGTAAGCCTCTTGGAGGGAAAGCTATTTCTCTATCTTATGGCCAAATTCCTAATATTATGAGTCATTACATTATCTAACCCAGCGATTTCAAGGTGAGGGGCATCAGAATCACTTGGGGATAGGAAGCTGGTTCTGATGCAGCTTGCTGGGCCCCACCCTTAGAGTTCCTGGTGCAGAGGTCTGGGATGGAGCCCAAGAGTGTACATTTCTGACAGGTTCCAGGGAGATGCTGATGCTGCTAGACATGGTACCACACTTTGAGAACCACCCGTTTAACCCATTGTGTAAACTTTTTCCTGGGATATTTTTCATAAATTACTTGCCAGATGATATATTTAACTCTTTTTTTTTTTTTTTCGACAAGGTATTGCTTTGTCGTTCAGGCTGAAGTGCAGTTGCACAATCATATCTCAGAACAGCCTCGAACTCCTGGGCTCAAGTGATCTCCCTGCCCCTGCCTCCTGAGTGGCTGGGACTACAGGTTCCTTGGCAATTTTTTTTTTTTTTTTGAGATGGAGTCTCACTCTGTAGCCAAAGCTGGAGTGCAGTGGCATGATCTCGGCTCACTGCAATGTCTGCCCCCAGGGCTCAAGCAATTCTCGTGCCTCAGCCTCCCAAGTAACTGGGACTACAGGTGTGCACTACCACGTCCAGCTAATTGTTTTGTATTTTTAGTAGAGATGGGGTTTCACCATGTTGCGTAGGGTGGTCTTGAACTCCTGATCTCAGGCGATCTGCCCACCTCAGCCTCCCAAAGTGCTGGGATTACAGGTGTGAGCCACCGTACTTGGCTTACATTTAACCCTTTGAGATACAAAAAATATCTTTTCTGTCAAACAATTTATATACTGTATATTTTAACCACAATTCATATTTTATATTTAATTTAAAACTAATTGATTTCAAAGGAAATTTTAGAGATAGTCAGCAGGAGACAGCATGGAATAAAGCAGTGTTTCTCAGATTTGTGTAAGGTGTGGATCTGCTTATTAGTGTAATAATGCCAGTTTATGTTGTAAGAGACTCATTATGCTTATGTAACTTATAAATCTATAATTGGGAAATGTTACAATTTTATATAATATTAAAGTATATAAGTAAATGTAGAAACTCATACTAAATTGTATAAATAAGCATAAATTTATATAAAGTATACAATAATTTAATAAAAATTGTATTTGAATAAAAGTATAAAAACAAATTCAAATTAGCAACTTTAACTCAATGTGACTAATGTGCTATTTTGAGGAAATTAAGCTGATGTTTCCATTGTGGCTATGGCAGGATCTTTCTTCAGTGTGTCACACCACTGTGGGGATGTGTGAAGGTGACATTTTCCACTCTTTTCTATGTGAACTCCTGAGAAATATTCTTCAGTCAGTGTAATGTGCCATGATTTGGCCTTTCCTTATATTACAGTCATTTGTTTGTTCAGTCTGTCTGTTTTGTTATTACTGTTGTTGTCTTTCTCTAAGCTCTCAACACTTAAGATAGCATCATCTAGTGCCAATGTGAAGCATCCATTCATTTAGAAGTGTTTGTTTTTTGATTGCCTGCTCCATTTTTTCAGGCACTGTTACAGGTATAGTAGAAAAATAATCCAGGCCAGGACTCTGCCCTCATGGAGCTCACTGAGTGAGATAAGTTTGCAGGGGAAGGTGAAGAAGTGAAAACGCAGGTTGGAGAAGTAGCCTGGGCTGGGCTACCTGGGGGCTCACAAACCAATGTGTGGCATTTGGATTTTCTTTGAATGGTAGTGGGAAGTCACTGGAAGATTTTGTTTAGGGGATTTACGTTATTAAAAAGAAATCTGGCTATTATGCAAAGAATGACTTGTAAAGGGGAAGATTGGAATGTAGATGCAGACCTTGAAACAGAAGCAATTCCTTTTTTTTTTTTTTTTTGAGACGGAGTCTCGCTCTGTTGCCCGGGCTGGAGTGCAGTGGCATGATCTCAGCTCACTGCAAGCTCTGCCTCCCAGGTTCGCGCCATTCTCCTGCCTCAGCCTCCTGAGTAGCTGGGACTACAGGTGCCCGCCACCACGCCCAGCTAATTTTTTGTATTTTTAGTAGAGATGGGGTTTCACCATGTTAGCCAGGATGGTCTCAATCTCCTGACCTGGTGATCTGCCCATCTTGGCCTCCCAAAGTGCTGGGATTACAGGCGTAAGCCACCACGCCCAGCCCAGATGCAATTCTTTATTTTAACATGATCATCCAGGTGACGTGCAGCAGGCAATATGCTATTGCTTTTAAGATAATACTCAAAATTCAAAGATACGTAAGTTTATCAGGGAGATAAACTTAGGGAGAATATAAGTGCTCCACTATTGTTCTTTAATAATTTAAAAAATTATACAAAACTGTGAAGCACCTCCATACTTCCTCAGGATCTTGTATAGCAGACTTTGTTTTATAAGACTCTCTGCAGGCTTTGCAGTCAGCTACGGTTTCAACATTGGTTGGGCCACTTACATAAATTGCTTAATCTTGCAGGGCCCGTTTCCTCCAAAGTGGAACGAATAATGCTTCTAACTCAGGCTCTTGTGGGGTGAGGGGTCGGGCACAGAGAGTCATGGCACTGAGCATTGGGATAGTCACTTTACATATATTTGCATGCATTTAAATAAAGGTGTCAAGAGGAAAATGTAACATAAAATGAAAGCAGGTTAAACACTTCATGATTCAAGAAGACCAGGGCAGTTATAATGATCATAGGTGAGAAAAGAAAACCAGGAACTTAAGAATGGGTCAGAAAGAAGGTGCCTTTCTCTCAGTCTTGGCTTCCTCCTACTTGTGCTTTATGAGTATGCTATTAAATAGGAAACTCTCACTGAGGGGGGAAAAGTCTTTCCCAGCTCTCTGAGAGGAATCAGTTCACTTCTCTGTATTCTTGCTTTGTAGATAAGGAGAATTTTCATTCAAGAAGCTAATCCATTGTTATAATTTCCATATTGAACTTTACGTCAACCCCAAACTTGCATCCTTTGTGAAACAGTGAACTCCACTTCTTGTTGGAATTATGATGATAGTAGTTTCATAACCATTGGTTAAAATCAGCACAGCTGACTTCCATTTGCTTTTAAATTACGCGACAATTCTAATAACTATAATGGCACTTTTTGAAGAATCCTTAAAGAGACTTCTCCTGATGGCCGTGGGATGGGAGCATCCTAATCAAATTTCAGAGATGAAAGATGGAAAATGGAGTAAGACAGGAGGTTAAATTGAAAATGTATCCTAACCTCTCTTAACGCTGGAAGTCTTTGATAAAAATTTTAATTAAAAAACTTCATTTTAAATACTATTGCAGAATGCGTATTTACAAAAAGAGAAACAAAGACTTTTTATTTTGTCCAAATGACACTGGGTCTGTTCGGTGCTGCACTGTCCTTGCAATTGCTTTTGTGATGACAATGAATAAACTTAACTCTTCCACCAAATATGCATAAGGATAATTTCACACCCCAGTGCTATGCAGCTGCTTCTGTCATGGCTAGTGTTGAGTAGCTCAGAGCAAGAGCACATGGGCATGTCAAAAAGGAAGCATAGCAAGCCATTGTACTTTGAAACCATGGCATCAAGAATATTGTGGGTTATCATCACATTTAAACTCTCTTTCCTCTGCCAAACAATTCCAAGGGGACAAGAAGTCCTAGTAGTGATGTGTTTAACAAAATGCTTCTAATAACTTTCTCAAGAATTGGGCTTTGCAAGATCATGATACATTTTTGCCTGGAGTCTTTTCCTCTTTTAATTTTTAAATTCAGATATGTTTTGAGTGTGCTTCCATTTCATTTACACTTAGCCTACCAAGCTGCAGTATTCTAAGAGTTATTTGATGTTGGAGAAGTTCTATACATTTTTCATAAGCCACGTTAAGTGTTTCTCTTTGAACCATAAAGTTGTATTTTTGCCATCTCTAAGTGAAAATCAGACAAAAAATAACAAGAGTAGAGTTCTTAAATGCGAAATCACTAACAGAAAAAAAACCTATCTCAAAGTCTTCTATCATTAAGTAAGAGGATATCCATCTACAAAAAGCCAAAGGATGAATTTTGTTTCATTTTTTAATATCCTTCAGAAACAAATAGAATTTATGTAAGGTTCTCATGGCATTAAAGCAAAAACCAATCACCTGACGGCTCAATCAGAAGGTCAGTGTGACGTTAAAAAAAAAAACACACAAACAGCTTAAATAGTTATTCAAGATCATGCATGTATTCCTCTCCCCAAACCAACTTTGTAGATGAAATCTTTCGCTATTGAGGTAGCTCAGTCAGTACCCTTTCTTTCTTGCATGAAGGAATTGAAATGCAGAGGCTAATTCAATTTTTTAGTCCCCTATCCTCTTATCTTCTATGCAACAAATTATCCACTGTTTCTTGCTAATGCGTTTAGAAATCTTAAAGCCCAGGGTAACTTAGACAAGGGCTATTATTGCTATTTTCAAAGAAAAGAAGTTCTACTATTAGTGTATGGACCCAATGCTTTGAATAAAAAGGCTTAAACATTTCATGAATATATGAAAATAGACTTTATGACGGAGAAAGTGAACCTGACTTCTTTGATCTAGGAAAGGCCTTGACAAGTGAAAACCCAGAGAACTGCACCCAGCATAGAAATGAGGACAAGATAGAGAAGCTGGAGGGTAGACCTAGGCCTCCCCAGATCCACAGAAGCTCTTCCAGTGGTGTTCAAATTCCTGTTTTTGTTTTCGATACTACAGTCTATTCTTCGAAATGTTCTTTAGAATCAGATATAACAGCCATGGTTCTGGTTGAGGAAGGCAGATTGTCAGAAGGGCATAGATCTTCTCTGCTCACTTCTTTCTTCTGCCCCTCGTCTGCTCCCAGACAGCCTCGGAGTCGCTGAGGAGTTAGAAAACCACTGTGACCAAAGCCAGCTCTCTCATTTTACAGATGAAAACCAAGGCAAGAGAAATGTAGCATTTTTTTTCTAAGTCACACCAATTTAAAAAATTTTGCAGAACCCAAGCTCTTTTCCATTGTACTATACCAGGGGTCGATGAACTTTTTCTGTAAATGGCCAGATAGGACATCTTAGGCTCTGCGAGCCATATGGTCTCTGTTGGGACCACTCAACTCTGCTGTTGTAGTGAAAAAGTAAACACAGGCTATACATTAAAAAATGGGCATGCCTGTGTTCTGATAAATGTTATTTATGGAAACTGAAATTTGAATTTTATATAATTTTCCTGTGTAATTAAATATATTCTTATACTATTCTTTGGTTTTCTTTTCAACCATTCAAAAAAGCAAAGATCATTCTTAGCTCCATAGGCTATACAAAAATAAGCATCAATTGGACCATAGTTTGCCAACCCCTGCAGTATACCACCTCCTTATCCAACCTAAATAGTACTTTTCATTTTGTGCACTACCTAAAAAAAAGTTTAGATCTTTTTTTGGGTTCACAAAAGTGTCATTTTTTTTTCCGTTGATGTCTCCCATCCAGGTCTGTATTTTCTTTGCATTTTCTCCCAGGCCACATCTTTATCCACAGTTTTAGTTGAGGGTTCAGGGCAGTTTATTCAAAAGTTAAAATTAGAAGGATTCTCAAAAACCGTTTTGCCACTGAGCATGTGAATACACACTCAAAGTCAGTGCTAAACTTAGCTTGATTTCTTGTCCAAATTGAATCCTGATTTCAGCGATGCTGTTGAGGAAAAAGACCTGCTTCCAAGCCCTCTAACACTTGTGATGCTATTGAAAAGGCGCAATGGGTGTGGATGTGGTTTTACTCTGCTTCAAGCTTTCACTATTTTTCTCCTGGGCTGGATTTTTCTAAAAGGATGAGGGTCATTAACAGAAGCAGCAATGTTTATAAGCTGACAAAATAACAGCTAACATTTATTCGGTAACTACCACAAGAGAGAAAATTATGTAACAGTGAAGGGTATAGAATGCATCTGTGGACCTTCTGGGTTAATCCCACTCTGCCTCTTATTAGCTGTGTGACATTGGACAAGTTAATTAAGTTACCTCTTCTTCAGTTTCCTCATCTGTAAAATGGTGACAGAAATAGAAGTGTATACTCTATAGAATTATAAAACTAAATGATTAAATATATGTAAAAGTTTAAACAGTACCTGATAAGTGGTAAATGCTATTTAAATATACGATGGCATTATTATTATTGGCCAGGTAGCATATCAAGTTTACTCTTTTCAGATCCTCTCCCAATTTTTCTACTTTTTTTGCACCAGATGTGGGCACCGTTAACTGTTCAGTTTGTTAAAATCTAGACATTGTCTATGTCTGTGATGAGAAAAGTCCTTAAGAATTATTGAACACTTACTATATATAACAGACACTATTCTAAAGGCTTTCTGATTATTCCATAATTTAATTTTTGTAATATCCTTCTAAAATAGGTACTATTAAAATGTACTTAAAGATGAAGGAACTGAGACACAGAGAAACTATTGCAGCAACCCCAGGTCACAGGGCTGGTAAATGGCACAGCCTCTCCTGAAAGCAAAATAATTAGGAGTGAAACCTGAATAGATGTTGGTTGAAAATTCATGAAGTTCATGTTTCGGGTGAATGCAGGTTTTGATAGTTTCTGGATATTTAATCTATAAGGTATGTCTTGTATCCTAGAAATGTGAATTTTAGAGAATGACAAGAACGTACTGCTTTACATTGTGGGTAGAAATGCCACAGAATTTATTGCCTCAAAAAGCTACAGAGGTTTCTTGAATAGTCAAAATATGGAAACAACCTGTGTCCATCCACAGATGAAGGGATGAAGAAAATATGGGGTCTATTGTGTATACAATGAAGTATAATTCAGCCTTAAAAAAGAAGGAAACCCAGTCATTTGTGACAACCTGATGGAGCTGGAGGGACATGTTAAGTGAGATAAACTAGGCACAGAGGGACAAATATCACATGATCTCACTTATATGTGGAATCCAAAGCAACGGACGTCATAGAAGTAGACAGCAGAAAGGTGGTGACCCGGGGCGAAGGGTGGGGGTGATTGGAAAGATGTTGGTCAAAGGATACAAAATTTTACTTATATTAGGAGGGATAAATTCAAGAGAGCTATTGTACAACATAGTGACTATGGTTAATAACAGCTATTGTACAACATAGTGACTATGGTTAATAACAATCTGTTGTATTCTGAAAATTGCTAAGAGAGTAGCTTTTAAGCGTTCTCATGAGAAAAACAATAAATACGTAAGCAGCAAATATGTTAATGAGCTCAATGGAGCTGCTTCACAATGTATACTCATTTCAAAATGTCGTGTGTTCATGATACATATATACAATTTTCCTTTGTCAATTACAAATTTTTTTTTTTCTTTTAAAAAGCTGTAGAGGCTTCTCGAGACTTCAGGAAGACAGAATAGAAATGTTTAGGATCAACCCTAATCTGACTTCAGGGCAATCATATATCCGTCTAAGCATTGCTGGTACCTCTCGGTTAAAGAATGGCAATTTGAATAAAATATGAAACCAACTCAGAATGGTCATTTTATATTATTTTTGCCTTATCAAATTCATTTTTTAGACTTTTTCTGCCTTGGTTAAATGCTGTCCCAGTGGGGGTTTATCAAGAGAATACCTGTAAATATAGAGGGTCACTGCATAGGAGATTCTGGTATATCAACCCTGATGGCGAGCCTCTGTTCCCCACCACACGCTCTCTCTGGCAAGAACCAACCTAAAAGATCAACAATCTATTCAGGGTCAGAAGGCATGGTTTGGGTATAATCTTCAAAAGTTTAAACCCCCAAGTGGGACAACTTAAGACATCTTAAAGAATCAAGTGGTTCAAACCCATGGCGCATTAAGGTATTGGCATTAATGTATTGGCTCAACATATTTCCCGCAATGTTTTCTTGCAGTTCATAGAGACTCTTACTTCAAGAGACATTAATTAATTGCTGACAGTTTTGCCAGCATGCAGTGAGAAAAAGAAACAAACAAAAACTATAGCCATTTTGGTTGAATAATTGTGTTGTCTTCACCTTTAGGTATAAGGCATGCCATTATAGAGTTTTCAAATATTCTCAAGAGTGTACACATATCAAAGCCTTCAAAAGCACAATTGTCTTATCTTTTTCTCGTGTCCAGTTATCTTCTCTTTTTACCATTAAAATCAGGTAAAGATAATGTCTTGATGTAATAATTGGATGTAAATTTGTCATTTCAATGCTTTATCTTGCTCCACAAACTTGTTTTCCATTTTGTGCTTCATGGTTTAATGAATGATATCACTGAAACCAGAAACCTGAGAATGAGCTTTGAATTATCTATTGTCCACCGAATCCACACTGGCATGTTGATTCTACCTCAAGTATCCATACCCAGTGTCTCCAAAGTCATTGTCTTACCAAGAGCCTAATTATTACTTGCCTGGGCTGTTGCCTCACTGATCCTTTTTCTGCTCAACTATCCATGGAAAACGGAGAACTGGCAAATCATAAACTGCCTCATTTTTTAAAGTATTGGTGGCTCCTTTAAGCTGAGAAGATGCTTGCCCAAATTCCCAGCAGAAGCAATATCATCCACACTAACCATTACAGATTTATGTCCCTTTACTATTATTACTATTCTTGCTACCCATTCCCCTCCCACCACACCTATCTTCACCCACCCACCACAGGGCTCAGCGCTCAGTAGTCTCTGAACCCGCAATGTTCCTATGCATCCCAGCGACTGTGTACACACTGCTGCCATGCCTGAGATGCTGGCCTCCTCTTTCACTGTCTGCTGAAGTCACAGTGTTTTTGTTTAAAGGCAATCCCTCATGCCACTTCCTTCTGAAAGCCTTCCTTAAGTCACTTAAGTAGAATCAATAGCTCCTTCATTTGTACTTTTATGGCAAATTTTTAGTAAAACAAACATGCAAGTAGGTATTGGACATAGGTGTTTGAATCTCAGCTCTGCTACTGACTGTGTAACCATGGGCATGTTATTTCACTTCTATGAGCCTCAAAACATAATCATAAAATGTAACATCATGAGGTTTTTGTAAAGGTGAAATGAGTTAGGGCACTGGAAAGCATATTACAGTTAATCAATAAATATCAGTTATTTTCTCCATCTCCACTGCAACCTCTGCCAGCTATGGTATCATTGATCACAATAGTGTGTGTGTGTGATTGTGTGTATTTTTATGTACATTGTGTGTGCTCCTTGAAGATAGGGACTGTCCAGCACATATTAAATATTAATAAACAGTTGTTGAATTCAATCAAATCCCAAGTCCTATGTCTTTCATTTAATAGCAATGTTAACACTATGGTCTCAAGAAAATCATCATCTTTTCATTTAAATAGATAAGTTAAATGACTTACTTTATTATTTTATTTTTATCATTTTTTCTACAAGAATTGGATGAAAAAATCACTATGTGTGAAACTATCTGAGCTATATTTACTAAAATATTTAAAAAACGAAAACATTTGAAAACAACAGCAGTATTCACATTCTTTTTTAAACATCAGATGTTTGAAATTATGTAAATTATATTCACTTGTGCGTGGGCTTGCGCATCTGTACGTGACTTTAAAAATAAGTCTTAGTAAGGACAGATTTTTCATCCTGAAAATGTGAGCCTTAATGTTAAAATTATAACTAAAAGTGTCCGCAAGCCCAGATTCATTAATATTAGAAATGACTGGTAGAATCTAATGTCAGGAACTAATGGCTCCACAATATAAGAATATATTCTAATTAATAGTAAAGTCCACAGCCTTTATGCAATCAGCTCTTTAATGGTTGCCACCCAGGAACAATACGGGGAATGAGTGAAAACCTCTTTCAGCAAAATAGGACTTCTCCAATCTAAACCTGCTTTCTTTAACAGGGCTAAGCTATCTTTATGTATACTATAAAGAGAATCTCAGGCTGGCTGTCTTCAACACCCAAGGACGTATGCATTTTTCCAATGACTGTATTTTCAGGTACCTAACACTCTTCACATCTTTCACTCCTATCTCTACTAAGTCTCCAACAGAAGCATATTCTATGCTGCTACTTACTGTCTGCTGTTCAGGGTGCATATTCCCTGAGCCCCAATAGCTTCCTAAAAAAATTATTGTTGCTTTTTTGGTTACTTTGTCTTTACTGCATGATCAGCCTATTTCTTCTAGAGCCTGGGTTTTACAAACTAGTATCTCTCTCTCTCTCTCTCTCTTGCTCTGTCTCTGTCTCTCGCTCTCTCTACTTTTCCACAGAATACCAGACAAATAACTAGATTCCCAAATCGTATCAGATTTCCAGAGGAAAAGAAAACAATTTGTGACTCTTGTTAGCAAAGGTATTTTGTAATAATTTATCTATGATCTATTTTGGTGAATTTTTGTCTTGATCATATTTCTAACTTGCAGAAAAGTTGTAAAAGTAGTAAAAGGAATTTTCAAACACTCTCTGCCCAGATCCAGCAGCAATTGTTAATTTTTGTTCCATTTGCCGTGTATGTGTGTAAGCACACACACACAATTGATTCTCATTATTTATTCACGGTAGTTTTGTTCCATAAAGTTGCCATGGACTTTGAATAAGTGAATACTAGTTTACATGAGTCTCTGATCACAACCTTGTTTTTATCAACTGATCAGTACTGAACCTTGTTTTCTATGTGTTTCTAAGACTCCTAATTTAATATATAATGATGGTTCATTACAACTGAACTGTGATCAACAGCACTATCCCTCAGGTCTGAAAGAAGCTTATTTAACAGATGCATTTTCCCCTTAGGGTACATCACAGCCTCCTTGCACTTCTAACACTGGATAGCACTTCTGCACTGCAATTGGGGGTCATTTTAAACGGCAAAATCACCAACAAAAATCAGAAAAATGTGAACAACGTGTTACTAAATAGACCCCAGAAAGGACACTTGCTTATAATATAAGAGCTGAAACAAGAAGGCAGAGCATATTCTTGTTGGACCCCAGCTGGAAACGGGCAAGGCAGTCGACTCAAATTTCTGACCACTCTGCCTTAGTCCACAAATGATCACTGAAGCTCTGGGAGCATTGATTTTGAGCTACAGATAAATTTTAGCGAACAGGCAAATTCACAAACATGGAATCCTTGAATAATGAGGACTAGCTGGTTATGTATTTGACCCATATATTTATGCATTCACAACTTTTTCTGAACCATTTGAGGGTAAATTGGAGACATTGTACCTATTTACTCCAATTTTTAATTTTTTTATTTCAGTAGATTTTGGAGGAACAGGTAGTGTTTGGCTACATGAAAAAGTTCTTTAGTGGTGATCTCTGAGATTCTGGTGGACCCACCACCCGAGTGGTGTACACTGTACCCAATGTGTTGTCTTTTATACCTTGCCACCCCTAACCCCTTTCCCCAAGTCCCCAAAGTCCAGTGTTTCATACTTATGCCTTTGCATCCTCATAGCTTAGCTCCTCCATATGAGTGAGAACATATGGATGTTTGGCTTTCCACTCCTGAGTTACTTCACTTAGAATAATCTCCAATTTCATCCAGGTTGCTGTGAATACCATTATTTCATTCCTTTTTATGGCTGAATAGTATGCCATATATATATATTCATACCACATTTATATATATATATGTATATGTGTGTGTATATATGTATATGTGTGTGTGTATATATATATATATACACACACACCATGGAATACTACTCAGCCATATATACTATATATATAGCATGGAATACTACTCAGCCATACCACCTTTTTTTATATATATATACACACACACACATATGTATATATGTACACATATATATATACACATGCATATATGTATACATATATACACATATATGTACATATATACCTATATGTACCTATATGTATGTACATATATGTGTATATATGTATACATATAATCTTTTAAACATTTGAAATATGTATATATGTATACATATATGTATATGTGTGTGTGTATATATATTTACTTTATATATATACACACACGCATTTACATTATCCACTCGTTGATTCATGGGCATTTGGGCTGCTTCCATATTTTTCAATTGCAAATTGTGTTGCTATAAACATGCCTGTGCAAGTATCTTTTTCGTATAATAAATTCTTTTCCTCTGGGTAGATACCCAGTAATGGGATTGCTCAATCAAACGGTAGAATATGTTGGTATAATGTCTTCATGGCTTATAGGAGGAAAATGGTTAAGCAGTAGATCATGCATTCATTCTTTCTTATTACTGGAGGATCCATCCTTGAAAAAACAGTGTCAGGTGTCTTGGTGCTGATGATAGATCCTCTGGCTAGCAAATCAATGATATTTAAAGTGAGATAGTATCTCTCTATGAAGAGCTCTTAACAGAATATTTCTGGTCTAGTATTTTTTATGATAAAGTAGCCTAGACTCTGTATTTATAGGTCATGGCTGCCTGAAAAACGTTGCATTAGCTATGTCACTATTTTGGTAGAAACTGGGTTCATTTCAGGGTTGCGCCAGCTCTTTTCTGAATAAGTAATGTATTAGAGACTTCTAATGTTATTCTGTGCTGAAGCATATCCAGTGTATGACAAAGGATTTGCGTGATGTATTGACATGTATGTACCTTTTCCTGCTTTACCTATGCCTAGAAACCATTTGCATTCTTGACATTTTTTGTAAAGCTTCATATCAGGTAAGATCTCCGATTCATGTGAATCTGATTTGACAATTCAAATCTTTTATGTTGTCCCAATAATGTGATTCGGCTCTTCTACTTCTTTACTAATTCCTTTGCATTTTAATATGTACTAAAATTATATTGCAAATAGTAGACAGTGTGCCTCCTTTGAAGAATAATATAATTTGTTATTCTACTGGAGATAAAAATAAACAAACTACATATATGTGTGTATCTGTGTGTGTGTATATATATAATGTATATATATATATAATGTTTAAAATTTGATTTTCAGATTGTATTCATATAAGTTGCCATCTAAATTAGCTAGTCAATAATTTATAATTACCAGAGGCATTGGCAGAAGATTAAAATAATCTCCATACTTGTTATATTGGTGAGGTAGTGTTGGATAATTTATAGCCTTTTATACTATGCATATTCGAAGCAGCATCTTTGCCAAAAATTAGTTGGCTTTATTTCTGTGGGTCTGTTTCCAGACTCTGTTCTGTTGATCTACGTATCTGTCCTTTAACCAATACCATGTTGTTTCAATTAACGTAGCTTCATAGTAATTCTTGAAATTAGGTAGTATTAATGCTCAGACTTTGTTGGCTTTTTTTCAAAATTGTTTTGGCTATTCAAGTTCATTTGCTTTTCAATATTCATAATGGAATCTATAAAATTGCCTGCTGTAGGTTAAAAGTCTGAAGGAGGCTATAATCTTCCTTATACCTGTAGCCTTTAGGTGCTTCACAATGTCTGTACTATGTCTGTCTTTACCAATTCATCAGCTGTTACAGCTGAATTCTTTTATTGATGTTTGATAGCCTTGCTCCTGGTAAGTAAATGTTAATGTACTTCTTTCCCAGCAGACTCCTCCATATCCTGAGATTTGGGGTTAGTAGCTTGCCCTATGACCTCAGCTCTTTGATAGGTTCAAGAGAAGTTATAAACTTTTAGTACATATGTCTTATTTTCTGGTTTAAGTGTGGGAATGAAGGAATTTAGTGTGAAGAGGGTCTCTCTAGGTTTTGACATAGCTTATTGGAAACCAGGAGACTTATGTATTTTTTAACCATTTATTTTGATCAGTTATTGAGTGAGAAGTATTAGTCTTTAATTGTGGATGTATCTATTCTCCTAACTTTAAAAATGTTTTGTTTCTTGTATTTTAGGATCTGTTATTTGTTGCATGAACATTTAGGATTGTTATGTCTGTTTTTAATTTATCCTTTGATTATTATGAAATGTCTGTGTCCTTTTTAAAAAAATAATTAAATTTTACTTGTTTTATGTTAATACAGGTGTTCCAGCTTTCTTAGGCTTACTATTTTTGTAGTACATCATCTTCTATCTTTATAGTGAAGCCATGCTTTAAATCCAACCTGGCAATCTGTAGGTTTTAATCTATTTTTAAATATAATGAATTAATTTTTAATGTTAAATGTTATTGCTATCGTTGATGTTTACCATGTTTTCTTGAGTTTTCTTAGTTTTTTTGGTCTTCTCTTCCCTTTTTCTGTGTTTTTTTTTTTTTTTTTTTTTTGCGGGGTGGTGTTATTTGAATGTATTTTTAGGGGTCCATTTTAATTATTCTACTACACTTTTTGATTATAAAATTTGACATTATTTTGTAGTTGTTTGCTCTAGGGATTATAATATATATCCTAAATTTATCACAGTATACCTAGAGTTAAGATTGTACTTCTTCAAGCAAGCTTTAAGAAATGTGTAATGCTATGGTTATATTTATCCACGTAGAGTATTATAACTATGTGGGTGAATATATAATGTATATTTAAATTAAGGTAAGAAAAAGGTAATATTTTATATTTACGGCATATTTTTTATTCTTCTCATCTAGTGGTACTCTTCTTTAGCCTGAATAATTTCTTTTTCTCTTTGCATCTTTGTCTGCAAGTAACAAATTCTTTTACTTTTTATATTTCTGCAAAATCATGATTTCACTCTCATTTTTGAAGAATATCTTTGCTGGACATAGAATTTTAGGTGGCAATTTATATATTTCTTTTAGCACTATAAGGATATTCACTGTTTTCTATATTTCTTTTTTCTGAATGTAAGTCAGCTGCCATTCATGTCATTCCTCTGTATGTAATGTGTCTTTGTTTTTTCTGGCTGCTTGCAGTTTGACTGTGATGTGCTTGAGTATGTTTGTCGTCACTGAACTTCTTCAAATTTAAGTTTTAGTTTTCAATAAATTTGAAACATTTTCCACCCTTATTTCCTCAAATATTTTTTCTGCCTCATTCTCTCTCTTCTCCTTCTGTGACTTTGATTGTTCCTTGTTAGACTACTCTATTGTCCCACATGTCACTGAGACTCTATTTCTTTTCTCTGTTCTTCAGATTAGACAGTTTTTACTGATCCTATGTCTTTCATTTCCAATCCTCTTCTAATCCCATCCACTGAGTTTTAAAATTTCAGATATCGTAGCATTGATTTCTAAAATCTCCATTTTTATAGTTTTATTTTTCTGTTGAAATTCCCCATCTTTTCATTCTATATTTTCTTTTGAGTTTCTGGACATATTTATAATAAAATAGCTGGTCTACATTTTGATATATTTGTATTTTTCAATTGGTTCCTGATGACTGATATCTCACTTGACTGTGGATCATATTTTTTTCTGTTTTGTTTATGAATTTTGTTTATAAAATAATAATGTTTATAAAACATTCCGGAGACTCTACGTTCTGCTGTCTTTCTCTGAAGAATGTATATAACTGTTCCGTCACGAGTAATCTGGCTCAACTCAAACTCTCAATGCCATCTCCCTTACGGTTGGTAGTAGCTAAAATCTGTCTGTAAGACTTTTTTAAGTTTAAAAAGAGTTGCATTTAAACTGTTGCTTTCTGCTAGACACCTGGAAGTCTTAAGTATTTGTAGATCAGGGATCAGTTAAGAGTTTGGAAAGATTTTAAATGCAGATTTTTCAACTTCCCCACATTGTGCTGTTCTCTCCTGGAGTTTCTTCCACATGTTCTGGATACTCTGACATTCCTGAATCCATGCCTGGGAGACAGATTTCTGCTGAAGGTCCAGACATCCCACCCTGTGTGGACCCCTCCCAGGTGAAAACTTGCATAAATTCAAACCTACAAAGTTGACTCTCTTCCAGGTTCTTTCTGCTCTGACTACTTATTTTCTCTATTTTGTTCAGAGTTTGTAATTTTATCTGTAGTCCATTATGTAAGCCCGTTACAAGCTGCTCTGCCATTACTAGAATAACTTTACTTTTAAGGAAATAATATTTGTTGTTATTAATTCTAAAAATAGAATTTCCTTGTAGAAAAGTTGGATAATTTAGAAAAAAAAAAAGAAAAATAATTTGTAATCCAAAGAACCAGAAATAACCATTATTAACATCCTGAAATATATTACACATTATTACAATGTTTTCTCTCCCATTTTATAATACCTATACACCGATACACACAAAGTTGGTATATATCTATTGTTTTGTATTTTGCTTTTTTTATTTGTCATATCATAAACATTTCAATTTAATTGGGTGTATTTTGGAACAAAAGTTTTGAAAATGAAATACTATTCTCTCATTTGGGTATACATAATTAATCTAAATATTATTGTTAACTACTTAGATTCATGACAATTTCATTGTGTTAAATAGGGCTGTGAAACACTCCCTATATATTAATATTTTGTTGTATATCAGATTATTTCATTAGAATTGATTTCCATAAATAAGGATATTGCATCAAAGCATTAAGATGTAAAGATTGTTGCTAATTCTGATTGTTTATCAGAAAGCTTTCTCTTTCTTTTTTTTGTTAACCAATTTATACTTAAATTACTTATGTGTGAGTTATGCCTCACCACAGCTTCTATATGTACATGTGCTACTGTAAAATACTTCCAATTTCATTTGGGGAAAGGGATAGCTCACTGTGGGTTTAACTTGCATTACTAGTGAGGTTGGACATTAAATATGTTTATTGGCTACCTGTAATTATTTTCTGAACTATTTATGTGCTTTACCAACTTTTCTAGGTGAGACCACTCCTTAGAGACTTCTAAGAGCTCTTTATATCTTATTTACTAAGATCTACTACATAGCAGACATTGGATGATAGAAACTGTGGTAAACAAAATCACATATAGCTCCTGCCTTCTGAATCTTATAATCTTTTAATCTTTGCCTGTACTCATTAACTTTTGTTAAAAACATTTTTATCAAAATAGCCGGTGAATCAAGTAACATGGAAGTGCTAACTCTGCTTTCCTCAGCACTCTTTGTTCAGGGGCACATTCTTTTGGTGCTTATTCCCATGGTTGAAATCAGTCTTATTCTCCTCTTTTTTAAGACTTAGAAACACTAGATAATATCTAAGCAACTCTAAAATGAAAAGTTCAGATGCAGATCCATTGTACTATTGCTTTCTTTACCCCTCATCAATGTTTCAGATTTATACAATTTTTAGTCTTTCTCTTAGTTACTTTTGTAACTTAAAATAAGAGACTAAAAACTATTTTTTGTTACATGAAATTTTAGAAATATCTTCATATTTTGCAGTTGGAGGAATTATTCTTTCTTCTTTCTCCATTTTTGTCTCATACCAACATAAAATGAATTATACCTTCTCTACACTCAAATGTTTAAAATTGTGCCATGTTTTCTTTGCTTTTTATGAAAAAAATATATACTAAATATATATATATACTAAATAGCTTTCTGATTCTTAATTACAACTGTATTCTATTGAAAGGATATATTATAACAAATGCCCTATACGTAAACATTTACATTGTTTCCAGTCTTTTGCTCTTATAAGGTTAAAATATTACCAGTTTTGGATAAAAATGATGGAATGTTGGTAATATATATAACAACCTAATATAAAATTGCTGTTTTTATATTTCCAGATATTTAATTTTGATAAATATTGCCAAAATTTTCTACATAAGTCTGATATAATTTTGTGTTATTATGAGCAGTTTATGAAGAAATCTAGATTTGCTAATATTTGCTTGTTCAATTTGCAGTTCTGCCAATTTGAAAGATGAAAAAATAAGATCTACTATTAGTTATGATTTACATTTCTATTACTATGAGTGAGGTTGAGTATCCTTTCATATGTTTACAGGCCATTTTAACTTCTGTTTGGAGGATGAGCTGTATTCATATCCTTGAACACTTTTTATATTAAATTTCTGGATTTTTTTCTTGTTAATTTTTTATGAGGTTTGTAGTTATTAAAAGTTCTAATCTCATATCTGATAGGAGTTGCAAATATATTTTCCCAGCTTGCTAATCATCTTTCAATGTTTGACATTTGCTTTTTAATTTACTCCTTAAATTTTTTTTTTAACCACAGAACTTTTTGATTTCTATATATCTAAAATTTTCTATCTTTTCTTTCATAGCTCTACATTGTAAACAACAGGGTGGTCTTCTTTCTTCAAGATCATGAAATGATGACTCAACTTTTTTTTCTAATAGACATTTTTTTCTAATACTTTAATAATATTACACTAACACTGAAATCTTTGATCTTGGTTTATTGTGGTATGAAGTGTGGTTTCAAGTGTGTATGTTTCCAGATGGCCACCCAGTTTTGTCAACATAATTTTTAAATATATATATCCTTATGTACTAATTTGATAATTGTTATATAAATATATTTGGGTTTATTTCTCAACTTTTCATTCTTTTCCATTGGTCAGTCTATTCATGTAACAGTAACATAGTTTTTACTATCAAAATTTGTATTTTAATATCTAGCAATGCCAGTGACTCTTATATCTCTTATTTTTTTAAAGATTTTCTGGCTATTCTTGCTTTTTAGGTGGTGCATGTAAACTTTGAATTGAATTATGTAGTTGCAGATGGACAAAAACCTTTTGGTATTTTCACTGGGTTCACACTGAACTTAAATTGACTTATGTAAGATATTGAGTCTTAAATAAATAGTAATTTTACTTCTAGTTGTTTAATTTCACTTCCGTATCCATCATGAGAATTTGAGCTATTTTCAAAAATATTGTCTTGAATCTTCCTTGTTAAGTATATTTACTGGAGTTAAAATTTTTATTGTAATGAGATCTTCTATTTTATCTTCCTTTTTAATTATATCTTATTTTGTTCTTTAAATTAATTTTGTACTTTATTATCTATCTTACTACTTTTACTCACTGTGTGGGATTTCATCTTTCTACAAAGATGATAGGATTGATTGTGTATTGGAAGGGTTGGGGAATAAGAAAAATTCTTGAGTAAAATTAATTTTCTTGTTAAAAGCATTGGTAAATATCTCCAGTAGAATGTTAAATAGTTGTGATGAAAAAGTGATATGTGTATTTATCCTGTTAATAAATAATCTGCCAAATTTTGTCAAATGTCTTTTTTTTTTGTATCTAGAGGGAGATGATCATGAGAATTTCCCCCTCAGGAAAGTTTCTCTGATCTATTAATATAATTGACTATAACTGCCTGATACCAAGTTTATTCACATATTTTTAGAATAAACTCCAGTGAGTTGTTACCTGTTAAGTTGATGTTGACTTTGGCTTGATATACTCAGGATTTTTTTAATGTTAATATTCGTAAGTGAGGTTAATCTATAGTTGTCTTTTTAAATGAAATATTTGTTGGCTTTTATTATCAATATTATATTCATTTTAAAAAACAATTGGGATGTTTTCTTTCTTTCTGAGTCCTGAACCCAGTTATGGAGCACTGGAATTATTTACTGTCTAATTTCTATTGAAACTACCCAGTGAGATCTCCTAGCTTGGTGCTTTGTTAGTGTTAGCTCTTAATTTCTTCTGTGCTAAAGAAAGTATAACACACTAAGTTTCACTGAATCATATTCTCCTAGAAAACTATTCAATTTATATAGGCCTTTACATTAAGTTGCCTAGAGTCATCTGAAGTAGTCTTATAATTTTAAACATTTCTGTTCTTATGATTACTTTCTCTTGCTCTTTTATTTTTTCTCTTGAATAAATTAGGTAGTGACAAATCTATGGATCATTTTCAAAAACACCATTCATTCATTCATTCATTTATGCTATGTCATCAATTTATGAATGTACCCTAATTTCTTCATTTGCCTTTTGTTTTTTGGTGTGTTTGTATTATGTTTCTATTTTCTGACTCTGAGCCAGATGCTTACTGCATTTATTTTCATTTCTTCTTTAAAAATGTTTCCTGTAGGACTTGCTTTAGTTATATTTCGTAAGTTCTGATATATATTGCTTTTATTGCAGTTGTTTCTGTAACTTCAGTTGGTATTTTCTCCTGACTTGAGACTTTTTAAAAGGTTTGCTTTTTAAAATATATATATTTGTTAGTTTTTGTTTGTTTGTGGTTTCCTTTTCCTTTCTGGCTTAGTATATTGTCAATTTTCTTCTTTTGTATGTACACTTGAAAAGAAGTGTTTTCTATAACTTGAAAGCATAAAGTTTGCTACATAAAAATCATCTGGTTGATTATAACATGTAGTTTAAATATTTTATATATATATATTTCTGTCTTCTTGATCTGTCTTGATTAGAGAAGTAAAGTGTTCTTTTAAAAAGGTATTTCTAATTCTCACAGTATCAACTGTAATTGCTCTTTGATGAAATTTGCTACTGGTATTTGGTGTCTGATAATAAAAGTTTTATGCTTTCATTATTATTTGCCTCCCTTAGCATTTTGAAGTGTCCTTATTTGTCGCTGTTAATGCTTTTGAACCCTGAATACCGCTTTGTCTGATACTAACTTTGCAGTCTCTGCTTCCTTTTTGGTTGTATGTTCTGGTCTACTTTTGCCCATATTTGCATTTTTAAACTTTCTAAATAGTTTGGTTTTATACATGTTTCCTGTAATAAGCATAGACTTGTCTTTAGCTTTGTGATAAAGAGAAAGATTTTTAATATTTATCTGTGAGGTAAGCTCCCTCATATTGGTCAAGATGATATTCATATTTTATTTCTGTTATGTTTTGTTATGTTTTCTGTTTAAAATATAGGCACACCTCATTTTATTTCACTTCACAGATATTGCACGTTTTACAAGTTGAAGGTTTGCAGCAATCCTGCATGAAGCAAGTCTATTGGCAACATTTTCCAATAGCATGTACTCACTTTGTGTCTCTGTATCACATTTTGGTAATTCTCATAATATTTAAATTTGTTTTTATTCTTACTATATCTGTTATGGTGATCTGTGATCAGTGATCTTTGAGGTTACTAATGTAATTGTTCAGAGGGCCATGAACTGTGCCCATAGAAGTTGGCAAGCTTCATCAATAAATGTTGTTTATGTTCTGATTACTCCATTGACCAGCTGTTCCTGTCTCTCTCTTCTCAAGCCTCACAATTCCCTGAGACACAACAATGTTGAAATTAGGCCAGTTAATAACCCTACACTGGCCTCTAGGTGTTCAAGTGAAAAGAAGAGTCACATGTCTCTCATTTTAAATCGAAAGCTGGAAATAATTAAGCTTTGTGAAGAAGGCATGTTGAAAGCTGAAATGGGCGAAAAGCTAGGCCTCTTGTGCCAGTTACCCAAGTTTTTCTTTTGACTGCAAAAGAAAAGTTCCTGCAGGAAATTAAAAGTGTTACTCCACTAAACATACAAATGATAAGAAAGCTAAACAGCCTGATTGCTGATATGAATAAAATTTTAGTTATCTGGATAGAAGGTAAAACCAGCCACAACATTCCCTTAAGCCACAGCCTAATCCAGAGCAAGACCCTAACTCTCTTCAATTCTATGAAGGCTGGAGAGATGAGGAGGCTGTAGAAGAGAAGTTTGAAGATTCCAGAGGCTGGTTCATGCATTTTGAAAAAATAATCCATCTCCGTAACATGAAAGTACAAGGTAGAGCAGCAAGCGCTGATGGAGAAGCTGCAAAAAATTATTCAGAAGGTCTAGCTAAGATCATTGATGGAGGCGAACAGCAGGTTTTCAATGTAGACAAAACAGCCTTATACTGGAAGAAAATGCCATCTAGGCTGTCATAGCCAGAAATAATAAGTTAATGCCTGGCTTCAAAGCTTCAAAGGACAGGATGACTTTTAAACAGGCACTAATGTGGCTGATGACTTTAAGTTAAGGCAATGTTCATTTACCTTTTCGAAAATCTTAGGGTCCTTGAGAATGATGCAAAATCTACTCTACCTGTGCTCTATAAGTGGAACAAAGCCTAGATGATAGCACATCTGTTTTTAGAATAGTTTACTGAATATTTTCAGTAAATAATTTCAGTAAGCATTGCTGAGACCTATCACTAAGAAAAAAAAAAATCCTTTCAAAATATTACTGTTCAATGACAACACACCTGGTCACCCAAGAGCTCTGATGGAGATATGCAAGGAGATTAATGTTGTTTTCATATCTGCTAACACAACATCCATTTTTTAGTTCCTGGATTGAGTAGGAATTTTGATTTTCAAGTCTTATTATTTAAAAAATTCATTTTAGAAGGCCAAAGCTGCCATAAATAGTAATTCCTCTAGTGGAGCGGGGTAAATTGAAAACCTTCTGGAAAGGATTCACCATTCTAGATACTGTCAAGAATATTCGTGATTCATGGGAGGAGGTCAAAATATCCACATTAGTAGCTGATTACAACCTTCACAGATGACTTTGAAGAATCCAAGAGCTCAGTAGAGAAAGTAACTGCAGATGTGGTGAAAATAGCAAGAGAACTAGAATTAGAAATGGACCCTGAAGATGTGACTGAATTACTACAATCTCATGATAAACCTCAAATGGATGAGGAATTGCTTCTTATGAATGAGCAAAGAAAGTGGTTTCTTGAGATGGCATCTACTCCTGGTGAAGATGTTGTGAACATTGTTGAAATGACAGCAAAAGATGTAGACTATTATGTAAACTTAGTTGATAAAGCAGTAACAAGTTTTGAGAGGACTGACTCCAGTTTTGAAGGAAGTTCTACTGTGGATAAACTGCTATCAAACAGCACCAAATGCTACAGAGAAATCTTTTGTGAAAGGAAGAGGCAATTGATGCAGCAAACTTCACTGTGGTCTTAACAAGATAGTGTAATCACAACTTTTAAATACACTGTGAAACCAAAAAATTTGTGTAACTCACTTTATTGTGATATTCACTTTATTACTGTAGTCTGGAATGGAACCTGTAGTATCCCCTGGATATGCCTGTACATGTGCATATGTACAACTGTAGATATATTTAAACATTGTACTATTTTATCTATTCTTGAAAATTTAGCCTTTTTGACATATAGAAAAGTTATATTTGTTTTCATAACTACCTTTATAATACCCTTTAGACTGAAATCCTTTTTTTATACCTTTTATGTCTATCTATCCATCCATTTATCTCCTGTCTCTTTATCATCATCATCATCATCATCATCATCATCACCAGCCCCATCATCTTATCCTTTTCTCTATGAGCAATAATAAAATTAGTTTTTGTATTAGTCAGGGTTCTCTAGAGAGACAGAACTAATAGGATATATGTGTGTATGAAAGGGAGGTTATTAAGGGGAATTGACTCATGCAATCACAAGGCAAAGTCCCGTGATAGGCTGTCTGCAAGCTGAGGAGCCAGGAAGCCAGTAGTGGCTCAACATCCCCAAACCTCAAAAGTAGGGATGCCAACGGTGTGCAGCCTTCAGTCTGTGGCCAAAGGCCCAGGAGTCCCTGGCAAATCACTGGTGTAAGTCCAAGACTCAAAAAGCCAAATAGCCTAGAGTCTGACATTTGGGGGCAGGAAACATCCAGCACGGGAGAAAGATTAAGGCTGGAAGACTTAGCAAGTCAGCTCATTCCACCTTCTTCTACCTGAGTTTTCTAGCCACTCTGGCAGCCAATTGGATGGTGCCCACCCAGACTGAAGGTGAATCTGCCTCTCACAATCCACTGACTCAAATGTTAATCTCCTCTGGCAACACCCTCATAGACACAGCTAGAAACAATACTTTGTATCCTTTGATCCAATCAAGTTGACACTTAATATTAACCATTACAGCTTATATCCTATTTCTTCTCCGTCCCCTTCCATTTCCTAATGACCCAGCTTTATGTTTATGTTTTTTGTTTACATGGGTGAATTATTTGTGGTGAAGTCTGGGATTTTTGTGTAATCATCACCCAAATGGTGTACATTGTACCCAATAGGTCATTTTTCATCCCTCAGCCCCCTCTGCTCCTCCCTGCTTCTGAGTCTCCAGTGTCTACTATACCACTCTGTTTGCCTTTGCATACTCATTGCTTAGCTCCCGTAAGTGAGAACATGTGGTATTTGATTCTCTGATCCTGAGTTACTTCACTTAGGCCAGTGGCTTCCAGTTCTATCCAAGTTGCTGCCAAAGACATGATTTCATTCTTTTTATGGCTGAATACATAGATACATAGATAGCACTATCTTTATTGATTTTTATCTTTGTACCATAAGCTTATACTTCTAGACCTTGCTTCATCATCCTTATCTGTTTCCTTCATATTCCTGATGTCGCATATGAGACAACCTCTAACTTTACTCCACTTTCTATATTATGTCCCTCCTTTCCTCCAATATCTTGTGGTTGTATTATTTTTCACTGTCACAGCACACAACATTTACATCCTATTCTGTCTTCTTTAACCTTTATATGTGTCTTAGATCTGTTGTTAAATATATTTTTGTCTCAAATATACAAGTAACATATTCAATGCATAGAACTGATTCTTTTGCTAGAGCTTCTCTAATTATTTATGCATTGGCTAGAACTAATTCTTTAGTATTTCTCTAAAGAAAAGTCCACATGAAAAAATTACTACCTGAACTGCTTCATGTTTAAAACACAGTACTGTAGGCTTTATAGTTGAAGGGCATCTTGTCTGGATAGAAAATCTTTGGTTCATGTTCTCCTCCGAATATACTGTAAATGTTCGTGAAATGGATTCTGTCTTCTGTTTTTGTCAAGATGTTTGAGACCAACTTAATGCTCTTTCTCTTAGAAGCAGGTCGGCAGTCAATCTAACTGATACTTTTGAGTATGAGAAGGAATAATATAAGTAATTAGCTTGAGGAACAAGTCTAAACCAAGATAACACCAGGTTAACTGGGACATTTTGTTTTTTATTTGCCCAGAGAACCAAAGCTTCTTTATTCAAAAGTCTGATAATTTTCTAGGATATGTATTTTTCTCAAAAGAAGATATAGAAATGGCCCTCAATCATATGACAAAGTGCTCAACATCAGGAAAATGCAAATTAAAGCTACAATGTGATATCTCCTTACCCCAGCCAGTATGGCCATTATTAAAAAATTTTTAAAAAACAGATGTTGGTACAAATGTGGTGAAAAGGGACTACTTATACAGTGCTGGTGGGAATGTTAATTAGTACGACTTCTATGGAAAAGTGTATGGAGAGTTCTCAAGAACTGAAAGTAGATCAACCATTCAACTCAGCCTTGTATATCTACCCAAAGGAAAATAAATTGTATTATAAAAAAGACACCTGCATGTATATGTTTTCTACAGCACAATTTATAATCGCAAAGATATGGAATCAACCTAAGTGCCCATCGACTGATGAGTGGATAAAGAAAATGTGGTATATATACGTCATGGAATATTACTCAGCTATAAAAAGAATAAAATCATGTCTTTGGCAGCTACTTGGATAGAACTGGAAGCCATTGGCGTCAGTGAAGTAACTCTGGATCAGAAAACCAAATACCACATGTTCTCACTTACAGGAGCTAAGCAATGAGTATGCAAAGGCAAACAGAGTGGTATAGTAGACAATGGAGACTCAGAAGCAGGGAGAGGCCGAGGGGGTTGAGGGATGAAAAATGAACTATTGGGTACAATGTGCACTATTTGGGTGACGATTACACAAAAATCCCAGACTTCATCACAAAATAATTCATCCATGTAAACAAAAAACATATGTACCCCTAAAGCTTTTGAAATTAAAAAAAAATCTAAAAGAAAGGAAAAAAGTTATTTTAGGATCTGTCTTGCTGATAACTATTCTGAATAAATTTTCCCAGAGTGAACCCTTTCATTATGTGGATTCAAATCTTTTTTTAACTTCAGTAAGAGTTTTATTAATTATTACTTTAAATATTTTTTTCTTCTTTGGGGAACTCTGTGTGTGTGTGTGTGTATATATATACACAGACACACATTATATATGTATGTATGTATGTATATATAAAATATATATACATACATTATATATGTATATAAAATATATATACATACATTATATATGTATATAAAATATATATACATACATTATATATATATAATATATTCACCTTTACACAGATTTCCATGTTTGTATGTTCTTTATGCTTTTATCTCTTTTGTCCCTTTTCATACCTTACTTTATTTGACTTTCTCATTTCCTTCCTCATATGCCTTATTCTGCTTTCCACAGCTTCTATTCTTTCAAAATTTGGTTCTGATTCCTAAAATATTTTTGTCTTTTTGTATTTTTTATTTCTTTCCCTAACTTTCTCAATTCCTCTATTGTCTGATCACCTCTTCTTGTAATTCTTTAGTTTCTGTTTCTGTTTCTTCCTTCATATTGCTGACTATTGTATTATATTCACTTTAGTTCCTGAAAGATATTAGGTTGTAATTTGTATCTATGTTGTGGCAACATTTTTTCAGGCATGTTTTTATTATCTTTCCAGATATACTGTCTCTACTTTTTTACATTTTTGTATGGAAACAAAATATATTCTGTTCTATTAATTATATCCTAGATTTTACTGAACTATAGGGAAAGAGTGGACATTGGACAGAATAGCTTCTTATACTCTAAGGCTCCTCCTCACTGCTACAGTGAAAAATTAAAATACAGAAACTCTGCATAGCCCCTCTTTCTCCATTGTCGGACCCTCCCATAGTTGAGATCTGGGCTTCTCAGTTCTCTTTCTTTTACCTTTTAGAAATAATATTTTGCAGATGATTTCAGAGCACTACACCTTCTGAGCCCCTGTCACTTTCTTTTTGTTGCCCTCTGCCACTTTCTGCCAGCCCCAATAGTCTTGTCGTGGCCAAACTAGGCCTTGAAGCATGTTTCTTCCCAGGTTTACATCTTTCCTGTCTGGAAATCCACTGTTTTTCTCTGAAGTACCTTAAAAAAATTTTAGAGAATAAATGGGAATATTAAACAATTAGCTGTCACCAAATTCTTACAGAGAACAGACCGTCTCTGGATATTTGCCCAACATTTCTTCTATTTTTGAGAAGAACTTTCACTCTTGCCACCCAGGCTGGAGTGCAGAGTAGCTGGGATTACAGGCACCTACCACCACACCCGGCTAATTTTTTGTATTTTTAGTAGAGAAAGGGTTTCGCCATGTTGGGCAGGCTGGTCTCGGACTCCTGACCTCAGGTGATCCACCCACCTCAGCCTCCCAAAGTGCTTGGATTACAGGCATGAGCCACCGTTCCCAGCCCCAACATTTAAGTTTTTATTGAAGGTTCTCCTACTCTTTGTATTATTTATCTTTCAAATACCCTCATTCTGCTCTCCCTCTCTCACGTCTTCTATTGAGTTCCTTTTTTTGTTCATGGAGACTTCCAGCCGTGGATTTTTACATCCTTCTACTGCAAAATGCATGGGTTGACTGCTTGGACTTCACTGGCTCTGTTTTGATTGACTTTCAATCTGAACATGAGTCCTTCAGCTCTGTGCAATTCTTTTCTATTATGATTGTAGTGTCCGCCCTAGATTGTCCTCAACCTTATTTTTCAGTCTCTCTTTAATTATACAGTAACATCTGCAGCCTCTCAGACTTTTTATTCCCTCCTTCAGTGTTCCTTGTTCATAACTTTGTTTTTGTTTTGTGACAGTTTTTCTGATCACTCCAAACACACTTGTTGTTTTCAAAGTTCATGTCTATTTTCTGTACTTTTCCTAAAGCCATTTAAATGTTTGTCTATTTTGCTTTCTTTTATATGCTGCTGGCTCTTTTCACCTACCTGGCATTTTCTGTTTCTTTATTCATACTTAAGAAAGATGTGGCTTTTCTATGCTGCTGTAAAACACTTTTCTAGACATTTTCTCTAAGGAGCTCTATGTATGGCCACTTTGCTAGGTAGAGTTATAGGATCCAGCGGGTGGGCTGCAGACCCCATTCCCCAACTCAGTGCCAGCATCGACAGCATTTTGTTTTTCAGCAGGAGAGCGGAGATGGAGAGGAAAGGACACTTGCCACGGGAATCCTTTGCCCCCAACATTGATTATAATTCCTTTAGAGAATGGCCTTTAGAGTTCTACCTGGGAAGAAAATGCTGGCTGTGTGTACTCTGCATTTGACCTTTTTGGGGTAGAGAGTAAATTTGGGTTCCTGACTATTCTAATTGCATCATATGTAACTCCTTCCCTGTACCTATAATTCACAGTATATACTTACCCATGTCATTTCTTAGATGCATGCTCAATAATTCCATGTCTCAGGAGTACTTGGAATTTATGTGTATTAATAGAATTGCTACAAACCCTCTGAGCCCTATGGACAGTATATGAATAGATTCTGTTCATTTCATATTGATCTCCCTTCAACCTTCTAAGCAGTTCAATGTCTTTTCCTTTATCTCACTTTCACCATCTTTCTCTCTTTTTTTCTTTAGGGGGAGGAGACTCTCCTTTCTCCCAAAACCAAGAATCAAGTTTCTTCTCCTTTTATAAGGTCTTGTATTTTGGCTTAGTCTCTAATATTCTGGCAGACTGCCTCTACATGGAAGTTACCTAAATGGCCCCATTTGAGCAACCTTTTGACTTTGGGCTTCATAGAAGGCTGAGTTAAGTAACAAGAAGGTTAAGATGAGACTAGACAGTGAGGGCATCACAGGGTGAGCAAATAGGTCTTAGAGGAGTCCATGGGTCATTCATTGACAAATAATCCTTACTATAAGCATAAGACACTTAAGGAACCAAAATATCTAGAATTACAAAATAATAAAAAAGCCATGTCTACTAAATAAAAATAACCAAAAAGGACAACTACTTACTTTGTATTTGCTTAGAGTCCTATGCTTTCTTATTTCACATATGTACACTATGACTTTTTTAAAAGCCTAACATCTTCTGAATGAGTCCTTGGTTCTTATTTCTCTCCTATTCTTCTCTGGTCCCTTTGTAACACTTCCTTTGTAGCACTCAATGTTCCAGTGCTAATTTTCTATATGGCTTTTTTTGGTTAGAGGTCAGTCCTGTAATTTCTTCCATTTGTTCCCCTCCTCCACCAAAAGCGACCCATTTGAACTCGTGATAGCTGTTCCAGTGCATTCCAGATACAGGCATCTTCCTGTCTTCCATCTGAATACTGTCTGCACACTCAAAGGTCAGAAACCCCATTATTGAGCAAAAGTGTAAAGTCCCAAATCCAGAGCACAGAATCCATTAAGTCTTAGCAATCGGTTCTAGCCATTAGCTAATAGAACAAACTGCACATCAATAACAGTACTCTGAATAGGATCACATACTTGGCCCATGCAGAAGGTTGTAATTTGCCATATAAAACGTCGAGCTCAGAAAAGGATAGCTGGAGAACACAAGATACTGAGCAAATTGTGAGGTTTTAATTTAAAAATTTAAATGGACAGAGGCGTAGCATCACTGGTAAGTGGCACTGAGAATTTCAGGCGATGCTGCCTATGGCTGCCTCTAGTGAGAACTATTTGTTAAAATGACTTGTACTCGTGTCAGACAACCAGAGGGTTCCTCTCACCTGTCAATTTATCTAATAAAGGAAGAGACAAACCTGCACTAGATTTCTGTATTGACTTTTCAAGAAATACTGCAGCCCTCCAGGTGCCATCCTGTAAAAACATCAGAAAACATGGTAGAGAGCCTCTTCCCTATGGGTGTTTTTAATCCATTCACACCAATATCAACCAAGTAAATAGAGCAAAGCTTCAGTCATAAAGCATGCTTTTGACTGTAATAGTCTAAAATTTAACTTTATTATGTATCTTTATATGGTTTTGTGTGGAAAGTTGGAGAAGGTTGCCATGACTGATAAAAATCTTATCTCTCTGTTTGATTTATACTGATTCTTTCCATAACAATTATATGATTTTTAAAAATTAAACTACATTTCCTTGCCAAGAAAATGGCAATCTTTTTTAGTCCATCATATAATTTGTCTCTAAAATGCCTGTCTTCATAATATGCCGATCATTAGAGTGATGTATATTTGATGAAAACGGGTAATGAATAACATTCAAAGCCTATTTCTAAGCGTTGATTGATGTACGTATTGTTTTGTCTCCTGTGTTTAATGGCCACGTCTTCCTTTTTTTTTTCTAGTTTTTCAGCAGCACCCGCTGAGGAGTAAATGAGAACTGACCTGTTTTGAAATCTTCCAGAAATAAAATTCTCATCTTGTTACATTTGTGGCTGGGAGGGGATTTGGCACATATTGCCGTTCATTTGCAAATACAAAGTCACCCACTCGAAAGCCTATTCACTCTGAGGAGGGCACAGTCTATCAAACAAGATCAAGCGTACTTTTTATAGACTCACAAACATCTCTCTTTATGTACATACATAAAAGGGGCTGATAAGAATAGATTTTTTTCTCACTGGAAAAAGTCCCTTAAGCATAAATACCCAGTTCTATGAAATTTATTGATCATAAAGGGGAAATGCTGTAGCAAAAGTGCCACTAAGTGACTCGAGCTCTATTTATACACAGCATGTATATAGCTTGGTAGTATTGAGAAATTCTCTTGTGCGATTTTCGGGAAAAATCAGTTCAGACAAATTCGTAATGAGAACTTTATTCCATTCTTATATCACTAGCAGATAACCACTTGACAGTGTGCTCAGATGTTAAATTGTTGGGGAAAGGAAAAGGTTTTGCTTGAGCTCTCAGAATGCCTATGCTATTGTAAGCCTGCATGAAATCCTGGTAACAAGCCCCTGCTCACATCCAGGTTGTGTATCTGCTGGGTCAGAGTCACAGGTCAGTGATCAGTCTAACCACAAGTCAGATTCTATGTCCGCAAAGTGGAAAACCTATCATTCCTTTCAGCCTTCTGAATCAGTTTGCATTTCTCCCTTTCTTTCTAACACCAACTTTCTACTTTTCCCCTTATAGGAGTAGTCTGTGGTTCCATGCCTTGTGCATTTGTTCAGTTCACTTGTTTCTTCCTTTCCTGCTGACTTACTTTTGAAATTTAATGTATATCAAATAAGGGAGCATTTGCATCCATGTCCAGGAAAGATGAAAAAGATTGGGGTGGGAAGAGTTAAAGTTCATGGAGAAAGATAACTGTGTTATTTATTTATTTATTATTTATTTTGAGAGAGAGACGGGGTCTTGCTCTGTCACTCAGGCTGAAGTGCGGTGATGCAATCATAGGTCACTGCAGCCTCAAACTCCTAGTCTCAAGCAATACCCCTGTCTCAGTCTCCTGAGTAGCTGAGACTACAGGTGTGTGCCACCACACTGGGCTAAACTACGTAAAAATTAAATATGAGAAATAGTCACCTATGCAAAGGATTTGAATATGCCGCCTCAACATTCCTTCAGATTGTAAAATATTCTAAAGCTGCCAAGAAATTCCTACTTTAGTTGATTAGCAACAATGAAATAGGCAACTAAGCTCTTTTTCTTTCTTTTTGGAAAGATGTTCACATTCTTAATTCTTGTTTAACCTCTGAATTATATAAAGAACATAGGTTGGTCAATATGAAAATATATATTATTATTCTGGGATCCTTCCATAAAATTATTTCTAAATGTGAGTTAATAACACTGTGCTCTCTGACTGCTCACTATTTCCTTATGTTGCTACTTTTACTTCTTTGTCATATAAACCTCTAGAGATGGCATAGATTCCAAGGACACTTTTTCCTCCCAGCCTTCTGAATATAATGATTTAAAATAGTAAAATTTATTCTTCATTTGTAGATATGCATTTATTTGCTAACATCTTCTCAACCAGTTGCCATTATTCAACTAATCCCTACACCAATCAGACTAATAATTACATATTTACTATGAATACATGTCCAGTACTATACTTTGTGCTATAGTGAATTAGAAAAGTATAACAGTGCTCTGGGTTTTGATGGACTCTTTACTGTAATCAGCTCTTACCTGACCAATGAGTTGACTCTGTTAATCCTGCCTATGATATTGGAAATACACCATTATTGGAGCTGTTCACATTCCTAAAGTATGTACTATGAGAAATAAGAACGTGACAGAAAAACTAAGCATTTGGGCTTCATAGCTGTTTAAGTTTCAAGGTTTTAATATGTTCAAAATATTCCCATTATAATTGAATTTATCTTTATTATTCATCAATATATGCTTATAAATGGTAGCAAACATGCAGGCTGCACATTTGTTGAAATAAATATTTTTTAGCTTAAATAATGTAAAGTCTTAAAAACTTAATTACTCTAGAAGAAGAAACAGAGATTCTGGAAGAGTTGGATATCTTTTAAGTTAGAAGTCAGAAAAACTTAAAAAAAAAACTTGAAGATTGAATTACTAAGGTTTCAAGCTTTCAAGTTGGTTATCTCTAGTGCCTTAGAAACACCAGCATTTTCACAGAAAGAATTTCATGATCCAACCTAAATTAATATCATATATAATTACTCTTTCTATTATATAAGATGCTATTATATTAGACAACTGCTCCATTACTGTTAAATTAGAACTACTGCCTAGATAATAATTATACCTGCTTAAGTCTACAACACAGTAAAATATAATTTTATATAACAGATTTTCACAAGGTGGTCCATTAAAGTTCTCTTACAGAGTTATCAATAAAATTAAGACACGAAAGAAGTAATCTGTCTTGGTGTCAATCTCAAATACTAATTTGAGTGGATGTTTTTATTTTAAGAAAGCTTTTTGGTTGTTTTACATATTATGCAACTTTGTCATTTCCACTGAGATCTTGAAAGAAGTATTGCTTTTCATGACTTTGTCATTAGCTCTTGGTACCTGACCTGCATTTAGCGAATGATGAAATTTGAATGTGAATTATGAACATTTAGGCATATTCACTTTTATAAAAATCATCATCATTCCGGTCAGAAAGTACATCTCCTAAGACTGAGATACTACATACAATTATTAAATGATCTGGGGTAAGCAATGTAGAGAAAGAACAAAATACTATCCAACTTGTAATCATCACCTGTGATAGTAACTGTCTTAAGTGGCAAAAAATTACTGGCAGTGCTTTCTGGAGCCATTAAGAGCTTGCTGCACCCTGGAGTGCAATGAGCCATAAAAGCAGAGCGGAGATAAACACACTCTGGGGTGTCATAAGCTATGAAGCACAGATGTGTTCACCCATATTATGATAACCATTGCTTAGAGAAATCCTGTTTTTAGTGGAAGAAGATGAAGAAAGAAAAATGCATTTTTTATTCAATAAAAACCTAGCAACTTAATCTTCTATTTTTTTAAGCATGTGGGGCAATTGAACTGAGAAGTTTTACATAGGTATATCTTTGTCCTTAGATATTCTTTTCAATATTACAAACTTTCTCTAAGTGAAATAAGACCTGAGTATACATTTTATATATAGTCACTGAATAAAGCAACCCAAAACTTCATCCTTAGCATTAGGACTTTTAAAAAGTTACCTGGTTGATAAATATTTTTAGGCTTCTGTTATCTTCAACTTACAATACAAGATAAATAAGAGAATTCCAATATATTTTTCTCAATATGGAATTGATGCAGTCTAAAATGTGAAAAACAAAAATATGGCGCTCCAGGAGGAATTCACCTTTCAGACAGGGTGCTCTTCAGATCAACATTATGAATTTATTTTATTATTCTTGTTGTTGTAAGTAAACAGGCCGTCTGTTATTATAAGCAAAGAATAGGGCAGGTCTCAAAATAAGGAAGACTTAGAAGCTAGTGGTTTTTCAACTTTATCAGTGCTCCAATGTTACGATGTTGACGTAGATTTAGTTAGTTAGTATATGTTGGAGTTTTAAAATGTCTCTTTCGGTCAGGCGCGGTGTCTCGCACCTGTAATCCCAGCAGTTTGGGAGGGTGAGGTGGGTGGATCATTTGAGGTCAGGAGTTCAAGACCAGCCTGGCCAACATGGTGAAATCCAAGTCCTACTAAAAATACAAAAATTAGCTGGACATGGTGGTGCTTGCTTGTAATGCCAGCTATTCAGGAGGCTGAGGCACAAGAATTGCTTGAACCCGGGAGGCAGAGGTTGCAGTAAGCCGTGATCATGGCACTGCACTCCAGCCCGGGTAAGAGAGTGAGACTCTGTCTCCCATCAATCAATCAATCAATCAGTAAAATTAAAACAAACAAAATGTCTCTTTCTTTTTCTTTTCCCTTTGGGTTCCACTTCCGTTGGAGCATATTTGTACAGATGGCAGTGATTCCAACAAATGTGGCCTTTGATTTTTGTTGAGGAAAATAGGAGTTACTAGGTTCAACTTAAAAGGACCTCTACAAGATCTAAGAATTAAAGAAGGGAGAGCAATGTAATAACCACAATAAAATGGTGCAAAGAAGGTTTCTAAATACCCAGACAGTCCATATTTTTGTCCATAATATACTCCGGTAAAAGTATGTTATCTCAGACTTATAAGGAAGTGTTTAATGGCCAATAAACTCTAGAGCATGATGTTTAAACCTATGACCGATGAACCCCCTGAGACTACATTAATTGTGTTGTTGCTGCTGTGGTCTTGTTGTTGCTGTGGCCTTGTTTAAACATTATTGAATTCTGTGGGTTTGTCAGATTCTTAAGAATCTAATCTGTGACTCCAAAATGGTAAAGGACCAGGACCAAGGTTTGTGTCAAGAGAAATTTTAAAATATTTCATTAGTTAAAAATATTTTTAACTAATACAAGTGAAAGTATAACTTATCAAAAATTGTGGGATGTAGCAAAAACAGTGATCAGAGGGAAGTTTATAGCATTGAACACATATATTAGAAAAGAAGAAAGACCCAAAATAAATAATTTAAGCTTTCATGTTATGAAACCAGAAAAAGAAGAACAAATTAAATTCAAAGTATGCAGAAGAAAGGAAATAATTAATAGTACATCAGAAATCAATCAAATTGAAAATAGGAAATCAATAGAGAAAATAAATAAAACCAAAGCTGGTTATTTGAATATCAATAAAATCAATAAGACTCTAGTGAGGCTAACTAGGAAAAGGAGACAGAAGACACACATTACTAGTATACAAATGAAAAATGAAACAGAGGTCATTACTACAGATCCCATGGATGTTAAATGGATAATAAAGGAATATTATGAGCAACTCTATGCCCACAAATTTGATAACCTAGATAAAATGGAAAGAGTTCTTGAATGACGCAGTGTGCCCCTTACAAAACTCAGAGAAGAAGAAATAAGCAATATGAATAGGCCTACATCTATTAAAGAAATTGAATCAATAATTAATAACCTTTCAAAATGGAAAGCAACAGGACCCTACATACTCAATGGTGAATTCCACCAGACATTTCAGGAAGAAAATCTATCAGTGCTCTATAATCTCTTTGAGAAGATAGAAGCAGAGTTAATATTTGCTAACTCATTATATTAGGCCAGCATTACCCTGATACCAAAACAGACAAAGACAAAGGTGTTACAATAAAATAACACTACAGACCACTATCTCTCATGAATATAGATGTCAAATCCTCAACAAAATATTAGCAAACAGAATTCAACAATGTATAAAAACAATATATACTATGAGTAAAATTTATCTCAGGCATGCAAAGCTGGTTTAACATTAGAAAACTAATTAATATAACCCTTCACATCAACAGCTTAAAGAAGTTAAATCACGTGATCATGTCAATAGACACAAAAAAGCATTTGACAAAATCTAACACTCATTTATGATAAAATTTTTCAGTATATTTCAAATAAAAGGGAACTCATCAACTTGATAAAGGATATCTATATAAAATTTACAGCTAACATGCTTAGTGGTTACATGTATATGGTCAACTGTTCTTTGACAAAGAAATAAAGGCGATGCAGTGAAGCAAAGACAGTCTTTTCAACAAATAGTGCTGAAAAAAACAGTATATCCATATGCAAAAAAAAAGAATGTAAACACAGAACTTAAATCCCTCACAAAAGTTAGCTCAAAATTGATTGCAGACCTAAATGTAAAATGCAAAACTATAAAAATCCCAGGAGATAACATAGGACAAAATCTAGACGACCTTGATTTTGGCAATAGCTTATAGATATGACATCAAAGACACAACCCATGAATGAAAGAATTGGTAAGCAAGATTTAATTAAAATTAACATTTTCTGTTTTGCAAGAGACACTGTCAAGAGAATGAAAAGACAATACACAGACTTGGAGAAAATGTTTGAAAAACCCTATCTAATAAGGGACTGTATCCAAAATATACTAAGTAGTCTTAAAACTCAACAATAAGAAAACAAACAACCTGCTTAAAAAATGGTCCAAAGATGTTAAAAAAAAATACCTCACCAAAGAAGATAAACATATGGCAAAAAAAAAATAAGAAAAAATGCTTCACATCGTATGTCATCAGGGAAATGCAAATTAAATCAACAATAAGATATGGCCTATTAGAATGGGAAAATTGAAAACATTGACAACATCAAATGTTGGCGAGAATGTGGAGCATCAAGAACTCTTATTCGTCACTGGTGGAAATGAAAAATGACACGGTCACTTTTGAAAACAGTTTGGCAGTTTCTTACAAAACTAGCATACTCTTGCCAAAAGATCCAGTAATCATACTCCTTGGTGTTTATGCCAAGAAGTTGAAAACATGTCTACACAAAAACCTGCACATAAATATTTATAGCAGCTTTATTCATAATTGCCAAAAATTGGAAGCAACCAAGGTGTCCTTCAGCACGTGAATGAATAAATAAACTGTGATACATCCAAACAATCAATGTTATTTAGTGTTAAAAAGAAATGAGCAACCAAGCCATAAAAATATATGGAGTAAACTTAATAATGCGTATTACTAAGTGAAAGAAGTCAACGTGAAAAGGCTAGATACTGTATGATTCCAACTATATGACGTCCTGGAAAAACTGTGGAGAGGGTAAAAAGATCAGTGGTTGTCAGGGGTTGGCGGAAAGGAAAGATGAATAGGCTGAGAACAGAGGATTTTCAGGGCAGTGAAAATACTCTGTATGATGCTAGACTGGTGCATACATGTCATTATACATTTGTCCAGACCCATAGAATGTACACCACCACGAGCAAACCCTAATGTAAACCATGGACTTTGGGTAATTGTGATGTGTCAGTGTAGATGCATCAATTGTAACAAATCTAGCACTTTGGTTGGGGATGTTGATAATGGGGGAAGCTGTACATGTAGGAGGGTAGGGGATAGATGAGATATCCCCATACCAACCTTTCAATTTCGTTATGAACTACTCTAAAAAATAGCATTTTTAAAAAAAACAAGTTTATTCTATCTCATCACCTATTAGAAAATCCACTTTGGGGTAATTTAAGTGCTATTCTATACTAATATACTATATCAATGACATTCTGGTGTAGACTACAAGAAACTTCTAAAGAAGAGACAGAAGAGTATCAGCACTAATCTGTTAAGTCACTCTTGTATAGTTCCTTTCCCTTTATATTTAAGCAGTGTGTATGGTGGAGATGGTGGTGAGGCAGCAGGTAGGGTAATACCAAGATAACATATGGATGAAAAAATGTTACATAGTGTAATGAGAATTAGCTTTAAAAGGGCAATTGTTTCTATTTTAAATGTCTATTAAAAGTAAGTCACATAAGTTATGGTTTTTAATATGTGATATTTATTTAAATGTTGTCTAAGAGGAGGGTTATAGTATATTGGAGGTGCTAAAGAAACTCTCTAATATGTTAGAATATTAGTTTCAAATCCTGACTTAAACACTGAGTAGCTCTGAAGCCTACATTTATTTTCTTTCTTTCCCTTCCTTCTTTCTTCCTTCTTATTTCTCCTCATTCTTTCTTTTTCTTTCCTCTGACAGGATCTTACTCTGTCTTCCAGGCTGGAGTGCAGTGGTGCAAACATAGCTCACTGCAGCCTCAAACTCCCAGGCTCAAACCATCCTCCCATCTCAGCCTCCCTAGTAGCTGGGACCCAGACATATGCTATTTTTCATATTATTTTTCATATTATTTGTAGAGACGAAGGTCTCCCTATGTTGCCCAGGCTGATCTTTAACTTCTGGGGAAACCTGAATTTCATAATCCCTCTGCACCAAGACTTCCTTAGCTGGAGAGTAGGGAGTATGGAGTTATTGTGCGGGCTGACTAAACATTTTCTGAGAATGAGGCACCTTCACCTCATTATTTAATTCTGAATGTCAAATGTCATTACTTGAATCTGAAACTGATACACACACACACACACACACACACACACACACACACACACACACTCTCTCTCTCTCTCTCTCTCTCTCTCTCTCTCTCTCTCCATCTTATTTGGATCTAAGCCAAAACTGAGAATGTGGGCCATCTGCTGGTGACTTTTGGAACTTCAGACACATGTTTCCCAGGCCTTCACGTTTGAGGGGATAGGTAAGCATCTATGTAGAATGTCAGAATTGTGGGTAACCTTAGAGATTATCCCATGTAGCCTTCATTTTTATAGTGATTTGCACATGTTGGCTTTTAGCCGGTTGCAGAACCAAGACATGAACCCAAGTTGTCTGACTCCGAGTTGTGTGTAGACCTAAAGCATCAGGGGCAGCGGAGGATTGCTGTCACAAAGTGGGAGAGTTTCAGACAAGGAAGGACAGATTTGGAACACTGGGAGAGAAAACGTTTTCTCCGCTCCACACTTGGGCGGCTGCACTATGTGTGGAGAATATTGGCCTGTGAGTCAAGGTAACCACAGAAAAATGGTACATAATGGATTTTATCATTGCACCCTATATCTTCTCCACTCCAATAAGTCTCCCCTTCCTGCCAACCCTCATGCTTATCTTGTCAGATGCTCAGATACTAGCAGCTGCAAGTTTCTTCCTGAGTTTACCTATTATTCGCTTTCCTTTTATCATCAAAACTACTGGGAGGGTAGGCGATTATCTGATCAAATAATCTGATTATCCAATGGACAACATAATGATGTCCAGACTATGTACCAGGTGGAGGTGATGCAAGTGTGAAAATGACAGGTGAGAAACTTACAGTCTAGAGGAGAATCAGGCTAACAAGGAGTCACTCACCATAGACTGTGAAAAGTTGTTATAGGGAAACTGCTAATGAGGTTGAGCTTCTTTCAATATTTGTATGGGTTGTGTGAAATGCCTTCTGTAAACTATATGTTTAAAGGTTGCTTTGCTTTCTTTCTGGGGGTGAGGGGGCTGATTTTTAATGATGTTTTTGTCTTCATCTTGCTAATTTATGTAATTTCATAATGTTTTCTGGATACTAGTTTTTTGTTGTTGTTGTAGTGGACTCAGTGGTGGCCCCCCAAAAGGTGTCCACCTGGACCTTGTAAATATGATCTGATTGCAGTTATAATTAAATTAAGGATCCAAAGATAAGATTATAGGGTAGGCCCCAAATATAATAGTGAGTTTCCTTATAAAATAAGAGGGAAAGACATAAGAGAGAGACCAGGTGAGGATGTAGGCAGAGATGAGAGTTATGCCACTATGAGCCAAGGAGAGCCTGGAGCCTCCAGAAATTGGAAAGGCAAGAAATAATTCTTGGGAGAATCCTTCTCAAAGTCTCTTGGGGGAGACTGGCTCTGCTGAAACCTTGATTTCAGACACCTGTCCTCCAGAAGTGAGAATAAATGACAGGTGTCATTATAAGACAGCCATGTGAAGACAGAGCTACACAGGGAGGCACATAGGGAGAATGTGTTTACAGGGGCAGATAGTAGAGAGATGAATCTACAGGCCAAGGAATATTGACAGCCACAGAGAGCTAGGAGAGAGGCAGGAAAGGATTATTTCTTCACCAACATCTTCCTAATTCTTCATTTGCATGTGCTCAATTCTAAAAAAGCATTGTCCAGGAGGATGCTTCATGAAGAGGTGGCACACAAGTTGGATATTTACTACTATGAGAAAATAAAAGAAGCATGAAAACTCTTGGGAGCATACATTTATAGTAGCCAAAAATACAGCCAGATTCGATCAAACTGAGGATGTACATGCTGAAGCCACTGCCAAATTCTTAATTTTAGTGCAAGTTTATCATCACTTAGAGATGTAGTTTGAACCCTCAGCATGTTGTCTCAAGAAGATTTTTTGCTGGCCAGTTTCAAATATTTGGCATCTCGTATCAGCAGGACTATACTGAATAGGCATGAGACACAATTCCTCAAGTCAAAGCTAAAGAATGTTATTAGGCCATTCTTGCATTGCTATAAAGAAATAGCTGAGACTGGGTAATTTATAAAGAAAATAGGTTTAATTGGCTCATGGTTCTGCAGATTGTACAGGAAGCATGACAGTGGGCACCTGCTTGGCTTCTGGAGAGGTCTCAGAGAGATTCACTCATGACAGATGGTGAAGTGGGAGAAGGCACATCACATGGCGAAAGCAGGAGCAAGAGAGAAAGTAGGCGGGTAGAGATGCCACACTTTTAAATAACCAGATCTTGGGAGAACTCACTCACATTAGCAAAGACAGCACCAAGCCATGAGGAATCTGCCCCCTTGACCCAAACAATTCCCACCAGGCCTCATCTGCGACACTGCGTCTTACAATTCAACATGAGATTTGGTGGGGACACAGATCCAAACCATATCAGTGATTGTATTTTTAAAGAACATTTCAGTTCCTTTTGTATATCTCCAATGAAAAAAAAGATGATATTCATATAGTTCTGTTCCCCAAAAAAGACACTTTTAAAAGCTGTTGGCATTGTGCATTGCTACTTAAATCAGAGACAAAGTGAGCAAATTCCATGAGGTAGTCATGGTGAAAATATTCAATTTTATGGTTTGTCACAGATTAATAAGCAAATAATATCAAGGCTCTGCAAACCCTTTTTCAATAACTTGAGTGATTATCAAAGATTACACAGGGCATGTGTAGCAAAAGAACAAAAACTAATAAATATGAACATCAATCTGTGAGCTGTGCCTCATTAATTATTTACACACCAGTGAAACTGAAGTAAAGCAAGAAATATTCATCATATAACTAGGGACCTGTGTAGAGAAGTTGTTAAAATATTATTTTTCATTAGTAATTTAAGAAAATAAATGGAATAGCTATTTCACTAAAGTGAATTGGCATTGCCTGGATTTGACACTTAAAATTCTGTTGTGTAGTGAAGAATTAACCTTACCCAGAGAGAGGTCTGGCTTTTGTCCTCAGCTACTGAGAGGTGATCCCTGGGTTCCTCAAATATCCTGTCTGATGGGAGTATCTTTTTTTGCCTAAGGGCTTTGTTCACTGGACAGATTAACAGTGTGATTTATGATGGGGCTTTGAGGCAGGGTGTATCAATTCCCATCTCTGGAGGAACTGGAGACTAAGTTCCAACCTCTGGAAGGACTGAGTACTTGTCTGTCATTTGGGGAGTATGGGATTAGCCCAATAAAGCCTATGGTCAGCAAAGGCTCCAGTGAGCTTCCCTGGTTGGCCATATCCCATGTACATTGTCACATCATGGCCAGGAGGAGGTAGCACTGTTTCTGGTTCCAGAGGAGAGGACAACTGGGATTTCTGGTAATAGGACTCCTCCTGGACTATCTGCCTTGTGTGTCTCTTCCCTTGGCTGTTTTAAAACTATTTCCTTGTAATAAACTGTAACCATGAGGATAACAGATTTCAGTGATGTTTATAAGTTCTAGTGGATTACTAAACACCACCCCCTCCCCACCCCACCAAACTTATAATTGGTGTCAGAAGTGAAGGCATTCTTGTGAGGACTGTTTTCTCAGACTCTTCAGTTTGATAAACTCTGGGTAACTGTCTAAGGCCAGATAAATAATGGTAAAATAACTAGAAAAACAAGACAAAAATCCAATACAAGCACAAGATAAATGAAAAGTGTATGTCTGTATATGTATGTTAACATATACCTACTTTGTACAATTGTCATTTTTTTTCTTGCCTCAAATCCTTTCCCCATTTTTTTTTGATGACAGAATTCCTCTTTCCTAATGGTTATTCATTCCGGACTCACCCAACTCCTACTCCCAGCATAGTCACATGACCATCAAGGCATGTCAAGGCTTGGTTAATTGGAGTCCACCCTGAGAAGAAAATGACCGTTTACATGACCAAACTAGGCCAATCAAAATACTCTCTAGATTTCTCTGCTAGTCCCACTGAGGAAAAAACATCTCTCTTTCTAGAGTTGCCGGGAGAACAGGATATATACTTGGAATTGTGGGTAGCCATCTAGGCATCTTTTTTACAAAGTAAAGAGGTGCTGCTTTAAAGAACGGAGACCCAACACAGAAATGTCAAGAAATGGAGAGAGACCCAATGACATAATTTTATTTCTTGGGACTGACATGCTTCAGGTTAAACTCATCGTGCTTCCTAAATATCTGAGCCGATATTCTCATTCTACTTTTTGTCAGACTAGGTTGAGTTTTTTTTTTTCCTCTCACAAACTCAGACTGAACACTGTCAGTAGTATTTTTTATGGACATCTAGCAAATATTGAAAAATATGTATTGTAAGCACACTAAACGAAGGCAGGAATATGATAGAAATGTCTGGGATTATAAATCTTTGAATATCCAACCAGAAGTCATCCCTGCTATGATCTGAGAGTTGTGCAGAGACAACACTTTGGGCAATGGCTCACTTTTCAGTATTATAGGTATTTGATCAACAATTCTCTTGAATACTCCCTAATCATGGTGATGGACTACATTACATATATCAGAGATCATTTTAGTCCCTTTAGCTTTAGGAACCAGTCCCTTAGGCAAGGATCCTGTTCTTGGCCCAGGAGATCAAACCTCTTCAATGTGAACAAAATCAGAGAAACACAAACCCAAGAGAAAGGGCACTGCCACAAAGGGAATATTTTCTTAAGGCCTGGATGGCAGTTGGCCAATCAGAAAGCCTTCCAAATATTGAAGCATGTGATAGGCCCCTCAGTACGAGCTGGGAGCATCTTGTATCACCACTGTGGCAAGAAGCAATCCAACTTGGCCAAGAGGCAAGAGGTCATCCATAGAAAGGAATCCCAAGAAAAGAGACACTAAAGAGGGCACGCAGATATTTTTCTATTCTCTTTGGAGCAGTTGTAGCAATGTTTCTTATGACAAATGGACTAAACATTATTATAACATTAGTATACATTATGATAACTCTTCTCCATGTGTTTATGTATATTTGAATAACTCTTACTTGAAAACTTAAAAAGTAAAGCAAAGCCCTTTCTCTCATTCTAGTAGAGGAAATGATGCCACAAGGGGGAACTTGGAGTGGCTTTAGCCTTTTTCTCTATACTATTTTCCCACCAAGTTTCTCCAAATAACCAAAGCATAGGTACTTTTGTCATGGCAAAGGCAAATTTAGGGTGTTTTTCTTGAACTGCAAGTGGCCCTTCATCACTTCCCTAACCTTCTCCTATAAAAAAATTCTGGAGCTACTTTGAGTAATGTACATAACAAAAGTTCATAAACATTCTATGGTTTGATATTTTCCCCCTTGTGCTATAGTTGTAAATGTAGATAGTTTTGTGGGAGTCATGGAAGACAGAGGTGATTTTTTTTTTCTAGAGATATTGAGGAGGTTTGAGGGGGTAGTAAACTACTATTTGAGTCTGCTGGAATTGGTATGAACTTGGAGACAAGGAAGACAAGCCTTTTGGGCAAAGAGAATTACACAAATAAAGCCATGAATACAGAAAAAATCCAGCCACATTTGGAGGCAGTCTGTCATTATGAACTGGAAATGTTAACAGGCACATGGTGGAAGGATGGGCTGGATAAATGAATTAAGCTCCACTTTGTGGGGGACACTGAATGTCAGACTAAGAAATCATTCCTTTATTCTGCAGGGAATGTGTCTTGGTTGAAAGATATTATGACATGATTAGATCGGTACTTTAACAAGATTAATTTTGTAGTACTTTGTAGAATGAAAGATAGAGACAAAAGACAGGAGGTAGGGGTATCTTGTCATGTCTGACAATATATCTTTTAAATTCCTGATTTTTTTTAATGTCATACAGCAACCATGAGAACTTCCACTACACTTTGAACATGAGATTCTGCTGTCAGTAGTGACATTCACTTCCCATTTTCTCTACCCATGAATGATGGAAGGCAGTGCCAGCTGACAGTGGGAAGAATATTTAAATAAGGTAAAATGAACCTCAGTTAACTAGGAAGGCAAAGGCTTCCACTATATACATAGTCATAGTGTCTTCTGGTTCTACGTTATCAGGAATGACAATAGGAGGGAGGGAGGGAGAGACAGAGAGAGAAAGAAAGGAGGAGGAGAAAAGGAAAAAAGAGAAGAGAAGAGAGAATATGTAATGAAGTTTACTTAGGTTTTTTTCCTTTATATTTTGTGTTTATCATAGTAATTATTTGGAAGCTCTTGCATATCAACTTAAAAATCTGGGATAGTCATTAGTTTTCAGCTTTCTGGGGACATGGTGAGATTATACTTTCTGGTATACTTTCATGATAAGATTATACCCCTTAGCTTGGGTGTGACAGCGAGACAGTTCGGAACAATGAGCTCTGAGTGGAAGTCACGCGGGTCACTTCTGGGCTGGGACATTTGATTGCTGATGTGAGACTTTCAGAGCTCTTTTCTTTCTGGCACAGATGGTAGCTGGTCCCTCAGCCTACATGTCTGAGACAGGTTTCTCCTTACCAAGTCACATTTGCATCAACAGCATATGAGAACATTGGCCTAATAGCACCCTCCACAATATTGACTAACTTACTATTTTTCTAGCTTGATATCTTCTAGTCTCTATTATGAGTAAAGTATACCTGCTGACCTGAGATGAAACGGTAGTAATCAGCAAGAATTAGACTGCAGCATAACATACTCTGGATTTTACTGTAATTTCACTTAATTTTAATACTTCCCTTCCAGCACTTTATATATATATATATACACACACACACATATAATATATATATAATATATACATATATAAAGATATAAATAATAGTGCATATATTTTATACAATATATAAAGGTATTTATAATAGTGCATATAAAATCTATGCATTATTTATATCATTATATATAGTATATACATATAATATATCTTTATATATTATATATACATATATCTTTATATATCATATATACATATATCTTTATATATTATATATACATATTATATATATCTTTATATATTATATCTCTATATATAATATATGAAACTATATGATATATATCAAAATATATTTGTTTTATATAAAGATAGAATATATATAACGTATATATTTATATACAATATATAAAGGTATATCTTATGTATAAAATATGTTATATTTTACGTATAATATATAGGTATATATAATACATAAATATAAATATATAAGATACATGCTCACATATGTATATATGGCACACATATATATAGGCTACATGTTATATATAAAGCCCATATATTACATATGTAGCCTATATATTGATTTTTTTCTTTTCTTTTTACTGTATTATATAAGCATGTTTTGCTCTTGGCAATGATCACTTTTTCAAAATAAACTATAACATAATTAATCTTTCCTCCAGTGATGAATACTTTTGGATTGTTTTCAATATTTTTGCTATATACGTTTAACTTCTCTGGTTGTTGCCCACATCTGTTCAAGGTTTTGCACAAACAGAGTTGGACAACAACCAAGGAAGTTAACTGTACCTCCATATATTACTGACTGTCCCTGGGGATTACTCACAAATGCTTATGAATAAGATGATTCCTGCTGGTGCTACCTGGCATGTTATGCTCTTCCAGGACCAACATCCCTTGGGAACCTTCTTTTTGCACTTGATACCACTGATGCACGAAATTCTCCATTGACTCAGGAGTAGTCTCAGAAAAAAAATGATGTTAAATTTCTCTCTCTATCATTAACTTACTCTTTGTTAAAGGGTCACCAAGCAGTGCTGTTATTGCTGACACACTGCCTTAAAATAGATTCTATTTTTTTTTCTGCAGAGGATTAAGATGTGTAATTATGGGAAAAATTTCTAGGCTTCTTGCCTTTCATGTATGATAAATCAACTGGCCTGTACCATCAATTTTCCAGGCTTCTTAAGATCTGTCTAAACAGAAGGCACAGAAAGAGCTTTCATATTGTCCCAGGGAGCTCCTCAACCCACATTCAAATAAGCATCGTATTGATTCTACCTCACCAGTTCCTCAGACAAGCATGACTGTTCAGCACTGATAAAGTCTAAGCTAAACTAAAATCTTTTCCCAAATAATGCTGAAATGAACACTGTCGAGCATGTAGATTTACCTGCATGTATCAGTTCATGATCTATATTGACAGATTTCTTTCAAGACAGATTGCTTTTTGCCAAGTCACATTTGCATCAACAGCATGAGAAAATTGGCCGCATTAACTCTTCAAACATTAACTAACTTAGTATTTTTCAGGTTTGGTAATTTGATGTGGAAACTTATAACATCTTGCTGCATTAACTTTTTAAAATTTGTTTTTCATTTGCACATGTCATTGCTAAATAAAATTAGAAATCATAAGTATTTGTGACTTTTCAAATAAATTTATATTCAAATGATACATATATTTGGAAGCAAAATAATGCAAATTATCTTAGGTGACTATGAACAATTTCTTAAGCTTTATTTCCTAAACTCAGGTATCACTCTTCAGAGAAAGGCTTTTTTCAAAATTGCTTTAATTTTATATTTTTCTGTAGGTCATTTATATAGCTCACATATTTTTGACTTATGATTTTGAAGACTATTTATCAACTTTATCTGATGATTTTTAGACATATAAAATGAGGATTTAGCTCACTTAACCTAGTGCATTTTCTCCTCTCCTTTCCCCACTGTTTGATATTTATATTTTGCTTATTTTCCTGTTTAATTTTATTCATGTACGTAATCAACTTGAATCATTCTTTTTTATCCTAATGAGCCATAGACAGTGTTCCAGTTACCTATTGCCGAATAAAACCCATCTGAAAGTATAGTGGCATAATAATTTCACTAATTTCACAGACTCCGAAATTCCACCAAGACCCAGAAAGGACAACTTATTTCTGCTCCATGACATTTGAGACTTCAGCTGAAAAGACTCAAAGACCGACGAGTCGTAAAGTGGTTGGTGGCAAAGTCATGTCAAATGATTCCTCACATGTCTGGTGGATGATGCTGGCTATTGGCTGGAACCTCAGCTGAGACTCTCAGAGCATTCAGAGCTTTTACACATGGTCTTTCCATGTAGCCTGATTTCTTCATAGCACGGCAGTTTCAGAGTAGTTGGACTTCTTATATGGTGTCTCAGGACTCCAAGAGTTGGTCTCCAAAGAGGAGGAGGAAGCTGTGTGACTTGAAAGTTATGCAATGCCACTTCTGCTTTGTTCTACTGTAGGTGGAGTCACTCTGGGTGACCAAGAATCAAGAATAGGTGACATAGATTCCACCTCTTATTGGGAGGGGTGTCAAATAGTTTACAGATGTCTTTTAAAACTGCCGTAATGACCTTGTGCAGATTGCTTAGGGCCAACCTACGTAGTACAGTGGGATTTCATTTCCTTCTCTGTAGGTCTTGTATCAGAGCCACTGGGCCACATAAGGAAGAATGTCCTTAGCAACAAGGTCAGCTGGGTTTTCCTTTCTTTCACTCCATGTAATGCTTAAAATAATGTTATATTTTATTATGATTTGTATTTTGTATTTGAATCGTTAATCTGTTGCATAGTTCTCATTTTTCCTCTCTTTAAAGCTTTTAATTGCATTACTTTTTCTTACATAATTTGCCTTAATTTTCTCCTCAAATTTTTCCCCAGTTTCTCAACTATACCTTCTAATCTCGGAATCCTTTCTTTCTGGGTGCCTTTTCTCAGGACTCCTTGTTGTTTTTTTTTTTTTTTTTTGTGCTAACCAGGGAAGGTTCTCGCTAGACTTAGGGTACAGCTGTCATATTGAGATTCTCATTTGCCGCTTTCCTGCATTCGGGATATCTAGGCTTCCATTTTCTTGGTTGACTCTTTTTCTCTGAGTTCTTTTCCTAAAGAAGGATATCTATGAGGTAAATTTTATGAGTACTTCTATGTATGAAAATGTCTACTTTCATTGTTAAACACTAGTTTAGTCACATAGGCAGTGTAATAGGTCAAAAATAAGTATCCTGTCATACTTTTAAAGGAATTTTTCATATTGTCTTCTAGAATTCAGTGCTGCTGATGAGAATTCTGATGTCAGTCTTTATTTTCTTTGTAAGTATCCTGTGATTTTTTTTTATTCACCTTTCTTGAATATTTTCCTCTATTGGAATATTTTTAAAAATTTATCTTGGCTGGGTGCAGTGGCTCATGTCTGTAATCCCAGCACTTTGGGAGGCCGAGACAGGCAGATCATGAGGTCAGGAGACTGAGACCGTCCTGGCTAAAACGGTGAAACCCCGTCTCTACTAAAAATACAAAAACAAAATTAGCCAGGTGTGGTGGCGGGTGCCTGTAGTCCCAGCTACTCAGGAGGCTGAGGCGGGAGAATGGCGTGAACCCGGGAGGTGGAGCTTGCAGTCAGCCGAGATCGTGCCGCTGCACTCCAGCCTGGGCAACAGAGCAAGACTCCGTTTCAAAAAATAAATAAATAAATAATAATAATAATCTTTGGGTTTATTCGGTTTTGTAAACAAGGTGTAGGTGTATTTTTAATTTATTATGCACATCATGCAGTGGGATGGAAACTGCTATACTTTACGTCTGAGAGCTTCTATATAATATTTTTGCTAATTTTCTTTGATTTATTTCTTCTCTTCTAGAACCTCAATATATCTTGGCTTTTCTCATATTTTACATTTCTTTTAAAATCGCTAAAATAACTTTCTCTTTTAATTGTTCCTTTTTCATAACACCATCTTATTTTAGTTATAACTTTTAAAACATTTCTTGGAATATTAAGAAGGTTTTTTTAAAAAAATTTTGCTTATTTTACTCTATTGTTTAATCTATATTTCTGTCTTCACTTGGTTTTTCTCTCATACTACTTTCTTCACTCATATGCCTAATGATCCTTTGATATCCATACATATTTTTATATTACGAGAATTCCTTCTGCTATTGCTATAAAAAGATGCTTGCCAATAATTTTTTTCTCTTGAGTAGAAATTGTGCTTTGGAGCTCCACGTGGTGAAAGAGGTGTGTTATGAATTATGAACTAGCAGATTGCCATTTAAGGCGAGCAAGTAGGAGTTAACTCTCAGACTACTGAAGCTCCAAGTCCCAGAAAGGGAGTGGCTTCCTGGGGATTAGACACCTAAGTCATGCACCTTAAATGTCTCTATATATTTTATTCGATTTTACAACAGTAGAGATTTCTGCTATAAGAAGACAAATAAAGCCTGTTTTTGCTCTGAGGGCTGGTGAAGGAAAGGGGAATGAGGATGGTAACTGATAGAGCTGTGCCATATATCTCATCTACAGACTTTCATTGAGTCCTTCTATTTTGGGCTGCACTTTTTACTTTAGAATTCAGCTTTACCTGTTGACTCTGAGCTCAATTTGCAACCAGCAGGATTCTGGCCAACAGGGTATATCCCCATCTTCTTGGTATTGTCTTTGTAGTTTATTACGGGCTACAGAATTATTTGTCTTTTTCGTCTTCCCACGTTTCCATCCATATTCTTTCTTCTGGGAATTTATGGAAATTTCTCCTTTGTTGTTGACCACACATTTTCTGCTTTCTTAGCAGTTATTGGTTCACTGCCTAAACTGTTAGCTTATTTATTCATTCACTTATGTTTTAGTCTTTTATTTGGAGGATCTTCAAAATTTTGAGAATCAAATTTCTGTGCCCATTCTTCCATCTTGAATTAACATGTTTTAAACTGAAGAATATACTTTAATTCCATAGACATTCAGGAGAAAGAAATGGGCTTCTTTCCTGTTTGCCATGCCAACCTGCTTGTTTAGAAGAGTCAAGCAAACACAGGACACCTGTTTCACATCAGGGTCTTAATCGTTCACCTGCAATCACTTGAGCTAATGTTTGATTTAACTGCATTGTGAAAATTGTAGTTTCTCCAAAAGCAAGAGTTCCTCATCTGCTGTAGCATTACACACCTCAAGAACTGAATCACTGCCATAGACAACATCTGGATTCTGACAACATCATGAGTATTTCTTAGAGAAAATATTGCAATGAGCAGCTTTATATCTCAGTAAAGGCCGATATATCATAGAAACTGAATATAAATATAGAGGATGGCTGTTTTGTACAGGGAGATAAAAGGCATTCCATTTGGTCATGACAAGCCAAATGAACTTTTTTTTTTTTTTTTTTTTTTTTTTTTTTGCATAGTGTAATATTAGATAGGAGCTTCAGGATGTCTCAAATAATTCCTACTTGGTTCCTGATGTCCAAAACTTCGTCATCATTTAATTACAAAGCAGATAACCTTGAAAATGGTAGCATGAGGTTTTATTAGTTATTTGCACCTACATATGGATGAAGAAATTGGAAACAAATATCTATAATAATATGTAAACATGAAGGGGTGGAACCCGCAGTGGGGATGCGGTTACTCTTCCTAAAAGAGGAGCTGAGGGTCAGCAGTGGAGGGCATTAGAGGCTAACTCTACTCGATCAAATGACTTGCTTGTGCCCAGCATGTTAATTATTCCCATCACAGGCTGTCTTCTTGAGTCTACAGACCATATTCAGATAGGCATATGAGAGAAATTGGCAGAGAACTTTTGAAGCAAATTAATATCAGACATTTTCTTGTGATGTACCTAGAATTATTTATTTTATAAAAGCAGTCAATATCTACAAAACATTTTATATATTATGCAATTTAAATTCACAGGTATCTTTATGGCACTCATTGTTGCATTAATAATGAATAGAGGTATCAATGTTGGAGAGAACTTGATTCATCATGAAAATAAGAGATCTCTCTATCTGGGAGATGCATGATGTAATACAAGGAAATTACTCCCTAAGAGTTAGAACAATCTATTCTCTCTCTCTCTCTCTTCAATGTCTATTTTATATCTTCTTTCCACTTCAGTCTCCAAACTCTCCTCCTCTATCCCCATTCTCAGCTGATATTTTTTCTATTTCACTGAGAAAATAAAGTTGATCAGAAAACTTCCATATTCACACACCATTACATCTTCTTTTTTTTTTTATTATACTTTAAGTTTTAGGGTACATGTGCACATTGTGCAGGTTAGTTACATATGTATACATGTGCCATGCTGGTGCGCTGCACCCACTAACTCGTCATCTAGCATTAGGGATATCTCCCAATGCTACCCCTCCCCCCTTCCCCCACCCCACCACAGTCCCCAGAGTGTGATATTCCCCTTCCTGTGACCATGTGATCTCATTGTTCAATTCCCACCTATGAGTGAGAATATGCGGTGTTTGGTTTTTTGTTCTTGCGATAGTTTACTGAGAATGATGGTTTCCAATTTCATCCATGTCCCTACAAAGGACATGAACTCATCATTTTTTATGGCTGCATAGTATTCCATGGTGTATATGTGCCACATTTTCTTAATCCAGTCTATCATTGTTGGACATTTGGGTTGGTTCCAAGTCTTTGCTATTGTGAATAATGCTGCAGTAAACATACGTGTGCATGTGTCTTTATAGCAGCATGATTTATAGTCATTTGGGTATATACCCAGTAATGGGATGGCTGGGTCAAATGGTATTTCTAGTTCTAGATCCCTGAGGAATCGCCACACTGACTTCCACAATGGTTGAACTAGTAGTTGAATCTCTGAATAGACCAATAACAGGAGCTGAAATTGTGGCAATAATCAATAGTTTACCAACCAAAAAGAGTCCAGGACCAGATGGATTCACAGCCGAATTCTACCAGAGGTACAAGGAGGAACTGGTACCATTCCTTCTGAAACTATTCCAATCAATAGAAAAAGAGGGAATCCTCCCTAACTCATTTTATGAGGCCAGCATCATTCTGATACCAAAGCCGGGCAGAGACACAACCAAAAAAGAGAATTTTAGACCAATATCCTTGATGAACATTGATGCAAAAATCCTCAATAAAATACTGGCAAACCGAATCCAGCAGCACATCAAAAAGCTTATCCACCATGATCAAGTGGGCTTCATCCCTGGGATGCAAGGCTGGTTCAATATACGCAAATCAATAAATGTAATCCAGCATATAAACAGAGCCAAAGACAAAAACCACATGATTATCTCAATAGATGCAGAAAAAGCCTTTGACAAAATTCAACAACCCTTCATGCTAAAAACTCTCAATAAATTAGGTATTGATGGGACGTATTTCAAAATAATAAGAGCTATCTATGACAAACCCACAGCCAATATCATACTGAATGGGCAAAAACTGGAAGCATTCCCTTTGAAAACTGGCACAAGACAGGGATGCCCTCTCTCACCACTCCTATTCAACATAGTGTTGGAAGTTCTGGCCAGGGCAATCAGGCAGGAGAAGGAAATAAAGGGTATTCAATTAGGAAAAGAGGAAGTCAAATTGTCCCTGTTTGCAGACGACATGATTGTTTATCTAGAAAACCCCATCATCTCAGCCCAAAATCTCCTTAAGCTGATAAGCAACTTCAGCAAAGTCTCAGGATACAAAATCAATGTACAAAAATCACAAGCATTCTTATACACCAACAACAGACAAACAGAGAGCCAAATCATGAGTGAACTCCCATTCACAATTGCTTCAAAGAGAATAAAATACCTAGGAATCCAACTTACATCTTCTTAATGACTAGCATCTGCCCCGCAAACTCTCCTCACTCAAAATTTAGCACAGATGGTCCTGTTTAGAGCCAGCCCCACTGCCTGGAAATTAGATAGCTCCATCATGTCCTTCTTGTTCTCTCTGCTCTCTCCTTCATTATCACCCTTCACTTCTACTAGATCATTCCTGGTAGCACACAAGCTTGCTCTTATTCCTCGCGTCTTAAACAAACAAACCTTCTTCTTGAAGCCACTAAATGTGCCAGCTACGCACTGTCTATGGTTCCTCTCCTCTTATTCTCCCCTAAATGTGCCATTCACTGGAATAAAGTGCTCATGTGAACATTGCCAATGTCCTCTGTGTTGCTCAATCCAATGGTCAGGCCTCATTCCTCACCTCACTTAAACCTGAAGTAGTATTTTACACAGGTGGTGACCCTTCACCCTCCTTACAGTTTTCTCAGTTGGCTTTCTGGACACCACAATCTATTGGTTTTCCTCCTACCATGTTTGTTGCTTATTCTCAGTTTTGTGCTCTCAATGTTAGATGTTGCCTTAGCTTGGGTTCCCCTGCAAGGAAAATCCAGAGACAAGGACTTGCCTGCAGGTACTTATTTTTATTAAGTGATTCCAAAGAGGAGTCGGGAGCCAAAATGAAAACTATGAATCAGGGATGGAGGGAAAACTGAATGAAAGATGATTTATTAAGTTGATTACAACTGTCGTGAATAACTGAGGCTCAATCTTTCTGGGGCCTTTTTGAGAAACCAGAAGGTTTAGGTTTAGAAAATAAACCTAGTAGTGTCCCAGGCAACATGTAGATGAGGAGGATATTTATGTATTTCACGGATGAAGGGTTGCCTCATTGCTGTTACCCGTACTTCAAATCTTCCTGGTATAAACATGCACTGGAATGGCTGAGTGGGCTACCACAGGCTCCCAAGTAGTGGCCACAAAGAAAGCCCAGAGCAAAACCAGGAGATAACACAGCTCAGCTGAGGTAGGGAGCTGTCAGGCTATAGCTGCATAGCAGCTGGCTGCTACAGCAATGGCTGAATTTAAAAGGTCAACAGAGAGGATGTGATTCTGGGAGGGAAAGATACTGAACACAAATGCACCAGAGCTTGTCCTTGAGTTCTTTTTTCTACATATGCTCATCCTCTTGTTGAGACTCATTCAGTGCCACGGTTTTAAATACCATCCCTATGCTAACAACTTCCAAATGTATAAATCCAACACCCTGTGGGACATCTATGTATCCAACAGGCATTCCCATCTTAACGTGACCCAAATGGTACTTCCAACCTTTCCGTTTCACACTGGCTCCACCATTTCAGGCAGAATACATCTACTTCTCACCATCTCCCTGGTTACTACCCTGTTTCAAATTGCCATCATCTTTGACCTGAAGTGTGGCAATTGTTCCTTAACTTTGCCATCATCTTTGACTGGAAGCATGGTCACATTTGATGAGTTAAATGAGTTCATGGTCTGACATCTACTCCTACATCTGCCACAATCTGTGTGAACCTCATCAAATGTAGACTTGGAGTTTGAGAATCTTTTAAAATCAGCATAAAACATGTAAACTGAGACTATTAGAATGTTCCAGCTCTAAAATGTTATCATTACTACTTCATAAGGCTAAGCTTGGTGAAAGTTTTCTATATTTCCTTGGAATTATGAAAGTTATTGAAACAGTATATTACTGAATGTTATATTTGGCTTAGAAATCTATACTTCAGTGAACTAAGTAAAAGTGAACTATTATTTTGGGTATGTCATTAAGAAATGAAATAAGCCTCTAACTGCTATAAAATAAGCTTCACGTAAAGGTTCTAGGCTACTTGGTAGAAAACAAAATCTACTTTGCAAAATATAATTTTAAAATAATTTAAAATACATTTTTAGATGTTATGGACCAAATTTGCCAATATCTTCTATTAGACTTTCAGCAATAAACAGTAATGAACTGAAATAAATTCATCTCATATATTCAATTTAATATTAGAGTGGTGAATGTTTCCAAAATGCTCAATGGCAAAGAAATAAAATGTTTTCCTGAGTTTTGAGGGGCTTTATAAAGTTTACCTGTGCATGTTTCAATATTCTCTCTAGAAATTATCCTCTCATTATGAGTTTCACAAAACATTTCTTTTTTGAATCACAATTGCTTCAACTAAATGATGACATATTGTGCACTTGAAAAATGTATAGATATGAAGTGCTCACACCACACAATGATAACTATGCAAGGTAATGCATTTGCTAATTATTTAACCATTTCACAATATACGTATATTTCAAAACATGATGTACATTAAAAAAACAGACAGTGTTAACTGTCAGTCTTAAAGGAAACTAACAAATTTCATTTTATTTTTACTTTTTAACTTGTATTTTAAGTTCGGGGGTACAGGTTTGATATATAGGTAAACATTAACAAGTTCAGGTTTGATATATGGGTAAACTAGTGTCATGGGAGTTTGTTGTACAGACTATTTTTCACCCAAATATTAAGCAATTAGTAACTTATTAGTTATTTTTCCTGATCCTCTCCCTCTTCCCACACTTCATCCTCTGGTAAGCCCCAGCTTCTGTTGTTCCCCTCTTGGTGTCCATGTGTTCTCATCATTTTAAACAATGTGCCTGAGCCTGAGCATGGTGCGACAAGAGTCACTGTGAATTTCAGTGGACCCATTATCCTCCCTGACAACTTTCTAACAAGTCTCTAACTATGGTGAGTATACACACACATATTGAGTCACTGCAGTAGAAAGACTTTTTTTTTTTTTTTTTGCTATATGTTCTCTTTTGAATTGTGTCTAAAATTGTGTTCATACAGTTGTTGAATCTGAGTAAGAAAAATAATTCCTGAATTCTCAAGGGAAAAAAATGAGTATCACATTAATGCCAAGAATAATGTTTCTAAGAATTATTCTTTACGTAGCTTAGTTGTGTTGATTAAATTAGTTTTTCAGCCTCCCTTGGTTCACCCAGAGTCATATTATAGGCCAGTCCGAGTTTACCACTTTACTTTAGCTATTATCATTGTAGGCAAATAAATTTCTCACTACATGTACGTTTAAAAAATGCCCTTTCTTTGGGAGGCCGAGGCGGGTGGATCATGAGGTCAGGAGATCGAGACCATCCTGGCTAACAAGGTGAAACCCCGTCTCTACTAAAAATACAAAAAAATTAGCCGGGCGCCGTGGCGAGCGCCTGTAGTCCCAGCTACGCGGGAGGCTGAGGCAGGAGAATGGCGTGAACCCGGGAAGCGGAGCTTGCAGTGAGCCGAGATTGCACCACTGCAGTCCGCAGTCCGGCCTGGGCGACAGAGCGAGACTCCGTCTCAAAAAAAAAAAAAAAAAAAAAAAAAATGCCCTTTCTACAGTAATGACTCTCTGTTTAGTATGACTTCTGAAATAAGTAATTTGAACACTCATGCACTATGAACAGAATACTTAATAATACTACTTTTTTGTTTGTTTGTTTTTTGTTTGGTTTGTTTGTTTTTGAGACGGAGTCTCCCTCTGTCTCCCAGGCTGGAGTGCAGTGGAGCCATCTTGGCTCATTGCAAGCTCCGCCTCCCGGGTTCACCCATTCTCCTGCCTCAGCCTCCTGAGTAGCTGGGACTACAGGCACCCGCCACCACATCCGGATAATTTATTTGTATTTTTAGTAGAGACGAGGTTTCCCCGTGTTAGCCAGGATGGTCTTGATCTCCTGACCTGGTGATCTGCCCGCCTCGGCCTCACAAAGTGCTGGGATTACAGGCGTAAGCCACCACGCCCAGCCCGATACTACTTTCAATAATGTGTCCTTGGCCTTAGTATTATTTCAGAGACAAAGAAAAATAGAGACTATATATTTGAACTGCTAAAATTCCATGATCAGCTGAAAATGGTTATAAAATTAAGCATATTTAAAGAAATTTAATGAGTTTTTATTAAATCAGATAATATGAGATAAGAAAATCAATACGGTTAATACCATTCTACAAGAGTTTGGATAAATAACATTTATTTAGATAAGGAGTGGGTCCGTCTCTGCTGGTTTCTAAGATGTTTCCTTGTTAAAAACAAAACAAGAACACACATTTGAAAGTAGCAGTAACTGTTTTAGTGTACCAGGGTACCCCTTGGAGTATGATGGCTATAGTGTACTAAGTGCCATCCTTATAGTCCCACACAGATAATGCAATTTATAAAGTCTTTATTGGTCTTTAGTGAATATCCTACACACTGGGAGAATGTGGCTACACATATTTTTATGTCTGCTGAGCTTCAATAAGGATGGACCTATATAAGTTTAATATAGAAATATATGTATTTCTCATTTGAATACTCCACATGGTATGAGATCATGCATTTATAGTTCCCTAATGTACCACCTTACTGTTTCAGCAAGATTCGTGGATTTTGTAAAATGTGTTAAGACTGAAATCTTTCACTGTAATACTTAAACCTAACATGCTGTGGTAGAGTAGCAATTCTAATATCTCTTCAACTTAACAGTGCGTAGAATAGTGCTAAAGGAAGGGCCTAATCTAATGCCTCTAGTGTCGATAGATGTTTTTCTAAGAGCTTTCAAAACTCAAAATACTATGTTTTATTGTGAGCTCATTTTAGTTCCCAATAAAGTGATAATGTAAATATTTTACTAAGCGTATACATTTACTTGTTGCCAATATAGCATGAAAATAATTAATAATGAGCTTGATGCATCTGGCATTAAGGCACTTCCATAATGAAACTTTTAAGATGCTTAAGTATTTAAGGCAGCAAAATGCAGATGAATAGGGCAAAATAAACATATATAAATGATATGTTTATATGTGTTTAATTTTATATTTTGAAAAAATATAGTTTATGCTTGTGACTATTGTTGTTATTTTTGATTCAATGTGAGAGTAGTCTTTGAGTGGACATTTTGTAGCTTCTTTCTTCCAGATCTCTAAGTAAAAATTAATTTTAAAAAGGGTATACATATGTTAGCAGAAAATGTGTCCTTTCCAAGTAAAAAATAATCCATCTAATTAAAATAACTTGAAAAATTGGACTAAACCTGGTTTTCTGAATGGATTACTGCTTTTCTTATATTCTATTGAATTAGAGTAGTCTTTAAGAATTTCTAATTCACCTTCAGGAAGTAATTTTGTGAGATATTTTCAGCCTATTACATCACATTTTAAAGGTCTATATGCAGAAGCAGAGTATGGAAGGGCTCTCTTTATCTTTCCTGCCTCTATTCATTATTATGACGTTCAACCCCATTTTTCTATACTTATGAACATCTACAGTCGTTCCAATCTCATGCAATGTTCTTCCTATTTGTGAGCTCTGACGCCATCAAAATGTACTGCATAATGAGAGACAAGACTTATCTGTATAAATGACCACTTTTGGTAAATACACATCTGGGGAAGAATACTTAAATGTTTATGGCATATACTTTTATAATGCAGTTTTTCACTGTGTCTACATTCTAGTGACTTCTCATTTAGAAAGTGTTTCAGGGCCACTCTGCAACCATATAATTGGAGGATGATAAGAAAACTTGCAGTGGTTCACCTCTTCTGTTGTTGTTGTTGATTTGTTTAAAATTAACTACCCAGAGAGTATTCTTGTTTGTGGGGTGGGGGTGGGAATCAATTATCTTTGACACATGTCAGATTTCCTTAGAGAAAAGATGAGTATCTGCCAGCTGACCGTTGGTCCTTCCCAATTGCTTATTGTTTCATTGTAGAGAGAAAATTAGAGATCTGTAATAATTGGCTACTCTATAAACTCTGCTTCCTGGATAACCTACTATCTTGGCCGTGGACTCCTGGTTTAAGGAATAGAAACAAACCCAAATTCGTGGTACAGTATTGTGATTTGAAGGATTCAGGGCAATAGCTAAATCAGGTGAAATGCACTCGGCTTGTTAGAAACCATAGACTATGTTTTACTGTGTGCTTTCCTCATCTCTATATGGCAGAAATCATGTTTTTGTGTGCCTACATTCCAATATTTCACATATTGTATGACACATTGAGGGTATTGAATAAATATTTGGTGAGTATTCACTAAGCATCAGGTACTATCTAAAGTTTTAGGGACACAGATGGGAAAGAACAAACTACATCTGCCTTTAATGAGCCTTGCTTTTTGCCATTAAATAAAAAAAAAAAAAAAAAGGGGGAGCCCAGGGAAGAAGGAAGCTCAAGGATCAAGGCTGGGGCTCGTGAGTCTGCAAATTCTCTCCTCTCTCTTTTTCTATAACTGTCCATCAGCCTAGTATTCATCTGTTATTCATTCACTCATTCATTCACCACCAAATATTTGTGGACCACCACTAGATGGGAATTAAGTCATGAACAAAAAAGAATAAAAACAGTAAATAATTCGCTAGAGAGGCTATGCATAAATTTATAGGGGATATATGCTAGATGAGCACACAGCAAAGGTAGCAGTACTAGTCAGGACTACTAGGACTAATCTGGCAGAGAACAGATCTTGGAGAGCTCTGCAAGTGAAGCGAGGGAGTTTGCCTTTCCTTTGCTATTGATCATGAAGACTACCTAGTTCCTAGTCTTTTAGATCTCTCCTTCCAAGAATAACTGTTTTCTATATTCTTAGTGTTAGTTAAAATTCTAAAGAAAGAATATGATTGATCACTGACAAACCAGTGAATTGAATCTTTGTCATTCAATCACCAATGATTGTTTGAATACAGGGAAAAAGGGGAGTAACAAATATTCACATGTAATATAAATGGCGACCCAAGCCTTACTCTTCAGCAGTTTGTGTGAAGGTCAATGAGACAATGTGTTAGGGCTGAGTGTGTACCACCAGACCCTCCTTTAGAATCTGCCCAACTTTTCTCTCATTCATTGGTGAAACTTTTGTTTTGAGACATGCAGGCCTTTACAAAGAGATCATCAGCATATTTTCATTTAGTGTTTCATATCTGAGGGCAATTATTATAATTTATTTAATATGACATTATTTGGCTAGAAATGGCATTTTAAAAAAAATCATAAATATCTCTCAAGCATCCAACTCGATACAGTGCAAACTCTCCTTGCTTTAGACCCAAAAGAGAGACAGAAAGGAATTATGGAGCCTCCATCCTTAAAATTCACTGACCTGATTTCTTATTAGAAGTGAGAGTAGAGAAAAGCTTGGGAGTGGGTCTTGAGAAACGAATGAAATATTGTTTGAACTTGAAGATTTGGTGAAATTCGGGGAGCAAATACTTAAAGAGATGTTCCTAATTTGAGAAAGTATATTGATATTTACATGAAAAATCTTAAAACAATTGGGGATTATTTCCAGAATAATATAAATCAACAACTTTAAGTAGTTGTAATTAAGCTACTAGTCTTTTATCAAGCCCACCCACTATTGTACTATTTGCTTAGATAGCTTTGGTTTCCTCTGTTCCCTTCCAATCAATCTTATTGACTAATCAGACTGAGTTCAACCTATAATCTATATTATTTTAGCCCAATTTAAAAAATCTGAATATTAATAGAGGTGGGAATCTAACTCTGAGGTGATCCATTGATACTTGGCCAAGTCTTATATTTGTGGCATCATTAAATGGTCTCCACACCCAAGATATGGCAAAAAACAAGGCACATTAAAAGCAGATACAGTTTTTTCTTTCCCATCTGTAGCCCTAAAACTTTAGATAGTACCTGATGCTTAGTGAAGATTCACCAAATATTTATTCAGTACCCTCAATGTGTCATACAATATGTGAAATATTAGAATGTAGGCACACACAAAAGCATGATTTCTGCCATATAGAGATGCGAAATGAGGGAAGCTACAATTTCTTGAATATTTACTATATTCCTAGAACTATTCTAAGTGCTTTCATATCATTTCACTTAATCCAGACAACAATTTTATGAGCTTTTGACACTTAAAAAGAACTGCTGTTTTCTATTTCTCCCCTCTGTGATTTCAAAAGAGAAGGTGGTAGAATCTATATTTTGTTTATACCAAATTGCATATTTCTGTTATATTTTTAACAAGATACAGTTATTGCATTTTTGAAATCTCTTAGAGTTTTGCAAAGATAAAAGCATATTAGAAAGAACTTCTAGTATCATTTGATGATATATACTTTACAATTATATGGATCAGGGCACAGAAATAAATACCAACTGAATAAGGTTTTACGTAACAACCTATTACAAAGTGAATATATAACATTTGATGAATTTTCTAAAATACAAAAAAAAAGTTATCTGTTCATGGAAGAGGATATTTGTGATAAATTTAACTTTTTTTTTCTCCAACCAGTCCCAGGCTTGCTTACTTTGTAAAATTAATGAGGAATGCACTTGCATAGGATTATTATTTTTTAAAGGGAGATAAACATGTCTTTCAGAAAACTGTACTACTGTAATTTTTTTTCTTTTGTTAAGAAATAGCTTATGGTAAAGGGATTCTAAGCATTAGCAACATAATTTTTTTTTTTTTTTTTTTGCGATGGAGTCTTACTCTGTCGCCCAGGCTGGAGTACAGTGACAAAATCTCGGCTCACTGAAACCTCTGCCTCCCGGGTTCAAGTGATTCTCCTGCCTCAGCCTCCCGAGTAGCTGGGATTACAGGTGCCCACCACCACACCAAGTTAATCTTTGTATTTTTAGTAGAGATGGGGTTTCACCATATTGGCCATGCTGGTCTTGAACTCCTGACCTTGTGATCCGCCTGCCTTGGCCTCCCAAAGTGCTGGGATTACAGGTGTGAGCCACTGCACCCAGCCAACATATATATATACTTAATGTGGAGTGAAAAATGACAACAGGATTGAAATTCATGTAATTTCACCAAAAAAAATAATTATTTAAAGCTTTCTTCTTTCACATGGATACAGTAACAGTTTTACCATTAGAGAGTAGTTAACCTCCACAGTAGCACTGATGTTTACAAATGCAGGAAGTTTTTGTTAATCACATTGGACAATTTTAATTACATCCTTTCAGGTATATAAAATGTTACCTTATTCCTGCAAATCCTCCCAATGTCTGTTTAAAAAGAAAACTTGCTCAGCATTAGAAATATTTTTAAATTTAAAAATTGTTCTAGACCTTTGGGGTTTTAAAAATACATAAAGCCTGTTTTTTTATTGAACAAAACATGACAATTTGTAGACCATGTAATGTAGCAGCAAAGGTGGCATTCACTGTTCAGCTGACACAGTGAATGGGTCCATCAAGTTTCTTTGAATATGTTATGGAGCTTTTGAATATCTAAAAAAACATTTCTTTGAAACTATCAAACAACTGTTTGATAGGTTTTTCTTATTTGTTAAGATTCACAAGTTCTATTTTTCTCAGCATGCAGTGCTGAGCACAATGGGCAATGTTGACTAGCCTTTATTTAGATAAGCTGGAAGAGCATTAGTTTTCCTTGGGAAGCCATGCACATGCAAAATTAATTGAGGAAACCAACTGATTTTTCTTTCCCAGCTGCAATTCAAATGACTCAGGTGTAATACAGTGCAGCTGAGAAAAGTCAAGCTATACAAAGCCCAGCATTAAACAGTTGCTACTCACAGAATAAATTGTTGATTGTCAAATCATCAAGAAAATCCACAATTTCCAAAGGTAAATTTAAAAATCCCATCCTTTCCTGTAAACTACTGCCCAACTAACAGATTTAGAGTTGAAACAACGAATTTCAAAATTCTGATTCATTTTCTTCTCAGTGTGAACCTGTTTTCAGGAAAGTTGTTTTCTCAGTAATAACACAGATCATCCTAACAAGTTGAATGACAATTTTCAAGTGCAAGGTTTTTCCAAACAACAGTTTCTCTGCTTTAAAGTGATGTGAAGCAATAAATGTTTAAGGAACATGATATTTTGGATGAATTAGGTGAGGCTTTTTTTTTCTCTTTCATGCATAGCTCATGCTCCACTAATCATCAAAAATGATATTTTGTCAAAAACTATTGAAAATTCATTGAGTTCTTTATAGTATTCAAAATAACATTCCCTTTTGTGGAGTTATTCACATTGTTCATTGAGCCTCAAAATTGTTTTTAATTATCTGAAACGTGTAAGGTCTGTCTGTAGTAATCACATGTCTGCACTTAACCAAGACCCAAAGGATAAGATCTACTATTATCTCCCTTAATCTTATTTTGCGTGTCTTATTCTCAAAGCACATGCTTGAATAATCTGCTGCCCAAAGTAGAGGTCAAAATTGTTCTTTCGTTTCACTGGGTTTGTTCTTTAAATCTGCTTATTATCCCATCACAGTTTTATTTTTCAAGTCCCTCAAGATACAAACTAATTTTCCACTCAAAATATTGCTTATGTCATAATAAATCAGACTGTGTCCACTGACAGTTAGTGAATAATACATTTCAAATGAACTGAACATTCAAGTCATTGTATATAGAACAGCATCTTTGCAATTTCTTAACAATTCAGAAAAAAATGTTTTTCTTTGACTTCCCTTAAGCTTGACTAACTTGACCAATACAATAATTTACTAGGAGTTTCTGTGACTTATGATTTGGTTGCAAAGAGTTAAAGACCAAATGCTACATTCTCAGAAATGATTCACAAATACACTTCAAGGACAGTTTGGAAACCATTGAGGGGATGAGACTCTTTATAGTAAGGGAATTAGGACACATTAGGATCTGGGTTTGTTTCATTTTTAGAGAGAATAGTCAAGAAAGTCCTCTGCCAGGAAACATGTTCTTTCTCCCTAAAATAACTTGATTTCTGGAGAGAAAATGAATAGAAAATTCTATTGTTCAGAAACTTGGTTAAAAGGTGAACCTCAGAACCACTCCACACGCCAAGGGAATGCTTTTAGTATTGCTTCCTGAAGTCAACTAATGGATTGAAAAGGGACTGGGAAAAGTGGTCACCAGGGGAAGCCTGATGACGGGCAGCTGCAGCTGCACCAGTGCCAAGCACTGACCATTTAGGACAAAGAGGAGCATGTGAAGATGCACTGGGGGCATCAAGAGCAGTAGAAGTAGCAATAGAAGCGCCTCTTTCTTCCTCCTAGAAAAAAGGAATAGAAGAATATACAGAAGAATGGAAGGAAATGTGTAAGGAGAAAATAATAAAACACACAGTAAAGAGAGATTGATGGAATAGGATGGAAGAACTCTGTAGGGTGTTTCACAAAGGGAAGCAAAGCTCAAATAAAAATGAAAATTATTGGATGTTCAGCCTTTGTAGAAAATGATCACACACATACATTCACACATACAAACCCATGACAAAAAGGGACAAGGGAGGAACTCAAGAAGACAATAAATATAATACTGAGACACTGATCAAATAATTTCCTGCATGACTGAGAATTGATGGACAACATGAAACACCTACTTGTATGATATGCTTGTAAATCAAACATTTGGGTAATGCAACAATAGTGTGTGCAATTTGCAATTATTTCCTTTTAAAAATACTTTTAATAATATTAAAGAGGGCAAGTCTACTTGATATGTGTCCATGTTAAGAAGATCCCTACTCAGGTACTGCTTGAAACCTTGCCTCTTTATTCAGAAATTACTGAGAATCAGTGCAGCACGCTAGAAGGAGCATGACTTTGGAGTCAGGCAGACCTATATTTTGCTGTATGTTAGCCGTGTGGCCTGAGGTGAGTTACTTAATTTTTATTGCTTTAGTTTCCTTTCATGCAACTTGAGAATCATAAACTCTGTTTTAGGGGATTGTAAGAATGACAATAGGCAACATCTAAAGAAGTGCTAGGACATACTAGAAGCTCAAAAATGGAAGTTTCTATTGTTTCTGTTGTTGTTCTAGTTGTTATAATCATTAAGATTATAACATTAAGATTATTTAATATCACTCTTTAGTAAGGCTTCAGACAGAGTAGGTAGAATATGAAGTAGTTTTAAAATTATGAGTAAGATGTAAACTCCCCGAGAGGGGGCACAACAAATTTTGAGTAGAGAAAGAAACATTGGAAAAGACACCAGAGTGGAATCCATATGGAAAATTTCAAACAGTTTGGTTCATTTGGCCGTTTGGAGGCAAGACCAAAGACCTTGCTCTGAAATGCATTATGCATATTTCACTTCCACATGGATTGCTAAACATTTAGTTGCATTGCAGTGCTTATGACAGGTCTATGGTCTGCATGTTTTATATTCTTGTGGTGATTTTTCATTCTAAAGAATTTGCTGGAAGCAGTATGTAAATGCAACCTCTTTTGTATTGTCAAGATCTGTTTCTTACAAGCCAGAGTGAAAATCTACACCAAAATATGACTTGACTTCAAAGAACAATCATTTTTCACTTGTTTGTATCAAGGGACAGTGAACATTTGTGAAAGCTTCTACATTTATTTTCAAAATACAGTGGGTTGTATTTTGTAATCCTCTGCATATATTTGTAAAGCTGCAGATAGGCTTAGAACCTTCCAAAATGAGGGTCTTTTGATGAGCATGACTTCGAATTGCAGGTGGAACAGATGCCCTAGAAGAGGACATGATTTTTCACTAACTGGGGCAAATTGGCTAAAAGCAAATCTTGGAATTGTGATGGCTTTGTAAATAGGCTGAAATGAATCAAGGATTTTGAGATTAGATTAATGCCAGCCTTAGCTGGAATAATTTGTGCTCTTGACCATCTGCAGCTGTGAAATCACTACAACATGCTCTAGTTGAATGTGATTTTCTTGCCCTGATCCCTGGTACACTTTAGCTCGAACAGAGATCCACATGTAGAAATAGGTCACTCAGGGGAAAATGTGTATTTCTTATACCCTCAAACGGCTTTAGATTTACGTATCAGCAAATGACTTACCATGAAGCTCAGAGAAAATACAGTATTTCCATCTGTAGCATGAAGATTATTGACATTTAAGGGGAAACTGTACACATTTTCACTTTTAGCAACACTTAGAAAAAAAAAACATAAACGGCATCTCTAGTAAAGGCCAATATTTGGTTCATATTTTTTCTCATCAGCTGTTTGCTAGAAGAGCAAATGATTAGAATACAGGTCCAAGTACATCTTTTACCCTCTAGAAAAATGTCATCATCTTAGCATACATTGAAAAAAGAAATACTAATGTTTCAGGTTAGCAAGGGTAGGAGAAGGTACTAATCTATTATGTGAGGGGGAAATGATATAGATTTTTCTTTACTGAAAACAACCGGCTGAGTTATGACAATGAAATGAATTCTCTATAGAATCCTCACTTTTCATTGAGTTGGCGTTCAAGCTTTTAAAAATCTAGAATTCTGAGCTAAAACGATAGGCAAAAATGCATGGATTAATCTCACAAACATAATAGTGAGAAGCCCGACACAAAAGAATACATATTATACATCCAGTTCAAAAACAGGAAAAAACTAATCCAAGTTAGAAGTCAAAAGATTGATTCCCTTTGACAGGTAGAGAAGACTGGCATGATGCGTAAGGGGATTTCTGAGGTGCAGATAAACTTTTGATTCTTGATCTGGTGCTGGTTACATAGATGTGCCACTTTATAAAAAATCCGTCAGTCTGTACACTTACAAGGTGTGCACCTCTCTGTACTTTGTTATACTTCAATACAAAGATTTTAATAATCTAGGTTCTGTAAAACTCTCTTGATAACCTCATCAGCCTCTACTTCAAGGCTAAGTCCTATGGCTATGAGAATATCAGTGGTGATATGACACTATGACTGATATGCACTGCAGGTTCTTATGGAGCCAAAGATGCTCGTGTTTCAAAGGCTCAGCATCTTCTTTAGCAGGAGTCCATCAAATGGGCATATTAATAGAGCAAAATCCCGTAAGTAACTAGGACCAAATAAACCAATCACAAGGCAAGCTTAGGGGGCATTTGGGAAATTGTACTAGCTTTTTTAAAGCTGGAATTTCATAATATTTTTCGTTAGAATCACTACAAAGTAAGAAAATAAACATCTGTGTCAGGAGAAACATAATGATTCTTACCTAAAATAATGTAATTATAGTAAGAACATTATTGGGAGGCAAGCTCTCATTCTATACTATTTTTGGTGCCAGAATGAAATCAAAACTTATTTTTAACCAAGAAATATTATATTCAGGGAACAGAAACTGTCCTTTGTAAGCATGAAGCATAATTTTATTTGCAGTTTGCCCATTTCTTTACCTACAGGGACCACCTTCCAGGTGTCATCGTTCACTGATGCTAAGAGATCTTATGTATAATTCAGTACTTTGTACATCTGTCCAGAAACGCAAAACCAGACCCCCATTTTACATTATGGGAGAATCAAAAGCAGTTCCAGAGCATAATGCTTTTCTTCACATGAGGGAATTTTCTCAGCGTGATGAATGAATAGGACTCTCTTTAACATCAGCCAGACCTAACTCGAAGTACCACCTCTTACTACCCAAAAAAAGGAGAAAGTCACCTATGTTTTTTTTTGTTTTTGTTTTTGTTTTTTCTGTAAAACATCTACTTCCTGGAATTTTTCTACTGTTTAAATGAGATAATATCTATAAAACTCATTTAGAAAGTTTTCCTCATATTATTTGGTAAATATTCATGAATATACTACTACTATCGCTACCACTGCTGCTAATGACAATAATAATAATAAATTAGTAGTAGTAGCTAACATACGTGCCAAACTATTACTAGTGTTACTAGTATTACTAGTGTTAGTATCCTCTTTACATTAATAGTGGTGGTGGTAGTCGTATGCACATTTAGAACTTGATTCCAACTTCAAATCTGAAATCATATAACTTATGTCACTCAATTCTACTTCTTGCAAGCAGACATCTGTATATAAAACACAATTCCCTAACCTCATAATACTCAGCTCTCTTAACCTTTTCCCAGACTTCCCTTGCACAGATTTCTTTTTCAATTTTCACTGTTATAAATATTAAAATTTTAAGTACTAAAACATTTCCCCTTTTCTCCTTTTCTGAGAACTCACCCCTTCAACAAATAGAAGGCATGTTCTGATATGCCTGTTTTCTGCTGGTCATAATGCTAGGCGATGGTGAATAAGGTGGACAAGATACCTGCACTCATGAGACTTAATGTTCCAGTGTGAGAGAAAGAATATAAATAAGTATAGAAAATAATTGCTGATTTTGATAGTTTCTATGAAGGAAACCTGCAGGGTAAAGTGAAGAGGAGCAGCAGCTGGCAGGAACCACCTTAGACGCTTACAGTTGGGACAGGTATCTCCTAGGGGATGACTTCTGCGGTGAGATCTGGATAAATTATTTCAAGAGGAAACTCTAAGAGTAAAGGCCTTTAAGCTGGGGCTTTCTTAGCAGTATATCCAGGGGAAAGCCAGCAGGTAACTACACAAGATGCCGTGCGAAAAAGGATGAGCGTGAGAATGGAGATGGGGTGAGAGAGGTGGCGGAGCTGGGGGGTGGGCAGGAGGGAAGAAGATGCTAATATGAAGCTTTTACGCCACGGATGCTCACTGGAGAAATGTGAGCAGGGGGGAACACGCTTGTTCCCATAGGTAGCCAGTCAGGCATGAGCAGGTCAGGAGAGGGCTCCCCAGCAACCCTACCAGGAATGTCAGGTGACTATCAGGTGATGGTCCAGCAGTTGTTACACTGTCTCTCTAAAATAATAATTGGTCACAGCTAGGGCCAGAGAAAGGAAGTCTCCCAATAGATAGAAAAACCCTGAAACTAGTGATCAGCAGCTTCCCCATAAGATCTCGGGAGTTGGATGAGTGGGCTCACACATGTGAACTAAGAGGCAAAACAACAGAGTTTAAGTGGTATATGACCTGCTAGTGACATTTGACTGGTAAGGGAAGGCTGCTTCAAGTGAGCATGCACACAACTCCAGTAAACTCACTGTGCATGCTCCCCTCCCAAGCACTAGCAGGCCGCTGCATGTGTGGACAGCCCACCCCAAGGGATGAATCAGGGGAGAAGGGACACAAGACCCTGGAAACATGCCAACATATAAAATCCCAAGTCAAAAGTTCAAACCGTGCACTTGATCACTCAAGTCACCTGCTCGGCCCTCTTTCAAGTGTACTTTACCTCTTTTCATTCCTGCTCTAAAGCTTTTTAATAAACCTTTACTTCTATTCTAAAGCTTGCCTTGGTCTCTCTTTCTGCCTTGTGTCCCTTAAGTTGAATTTTGAGGTTGCTGCAGACCCATATGGATTTACCACCAGTAACATGATAACTTAAATTTGAAAAGAAACCCTCTGGATGCTGCGTGAGGAATGTCATGTAAGATTTGATGATGAAGCAGTACTCCAGGTGAGAGATGGTAGAGAGTTGTAAGAAGGAAGACTCAGTTTAGAGAAGACTATTTTAAGTCTTATAAGTAATATAGAATGTTCGTAAAACAGCCAAAAACTATCTACCTTTCTATAAATGTGAGTGAGGTGGTGATAATAATCCAGCTTTCCTGGGTTGTGGGGTGTATTAGTTTGTTCTCACACTGCTAATAAAGACATACCTGAGACTGGGTAATTTATAAAGGAAAGAGTTTTAATTGACTCACAGTTCCACATGGCTCGGAGGCCTCACAATTATGGTGGAACGCAAGTGAGGGACAAAGTCACGTCTTACATGGCAGCAGGCAAGAGAGAGCATGTTCAGGGGAACTGCCCTTTATAAAACCATCAGATCTTGTGAGACTTATTCACTATCATGAGAACAGCATGGGAAAGACCCACACCCATGATTCAATTACCTCCCACGGAGCCCCTCTCATGACATGCGGGAATTATGGGAGCTACAATTCAAGATGAGATTTGTGTGGGAACACAGCCAAACCATATCATGTGGTTAGTAACTGCACTAATAACTCAGTATTAACTACTAGTAGCTAGTTACTAGTAATTCTGTCCATGTAGATGATTTCACAGGTATTTTTCATTAATCACCAGAGGGGCATGGATGAATCAGCCCAAGTCCTCTCCTTCACTGAAAGACAAATCTCAAAGCAATTCCCTACTATGAAGTAACAAACCTTTCTATTTAATGAGAAAGAAAATGAAAGTTTGAGAATGGTTAAATTGTAGGAATAGCACGTTATTCTTTAGTGCAATCCATAAATAACTCTTTAAAACACTTTCATGTGAGTTAATTCATTTAATCTACATAATAGTCTAAGAAAATAAATCATAGGGCAAGTATTACTATTTGTCCCCCAACCCTAACTTTATAGATAACAAAACCAAGACCCTGAGACTAAGTACTTTTCCAATTTTCCACAGCTAGTGAGCAATTGAAGTGAGATATAAACATTGTCTCTTGATTCTTGATACTAAGACTATTTTCTCTAAGGGATGTGTAGACTGCCCTTTGTAGGATGTGATTTTAAAGGAATTTTCAGAGTGCAGACTATACTGTGTGTCCTGCATTTAGTTGGCCTTTTTATCTTTTCCTTTCTTTCTATCCTGTGCTATTCCCATTCCCTATGGCCAAATCCAATTCTTCTCAGGCCATTATCACTACCTTTGTTAGAGGGAAAATTTGGAGGATATAAATACACAGTCATTATACAATGAGTTCTGATGACCTTTTAGTATTTGTTGTGTATGAACTGTAAGCAGCAGTTAAAGATGAAAGGAATTGGCATTGAGCCTTCTTAATTATTGTTCCTGTTTCAGACCTTTAATAGAGCTCTGGCTGTTGCTGACACATCTAAATGAGGTTTACAGAACCTGGAGCTGTGAATTCAGTACTCATTAACAGAGGGATGACAGGACTGCGGCATTTTCTTTTTTGCCCTTTTAGAAAAAGAAATCATCATGGATCTCAGATTTAGATGCCTTATTTTACATGTGGATTACCTTCTGATTTGGAATTATTGTTAAGTGTGCTCATCTCAAGGAAAGCCTAAAATGGGTTCATGAAAGCAAGAGAAAAGAATGAAGGCTGTGCTTTGTTGGGCTTTCTGAATTCTGTAAGGCCTAACCGATATGACTAGTATCAGAACTCAACACACCATTGTAAATTATGCTATCCAAAGAGGGTTGAAAGGCAGAGGTTCACAACCTGGGTGAATTCCATCTCCATGGATACCACGGTCATTATCTTGACTGGTTGCAGGTCTTTAACTGGTCTTCTGACCTCTAGGGTCTTCTCATCTTGAACTCATGTGTACATCACTGCCAGATTTGACTTATGAAAGGGGCAGCTTGGGTTATATAGTATCCTCCAAATTCTTTTTTTTTTTTTTTTTTTTTTCAGATGCAGTCTTGCTCTGTTGCCCAGGCTGGAGTGCAGTGGTGTGATCTCAGCTCACTACAACCTCCACCTCCCCCAGGTTCAAGCGATTCTCCTCCCTCAGGCTCCCATGTAGCTGGGATTACAGGCATGCGCCACCACCATGTATGGCTATTTTTTTTTTTTAAGTTTTAATAGGGACAGGGTTTTGCCATGTTGGCCAGGCTGGTCTTGAACTCCTGACCTCAAGTAATCCACCTGCCTCGGCCTCCCAAAGTGCTGGGATTACAGGCATGAGCCACCATGCCCAGCCAATAACCCCCAAATTCTGTTGCGGGTGGCCTATTTAATAATGAATTATATATAAACTCTTTCTACTTGTTATTTATTAGTTTTAAAATTATGATGTTAGAGTAACAAACTCAACTAGTTAATATCAAAAGGCAAATAGAAAATTAGTAGATTTGCTTAGCGTGATGTAGTTTGCATATTTATTGGGCATGAAGTTCTCACTTAATCAACTCTTACAAGAACTACCATGGTGCCTGTGTTTCTGCTAAAATTGGGATTATGGTTTCCTGGCCACCCTCTCCCCCTCCATGCTAAAATGTGTGAAAATCGACTTCTTGTCTTGTGTGTAGAATAGAACATGGGAAAGAACAAAAACGCTTATGGCAAGAAACACATAGATAAGAAGCTGAATTCCAGGGCAAAGAAAATAGAAAATGATATTATAACTCAGCTAAATATGGTGGCAGGTTCTTAGCCAGCATAGTAGACAAACTCTTTAAAGTGTATTAACAAAAAACATATACCGAAAATCAGAACTTTGGACAGTGACTAAGAGAGTAGGAATTCTTTGTAGTAAGGAGCTTAATATAAAGAAACAATTATCCATGCACAAAACCATGTGAAATAAAAAAGCATGTAGTAGGCCAGAAAAGGATCAACAGGACTTAGGTTCTGAAAGAAGAACAACTCACAACAGAGTAAACAGAAGGGACAATTTCCTGACCATGCCCACTTTCTTAACCTATTCTTCAGTGAGAGGAATTATAAACAGATGTTGGAACTGCACATTGTAGTCATTTTTGTATATAACTGATGTTTACATTTACTCTATAGTTCTTATTTTGACCATTCTCAACTCTTTTCTCATCCACTTGAAATTCAGAGGATGAATATAAATATGGTTATGACTAGACAATTTGCTTAAAGTGTATGAACACAAAGTAGACAAATTAAGGACACTTCATGCTTGTGACCTTGTCAGAGTTTATTTATATGTGAACTGAGCTGGATGTTACAAAGGCATTCTCAGTTTAATATCCTGTTTCTTTACTGGATGATAGATATTATTAGGGGATCCTCATATCTCAATAGTTTGAAAGGGTCTCCTGACACACAGCAATGGTCTTACTTTCATACTTCATTCTAACATGGTGACCAAGAGAATTAGCAAATGTGGAAAATGCTATAAGGAAATAGTTAAAAATAAATCAGTAGTGAATGTGAATATCCTTGTCCTGACTTTCAAAACCTCAAAAACTCAAGGTCATTTGAAAATTTGTTCATTGAATAAATAGTTATTAGCATCGCATATGCCACTCACTGTGCTTGATCCTAAAGAAATTTAGATAAAATGAAATAGAGTTACTGCCTCTGAAAAGGTCAGGTACTAGTTGGAAAGCAGGTATGCAAATAAATAAAATAATACAAGGGATAAATAAAAAGCTGTTCATTATATTCTGATAATTCTTCTAGGGCAGACTGGGGAGGGATAGGTAAATTCAGGAATAGATAAATGACTTGAGTCTTAAAGAGTGGACTCAGGAAAGGCATTGGAGAATGAAAGAAAGCAACATGGTAAAGTGTGGATGCTTTACACACACACACACACACACACACACACACACTCTTAAAACATAGTTTTAGCTAGTTGGTTGCAATGGTCTACAAGTTTGTCTACCCCAAAATAATATTTTAAATCCTAATCTTCAAGGTGATAGTATTAAGAGGCGTGGCTTTAGAGAGATGATTAGGTCATAAGGGTAGATCCTTCATGAATGAGATTAGTTCCTTTACAAAAGAGATCCTAGAAGCCAGGCGAGGTGGCTCACGCCTGTAATCCCAGCACTTTGGGAGGCCGAGGTGGGCAGATCACTAGGTCAGGAGATCAAGACCATCCTGGCTAACACGGTGAAACTCCATCTCTATTAAAAATACAAAAAATTAGCCGGGCATAGTGGTTGGAGCCTGTAGTCCCAGCTACTCAGGAGGCTGATGCAGGAGAATGGAGTGAACCCGGGAGGCGGAGCTTGCAGTGAGCCGAGATTGCACCACTGCACTTCAGCCTGGGAGACAGAGTGAGACTCCATCTCAAAAAAAAAAAAAAAAAAGAGATCCTAGACTAGAGAGCGAGCTAGCCAGCCCCTTTCTCCGTGCGAGTACACAGCTAGAAGTCACCTTCTATAAGGAATGGACTCTCACCAGACGCCAACTCTGCTGGAGCCTTGATCTTGGACTTTCCAGTCTCCAAAACTGTGAGAAATAAATTTTCATTGTTTATGAGCTACCCAGTCTAGGGTATTTTGTTACAGCAGCCCAAAGACATTGGTCTGGTCCTTAGACCATTTAGAGGTCAGGATCACCTCTGACACATGTTGAAAAGGCAAAGTTTCAGATAATCACATCAGACTTCCTAGATTGGAGTCCCTAAGAGCCAACTTTAAAATATGCCATTGTAACCAGACTCCCAGTGATTTCAATGCCCACTATAGATGAAGAATGACAATTCTAGAAGCTAAAAATGGTTCCATGTAACAGGTGCCTCTATGGAATTTCACAGGTGATAGGACCATTTTATCTTAGGTATATCATACTGGCAGACAGACCATTTTGAACTCATAGACATCCAAGGCTAAAAATGCCAGGACATAAAGACCAAGTCATGGAGTTTTCTAGGAATATGGGACACGTAGTACTCATGACATGGGACTCATTTTCGATATGTCTCCAGGTTTTCTCTAAGTGGATTGGAGGGTGTTGAAGGATAGTGCATAACTCTTGATAGAAGAAAGCTCCACTGGAAAGAGGAAAATCATGTGGAATAAAAAAATCATTATTTTTCTTTTAATTTTTATTTTAGTTCATGTGGGTACATGTGCAGGTTTTTTATATAGGTTAACTTGTGCCACAGAGGGTTGGTGTACAGATTATTTCATCACCCAAGTACTAATTATAGTACCTGATAGATATTTTTTCTGATCATCTCCTTTCTTCCACCGTCTACCCTCAATTAGGCACCAGTATCTGTTTCCCTCTTCGTGTCCATGTGTTCTCATTATTTAGCATCCACTTATAAGTGAGAACATGTGGTATTTGGTTTTTCAGTTTTTGTGTTAGTTTGCTAAGGTTAATGGTCTCCAGCTCTACCCATGTTGCTGCTGCAAAGGACATGATCTTGTTAATTTTTATGGCTGCATTATATTTCATGGTGTGTATGTACCACATTTTCTTTCTCTTGTCTACAATTCATGGGCATTTAGATTGATTCTATGTCTTTGCTATTGTGAATAGTCCTCTAATGAACATATGTGTGCATGTGTCTTTATGGTAGAATGATTTATATTCCTTTGGGTATATACCCAATAATGAGATTGCTAGGTCAAATAATAATTCTGTTTTTAGTTCCTTGAGGAATTACCACACTGCTTTCCAAAATGGCTGACTTAATTTACACTCCCACCAGCATTGTATAAGCATACCCTTTTCTCCCCACCATCTGTTGTTTTTTTATGTTTTATTAATAGCCATTCTGCCTGGTGTGAAATGGTATCTCACTGTGGTTTTGGAAAATCATTCTTTTTGACAGGCAGACTTGTGCCTAAATGAGTTTTACATACTTCATTGCTTTTTAAATGTTTCTTTAGGCAAATTTAGGACATGAAGATTTAAAAACTATACTGTTGCCATTCTAACTGGTGTGAGATGATATCTCATTGTGGTTTTGATTTGCATTTCTCTGATTGCCAGTGATGGTGAGCATTTTTTCATGTGTTTTTTGGCTGCATAAATGTCTTCTTTTGAGAAGTGTCTGTTCATGTCCTTCGCCCAATTTTTGATGGGGTTGTTTTTTTCTTGTAAATTTGTTTGAGTTCATTGTAGATTCTGGATATTAGCCCTTTGTCAGATGAGTAGGTTGCGAAAATTTTCTCCCATTTTGTGGGTTGGCTGTTCACTCTGATGGTGGTTTCTTTTGCTGTGCAGAAGCTCTTTAGTTTAAGTAGATCCCATTTGTCAATTTTGGCTTTTGTTGCCATTGCTTTTGGTGTTTTAGACATGAAGTCCTTGCCCATGCCTATGTCCTGAATGGTAATGCCCATGTTTTCTTCTAGGGTTTTTATGGTTTTAGGTCTAACATTTAAGTCTTTAATCCATCTTGAATTAATTTTTGTATAAGGTGTAAGGAAGGGATCCAGTTTCAGCTTTTTACACACAGCTAGCCAGTTTTCCCAGCACCATTTATTAAATAGGGAATCCTTTCCCCATTGCTTGTTTTTCTCAGGTTTGTCAAAGATCAGATAGTTGTAGATATGCGGCATTATTTCTGAGGGCTCTGTTCTGTTCCCTTGATCTATATCTCTGTTTTGGTACCAGTACCATGCTGTTTTGGTTACTGTAGCCTTGTAGTATAGTTTGAAGTCAGGTAGCGTGATGCCTCCAGCTTTGTTCTTTTGGCTTAGGATTGACTTTGTGGTGCGGGCTCTTTTTTGGTTCCATATGAACTTTAAAGTAGTTTTTTCCAATTCTGTGAAGAAAGTCATTGGTAGCTTGATGGGGATGGCATTGAATCTATAAATTACCATGGGCAGTATGGCCATTTTCACGATATTGATTCTTCCTACCCATAAGCATGGAATGTTCTTCCATTTGTTTGTATCCTCTTATATTTCACTGAGCAGTGGTTTGTAGTTCTCCTTGAAGAAGTCATTAAAAAGTCAGGAAACAACAGGTGCTGGAGAGGATGTGGAGAAATAGGAACACTTTTACACTGTTGGTGGGACTGTAAACTCGTTCAACCACTGTGGAAGTCAGTGTGGCGATTCCTCAGGGATCTAGAACTAGAAATACCATTTGACCCAGCCATCCCATTACTGGGCATATACCCAAATGACTATAAATCATGCTGCTATAAAGACACATGGACACGTAAGTTTATTGTGGCACTATTCACAATAGCAAAGACTTGGAACCAACCCAAATGTCCAACAATGATAGACTGGATTAAGAAAATGTGGCACATATACATCATGGAATACTATGCAGCCATAAAAAATGATGAGTTCATGTCCTTTGTAGGGACATGGATGAAATTGGAAACCATCATTCTCAGTAAACTATCGCAAGAACAAAAAACCAAACACCGCATATTCTCACTCACAGGTGGGAACTGAACATTGAGAACACATGGACACAGGAAGGGGAACATCACACTCTGGGGACTGTTGTGGGGTGGGGGGAAGGGGGAGGGATAGCATTGGGGGATATACCTAATGCTAGATGACGAGTTAGTGGGTGCAGCGCACCAGCATGGCACATGTATACATATGTAACTAACCTGCACATTGTGCACATGTACCCTAAAACTTAAAGTGTAATAATAAAAAAAAGAGTAAAAATTAAAAAAAAAAGAAAACTATACTGTTAAGGTCTTAAGTTATTATTGTATTTCATGCTTGAGGATAAAAATCTCAACCAAAACCCATCATCCTCAGCAAAGTATCACAAGGACAGAAAACCAACCACCACATGTTCCCACTCATAGGTGGGAACTGAACAATGAGAACACTTGGACACTGGGCGAGGAACATCACATACCGGGGCCTGTCAGTGGGTAGGGGGTTGGGGGAGGGACAGCATTAGGAGAAATACCTAATCTAAATGACGAGTTGATGAGTGCAGCAAACCAACATGGTACACGTATACCTATGTAACAAACCTGCACGTTGCGCACATGTACCCTACAACTTGAAGTATATATATAAATAAAAAAGAAATCACAACCAAAAAATGAGGACTCTGCCTACTCCCTTTTTTGGGATTGAAGCCCTTTACAGGAGGTCACATATACTGTGGACTGCTTAATTTTAAGACATTTTAATTTTCATTTATATTGGCATTTTGTAAGACTCTATGTTTACATTTAAACTGATTATGGTTTAAAGTGATTACTTATCCACGGTGATTTCTCTTTGGGAATCCTGAACAGATATGATGATTGTTCTGCCTTAATATAAGCCTGAAACTTTATCCCTAGGCAGCTCCCTCTATTAGGAGATATTTGCCTCATGTCTTAAACCATCTATTTTTAAAATGAAATTAATTCATTTATTTAGGAGAATTCTAGTGGTGGTTGATAAAGTATTGTAGTGACAATGATGAGACTGCTGACAGCTATGAATCATTGAATACTTACCACATTCCTAAAATTGTTCAAAGATATTTACCTGGATATATTTATTTAATCCATTACAACAACCTTATTAATAGCCCCATTTTATAGGTGACAGAGCAAAATCATAAAAAAGTAAAATATTTTGCTCCAGGATCCTGTGAATAAGGGGGTAAGGTTTAGGATCCTGAGGATCCTAACTCAGGTAGTGGATCCCCCAAGCCTAAGCTTTGAACCTTAATGCCATTCTGCTTGGTTTTGAAGCTGCCAGTTCTGTTTCAGATTTTTTTACCCATTATTTATTATCTGAATTTAGCGATTTCTTCAACATTCATTGTCTTCATTTTGAGAGATATAAAACAAAAAATGCCAATCATATTTCTTTAGCTCTATCTTAGGCTAACACCAAACGTGACCTTGTACTTTCGCCCTTCACACCCAAGGGCATGCTGTCAATTATCAGGTTACCCACCCCACGGCCTCATGCCTGGTGACATGCCTTTGTTTGGCTCAAAGAGAAATTATTCTCTTGGTGATTTGGCCATTGAAGCTTCTGGTCCAAGTGAGTTTTTATCCTTAACAATAAGATAGGACAACAGGCTTTGGATGCATAGTTGCAAATAGATAATACCAGTCTCTCCCACTATGCTCTGTGGAAGGTTACAAGAATTCCAGCCCCACCAAAGGCCATACAATTTCATAGCCCAAAAAAACTAAAGAAAAATAAAATATCTTGGTGGTTCTGTGAAACGGCTCCTTCTTTTCATTTTTGTTCTTTGAATGAAAAACTCTATTTACAGAATATTATTCTTAGTAACGCCATTGTAACTACCTTGTTCTGTCTTTTTACCATTTCATAGTACATGAATGTTCTTACAGGTATAATGGATATTTTAACATCAGCTCACATTTTACAGTGATACTCTTTGGCATATTACAAGGCAATAATAACACATGCCTGCTCAACACACATTTATATCATCAACTGCAATAATTTAGCTAATACAAAAAGCTACATGTTAATGTATAGCTTTTCCTTTCTTCTTATGCTCTTCCATGACTTTGTGCTTCTGTGTTATAATAATAATGACTAGAAAGAAAATGATCTATCACCATTTAGTACACCATCAATTTTCTACAAAATTGATGCTGTGTCAGTCATAGATGACCTGCCTCTTGGTGAGAATTTACTAGCAAAGCAAGCCCTTGTTGAGATTTTCTGAAATTTAGTTTGTGATGAAACCTGCTGTTGGCTTGAGGGCTTTTTATCAGTGAGTATCTTGCCAACTTAAATGTTCTTTCTCTTTCTTGGACAACTTGTTCCTCATTTTAAAAACAAAGCAAATATCCTTCCCTCCCAAATACAGCACATATTATCATTTAGTAGATGACAGAAAATATTTAAACTTAATTTCAGGAAAGAAAACATTATTTTCCATCATAAAATAAAATAGAGCGTTAACATCAATATGAAAAATTACAAGCTAAAACAATGAAAGCCCAACTGTTTGGAAGTTAAAAAACAGAACAAAGCACACACTTCTTTCCCATATAAATATTTTGTCAAAGATAAAAACAAAATTGCAGTTTGGCACCATAACAATAATACATATTAGGACTGCCAGAATGACTGCGTGAGGAACTCAGTGCAGCTATGTAACTCGAAAATAATTAACAACAAAAAAAAACCAAGAATAAAAATATTTAAAATCTTGAGAAAATGTCATAAGGACATAAAGCAAATGGAAACCTGTTAATTCAATAAAATGAATTAAATCTCTGTAACAAAAGCAAAAGTCTATAGAACAAGAACCTACTGCTGTGTCTGGAGTTGGTTCCTTCTGGTGGGTTCATGGACCGGCTGACTTCAAGAAGGAAGCCGTGGACCTTCGCTGTGAGTGTTACAGCTGTTAAAGGTGGCACAGACCCAAAGAGTGAGCCTCAGCAAGATTGATCGTAAAGAGCAAAAGAACAAAACTTCCACAAAGTAGAAGAGGACCCAAGGGGGTTGCCACTGTTGGCTGAGGTGGCCAGCTTTTATTCCCTTATTTGTCCCTGCCCATGTTCCATTTCTGTCCTATCAGAATGCCCTTTTTTCAATCCTCCCTGCGGTTGGCTACTTTTAGACTCCTGCTGATTGGTGCATTTTACAGAGCGTCGATTGGTGCGTTTTACAGAGTATTGATTGGTGCATTTTACAGAGTGCTGATTGGTGCGTTTTACAGAGCGCTGATTGGTGCATTTTACCATCCTTTTGCTAGTACCAGAGTGCTGATTGGTGCATTTTACAATCCTTTCGTAAGACAGAAAAGTTCTGCAAGTCCCCACAGGACCCAGAAGTCCAGCTGGCTTCATCTCTCATTGCTATTCTCTCTCTCCTTTCACCCTCCCCATGTTATGGAAGCTCCTCTCTGGAATGTGTGGCCGAGAAAATGAGAATTCTCTCTTCCTATAACTCCTAGTTAAGGGCCACAATTTCATTCCGAAAGGCATAGGCCACTGGCACCACTTATACCCCAGCTAACCCCCAGTTTCATGCTGTGGAAGCTGTATTCCGAGCAGGCATAGCAAAGAGGACTGGGGGTCCCTTCTGCCACCCAGGGCTCACTGATAGGGTGGCAGCTCTACCCTAAGCATGGTAAGTTGAGAATATCGGGCTCTAGTCGCCCATAAATTCTTCCTGCTCATAAGTTGTGGTCTCCATTCTGGAAAAGGTAAGCCTAGAAGATGAGTGGCTACTTTGCTTCCCCTACAGGGACTGCTGGCAGAGTAAAAGATCACTGTGAGAATCTGGCTATTGTCTCTACCCCAGTGGTGATACAGTGGTGAAGTGGTTATGCCTCAGGGGAGAGGCAGCCGATAAGAATTAAGACAGAAAACCAAACACCGCATGTTCTCACTCATAGGTGGGAAATGAACGATAAGAACACTTGGACACAGGGTGGGGAACATCACACACCAGGGCCTTTTGTGAGGTGGGTGGTTGCGGGAGGGATAGCATTAGGAGAAATACCTAATGTAAATGACGAGTTCATGGGTGCAGCAAACCAACACGGCACATGTATACATACGCAACAAACCTGCATGTTGTGCACATGTACCCTAGAACTTAAAGTATAAGTGAAAAAAAAAACAATTAAGAACTCCACAGTTCTTCCCAAGGTGACTGACTTTACTTGGAACAGATCATAGAGAAGTTCATGCCTAAGGGCACTTTTAAAATTTTATTTCAAGATTTGGGGGGGCAACAGGTGGTTTTTGGTTACATGGATAAGTTATTTAGTGGTGATTTCTGAGATTTTGGTGTGCCCATCACCTGAGCAGCGTACACTGTACCTAGTGTGTAGTCTTTTGTTTCTCACCCCTTCCCATCCTTCCCCACAATCCCCAAAGTCCATTATATCATTCTTACGCCTTTGCGTCATCATAGCTTAGCTTCCACTTATAAGTGAGAATATACAATATTTGGTTTTCCACTCCTGAGTTACTTCACTTAGAATAATAGTCTCTAACTCCATCCAAGTTGCTGCAAATGCCATTATTTCATTCCTTTTTATGGCTGAGTAGTATTTCATGGTGTATATATACCACATTTTCTTTATCCACTCGTTGGTTAATGGGTATTTAGGTTGGTTCCAAATTTTTGCAATTGTGAATTGTGCTGCTGTAAACATGGGAGTGCAAGTGTCTTTTTCATATAATGACAACTTTTTTCCTCTGGGTAGATACCCAGTAGTGGGATTGCTGGATCGAATGGTAGTGCTACTTTTAGTTCTTTAAGGAATCTCCATACTGATTTCATAGTGATTGTACAAGTTTACATTCCCACCAGCAGTGTAAAAGTGTTCCCTTTTTACCACATCCACGCCAACATCTGTTATTTTTTGATTTTTTAGTCGTGTCCATTCTTGCAGGAGTAAAGTGATATCTCACTGTGGTTTTGATTTGCCTTTCCCTCATCATTAGTGATGTTGAGCATTTTTTTTTCAAATGTTTCTTGGCCATTTCCTTATCCCCCTTTCGATGGTTTTTTTTTTTCTTGCTGATTTGTTTGAGTTCCTTGTATATTCTGGATATTAGCCCTTTGTTGGATGCAAGTTTGCAAATATCTTCTCCCACTCTGTGTGTTGTCTGTTTACTCTGCTGATTATTTTGCGGTACAGAAGCATTTTAGTTTAATTAGGTCCTATTTATTTATTTTTGTATTTGTTGCATTTGCTTTTGGGTTCTTGGTCATAAAGTCTTTGCCTAAGCCAATGTCTAAAAGTTTTTCTGATGTTATCCTCTAGAATTTTTTATGGTTTCAGGTGTTAGACTTAAGTCTTTTATACATCTTGAGTTGATTTTTGTATAAGATGAGAGTTGAGGATCCAGTTTCATTCCCATACATGTAGCTTGCCAACTATCCCAGCACTATTTGTTGAATAGGGTCACCTTTCCCCACTTTAAAATATAAAAAGAAGAAAAAATAGTGAGCACGGACATTGGAGGCTACATACTGCATGGGAAACAGGCCTTATATAGTTTATTTTCACCAAGTCACTAAGTAGATAAACACAATCATCCAAACAACAACAGCAACAATAACAAGTCTAAGTAAAAGAGGATTGGAAAGTATCCTCAGTTGCTACATTTTACTATCAAAGATGCTGAGTTTTCAATAAAAATCATTACACGTGGAAAAAAAAACACATTATGACCCACACACTGAAAAACAAATAGGTAATAGATATTGCCTTTGAAGGCACTCAGATGTTGGACTTAGAGATAGTTTTCAAAGCAGCTAATATAAATATGTTCAAGGAAATAAAAACCATGCTTAAAGAAAAAATCAGGTATGAGAAAATGATTTATAAAACAGCACATATTAATAGATATTTTATGAAAGAAACAAATGGATATTCTGGAATTGAAAGTATAAGAACTAAAATAAAAATTTACTAAAAAGTCTCAGTATAGATTGAGCTGATAGAATCAGCAAATTTTAGGAAAGATAAAGATTATACATCTGAAAATCAAAAATTAATGAACAAAAATAAAAACTCAGAAAAATATAAGACATTTTAAACCCAACAACCTACCTATAATGAGAATACCAGAAGGAAATGAAAGAGAGAAATGAATAGAAAAATTATTCAAACAATGACTGCTGAAAAATTTCTAAACAGACTTACAAACATTTTTGTAAATATTAGAGAAGCTCAGCAAACTCTTATTATATTCGACTATAGCAATACAATAGAACAACGTGGGAATGAAGCTATATTAGAGTAAGGAAATGAACCCAGATGATAACAGGACCAAAAAAGAACATGAAACAAACCAAAAAATGCTAAATAAGAAAACTAATTTATAAATATTTGTGATTGTGCTCTCCTTTATTATCATAGCTTCTTTAAAAGACATAAGGTGATGTAAAGTAATAATTATAACAACGTCTTATTGGGTTTGTAACATATGTAGACATGATGTGCGTAACAATAATAGCACAAAAAAGGAAGAAGGAAGGGAATGGAGCTATCTAGGTATAAAGTTTATATGACTTACTAGAACATTTAAGGAATTAACACTAACTCCTTCAAAAATATAAAAGACAAAGGAACACTTCCCAACTTATTCTATGTATCTAGCATTACTCTGATATCAAAACCAAATGAAAATAGACCTTATGAATATACTCATATACTTAATGGATACAGATTAAAAAGTCTTCAACAAAATACGAAAACCTGAGTATTTTATAATACTTATTAAAAGTATCATAGGCCAGGTGCAGTGGCTCAAGCCTGTAATCCCAGCATTTTGCGATACCGAGGCAGGTGGATCACAAGGTCAGGAGTTCAAGACCAGCCTGGCCAACATAGTGAAACGCTATCTCTACTAAAAATACAAAAAATTAGCCAGGCATGGTGGTGGGTGCCTGTAATCCCAGCTACTCAGGAGGCTGAGGCAGGAGAATCACTTGAACCTGGGAGTTGGAGGTTCCACTGAGTCAAGATCGCGCTATTGCACTCCAGCCGGTGCGATAGTGCGAGACTCCGTCTCAAAGAAAAAAAAAGTATTATAAATTATGACCAAGTGCATTTTATTTGAAAAGTGCAAGTTTGATGTAATATCTAAAAATCAATTCATGTAATACACAATATTAATAGAATATGGGACTATCAATCCCTTATCAGATACCTTGTTTGCAAAAGTTTTCTCCCATTCCATGGGTTGCCTTTTTTTCTCTATTGATTATTTCCTTTGCTGTGGAGAAGATTTTTATTTTGATGCTATCCCATTTGTCTATTTCTGCTTTTGTTGGTTAAGCTTTTGGTGTCATATCCAAAAATCATTGCCCAAACCAATGTTAAGAAGATTTTCCTCTATTTTCTTTCTGGTAGTTTCATGGTTTCAGAAATTACATTTAAGTATTTAATCCCTTTCAGTTGATTTTTATATATGGTGTGAGATAAGGGTCCAATTTCATTTTTCTGCATGTGGATATACAGTTCCAAAGTAAATAACCTGACTAAAACATGTGAAAAGAACTGAACAGATATTTCTCAAAAGAAGGCCTACAAATGGCCAGCAGGTATACAAACAAGTGCTCAAGATCACCAAACATCAAGGAAATGCAAATCAAAGCCACAATGAGATATCACCTCTCACTTGTTAGGATGGCTATTATCAAAAAGACAAGCAATAGCAAATGTTGGTGAGGATGTGGAGAAAAGGGATCTCTTGTATATTGTTGGTGGGAATACAAATTAGTCATTATGGAAAACAATATGGAGGTTTCTTGAAATATTAAAAATAGAACTATCTCATGATCTAGCATTCCCACTTCTGGGTATATATGTATAATACATATATTATATATAATATATAATTTATATATAGAAAATAATATATAATATATAATACATAATTTATATATAGAAAATAATATATATAATATATAATACATAATTTATATATAGAAAATAATATATATATTATATATACAGAAAGTAAAATCAGGAACTCAAAAGAGATATCTGTAAGGTCATGTTTATTGCAGCATTATTAACAATAGTCAAGATATGAAAACAACTAAATGTCCATCTGTGGGTGAGTGGATAAAGAAAATAGTGTTCATGCATTTACATAGAACAGAATATTATTCAGCCTTTGAAAAGGAGACCCTGCCATTGATTACTGTATGGATGAACTTGAGGATACTATACTATGTGACATAAGCCAGATACAGAAATACAAATACTGCATATGCAGATCTCAAATAGCCTAATAGGAAGACAGTAGAGTGGAGTTAACCAGAGGCTGGGAGTAGGGGAAAATGGGGACGTGTTGGTCAAAAAAATAAAGTTGAAGTTATAAAAGATGAATAAATTCTCAAGATCAAATGTACACCAATGTGACTATAGTTAACAATACTGTATTGTGTTCCTGAAATTTGCTAAGAAAGTAGATCTTAAGTGTTCTCACTACAAAAAAAGATAAATGTAACTGTGTGAAATGATGGATATGTTAATTAGATTGATTTTGGTGAATTTTCTACAATGTATATGTGTATCAAAACATCAAGTTGTTCACTTTAAAAATATAGTTTTTATTTCTCTATAAAACCTCAATAACCTGAAAATTAAAAAAATAGAATAGAGGAGTTAAACCACATGATTATCTCAATAGATGCAGAGAAAGTATGGATAAAATCCACACCCTTTCATGATATTATATTCAAAAAGCTATGCAAAAGGGAGCTTCATCAATCATATAAAGGGTATCTATGAAAAGTCCACAGCTATCGTCATTTCTAATGCTCAATATTTTTCCCTTAAGATTGAGAACAAGATAAAGATGTTCACTCTCACCAGTTCTATTCAATAGTGGATCTAATCTGAGCAACCAGACAAGAAAAAAATAGAAAATGCTGTTTCTCAGATAACATAATATTGTATATAAATACACAATAAAAATATTAATATGGAAATATTCCCCAAATTGATCTATAGCTTTGACACAATTCTCAAAATCCCAGCTTTTTTCTCTTGCAGGAATTTTAGGATTCATATGAATCCTAAAATTCATATGAAATTCAGTGCACTCAGAATAATCAAAACAGTCTTGGAAAAGAAGTTGGAAGATTCACACTTCTCAATCTGAAAACTTACTACAAAGCTACATTAATCAAGATACTGTGGTTCTGGCATAAGGATAGACATAGATCAAATAAATAGGTTGAAGTCCTGAAAATAAACTCTTACTTCTAAGGTCAGTTGATTTCAATAAAGATATGAAGAAAATTCAATGGAGGAAGAATAGCCATTTTTACAAATGATGCTGGAATGACTAGATAGCCACATGTAAAGAACAAAATTCTACTTCTGCTCACATGATACCAAACCAAGCCCCATCATAATGAATCAAGGACCTAAATATAAGAACTAAAACTACAAAAATCTCAGAAGAAAGCATGGAAGTAAATATTTGTGACTTTAAATTAGACAATGGTTTCTTAGATAAAATACTATATAGAAGACATATAGATGAATTAGACTTCATAACATTAAATTTTTTGTGCTTCAAAAAACACCTATCAAGAAACTCTAAAGATAACTCACAAAATCAGAGGGCATATTTTCAAATTATATATCTCACAAGTGACTTGTGTTGCAGCTATATAAATTATTCTTGCAATCCAACAACAAAAAGACACATAATAAAATGAGTAAATTATTTAATAGGCATTTCTTCAAACAAGATATGCAAATGGACATTAAGCACATGAAACAATGCTCAACACCATTAGTCATTAGGAAAATGCAACTCAAAATCCAAATAAGAATCTACTTCACATGCAGTAAAATTGTTGTAATGAAAAAGACAGTAACGATTGTTGGCAAGAATGTGGAGAAACTGGAACCCTCATGCCCTGTTGGTGGGAATTTACAATTCTGCAGCCCCTTTCGAAAAGTTTGGCACTTCTGCACAATGCTAAACATAGAGTCACCATACGATCTAGCAATTCCACTCTTATATACGTACCCAAGAAAAATGAAAAGATGCCCATACAAAAACTGGTATATGAATGCTCAAAGCAGTGTAATTCATAATAGCCAAAAGATACAAATAAGTCAAGTGCTGATCAACTTATGAATGGATTTTTAAAAAGTGACTTATCCCTAAAATGAAATATCATTCAGTCTTAAAATTAATGAAATATATGCTATGATGTGGATGGACCTTGAAAACACTGTGCTAAGTGAAAGAAAGCGGATTTTTAAAAGGCCACATATTGTATGATTCCATTTATATAAATTGGCAAAAATAAACAAAGGTATTGAGTTAAAAAGTAGCTTAGTGAGTAACTATAGCAGCAGCATGCAGGCAGTAAAGCTCAGAATGTGGGGAGGGGGAAGAGGAGCAGCTGCTCGATGGTACAGAGTTTCCTTTGGGATGATGAAAACATTCTAATATTTAATTATGGTGATGGTGACACAACCTGTAAATATATTAAAAACTATTCATTGTACACTTAAAATGCATAAATTATATGGTATGTAAATTATATTTTAATAATGCTATTAAAATGTCAACCATAAAACTAGTACATATATTCTGATACCCATCCTGTTATTGAATATATTAATTAGAAACTCATCTAATCACATGTAACAATAGGATGCTCATTACATTAAATTATTTTAATTTTTCTTATTTTTCCCATTTTTGAAAAGTTTTACAATGCATAGGAATTATACTAAAATAACTTTTCAAAAACTTTTATTTAGAATAAATAACAAAGAATACATTTTTAATTTTTTTTGACAACATAGATCTTGTTAGATTTTGTGGTTTCCCTTTTAATTGTAAAACACAGACACTTTAGTTCTGTTAAAAAAATTGCTTTTTCTCTCTGCTTCGGGAATAGAGATAGTGTCTCACTAGTAAGGCTAGGAAATGATCCCTTAGTTTCTATTTCCCATTCCCAGGCTTAGATGAAGGAGAAAATAATCAGATTTTTATGGAATCAAAGCATGCAAGCCTACTCCCTCAAGAAACCCCCAAGCTAGACAGTTTTGAACATATGGGTCTCATACAAGGAATTAAGCTCCAGTTTGAGACAGCAGAATTGATGGGGTCAGTACTTTTCATTTTTGAGTGTTTATAAAAAAGGAAAGTGCCCAACTCCAATGACTGGGGGAAGGGAGATGATTCCAGAGGCAGAAAAGGATAGAAACTCTAGGTTCTAGGGATCTGAATTCCAAATCACTCCAAGACAATGATATTTAATGCCTGCTGCCCTGAGGAAACGGCCATGTGATACTGAATTGAAAGATCTAAGAATAAAGGGCAGGTGACTTGGGAATCAGGAAGAGGCATACGTGGAAAACATGAGCTCAGTGGGAGAGTTCTGTTTTCTCTTAAAGATCATCAGAGGCCTGGGCAGACAGACACCTCACATTATGGCCCTACAGCAGCAGATGGACCTGAGGATGCCCACATTTCACCAGCAATATTGGCAGCAATGTGAACTAGGGCAAAAGTAGGTCAATTGCAAATCCAACCGTTTTCTACTTTGTAGTGAATATAACCTGTGTTTTTGGAGTGGGAGGGTAAGGCAGAGGGCAGAGTTGCTCATTAAGGGGATAACAGGATATGCCAGCTAGTTCTGCAGGCAAGGACTTTGAAGTTCTGATATGGAGAAATAAAACAGTGATAAAATTGTCCCTGGTGTTTTGGTGCAGTGTGCGTATGGGTTACATAAACAAGCTCCATGCATATTTTGAAAGTTACTCTATATTGTTCATTTTCCTATTGATATTTTGTACTATGAGTTTAATGCAAATTTGGCTGAAAGAGGTCAAATGAAGCACAAAAAATGGTGATGTGATAATAATATAATTAAATAATTTATATGCACCTCTTTTTTCCTTTCAAAAAGTAATTATGCTAAATACATTGTGGTGTTCCGAATCAGCGTTTGAAACAGAAGAATAGCATTAATGGAAAAACTGATGAAAGCCATACAAAGTCTAGAATTCAATTAGTAATGATGTACTGATGTGGGTTTCTCAGCTGTGAGAAATGTCTTATACTAAGATGTTAACAATAGGAGAAATTGTGCAAAGGGTTTATGTGGATTCTCTGTACTTTCTTTGCAACTTTTCTGTAAATTTAAAAAGTTCTGGAGTAAAACGTTAATTAGAAAAGTAGTTAGGACTCACATATTCTCTACCACGTTACTTTTCCCTCAAATTTCCAGCTGAAGAGCCAACTCATGTGACATTTAAAAAAATTTATGGATATATAATAGTTGTATATATTTATGGGGTACATGTGATATTTTGATACAAGCATACAATGTTTAATGATCAGATCAGAGTAACTGGGATATCCATCACCTTAAAAATGTACCATTTTTTTGTGTTGGAAACATTTCAAATCCATTCCTCTAGTTATTTTGAATTACACAATAAATTATGTAAACTACAGTCACCCTACTGTGCTACCAAATACTAGATCTTATTCCTTCTAACATTTTAACATTACAGACTCAAAATATTGGCACATGGTTTGTACAAGCTTTCAATCTAGCTGCTGCTTATTCTAAAGAAAACTCAAGAAAGGAAATCCAGCAGTTAACATAGTTAAATTTGATGCACACTATCAGTTACAAATAAGCTGTATATTTGCTACTTTATAATTTGCTTCAGATTAATTTTCAACTAGAAATCTCTTCTTGTATTCTTTTTTGCATGTTTTATGCAATGTTAATTTTGTAATAATTTTACTTTAATTTTTAGTTTAGTAGCCAATCAAAGTGCAAGCAGAGAATAATACGTATGCAAAGCATGCTGTCATGTGCTCTATGGCACTCTTTCCCAAGCAATAACCCAGTTCTACCATCAGGATGAAATTTCTAACCTTCATTCTTCCAGTTTATCTACTCTGGAGGTGAACAAATGCCTCATAAAACAGCCCAATGGTGCAATTATCACTTTAGTATTAGAGGGACACTGGAAAGTGCTAAAATTCCACATTAGATACAACATTTTATTGTAACTATAAACTCACAGTGGCCTTTAGGTATTTGCTACAGTGTTAGTAATGATTCATACTTGGCATCTGACAAGAAATGGAAGGATGCCTTATTTGATAAAACCAGTATAAGGAGATTAAGAGACGAGTTTAGGGTAAATTGTGTGGAAGATAATGGTTCATCAAATATCCAGTGCCACACTTCAATAAAGTGCTGGCAATTTAACATGTTTCATGGCAAAATATGATGTTTCAAGTTAAATATTACTATCTATGATTTTCAAAGCACATAGTGATGCCCTAAGCAGTCTTAACAGGTGGAGACATAAAGCAGGCTCTCTTCCCATTTCTTTATTTACACAAATAGCTGCCAGCATAATTCTAGGTTATCAGATTGAACAGAGCTTAAAAGAACATCACTAATATTTGATGTATCTTTTGGTTAGTCTAAATTATAAATTTCTTATTTTGAATTAATTCTACTTTTCTCTGGAATTTATACCCACAGTATTTTTCTTTACTTTTGACAATTCAGAGAAACACTGAAGGAAAGGATTATTTTGTAAAGAACAATCAAATCCCTTTTACTCTCATTGCCTTAAACAAACGTAGATTTATGGAGAATCCTCTTCACAGTATTTCTGTATTAAAAAATGTTATCATCACTATAAAACTATAATGCCTTTTAAATTTTTAAAATGTAACATTAGATAAGTAATGTTTTCTGTTTTCATATGGATTTTATAATTATGCTAGATAAATAATATTACATCAAGTGGGGTCCTATCCCAGAATTCGTTGAACAGTTCATCTGCTGTAGAACCTTTCAATTTCTTTCAACATTTTTTCATTGTAGATAACATTGCAATTGGCATCTTTATGCAGCTATCTTTTTTTGTATAATTACGTTCTTAATATAAATTTCCCAGAAGTGGGATTATTGCCTTAAAGCAGTAGCAGTGTTATAGTTCTTAAGATATATTTCCATATCGTTTTGTAACGTGTTTTGTCATTTTGCTGTCCTGCTTTCATGCACAGACATTTAATGAAACATGCCATATACATTAACTGAACTCATGTTTACATTATGGTTCCCCCAAATACCATTTGGGTAGAGAAGTTAGAGACATTCACTTATATTTTTGCTATAGAAAGAAGTATCCTCTATTTTATTTAATTTTACTTTAAAGATAGAATACATCTGCCTAGGATATGAGCAACCTTTTGTTTTTGCCTTTCCAGATTTTAGAAGCTGTACTATTACCAGATTGCACATTAAGTATCAGTATTTTACAATAGCAAATGTTGCTACCTAGCTTTATATTGGTTGATTTAACTTCTCATTTTTTTTTGTCTAGGTAAAATATAATCTAGTTCTAATGTTTATAGTACTTTAAGTAAGATGTCAACTTATTTGTGTCTGTTATTTAAAAAGTGACACCTAAGGATTTTCTGCTAACGTAGTTTTTATTTGCATGTAAAGCTGCATAGTGTTATATTGAACAATAAACACTGTTACATAATTAGTTGTGAGGACTCATTTTAATTAAAGTAGATTATAATCATAATATATTATAACATATATATAATCATAACATATATAATAAAACATTCAAGACTACTCTTAGTATCAGTGACAGCAATTATAGAAACTGTGAATGTTGGGTTAGTCTGATCATTGATGTTATAATGGTTACATCTGATTCTATTATTATTAGATAATAATGCATTGCTACTGATTAATGAACTGTGAACAATGCAAAATCATTTAGAAAAACAACAAGATCAAATAAACCAAAAGATCTATTTTAGTTATAAGCATATAATAATTCTTATATTCTCAAGGTGTACTTGCTTTCATTCAGTTGACTTTCTTCTATCTCAATATTTCTGTATTAATTGGTATGATCCTAATTACAGAGAAAATGATATGTGGGGAACAGAATAGATTTCTGCTCTCACTCTGCTATATCAAACTGTATAGAGGATATCATCAAACTATTTGTATTTAAATTTGCCAATTTAAAAACTCATAATCATATGATGAGAAATAAGTGATAATATGAAACTATTAAGTTGTGAAAAAAATTAGAAATTGGTGAAGGCTCACCATTACCTTGAGGGACACAAATAAATTAGTACAGCCTCCTCTGTTGAGTGATTTTGAGGGTGGGTTTAGGTATAATTTGACTACTAGGTTTTCAGAGGGTTACTCTGTTATCCTCAAATGTTGCTCTGTTATCCTCAGAGGTCAATTATGCAATCATTAATTGTCTTCATTTTGCTAATTTTTCTGTAAGAGGAAAGACATTCACACATTAGCCCTAACTGTTTCACTTCAGCTTAGGTACATTTGATATAACTTCTGGGATGGGCAGGGGAGAATGAGGCATTTTCCAGTGAAGTGTAGCCATTTCTTTTCAGCAAACTAATCTGATTAGAGTTCTAATAAATCCAACTAAACTGAAATGTCTTTGTGTAAAGCAACTATGTGCAATAAACAACTAAAACTTCATAAATCATTTGAGATTGAACTGTCCATAATAGAAATTGCTTGACAACCACTTTGTCCTGTAGACTGCCCTCTTGTTATATCTACATAAGCCTGCTCCATAGAAGAAAAGTGAGATGATTCCAGGTAAAGGAGGCATGAGTAAATTTGCCTCTGAAATACTTGCTGCTCTCAGTGGTGACCTTATTGCATTGTGTTTCTCTCTTTTTATCAATCACTAATTCAGATACCATAAAACAGTTTGGATTTAGAATTCTGAAACCTGCTGTCTGTATATTTCATATATAATATTTGCATAAATTATCCACATATATTTAGATAATTTCTTTATTTGTTCAGCATGCATTTTTTAAATAATTAGTATATGTGATGCTTTTTCTGGATACCTTAAATATGAGGATAAGAAGACACACTTTCTATTTGTGGGGTGTTCTATCTGGTATTAGAGATAGGAATTTAAAAAATATGTATTTGCAACATTGGATAATTAAAACAATAGTAAAAATATTATTATGCATATTTTTGGCATTGCAGTATATAGTATCATGCAAATGCTCCACTCAGTTCTTTTGCTGTTGAAAGCATAGTTGATTGATGGCCCCAGCTGCTGTCCCTCTGTGTCTACCACTGACTTGTGCCCAGACACCCCCCACCTCTGGCTGCTCTCAGCCAATGACTGAGCACTGCAGGCATAATAAGACAGGCCCAATCTAGCCGGACATAAGACTTCTCCCACAGGTAATATTGGATCGAAGACTCTCCATTGGCCTGACTAAACATCTTTTGGACCTGGGGTGCAGTCTGAGACTTTTCCTTCATGATCTTTTTTCCCCTTGTCCTTTACGGGTGCCAGACTTGCTGCTCCATTAGAAGAACCTCCCTACCTTCTCTTGCTTCCTCTCCTTTACATTTCACAGGCCTTTTCTTCAATAAATCTCTGTACGTCTAATCTCATCTTGTTGTCTGCATCTTGGAGGACCTGAACTAATGAACCATATGTATTGAAGGCTTACTTTGTGGCAAGAATGAACTAAATACATTATCACATGTCCTTTCCTCAGAGCAAGCCTGTATGCTAAGTCTCCAATAAGCCAATTTTACAGATGAGGAAATTAATACTTGGAGACATTAAATGACTAGACTGAAATCATATGGCTAGCAAGAGATGGAGCTGGAATTTGTAGCCCTCAAATTTATACCAGCCACCAAGCTGCCACTATACTTAACTGCAAAACCATAACAACTGGTAAAAGAAATGTAGAAGCACAAAAGAAATGATTGTCCTGATATATGAGAACATATACTAAACAGTATGTAACTTTTTATGTAACGTATTTTGTCATTTTGCTGTCCTGCTTTCACGCACAGACATTTAATGAAACATGCCATATATGTTAACAGAACTCATGTTTACATTATCGTTCCCCCAAATACCATTTGGTTAGAGAAGTTAGAGACATTCACTTATATTTTTGCTTTAGAAAGGAGTATCCTCTATTTTATTTTATTTTTATTTTAAAGATAGAATACATCTGCCTAGGATATGAGCAACCTTTGGTTTTTGCCTTTCAAGATTTCAGAAGTTGTACTGTTACCAGATTGCACATTAAGTATCAGTATTTTACAATAGCAAATGTAGGTAGTAGGTAGGGTAGTAGGTAGCTGGCTAAAAGAGGATTTAAAAAGCACTATGGCATTAATCATAAAAAGACAAATGACCCAACAAGAAAAATAGGTAAAGGATATGAATAGACATTTATCCAAGAAGATATACAAATGGCTACAATACACATGAAAAGATGCTTAGAATCCTTAGTAACTAAGAAAATGCAACACAAAATCTTGATGAGATTCTACTTCATGCCTAATAAAATGGCTGTAATGAAAGAGACAGACAATAACATGTGTTCACAAGGATAGGGAGAAGTTGAAACCCTGGAATATCACTGGCAGAAACGTAAAATAGTGCAGCCACTTTTGAAAACAGTTTGGCAGTTTCTCAAACAGTTAAACCTAGAATTAACATATGACCCAGTAACTGCACTCCTGGTTATTTACCCAAGAGAATTAAAAATGCAAGTCCAAACAAAAACTTGTATATAAATGTTCACAGCAGTATTATTCATATAGCAAAAAGTGCAAACACCCAAGTTTCATTAACCGATGAATGAATATTAAAAAATATATATCTACATAATGGAGTGTTATTTGGCCACAAAAAGTAATGAAGTACTGAAGTATCCTCTAACATGGAAGAACCGTGAAAACGTACTAAAAAAAATTAAGCCAGACATAACAGGCCATGTATTATATGACTACACATTTATTTAAAATCTAGAATAGGCAAATCCATAAAGGCAGAAAGTAGACTAGTGATTGCCAGAGATTGGGGGAAGACACAACTGGGAGTACCTGCTTACAAGGAGTTTTCTTTTGGGGGGTGATGAAAATATTCCAGATTTAGATAGTGGTGATGATTATGTGATTTTTGTGAATATACTAAAAATCTTTGAATTGCATACTTGGGAAGGGTGAATTTTGTGGTATTTGAAGTATGTCTCAATAAAAGGACACTCAAAAGGTTAGAGAAAATGTTTAAATACAGTTAAAATTGTCATAATTTCTTTTTCTCTGTGTTCACAAAGACACCCCATCCAAATATCTGTAGAACATGATTTGAAAACCAATGCTTTCAGGGTCCGAATGAAAATGAAAATTAAAGCAAGACAACAATAACAATTTAAAAACCAACAATGTTGGACAGCATATTATCTCTGGATTGTAGTTCAAAGGAGAAAGTGGAAAGAATGTGGTGAAAATCAACATCCAAATAAATTAATTTTCCAAAGGAGTGTAAACTCTCACCTGAAGACAATGGTGAATCATTACCAGCTTTTGCACAAAGGAGTGAACTGGTTTGAATTGTGTTTCAAGACTAAAGTTCAAGGAGCAGAAATTTTTTTAAGTACGTTTTCACGGTTCTTCCATGTTAGAGGATACTTCAGTACTTCATTACTTTTTGTGGCCAAATAACACTCCATTATGTGGACAAATGTTATCAGGGAGAGGCTGGATGCAGGAAGGTCTGTTGGGAAGTCCATGGTGATAGTTCAGATAGGAGGACTTGATCTAAGATAGTGGTATTGGAGATGGAGGTGGAGGAAAGGCTAGAGTTACTTTTGTAGTAGAATCCACAGGACTTGGGTCAGAAGTGAGGACGGAAAGAGAAAGAAAAATTGAAATCCTGCCATCTCCTGCTTGGGCACCTGGATACATTACAGAACATTACAGATACATTACATTAGCTTACATTGGGAATCTAAGACATTAACAATGAAAGTTGGAGATAAATATTTATTTGAGTATTTTGACTTTGCGGTGCTTGCAAGACATTTGGGTACAATTCTCTTTTCATAATTCGAGATATGAATCCAGGACACAGGAGAATGATTTGGAGTAACAATCTGATATCAGCCTGTTTTCTCCATGAAATTACTTTGCTCCTGACCTTTTACTATTGTTATATACAAAGAGTTCATTCATGTACACTGCCTCAAGGCATTTGTTTGTTTGTTTCATTGCAAAATGAATGCAGTTTCATTGTTCTTTCTTGAGTTTCAAAAGAGAAGTCTGAATCCAGGGAAGAAAGAGTTGCTTTCAGACAAAATTATTTTTTTGTGTTGTAATATTCTTGGCATTTTACACCCTAAGCCAAAAATACCATAAGCAACAGATTTTTTTGGAAAAATGCAAACACCCATGCAGATAGCATGGACACTATGGTTGAGAGTTGCCTGGCTAGGGATGGCAGTAATTGGAAAGTATTTACAATACATTAAGTCCCTTGGGTTTCCTCAAGACCTCGACCCCTCATTTCTCTAAAGCTCAATCTTGAAGGTAAAGGCTGATGGTATGTGGGGGTGGGATGGGTTAGTCAGATTTGTGTGCATTTTTCCTGGAAGAAAACCAGAAGTTGTAGCACGTCCTTGTTAGAATTCCTATCCACTGGAATAGGCAGACAGCTGGAAGTAAAGACCGCAGGTATTGTTTAGTTTTAAGTAATCCTATGAGAGTCCCCCATAAATTTTCTGTGTGCACCAAAGAACATCTAAGAGCTTCTAGGTCACTGAGAATGATTTGAAGAAAATGCCTCACTTTCCTCATCTGTAAAATGGAGAATTGATATGGGAATTAAATGAGTAGAAAGCTATAGAATACTTAAAATAGTGCCTAGCATATGCCACGTGTTCAAAATGAATTATCATTATTAGTGTAGAATTGGGAAAGAATAAACTGAAATCTACCCTAGCCTCACCTGGCTGTGGGTATTGCAAACACCCAAGTAGGAAAGGTTGTAAGCTGACACCAAAACTTTTTATTCATTATAAATATCTGTATGTTTGTGGTGTGTGTTTCTGCATGAGCACCTACAGTTCAATATGTACAATATCCACAACTAGTAGGTACCCATAAAAATTTTTAAAAGAGTAAATGTACCAGTCCTCAATGGTTGTACCATTAAGGACTTTTGCTGCTTATTTTTTTATAGAAAGTCTTGAGTTACAGAGTCCACTTAATTATGCTTAAGTAATAGTACTTGAAGTGGGTTTACTACTTTGATATCATAACCACTAATTTCATTTGGATTCCTCAGTTTGGTAAACTCCATTACAAAGTCTTATCAAACTGATACTCTAGCCAAATGGGGACTTGATTGGACTTTAACTGACCCTTCAATTGACTGGAGAATAATGCAGACTCACCATGTTTATTTAATGTGTTCCCTCTTTAGAGTAGAGGTCTGGATACTGCCTCCTGGTTCTGCATCCTATTAGATGTCTGTCCAACTATACCAAATGCAATTTTTTGGTCTACAAATTACTCTTGAAAATAAGGTGAGGCATTCATTTAGTCTCTAAGATCAATTTAGGGGGTTTAAATACTTGAAGGTGCTAACGTCAGAGACAGAAAAGTAGTTTACAATCTATAACTCACGATTCCATCTTTTTCAAAGATGTTATATTAAATTTGCTTATTTTATCATATTTCTAAAAATGTGAAAACTTGATTGCCAGAATTCCTCTGGCATAATTTTGTCTTTGACCTTGCCAATGTGTTGGGCTTTGGGGAGTGAAGTGTGACATTATTCAGGAGTTGGGATCAAGGCTGAGGTTCACTGCCATCCCCATAGGAAGACTTCACTCAACACTGGGCAAAAAGAGCCAAGGGACATTCAGGAGGAGACCTATCCATGAGTAAAGGCACGAGATGAATGTGGATGTCTTGTTAACGACTAAGTAGGCAGTGTTCCATTCAAGAGAAGAAATGTCTAATTGTGGTACAGTGGGATATTTGGGTGGAAAGTAGCTAAGTAACTCCAAGAAGGGAGAAAGATTTGAACATGAAGAAAGTAAGTGTGGACTTCGGTTGGCAGAAATAGAATAGAAACTATGACAGAAATCTTAAGCCTTTAAGGAAATAAAGATCCCTTGTCTTTTCAAAAGTATTAGGTATATCTTGCCTATAGGATAGTCTTTCATGGTATAAGAACAGAGAATGTTAACTTAGTAATACATTTTCTACACTTGGAAATGGAGAAGAGTATAGGTCAGGAATCTTTACAGGTATTGGCTTTTAAAGCTGTCAGTTCTATTTGATAACTTTGATTCAGGTTTACTGGTTGATCATTCCTACGGCAGGCAATGAAGGCACTCTGAATATCAGGGAAAGGTGTTCTACCTGGAAAATACAGTCATTAATTCAGATTATTTGATATTATTTAGTATGAAATAAAAAATAAAAATTTAAATAAAACAAAAATGCTTGATGCACTAGATAAACTAGTTGCATTCAACTCTCCCTGTATTTGTCAAAGAGACAGGAGAATTTTAAGGACAACTACCTACTGTGTTGTCTTCAAAGAACCATAATATATATTGCCTTGTGTTGTGCTCATAAATGAGAAAGTGTGTATGTATTGTTCTTGCACTACTATAAAGAAATACCTGAGACTGGGTAATTTGTAAAGAAAAGAGGTTTAATTGGCTCATGGTTCTGCAGGATGTACAGGAAGCATGGCTGGTGAGGCCTCAGGAAACTTACAATCATGGTGAAAGGTGAAGGAGAGGAGGCGAGGCATGTCTTTCATGGCAGGAGCAAGAGGAAGAGAGAGAAGGGAATTGTGTCATGCAGTTTTAAACAACCAGATTTCATGAGAACTCACTCACTATCATGAGAGCAGCACTGAGGGGATGGCATCAAACCATTCATGAACAATCTACCCCCATTATCCAATCACCTCCCACCAGACCCCACATCCAACATTGAGGATTACAATTGAACATGAAATTTGGATGGGGACACAGATCGAACCATATCAAAGAGGGAAGTCATTTGCAAAAATAAGATGTTATAAGTATGCCACTGGTTGAAGAGGAAAAGGATAATGCAGACCCACTGTTTGTTACAGGACTGTGGCTAACAACATATAGTTCTCCACATCATTTTGTGACACCATCTGGTAAATTATGACATTCATTTAATTGACCCATGCGGAAGTAAATTTCTGTTTCAGGCAAAGCTGCATGAATAAAATGAAAGAAAATAAACTAGTTTTACTTAGTGAGTTCACAATTCTTATACCCCCATCCCTCGATAATTCTAGAAGTTTCTTTGGGTTTTTCTATTTTTGTTTGAGTTTGGAAACAAGAAACTATTAAGTGGCTCTATAAACATTTAAATGTTTTACTACCTTGGTTCCTAATCACATTAAAGAAGCAGTGGGGAGCAAGAAAGGAGAACCAGGCAAAACAATACATAAACATTCCATATTTCACAGCTCTAACTATTCAATAAAGGTGGGGGCATTAATTATAGGTTCAGAGGAAATGTACTTTATTGGATAAATTTACTATTTTAAAGACTCTTCATGAAACTTGCAGAAAATTAGAAAAGAGAGGAAAATTTATTGAGAATCTTGCATCTCTATATTCTGTTTTGGTGTCTGTAGTTACCGTGTGTGTGTGTGGGTGTGTGTGTGTGGGTGTGTGTGGGTGTGTGTGTGTGGGTGTGTGTGTGTGTATTTACAGTAAAGTCATATGTTACATCTTCTTTTGTAATTTTATTTTTTTAATTTTTGAGACAGCATCTCACTCCATCACCCAGGCCTGCAGTGCTATGTTGCGATCATGGCTCAGCTCACTACAGCCTCAGCCTCTGGGGTCCAGCAGTCCTCCCATCTCAGCCTCCCCAGAAGCTGGAACTACAGTCGTGTGCCATTATGCCAGGTTAATGTTTTGTAGAGGCAGGGTTTCGCCATGTTACCCAGACTGGTCTTGAACCCCTGGGATCAAGCGATCCACCCGATTCAGCCTTCCATAGTGCTGGGATTCCAGATGTGAGCCACCCTGCCTGGTCTATCTTGTTTTATAAATTAACCTTTTGATATTTTTTGCACCACCTTGATAGCTTATTTTAAAAAAAAAAGACTTGATCCTTAGAGCAGTCTTAGATTCACAGCAAAATTGAGTAGAAAGTACAGAGTTTCCCTATACTTACTGCCACCACACAAGCACAGCCTCTCCAAAGTGGAACATTTTGACCTTTATTTTTGAAGTTTAGACACCAGAGAAACATATTCAATGTAGTTATTTAAGAGAAAACTTGCATTTAGTACTATAGACTATGCAATTCAGGCATTTGAAACACACCCTTGCTCACAGAGATCCTGAATCACATGAAGATGATGTTGTAAGTTAATTCCAGAAATAAGATCAAAGCTAAAAAATCTTTGATGTCTATTGTTTCTCTCTAGTTTTGTTATTGTCCCCTCTTCTAATCCTTGCAGCATTGTTACAATCCAATTATCTATGAGAACTTTAACTTCTATAGCTATCACTATCCATTGTATTTCCGAATCATTATCTGTGCTTTCCTTGTTGTTTTCAACTGTTTCAAAACAACAAGAGCTCTTGGTTTAATTGGCATACTTTGCAACATATTCAATTTTATGTTTGTATCTTTTCACATTTTAAAAATTGTTGATATAGAGGTTATATAATATGTAACATCATATATTAAACAAATATACACACAGAGTGAGTACGTGTATATAAATATACATATATATGTCTATATGTGTGTGTGTGTATATATATATATACATACATATACACACACACACACACACACACACACACATATATATATGACTTACCCCAGAGTACTTACTACCAGAATATAAGTGACTCTCTTTCAGTCCTGGCCACAAACAGCTTTTTCTGAAATCTGATGCTTGGGTCCTGCCCCTTAGCCAATTGAATCTGAAGTTTCAGGAATAAGGCCTGGGCATCAATATGGTTGTAATGTGCAAGCAAGTTTGAAAACTCCTAATGTAGCCAAGCGCGGTGGCTTACACCTGTAATCTCAGCACTTTCAGAGGTCGAGGCAAGAGGATTACTTGAGCTCAGGAGTTTGAGTCCCACCTGGATAACATAGAAAGACCCTGTCTCTACAAAAAAAAAAAAAAAGGTAAAATCTATTGGCTGGGCATGGTGGCATACATCTGTGGTCCCAGCTATTTGAGAGGCTGTGGTGAGAAGACTGCCCAAGCTGAAGAGGCTGAGGCTGCAGTGAGACATAGTAATAACACTGCACTCTGGTGTGACAGAGTGAGATTCTCTCTCAAAAAAAGAAAAAAAATAAAAATTATTTAAAATATAAATAAAACTACTAATGTAAATGTTGGGCTTAGCTGTTTCTTTCATTAAAACGAAGGTTCCCAGTAGGTGTAGATTAAGGAGTTTTGTACAGAAATCCATAGAGAACCGCCTTTGTCCATGAGAATTTCTCTAGATTTAGAGCATCCTCACCTAGGCTTTTGTGCCCACTCTGTGTCTCCTCGTGGCTTTTCATACTTTTCAAATTTTGTATCTTTTATTCAGTTATCCAGGGAGCTGATCATGGTCAAATATTTCAATTTTTCTTCTAAAGTACATATTTGTTTTGCCTATCTTACACGTGTTCTGTTAACAGATATTTCAATTCCCACCCACTTTCTGACATTTCTACTCCTTACTTTTGATTTGGCACTGAAAGCAGAAGGTGAATCTACTTTTCTATATGACTGAGATAGGATGCATACTAGGTGGACAAAAGCAATGTGTATTAAAGAGATGAAATTCACGTGTGTGTGCGCCTCTCAAGTAGCTGGGACCACAGATGCTTGGTACCATGCACAGCTAATAGTTAGTTTTTACTATTTTTTTGTAGAGACAGGGTCTTGCTGTATTATCCAGATGGTTCTCAAACTCCTGGGCTCAAGTGATCCTCCTGCCTTGACTTCCCACAAGTGCTGAGATTTTGGCTACACACACACACGTGCACACACACACACACACTCACACATCCAAATGCCAAAAACCTTCCTTACTAAATCTCTTAAATGAAGTGTATTCAAATAATGAAACTCTCATATATTATACCAATTTATCCTTCCCTCAAACAACATCTTCAGAAATACTTTGCTATACTTCATGTCCCCATTTTCTTTTAAACAAACAATGTATTAATCATGGTCTCCTGTTTCACAGAATTCCACCTGGAGCTGTCATTCACTCTGCATCAACTGAAAATACTTCAGAGCCTTCTCTTGTGCTCTTCCCCTTTCCCAACAGTTTCATACATAATCTATGGGTAATTCTACAGCACTATTTTTAATGACTAAGTATATCTCTGATCAGGATGTGGCAATCACAGAATAATAAGCGTAATCACACCAAGAAAGACTTTGTTGCTTTGTCTCTGGAATATGCCTATTAGAACCTGCACCTGTTCCAAATCTGGAACTGCTTTCAGGTTGTCAAATATCAGTTATCAGTGGACTTCCAATGAACCTTTTCTGAAAGCAGAATCAATGCAGTTTCCTTGAAACATTATCTCATTTGGCTTGTACATAGTAATCCTGAATTGTTTTATGGGGTGGGGGGAGACATATACAACAGAAATCAAAAAATTAAAATGAAGATTTATGTGCATCATTTTCCAGTTTAGAGAACAATTATTCTTTTGAGAGATGGCTTTTTAAAGAAATAACTTGTATATATGTTTTCTGTTTTTATGAATGATTTACTCTTAATATGCTGAAATTTGGAAATCTCACAGAACCTGAAATACTAAAGCCAAAGTAGATGAGTGTTGATTTAATAGATTTCACTTGGCATTGTTAGAGAATTCTTAAATTACATAATTCAAGGTTATTCCCAGAGAATAAGTTATGTTATTGTTCTACAATGAAGTTGTTATCTTTCATGTCAAAACATAAGGTATATTTTCTATGCAAATTTGATAAAATGACTTCTTATTCTATTCTATGCAAGGAAGACTATTAAATTGTTTTTCATTGTGTCTCTAAATCCCATTTAGTCAGTGGTCAATGGGACATTACCTTTTAATCTGAAAACATATAACTATTTTATAAGTCTCATTCATCTGAATTATATTAGCATTAGTTATCAGTTGAGAAAAGGGGGAAATGTAAAAATTGTAAAATGGGTACTATCACATAAGCAAGTTGGTAAGTGAGTCAATGCTATGAGAATTTCAGAAAAAAGAGCTCTGCCACAGTCTAATTTTTTTTCATATTCTGAAGATCATCTTCCTTCTCATACTCACTCACATCTTCCTTGACTAAAGCTGCTATTCAGATGAATGGAAGCTCTCCATAGAGGAGACACACAAGGGTGAAGAGCTGAATGAGAACAGGGGTGATGATGAGCAATCAGAAATCCTGCGTAATTAAATGACAGCTTGCTGACTTCAGCCAAGAGCATTAAAATGATTTCAATGGACATTAGACGTCTTCGATGAGATCTTAGTCGGCTGTGACATTACCCTTAAAGGAAGTCTGTGCTATCTGGAGAAATACCATTTCAGAGATCAGACTGAATTGCAGCTATGATCATACTCATTAGCAGTCAGTTAGAATGTTCTCTTTCAATGTCATATCTGGCATTCTTGGATATGAGATTGCCTGTGTCACAATGGCCTCTGGCATTTTTCAGTCTTCTGGGCTGATTTCCTGAGTTTAAGGTATCAGTAGTCAATTTTCATGATAGTCCTATGACTCAACAATTATTTATTGAATGTTTACAAGGAGCCACCATTGTTCTAAAACCTAGGGTGTCTAAGACAAATGGAAATGTTACTACACACAAATATTTTACACTATATTGGTAATAAACAAACACCAGTAAATAATAACAAATTATGTAAAATGTTGGAAATGGAATTTGTTCTCTGCCTTCATAAACTTGAATTGTTTATGTTGTCTACTGGTTGCCATTAATTTTTAATGGAGGAGTGTGCTGTCCAAAAATGGTGAGCATCTGACTTTTGTTGGCCTGTTAGTCTGTCTTGTTATCCATGTTTTCCTTTTCTTTTATTATGAAAATGTATATAATCTGCTTAAAAATTATCTTCTATATGTTTATTATGTATTTCAGTATCTTTACTGATAAACACTACATTTCAGTGAATATTTTTATAATAAAATCAAGCAAAATAATATGTGTTTAAAGTATAAAGCCCTCTGCCATATATATATGTATATACATATATGTATATACATACAACATATATACATATATGTATATACATACAACATATATACATATATGTATATACATACAACATATATACATATATGTATATACATACAACATATATATACATATATGTATATACATACAACATATATATACATATATGTATATACATACAACATATATATACATATATGTATATACATACAACATATATATACATATATGTATATACATACAACATATATATACATATATGTATATACATACAACATATATATACATATATGTATATACATACAACATATATATACATATATGTATATACATACAACATATATATACATATATGTATATACATACAACATATATATACATATATGTATATACATACAACATATATATACATATATGTATATACATACAACATATATATACATATATGTATATACATACAACATATATATACATATATATGTTGGTTTGTCTTAAGAAAATGGGACAGAGATGTACCTACAACCTTGAACTTTGCTATTTATTTTTAAAACATCAAAGTAATATATGCAGATTTATCTCACTCTGTTTTAATAGCTGCATAGTATTTCATTATATGGCCATATCATGTTCTATTAATTTGAAACCATTTGAAAGACATTAGATTGGTTCAGAATTTTCAATAATACTAACATCCTTGTACATATGCAGTCATTTCTATGAAATATGAAGGGTTGGTGGAGGCAAATGCATTTTAAATTTAGAGTTACTGCCTAATTGGCCAACAGAATTTTTATGCCAACTTGTACTGTCCCAGTTACATCTGAAAATACCTGTTTCCCCACTAGAATGTTGACTCTTCAAGGACATAGCCTTATCTGCATTTCCACCACTATTTTTGGTTATGTCACTTGTCTACTTAAATCCCTTCGGTGGCTTCTGATTGCTTTCTACAATCTGTTCCCTCCTCATCTCCTCGCCTCTTGCTTCCTGCACTCCCCACACTGATTTCTCTTTTAGTTTGTCACATGTATTTGCTCCTTCTTACCTCACATTTTTGTTCACATCATGAATTTTTCTTGGAAAGTACCTTGTCCTCCTCTTTGCCCTGCTAATTTTGACTCATCTGTTAGAATTCAGATCAAATGTTAATTTCTCAAAGGAAACTTCTCTTGCCCTGATTAATTTAGTTCTGATATTATTAACTCCTGTAGGAGCCATAATATCTCATTTATAGCACTTTTCACTATTTAAATTTGTATTTTGGTGCGTGATTATTTTTTAAATGTCTGTCTCATCTGCTAGCATGTAAGCTCCATGAGGACAGGAAGCAAACTTTCCTATCCACCAGGAAATCCAAATCCTCAGCAAACCAGCTTTTTACATGGTAGATGCTTTGTAAGTAGATGTTGAATAAAATAATGTATCCCTAATCCCTAGTGCTTAGCAAAATACCTAAGACACAGTAAACACTCAATAATGTATTGTTTAATAGAATGTTTTTTATGTCTGTTCCCAACATTAGCTATTATATTTTCAAAAATTCATGCCAACTTAAAGAAAAAAACTCACTGTAATTTCATTTTCATTTCTTTAATTATAAGATCAATCTATTTTCATGTGTATTTTTTCATGTTTATTATTATATTTAATTTATTTGGTGAATCCTCTATTCTCATTATTTTCCTATAGTTCAGTTGGGATAAAGAGAAGTGTCTATTTTTTACTATAGATCAGCAGTCCTGAAACTTTTTGGCACCAGGGACCATTTTCGTGGAAGACAATTTTTCCATGGATGAAAGAAGAGTGGTAGATGGTTTCAGGATGAAACTGTTTCACCTCAGATCATCAGGCATTAGATTCTCATAAGGCACGCACAACCTAGATCCCTCACATGCACAGTACACAATAGGGTTCGTGCTCCTATGAGACTGGAATGCTGCTGCGGACCTGACAGCAGGAAGAGCTCAGGTGGTAGTGCTTGCTCGCCTACTGTTCACCTGCTGCTGTGCTGCCTGGTTCCTAACAGGCCACCAGCAGGAACTGTCCACAGCCCAGGGGTTGGGGACCCCTGCTACAGATGAAAATATGAAGATCCATCCAGCTTGTAGCTCATGCTATTGTGCTTCTGCAGCTTCTCATAGCAACTCAGGTGGGGAAAATATCCTCCCATTCATATTGGTTTGGAATAGGAATAGCACTGGGTGGTCACAGGAGGATGGAAAAACCGAAACAACAGCTAAAACAAAAACCAGGCAAAGAAACTACAGAATAACAGAAAACCCAAAATAAGGAAGAGGAAATAGCCAAAACCCCAGTCAGGGTGACATGTCCACGACTCTTTCAAACAAACCCAAGTAAGGGAGAAAGGGGGTGGTAACTGGGAAGCCTCGGAAATCCCCTCATTTTCCAGAATACCTAATAATTATTCCATCCACTTATTAAAGAAATACCTATAAAATAGAAATACTCAGTGGTCACAGGAGAATCAGAACATATCAAGCAGCAATTTCACACAGCAGCAAGAAAGGAGATGTTAAAATTAGCTACAAAGAGAAGGACGAGCCTGGGTTGATAAGACCAACAACTGGGGCGGGGGCTCCAGCTGCTTGAGACCACCTAAGTCCAACATAGCATTGGATTTGACCCACACCCAACCCCAGACCTAAATATATGCTCGTTACCATACTAAATCACTCACCCACCAGTGCAGTGGCAGATACAAGTATGCCCATATTTAGTATAAAAATGGGAGGCACCTCAATTCTAAGAAATCTCCGCCTTTTCCCTAGAAAACCTCATGATTATTCCACTCTCTAATTAGAAGAACCCGTAAAATTAGAAACCCAAACTCCATGTGTGCGACTCACTCTCCCCACTATGCCTGCACGCCCGCTCTTGAATGTGTACGTCCACTTTGCAATGAAAGTTCCTTGCCTTTTGCTTCTTTCTGACCCATCCCTGAATTCTTTCTTGCTGCCGTGTCAATAATCCGGACACCAGCTGGGGCTGGGATCTCACCAGCATCCGGAGACCCACTTAAGCCCTCCAGCAACAGTACCACTATTGTGAAAACTATAAACTCTGCTTCTAATGATGATTGATGGCTTTTCAAGAAACAGCTCCTTTAGTTCTCTTCTCCTCTCTCTATGATTCAGGAACAAGCCTTTTCTCTGACTTTGTCCGAATAATTTTTAGTATCTAAAAGGATGCTACTTATTGCTTGCTTTTTATTTGTGTATTCTCTTCTCACATCCCCCACTCTCGTTCCCCAAATCTCCCCTACCCCCACCCGCTACTGCCCCATTAAGAAGGAATTGTTTCAAAGAAAGACTGAGACTCATTCTTGGTCCCTGATGAATCTCCAGTGGCAACAACAGGACATGGAACATAGTAGGATCTCAATAATTATCCGTTGACTTATTGAGTGGCTGTCCTGTCCAGAGAGCACTGCAAGTTACAAGCATCAAGCTGTTAAAAAAATCATCCATCTCTTCCATCATTAACTGTTTTGATCCAGATCTGTGCTTCTTACTCATCTCTTCCACTTGGATGAGTTTTCCTGGGACAACTCTCAGTGTTTCAGAAAAGAAAGCCCATCCAGATATTAGCCCCAGATAAGCACAGGCCTATTCTTACCCTGGCAGGCATTGGAGAAGAGTGGGATGGATGGCTGTGCCTGCCAGGCGGTGGCTAGATGTCCAGATTCTAGATAAAACCATTAGAATTAGACATAGCTCCATATAACCTTGGGCATTCCACTTAATCTCCTGGTGCCTACTTTTCCCCAGCTGCTAAACGGGCTAACAAGAGTTCCTGCCTTGTAGAGTTAGTGTGAGGATTAATAGAAGTAATATATGTAAAGCACTTAAAGCAGTGTCTGGCATGTAGTAAGTGCCTGATAGATGTTGTTAGTATTCTATTAGTCTGGGCTCCTAGCTAGAATTATGTGTCTGTCTCCCTCCCTTGAGGTTAACAAGGAATCTGCACATAGAAAGGTGGTAGCAGATGTAGATCTGGCTTGTTTGCAAATTACTGCCCAGGAATTATTTTTTTCTAACCCTCATTTATGTAAAATGCCATACACTTTTCCTTTTCATTAATTGTCTGTGAATATCTGTGATCAGAGTGGGTATTATCCTATTTCATTTAAAAGTCTGAGGCATAGAAAGGTTAAATGATTTGCTCAAGGACATAACAAATGACTGGTGACTGGGAGATAGAAATTATATGACTTCTAGTACACTGCTCCAGACCAGGCTCATTCTATTTAGATGTTAAGTTCTTACTTAATATTACAGATCCAAGTGACCTGGACTCATCTCACATTTCCTGTATCATAGCGATATGCAGATGGTGAGTGTAAAAGCAAGGTTACAAGTCAAATGTTGTATCATAGACAGAAAGACTATAAAATTGAAACATGATCCTTTATATCATTCCACTTTTATTTGAGGCCTGTTCTTTCTCCTTACTCACATGAAAATACTATTTATTTGCTTTTTGGAGATGGCATATCCTAGTTTGAAATTATATCTGTCAATTGCAAAATAAAGTTACCAACTATACAAATAAAAAAAAGATCATCTTGGCAACTTCAAAAATAATAAAGTATGCTATTATAAGAAGTAAAGTTTTACACTAGCAGCAATTTATAATAAAACATTAAATTCATATTTATTGCATGAAAAATAAATTGGACCACATTTATACCCACTACTTTATAGCCACATGCTATATTAGAGGAGAAAGCTGTAATCCATAATGGAAATACACAAATAGAAAAATATTTCCTAGAGCTGTTTTGGTGACTGAGAGTAAGGTAAGCCTTTTGTTAAAATTACACATTGGTATTTCATGAATTGAAAGTTGGAGTTGTGATTTAGAGAAAATGGCACTGCAGGTTTCATCCAGTGCTGTGGAGTAGAATTCATCAGCCTGGGGGTGAGAGGAAGAAACAGCTCAGAGCAGCTGGCCATGGAAGCAAGGCAGAGCAGCTGGAAACTGCTGTGGGAAGTGGCAAAGGCAATGATCCCAGTGCCCCCAACAGCAACGGGGTCCAATAGATGAACAGTGTGAGCCATGCAATAGCAGTAGTGACCCCAGAGGAAGAAAACAGCGCAGTTACCAGCACCACTACTGACAATTATGCAAACAGGGACAAGAGTCAGGAGGTGTTCAGGCTGAAAGTGTGGGTCACAGCCATGAGAGGAAGAGGGCTGATAACTGTACACTGGGCACAACCTTTGGGTTTTTTCCATGCTGGATGAGGAAGGAAATACTGAAAAGAAATATATATCAAACTGAAAAAAAAAATCAGGGCTGGCTTGTAACTTCAGACACCACAGTATAGTAAAGCCCTAGGCCATTTCTGTTCACATAACATACAAGACTTCTGTTAATAAGTCTAATATCACAATGTACTGTGACTTATTGAACACTTATTCTATGTCAAACGTATTTTATCTCATGAGACTCTTACAAAAACCTTGCTAGGAAACATTGTTATGCCCAACTCCACAATGAGCATAATAATGTTTCCTAGCAGGGTTTTTGTAAGAGTCGCATGAGATAAAATGAGCTCCAAAAACACAAAATTAATCTTTAATGTCACCAATGGAGATGTCAAGATTACAGCAGGGACCATGAACTTTTCACCTAGCTTTACTACCTCTGCTTAGGAGACCATTGTCTCAGGAGTCTATAGTCTAAATCTGGTTATTAAAGCAATGCAACTAATTTGAAAAAGCAACATTTCCTGGAATACGGACTGTTAATTTGTCTTAACCATGTTTTACTGAGATTGTAGTCACTGCTTTTCTTGTATCTTTCTTTCTTCAGAGATAGAAATTGCTTGGCAAATTTCTCTGCTGCCATTTAAGAAACTTTGTATAACAAGTAAAATGAGACCCAATTCACATGGACGCATACAGAAAATAGACTTGTTTGTTCAGGTAATGGAAAAGTCACTGGGTATGTCTGGAGCTTCAAAACCAGTTTGATTCAGAGACTCGGGAATGTTACCAGAGCCCCAGCTACTACATCTCCTAACTGTCTAACTATATGAATTCCAAAAGTGTGCTGCCCCTTGGCCTAAATTGGGCAAAGTTAAAGCTAGAGAGGGCTTTGCCTGCCCATAAGCACTAAGAGTGGAGGAGTATGGGTTCCTGTAGATGGAAAGCCGGGTTAGTTCCTAGGACGGTGAACCTCTGGATGCTGGGCAGCAAAACACTCGTGTAGAGAAATAAATTCTAAGGGATAGAGTAAAAATCTGAATTGCAAGTCAGCACCAGGGGGTTCACTTGAGCTCTGTGAGTATGCCCTGAAGGCTACTGTAATATTGTTATAAAGGGGGTAATGGAAAGAGTTTACTTTGTATTTGTGATAGATGGAAGACTTTATTCTTCAAAATTTTTCCAAAAGAAATAATGTAATACATGAACATGGTGAATAAAGCAAACAGCCTGAGGAGACTATAATGAAAATAGAGGCCTCCCTCTCCCTCTTCATCACTCCCTGTCCCCTAAGTCTTTATCCCTCCTCTCCAATGTGACCACTGTAATAGATTTCCTGTGAAATTCCAGCAAAAAAGTATACATTGACATATGTTTTTGTTCCTCCAAATATTTATAATAGAAAATGAAGAAACATTTCCCAACTCATTCAAGGTTAGTACAATTCTTATCACAAAACAACAAAAAAAAGAGGTTATAAAAAAGACAAAGCTCAGGCCTGTGTAAAATCTTAAGCAAAATTGCAATTTGAATGCAAATGTATATTTAAAGAGACAATATACCGTAAGTGGGTTTATTCCAGGTACACAAGAATAGTTTCCATCAGAAAATCCATGAATATTGTTCATCACATTAACAAATCAAAAGAGAAAACAAATAATCATCTTATTAGATAGAAAAGCCATCTGATACAATAAATAACTCTTTAACATAAAACTTTCAGTAAATTGAAAATAGAAGAGAACTTCCCTATTCCGATAAGCATATCATTTATAATAAATCTGAGCAAATATCACCCTAAATGAAGAAACATTAAATCATATTCTTTAAAAGAAGGAATGACACAAGATGTCCACTCATTACTTCTAACGGCAACCCCAAATAGTATAATGAAACAAGAAAAAGGAATTAGAGGAATAAGGAGTGAAATGGAGGAAATTAAAATCCAGTTGACCCTTGAGCAACATCAGATTGACCTGTGTGCATCCACTTACACACGGATGTTTTTCAATCAAATGTGGACCGAAAACATAGTATTTGAGGATGCAAAACTTGGGTGTACTGAGGGCCGGCTTTTTCATTCATGGATTCTGCAGGGCCAACTGGGATACTTGACTATGCATGGATTTTGGTATCACAGGGGTCCTGGAAAAATCCTGTTCTGTATACTGAGGTATAACTGCATTATTATTTCTAGATGATAGAATTTTTTTTGATGATCCAAAAGATTCTACAAGCAAATCATTAGAAATTACAAAAATATATTCCCCAAGAGAGTTAGATATAAAATTAAATTTAAAAATCAGTTGAACTTCTATACCCAGTAATAAAGTACTTAACAATTAAAGAGAAGATAACAGATATAATATTATCAGAGAGTATTAAATACGATTAGGGATAAGTAAACAAAGGAAATGTAAGAAATTTGTAGGGAAATGATAAAAAATACTTTAAACACAAAAATTCTTCAAGGGCTATTAGATCATGCACAGAAACACTGAGTATGTGAATATATGAATTCTTACTGAATTGATCTATAGGGTCAATAAATTTACAATCAAAATCTAAACAGTTTTTGACTTAATAACGTTATTGAAATTGAGTTTTTATACTACACCAAACACTAAGATCAACTAAAAATAAATTAAAAACCTAAACATAGGCCGGGCATGGTGGCTCACGCCTATAATCTCAGCACTTTGGGAGGCTGAGGTGGGCAGATCACTAGGTCAGGAGATCAAGACCATCCTGGCTAACACGGTGAAACCCCACCTCTACTAACAATACAAAAAAATTAGCCAGGCCTGGTGGCGGGCATCTGTAGTCCCAGCTACTCAGGAGGCTGAGGCAGGAGAATGGTGGCGTAAGGGCGTGAACCCAGAAGGCGGAGCTTGCAGCGAGCAGAGATCGCGCCACTGCACTCTAGCCTGGGCGACAGAGCAGGACTCCTTCTCAAAAAAAAAAAAAAAAAAAAAAAAAAACCTAAAAATAACATAGGTGAAAGGCTTTGATACTGGCCTTGACAATGATTTTTTTGGGTATCACACCAAAAGCTCAGGCCACAAAAACAAACTAAATAAATGAAACTACATCAGATGAAATAGCTTCTGCACAGCAAAAGAAACAATCAACAAAATGAAAAGGCAATCTACAGATTGGGAAAAAATATTTGCAAACCATATACCTGATAAGGGGGTAATATCCAAAATTTACAAATAACTTACACAACAGCAGAAAATTAAATAACCAAATTAAGAAATGGGCAGAGGACCTGAATATACATTTCTCAAAAGAATACATAAAAATGGTCAAATATGTAAAGAAAGGTGTCCAACAATTTGCTAACTGAGCAGATTTTAGCCACTGTTACCTTACATAATGGATGAGTGTGAGATAATGAATATGTTAATTTGCTTCACTATAGTAAACATTTTACAATCTATATAAATTCCATAATATCTTATTGTATACCTTAAGTACATACAACAAACTTTATTAAAATGTTTTAAAAACAAAATTTATATAGAAGAGTAAAGGCCAAAACAGCACTGTTTCTGAAGAAAAGTAGGAACTTATCAAACAGAGGCCAAGATTTATTAAGAAGCTAATAAAATAAAAAAAACAAGTAAAAAACCTAATGATGCATCTTAAAGATCTAGAAAAGCAAGAGCAAACCAAATCCCAAATTAGTAGAAGAAAATAAATAATAATGGTCAGAGCAGAAATAAAATAATTTGAAATGAAGAAAACTATACAAAAGATCAGTAAAATGAAAAGTTTGTTTTTTTGGAAAAGATAAATAAAATTGACAACCTTTAGCCAGGCTAAGTAAGAAAGGGAGAAACCCAAATAAAAATGAGAGATGAAAAAGGAGAGATGACAACTGATAGTGCAGAAATCTAAAGGATCATTAGTGGCTACTATGAATAACTGCATCCCAACCAATTGGAAAATATAGAGGAAGTGGGTAAATTTCTAGACACATGCAACTTACAAAGATTGAACCATAAGGAAATCCAAAACCTGCACAGAGCAAACAAGTAATGAGATGGAAGCCATAAAAGAAAAGCTAGGGACCTCATGGCCTCACTGCTGAATTCTACCAAACATTTATAGAACTAATACCAAAACTACTCAAAGTATCCCAAAATATAGAGGAGGAGGGAACACTCCCAAACTCATTCTATAAGGCCAATACTGCCAATAACAAACCCAGACAAAAAAACTTAAAAGAAAACTACAGGCCAATATTTCTGATGGATATTGATGCAAAAATCCTCAACAAAATGCAAGCAAACCGAATTTAACAATACATTAAAAAGATCATTAATCATTACAACGTGGGATTTATCCCAGGGATGCAAGGATGGTTCAACATATGCAAATCAATCAATGTGATACATCATATCAACAGGATGAAGGACAAAAACCATGTGATCAGTTCAGCTGATGATTCTCCTTATTTTATAGTCAGCTGATTAGAAAGTGAAAATTTTAATTCCTCCTTACATATAATATATTCATTCACAGGTTCTGCAGATTGAGGCATGGACATTTGTTGTTGTTGTTGTTGTTGTTGATGTTGAGACAGAGTCTCACTCTGTCATTGCCCAGGCTGGAATTCAGTGGCATGATCTTGGCTCACTGCAACCTCTCCCTCCAGGATTCAGCAATTCTCCAGCCTCAGCCTCCCGAGTTGCTGGAATTACAGGGGCATGCCACCACGCCTGTCTAATTTTTCTATTTCTTTAGTAGAGACAGGGTTTCACCATGTTGGCCAGACTGGTCTTGAACTCCTGACCTCAGGTGATCTGCCCACCTCAGCCTTTCAAAGTGCTGGGATTACAGGCGTGAGCCCCTGCACCCGGCCGAGGCATGGACATCTTGTTAGGGATATGTTCTGCCTACTACAACAATAACATAGTTTGTGACTTTCATGACAGCTCTTCAGACAACTAATGACTCCTATATAAATAACCACTTGCAATGGTGGGACTCACACTATGTCTTCTGTTGCCTATTAATATTGCATATAGATGGACATTCAATTTTAATTCTTTAGCTTTCTAGTATGAGTTCATATCAGTCTTAATTCACAAAACTAAAATCCATATTGTGTTTTAACACATCCAGCATGGTAGCTTCTTCATTTTATCAAGGCCTTCAAAATAATTCAAAGAAGTAAACAGATTGGTGGATGCGGTTATATTAATTCTCTTGGCCATATTTGTTGTAACCATCCTACTTGTCAGATGAGCAACTTTTATATATAATAGATGCCTAAGTTTCCCTACCTTATGTTCGAGATCAAAGGTGATTATAGAAAGGAACGCTAATACAAAACTAGCCTAAAATTTAACTGGCATTCAAGCTAGGTAGACAAATAGTAAAATATTTGTATAGTTTTATTTACATTTTTGATAAAGTGGAATTTAGATTTATACTCATCAAGTTTTGGGAAAATGAATAACCATTAATGATAACATTCTCCCTATTTATACATGATTGGAATATTTCAAGACAGCTATCAATTATTCCTAGAGGAAAAAATCAAGTGCAAATGCCATTTTAAATCATACATTACAAACAATTAAAAATTTTATTAGCTTTTGCAGTTTTTCTGTCCTGGATGTTATTATTTTTTTATTTCAATAGTTTACCTATATTCTCAAACAGTAGTAGCTGCTGAACTAAAGTCGTTTGGTATTTTGGCATTTCAATAGATTTTACTGAAACTACACATTAATCATTTGCAATTACCTATATTTAACAAGTAGTAAAATATATAGGCATAGCAGTCTTTATCTTAGCAGCTACAGATGGCTGATTCCGACTGCTACCAATTGCTACCAACACATACAAGACATAGGTGGTTGGAAATGACCTTTTGGAGTGACTTCTTGTCTTGTTAATCTCCATATATCTACATTATGTATGTACGTTTTAATGTTAGGAGCTCAAGGTGTCAGAAAGCATCATCAGAAACAAATAGAAATGCACTTTATTTTAATTTTCTTCCATTTGAAACCAAATCCAGAAAAAGATTTTGCAGGATCTGAATATTTATACATCATAACCCCTATTTCTCTCATGCTCCATTATTTATATACTATATTCTGCCATAACTGGTTAATTAAATCTCTTTGTCCTTGGTAACCAGGTGAGTGTTACTACCAGTCACATTTTACTGGTAGGCACCTTGAGAAAATGAGTATGTGAGCAGTATGCCTAAACACATTCTGCATACAGATTCTGTTGAATGCCACGAAAGGAAAAGCAGCATGTAAGGCAAAGCTTCCCTGATGAGATAAGAGATGTAAAGAACTGTTTTAACCAGTGTTTTGAACCTAGTTTGTTGAATTTAATTAAATTAACCTGGGTTAGAGCAGCAACTATTCTAAAGTCTGTGGAGGATACACAGATAAATAAGATTGAGTTCCAGCTCTCAAAGTTTAAAATCAAGAGAGGCTGGTGTGTTTGCAACTACTCTAATGTAGTCAGAATGTTACAATAGAGGGAAGATAAGAAGAGATTGATTGCAGTTTTGATTTCATTTTTGAGGTAGGTGTGAATTTTGGTCATTTTAAGAAAGCTTTTTATTTTAAAATAATAGATTCACAAGAAGTTGCAAAAATAGCATGGAGAGGTCCCCTGTACTCATCATCTAGCTTCCCCCAGTGGTACCAGGGAATGGACATTGGTACAATACAATTAACTAGACTCCACACCCTATTGAGTGGTCTTTTAACGTGTAGAAATGAGGAAGGGAGAGAAAGAAACTCCAGGTTGAGGAAATAGCATTTGGTTGAAGGTCGATCATGATGCAATTTGGATTTTTCAAGAAATCTGCTGAAAGGGATTTTAACAAATAGGCCACGCTTTCCATTTTACAAATGAGTGATTGAGGCCCAGATAAATTAGACAGCTTGAATATTTAATTTTCTTTCTGTGGTAAGATTTAAGTATATTTATACATCATACACCTAAGCATCAGTCTCCAGGGTCTTAGTCCAGGTATATTCCTCCCCACACTATGTTTTTTTTTGATGGAATAAAAACACAATTATTCTTTTGGAAACTCCATTAAGAGCTACTCAATGTACATTTTTTTATGACTCCCTAGAGCCTAATGCAGAGTCTGCCACATAGTAGATGTTCAATAAATATTTATTGAATAGATAAACCAATGCATTTCCTTTTTAGCCTCTAGAATCTGGAAGAGAGATCAACGGAGGACAAGAGGATAAATCACACCCACAATTAGCCAACTGCAATGGAAATTCATTACTAAAAGTCAATTTGCAGTTGGGCAAAATGACAGCTGCAAGAAGACAGAGAAACACATTTCATTTGAATTGTGATGAATTTAAAATGTACACAGGTAATTAGCCCTATTTCAGCTAACAGTGAAGTAAATCTGTAAATAAAAGGTGTGAGTTTCCAATGTGCAAAATAGTATATCCTCACTTTCTGCATTTTGAATGCATGCATCAGACATCCCATCATGAGGACCATTGTGGTTTTTAGCTTAATTCCAAGCTTAAAAACAGAATCATTACAGAAATGCTGTTTTTCTTATTGAACACTCTACAAGATAGCTTGTTGCCAAATTAAGCTGCACACAGCACTTGTTAACTTAATTAGCAACCTAATGGCTGAACCGCAGCCTGACAAAATGCATGTTGCCTTGGATGGAAATTGCAATGAAACTATAGGCACTTTAAGAAAAGCACAATCCGGGGGGATATTTATTTTCCCTTTTGGACTAAAGGAAAATCTGATTGCCTGGAAAGACCTTTCTCTTCCTGTTGAAGCCCAAACAGCTTTGCGAGGAGCGAGCACCTTCCACAGATATGAAGCATGCCTTTTTCAAAGGCTGCATGCAGGCGAACTCCCAAATGGCTAATGGATATACTTCTGCTTCCATTAATAGCACAGAAAGCAAACTAATTAATTAGAGGACACACTGAATGAACTCCATTTATCACCAAATGGCTCAAGTGATAAACAAATTATTTAAGAGCTCATTGAAAGCAGGAATCAGGACAGTGATTGTAAAGGATTCAACCCAGTGTATTTGTGAATATCCCTAGATTAGCAGCAGTGTCAAGGCCTCTTGTTAGAGACAGTCATGGAATTTTTATGTGATAGAGAACCTGTGTAGGTTGACTTGCCATCAAATCTTAAATTATTGTTGAATTGCTACTCCTCTTCAGAATTCGTTGATGTCTCTTTGACTCTGATAAAACTCAGGTGTTCTGATTCTTGGAGAACAGAGGCTCAGATCTCATATGCCGGCATAAATGGGCCTAGCTTTAATCCCAGTGTCACTCTGGTATTTTAAAATGCAAAATTTTCTTTTTTCAGGCTGCTGTGCATTTTCAGGGAAACACTGACCTACTAGAGAAAGAGCTAAAAGCAATAAATATAAGAGAGAGTGCTAAAAGCAATAAAGACAATTGCAATTTTTATTATATACTGAGAATATCTATTTGATGTGGTATATTTACCTAATATATAATGATTAATTTTTATAACAATACTATCTATCTATCTATCTATCTATCTATCTATCTATCTATCTATCTATCTATCTATCCCAATACTACGTAAGATAAAATGGGTTTCTGTGACTGGTCACTTGCTCCCATTTTCTTTCTTCCTTTCTTTGTCTGAGCCTGTTTTCTCTTATAACCTATCATGTCACTGCATTTTGCCAGGGCCTTAGAAACCTATATTGATTCTTCTCTCATGAAAAAGCACCGACCTGGCTGCAGTTTATTTTGTTCCACTAAATACTTTGGGGAAGGGAATGCGAATGGAGGCCATCTCTATTTTAAGTGGGTGCCCCCATCAGATTAATTCCAGGATTTGTGTGTGAAACTCAGTCTATGTGAAAGTCGGCTGCTTGTCTTGGGAGTCCCATTAGCTGTCATCAGACTAAATAAACATGTTCCTAATAATTTGGGGAGGTGTTTTATGGTGTCTAATTATACAAGTAAGTATGAATGATTTTGTATATTACAATTGAAAAAAAAAGATAAGTTGGTTCCTGTGTAAGGATGACACAGAAATCTCTTGTGTGCTCCTCCTCCATTTTAGGTCATTATTTTGTACCTCTTAACAGATTGAAATTTTACAGACCACCTTTATCCAACGTGATGTTGACTCAATTAGTGTGTGGATTCCTTGGTAATAGGGTCTATGTCCTTGTAATCTAATTAACTGAGCAACTGCCATATGCCCAGCACTCTAGAACCTTGAGTTTTTAAAATCAATTAAAAGTTCTCCTACTCCCTCTGTACCCTAAAACTGCACTTGATAATATATATTCTTTAAGTCAATTTTTATTAACTGAATCAGAGTGATTCTGGGGATGGCAACAGAAGATGTAGCCTGTTAGCCGGTTACCTTTAGCCGGCTTTCTTTGAACCACGGGTATGGGGCTAAATGGAAATAGAAAGGCCCATGTCATGGTAACATCCATTTAGCTGACATCTTATTTAAAAAAACAATTGTAATTGATATGCATCATGCTTATGGTACTGTTACAATTGTTTATATTGGTATTAGGGAGAGTGACATTAAGTAGTGAAAATTACTATGGATTAAGGGCCAGTGAATTTGAATCCCATAATTTTGTCACATGTCTATAATTCTGAGAAAGATTCTTAAATCTTTAACTTTTGATGTCTTCGTAAGTCTAGAAAGAATGTCTACGAATCTTCTTAGAATACACTTTCTTATTCATTATTGAGTTTTCCTCTTGATTATAATCTTATTTGGCATGTGGTTGTGGTGTGAACAATAGAGAAAAGTGAAAGAGAGTCATCAGCTGGGTGGCAAAAGAAAACAGACATAGCACAAAATCCAGTGTATGCTCCTTCTCATGGTTTCTAAATGGATAACGGGTTACTTCTAAAGGGAGCAATCACAGATGTGGTCATAACACAGCTCTCTCCCAGAGTCATGTGTACGACTTCCATTAAGTTTTGGGGCTGGACTGTCAACTTCTGAAACTCTCACTGTTGCTAGTTTTGTTCATAAGGCCTTACCTGAACAATCAGAATGAGTCTCAGTTTCCTACTGCTGTTCAGCAACAGACAAATATCTCCTGGGCTAGGCAGGCTCAGAGAGCCAGGGCTAAGTGGGTATTCAGCATTCCCCTTACATCTCCTTCCAAAAGAGTGAGTGTGAGTCCCAAGTACATTTTGAATTCATATCTTCTAAAATTTCACCACTCAGCATCAATATATTTTTCTGATTAAATATAAAGAGAGTATATTTGATCACCAACAGCTTGTACTTTTTATAGGCCACAGTTACGTGTTCCTTACAAAGATACTTTCATGTAACTGTTAGAGAATTACAATTTCAATCACATTCTGATATTTTTTTATTTCTCATTTGGATGCATACTTCCATTGCTTTGCCTTCTATAAATTTGCAAATTGCTGTCCTCCCTTACATTTTTTTTGCCTTATTCCAATTATTACACTATTTTCTTTCCTTCCTTCATTTCTTTTCTTTTTATTTTTCCCCTTCCTTCCTTCCTTTCTTCTGTCCTTCCTTCCTTCCTTCTGTCCTTCCTTCCTTCTTTCTTTCTTTTTTTTTTCTTTCTTCTTCTTAATTTTTTTTTTTTTTTTTGAGATGGAGTCTCGCTCTGTTGCCCAGGCTGGAGTGCAGTGGCGTGGTCTCGGCTCACTGCAACCCCTGCCTCTGGGGTTCAAGCGATTCTCCTGCCTCAGCCTCCCGAGTAGCTGACTAGCTGGGATTACAGGCGCCCACCACCACACCCGGCTACTTTCTGTTATTTTTAGTAGAGACGGGCTTTCTCCATGTTGGCCAGGCTGGTCTCTAACTCCTGACCTCGTGATCTGCCCGCCTCAGCCTCCCAAAGTGATGGGATTATAGGCATGAGCCACCATGCCTGGCCTACACTATTGATTTTTTGCTTTGAACTCATCCATCTATGCTTGACTTGGCATTGCTGAGGTTGAGACTCTGCCTACTACATTTCTGCTTTACAAGACTTCGCCAGTGAAAGGTGCAAGAGGGAGACCATGAAGCTGGAGGAGCCCGCAAACTGAGTTCTTTCCTGTTTATTTCCTGCTCCTATCAGTGTTATGTTACTACAGTCTTACAACTTCACCTTGACAGGAGCAGTTACTTGAAGAAGCAGCAATAACTCCCGTTTGGAATGTGTATCACACTGGCTGAACCAGCCTCCGGGACACCATCCCCAGTTGGCCAGTGCCCTCTCCTGAAAGGTCTCACCTCCAACTCCTTGGAGGCAGGGAGCAGAAATAATTGCTCAGCCTTAGATGTGGCAGCTGCTCCTGCAGGCGCTCCCACCAACATGTCTTGGCATTTTCATCTTCGTTTTACCTTTCTAGTTAATATAGTTAACAATTATTTATACCTACTTACTTCTGCATATTAGATTCTCTCTGTTAAAAGAGCTGCTGTGATTTCTGTCTCCTTAGTAGACTGTGACTGGCACAGACCATTACTCATTTATCCTGGCACAGCCATTCCTAGGGTTTTTCTTCAAGTCAGTTCCAGAAAATACTTCAAACTGTTTTCTATCCTGTTTTTCTGACCTCACAACAAAAGTGCCTCAGCAATTGCTCTAAAGGATTTTGGTAAATGCCTCATGAATGCATGTACTGAGTTTCAGTCTTTCAACAGAAAAGGTCACACTTGCCTTGCTATCAAGGCTCTTGAAGCCACCTACGCCTCTAAAGGAAAACACTTAACGTTGACAACATTTCCACACATTTTGTATTTAGTCATCTTTTGCATAACCTCATTAAATCATAAGACTTGGAAGGAAAATTGAGAAATCATTTAGTTAATTTGTTTGCTTCAGGTGGTACTAAATCTTGATACTTGCATAATTTAGTTTTTCCATCAAAGCTAGACACTGGGCATTCAAAATATGAGTAGATGAAAGAATTCCATGATCTAGACATTATAGATGATAATAAATTAAGAAATTTCTCATGCAGATATATGACTATTATCCCAAGATATATATTATCCTAAGATATATTAATTTGATATCCCTATATTATTTAATTTTGATTTTCTTGAGACAAAATAACACAGATGGAATCTAGAAAAACCTCATGGGTGGCTGTGTATCTGGTTCTAGCACTAACATCTGGTTGCTATTCCTGCTGGTTTATGGCCATTAGCCTCAGTCCTCATTGTGTCTACTATGGCCTGGCTTGTTTTGTCACTCCGTGTCCTGCCCTGTTATGAGTGAAGTGAAATGATCTGAAATTTGGCTTAAGATTTGGCAAATGATACTTCTGATAATTCCTACTATGGCCTGGCTTGTTTTGTCACTCCGTGTCCTGCCCTGTTATGAGTGAAGTGAAATGATCTGAAATTTGGCTTAAGATTTGGCAAATGATACTTCTGATAATTCCTACTATGGCCTGGCTTGTTTTGTCACTCCGTGTCCTGCCCTGTTATGAGTGAAGTGAAATGATCTGAAATTTGGCTTAAGATTTGGCAAATGATACTTCTGATAATTCCTAATCTTGGGAGGACATGACTTCATGATAAGACTTTCTTATATTTGACTTTTCTCTGCTCCCAATCTGTGAGGTTGTGTCATATACTCTTTATCTCAATCTGTAATTCTATAATCACCTATGAATTATCTCCTCAGATCTATGGTCTAATTCAGGAATTTCTGGTGTTGGATTTCTAGCTGTCCCACAGGCCTAGAATTTTTTTTTTTTTTTTTTTTTTTTTTGAGATGGAGTTTCGCTCTGTTGCCAGGCTGGAGTGCAGGGGCACGATCTCGGTTCATTGCAACCTCTGCCTGCCAGGTTCAAGTGATTCTCCTGTCTCAGCCTCCCGAGTAGCTGGGACTACAGGCACATGCCACCACGCCCAGCTAATTTTTGTATTTTTAGTAGAGATGTGGTTTCACCATGCTGGCCAGGATGGTCTCAATCTCTTGACCTTGTGATCCGCCTGCCTCGGCCTCCCAAAGTGCTGGGATTACAGGCATGAGCCACCGTGCCCCTCCAGGCCTAGAATGTTTTTACTTAATGTAGGAATTATCCACAGGACACAGAAGTCTTATATCCAAGTTGTCACGAATAACTGGGCTGTGCCCTACCAAAAGTCCCATATTGGGTTTGCTGACAGCATTGCCCTTTGTTTTGAGGTTCCCAAATGTGATGAGCTTTGACCTGAACCAGACTTCTTCTAATTCACAAGTTTTTTAGAAATTCCATAATTCCCTCCTTTCTCTGAGTTCTGAAAATTCAGTATCAGTGGCATTCAAATTATTTTGCTTACATATCTCCTGAAATAATTTTGGAGATCTAGTCACTACTCACACATTTTTAATTTAGTTTCCTCATAAGTTTTAATAGTTGCAAAGGATATGATTTTAACATGTTGTAAATATTGCCATTTTAAAATAGAACTGCTCTATCACTTTTTAAAATATATCCAATGCAATTTAAATTCATAATAATTTGATACCCACTGTCATCCATATTAGAAACATTGAACAAGCCCTTCACTGAAAGTCATAAATTCTATTTTTGTTCCTTTTCTCCTGAGTTCATGTTTTCCCTTTATTTTTCCTATAGAATTTGTTCTTATATATTTTAGTGCATTAAAGTATTTTAGTTACCACCCTGTGGTAGAGTACAAAAGTGGCCCTAAGGCTTTCCCCATCCATTGCCATGTAACTTTGTACTACCTTCCCATTTTGTCTCTGAGATTAATTTGTGACTTGCTTTGGCCAAGGTGACGTTGGAAAATGTGAGATGAGCAGAGGCTTAGGAAGCTCTTGAATGATTGGGTTTGCCCTCTCTATTGTGCTTCTGCCAGAGTTAGTCTCTTAAAGAATAAAAGACACCTGAAGCAGAGCTGAGTGTCCCCAGCTGTCTGAGCCTAGATCAGTCAACATCCAGGCATCACAGATGGATGAGCAAGACCAGCCAACATAAGCAGAAGCACCAAGCCAAACTCTAGCTGCTCCAGATGAGCAAATAGATCCTTACTGCTTTATGATATTGAGGTCGTGTGTTGTTTTTATGTAAAGCATACTTGTATGTAAAATCTAACTGATTTTCTCTACCATGCTTTTCTATAAAGATTATTTTTTCTGTAAGCATGTTGTAAATATGCTTAAAAATTTTGATGTTAAAAATGTTTAAAATTTGAAAAATTATTTCTTTATGTTTATCAGTTCTATTATTAGTATTCAGTTAATCCAAATAATTCAAATATATTTTAAAATTTGATGCATATTCATTAAATAAAAAGGTAAAACTTTATTGAAAATCCATCCCATTATGAGAGAGATGAGGAATTTTTTCCAATTATTTCAAGAATTCATAGTTGAATATTACATACTACTGAATGAAAAAAAGCTAATGATCACATTTATTCATTTAAAAATGTTTACAGATATAAATGCCCAAAAATCTTGTCCACATACATAAGTTTATGAGAATGGCAGTTGTTTTATAACAATGTCATTCAATTGTTTTGTCTTCCTTGATTATACACCAAATTTAACACAATGATCTATAACCAAAAGTATTTTTAATGATTTAGTAGTTGACAGCACCATAGACCATAATTGAATTATTACCGAAACCTAAGGACTAGATAATCATCTGGTTTACAAGATAAATATTTAAATCCAGTTAGGTAGAGATATTCACTCTCTCAACAGATAGACCAAGAATCACAACTGTCTCTTTATTTTTGTCCCATACTTTTTACATCCAGGGCAACGCACCAAACAATATGTTCTTATTTTGTAAAATGGAAGGACTTATTGTCTAAAGAGAGGGAGTGAGTTCTCAGGCAAATCAAATTTTGGAAGGAGTACATCTGGAAGTTGAATATCTGGAAATTAATTTCACTTAAAATAAACCTTCAAATATTGCTAACCTTGGACAACATACGTGTTCTCTCAGGGGTAAGCACACCCTGGTGTTTGGTTGACTGCTTTTACACAGAGCCAGAGAGGTGAAGCTGGTTCCAGGTTCACTCATCCAGACCCCAAGTCAACCATTTCTCCTCTTCCCTTTCCACAACAGTTGGATGTAATGCTGGGAATTTAGGTCTCCTCTGGCAAGCTTTCACTCCTCCCAGTTTATGACAGAGAAAAAGGGACATCAGGCTGATGTCCTTAGATTCACTCAAACTTGTCTGGCAATTTTCATTCTATTCCAATTAGGAATTAATCCTTGGTTGTAGTCATGATCCTTCCACTTCAAATCTCCTTGTCCTTCCTCTCCACTCTATCTCCCTACCCCAGACCTAGAAGAGTTGTTTTGTCTGTTTGTTTTTTTCTGAGATGTCTTAGTTCAGGCTGCTCTAACAAATTACCATAGACTGGGTAACTTAAAAAATGGAAATTTATTTCTCACAGTTCTGCAGTCCAAGATCAAGGAATACGGTGATTATGGTGAGGGGCCTTGTCATGGTTTATACTGAGTGTCAACTTGATTGGATTGAAGGATACAAAGTACTGATCCTGGATATGTCTGTGAGGGTATTGCCAGAGGATATTAACATTTGAGTCAGTGGACTGGGAAAGGCAGACCTACACTTAATCTGGGTGGGCACAATCTAATCAGCTGCCAGTACGGTTAGAATATAAGCAGGCAGAAAAATGTGAAGAGAGGGACTGGCCTAGCCTGCCAGCCTACATCTTTCTCCCATGCTGGATGCTTCCTGTCCTGGAACATCCGGCTCCAAGTTCTTCAGTTTTGGGACTCACACTGGCTCTCCTTGCTCCTCAGCTTGCAGATGGCCCATTGTGGGACCGTGTGATCATGTGAGTTAATACTTAATAAACTCCCCTTTATATGTATGCATATATATGTATCTATTCCATTAGTTCTGTCCCTCTAGAAAACCCTAATACAATCCTCTTCCTGTTTTGTAGATGGCCTTCTTCTTGCTGTGTCCTCAGGTGGCAGAGAGCAGAAAAAGAGGAAACAAGCTCTCTCGTGTCTGTTTGTATGAAGGCACTAATCTCATCATAAGGGTTCTACCCTCATCACCTAATTACCTCCCAAAGGACTCATTTCCAAACACTAGCATCACATTAGGATTAGAGTTTCCACATACACATTTTGACTGGACACAAGCATTCAGTTCATAGCATGTGGGTTGGACTTTTCTCTTTAACATAAATACCCTGTGTTTTTTTTCTCCTATTTCAAGGTTGATTCTTTGGGTAACCCACCAAGATTTGTTCTTAATAGGAAAATCAAGAGTCCTCTCTTAAAAGACTGGGGTAAAAATCTATGATTTCCTGAAAGTCTGGAAAAAGCTGGACTAACCTCACTGCTGTGGTTGTACCCATTTTACTTTTTGGTGGTGTTAGCATAAGCTTCATGGATATATTATTTGTGAAATACCTGAAGGAAGAATATAAAATCACACACAAAACCAAATAACAAAACCTACACTATAACAAGAAAGGTGAGAAAGTTATGTGATATTCCAAAACACTCTCCATATTACTATAAGCTTTAATTATACTAAAGTGTTTCCATTGAATTTTGACCTATGAGATCATGAGTGTACATTTTGTATTCAGGAACATGTTCTGCTTAATTATGTACTCATAACCATGCTTCCTGTCACTAGGACCCCATAGTGAGGCTGCCTGGGCAATTTTCAGTGCACTGACTAGAGTTGCAGAAGGCAGGTAAGAGGATGCCAAATATATACACTTAAGTGGCTTTTTTATCAGCCACAGAATAAAGCCCAAATTCCTTACTGTGGTACCGACATTCTCCCTTAATATATTTCATTTGGCTCTTCTATAAAAACTAAATCTGACCTAAACCATATATTCAAACTCTCTCATTTGTCTCCTTAAAGCCTTCTACTTTAGCTAGGCAAATCTCTTCCGAAACTCTTAAATGAGGTGCATGTCCATTTCATCATTAAGAATATTTGTATCATTTTTTGTGACACATTTTTTCAGATTACATTAAATTCCATATCTTGAAATCTTTGTTCATCACTCAAACCAATTTCTTTTAAACTCCAATTGTTTTCATTGCCTTTACAATTTCCTAGAAACTTAAATGTATTACCCATGGTATTATTCATACTTTTATTATTTTTTCCAGTCTCCCAACTAAAGAGCAAGTTTCTCAAGAGGCCAGAAAACATGTTTTATGATTCTTTGAACCCACATTATTATACAATGAGTTGTACACATGTGTCATACTGGGTGTCATTAAATGTCCAAAGCCGTTTCACAATCCATGCCTCATTGTTAACATATAATACTGCTTTAAATTTCTCAGAAACAAAATTGCGTTAATCATAGGGGATCTTATTAACATGTTAACTTCCTATGTCTACACATCTGCCTACCCCTATTCTTGCCTCCCTACTGCTAGCCATCAAAGAAACTGATGTTTGAGCTTTACCGGAGAAAAACTTAATTAGAATCTCTGAGCATAGGCCTTGGAAATTAGAATTGTAAAGAAGCCTCTCATGATTGATAACCAGCATTTTCAATCTCTAGAATAGATTCTAGCCTCTCCTATCTTGAAGACAGTATTTCTTTTTCTAGTACCTTCATCCTACTTCTGTAATGATTCTTTCCTTCAGTTTACTCAATTGCTAATTTTTCACCAAGCCAAAACAAACCAAACAAAACCCTTGATTCTTCTCCCATCTCTCATGTTATAGTTTTAGTACATGTTTTCCTTTCATAGATTACTTTTGGAAAATGCATGCAGATAAGCTATCACAAGTCCAAGTCCAATCAGGAGACAGAAACCACACAGTAGGTTAAACAGGAGGAATTTGATACAAAGAACTACTGACTATGATAAAAGAGTAAAATAAAAAAATTAAAGGAAACTCTATGGTATCCCGAGAGAAAGTGCCTTAAAAAGGACAATTTGGGGCTGGGCGCAGTGGCTTATGTCTATAATCCCAGCACTTTGTGAGGCCTAGATGGGTGGATCACAAAGTCAGGAGTTTGAGACTAGTCTGACCAACATGGTGAAATGCCGTCTCTACTAAAAATATAAAAATTAGCCGGGCATGGTGGTGCATGCCTGTAATCCCAGCTACTTGGAAGGCTGAGGCAGGAGAATTGCTCGAACCCGGGAGGCGAAGGTTGCCGTGAGCCGAAATTGTGCCATTGCACTCCAGCCTGGGTGACAGAGTGAGACTCCATCTCAAAACAACAACAAAAACAACAACAAAATAAAAACACCACCACCACAAACAAAAGCAACAAAAGGACAATTTGGAAGAAGTTCAGATTTCTCTGGAAGAAATATAGTTTATTACACAAGATAGCAAAGAAGTTTGCTTCTTTAGCCAGAGCTAGTCTGGAGTTACTGGGTGAGCAATTACCCACTGTGGTAGGAAGAATAAAGGCCCCCTGAAGATGTCCACATCCTGATTTCTATAACCTGTGAATTTGTTACCATACATGGCAAAAAGCACTTGCAGATATGATGAAATTAAGGACCATGAGATGGAGAGATTATCTGGATTTTTCTGGATGGATCCATTATAATAACAGGTTCTTAAGTAGTGCCACTTTCTCACCTATAGCTAGAGAGAGAGCTATGACTATAGGAGAATTGTCAGAGAGATGCAACTTTGCTGCTTTTGAAGAGAAAGGAGCCATGACCCAAGGAATGTGGGAAGGTTCCAGAAGCTAGAAAAGGCAAGAAAAGCGATTCTACCTACAGATTCCAGACAGGGAAATCAGCCATGTTGCCATCTTGATTTCAGTCCGGTGAGACATGTTGGATTTCAACTTACAGAAATTTAGGATAGTAAATTTGTGTTTCAGACCACTAAGTTTGTGGTAGTTTGTTAGAGTTGGAATAGAAAACAAATACATCCACTCCTCAGAGTACAGGAGGGAGCAGGTAGCTGACCGGCAACTGGTGGCAAAGTGTGCTCTGGGAGTTCTGGAGCTGGTGATGCTGGGAGATGCTTAGAGAATAGGACTTTGGTTTCCAGGTAGAGGGGGCAACAGAGAGGTTACCTCTAGGCTGAAGCTGCAAAGTCTCCTAGGGACCACAGTTGGGGCCTGTGGTTGGGTAAGCTTCTCTGGATGCCTTCAGGTGGACATAGCCCACCTCTAGCTCCTGTAGAAAGAGGACGGGAGAGCTCTTTCGTTTTTGCAATGTTTCTCCAGTGCACTTTACTGAAAAGCAAAACATCACGCTCACTTGAAAGGAGACACAATTAAAGGAATTATGTTGTTTATCACAGAGCATATATTAAAAGGTATATTTGGATCTGAGAGGCAATAAAATGATAACTGACATATAGTCTAACTCCAAATTAGGCTATCCTTTTATTATATCTCATGATTTTTCCGACATTATTCCTCATTCTCCTCCCATGTCTGAGTGTTTATTCATATTTTCCTTCCAGGGATCTTTTTTATTCTTCTATGTCGTTAACTCCTTCTCAGCTCTCTACTCACTTTACATTCTGTTTTTGGGTGAACATATTCAAATCCACAGATGTGAATTAATTAAACAGTAGATGGTGATAATTCCCAATCTGTCCCCCCCCTGGATTTCTCAATTCTATTGCTAGGCCCTTCCTGGGCATACATCACAGGAACCACAAGATGCCATGGCCCAAACCGAATTATCTTTCCTAACTCTTCTTCACACAGTACATATTGATGGGTAACACCAGCTTTCCAAACTGCAAATCAGAAACCTGTGCATGATCTTTTGTTTGTTTCTTTGTTTGTTTGTATTTATTATACTTTAAGTTCTGGGATACGTGTGCAGAATGTGCAGGTTTGTTACACAGGTATACATATGCTATGGTGGTTTGCTTCACCCATCAACCCATCATCTACATTAGGTATTTCTCCTAATGCTATCCCTCCCCTAGTCCCCCACTCCCTGACAGGCCCCTGGTGTGTAATCTTTACTCTTTCTCTCACATGACCCGCAATCAATTCTTAACAAATATCACCATGTTGAATACAATTTCTGAATGCATCTAAAGTCCAGTCACTTCTACTATTCTCTTTTCCTTAGTTGAAGCAGGTTTTTCCCCCTGTCTGGAACACTGCAATGGATTCCAGGTGATCACTAGCTCTTCAAAGAGCTAGTCTTTCCCCCTTCCTACCTAGCCATGCTCTAAAACAAATAGTGGGCTGGGCATGGTGGCTCACGCCTGTAATCCCAACAATTTGGGAGGCAGAAGCGGGCAGATCACCTGAGGTCAGGAGCTCGAGACCAGCCTGGGCAACATGGTGAAACACTGTCTCTATTAAAAATACAAAAATGAGCCAGGTGTGGTGGTGCATGCCTGTAATTCCAGTGACCCGGGAGGCTGAGGCAGGAGAATCGCTGGAACCCAGGAGGCAGAGGCTGCAGTGAGCTGAGATTGTGCCACTGCACTCCGGCCTGAGCACTAGAGCAAGACTCTGTCTCAAAAACAAAAACAAAAACAAAACAAAACAGTGTAATTCTGCTCACAATAACCTATAGCATATAATCACTTCTCAACACAGTAAGTGCTTTGCAAAGATTTCTGTACAGGCAAAGGAGACCATTGATAGAGAAGTGTTTGACTTACGCCTTTAGAATGATTAAATTCAGCTAGGAGGTGGCATGGAAAATAAATGGGAAGAAGAGAATTACAGTGGGTACTTTTTTCCAGCTAGATTAGTATATTTACATGAAAATGCAATGTATGATTTTTTAAAAATTAACCCATATTTGGAGTCTTTGAGTGACTGAAGACTGAAGTAACTAATTAAAGGGTATTGAGAGAGCAAGGAGATTTTTTAACTGGAAAACCTTTCTTAAATCTACATACTCACCTGCATCTGCCTCTTTCTCTCTTGCTGTTTTAATTGATGTCATGTGCCTCCTGTCAAAAGGAAATCCTTTCATGCATGCTTAAGATCCCACCTGATCCTGCCTTCTCAGGTGTGCTCTGTGTGTTATCTTCTCCCTAACATGAAACCTTCATCCTCCTCTGCACTTTAACTTTCCCCGATCATTTAAACACGCTTTAATATCTTTGACATCTTACGTCCACTCCCTTGGGCCTCTCCTTCCATCATAGTCCCTGAAAAGAGTTGTACACTTACACATTCTTCATTTTTCACCAGCGTTTCACTTTTCAAACATTACCGTTTGGTGTCTGTCTCGAACACCTTACCAAAACTGTTCTTGCAAATGTAACAAAAAATTTTCATGGAATCAAACCCTGTGAATATTTCTCAATTTTTTTTTTTTGATGTTTCAGTCAATTTTCCAAGTATTTCCTCTTTCCACCTGCCTTTAAAGCTGCTTCTTCATAGCTTCCTTCGCTAAAATCATCTTCTCTAACGGAAGTGTTGGCCGTCTTTGAGGCTTATTTCTGGGTCGGCTTCTCTCCTCACATACTTCCACCTTAAATGACTCATCTGTGTCTTTGTCTTCAAAAACTGTGTGCTAAGAACTCCTGGGAATTTTATCTCTCAGGATTGCAGGCATCCAGGTATGAGCCCAAACTATAGACAGTTGGGTCTGAAGGAAAGGGACAGATGGAGAAGCATGATGAAAGATGAGTCAGCCTGATTTCATTTCTCATTACTTCAAACCGAAGCTAAATTTTGGAGAAACTAGCTAAATTTTAGTTCAGAGCTTTAAAAATCTCAGAGAAATGAATATTCATTTAGATAAAAAGTATCTATCTCCCCCATTGCATCATACACCCTTTGTAAGATACCTCAATTTATCCTATAAATGTGCCCAATGTATTTTTTGAACTGGGGATTGAACATTTTAGAAGATCTATAAATATTTTTGGGGTAAGTCATTGCAAATTTAACTGTGCCTGAGCTGTCCTTGTGAACCATTTTTTCCCTGGGTAAATCTTCAGGCCTCCCTCCAAACAAGTCTCACAGTTATCTCCTAATGTAATTCATTGATAATATTATTAAGGCAGGAATTAGGAAACTTTGAAAATACTGTTTTTAAACGTATGCCATAACTCATCCAATTTTCCTATATGCTGTCACAAGTAATGTGCTTATTGGCTAGGTCAGTACAATTGATATCCAGTTGGCAAGGCATTTTACAACAACATCTGTATTTCAGGAAGACTTGAATATTATTGTACTTTTAGAGCCATCATGTTTAAACAAATTTTGACTGAAAATTAAATGTTTTAATTAGCTTGCTATAATACTGGGTGAAATTGTATTTTTATATTGATGAAAGTGACATGAAGTAGTAGCAAGACCTCAATCAAAATCATAATCATTTTCTTAACAGTATGGTGCCTTAATTAGCATTGGAACAAACAAATTTTACTTTTTGCAAAATTGCTTCTTTGTATCTGAGATCTGTATGTGAGATTACTTTAGGGTGAGAAATGGTGTGGCAACCATTCTGACGTTCACAGCTATTCCTTCTTTGTAGTAACTCCTTTATTTTTTTATATTAACATTTGTTAAGTCCAAATAAACAGGCCATTCACCACTTGACATTATCATATTTTCACATAACTTTTCAATTCTTTCATAAATAATAATGCAAATTCATTAACTTCTTTTTGTGCCTTAGTTTTGACTATTTCCCACAATTTTTCATTGAAATAGTATTTGATCTGAGAACATCTGCTGTTTTTGGAAACATTTTTCCAGTATTTAACATATTAGTGCTTGCTGTAGGATTAGCTGTTCATTCACCAATTCAGTCACACTTCTTGACATTAGTGCACAAATACCAGTTTTGTCTATGTATTAGAAGCCTTGACTGGAATTGACAATGAATTGACTGTATCAGTGACATACCTACAGATTTCATATTTGTCTCAAATCATGTCAATCACTTTTCTACTATTTTAAAAATTAAAGCTACAACATAACATTTCCTAAGTAGGTATATCTGAAATCAACAGTAACATCATTCACTGACCACCTCTGTTTGCAGACTATTAAGATTCACAATCACCTTTTTAAAAAAATTTTACTTTATTTTTTGAGACTAAGTTTCACTCTTGTCACCCAGGCTGGAGTGCAGTGGCGTGATCTCAACTCATTGTAACCTCCGCCTCCCGGGTTAAAGCAATTCTCCTGCCTCAGCCTCCCGAGTAGCTGGAATTACAGGCATCCACCACCACGCTCAGCTAATTTTTGTATTTTTACTAGGGACAGGTTTTGCCATGTTGGCCAGGCTGTTCTCGAGCTCCTGACCTCAGGTAATCTGCCCACCTTGGCCTCCCAAAGTGCTGGGATTACAGGTGTGAGCCACCGTGTTTGGCCCACAATCAATTTTAATGCTTATATCAAGTGTGTATGTTCCTTGTAATAATGTTGTGATTCAAAGAGGCTAAATCACTTACCAAAAGTCACTAAAAAAATGTAAGTGGAAAAACAGACTCAAAACTATGATTGAGTCCTTAAGCAATAATCTTTCCATTTCTTCTACTAGTTCCTTTATCTACATTTGGAAACTTCCTATTACCATTTATAGCTGACATTGATTGGTGGCAGTAACTTCAAAGTAATGGTGAGAGAAGTTTTGCTACCATAGTTGACTCTTCGTTGTATGTTCTAGACTTTATTCTCCTAGTTTTCTGCAATTTTGCCTTCTCCAATCTTAAAGATTTTGTGTCTCCTTTTAATGAAATATGTGATTTCTTAATATAAGAATGTAAGAGACAGAAAATATCCCAAATATAAAGTTTTGATTCATGTAAAAGATTTATTCTGCCTACATAAAAGTCATTCTCATGAAACCCCGTCTCTACTAAAAAATACAAAATATTAGCCGGGCGTGGTGGCGGGCACCTCTAGTCCCAGCTACTCGGGAGGCTGAGACAGGAGAATGGCGTGAACCCGGGAGGCGGAGCTTGCAGTGAGCCGAGATCGCGCCACTGCACTCCAGCCTGGGCGACAGAGTGAGACTCCGTCTCAAAAAAAAAAAAAAAAAAAAAAAAAAGTCATTCTCCTGTCAAGTATTTTTTTCTCTGAAATTAGTTGTTTTTGAGTTTGTATTTTTTTCAGATTCAGACAGTATGAAAGCATACATCCAAAGCTGTCTTCTCAATTGAATAAAAATGGTGAAATGGAAAATACATATCTTTGTTATACTTTGTCGTTCTATGTTGGTATCAAAATGCCTAGAATATGATGTTGCCTGTATTCTGAGACTCCTTCCCTTTGTGACTCTGCCTGGCCTGCCAAGTTTTACAATAACCCAAGCTTCAGATCTTACCACCTTCTCCTCCCATGTTGTGTCCTGGAAACACTGACACCTCAGCAATGACCAGTATGTTTGGCACTCATATCTTGGATTCTAAATATAATTCCCCACTAGAAGAAGCCCAAGGTCTTTGAAAATATGGCTGATTCTACAGCTGGGGCAAGGAATTTTTATCTTGTACCCGGAAAGAAGGGAGATGAATATGATGATATCACTCTGATTAGGCTACACTGTATGGCAAAGGTAAAGACATTTTGCAGATGCGATGAAGATCCTAAGTCCGTTGCCTTTAAGTTGATCAAAAAGAGGATTTTCTTAGATGAGGCTTTTAAACAAGGGTCTGTCAGAGACACACTTCTGCTGACTTTGAGCACATGTAGAAGTCTAGAAGAAGAAAAACTGATAAACCTTAAGTTGAAAAATTCTCAGCTATCTCAAAAACTCAGGGAATAATGGATTTTTGAGCAGGCAAAGTTAAAAAATCATGTTGAACAACAAATGTATTTAGTAGGAACCTCAGAACAGTCAATCCATAATAGTAGGGCTAAATTATCCTTAGGTCAGGAGTTGGCAGACTACAGGCTGTAGGTCCAATGTGGCCTTTCACCTGTTTTTCCTAAAATTGTAAAGGAACACAGCCACACTCATTTTTTTAATGTGTTATCTGTTATGTGTTGCTGTTTTCAAGCTACAATGGCAGAATTAAGTAGTTGCAACAGAAACAGTGGGACCAACAAGGCCTAAAGTATTTACTATCTTGCCTTTATAGAAAATGTTTGCCAACCCCTGCCCTAGTTAAAAGGCTAGTTAAATGAACCCTAACAAATATAAAAAACAAACCTCAAAGAAGATTAGGCTGTTCTACAAGTAACTTAAAGTCATGCTAAACAAAGTCCAATAATCTTCAAATGAAAATCACAAGATCTAGACTCTTGACAATGTAAAATCAAAAAAGTCTAATATCAAATAAAAACTGCTAGATATTCAAAGAAGCAAAACATGTGACCAATAATCAGAAAAAAAAACTCAGTAGAAACAGATCCAGAAATGGCAGGAGATGATTGGAATCCGCAAGCAAAGACTACTACATCTACTTTAAATATGCTCAAGGATATAAAGGAAATTATGAACATAGTGGGAGAGATACTAAAATTATAAAAAGGAGAATGAACTGAAATACATAAAATTGAAAAAAAATCTGTGAAGTGAAAATTTATGGATGGGGTTAAGACATTAGATATTGCTGAAAAAAGTATTAATGAACTTGAAGACATAGAAATAGAAACTTTAAGACCTGATGCACAGAGAAAAAAAAAAGCTGAAAATAATCAGAGACAATAATCTGCGGAACAATACTAAGTTGTCTAATATACTTGTTAATTGTAGTTCCAGAAGGAAAGGAAGATGGGGAAACTGCACCCGGCCAAAACAGGAAAAATATTTTAAGAAATAATTATTGAATTTTTCTAAATTACTGAAATATATAAAGCCACTGCTTCAGGAAGTTTAATAAATCAATCAGGAAAAACACAAAGACAGATGCATTAAGGCATATAATAATCAAATTAATGAAAAGCAATGATAATCTTAAAAATAGCCAAACAAAATAAGACACAATACATAAGAATAGATTCCACAGATTTCTCAACATGTTACCAAGACACCAGGGGTTCAGGCTAGGTCCTGATGCTTACCACACAGAAAGCCAATGACTGAGACGATGAGTAATGTCAAGGGAGAAGGCTTTAATCAGGTGCTGCAGTAAAGGACATGGAAAATCAGCCTCAAGTCCATCTTCCTGACCCGCTAAAACTAGGGGTTTATATAGCAGGGAAGAAATGCAACAATGTGTAAGAAAACAGGAACTAGGGAGGGGCAAGGAAGCAATCACGATGAATGATGCTTTCCGCATCTCATTGTCTGGATGTGGTGACCTGCTGAGTTTCAGTTATTTGACACTTTTTGATTATTTGATACTTTTTGAGAGGCCTAAGGGATTCTTTCCTGAGGAAGGAACTCAGATAAAACAAATATAAGTTGGCCTGGTGTGGTGGCTCACGCCTGTAATCCCAACACTTTGGGAGGCTGAGGCAGGTGGATCACCTGGGTCAGGAGTTTGACACCAGCCTGGCCAACATGGTGAAACCCTGTCTCTATTAAAAGTACAAAAATTAGCGAGGTGTTGTGGTGGGCACCTGTAATCCCAGCTACTCAGGAGGCTGAGGCAGGAGAATAGTTTGAACCCGGGAGACAGCAGTTGCGGTGAGCCAAAATCATGCCACTGCACTCCAGCCTGGGCGACAAAAGTAAGACTCTGTCTCAAAATACATATGTTTTAAGCTTTAGGACCAGGAAAGTTAATTTCTGTATATCCAAAAACAACTATTTATGGGACTACTGGGTGGATTTCAAACAGAAACTGTGCAAACCAGAATTGAGTGGAATGACATCCACTAAGTGCTAACAGAAAACAAATTGTCAGTCTAGAATTATAAGCTTGGGGAAAATATATTTTTTAAATGAGGGTGAAATAAAGACTTTTTCAGACTAGCAAAAGTTGACTGAATTGGTGGTAAGCAGACTTGTTTTAAAAGAAATGTAAAAAAAATTCAGACTGAAAGTAATATCAGATGGAAATGTGGATTTATACATGGAGAGTTTTGGAAATAGTAACCGTGTACATAAATATAAAATACTGTTATCTAATTTTAAATTTTATTTAAAAGATTAAAAAATCAACTCAAGATGGATTAAAGACTTAAATATAAGACCTGAAACTATAAAAATGCTAGAAGAAAACTTAGAGAAAACTCTTCTGGACATTGATCTGCGCAAAGAATTCATGATTAAGACTTCAAAAGCACAAACAACAAAAAACAACAAAAACAAAAATAGACAAATGGGACGTAATTAAACTAACAAAGCTTCTGCACAGCAAAAGAAATAACACAGTGAACAGACAACCTGCAGAATGGGAGAAAATATTTCAAACTATACATCTGACAAGGGATTAATATCCAGAATCTACAAAAATCTCAGACAACTCAACAACCACCACCACCACCACAACCACCAAATAAACCCATTTTTTTTTTTAAAAAAAGAAAAGAACACCAACAGAACAGATATTTTTCAAAAGAAGACATATAAATGGCCAAAAAGCATATGGAAAAATGCTCAACATCATTAATCATCAGACAAATGCAAATTAAAACTGCAATGAGATACCATCTCCCACCAGTCAAAACGGTTATTATTAAAAATTCAAAAAACAACAGAGGTTGGCGAGGATGCAGAAGCAAAGAAATGCTTATACAATGTTGATGGGAATGTAAGTTTGTAAAACCTCTGTGGAAAACAGTATGAAGCTTTCTCAGAGAAAGATATCCCATTCAATCCAGCAATCCCACTACTGGGTATCAAAAAGATACCTGTGCTAGTATTTTCACTGTGGCAATATTCACAATAGCAAAGATATGGAATCCACCTAAATGTCCATTAACAGATGATTGGATAAGGAAAATGTGGTATAAGTATGTATATACAATGAAATAAAACTCAGCTATAAAAAAAGAATGAAATCATATCTTCTGTAGCAACATGTATGGAACTGGAGGCCGTTATCTTAAGAGAAATAACTCGGAAACAGAAAGTCAAATATCACAAGTTCTTACTTGTAACTGGGAGCTAAACAATGTGTACAAGTGCACATAGATTGTGGAATAATAAACACTGGTGATTCTGAAGGGTGGGAGAATGGGAGGGAGATGAGAGATAAGAAATGGCTTATTGAATGCAATGTACAGTATCTGCCTCATGGTTACACTAAAGCCCAGATTCCACCACTATGCAATATATCCGTGTAACTATACACCCTGCATTCCATAATTTACCTTTAGTGTATCCCAATGAGAAATTCAACTGTAAATTATATCCTCTCAAACTTTCCAAGTTCATACTGAAGATTTTAAATCTTACTTTCCGCTTCATACACTTACAATTAGTTTGTCCTTTAATCATGCGCTTCTTGCACTATTTTTCTGTCTTTAAATTTTTATTTATTTATTATTTTTTATTTATTAAAAAATAAATAATTTCTGGACATTGGTCTGTGGAAACAATCTTGTTTCCCTTTTAACCAGAATCCATGTAGTTTAAAAATCATGAGAAATTCTAAGTCAACATTGTCTGTAGTCATAATTACATTAAAATTTATTAATACATTTGAAAACATTTTAAATTAAACAGGATTGTTTCCCGTTTAACCAGAATCCATGTAGTTTATAAATAATGAGAAATTCTAAGTCAACATTGTCTGTAGTCATAATTACATTAAAATTTATTAATACATTTGAAAACATTTTAAATTAAACAAGATTGTTTCCCTTTTAACCAGAATCCATGTAATTTATAAATAATGAGAAAAATAAATGCCAGTGGGCTGGAAATGTGTGTACATTGCTTAGGTATTGTCTGTCTGTCTATATAAGAGGGCAATTATAGCCAGAAGTGTAATGCTAAACCTGAAGGCAAAGCAAAAAGTTATTTGGAAGATTATAATGGTTTTGTTACTTGTGGTGACTCATTAAATGCTTGAGTCCCCAAGTTCATGCCTCCTCTCCAAATGTGTATCAAAGACAGACTAATCAACCCTTGTTCTGTGGCACCATCTTTTTTTCTAGATTTCATCCAGCATTTATCCCAAACTTTGTGTAAGAAAAAAACTGTATTTAAAAAGTAGAGGAATTTGGGAAATTTTTCCAGTTCCCTTAGCTGGAACCCATTTTGCTCCTTTTATTATCTTGTTTGATTTTGTGTTTTCATAGAATTTTCTACAACATGTATTTACAAAATATCTATGTTCTTTCGTACAGATGGCTAATTCCATCGATTAGGAGTTTCACTTATTTCCAAGTCCTGCAGACACTCTTTGCATCCTTTTTAGTATTGATTATTGCCCTCCCCTACCCCCCACACACATTTTAAAAGATGTAACAAGTCATTAGCTTATTTCATGGCCCTAGCATATTATAATTATTTCATGTAATATGTCTGAAGGCACAGATAAAATACATTTCACTTTTTATAATTACAAAGAACTATGCATCTCCAAATGTATTTCCTTACTTAATTCCTCATATCTGAATCTCCTTAGATTTTTATCTCACAATATTTATCCATTCAAATGGCTCTTGTTCTGACATTGCACTTCATTCTGGATAAAATAAATGGGTTCCTTCTCAGTCTCTTAGCATTCATCTATTGTATCTCTTCATAGTTTTTTCTGTCTTTCATTATGCATGTCAGGGTGTTCGATTTCTAACATTACTGAAAATGAGGATCCTCTTTAAGAGTTGATGTGGTGGGTGAAGAGTCTAGTTTATTTCTAATTTTCCTCTTTTTAAAACATAAGCAATGTGTAAGATCTGAGATGAGTTCTTTCGTATTTTAATCTTCCCCAAAAGAAGGTGTCTTATCCTAAAATCCTTCTTCAAGGACATTTTTTAAAAGGTTCTCACCTTTAAATATAGCACAACATGAAGATTTCACAGATTGATGGACATCATATTACAGATCTGGCCGGAGTTTAATGCTGTTTCCTTAGGGATTGCCGACTGCAGGATTTTTGCCTATATTTCTAATGAAAGCTTGTCTTAAAACAATCATAGCAAAGTAACCAACATCTGTTTCTTTGCATGGGTTTGGTATGTATATGCACAGGATTTGCTTACTCAAGTTTTTTCTTTCTTTCTTTCTTTTTTGTACATGCTAAAGATCAATAAATATGATGAACTAGTAGAGAGAAGTTCAACATTTACCTAGACACTCTTTTGTGAATTGAACACAATTGTTAAAGCCACTTGGTTCAAAATATATTCCTTCCTACATCCTGATAGTCCATTAAATCTGTTAAAAGATGGTCCAAATATATGTTAACTCAATAGTATAGCAATTTTATTACCACAGAATATCACGAATTCCATTTATTCTAACCCAATTTGGAATATAAGCTCTCATGTATCATCAATTTTTTTGGAAGTTTTCTTCAATATAGCAAAATATGCTAGATTTGTGAATGTAGAAAATTATGATTCACAAGACATTTATAATTTATCTTATCTGAATAGTCTCTTATCTGAATAGTCTTTGAAAAGTCCCCACAATGCAAACTTGGCAACAAATGAATGTTATTCACAAGTATGTGGCTGTTGGAGTGAATCACAGATTTCCCCTCACTAAGTCCTGGCTAGTTCTGATTTGTAATGTGTTTAAAAACTATCATGTCTTGAATTTCTATTAGGTAAAAATTCCTTTATGTATGTTATGTTTCACTTTCACAGCAACCTTATAAGATTGAGAATCTTATACCTGTTTTAACTGAGGAGTCTTAAGGGTATTTCTGCAAAAATGAAGATCCAAAAGTGTTGACAGTATTTGATCAATTCCTTCTATCCCAAGATCTAAGGATTTGACAAAAGTAAACACAATAATACCAACTCTCTGTTACTTAAACAATAAAAAAGGTTTATTACTTTTAACTAAAAGTTTTACACATGTTTCAAGCAGAAATCTAGCATAGCTTGTGGTGGCTTGATAGACTCTGAGTGTCACCTGGCATCCCTCTCTTCTTGTCATGGCCCTCCATGGGCCAGCATCAGGCCTCTGTAGTGCCCACCATAAAAATAATAAAAAAAAGACTCTGGTGCACTGGAAGTCAGCTAAAGTATAGAGCATGAATCTCTGGTGCTAGTGCCCCTAGTAGTTAGGGTAAATGTTTCCATATAGGTCACATTTATAGTTTCTGCTGAAGTGGGGGAGTATAGCAGCTGCTACGCAAAAATGGCCTATAGGCCTTATGTTCATGGGCAAGCCCTAGGGTATCATGCAATCACTATTCTAATTCATAGGAAGTAAGAAGGCGGTCATGGTAATGAAGTTAGCCATTTGTTGTACCGTAGACATAAACAAAATATCTAGGATTGTTTTTCTCCATCATAATAGCAGTTGGCATCCCAGGGTAGCATAGGAGTTAGTGGAATATAATCCAAAGAGTAAGCTCTTGTTATGTATCTTTTACTTATACATTTCCTTAATTTTAAAAACTGGGGCCTTGGTAACAAAGCCCATTCATATTAGTGCAAACAGTAGGGTGCATGTACCTTCTAAGAATTTAAAATAGTAAATACCAAGTTAAAATGTGTGTAAGCATGTATATGGCTGTTAAGCATTTAAAATAAGTCCTAGCCTATTTCAATAACACTTAGTTCTTCAGTGTCATATACCAATAAGCGTCAAGGAAAGAATTCGATTCCAGGTATTGGAAGACTATGTTTTAAGTTTCCTCTATTACAGCATACAGTCTCTGGGGAGTTTGATGCCCTTCCTTTGGAAGTTAGTTGTTTACGTAGTTTTGAAGGTGAGAACCTTGATCTATAGATCTATGGTCTGATTCCCAATTTTGCTTATCCATAAATTTTATTTTGCTAGTGTATCCAGAATTAATTGGACCTAGGGAATGGAATAAGGCAGCTAAACTTACAAAAGATTTACTTAGAAATGTCAATATATTGATTTGTCATGATTAATATAAATGCAAAGAGTACAAGAAACAAGTACCAATTGATCAATTCAGTTTTACTTCTGTAAAATATTCTATATAGGAAGCCAAATATAACACGTTACTTAGAACTAATTGAGTCAGAGTATGGGAAGGTTTATAACTGGTTTTAATTGCTACATGTCTAGTGCATGCATTTCACTATAGGAACTTATTTACCATAAGAATCACACCTTTGAGTGTTTGTGTCAATATATCCACCCTATTAAAGGAAAAGGAAAGCATTTTATTTTGATTTAGGTAATTTAATCATCTAACAGCAAGAATTATCTACTAGCCGGGAAGGGGACTTTTTTGGAGGAGGGGCAAAGCATCAATTTTAAATAGTAGCCACAAAAAGCGTTAAATTATTATATTCCAGAAAGTTTTCTCAGATCAGTCAAACCTTGGGAGGCAGAAGTAAAGCACAAAAGCAAAGTGTTGGAACCTGAGTATAATCAGTGGCAAAGAGATCAGTAGGCATCGAACTACATAAAAGACTCTGATCAGAGTCACATGGAGCATACCTCACCATGGAGGTCCAAGAAATAGGCTCTCCGCCTCATGATAGTCACATCATAATAAGAAAAACTTCATGCAGATGAAGTAGAGAATAACTAATCATAAATCTGTAATTGGTCTAGTGGGATTCATTTTAGGGAAGAATCGAAGGAAGCAGGAGGGAGATATTTGTGTTGCAGACCAAGAATCAAGTCACAGGAGGAAGAATAAGTCTCAGGTATGAAAATGTTAGCAGGAATCTGTGCACTTGGTGTAGCAAGACAAGCCGCAGACAAAACCCCTCAGACACCGAGTCAAAGAAGGAAGCGGTTTATTTGGCTGGGAGCATCGGCAAGACTCCTGTCTCAAGAGCAGAGCTCCCCAAGTGAGCAATTCCTGTCTCTTTTAAGGGCTCACAATTCTAAGGGGGTTCGCTTGAGAGGGTCATGATCCATTGAGCAAGCAGGGGGTACGTGACTAGGGGCTGCATGCACCGGTAATTAGATCGGAACAGAATAGGACAGGGATTTTCACAGTGCTGTTCTATACAATGTCTATAATCTATAGATAACATAACCGATTAGGTCAGTGGTCGATCTTTAACTACCAGGCCCAGGTCACGGCGCTGGGTGGTCTGCCTGTGGATTTCATTTCTGCCTTTTAGTTTTTACTTCTTCTTTCTTTGGAGGCAGAAATTGGTCATAAGACAATATGAGGGGTGGTCTCCTCCCTTATCAGGAGTTAAAGAAGGGGAGATCCTTGTGGCACTGCTGATTGGGCTCATTCTCCAACTGATTCAAGTCCAAGCTCTAGTCTGGTCCTAGCTATATTAATGAATGTTGGAGCCATAGATTCAAATTGCCTTCTAGTCCTTTCATTAGCCCTTGCAGTTTGGGGAGAAAAAAAAAATCCTAAAATCGGGAACTTAGGACTGAGAAAGATGAATACGCACTTTCCTGTTTAGAACAGCTTACATGGCCTTCTTCCTGGAGTGCCCTCCTTTCACTTACTCTCACCTGGTAAGTGTGTCAGGGTAAGTAGACTGGAAGTCAACAAATTTAGTGATGCAACAGGTGGAATATCTACATATAGATTGCAGTAAAAATATTAGATCTGAAACAGCAAACTTGTAACAATACACTTGACTCCTTAATTTGTTCAGAGATTGTTCTGGTGCTGTGCTTCTTAATATTCCCACACCTAATTCCTCTTTTTTAAAAAAAATAAAAAAATATTATGTTAATATGTCTTCTTTAATCCTGATATGCAATTCATAGCTAGCATAACCTAACTATACAGTTGATCTCCATAATACTCTATTTTAAATTGGAATTGGAATTCTATTTAAAATAGAAATCAAAGTAATTTGTAATAGCATCACATATGTTTCAAAGGTGCAAATTCATGGACATGACTACACTGGGAGAGCCGAGGAAGCGGTCAAGCATTTACCACAAATGTGATTGCTACAGATGCAGTTGGGTATAGGCGAACTGTATTGCAACTCAGATTTTATGAGCCGCATTTCCAGGGATGTTGTGGTTTTACAAAATTGTAATCAACTCCTGGTGAATGTCCAAAGAAAATACAATCTCTTCTCTATTTACACAAATGTTGCATTCCTAGAATAGCCCATTTGTGTTAAACCCACACAAGAAAATCTTGTGCTTGCACTTAAAACAGTCACATTATAGCTTTAGTAAATTATAAACAAGCATTTCATCTCTAAGAATGTCCTGTAAAATATCTGGATATCTTGAAGAGTTAGGGGCAATGCTTCAGTTGGGCAGGACTGCAAGTTCATTTCAGGACATCAAGTATCCATGACTCTTAAATGAAATTCTCGGAGTGGCCATAACCATTATGATAACCAAAACACCCTCACACCTTCAAACTTCCAAAGCATGAGAAGTCACTAAGAGGTCACTAGAACCAAGTCTTCTATGCATTTTGGAAATGCATTAATTTGGGATAAGCTATACATAACTGTTTCAAAATTTTTAGAAAACTGGAATACTCTTATTTGCCCTATGAAACTTATCAAATTATTTTTTAAAATTTAATTTCTACATGTGGCCAAAGACACAGATAAGGATAAGAGTGAGGAGTTAATAAAAAGCAAATGTCAAAGACAGAGTCATGAGCCAGAGAGTTATTTATTTGTAAATTTTTGAGATGAAATGAAATGAAACAATTATAAGCACCAAGGCCTCTTTGTAAGAAGATCCAGGTCAAAGCTAGATTTGAGATGTTCAGATGACAAGTGCCTGAGATCTGGAGAGTGGGTGTTTGAATGAAAACACAGGATTTGGGGACTAACACATAAGGTTGTCATGAACATATTTTCTAGCAGCCCAAGCTCCAGGGCTTTGACAATGTAGGGATGACTGAGTGGGGAGGTCTTGGCTACTCCAGTGTGTGATACATCAAGGATCTTTTGGGATATGTCAAATAGCTTCTGCTGGGAACCTCTTTGGTTCAGAATCTCTGTTGCCTCAGCTTGACTTCAGATGCTGATGCTGTTCTGATGACACTCTGGCTATTCTCTCAGAATCCACAGGCTGACCATGCTTCCTTGTTGCACACAGGGATGATATTCTATGACCCAGATCAGGGGCCCCAAAACACGTTAGCTCTCAGCCAGAGATATGATGTGCAAGCCAGCGTGGAACCAATAAGCAGACTCCTGCTCTGCTGAGGTGTCATCAAACCCAGTGGGAAAGCAAAGAGGCTGTTACCTGCTGCCTCACTGCAGCCTGAATTTTCACTTCCATCTGAAATTATTTCTCTTCCTTTATTCTTTGTGGTTCTTTCTTTTGTCCTTACCTCCAATCTCTTCCTTTTTTCCCTGAAAATTGTGCTAACAAATTAGGAGGATTAAGCTCAAATTAGATAAATAAAATAACGCTAGCCTTTTTTGCCATTGGGGTAATTGTACCTTCTTATCCATCCCTTTCCATTTGGGGGCATGTCCCTTCTCCCCATCCCTGTCCCTCATTTGTTAGTTACTGTAGCTTACACTGGTTTTTAGGTTTTAATTACTCCCCTCCCACAGCCAGGTTCTTGCCAACCATCTACCATATACAATATTGCAGCTACAAGCTGTTCTCAGAAAATCCACTCAAAATAGCTGAGGAACAGCTGCTCCTGTGATATTTTCAAAAGAAAGAAATTTGTATTTGGCTTCATGGTCTAAGGGTCTGTTGGTTTTGCATAGAAAGAGACAAATGAAGCCCTTCACTCCAGCTGAAATTCTCTGTCCCTCATTCTCAGGCTCCTATTTCAGTGGAAGGATAAGTGGGCCAGGAAATGGAAAGATGGTTCTGGAAAAAGCATGCATCATTTGCTTGAGGGCTGTTCATTTACTTCTCATATTTTTGCAACTGATATTTACAAGTAGATTAACAAGAGTTAATTTGTGGGTACAAATTAGCGGGAAAAACAAGACCAGTTGAATCCAATTAGCATTTTTTGACACATGTGTCACTCACCTAACATAACACTGGTGGGAACACTTTAATAATGCAGAGGAAATGTATCATTAATGTGTGGCACGCTTCTTCTACTCTTGAAATTTAAAGGCTTTCGTAAATTTTGAGAGTGGGGCTAAGTATCCTTAAATTGTTTAGTTTGCTAGTGAAAGTCTCTTTTTATGTCTTTCTTCTCATACTTCCCCAGGAAGCATCTGAAAGAACAGTATGGCTGTCAGGTTTGGAACAGAACAATTAGATGTCAAGGATGCAATTAGTCTAAAATTAGCACATTAGGGACTCAAAATCATAGCATCTGAGACCACACAGCTATGAACTAGTAATTAAGAAACTACTTTCCACTCACTGTTTCCTGGAAAAAAAGTATTTATGTATTTCCTGTGAGATAATATTTATTCACTGTAGAATTACATTTCATTTAAGGATTTGAAGCCATATCTTGATTCTGGAAAAGCTGAAATGCATCTTTGAAGGAACACGCCTGTGTTAGCAAGAGGGGGGTGTGTATTAGCAACAGTGCCCATTGCTTCTAAAGTAAATTTTATGCTGCAGAGCAAGCAAAGCTACAAATAATCACACTTCTTGTCACATGCTATGGGATCACATCAAGCATTATAAATTATTAGAGATTTCACATGGACATCATGTAATACCACAGGAGTTCCATTATGATCTACCGTTAATTAACATCCACTGCCTATATTTCAAAGTGCTATTGCTCTGTCACACCACAGGCTGTTATACAGACCATAAATGCTATCAATATTCCTGCATTTATCTAAGCTCCAACTGCTTAAAATGTGATTTGTCCCATAATACCTTCTTAGTTTGATATGTGACTCAGATTGCTGACCTCACATTACTTCTATCTCAAGTTGTCATGCAGTCAATTTTACTGAATAACTGCGGGCTTAAGAGCACAGAGGAGAACCAGTATTGGAAGGAAAACATTACTCCCATAATTTTAAGAAAGAAAAGAAATACTAGGATGAAGAGTGTGGGGGCTATTCTGTGCCAATGAAAACAAGTTGTAAAGTTGTGAGTTTCCTGGGGCAGAACATAATTTAGTCCGTGCCTTGCAGTTTAATGAGTTAGGAGATGCTCGCAACTTTGGAGAGAAAGCCTGCTGGTTTACATACTTTCTTGCGTTCTTCTCTTTCTCTCTCTTCCTTTTTCCTCTTTTTCATCAACATTTACTTATTGAGTGTCTAATACATGCATTCCTTAGTGTACCAAGGAGAAGCCAAACTTTTCAGTGTAACAGCAAAGAATAAGTCCGTCACACTACTAGATTAAATAGTAGTATGAAAAAAGTTAATATAACTTAACAAATAATTTGCTTTTACTATAAAGGCATTTGCTAAATATTAGAGTTTCATAGACTATTATGATTAAGGATTTTTTTAGTGATAACCTAGTCTAACATTACCTAAGAAAAATGAGACAAAAATTAGCAAGTAAGTGGTTGGAGTAATACCAAAAGTTAAGGCACTAGAAAATCAGAACGAGAGCCCCGTCTCGTAGAACTTGGCTAGCAAATGTTTTTCTTCTTACACATGCTTTTATAATTTGCTATCCTAAAAAGACAATTGCAATTGCAAGACAGACAGATTTTATACCATATAGTTTAAGCGCTTATTTTTCTTTAAGCAAAACAAATTAATGGAGAAACTATGAGGGCCGAGTGCAGTGGCTCATGCCTGTAAACCCAACACTTTGGGAGGCTGAGGCAAGTGGATTGCTTGAGCTCAGGAGTTTGAGACCAACCTAGGCAACATGGCAAAAACACATCTCTACAAAGAATACAAAAATTAGCCAGGTGTGGTGGCATGCATCTATTATCCTAGCTACTTAGAGGCTGAGGCAGGAGAATCGCTTGAGCTGGGGAGGTTGAGGCTGTAATGAGCCGTGTTTGCATTACTGTACCCCACCCTGGGTGACAAAGTGAGACTCTGTCAAGAAAGAAATTATGGAGATGTTAACCCCTTAAGCCTTGTGTAATGGAAAAAGTCACAAAACTACAATAGTGAGGGAGCAAACAATACATGATTTGAGACAAAACACTTAAATTTGAAAAGCTTTTGAACTGCAAAGTGAGTCTCTCTAAGCTACAGTTGCTCATTGTTATGGAGCATACTAGGGTTTAAATGTGTCTCCTAAAGTTCATGTGTTAGAAACTTGATCCCCACTGTGAAAGTGTTCAGATGATGGAGCCTAATGGGAGGTGTTTGGGTCATAGAGGTGATCCCCTCATGAGTTGATTAATGCTGTTTTTGTGGGAGGAGCTTCCTTATAAAAGTGGAGTTCAGCCCCCTTCTCCCTCTCTCTCTCACGCACACCCCCTCTCAATTTCCATCATGGGATGACATAAAAAGAAGGCCCTCACCCAAGGCTGGCCCCTCAGTTTTGGACTTCTTAGCCTCCAGAATGGTGATAAATAAATTTCTCTTTTTTATAAATTGCTCAACCTCAGGCATTCTGTTATAGCAACAAAAAATGGACTAAAATAGAACACAAGGTCGTTCTTTGGAGATCACCTTTTTTACTTGCCTATCAGATAAGCTCCCTCACACTGGAAGAAAGCCATTGGCATAAAACTGTGTTTTTGTGTTAAAAATGTACAAATGGTCAAACACTTAAAAATTCTAGAGTTAAAAAGCAATGACCCTTTGATGTTTTCTGAATGCTTGTCAAATAATGAAGTTATTGCCCTGATCAGGCAGGAGAGGTTGATAAAGAGTATAGGGGTTAAGGGTTGCTTACAAATGACAGGAGGGCTGGCTGTATCCTGTCTATGAAGCCCTTATGAAGAAAAACGAAGTCCCAGGAAAATAAAAGGCATTTAGTGTTATGATCTTTATAGATCCTTTGCTTAGTTTTTTGCGAGGTAAAACTCAACTTAGAGAAGATATTTTATTCTCAATGTGTCCAGGCATCTTTGCCAGCTCAGGAACAAATGTAGAGCTCTGCAATAGATAAAACCTGCATTGTGATTAGATGAGCTGCCAATCAAAGTCCTCAGTGGTGTCTGATTGGAGAACAGAATCCTGGATTTGTAGAAATTTGGAGTGGGCTGAACCAATAAACCTCCACACACCTCAGATACCCTGGGACTAGTTCCAAAAAGAGAGCCAGAAACCAGTATGCAGTGTGGGTTTGGGCAGAGACAGGAGTTTTCTCCAGTGGGTGGAAAGAAAAAATTTGACAAAAGGAACAAACCTGGAGTTCCTAGGAGCCCACGGTGATCTGGTGATCTCTGTATAACATACTCTAGATAGCTTTTACCCCTAGTGCAAGTTTCAAAATGACAGTTTTCAACTTTGATATTAGCTTTTATTATTTTGCTCCAACTGACATTTTCTTAATATTAGATGTAAATGTATATACTGAATTTTTATATATATTACATAATTTAGTAATTAGAGAGTTTATTTTTCTGAAAAAAAATCAAGCCCCACAGCTGAATAGTATATTTTCATAGTTTTCTCAGTTAACCTTCATAGAGAAAGGTTCAGTTAGAGTTTTATGCTACCCTCAATGATGCCTGCTGGTAGCAGCTAAGCTGGGGTTAATTCCCAAAGTGAAATAAAGTAGTCTCTGGGCAATATGCCCTACAAATCTAGCTTAGTTGGTGATTACAAGTTTCAGACTCATTATCTTCTTTTTTTCACTCAAACAAATAAATATAGCATTTAAATATCAGGCAAGTTTAGAGAAATTTGTTTTTGTTCACTTATTTAAGGCTGAATAAAGGGCTCAGATGAATTCACAAAAAAATTAATATACATTTGCCCAACAAATATTTAGTGAGTACTTTCTTTTTCCAGAACTGTGACTGTTCAAGATGTAATATATTTCTATATTAGGGTTACTTTTACTTTTTTACAAAATTAAACTTATATCTCAGGAAGTATTTTAGGATGAAATGAATAAAATAATAAAAGTGTTATATATTTATTTATTTATTTATTTTTTGCATGAGGAACTTTCTGATAAACCCAGGAGATGGCAGGAATTGAAGAATAAAAGGAAGGATGAAAGAAATGGTAAGGGGGCATTGACTAGATCTTTGTGGAAATGCCATTTTTTTCCACTGGCATTAGCTTCCTGGGTAGCTCAAATAGATGTACGATCTCAAGATTGATGGCTTCCTTGCATTCCTTTCACTTAGAATAACAGTGAGTCATTGCGCTCAGCTCCAGCTTTAAGCAGAACTTCGGAAAGAACATTTCTTGTAGGGTTTTGTCGTTTTGCTAATGAATCACGTGGAGCTCTCTTATGGTTAGAGGGCCCCCAATCAGGAAGGATATTGGACCAGTTGGATAAAGGAGTTTAAGGAATCAGTGACATTCCTCATAACTGAGGCTATAGACTTGTAGAAACGTATTCACTCTGTGCACAATCTAGGTGACACATTTTTAAAAATTATTTCTAATCCTGGGGCTGTAGGAAATAGTAACTGGAGGGCTGAGGGAGTTACATTGCCATTGCACTGCTCATGCCCTTGTAAAATCCTCCCCTGAAAAAGCAAATTGGACTTTTGGGTTCATCCCTCTTCTTGACAGACTGAGTGAGCCATATTCGTAATGGCATTTTGTTTTTTAAAAAGATATTAGTTATTATGCAAAAAGGCAAAACTCCTGGTGGACAAATAAGCATTGCTAATTTTGAGGAGATTCCTTCTGAGGCCGTTCTATTACCTTCAGATGTTGGCCATTCCTTGGAGGTGGTCTTGACAAGAGACTAGACCAGACTCCTTTCCCTTTTTTGTAACCACGTCTGATAGATGTGATAATCTTCTAATCTTTTGGGAGTTCTGATGAACATCTTTCCCCAAATAACTCTGAGCTCTGTTTGTCAGGTGACCATGTGTACTAGTCTGTTCTCACACTGCTATGAAGAAATACCTGAGACTGGGTAATTTAGAAAGGAAAGGGATTTAATTGACTCATAGTTCTGCATCGCTGGGCAGGGAGCAGGGGGAGGTTCTTAGGAAACTTAAAATCATGGTGGAAGGCAAAGAAGAAGCAGGCACCTTCTTCAGACGGAGGCAAGACAGAGTGCCTAGCAAAGGGGGAAGCCCCTTATAAAACCATCAGATCTTGTGAGACCTCACTCACTATCATGAGAACAGCATGGGGGAAACCATCCCCGTGATGCAATTATCTCCACCTGTTCTGCCCTCAATGTGAGAGGACTGTGGGGATTACAATTCAAGACAAGATTTGGATGGGGACACAGAGCCTAAGCATATCACCAGGGTTCCCCAAAGTGTCCCTTACTTTGGCACAGAAAGAACTGGAACAAAGAACTATCTGACCACAAGGCTCTGGACACAGAACTGCGCAGAAATGTGTGAATTGGAGATCAAGCTTTGGCTAATGGTTTTTTCATTAGCCAAAGTTGAAATTCAAAAGGGGTTTTTTGTCACAGATGGCATGGGTAAACCTGGAGGACATTATGTCAAGTGAGATAAAACCCAGTCGCAGAAGGACAAATACTATGTGATTCCACTTAAAACATGAGGTATCTAAAATAGTCAGACTCATTGAAGTTGCCAGGGACTGGGGGTGGGGAAAATAGGGAGTTAGTCAATGGGTATAAAGTTTCAGTTGTTCTGGATGAATACGTTCAAAGTATCTGCTGTACAAAATAGTGCCTATAGTTAACATCATGGTATTGTGTACTTCAAAGAGTGTGTTAAGAGGGTAGATCTCATGTTAAGTGTTCTTACCACAAAATAAACGAAAAACAAATACAAATGAAGAGAAACTTTTGGAGGTGTCAGATATGTGTATTACCTTGATTGCAGTGATGACATCATAGGTGTTTCCATATGTCCAAACTCATCAAATTATACACATTAAATACATGAAGTTCTCTGTGCATTATTTATACCCCAATAAGCTGTTAAAAATAAATATTTAAAAAATATTAGTTAAATGAATAAATGAATTAATGAATTCAGTAGCCATTGATTATAAAGAGTCAGATTTTGTGGCAGGTCCCTGGAATACAGAATTAAAGAAGACAGTCACCAACATCAAGGGAAAGTGTCTGAGACACACATAAAAATGCATAATTCCAGTACAGAGTGTTCGCTGCTAAAATAGATGCCGACTGTAGAGCACTGAAGAGTAAGAGTAACAGCCCAGTGAATCAGGAAATAATGCCGCAGGAAGGAAATTTTGAGCTGGCATTTGGTCTTTTAATTAAGGCAACATTAATTCCACCATATCATTACTTTCAAATTATTTCTATGTTATGTCTCTCAATTGCTTTTGTAGGCTAACATGTTGGCTAGGAGTTAAGCCATGGCTTTAAAATGCATTCTGATGTGATTGTATTCATTTACCAGTTGAAGAAACATTATTGATACCATAGTTTATTTTCTGTTACTTTCCAAATTTTTAAAACTTTGAAAATCACCCAAACTATATCAAGAAATCTATAGTATGCCTATAAACTTAGAATATCTAACAAAAGACATCTATTGTTTTAACATAATCATCCTTTCCTTTTTCTGATATCTTATATTTTCCTGGACCATCATGCACTTCAGGTTTTAAAATACATTTCCGTAGAGTTGAGACAGATGATTTTAATTTGCTTGCTATGATTCATTCTCATTACCAATTATAATTTTGTGATTTTGTGCTTTTTCCTGTATTTTTAAGTTCATGTTTATTTTTTCAAAGAACAAAGTTCTGCATATATTTATAAAAGTTATTGTTTCGCTTTATTAATTTCTGCTTGTATATTTGTTATTTCTCTCCTGCCAGTATATCTTGGTTGATTTTGCTTATTCTTTTTCAAACTTCTTATGTGGAGTACTTACTTCCTTTTTTAAAAAAAACAAATTCTTTTTAAGTTTCCAGATTTTTTTGTGAGCATAGTTTTAGCCATTTTCCATATTGTGTAATTTTTATGCTTTTATTTAAAAACTTTTATTTATATTTATTTGTTGCTGTTATAAAGGCGTTCGTTCATTCTCATCAATATCGCTGATACTGTGATGGTTCATATTGGTCAGAATAGTTCCTCTCCTTACAGTAGGTAATCTGCAGCCTCACTGGCTCACTGGGGACACAGGGAGGGGTGCGAGCTGAGCCCAGGGTGGGGACGATGACTCTTCAGGCAGGCAGCCTGTCCCGTGTGAAAGAGGCATGGGTTAGTGAACCACCAGGGAAGCAGAGTTGGCAGAAACGGCCTCACAGTCTTTTATTTTTCCCCAACCATCAATGATTCTCCACCCATATTTCCAAGTTTCAGGTTAAAGTGTTTCCTCTCAATTTTTGTCATGAATTTGTAGTGTTGTTTCATATTATTATAAATTATGGACTGTTTCACTATGACTTATTTGAATTTATTGAAAGTTTTTGTTATATTGCCTAATTTAGAAAATGTTTTAATGACATTCATAAAAGGCAAATATCTTCTTTATTAAATGTGCTATTTCGTTCTACTTATTATTTATTAATATAAATAAAACTACATCATTTTGTCAAAATTTTCAAGTACTTCTGACATGCCTGTGGTATATTCTCAAGGTATATGATAACTCTTTGAAAGAATCAAAAGACTACGCAGTCCAGGACCACTGAAGAATATTTGCCAGCACTCTGAAGATTTTAAGAGGTTTTGAAAGAAAAAGGATTGGTGTCCAAATAATTTTTGAGTGATTTGAGGTTAACAAAAATTAAAAATCATTTCTTTCTGAGTTTCCAAAGGTCTTTAATATGTTAGCATGAATTGAGTATCTCTAAGATATAGCTATTTAATACAAGTTTTCCAAACTAATTTTGTCATGAAAAGTTGTTTTGTGGGACATCTCAAGTAAAGTGACTGGATTTCATTGGAAGTTTTTAATAAGGCAATAGAAGCTAAGAGACCGTTCCAAAACTGTGAACTTAATTGACAAACTTTGGATCTGGTGTTTTGGCAGTGCCAGTAGTTCCATATCAAGTGTATCAATAGTTAGCTAAATATTGCCCATCAAATTACATGGAAAGAGAGTGAAACAACTTAGTCAGCAGTCTGAACTGGATCTAGGCTAGCAATCTATTAAATTCTAATTGATAGCCTGTATCGTCGTGGCTCAATTTTTTCAAACGCTTCTGACCGACTGTGGTATATCATCCATAAGTGAATTTTCATTCCACACTGTAACTGAAAATTCATTCATTCAATTAAATATTGAGCCCCTGTGACGTCTTAAGCACTGTCACTATTAAACAGGACAGTTTATGCTCCCTTCTTGGAGCTCATTTGCTTCTTTAGAGACATAGACAATAAATAGGAAAATATAAAAATTTAAAAAGTTATGAATACAAATTATGTTTCTGGTGGGTTACTTCAGATTGGCAGACATGGAAAATATCTCCAGATGCAGGAATGTTCTTTGAAAATGATATTTTAATTTTGCTCTTGAATTAGTCCACTTCTTCTTGATGCTGATACTCAAGCAGCTGTTTCCTAATGACTGGGTACAGAAAACCTCACCATGCTGGCTGATGGCCTCAGATCAAGCGTAAGAGCATGAGAAGGTTCAGAAAATTGTTTGGCACAAATGTGTAATAAGTAGATGCAGTGTCTGTTTCACCTGAAGATGAGAAGTAATAGTTCTATTTAGAGAATATTTTTGATTCTCCCTTGTTCAATGGGGATAAATGCTGCCTTAATTTTTAAATTGACATGTGAAATTAAATTTACATGGAAACATATGTTTATCGCAGGGAAAATTAATCATTTGAACGGGTACCTAACAAAGCCTTTAAGAAAAAAAAAATAAGAGTTGGGGTTTCACTATGTTGCCCAGGCTAGAGTTGAACTAACAGGCTCAAGTGATCCTCCCACCTGACCCTCCCAGGTAGCTAGGATTACAGGTGCCTGCCACCATGCGCTGCTAATTGAGCTTTTTAAATGATCGGTCATAACAAAAATGTTTCTGTTTGGCCTGTGTGCTCATGTCATTTAACATTCATCATGTGTCCCTGATTAAGTTGAAATCAGACTTTATTTTAATATATATTTTCACAAAAGGGTAAAAGAACATACATTAAAGCACATTTCAAGATCGATCTATCTATCTTTATATATATTAGATCTTACACTATTGTCATAAAAAAGTACACAAAATTGCGCTCCAGTGTAAAATTCTATGTCACATTGTTCTCTGTTTTAAACTTTTCACAAGTAATTGTTACTGGCACTATTGTTTTTGAGAGGAAAAATGCATGTATAAAGGAAGGCACAGTATATGTAAGGTTTTGATAAAGCCATTTGCAAATATCCTTTCTAAATATATTAAACATTTGGCCCCAGGCAAATAATAATGTTTTATGGGATGGAGGAAATAGGGAGAGTTAATATTTTTATAAATATACAAGAAGCTGTCTGATCTTGAGTCACTTTAAATGCTCATTTTGCTTTTAATGAGTAAAAATGTTCTTCAAATAGTAATTTATAATTTGTATTTCTTCTTTTGTGAATTTTCTGTCAATACATTTTGTCAAATGTTTTCCCACTATTGGGATTCATGTCGTTTCTTTGCATTTGACAAAGCCCTACTTTGCCATTTCTGTCACAGGTTGTAAATATTTATATCAAATTATAATTTGCTTTTTGGTTTCTTTACATATTCAATCCATTTGAGTAAATAAAACTAAGGAAGCTCTAAAATGTAAGGTTATTTTATGTTACTAATTATGATTTCTGCCTTTAAATTTGTTAAAGAGCCATCTATGTGTTCTTCTATTTCTTTTAGGGTTTCATATTCTACATTTAACATTTACTGTGCAGAAATTATTTTATCTTTTCTCCAAATTGTTCACCAGGAGACATAAGCTTATTATTTGTATATTTGTGTATTTTGTATATTTGTGTATATTTGTATATTTATTGATTTATTGAATAGTAGTCTTGCTATATATATAATATATGTATTATGCATATATATTTCATGTAAAATAATCCCCACTCTTTTTTTTTGAGACAGAGTCTTGCTCTGTTGCCCAGGCTGGGGTGCAGTGGCGCAATCTCGTCTCACAAGCTCCGCCTCCCGGGTTCACGCCATTCTCCTGCCTCAGCCTCCCTGGTAGCTGGGACTACATGCGCCTGCCACCACGCCCAGCGAATTGTTTGTCTTTTTAGTAGAGATGGGGTTTCACCGTGTTAGCCAGGATGGTCTCAATCTCCTGACCTCGTGATCCGCCTCCCTTGGCCTCAAAAAGTATTGGGATTACAAGCCTGAGCCAACACGCCAGGCCAATCCTCACTCTTTCCTGACTTATAAAATCCTTTTTATGAAATTTGTTTTCTTTATTATATTCCATTATTCATAAGCAAATGTATTACTATTTTAATTAGTATATCTTTATAATACTTTTTAATTCTTGATACTTTTTAAGTCCTACCTTAAAAGTCTTTACGAAATTTTTTACCTTAAAAGTCTTTACAATTTTTTTGTTTGTGTGGTGGGGGCGGTGGGGGCGGGGGGACAGAGCAGAGTCTCGCTCTGTCGCCAGGCTGGAGTGAAGTGGCCCAGTGTCAGTTCACTGCAACCTCCACCTCCCGGGTTTAAGCAAGTCTGCTGCGTCAGCCTCGCAAGTAGCTTGAACTACGGGCAAGCACCACCACACCTGGCTAATTTTTGTATTTTTTGTAGAGACGGGGTTTCACCATGTTGGCCAGGATGGTCTTCATCTCTTGACCTCCTGATCTGCCTGCCTCGGCCTCCCAATACAATTTTTTTTTTTTTTAGCTAAACTTGTACATTTATTTTTAAAAATAAACTCAGATTATATTGGAAAATTTCCTGCAACTCATAGTAATTTTTTTCTCTAGTTATTCAAGAATTCTTTGTAAATTTCTAAAAAATAATTTTACTCTTTACCTAATGATGTAATAAATTATAGTTTGGATTTATTGTAATAAATTATCTCTGCATTACTATAAATATGCTTTTTTGATCGTAGGTCCAGGTAGTAATATTGCTGGTAAGCTCTAAAGTATTTTACATTTATTCACATTAGAATAAATGTACTGTGACCATAGATTGGTCACAGTTTTCTATGTTTTGGTGCTATAAATTTCTGATATACTGGTTGCAATTGATTATAAATATGATTTGAAACTCCCAATATTTACCCGTTATGAATCATTATATAGCATGGGTATTATAAATGGACTTTAGTAATGCAAGAATTTATTTTTAAATTGATATTGACACTTATTTTAGATATATTCTTTGACCACTAATTTTTTCAATATCTAACATTTATTTTCCTATTCATGTTTCTAATTACTTTTAATTTAATTTTAGTTGTATATTGTGAATTTCATTGATATAGTCACATATATTAGTATGAAGTCATAAGTTACTTCTACAAATGTATGTTTATTTCCCCCATTAACATTAATTTTTAAATTAAGATTTTTCTATTTTTGCTTGATTTGTTCTTTTCTTGTTTATCCCCCAAAGAATAACCTTTTGGTTATATTCACAAACACCGATCTTTTAGTTTTAGGTTTTAATATTTTAATTTTACTTTTCTGAATTTATATTTTCTTGTTTTTTGTTTTGTTTTTTGCATTTTTTAAGTTTTTCTTTCTTCATCCCAAGATTTTATATTGCTGGATTCAATTTGCTGATATTTCGTGGGAATTTTATGTTGAGGTTCCTGAGGGATATTCATCGACAGTTTTATTTTTTTCAATGGCTCTTTTGCTTTCTGGGTAATTTTGGTCTCATAACAAGAGTTGGTAAGCATTCCCCCTTCTCACACTTTCTGGAAGAGCTTGTGTAGAATTGGATTATTTCTTCCTTAAATGTTTGGCAGAATACACTAGTGAAACAATCTAAGTTTGGATTTTTCTTTGTTGGAAGTAACGTAGCAACTTCTACTTTGTTTTTATTTGATTATTCTCTAATATCTAAGCTTGCTTTTTTATTTTCAAACTTTCTGGATCATTTCTTCTTTTCACTTACTCCTTTTTAGATCCCATGCAATTGGTTTTGACTGATTGGTTTTTATCTTAATCTCATTATTTTCCTATTTTACCAAATAAGCTAAACTGTTTAGCTACTCAAATTTACTGTCATAACTAATTATATAGTCTTATTTTGTCACTTTTTTTTACTTTAATATGTATCTGCAATTGATTCCTTAGATTTGTGTGTTATGCCATATTAACTGTTTTCTTTCACTTGGTTATATCTAATTATTTGGAATTTTCATCACATTTTTAATTATCTCACTATCTTTGTTCATTAAATATTGCTACAACTAATTAGGTGTAATATTTAATTCTCAGAGTCATAACAGTATATAGTTTAACTGCTTATTGCCTTCTTGTTTTATGATAGAATTTTAATTTTTTGTGTAATTATTGTTAAATTATACTTTCTGTCATATTTCTTTAAAGAAATACTTACAACACTTGGATTTTTTCTTGAGATGGAGACTTGCTCTGTTGCCCAGGCTGGAGTGCAGTGATGGATCTTGGCTCACTACAACCTTTTGATCAAGCCATTTGATCGAGGGTTCAAGCCATTCTCCTGCCTCAGCCTCCCGAGTAGCTGAGATTACAAGCATGCGCCACCACACCAGGCTAATTTTGTATTTTTAGTAGAGACAGGTTTCATCATGTTGGCCAGGCTCATCTCAAACTCCTGATCTCAAATGATCTGCCCACCTAGGCCTCCAAAAGTGCTGGGATTATGGCATGAGCCACCATGCCTGGCCCACATTAACTATATTTCCTGATGCTTAAATCTGTGTTTCAATGGTTTTAATGCTTTCTTTCAGTTGCTTTATGTTGCAATACCCCCATTACATTCTATTTTTATTTAATAAATCTCATTTCTGTAATATATTTTGAGTACTTTACTAATACATAGTTGGTAAATAGTAATGAAGACTTCCTTATGTGATAATTTTTTCTTCAGGTGCCAAGTCGCATGAACCACAAATTAGCTCAGCATATAATTTCTAGCAATAACTTTTTCTCATTGAAGTTCTTTAGACTTTGAACCATTACTGGGATCTTACATTATGGGAAAAAGTCTGACATGAGGTCACAGTGTCTTCTTTTATGAATAAATTGATTTTAACACTTGATGTATGTACCAGTGAAAGTCTCTAGAGCATAGTAAACCCTCTTAGCTTGTATTAATATTTAGGCCCCATATAGGAATATTTTCTTCTATTATATTTGATTATTGTCCTTTTTTAAAAAAATTGGTTTTGCCCAAGGAACACCAGTGATCCATCTGTATGTTTTTGGTTGGGCTATCCACCTTATCTATTATAGCCTTTATTATTTGTGTGATTTGTTCTTAATAATCTATATTCTGCAGGATTTTTTTCAAGCTTTCATCCATAACATGGTTTTATTTTTTCTTCTATTTCTTGTTAAGGACTAGTATTGTCTAGTTGTTTTTCTTTTTAATCTCAAGCTATTTTTTTTTCTTCAACGAATGTTTGAGTGCCTTCTATTGCACTAGGAACACCAGTGAACAAAACGGTCAAACATCCCTGCACTGAGGGAACTTATATTCTGTGGCTAGAGAGAGATTAAAAAAACATACATATGTAATATATCAGACGGTAGTACTTAGGAGAGAAAAAAGTAGGTAAGAAAGCTGGGGAGTGTTATGACTGGAGATTGGCCTCATCCAAAAGGTGAAGGATTTGATAAAACAGTGTGATAAAAATATCTAAATAAAGAGCATTCCAGATAGAGGAACAAGGAAAAATGTTTCAAGATGGGATGGTATCTAACTTGTTCCAGTGATAGCAAGAGGCCAGGGATTCTGGAGCAGGAAGACCAAAGGTAAGAGTGATATGAGAACAAAGAGTAACAGAGATGCTGACTGTGTAGGGCTTCCTAAGGCACAGTAAGAATGTAGCTATCTAGCCATCTAGCTATCTCTCTCTGTCCCCACCTCTCACTCACTCTTGAAAGGTAAATGAGATGTGATATTCATTCTAAAATAGTGGGTGTGAATTCTCCTTGTGTCCCCTCAAAAATTATCAAAATGATACTGGAATTCTCTCTTAAATCTTAAGCTAGAGCACACAGATAAATCATTAGACTAAAAAGAACGTGGTAGGAGCTAGAACCATGAATCAACCCAAGTGTTTACCTCTACATGGCTGTTTCTTCACTGTTTTTGTGGAAGCTCTGTACCAAGGACAAACTTTCCATTTGTGTCCAGCCTGAAATTATGTTGCATGATGAGACGTGTCTCTTTCCAGGTCTTGTTGTCTGCCTTAGGAAATACCTTCAGTAGCATGAGGGATAAGCTGTGTCCCAGGGAAACCCTATTATTCCCAAGTTTGGAGTGGCTACTAACTGCTGTTGTGGCAAAGCAGTCTCCTCAACCCTCAACCCATATTCTTCCTTCACTTGGTCATTCAAATTAAGAGCTGTGTTTAAATTTACTTTCTTCATTTCCAGTGTCATTGTACTTCCTTCAAAGGAGGAAGGGCAAAAAATTGTCTTTTAGTGTTTTCTATAATTTTGGGAAGAACTCTTAAAGCTTGTGTAATGTTTATTCTTAAATTTTGTGTTTTCTAGATGGTATCTTCCAAAATTTACAGCAATATCATTTAGATGTTTAAGTTGAATTCTGTTGTATGAATGTGTGTATGTTTAGAGAGATGCAGGGTGGTAGAGAAAGCAATATAAGGATAGTTAGGCATCTGCATAACAGTGTATTTGTTTTCTATTGCAGCATAACAAATCAATATTATTTTAGTGGCTTAGAGCAACACATATTTATTATTTTAGAGTTTCCATAGGTTGCAAATCTGGGCACAGCTTGGCTGGGTCCTCTTAGCTGCTTTGTGTCCTGTAAAGCTGTAATCAAGGTCTTTATTAGGCTGCGTTCTCATCTAGTAGCTTGATTGGGGAAGAATTGCTTCTAAGCTTATTCAAATTGTTGGAAGAATTCATTTTCTTGTGGCTGTATGAGGGCACCAGCTCTTTAGTGGTTGTTACCTTTATGCCAAACTCAGGTCCTAGAGGCTTCCCATAGTTTCTTGATGTGGGAAGTGTGGCTGCCTACTTCATTAAGGCTACAAGATCAATGTCTGACATCGAGGGAGGCCAAATCTTTTCTCAAGGACCTTCACCTAATAAGGCTCTTCCAGAAAAAATGTCCCTTTTGATTAATCACAAATAAACTGATTTGTGGACTTTATCTGTCTTTAAAAATCTCTTTATCTTTGCCATTTTCTATTGGCCAGAAGGAATTCACAGTTCTCATCTCCACTTAAAGGAAGGCATTTTTCAAGACTTAAATACCAGAGAAAGGAATAGTAGGGGACTTAGAATTCATCCTACCACATCAACCCACAATTGTCCCCAGATATATCTTAAAATATATGTATTATTTCATATAACTTAAATTAAAATTTAATTTTAAGTTAAATAGTGGAAAACATTTTAAGAAATCAGCTTATTTTTCATAGCAAAATTTAATACTTATGTATACTTTTCAAAACATCACTCAACTTTCTAAAATAAACATTTTATTGAAAATATACTCATCAACTTCCATGAAATACTTATGGACTATTCTAATTTTATTTATTTAGTACTCTGACGGTTTCATCATCTAACTTATTTTTTCAGGCTAACTTCCAAGTACGCTGTCTCCATGCTCCTCAAAACACACATTGTTTTCCAGAGCATAAAAACACAGCACTAAAAGAATGATCCATTGCAGATTTGCCTGCCTGCCTGCCTGCCTGCCTTCCTTCCTTCCTCCTTTTTTTCTCTTTCTTTCTTTTCCTTTCTTTCTTTCTGAATCTTACTCTTGCCACCAGGCTGGAGTGCAGTGGTATGATCACAGCTCACTGCAGCTTCAACCTCCCAGGCTCAAACAGCTATCTTACCTCAACCTCTTGAGTAGCTGGAACCACATGAGCATACCACCATGCCCAGCTAGATTTTCTTGGCTGTTGTCAAGATGAGGTCTCCTTCTGTTGCCCAGGCTGGTCTTGAACTCCTGGGCTCAAGCGATCCTCCCACCTTGGCCTTGCAAAGTGTTGGGATTAGAGGCATGAACCACCACACCTAGTCTATGCATTAATTTCTAAAAAAATAGTTTATCTAAGTATGTTGGGTTTTTCTGTTGTTTGATTTTGGTTTATTTGTTTTTACCCTGTGACTCTACTGGGTCATTGACTATTCTTTTATATACTCATTTTGAAATTTTGAGAAATGAGAATAGACAATTAGGATAAGATGAAAATCAGTAATATTTGTATGAACTTTGACAAGCAGAGGAAAGATGATAAACTACTTTTTTCATAAGTTTGCCTTCCCTTTCCCATATTGTGCTTCAAGAATCATTCAACATTGTAAGCTGAATTACTACTTGTCTTTTTAGACATCTAATAAATGCATGAATAAAAAGTTTTATAGTGGTCTTTATCATATTTTAAGAATGGAAGCGAGAGACAAGAACAGGATATGCTATCCAGGTTCTTAATTTATCACCAACTAGGATTGCAATAGAATCTATTATCTGCCAGTAAAACCAATGTTTTTAGAAGTCAAAAACAGGTGGACCACTAGAAGTCTCCCTTTGTGAAAGTGGTAGAAATTGCCCCTGATTCAAGTCAGCTAATACTAGTAAGACTTTTAGAAGTAACTGGCTTCAGGCACACCCCTCTGATCTGTCTATTGTTCTGACTTGCCAGCAGGAAGGGTGCAGGAAGTTATGGTGTTCATTAAGAAAAGTGCCTTTCAAACCTCCCTAGACTCTAGCCTCAAGTGAACTAACTGACTGCAAGCTTGTCTGTTTCAATGTTGCAAGAGAACAATTTTTGTAAGAAAAAGCAAACAACTTTAACAGCAGGTGGCTGAAGCATAGCCTTCAGAAAGCTGTTAAGAACAATTTTTGTCTGTGAAATAAAACATGGTTGCGAGCGATATTATTTGCACTTATTGATTCAGTGAAAGAAGTCACCTTATGTTTAATTCAAATTGCAGTCCTGACATGGACGGGCTTAAAACAATCATGTTTTACAAATCCACTTGTTTAAATGATTCTCTTGTTGGTTGTTCACACTGTGCCCTGTGTTGTTGTATTATCACTCACTGCAAGTGCTATTTAAAGAAGTGGGAAGCCAGCAATACACATTGCTTTAGGGGGGCAGAGATTATACTTAGTAGAATAAGGCAAAGCATAGTAGGTGAGTGTTAATTTCACAATGCATCTTTGTATTTCTTCAGTCTACTTCAATTGTTACTCTCCCTTTCTGTCCCTATTGGTGGATTTAGTGTGCTCCCATATATGCAGTTATGATGGCCATATTTCTTTTTTCTCTTGGGGTTGAGATGCAGTATAATATGCTACAAAATCTTTCAACTAATTTTTCTTTTAGTTCTATCTATGTTGGGCATCACAGTGCTTTTCAAAAATCTCAATTTCATTCTTTAGATGCCAAAGCACTGTACTGGATGTAAAGAAAAGCTTGTCAAAACACTGACAAGATGGGGTAGACCGTAATTCTCTGCAACCCAATTATTCTTACCATTTAAATTAGGAAAATCTCCTTGAAATTGCTGAGAAATTGCTGTAGATTGAGTTTTGGCCGATTTTATGGAAGTAACTTTGATCATGGGAACATCCATGGAAGCTCTTCTGATTGCATTTGTGAAGTTCTGCAAATACGAGTGCAGAGAAAGGTTAAATAAACTCCCTCAGATTTTAAAAATTAATGAGTAAAAGTGAACCTTGTTTGTATGTATTTTAAAATTCCAGTCAGAGGCCGGGCACGGTGGCTCACGCCTGTAATCCCAGCACTTTGGGAGGCTGAGGCGGGCGGATCATGAGGTCAGGAGATCGAGACCATCCTGGCTAACAAGGTGAAACCCCGTCTCCACTAAAAATACAAAAAAAAATTAGCCGGGCGCGGTGGCGGGCGCCTGTAGTCCCAGCTACTCGGGAGGCTGAGGCAGGAGAATGGCGTGAACCCAGGAGGCGGAGCTTGCAGTGAGCCGAGATCCCGCCACTGTACTCCAGCCTGGGCGACAGAGCGAGACTCTGTCTCAAAAACAAACAAACAACAAAATTCCAGTCAGAAAGGATAGCTGATCCATGTGCATGGAATTACGAACCCTAGACTCATGATAGCTGGTAAAATTGGAAGGAACCTGATACGAAGTCCCAATGTTAGTTAAACAGGGAAGAGCACCAGGAAAGAACCTGCATTGTACAGATAAAACTGAGTGTACAGATAAAACTGAGTGTACAGATAAATATTCATTAGGTACAGAACTCAGATTGAGGAGGCATCCACAGTTCCCTGGAACGGTGCTTGCTTGCCTTCTCTTACTTCTTTTTCTTCCTCTTGGTGGGTCAAAGGCATCAGTCCCCTGGAGCCCAATAAACCCCAGAAAAATCACATATGTACAGCTTTTTGAAAAAGCAGTGGCTTTAGTGTCAGATAAATCCAAGTTTGTGTCCTAAATCTTCCACTTCAGTAACTGCTTGGCCGGCCCTGGGCAATGGGCAAATTCCAGGAATCTCAGGTTCTTAATCTGTACAAACAGAGATAACATCTCCCTTACAGGTTTGTTGTGAAGAATTAAATAAAATAAGTTCCTCAGTCACCCAGAGGAATGCTTTATTATTTGGCTTCTGTTGTTCCTGAATCTGCAAAGCTGAGAACTCAAGATTCTGGGGATCACTCCTCATGAGACCTTGTCTTAGTGCCCACCACACTTGCCATGGCATCTGCATGCACTTTCAGCAAGTGCCGTGCCCATCATTCTCTCATCCATAGTTGTGTGGATCTAACAGTCTCTTTTGAACAATGAATGAGCTCTGAAGAAGTAAATGGAAGGCATAAGAAATATTCTAGCACTAGCAACAAATTTAACCTGAAATTCAGTCGTTTTCCTTGTTCTTTCTTTCATTGAGTAAATCATCTCTTAGCATCGCCAATGCACACGTGGATAATTGTTTTAGGAGACACAAAAATGAATCAGCACATGCTTGCAGTCTAATAGATGAACTAATATATGTAAATAAGAAAATACTAAAGATGTGAGAAAAAGTTAGGAGCCATAAGAGAAGTACTGATATATTTTATTAATTAGACAAAATGATTTAATATTAATGTACCATGCTTCCTGGGAGACTAGAATTCTGAACACTGAACTTATATTGAAGAAATGAAAAATCACGTCATTAATATTATAGCCGATTGTTTCCATGTCTCACCAGATCTTTAAGAGGCAGGGCATTTAATTTTTCCTTGCTTAAACACCTCAGCATTTAGATCTTTGTATGTATCTTGCACATAATAGAAATCCAAAGCATAAATGAAGCAATGAATGAGTGAATGGAAAAAATGGGAATAAGAGGAAATTAATAAGACAAAAATGAAGACAGTATAGCCTTAATCAGCACAAGCAGAAAAGATGTCCCATAATGTTTTTCCCCCAGTAAAAACTTACTAACTCATACCCTGTTCTAGGACTATGGCAGAATAAATCCTGGTTTTTATTTTCCAGGCAGCAAGTTTTAAAAGACAGGTAAATCTATTCTCATAGATTTGGTAAGATAATTGATATGCTCCTCAATAAGTTGTATAAATATAAATAAGTAGATCTGTGCTCTATTACTGTATTATTAAACTTACAACATTTTCTGAAACTGCCTTATAACATTAAAAAATCCTATGTCATAGCCAATGTTAATACCCTACTTCTGATAATCTAAGTTTCAGTCAAATTGGAGGAATTAAAGTGACTCAAAATTGTAAGCATGTGGTTGTTACCCTGAAGACAAATATAGTTGTGATTGAGCATTCATTGTCTCTCAGCCAAAAGGTTGCCACTAAAATAAATTGAGAATGGAAATGTTGGCAGAGGTATCAAATGGATGGCTCACGTGTTTGGAAAACCTCTGTTGACCCATAAGCATCTATCTTGACAGATGAGAATGAGAGTGAAAAGAATCTTGGCTCATGTAAAGAAAGGTGCCCCTTTGAAGTCAAATTGTAGGGTAACCTCAATACAGCTAGTAAATCAGGCCCAACTCTTTGGTTCTTTGAATTGCCTACCTAACTTCACCATGGCAATGCGTGCTACAATACACAACTGTTACCAAGCTTCATTAATATTTTATAAGAGAATACTGAACATAAATGTTTAGAAGGATTACATGCATAGAATCAAATGAACAAATACATGTAAAACATTTGAAACAGTGCCTGCACTAGTAAGTAGTCAATAAATATGGGTACTATTATTAGTTACACACACTTAAAAATGGTCACTTTAGTGAAATAAATGCTTTTCATTTTGGTTTATTTAGTTAGTTAATATTAAGCCAGTCAGTTTTTAAGTGACAATGTGAACTTTTTACAAATTGGAAACATAATAGAATAATTAATACAATTTTATAATATCATGATTTTATATACTATACACTATAATTTTATAATATACCTTATACTTTAAGATTTCTTAAATTTATTTTACAATAACCCTGTTAGGTTGGGCAAGGAAAATTCTATTATGGCTTTTTTTTTTCTGTAGAATTGGAGTCTATAGGATTTTGTAGGGTTTGGAATTTTGAAAAATTTAAATGAGTTATTCAAGTATACACGATTTTTTTTTTGTCCTCTAGGACCCAGCTAAGAAAATAGTACATATCTCCCAATGACACATCTAATGTTCTTTCCACTACCTAGCTCACCTTATAATGGTGCAGCAAAGCAGGAATTTCTGTTTATTTGTTTTGTTTGTAAGTGAAAAAGCAAAATGGTATATAATAGAAAGAGCTTTTGGGGAAACTAGACCTGGTATTAAATGATCTCTCCGCTACTGCAGTAATAATTATGATCACCTACTGATTACCCCTTACAAGTGAGATAACTCATTAAAAGTTTAGTTGATTTTCAGAACAATTCAACAATGAAAATGCTGTTGATGCTCACATTTTACAGATGGGGGAAATAAACTGATCCTCAAGAATTTCTTTTTTTTTTTTTTGAGATGGAGTTTTGCTCTTGTTGCCCAGGCTGGAGTGCAATGGTGCACTCTCGGCTCACCTCAACCTCCGCCTCCAGGGTTCAAGCGATTCTCCTGCCTCAGCTTCCTGAGTAGCTGGGATTACAGGCATGTGCCACCACACCTGGCTGATTTTGTATTTTTAGTAGAGACAGGGTTTCTCCATATTGGTCAGGCTGGTCTCGAACACCCGACCTCAGGTGATCTGCCCGCCTTGGCCTCCCAAAGTGCTGGGATTACAGATGTGAGCCACCACACCCATCATTTTTTTTTTTTAATGGTATCTTTGTGAAAGGGAAGCACCTGGGGTGATCTGGATCACAAACTGGTTCTTACATTTTGTTATTGCGATTCCTATCAGACTGTATACTAATGCTCATACAGTGCAACCTGCCTCATTAAACATTAGTTTCTTCATTTGTAACAGGGCGTTAGTTTCTTCATTTGTAACGTCATAAAGATACTACTTGCTTTGCATGGTTGCTGTGAGCTATTATTTAAAAAGTGTCCAAATAGCTTACTACAAAGCCCTTCAATAGTAGAAATTCTAAAACCCTGGTTGCTCTATCATTACCTTCCGTGGATAATCATATTACTTGAATAAGGTATAAGCCACTTAGTGCTTTCAAAAATTCTTACATTTGGCTACATTTTGCAGTGATTAGTCAAGTTTTTATTTTATATTGGAGTAGTAACAGATGGACACATTTTGGTGCTATATGATTTTTAATATCAATTGTGAGAAAAATTGATGTGGACTCCAAGTTCTTAATTCTTCATTTTCATTAAGAAGGTCTCTTTAGATATAAACTTACCTATATAAGAGCCAAGGATTTTCAGAAGCTATGCTGAAAATAAACATTTTAATCATGAAGTTCTATAACTTCCACATTACTTGGCAGATTGTTGTCAAGCTTGTAGCTCTCATTTCTTTGTGGAATATGGTGGAATCAGAGCTGTTTCTAGATCGATACGTTTCTTTGATAAAGTATTAGTACTCAAAGAAAAATATATGGAGTTTTACAGATGTGCACAAGTCTGACAGGCATCAGTTTGGTCTTCTTGAAACTGAATAAAATGTTCAATTTTAATAGAAAGAATTTTGGAAGTCATTAGGCATTTGATTATTTTTCAATTGTATATCAATACATTGTAATTAAGCCACTTTTACAAGTGATTCAATGCTGTTTCTATTAAAAACAATCACTGTCCTATTTAAATCTTTCAAAACTTGCTATTTATATATTGTTTATACTTGGAAATGCAAACTTTGGCCTGTTTCAATTAATATTGACATTTTTCAAATTATATATTCATTTTCAATTCTGAGAAAATATGTCAAATGGACTCAAGGTAATGTGAAGCATTCAACTGGTTTCTGAAGCAGGTTTAGGAAGCCTCTCTCTCCAAATTGCTGCTTTGTATATGGATGTAACCATGCCCAATCTTCACTTTAAAAAGTCATATGTTGTATACCATATTCAGCTAAAAACTATGAATTACACTCCCCCTCTGACACTCATTATGGAAATTCAGAGCTAATAAGGATGTCTTTGATCAACTAATCCAATAATTTTATTTTTACAGATGAAGAATCTAAAAAACAGAAGGCTAAGTTAGAGTCACACAGATGATTAAACTATGAGCATCAACTAGAAGGCAGGTTTTTATTTGTTTTTCATCTCTGTTATTGCCCATATACTAGACTGCTTCACATTTTGTAACAAAACAACTAATTCCTCTTATACATAATAGGAATACATAGAACATGCCACTCCAAAACAGCATAGTATACATTTTGACAATTTAACTGTCCAATTGAAAGGCAGAGATTAACAGAATCAATAAAATAATGTTTCAACTACATGTTGTCTACAAGAGACTCACTATAGTGTACACGGATTTCTCAGGTGCCAATAGCTTTCTCAAGTGTTCATATACTCCAGTATAGACTACACATTAGGCAACAAAACAATTCTCAACAAATTTTAAAAGATTGAAATCAAATGATATTTTTCAACCATAACAGAATGAAACTAGAAATCAATAACTAAAGGAAAACTAGAAAATTCACAAATATGTAAAAATTAAACAACATACTCTTAAATAACCAATGGATCAAAGGAGAAACATCAAGGGAAATTAGAAAATACTTTGAGATGAATGAAAATGAAAACACAAAAGCAAAACTGTGCTTAAAATACATAGTTGTAAAAGCCTACAATAAAAATAAAGATCTTCAATTGAGAACATGTATTTTTTTTTTACATTAAGGAAGTAGAACAAAAAAGCACAAACTAAACCCAAAGCCATCAGAAGGAAGGAAATAATAAAGATCACAGTTAAGATACACAAAATAGAAAAACAATAGAGAAAAATCAATGAAACCAAAACTTGGTTCTTTAGAAAGATCAATAAAATTGGCAAACCTTTAAGTAGATTAAGAGAAAATAGAGAAGGATCAAATAACTAAATTCAGAGGTTGAAATGGGGATATTGCTAATAATTTTACAGAAATAAATAAAGGACTGAAAGTACTATGAACAATATTATCACAAAAAATTAGGTAAGCTAGATGAAGTGGACAAAATCCTAAAGGCACACAAAATACAAAAACTGACTTGAGAAAAAATAGAAAATCTGAACAGACATATAAAAAGTATAGGTATTGAATTAGTACCCATAAACTTCCCAATAAAGAGAAGCCAAAGACCAGATGGCTTCAATGGCCAATTCTGCCAATTATTTAAATAATTAACACCAATCCTTAAACTCTTACAAAAAAATGGAAGCAGAGGTAAAACTCTTTAACTCATTCTATGAAGCCAGCATTACTCTGATACCAAAGCCAGACAAAGGGACCCCAAGAAAAGAAAACTGTAAACAATATCTGTTTATAAATATAGGCGCATATACCCAGTAAAGAGATGGCTGGGTCAAATGGTATTTCTAGTTCTAGATCCCTGAGGAATCGCCACACTGACTTCCACAATGGTTGAACTAGTTTACAGTCCCACCAACAGTGTAAAAGTGTTCCTATTTCTCCACATCCTCTCCAGCACCTGTTGTTTCCTGACTTTTTAATGATCGCCATTCTAACTGGTATGAGATGGTATCCCATTACTGGGTATATACCCAAAGGATTATAAATCATGCTGCTATAAAGACACATGCACACGTATGTTTATTGCGGCACTATTCACAATAGCAAAGACTTGGAACCAACCCAAATATCCAACAGTGATAGACTGGATTAAGAAAATGTGGCACATATACACCATGGAATACTATGCAGCCATAAAAAATGATGAGTTCATGTCCTTTGTAGGGACATGGATGAAGCTGAAAACCATCATTCTCAGAAAACTATCGCAAGGACAAAAAACCAAACACTGCATGTTCTCACTCATAGGTGAGACTTGAACAATGAGAACACATGGATACAGGAAGGGGAGCATCACACACCGGGGCCTGTCGTGGGGTGGGAGGACGGGGGAGGGATAGCATTAGGAGATATACCTAATGTAAATGACGAGTTAATGGGTGCAGCACACCAACATGGCACATGTATACATATGTAACAAACCTGCACGTTGTGCACATGTGCCCTAGAACTTAAAGTATAATAAAAAATATATATAGATAAATAAATATAGGTGCAAAATATCCTCACAACATACTATCAAACTGAATCCAACAGCATCTTAAAAGATTTATACACCATGACCAATGGGATTTATCATAAGAAAGCAAGAGTTTAATCAATGTAATACATTATATTAATTAAATTAAGGGGAAAACATGCTCAGTTCAATAGATGTGAAAGCATTTGACAAAATTCAACACCCTTTCACTATAAAAACACTTAACAACTTAAACAAAAAATAGGAGGGAATTTCCTCAAACTGATGAAAGCTGTTAATGAAGAACTCCCAGCTGACATTATACTCAATGATGAAAGTCTGTACATTTCCTCCCTAAGATCAGGAACAAGACTAGGATACCCACTTATGCCACTCCTATTCAACATTGAACTGGAAGTCCAGTTTCATTTCCTGTCCCATACATAGATGTTTATAGATTAATGTGGGATTTGATCACTGTCTTATGTTGTAATACCACTCTCATAGCTATGATATACTGCTTTGGATCTGTTTTGTGCATGCCCAGCCTGGGGCTGAAGCTTTTATTTGTTTCTATGTGTAGAATTACAAAGTTTCCTCCAGCTCTCAATTCTATGGGATTTTTCATACACTATTCAGTTCCCAGAGGCTAGAGAAATTTGAAGTTTTTCTTATAGTTGTATCTGCTCACACTGCTCTGTGGTTCCACATAACTCAGGTCACACTCAAGGAAAAACGATGGGAGAAAAGAGAAAGAAAAAAACAATGTGGATATTCCCCATAGTCTTTCAACTACAGGATTGCCTTTTTTCTTATATTTTTGTCTAAAGAGAGGGGTTTTCTCTCAGGTTTTAAGTGCCATTACTATACCTCCACCTCACCTCCACTACAGTACAGATTCCCAATTGGGACAACTCCCAGGGCAGGCCTGAGGAGACAAAAGAAAAGAAAAAAAATTAAAAAGAGAACAGGACTCTCCTATCTATACTCTCCAACTTCCAGTGTCCTTTTTTCCGGTTCCTCTGGCCAGAATTAAATGGTTCTTGGAGATCTGACTGCAGGTATCTGCTGCAGTGGAGCCAAGGTCACATTTGTGGTAATAAAATCTGAGAAACTCACCCCGTGAGAGGTCATTCCTCATGTTTTGGCTCCTTTTCCTATTTTGTTACTGTCACTATTTCAGAGTTCCCAGTTGATTGCTTTTTGTATTTTGTCCAGAATTTTCAGTTGTAATTAGTGAGAGAAACGTGTCATAGTAGATTTACCCCTTCTTTGCTAGCACCCTTTGGTGCTATGACTTAGACTTTTAAGACATATATATTTGGACATATTAAAAAATTGTTTTTGCTATGGCAAATTCTATCTTTCTAAATAATATACTTTTAGCTGTCAATTTCTAGTGTATAAAATGCATCTGATTTTTGTGTGTGGATCTAATAGTAGCTTATCTGCTTAATTCTATTATTAATTATAATAATTTATTTCTAGATTCCCTTCGTGAGACAATAACACTACCTCTTATGAAAGTTACATTAATGTTTTCTAATGCTTATAATGTTTTTATTTTCTTATGTTAATTCACTGGGTAAGGCCTTCAGTTTGGGGATTTATATAAACAGACAGGAAACTTCCTGCTGAAATTCAAATTTTAAAATAAGTGTTTCAAAGGTTTAATCGAAGTTTGCTTTACTATTTGGAATATGCCATTTTCAGATTTGTAGTTTACTATTTTTCTCTATATTGTGGAGAATGGGTATTAAAATTTAAACTATCATGAATTGCATGATATGATCTTTGTTTTGTTATTTTCTTCTAATCTTTGAAAAATTATTTATTTTAATTGAAAAATTCCTCAGTTTATATGTATGACAAATATATTTATTGTGTATATATTTATTGTGTATAGCATGGTTATTTTGAAATATGTATACATTGTGGGATGGATAAATCAAACTAAGTAACACATGCATTACCTAACATACTTATCATTTTTTGTAGTGAGAACACTTAAAATCTATTCCCTTGGCAATTTTCAGAAATACAATACATTGTTATTAACTATAGTGACCATCTTGTACAATAGGACTCTTAAGCTTTTTCCTCCTATCTAGCTGAAATTTTGTATTCCTTAACCAACATCTTCCCTCCTACAGCCCCAGACCTGGTCACCATCACTCTAATCTTTGCTTCTAAGAGTTCAACTTTCTTAGATTCCACATACAGACATTGCCTGGTTTACAACACGTTGACTTACTGTTTTTTGACTTTAAGATGATGCTGCAAAAAGGATACACATTCAGTTAGAGTCCTATTGTACTTTGAGTATCCATACAACCATTCCTTGTTTCACTTTCAGTATAGTATTCAATAAATTAAATGTGATATTCAATACTTTCTTATAAAATAGGCTTTGTTAGATGATTTTTCCCAGATGTAGGCTAATGTAACATTTAAGGTAGACTAGGCTAAACTATAATGTTTGGCAAGTTAGGTGTATTAAATGCTTTTTTGACTTATGGTATTTTCAACTTAACACAGGGTTTATCAGGACATAATCCCACCTTAAGTTGGGGAGCATCAGTGTAAGTGAGATCATGCAGTGTTTGTCTTTCTGTGCCTGGCTTATTTTGCTTAGAATAATGTCTTACAAGTTCATTCATGTTGTATCAAATGACAGTATTTCTTTCCTTTTTAAGGCCAAATGGTATTTCATTGTGTATATATACAACACTCTCTCTATCCATTCATCTGTTGATGGATACTTAGGTTGATTCCGTATCTTGGCTATTGTGAATAGTGTTGTAACTAACATGGGAGTGTTGCTATCTCTTCAACATACTGATTTTATTTCCTTTGGGCATATATCCAGATGAGGGATTGCTGGACTGTACAGTAGTTCTCTTACTGACTTTTTGAGGAACTTCTATGCTTTTTCTATAGTTTCTCTACTAATTTACATTCTCACCAATAGTGTACAAGGCTTCCTTTTCCTCTGTATCCTCTCCAACACTTAGCTTTTGATTTTGTGATAGTAGCCATTCTAATGGGTATGAGATGATATCTAATTGTGGTTTTAATTTGCATTTCCCTGATGATTAGTGATTTGTGGCTTTTATAGTGTACTTGCTGATTATTTTTATTTATTCTTTTGAGAATTATCTACTGAGATTCTTTGCCCATTTTAAAATCAGGTTATTTATTTTCTTGCTATTGACTTGTATGAGTTCCTAAATATACTTTGGATATTAACCCCTTATAAGACGTTTGCAAATATTCTCTTCCATTCTGCAGGCTGTTGATTGTTGCATTTGCTGTGTAGAAGCTTTTGGTTTTAGGTAATCTCATTTTTTTTTCTATTTTCTCCTATTTTAATGTCTTAATGTGAGAAATTATCTTAATAGACTTTCAATAGGTTTTCTACTTTGAAATCCCTCCTTCATTCTTAGGATAATTTTAATTTGGTGAATAGTTATATATTTTTATGTATGTGTACACACACATATAATATATGTTATCTATAATAAATATATCATGTAATAATATATACATATAATAATGGATGTGATAGAATCTTTTGTTTTCCTCATACATGAGTCCTGGCTGTCCTCCACAGTGCCATTTTGTAGGGGCTTTCTTGTCTTTTGTAACAGATAGTAGAAGACAAAAGAGTGTGGAAGCACCCATGTGGGAAGTTTTGACAGAGAAGACTTGGAAGAGGTACTTATTCTCACATTTCATTGGCTAAAACATAATCAATAACAGATACCTAAGGAAGTACGGGATGTGGAGCCATTTCAGGCCCAAGAAGACAGAGAAACAGATCTTGGTGAGTATTTAACAATCTCTTCCATAGTGATAATCTTGTTCTTTCAATTGACAATTTTAATCCATATGTATTTATTATGGTTATTGGTGTATTTGGCTTCATTTCTCTCCTGACATTTTGCATTTTATTTTTGTTATTTTTATGATTTTTTTTATTATTGTGTTTATTTTCTCTCTTTACTTTGGAAATTATGTACTCTTATTCTGTTATTTTAGTTTATCACTTTATATTAATACTTTATATATCTAATTATATTAAACATTTTTACTCTTCTCCCAAACAGTATTATGATCATACAATGTTTTAAATCTAGTTATCCCCATGTTATAAGTGATCGTTATCTAGAATCTTTATTTTATCTTGTATTTTCACTATCAAATTCAACATAATCATCATTTGCTCTGAGAAATATTTGTAAAATATTTACCCACATTTTAAACATTTATTTGTTTATCTTTTTTGTTTGTTTCTCAGACCCTCCCCTTGGGGGCTGTATCTTCTTTCCATATATATACACACACATATATATATGGAATATACATTATATGTAATATATAATATATTATTTATATATTGTATTATATATTATATATAGTCCACACATATATTATATATAATATATATAACATATATACATATATGTGTGTGTATCTATGTTAAATATATATATATATATATTTAGCAGAGACCAGGTCTTACTATGCTGCCCAGGCTGATGCCAAGCACCTGAGCTCCAGTGATCCTCTGCCTTGGCCTCCCAACATACTAGGATTATCGGTGTGATCCAACACTTCCAGCCAAACTTCGCTTTTAAAAATTTCCTTCAGTGTCTAATTTACTGAAGTTCACCCTTTAATATTGTCTCTAATTTTTAACTGTTATGCATTAACTGTGTGTGTCCTTTTCTTCCTAAATACAGCTGACTTTTCATTCTATATTTTATTCTTTATTATGTGAAAAGGGCAGAGGTAGGAAAGAAATGTAAATTACTATTATTTCAACATTTATTCCCAAAGTACTTTCATCCACATTTACATTTAATTTCTAAGTGTCTTGAGACAGTAAAGAACAGTAATGAACAGGACACAAGTTTTGCCCTCAGACAGACCTATTTTGAATATTGGCTCTACCACCTACCATTTGTGTTAATGGAAAAGTTTCTTGACTTCCCAAATTCACTTAGCTTATGTTTAAAACACAGATAGTAGTAGCAAACTTAAAACATTAGTGATTGGTAAAAGAGATAATGTATTCAGAATATGTGTTTCACAGTACTTGGCAGAAAATGGCTACCATTTATTGAGTGTTTATTATGATGATGCTGATATAAAAAGTCCTTCGGTATCATCAAAGATTTAATTCCCTGGAACATTAGTGATCCTACTTTACCATAACTGTAGTGTAATTAAATTTCCTGAGGCATATGTGTATGGGTCTCATTGTTTTATATGCTCGTGGTAGAAAATTTAGGGAAAGACAAGTCCATCTTGAACTCTAGCCGTAAAATGGTGTATTCATTCTTACATTCGAGTATATGTAGTCTACAAAAGAGCTATACTTTAAGTTATGGATTTGCTAATAATGTTTGAATTCTGTTTAAAATAGTGACAAATGGCAATAATATTTTACTGGTATATAATGTAATCTCTTACTGCATTCTCTTTTTTGTTTTGCTTCTTGATTAAGATAAAATCAACAGTAAAAAGAAATTATATTAAGTGTATAGCTCAATGTTTCTACATTTGTGTATTATGTAGATCAAAATATAGGACATTTTCAGCATCTAAGAAGGTTTTTTCGGCCGGGCGCGGTGGCTCACGCCTGTAATCCCAGCACTTTGGGAGGCAGAGGCGGGCGGATCACGAGGTCAGGAGATTGAGACCATCCTGGCTAACACGGTGAAACCCCGTCTCTACTAAAAAAAAAAAAATACAAAAAAATTAGCTGGGCGTAGTGGCGGGCACCTGCAGTCCCAGCTACTTGGGAGGCTGACGCAGGAGAATGGCGTGAACCCGGGAGGCGGAGCTTGGAGTGAGCCGAGATCGTGCCACTGCACTCCAGCCTGGGCAACAGAGCGAGACTCCATCTCAGAAAAAAAAAAAAAAAAAAAGACTTTTTCATGCCTTCTCCCAGTCAATGCCCCTAAAGGTAACAATCCCTTTTTCCTTCCAGTGATAGATTAATCTTGTCTATTATTTATTTATTTATTTGAGACAGAGTCTTGCTCTGTCACCCAGGCTGCAGTGCAGTGGTGCCATCTCGGCTCACTGCAATCTCCGCCTCCTGGTTCAAGTGATTCTCCTGCCTCAGCCTCCCGAGTAACTGGGATTACAGGCGTCCTCCACCATGCCTGGCTAATTTTTGTATTTTTAGTAGAGATGGGGTTTCACCATGTTGGCCAGGCTGGTCTCGAACTCCTGACCTCACATGATCCTCCCACCTCAGCCTCCCAAAGTGCTGGAATTACAGACGTGAGCCACTGCATCTGGCCTAATCTTGCTTATTTTTGAATTTAACGGAAATGGAACCACACAATGTGTATAACTTTTGTCTATAAGATTTATTGATGTTGGGTATATTGTTATGTTTACTCTTTTACATGGCTATGCAGTGTTCCACTGCATGAATATATAATTATTTTATCTACCTGATGGACATTTGGGTTGTTTCCAGTCTTGAGCCATTACATTTAGTATATTCATTACTCAATTCCAATCTGGCCAGACTTCTAAGTGAACAATATTCTCCACTCACAACATGCTGATTCTCCATTCGCCAATCACTGTCTGTACCCCCTTCCCTTTTCATATGCTGGTTTATTTTCTAAGAATATCTCCCTTCTTTCTTCTGATTATTAAAATCTTAAGTGATGCCAAGTTCAACTCAGGTTGGGGCCAAATGTGAGGGATGAGCAGGGAAGGGACCCAAGACCATGTACCATAAAATTGTTTCTAATGATAGCCATGTGCTTAGTCAGCATCTTCCTTATCGTCACCTTTAACAACAGCAAGAAAATATTTATTAAGATTACTGTATGTAGAATATGGAACACTATGTTAGATAATCAGGGGGAAAAAGGCATTTTCTCAAGAGCATTACAACACACATGGAAAGACAGAAGCTTATATAAATTGTTATTGATCTTCCATATGCTGTAGACCTATGACAGATGGTAAGTGGGTTAGAAGTTAAAAATAAGGAATCATTCACAGAGGGGCTGGAGATAGGTCATTATGGAGGATTGCAGGAGCTGGGGCCTTATGGAAAACAAGAAAAAATAATTCAAGAAAGTGGAAATAACACAAATGAAGTCTTTGCTTTATAACACGTCCAGAAAATAATGAATCAACTAACAATGATGTAGGGAAGTAGTGAAACACAAGGTTAGAAAGAAAACCAGGAAATGAAGTTTTAACAGACTTGTAAGGCCAAGTATTAATAGTTAGTGTAAGCTTTATCATCAGGAAGTAGAGTGACATTAATGACTTTGCAGCAAGAGAGCACTTGGAACAAGGTAATATTTTCCAACAAGATAAAGATATAACTAATATGTAGAATGGGTTGGAGTGGTAAAACCAAAGTATAAAGAAAAAATGACAACAATAATCTGTATAAGAGACGTTGAAACTTTGGAACGTGCTAGTGATATTGAAAATGAAAGAAAGAGAGAAGGACTTTACACTAAAAAAATCAATGAAGCTTAGTTAATAACTGATATAGAAGGGAGATTTTTAAAAATTGATCTCATGGGGTTAGAGAGTAGAATGATAGCAGAGGCTTGAAAGGATGTGGATGTGTTGGGAGGGGGGAATGAAGAGAGGTTTGCTAATGCTATCTAACTGAATGTTCTATCCACTCTTCATACAATTAGATAACATACAGTTAGATAGAACATTAACCACCATACATTTAGATAGAAGGAATACATTCTAATGTTTGATAGTAGAGTAGAAGGACTATAGTTAACAACAATGTATTGTATATTTCAAAGTAACTAGAAGAGAGGACTTGAAGTGTTCCCTACACATAGAAATGATAAATGCTCGAGGTAATGGATGCCCTAAATACTCTGACTTGATCATTACACATTCTATGCATCCAACAAAATATCACATGTACCCCGTAAATATGGACAATATTTACCAATTATTTTCAATTAAAGAGTCAAGTATGACTCCCAGGTATTACTGGAAGACTGGAACCATAATGGTACAAAGGACTAACATCTGATCTCTTGGAAGAACTACTAATCTTGTAAAACATAATAATGTTGGTTTTAGATGTATTGAATTTCACATAACATAGGGAGTCCAGGAAATCATGAGCAGCAGGTAATAAGAGAAGTGAGACCAATAATAAAGTGTAGAGTTAGAGTTGGAGTTGTGTGGATAATCTATAAGGATTTCAGAGCTGAAGATTTGCGAGCGATCGAGGGCAACAACAGGGTGGGGTGAATGAGTAGGAGGAGCAAGAAGAGTAGAAAATCAGGAACTTAGGCTTTAGAAAGTAAGAGAGTGAAAGAAACAGAAAAGGTAAAACCATTTACTTACAAAGAGTTAATGCTGCTGTGAAAAGTACATTAGTTATAATAGTACCTACTTTGTGTACTGGCAAATATGACTCATTTATTTTCATAAAGTTTCATCCCATTTATAAAAGGGAGGCATTTCCCATACATGTTAACCGCCACAGAACCTATGGCACTAAGAAATTTCTGACACGTTTGATCTTAAAGATGAAGTCTTCAGTTCTTCATACTTTAACAATTTTTTATTTCTAGCCTTGTTTCATACCCATACTGCATTCAGTTTTCTTACTTTTCATAAAAAGGAGAAACATGAGCTGGAGCTGAAAAATGCATTTTATATAATCCAATTGATTTTAAACTCTGCCATTTGATAGGTAGGGAGAATACCCTAACAACACTGCTATGGAGTTCTCTAATTTGTTTTTTTCGGCTTCATGCTGCAAGCAATTTGTCACCTCAAATTCTAATAGAACTTTCACATATTGAAATGAGAGATGGAAGCAGCCTTGTAGATCATCATGGTTGCAGTAGGAAAGAGTTTTGGACAGGGTCTTATAAAATTTTAAATTGATCCTGCATTTGACCTTAGACAAAAAGTCAAAAATGAACAACTAGGTACTGCACTCACATAAAAGGAAATATCTCATCAGCAAACAATAAATCTGTTCTTTAAATACCAGTTTTAACAGGTCCATGTAATGCTTGAAGCCAGCTATCAGTCAATTTTAAGGTTATTGTCAAATAGCAAAAAGGAATTCAACATTCGCGTATCAAAACATATATTGTTGTAAAACATGAAACTTACTGATATTTTTATTTGTAACAATAAAGTAATTACACTTCTATGTTGGCATAGCTATAGGAGACTTGGGGATTTTGTAAACATACAACTGAGTGATACGAATGTTCCATCGTTTTGTGTCTGTAATTAAAATTTCAGAAACTATTGCTGGCCAATCAGTATGTTATTGGCAATAGTCTTTTTCATCCCAGAATAAATAAGAAATTGTGTTTGCATGGCACTCATGCTAGAGAATGAACACTGGGATTTACATGATTATCACTCGTAACTGTGGATGATAAATAATCTACTGGATAAAAAATGATGTTGGAAGCAGACAGATCTGTTTTCAGGTGCTGACTCTAGCAGGAATTTCAACCTGGCGAGTGTATGCTTCTCAGTATTCATGTCTGTAATACCATGAAATCTACCTGCAGGTTTGTTGTGAAGAAAAAAAGAGATAAAACATGCAAGTAATCTAGTATCTAGTAAGAGCAACAGTTGCTTTTATTGTTGAGGTTTAGTAATTCGTCAGTTTTGTATGACAGTGGGTACATACTATGATCTAAATTTGTGTCCTCACAAAATTCATTTGTTGAAGTTTAATCACCAGTGTGGTAGTATGAAGAGGGGTGCCTTGGGAGGTGATGAGGTCATAGGGCTGTGCCCTCATAAATGTGAGTAGTGGCCTTACATAAGAGGCCCAAGGAAGCTTGTTCACCTCTCCCATGTGAGGACACATAGAAGGTGCCACCTATGAGGGAGAGGCCATCAGCAGACACCAAATCTGCTGGCACCTAGATTTTGGACTTCCAAGTCTCCAGAACTATGAGAAATAAATTTCTGTTGTTTATAAATTACCAAGTCTAAGTTATAGCAGCCCTGACAGACTGAAATGTTACATACAATAATATACAATTATCAAATCATTTTATATATAGATATAGATTTTTTTTTGAGACAAAGTCTTGCTCTGTCACCCAGGCTGGGGTGCAGTGGTGCAATCTCACCTCACTGCAACCTCCACCTCCCAGGTTCAAGCATTTATCCCGCCTCAAGCCTCCTGAGTAGCTGGGACTGCATGCCTGGCTAATTTTTTTATTTTTAGTAGAGACGGGGTTTCACCATGTTGGTCAGGCTGGTCTCGAACTCCTGACCACAAGTGATCAATGTGCCTCGGCCTCCCAAGGTGCTGGGATAACAGGCGTGATCCGCTGTGCTCACCCTATATACACATTTTATATATAGGTTTATATATACATTTAGATTGTAGGCATGTAAGCATCCTATATACATGGAAAAGTGTCTTCTAGAAGTGCTTAACAAAGGTTATCAATGACACTATAGATTTAGATAGAAGCAGGTTAATAGCAGGTCTGGGCCGGGCATGGTGCCTCACCCCTGTCATCCCAGCACTTTGGGAGACCCAGTTGGGTGGATTATGACGCCAAAAGATCGAGACCATCCTGGCCAACATAGTGAAATCCCATTTCTACTAAAAATACAAAAATTAGCTGGGCGTGGTGGCTCGCACCTGTAATCCCATCTACTGGGGAGGCTGAGGGAGGAGAATCGCTTGAACTCAGGAGGTGGAGGTTGCAGTGAGCCAAGATCATGCCACTGCATTCCAGCCTGGGTGACAGAAAAAAAAAAAAAGCAGGTCTGGCAATGGGATAATTCTGGGAAAGCTTGCAAAAGCCATGAGGATAATGAAAATCAAATGCTGTGTTAGTAAGCTCAGACCACCATAACAAAATACAACAGTCTTATAGTCTAGATTGCTAGGTCCTCACCTGGCCTTTCCTGGGCATGTATGGAGAGAGAGGAGAGGGGAGGGGAGGGGAGGAGAGATAGTGCTCTGGTTTCTCTTCTTCTTGTAAGGACACCAATCCTACTAGACTACAGTTCCACCCTTGTGTCCTCAATATCCTTAATTATCTTTTTATAAAGCCCTATTTCCAAGTACAATCACAGTGGGATTGGGGCTTCAACATATCAGTGGGGTAATGGGGGTGAGAATGGGAGGAATCATTCAGTTCACAGCAGATGTTAAATATTGAAGAAGAACAATGTGTTAAATATGTTTCAGGACAATGATGATGTTTGAGGAAAGCCATTGAGGGAAATTATGATGACAAGACCTCAAATTGCCAAAGTCTCCTATATTGCTGAACATTACTTGAAACAGCCTGAAGTATATGTTGTAGACTAAATAAGATAGGGTAAGATAAAGGTTGAGGGTGTTGGACTCAATACCTATTAAATTTGGGAAGTAAGACTGGGCATTGTAGTAGATAAGAGTTCAGTAGAACTGAATGATATCTCAGAATTAATACTGACTGAATTCCTTATAATGAATGACATTATCCAGTGTCCTCATGTTGACTGAAAAAATAATACATGTGTTTGAAAAATGAGAGAGCCACACTCGAATACTGAAAGGATGTGATTGTTTTTCCAAGTGTCACTAGGGACCATATGCATTTTGATTTTAAGGTCAATTCCTGATTGCTACTCTAGAATTAATTATTTAGTATATTTGGAGGTGGGACAAAAATGTGCATTTTAACAAATTTCCCAGATGATTTTATGCACTTCACTGTTTTAGGAGAACTAATTCAGGGTGAAAAACTGTAGGGATAAAAGGGAAGGTGAAAGATAACTCAAGTGAGGAGGTGCCTTTTAAGAAAGGTGATAATAAAGGGATGTGAGAATCATGCAATTAGTGGAGATTTTAATAGAAAACCCCGATTATAATAGGGTGGTAAATATAGAGGATTTTAAAAAATGGGTCTTGATAAGGCAAATATTTATTTTTGGCTCCGGTACACCCAGAAGCATAACTGTTCTACTTATTCTGCACGTTAAACTAATTATCAAGACTTCTTGATTGTAACTCCAAATATCTATGTTTACATTCCTATGGTTCTTGTTTTAGTTGAAACTCTCAGTAATTCTTATCCAGACAACTACAATAGCTTCCTCACTGGTATACCTGACTGTATTCTTTCCTTCCCTTCATTTATCCAGTAGTTTGTTGTACAAGGAAAGCACAGATTTATTGAAATGAAAGCACGCTCCACAGAGTGGGAGTGGCTCAAGGGAGTGGCTCAAGACCACTGGTTACAGCATTTTCTGGGGTTTTAATACCCTCTAGATGTTTCCCATTGGTTACTTGGTTATACCCTGTGTAAATAAAGGAGTGGCCTGCAACCAGGAGGTGACCAATCACAGGCTGAAGTGAAGTTACGAAGTTACAGAGTTACACGTAAGTACTTGGCCAGCAAACTAGTCTGATTGGTTTCAGGAGGGACCCAATCAGAGGTGCTTGCCATGTTTCATCTGCAACCACAGTGCAAAGGGAGTAGCCTCTGATCCTTTTGTTACTTGGGTGTGGAGAGGTGGGGTTTTCCTCTTGATTCAGTTCTAGGAAGTCAGCATGAATAGGCCTTAGGTTCCCTGCCTCCAGATCCTATTTTCCTGCCTCAATAGTGGTGGTTATGGGTTGAACAAAAGATGCAATCCCCATTACTTGTGAACGTGGCCATATTTGAAAATAGGGTATTTGCAGATGCAATCAAGTTAAAATGAGTTAATAATGGATTGAGGTAGGCCCTACTCCAATGTGACTGGTATCCTTACGAGAAGAGGGAAATTTGGACACAGAGCCAGAGACACACAGGGAGAATTCCATGTGATGGCAGAGGTAGAGTTTGTAGTTATGTTTGCACAAGTCAAGGAACTTCAAGGGTTGCTGGCAACCACAAGAAGCTAGGGTTCCTCCAAGAAGGAACCAACCCTGACAACACCTTGATTTCAGAGTTCTGGCCGCCTAAATTGTGAGAGAGTAAATATCTGCTATTTTAAGCCACTGCATTTGGGGTATTTTGTTACAACACTAGAAAACTAATATAGTAGTCTTTCTAAAACTCATTTCTTTTCTCAGAATTATCCAAGAGGCTCCTACAGTCTGTAATATAAATATGAACTCTTTAGAAAGATATTCTAGTTCCTTCAATTTTTGTGTCCTACCTATCAGTCCCCTCTCTTCTCTCTTGTATATATCAAACCATTTGAAATTCTGTGATTTTGACCCATGCTGTCACCCTGCCATTTCTTTGCACATGGTGATCCCTCTATCAGACATGTGAGCTCCATTTCTGAAATGCAACCACCTGGAAACACTCACTTTGAAGTATTAATCCAAGTGACATTGGATTAAAGTTTTCCATGACCTCCTCCAACCCCAGCACAGTCCCAAGTACTCTCTCTTCTTTCCCTTTTACTCCAACGTATACACCTCTTCACTTGAGCATTTATTAGATTATGATGTAATGGTCTGAAAAATATGTTTATTTTCCCTACCAGATAATAAAATCCTTGAAGCAAAGAACTTCGTCTTTACATTCAAGTGATCAATGATTCAGGTCATGCCTGAAACGTAGTAGGCACTCAATAACCAAGTGGTAAATTGTAATCAAATGAATGAATGAATGAATGAATGAATGAATATATGACAGATTTTTAAAAAGATTTTGTCATTACCACCACAGAGGAGAAACTAGATTTCTGCTAATGGGTATCAGTGTCTTTAACACAGATGGTTAAAATAACATTGCATTTGATCTTTTAATGTGTCTTTTATTTTGCTTTTTTTTTTTTTTTTTAAAGCAGGTTGCACAGTCACCATCACCTACATGGGGCTTATAGGTAGTAAATAAGAACTTCGTGATAGCTCAGCCAACTATACTCTACTCTCTCTCCAACACTTCCTAAACCATTGTAATTCTAATGCACACATATATTTCTGGTAGCTATCCTTAGAATTCCAGAAAGTGCAAATATTGATGAACTAAGACACAAAGCTCGGTGATTCTCTGCACCTTAGTTTGCCCTCAGTTGTTTTATTGAAATAAGCTATGTGACACCACTGTGATTCATAGTGCACTCAAAATTAGCTTAAAATTATTAAGTGTGGCAATTTTGCCACCTGATTTGGAGCCAAATAATTTTTTTTTAGTACAGGTCCTCGAATGTTTTTTAAAAGCACCATTGATGAAAAGGAAGTTAACAAAATCCGATCTTGAAAGTTTGCTTAATTTCCATTTTTATAAGGTGATAGATGATTGATAGATAGATAGATAGATCAGACACACATATAAATTTAACTCCTTACACAAAGATTGAATCAATGTTGTCAATAAGAGAAAAGGACTGAGATTCCATTTCAAAGTACATATGCCTTGTTAACTTCTTCGTGTCTTTGTTGTCTTTTCATCATTGGTTCTCCTACAGCGGCTCTTGGAGAAAGGGGAAAAGCCTGTGCTCTTAGAAAGCGCTAATCAAATAGATATGCCACAGCCTAACAGATGGGTAAGCGTGCTGGAGGATGAACCTCACGGGGATTCAGAGCTGTGATTACACCCCCTCCTGGTTTCACCCCCAATGATTCCCACAGTGTGCACCTGTAGATGGTCAGCCCAGTTCTTTCAGCTGCACCACCAGAGACACCCTTACTGACAGAATAGCCTCTTCCCTCTGTGCAAAATTTCTCTCTGTGCACATTTTGATGATCTCCCCACCTCCCTCATTTGATTTCGGCTGTGCTTGTTGTTATAATTGTTTTACAAGTGTATGTACAAACAGTGTGCTACCTCTTTAAAATTTTCTAAATACCTTGGGAACTCAAGCTTTCGGAGGAGGCTTCTCCAGCCACCTGTGGCTGCAAAACTGTGTGTGAAAACTTGGAGACTGTCAGGAGTGGAAGGGTGATGTGTCCTGGCTCCCCGCCGTTCTAGAATGATAGGACATTGCAATAGCAGCAAATTTGGAAATCGTGTCTGACTTGGATACTTTACTGATGCAGAAACTGGAGTGTGGAGAAGATTAGTGATCTCACGTTCACCAGGTTAGTAATACCCTCCTCCTGAGAACCTCTTGGAAAGGGATTGTGACTTTTAAATAGAGTTGAATAATCTCAAGGAAGGTTTCACCTACCACCCGTTCTCCTTCTTACACTTTTCCCCAAAGCTAGTTTCGTTTTCTTTTTGGCTTTGAAAATATGTTGTGTATATTATAGTTCCATTTCTATTTTGAGTTGTAACTGATGTTTATAAATATATTTCTCCTAACTACAGGCCTCTTGAGGGCAGGAACTCTATCTTACTCACTTCTGAATCTTTAGTGCCTATGATAAATACCCGATAAATATTTGTGAAATAAATTATTAAACAAACTAACATCTAAGGGAAGAAATTAAAGATTCAATGGATGAAAGAGGGAAGGAAGAACAATAACTGGTCATGCTAACCCTCTTATTAGAGTATTGACATGATAAGAATTAATTTCATGCCCTGTGGAGGGTTTTTGGCTCTACCTATAGCTAAGGGATATTGGCAAGCTACTTTTTTAACCTGGTCAAAAATCCTTTACATCAAGATAGATATCAAAGGAAATCTATTTCCATTTTTAGCTCACTGATTCTATCACATTTTTATCTAATCCATGAATAAAGATGAAATAATCTGTTACTTACCTAAGGATAATTTCAAAGTAAATTTGAGTACATGATAGTGGATTGTTTTGAATAATTTCATCAGGTATTTCTGCTGCCACCTAGACTTTTTTTTTTTTTTTTTTTTTTTTTTTTTTTTTTTTTTTTTTTTGAGATGGGGCGATCTTGGGTCATTGCAACCTCCGCCTCCTGAGTTCAAGTGATCCCTCTGCCTCAGCCTCCTGAGTAGCCGGGATTACCGGCATGCACCACCACGCCTGGCTAAGTTTTGTGTTCTTAGTAGCACCACCACGCCTGGCTAACTTTTGTGTTCTTAGTAGAGACAGGGTTTCACCATTTTGGCCAGGCTGGTTTCGAACTCCTAACCTCAGGTGATCCACCCACCTCCTCAGTCTCCCAAAGTGCTAGGATTACAGGTGTGAGCCACTGTGCCTGACCTGTCACCTAGACTTTAAAATATATATATACATATATATATGTATATTTGTTGTTAGCATTAAATTCTTTTCTAAATTAAAATAATAAAATATATCTTTTCAAATGTCTAAGCTCATGGTAAAATCTACTTTACATCTTTATCAACAGTGAATATGTATATATTCATGTACTAATTCATTCTTATGTGAACCAGTATTTTTGGGGGGATCTGCTTTGTGCACGTACTTGGCTAGTTTCTGCAAGACAAAAAAAAATGAAAATAAAAACCACAAAACTCATTCTTTATACTCAAAGCACATAATTTTATTATATTCAGTAAAAGCTGGAAAAGTCCAAATTTCCATATCTACCTCATAAGTTATTTATTAAATTATATACCTATCACATTATATATGTATAAACACACATTTGGTGAATATACTCCAAGTAATTATGACATTATTCTGATAAGTCAAGATTTTACTGATGAATAATTTTTTAAAAAAATGTAAGTGCAAATGAGAGACACAACTGATGCTACTAATTGCACATAACTTACAAACTAATTTCAGTATTTAAGAAAATTTTATGTCAGTTGTGCTGTAGTTTAGAAAAAAAGGCTGAAAAGTAGTGGTAGTCTCAAGCTCACAGTAACTGCTGTGGACGTGAATAAAGGAACATGAGTTTCTTTAGTGTGCACTCTGTGTGAGGCAGCACCCACAGTGTTTACCTGAAAACATTCTATTAGAGATCAGCGATGTGGAGCAGTCACAGCACAATAATACCTTTTTTTTTTAGAAGTACAAGATGTACTGTGGGCAGTACTTGAAGAAAATTTAAAGCCTAAAAATGGTTTATTGATAGTAAGAATAGCAGCTAACAAGTATGGAGTGTGGTGTGTGTCTGGCACAATGGACTATACTTCATCTATTTCTGTATCAGCACAGTATGTTATATATGGTCCTCAATGTCTTGGAATCCAACATGGCTTTATAATTTTCAACTTTGTCACAGTTTGCAATTGAAAGTTGCAATTGAAAATACCTCTGGTTTGAATAGAACAGTGGTTGCCAGTGTCTGAGGAGAGGGGAAAATGGGATGTTGTTCAATTGGGACAGTTTCAGTTATACAAGATGAGGTCTACTGAACAACACAGTACCTTGTATTTAACAATATCGTATTTTGCCCTTATACATTGTTCAAAATGTAGAGCTCTTGTTAGGTGATCTTACCACACAAACACACAAAAGGGACACGAGTAAACTTCTGGAGATGTTGGATATGTCTATGACCTTAATTATGGTTATGGACTCTTGGGTGTATACGCATGTCCAAACCCGTCAAACTGTATACATTAAAATGCACAGAGTTTTTACTCAATTCTACTCAACAAGGCTGTCAAAAAAATATCTTGTTTTCTTTCTTATGAGAGATAAAAATCACTTAAAGATGTAAACTTCGGGGCAAACACGTTAATCAACAACTCAGCCTAACACTAAAGTGACATTGGAACTCACGCTACAGCTTTTTTATCCAATGCAAAATTAGAGAGAAAGATATCTGCAAAGCTACAGTCTTCTGTTCATCATCAGGAACAGGTGTTGAGCACCACTGTAAATTAGTGCAGTGCTGGATGTACAGAAGCAACACATTAGGGATGCAGTGGGCTGCCTTTATGATGCTTCGAGTCCAAAGATGAGCCAAGGGACTGAACTTGGAACAAATCATCTCTTTCTTCTCTCCTGATATATAAGCCTGTCTGCCACTCTTGTTCTGGATGCTTTTCATCTTGTAATTAAAGGTGGGTAAAGCATTTCCCATGCAATATGACTGGCAAGTCTAAAGACACACATTGCCTAATTTCTTAGTTGTCTCAATAGGTACTTAAGAAAAATCCTGAGAGTAACAGTTCACTAGAGCAAGAGTGGTTTGCAAAGAGTTCCAAAAGTAAACATAAATGTTTAGTTCAGCATATTATTGATAGAATTCATACCCTGAATTAAGAAACACATATTTATATAAATTTTCTCTCTCTCTCCTTCCTGTTGAAATATTTTATGTTCTAGCAACAGGTAATTGTGCAAGTATTTTTATTTATTTGTTTGTTTGCTTATTTATTTATTTATATTTGAGACAGAGTCTCACTCTGTTGCCCAGGCTGGAGTGCACTGGCGCGATCTCAGCTCACTGCAGCCTCTGCCTCCTGGGTTCAAGTGATTCTCATGCCTCAGCCTCCTGAGTAGCTGGGATTACAGGCATGTGCCTGCATGCCCAGCTAATTTTTATATTTTTAGTCGAGAAGGGGTTTCACCAAGTTGGCCAGGCTGGTCTCAAACTCCTGACCTCAAGTGTTCCATCTGCCTCGGCCTCCCAAAGTGCTGGTAATTAACAGGTATGAGCCCTTGTGCCCGGCCCCATTTGTACATGTATTTATACTTAATATTGAGTGTACATTTTTTATGTTATTATTTGCTATTTATATATCACATAACCTTGAAGTATTAAGATCTTTTTTATCAAGTAGATAAGAAGAATATAAAACAGCAGGAATAAATATGTGATTTCTGGCTTTTTAACTTCTTTACAGAACTTATAATTATTTCTAAATGTTATTTGTTTAATTCTTTCTAAAAATGAAGATGGCTGAAAGATTAGCCAAAAGATTACATTTACTACACAAAATGATATTAGATATTATAACAATAATTGACAAGTCCACTGTTCCATATTTCCAGTACTTCTGGTAGACCAAGTTTCATCAAAGCAGAAAGTTCATTTCATTCTCTACACTTTTGATCATATGAGTAACACAGTAGCTAGCAGATAGTATGGCTCTGTTTATCTATCTGTCCATTTTTGTTAAACCCTGGAATCTATTTGTTAAACCCTGGAATCTATTCATGTTTAGTAATTACCAATGAAGCCACTGGATCTAGCAGCTTTGTGTTCTTTTCTCCTGATTTAGTATGGATTTTTCCTCATGAAGCATTAGTTTTTAATTTACTTATGACTCTGATTTTCTGCAGATTTAAGTAGGCAGGAAAAGCACAGTGAAGTAATGTCTTTATGCATATTTAAACACATACATTGAATTAAATACATGTAAATGACAATGAAAAGGAGAGATTGCAAACCTTTTCCTACACAAGGTTCTACGCTTGTCCTTAGGTCAGACCAATCAAGTTGGCACAATAAGAGGTGAGATTTTTGTCTACTCTTCATCTATTCCATTGAATCACCATTACTACTTCATTAGTTGCAGATGTGTTTCTAATACTGGGCTTGCACTTAAATATCTGTTTTAAATATATACAAGAAATTTTTAAAAACTACATGCAAAGGAGTGAGAGAAAGAAGATGTCAATGGCTTGCCAAATACTGACGCTCAACAGAGAAATAGAAACTATAAAGAAAAAAATCAAAAGGAACTATTATTCAAAAGAACAATCAAAATGAAAAATTCACTAGACGTGTCTGACAGCAGATTTGAGATTGCAGAAAAATTAATTGGTTAATTTGAAGATAAGTAATAGCAATTATGCAACTTGAAGAATATACAGGGAACAAAATTAAAGTAAAGTTAGCTGAGCTTCAGAGACTTGTGGTACAATGCCAAGCATACCAATTGATGTGTAATCATGATCCCAAAAGTACATAAGGGAGACAAAGGGAGAATAAAATGGAAGAAATAATGATCAAAGCTTTCCTCAAATTGATAAAAAAAAAGTTAATCTGGAGATCTAGGAGCTCAACAAACTTTAATAATCACAAAAGATTTGCACCTAGATACATCATAACCAAACCCATGAAAGCCAAAGACAAACAGATAATCTTGAAAGCAACAAGAGGAATTTGACTCATGATGTAGAGGAGTACATTAAATTTTTTAAATTTTATTGTGTATGTTTAATGAATTTATAAAGTTATGATGACTTTTTGTTTGAAAAAATGGATGGCAGAAGGCAATGGAATGAGATTCTCAAAGGCTGAAAGCAAAAATAGTTAACCCCAAACTTTATATCTAACAAAACTATCCAATACTGATAAAATTAATTTATTCATTTAATCTTATTGAGCCAGTTATTGCTATGGACATCATATATAGAACCATGCTTCCCCTTTCCCCCAAAATGTTCCATTTTCTTGAGATTTATATTCTTTCGCGGATGCAGTCAGTCAAGCAAAAGTATGACAGGTACTGAAAAGTGTTATGAATCTGTTTAAAAAGCATTCTGGTAGATTTTAGCTGCTTTTTCCACCAAAAAAAATAATAATAAAGGTAATTGTGGGATGATAGATATGTTCATTTGCTTAACTGTATTGATCCTTTTACTTTCTCTTATGTATACCATAATGCCATGTTTGATACCTTAAAAGCATATATTAAAATTTATTTTTAAAGAAATGATTTTCAGGAAGGGGAACAACAAAAAAATAGCAATAGGCTGGCATGGCTAAAACTCAGTGAGGATGAGGGAAAATGGAAGGGAAGGGGACTGAAGAATTGGTTAAAAAAATCACCCTGGGGACTTGGAAGTTCTGGAGGGACTCTGGTTTCTACAGTGATTACATTGAGAGGAGAGGAGTGACACAGTCTCATTTCAACATGTACCTTTCTTAAAATCATCAGTTAATCATAGTATGGTACATGCAGGCTACCATTTTCCTGTAATATTAAAAAACAAAATATTATATAAATATATCACATTATAAGATAATGGTAGAAAAAATATAAATCAACTTCATATTAGTGTTTACTACTTAGAATGAAGGTAAGAAAGGAGAGTGGTGAAAGGTATATGAAAAAGACTTCAAATATATTTGTAATATTTTAATATCTTAAAATCAGATAAGTGACAAATTATTGACATTAATTATTGAATAATGGTGGTCTCCATTTTCTCTGTTTGAAGTGTTTCATACACAGAATTATTTACGAAATAAGTCAGGGAATATATGCCTAAGCAAAAGTTTCTTACAGGAGCCTGGATATGGTTTGGATTCGTGTCCCCACCCAAATCTCAGGTGGTAATCTCCAATGTTGGAGGTAGGGCCTGGTGAGAGATGTTTGGATCATGGAGACATATCCTTCATGGATGGTTTAGCACCGTCTCCTCAGTCCTGTTCTTATGATAGTGAGTGAGTGAGTTATCACAAGATCTGGTTGTTTAAAAGTGTGTAGCACCATCCCCTGCCTCTTCCTCCTGCTCCAGCCACATAAGATGTGCCTGCTTCCCTTTCACCTTCCACCATGGTTATAAATCTCCTGAAGCCTCCCCAGAAGCGGAAGCTGCTATGCTTCCCAAACAGCCTGCAGAAATGTGAGCCAAGTAAACCTCTTTTCTATATAAATTACCCAGTCTCAGGTATTTCTTTATAGCAATGTGAGAGAACAAATGAATACAGGCCTCAAAAGTTGTTGTAATTATTCAACTGCAATACTTTATGATTTATTTGGCTCTTTTATTGACAATTCAGTTAAAGAGCAGAAGCAATCAAAGTTAGAAAATAGCACCTACCAAAGTCAGGTTGTGTAATAGATTTGTTATGTTCATCTGCCTATTATCTCATAGGCACTTATTAGGTTGAAATTACCATTTTTAGTTTATCAAAATGATAAAATGTTTGCAATCCACACTGTTTGACTTAGTAGAAGGATTGTTGTGGTTGAGTGTTTCCTCCTTCCTGAGAGTTGGTTTCCTCTTCATTTGAAAGCACATTGTTCCTTATCAAACAAATGTGGGGGAAGACCTATTAAACTTAAAAGTGACTAACAAGCTGAAATTGATACTATGGGCAACATGAAAATCCAAGCTTATTCTAGTATTATCAAATCTCTTTATAGATGAAATGCACTAAATTTACAGTTTGCCTTTCAAATCTCTTTTTCTTAATTTTTAAAAAAATGTTATAAATGCATCAAATCCATGCAAAATATAAGATTAACTTTTGTTGGCCAAATATTTCATAAATCCTGATCAAACTGCTTATCCAAACTGTCGATGTTATATTTATTCTCATGAATTCTTTGAGACAAAGACCAAGGTTTCAGATACTTTCAGACACGAGAGGGAAAGAATCACTAGAAAGGTCACTAGAGGCCAGGAAGAGAGAGACCAAAGACAGTTTGCTAAAAAAGAAGTTCATTTAAACACAGTAATTTGAAAACAGACACAACAGGAAACAATCTATATTATCTTTTATTTGCTCAATCTTTTTGGTTTTACTACTGCCAATTCCACCCCTGCAGTTCAGACCTGGCAGCAAAATCTCTCTTACTTTCCAGCAGCTTTTCACAAGTTGATACGGAACCAAACTCAAAGATTAAAAAAAAAAAAAAGAGAGAGAGAGAGAAAGGAATAGACTAAAATCTCTGACTTGGCCTTTTTCTCTATGTGTATCTTATTTCTTGCAGCTTCACCCTGAACATGGTAAGGTTCGACAATGGAAATGTGAGCCTGACTTAGAAATGGCTCTGTCTGTGACTACCATAAACCTTCACCTTAATGGTTTTATGCATCCATATAAAGTCCTCAGCAGTATTGTGTATATCTTGAAAACATAACGACTGTTAGTCAATTCATCCTCATGTCCTCTGAAGGTGAAATCCTTTGATATGTAGAGCTGCAGAACTGTGTAGCTGCACCAGGAGAAATAGCATTCCAGCTATGATCTTACATAGTGCAATCATTTATTTAAGTAAAGCCATCTGTCATATTTTGGGTGGAAAATTACATAGCCAAGATGGATTAAAAAATACTGTTGCTATGCTTTGGTTGACAAGGGTTTATTTTTCAAATTGAAACAGTAATTCTTACTCATCTTCAATGTTATTTTTGTAAAATAAATCCCAATGAACTGCTGCGCTTTAAATACCTCATTGTGATTCACACCACTGACATTCAGGGCATCTTCCTGAAGCATCAGTTCTGGAATAGATTGATCAATATGTCAATTTGGATCGAGTTCTTTATTGCAATTGTTTCAAAGTTAAAGAACTGCATTTTCCAAAGTTCATTAGTTTGCCAAGTGAGTTGAAGTAATGGCTCTCCGCTATCCTTTCTAACCTTAGTTTGTTGAAAATGTTTTCTAATGACATTCCCTGAACATTTTCCAAAACCAGTTGTCCAAGGATTTCTTCATGTCCTTCATATGTTTCTCTGTAATAGATTTGGGTCCTTTCTTTGTTCTGCACTTCAATTTCTCCTTCAGCTAAAATTTATCTTCCCATTAGCAAGTCGTTACTTTAACTATAGTCTGCTTTGTGGGTGATAAACCCTGCAAGAGAATATTAGACTTTGAAGGACCCTTGGTTTCCCTCCGGAGCTTTTCTGAGAGCAAAAGGGACATTGGGAATATTGACCATGACCAGCATGGGACATTTGTTTCTAAACACCCTGAATGGCATAGACATAGACATTTTCAAATACTCCAGAGAGAGAGAGAGAGAGAGAGAATGAATTAAATTTTATGCATGTGTTTAATTTCCTAGGTAGAATTAGGATTCAACCGTTCCTAGGACTGTGGGTTAAATTTTAGGGCATGGGTTTCTGGGAAGTTGACAAGACCCAGAGTATTTGGCATCAACAGAATGATGTAAGTAGCCTGCAGATAACTCTGGGGAGAGTTTAATAACAAAGTATATTTTCCTAAGAGATTGTTCACTTTTTTAATGCTTATCTCACCAGTTTAAAATCAGGTAGAAATTTTCACGTCATTTGAAGTGATTTTTAAATGCAACATCATCTTATCTTGGTGAAAATATGTTCTGAGGATTCAATAATCTAAATACTCCAAGAACAACTAGGATTTTAAATCACATCCTGCAATTAGGCATTGTTGTTCTCCCCTGTAGCTCTAAGGTTAGTCACATGTCAGCTTCTCTTATTTGAACCAACTTTTGGAGTAATGCTCTCCTAGAGCAAAACTTACCTCCAGAACCATAGGAATTAAGAATCAGCAAAGCATCAGAAAAAAATGTGTGATTCTTATTTTTGCAGCGTTATGTCATTTCTCTTCTTTAATATGCTTCGTGTTTATCTGTTCCCTTTAATTCTTGTTCAAGATCTAATAAAGTTTGATCTCTTAACCACACAAAAGAACCCATGTAGAAAGTGAAACAATTCAATGGCAAAAGTATTTGATAGAAATCGATAGAAACAAAACCAATTTTAATTAGGTACTTGAATCCATCACTCTTATTTTTATACAAAGTATACAGAAAAAAATAAGTGAAAATATTTTATTGAATTTTCCTTTTTTTTTGTTTTTATTTTCTTAATGTATTTTTTGGTTCTTGTTCTGACTTCTTGTGTTGATCTCTTAATGTAATCGTTTTTTAATCTTTGTTAATTTCTAACAAATGTCTCTAAGCTTTGTAGTTTCCACTGAATATACCCCTGCCTCACAAACACAAACACCATTTTATCTCCTTTATGATGTTAATCCAAATTAACATAAAGTTTAGAAATCATGCAGCACATACTCATTGGCCCAAAGATAATGCAATACTGTTCTTTATTCATAATTCTTGAACTAAGAATATTTAACTAGTTTATTGTGCACATAGGGCTTGTGCTGTGTTATTAACCACACCATCCCAATTCAGTGTCATGGTTTTTGAAGACCAGCTCCATTTCTTCAAATTTATTCCTGGGATTGATTTCCCTAGGAGTCTTGTTTCATCAGGTATGAGGGTTTTTGTTTGTTTGTTTGTTTGTTTAACTCATCAAGGGTTTTATTCTTTTGGACATTTCGAATGAAGACAACATTCACTGAGGGCATTAGAGGGTCTTAAATTGTAGGAAAATCTAACCAGTAGCCCTGTAGAATAATTAGTCTTCCATCTGGTTTGGCACTGAGAAGCGTGAGCCCGCATAGGGGAAGGGGAGAAACCTCAGGCACTTCAGGTATATTGTGATAGTTATTTTTGCAGTTTGTATTTTTTCTAGCACAAGGGAAAAAAATCTTTCATTTACATACTGTCTAAAATTGTATCATTATTCTTTCATTTGTGTATTGTCTAAAAGTATATCATTATTGGTGAGATAGGTGTGACATATTTTATTTTAATTGTTTTAATTGGTTGTACTAAAACTGGCTGGGAGAACTGAAGTATAGAGTTAAGGTGATGATTGTCTCTGATAAAACTTAAGTCATTGGATTAGTAGGCTAAGTCAGAAGTGCAAATGCTTAATCAGTAAAGAGGAAAATTCTAGTAAAAAGGTCATAAACACTAGCATGAAACTCATAGGATACTCTTATTCCAAAGGTTTTGAGAAGAAGTTATCTACTTCATACTGCCATTGGCCTGTTTGAAGATCTTGGCATTTCCTGGCAGATTTACTGGATCACCTTACTTATCTGTACAACTTCAGTTAAAGATCTTTGCTAAAATAGAGCTTTCTAGTTCTGCTAAGATTCCTTCTATTTGTTCAAAATTTGGAGTGACTAGGTGAGTGAAGTTTCTGAAGAATAGCAAACCCTTGAATAATTCAAGAATAACTATTCCGGCCTGGCGTGGTGGCTCACGTCTGTAATCCCAGCACTTTGGGGGGCCAAGGCAGGCGGATCACCTGAGGTCAGGAGTTAAAGACCAGCCTGGCCAACATGGTGAAACCCCATCTCTACTAAAAATACAAAAATTAGCTGGGCGCGGTGGCAGGCACCTGTAATCCCAGCTGCTCGGGAGGTTGAGGCAGAAGAATAGCTTGAACCCCGGAGGCAGAGGTTGCAGTGAGCTGAGATGGTGCCATTGCACTCTAGCCTGGGGGACAAGAGTGAGACTTCGTCTCAAAATAATAATAATAATAATAACTATTCCAGTTAAATATGTTCCCATTTGACTGGATAGAAAAGTTGCAATGTCCCAGGCAGGAAACACAAACTTCATGTATCTATGTGTATATATATGTGTGTGTGTGTATATATATATATATGTATGTATTTATTTATAGCTCTGTGGATGCTGTGACTTTTTTGAAAGGAAAATGATTCAAACCATCCACAAAATATGCATACTATTTTTAGTACATATTTATAGTCCACAAAAAGAACCAATTGTATGAAATCTATTTAGAGATAGATGCTCAGAGATTCCTTAAGGGCAGGGTTCCTGTTCATCTCACTTTTATTATTTTCCCATAAGTGTATTAGTTACAGGGCTGGCCGCTGTGGCTCTCACCTGTAATCCCAGCACTTTGGGAGGCCAAAGTGGGTGGATCATTTGAGGTCAGGATTTCAAGACCAGCCTGGCCAATATGGTGAAAACCTGCCTCTACTAAAAGCACAAAAATTAGCTGGGAGTGGTGGTGCACACCTGTAGTCCCAGCTGCTCGGGAGGCTAAGGCAGGAGAATTGCTTGAACCCGGGAGGCAGAGGTTGCAGTGAGCAGAGATCACACTGCTGTACTCCACCCCAGCCTGGGCGACAGAGCGAGATTCCCTTTCAAAAAAAAAAAAAAGTTAGTTACAGAGGAGGCAAGAATTGCCCACCCTCTGCTATTCAAAAAATGTTTTCCCACCCATGTTTATTTAATATTACATCCAATTTACCACTATTGTGATGGTTTCCTTCATGGAGGATTTTGGGGGCTAGTAAATTTGAGAGGTTTTAATTTGTGTGTTTTTTTCTGGTGCTACCTAATAACCATTATGGTTGGTGCCACATCTTGTCTTCATGGATCTTACAGCTCAATTATTCCAGGGCTTTTGTAAGAATTCACAAAGCCACATTTTTATGCCCCAAAGAGAAGATGTTAATTTCTCCATGGAAGTGTTGATAAATTTTTTGTTATTAATGGTCTGTCAAAAGTCAAAGCAGACTGTTTAGTGTAGCAAACTACTGTAATATTTCTGTAGTCTTTCTAAGGTATACATAATGTATTTTAATAATATTTTCGTAGTATCTGCTATGCAGTATGCTACCTTGTATTGTACCTTTTGTTGTGAGCCTTAATTTAACAACAGCAATTACTGAAGATAGAATAAAATACTTCACATTTGTTGTTCATTTTTAAAGAGTATCTGAGAAGGTTAAAAGACCTGTTTATTTCTATGATATCTCAAATAATGCATTATTCTAAAAATGTATTAGTGGTTACTATATATATTTACCCTATTAGTAATCTGACATGTCCTAGAATGGAACACATTTGCCATTTGAAACTTTTTGGCTTCCGTTTTTTTCTTGTTTTGTTTTGTTTCTTTTTTTTTGTGGAACTTAAAAGAAACTAGATACTGCATACCATCCTGGTATCCTCTTTTATTTTTAAGCTTAGACCCATGAACAAAAAACATCCAGCCAGGATATGGTGTAAGAGCATCCCAAAAAACAGTTCATGGCCATTCCCAGAACACGCATGAACTAAAAAACACAGTATTCTCCTATACTGGATAAATGTTATGAAGTTGCTCCTTTAAGGGTGTTATACAAGTGGATGGTCTTATGAGAGGAACAATACAACAACAATTCATAATAAGTTAATCAACTAGTAGAAAACTGTTGGTGTTTTCCTTTAGCAATGGATATTCACTCTATGTAGTAACACGAGATTTAATGATCCTTATACAAGAGCTGAAGGTGGTGTGACTAATTTATTTGAGGTCTATAATTCCTCCGAGGCTGAGTCTCAGCTTGGCCTGCTGTTGAATGTAGCCTAAATGTTTATACACATACAGAAAGATTGATTTATGATTGTATTAGTTTCCTAGGGCTGTGGCAACAAACTACCACAAACAGAGAGGCTTAAGACAGAGACATTTATTCTCTCATGGTTCTAGGGTCTAGAAGTCCAAAATCATGTTAACCAAGCAGTTCTTTCCAGTGGCTCTGACCGAGAATTCCACACCTGTCACCCGGCTTCCAGTGGTTGCTGTCAGTCCTTGGCATGCCTTGGCTTATAGCTGCATCACTGCAATCTCCTCCTTCATCTGCACATGGCGTTCCCCTCTCTGCATCACTGTGTATCCTCTCCTCTTCTTATAAGGAGTCAATTATCAGATTTAGGGTGCACCCAAATCCAGTATAACCAACTTAACTAATTACATCTGCAATGACCCTATTTCCAAATAAAGTAACATCCTGAAGTTCTGGGTGGACATGAATTTTGGAGGGACACTATTCAACCCACAACAATGATCACCACGAACTATCAATGACCCTGCTATAATTAAACTACCTATGTTTACAAATTCTTTTGTCCATAGAGATACTGGGACCATAGCCTATTGTCTGATAATTTCCTGATTCATAAATGGTGTAGGTATTCAGAAGTCTAGTTTTACTCTAGATATGTGTAAGAAAATTTATAAGAACTTCTAAAATAATCTCTCTGCAATATGCTTTATCTGAAAGTTCCATTTGTAATGTACCTTCTATCTATTAAATCTATAGAAAGTACATCATGGCAGAGAAGTAAGTATTTGTCTAAAAAGGATCCTGAAAAAAGTTACAGATTGAGATTTGGGAAAGAACTTAACAATTGGTAGAAAATTTCTATTACTTGAGTGGCTTTAGTAAATAAAGCAAATAAAGTCCATTTGACCTCAAGCTTTTTAAAGTTGATAATTTACCATCAAGCTCACATTTTTCTTACTACACACACACACACACACACACACACACACAATGTGCCACAACCAGTCAATTTTATTTCAGGACACAGTTTCTCTCTTTCACCTTCTCTCTCTTTTTATGCTTTAATTACAAGTCCATTTGCCTTCCTTCTTATTTTTCAAGTATCTTTAAAACTTTGCTCTGATGGGCAGTCCTAGTGGGCTTAATGGTAGATATTTTCACGGTCATGCAGTTAATAAATCTGTAATGTGTTGTCCATTTATTCTTTATTATTGGGAGTAAAGAAAGAATAGGATGTATTGGAATACTAATGCCTTCCTCCTAGTGAGAGCTTTGGCAGACTTTGTCAGGTTGTCCTTTTACTTTTTTCCCAAAATTGAACTTTGATTCTTCCACTGGCTCTTCTGTTTACAATATGTACAGGTACTTTACAGAGAGAAGCTTTTGGTTCTTTGATCAAAAAAGACTTAGTTTGTATTGATTTCTAATCTGTTAACTTTTTTTTCCCAGTGTTTTTTTTATTATTATTATACTTTAAGTTTTAGGGTACATGTGCACAATGTGCAGGTTAGTTACATATGTATACATGTGACATGCTGCTGCGCTGCACCCACTAACTCGTCATCTAGCATTAGGGATATCTCCCAATGCTATCCCTCCCCCCTCCCCCCACCCCACAACAGTCCCCAGAGTGTGATGTTCCCCTTCCTGTGTCCATGTGTTCTCATTGTTCAATTCCCACCTATGAGTGAGAATATGCGGTGTTTGGTTTTTTGTTCTTGCGATAGTTTACTGAGAATGATGATTTCCAATTTCATCCATGTCCCTACAAAGGACTTGAACGCATCATTTTTTATGGCTGCATAGTATTCCATGGTATATATGTGCCACATTTTCTTAATCCAGTCTATCTTTGTTGGACATTTGGGTTGGTTCCAAGTCTTTGCTATTGTGAATAATGCCGCAATAAACATACGTGTGCATGTGTCTTTATAGCAGCATGATTTATAGTCCTTTGGGTATATACCCAGTAATGGGATGGCTGGGTCAAATGGTATTTCTAGTTCTAGATCCCTGAGGAATCGCCACACCGACTTCCACAATGGTTGAACTAGTTTACAGTCCCACCAACAGTGTAAAAGTGTTCCTATTTCTCCACATCCTCTCCAGCACCTGTTGTTTCCTGACTTTTTAATGATTGCCATTCTAACTGGTGTGAGATGATATCTCATTGTGGTTTTGATTTGCATTTCTCTGATGGCCAGTGATGGTGAGCATTTTTTCATGTGTTTTTTGGCTGCATAAATGTCTTCTTTTGAGAAGTGTCTGTTCATGTCCTTCGCCCACTTTTTGATGGGGTTGTTTGTTTTTTTTCTTGTAAATTTGTTTGAGTTCATTGTAGATTCTGGATATTAGCCCTTTGTCAGATGAGTAGGTTGCGAAAATTTTCTCCCATTCTGTAGGTTGCCTGTTCACTCTGATGGTAGTTTCTTTTGCTGTGCAGAAGCTCTTTAGTTTAATTAGATCCCATTTGTCAATTTTGGCTTTGGTTGCCATTGCTTTTGGTGTTTTAGACATGAAGTCCTTGCCCATGCCTATGTCCTGAATGGTAATGCCTAGGTTTTCTTCTAGGGTTTTTATGGTTTTAGGTCTAACGTTTAAGTCTTTAATCCATCTTGAATTAATTTTTGTATAAGGTGTAAGGAAGGGATCCAGTTTCAGCTTTTTACATATGGCTAGCCACTTTTCCCAGCACCATTTATTAAATAGGGAATCCTTTCCCCATTGCTTGTTTTTCTCAGGTTTGTCAAAGATCAGATAGTTGTAGATATGCAGCGTTATTTCTGAGGGCTCTGTTCTGTTCCATCGATCTATATCTCTGTTTTTGTACCAGTACCATGCTGTTTTGGTTACTGTAGCCTTGTAGTATAGTTTGAAGTCAGGTAGTGTGAAGGACCTCTTTAAGGAAAACTACAAACCAGTGCTCAAGGAAATAAAAGAGGATATAAACAAATGGAAGATCATTCCATGCTCATGGGTAGGAAGAATCAATATCGTGAAAATGGCCATAGTGCCCAACGTAATTTACAGATTCAATGCCATCCCCATCAAGCTACCAATGACTTTCTTCACAGAATTGGAAAAAACTACTTTAAAGTTCATATGGAACCAAAAAAGAGCCCGCATCGCCAAGTCAATCCTAAGCCAAAAGAACAAAGCTGGAGGCATCACACTATCTGTTAACTTTTTAAGGCTCTTAGGAAACATCTACCACCTATTGGATATTTTCTAATTGGTAATTATACATTTCAATTTTTAACAGTCTCTTAATTCAAATTTGAGCCCATTTATAAAGAGAGTTATTTGGTGTCCCTTTATTTTAGCTGTTGGTCTATTCCAAAATACTGTTTGAAAGTTCCCTAAAATTTATGTGAATCTTTACTTAGCTTATAATTTGAATCTTTGTCCAATTTCCTTTAAAAAAGAGGCTTCTGAAATTTTTTAATGTTTCAAATTATTATTTTTCTTGCCTTCTCATGGCAATTATTTTTACACATCTGAGTCATTTAAATCTCTTCCTCAGCTTTTAAATAGTTTTTTGCACCCGAAGGAAAGACAATTAAATAAAGTAGTTTAGGTTTGTGTCCATGTGTGCTCAATGATTCGCTCCTGCTTATAAGTGAGAATATGCAGTATTTGGTTGTCTGTTCCTCTGTTAATTTGCTTAGGATTATGGCCTTCAGCTTTATTTATGTTGCTGCAAAGGATATGATTTCATTCTTTCTTTGTGGCTGCATACTGTTTCATGGTGTATATGTACCACATTTTCTTCATCTAGTCCACTGTTGATGGGCGTCTAGGTCAATTCTATGTGTTTAAAAAAAAAACAGATCTGCCGTGTGTTAAATACATTAGGTATGCCAATAGATTTGGAAATCATTATCACTCTCAGTGAAGAACCTACTGGATATTACCTAGAGATTCTAGACTTCGGCTTGATACCTTGACAGGATGTGACTTTTTGGTTGTCTTCCTTAGTGAGACAGTGCTAGAGCGAAAGTGACAAAAGTATTTGTTCACCAGATGCTCGATTAATCAGATATATTCAGCTTTCTGCATTCTAGACACATGGTAAGACTACACTCTCCCACCCTCTTTAAAGCTAGATACGGCAGTGTGATTTGCTTTGGCCAGCAAATGTGAGCAAAGGTGATGTACGCCATTTTCAGGTGGAAGCTGAAAGCATCAGTGCTTCCTGCTACGTTGTCTTGCAAGTTCTGCAGCGAATGTTCATGCATGCACCAAGCTGAAGTGGCTGTTAGCCTGAGCCACTGAGTTCCGTGACGATGGAACACCCCACCCAAGCACCGGCCTCTTTTGCACATGTAGTATGAGCAAAAAGCAAACTGTTAAGTTACTCATTTATTTTACCGTTGTTCATGCTACACAACCTAGCCTAACCTTATGGATATCTTTCAAATTGCTGAAACATCAAGACAATCTGAATCCTACTGCTTTGTAAGTAACCCCTTGTTCTTCCACATCTTGAGGTTGTAATGATTTTTCTCTTCCTTTGAGTTGTGAAATTTAACCAACGTGCATGTGTGTTTGTTTGAGAGAGAAAAAGTGTGTCATTGTGTCTAGGTCTAAATTTTCTTTTTTTTTTTTTTTGTTTATCTTCCTTAATAAATGGGTATTGCATGTCTGAAGACATACTTTTCTTCTGCCCAGAAATTCAGGTTTTTGTTATTTCCATGAATGTTCTGTCCCTCACTGTTCTTTCCTTCTGGAACTCTTACAGACATTTCTATATCTATATTTTTGGGAATGTGTTCTAAAAGAATACTTTGGCAGAATTTTTATCTCACTGGACTTAAATGTTTTGGGTTTCCTAAACAGGAATTAAGAATTTTCAGATTATTTCTTTAAGTGTTTTTAATTTTTAAAATGCTAATAGTTTTGTTTTATAAGTATAGATTGATATGTATATATAGTTTGGTTATGTATACAGTATATATACATAATGTGTGTGTGTGTGGTTTCTTGACTCTTACTGAAGGTCTTAATTATCTAATGTTACAGGTTCTCATTTGCTTTCCATCTCAGTTTTGTGTTGTTAGTTTCATTCCATTTATTCTTGTTTTAGCTTGTAAATTTCTTCCCTAGTGTCATCTTTTTCTCAATGCTTGGTTTCTGCAATGGTTACAAACAAAAGTAGCATATGCCGTCTTATCTTGGGATTATTCCTGGGTCTCTGTTTTCATACTCATTTGTTTTGGATGTCAATTTGTGATTCCCTTAGCTCTGTTGTTGATATGTCACCTGTTTTTCTTGGTTCCGTATTTTCTCTAAATTCCCTAAAATTGCCACCAGGCATGGATACCTGCCTGATTGTTAGAGTTTTACATGTATAATTATTTTGTAATTTCAGTGGAGTATCGGGGGGAGACAAAAACACCGTATGTGCAATCAGCAAGCTGAATAAGATTTATATTCCCCTGTTTAACTTTAAAAGTGAAAATAATAATAATGTCATATTCCGTGTAGTGGTAAGATGTATTCATTTATATACTTATTTCTTTCACCCTGAGCTTAATTTATTATCTGACATATGTCAGAAAATAATGTGATAATTTGATTTTCTCTAGTCCCCAGTAGCTGTCTAGTTGTCTATTACCTACTCATTTGTGATGCCTTATCAGGGATTAAGTGCTCATGCAATGTAGGGTCTTTTATGGCATCAATAATCCACCAAATAACTAAAAATTATTAAAGGCTCACTATATGTCAACTACTGTGCTACTCATTTTCTCTTCTTTCTTTCCTTTTTTTTTTTTTTTTTTTTTTTTGAGACAGAGTCTTGCTCTGTCACCCAGGCTGGAGTGCAGTGACACGATCTCGGCTCACTGCAAGCTCCACCTCCTGGGTTCATGCCATTCTCCTGCCTCAGCCTCCCAAGTAGCTGGGACTACAGGCGCCCGCCACCACGCCTGGCTAATTTTTTGTATTTTTTAGTAGAGACGGGGTTTCACCATGTTAGCCAGGATGGTCTTGATCTCCTGACCTTGTGATCTGCCCGCCTCGGCCTCCCAAAGTGCTGGGATTACAGGTGTGAGCCACCGTGCCTGGCCTCATTTTCTCTTCTTTCTACTGGCCAGTATGTCTATTCTTGCTCTCGTAGCACACTTTTACTTATTATTAATTATTTTAAATAGCCACATGACTACTGCATTTTTTTCTTCACCCAGATTATATGTGACTCTTTCCTCAGTAGAGATTTATACATATATTCTTATGTATTATTCTGTTCTAAGTGATTTACTTGAAGCTTTTTGCATCACAATTTAGATTTATTCTTAAAGGCTTCCAAGTCCTGACTTGTAGATTTTTAACTTTGGCTACAGATGTGGGAAAACATATGATTGGTATATTTTTTTCTTGCTTTCTTCCTTTTATTTAATTTTTTGGTGTTTGGGGTTGATATAACTTCATTGATTTTAATTATGTATGTTATTTTCTCCCTACTCCATCTGGCAGAACTGAACTGTAAAATTGAAACCAGAAGGTTGCAAATTTCAGTTAGTTCATGAAACTTAATTGTCAACGTTAGCTTTGTGACCAACCATTGTTATATGTGTTTTGTTATGGGGCCTCAAGAAGGCTTCAGAAACTTTGGCACAGCCCTTAGTCACAGTCAATCAATTATTCCACTTTGCAGGTGCTTGATTTTCTAGCATACAGCAATTGCACAGTGGGTTTGGAAGACGGGCAAACATGCCCATGAATATTTGGAAGTTTATTTTTCTTTTACTGTCACCGGCACATCTGTTAGATGGGAGTTTTGTTATATGCCTCTCAAAGATTGCTCAAATACATTTTGAATTGTGTTACACATGACTTACGGAGAAGCCATTAGCAGATATAAACATCCCCTTTGTTTTACACAGTAGACTTATTCTAATAATATCCTATCAATTTAATTATCTGAAACACTAAAAATTATATTTTAACTTTATACTAAAATTAATTTGATGTTTGCTATGTTCTGAAGATCGTTTCTTATTTAAAAGTACTATTTTAAGTAGTATCAGGGATAAATACATTTTGAAAAAAGTAGGTAAGGGAACTATATGCTTCACACCAGGACTTTGTCTTCATTACTAGATAAACTTTGGTTAGGCAAATTATGTCAAACAGCATGATACCTCTGCATTCTCATGCTAATATTAGGTATTGACTTATAATTTTGATGAGATTGATAGGTAATGTTCCTTTCACCTTTCCAAAGAGTGGAAATCTGTGGGCTGTATTTCAGCTTTGCGGAAAAAAACTGGCTTTTTTCATGTATGATTCATAGAGAAAATGACCTTCTTAAAGGTAAATTTGTTGGTGAATGAATGTGTAAAAAGATTCATTCCTTCTACATTTTCATACCTACCCATTGGCAATGCAGATTGGACCTCATTTCTGTTGATAACACATGGAACCAGTGTTCTTCCTTGACTCCAACTAGCTGCCTTTGAGCTAGTAGTTGTTACTCACAGGGATCTGGGCTGTCAGGAAAACACAGTTTTGTCCTTGCATTCCTTCTAAGCCAGAAAATCCTAGAAATTTTGGTTTTTACTGCAGTGCCCAGAGCACTAAAATCAAACTTGTTTGAGAGGTAAAAGCAATTTCATGGAGACGCAGAATAGCATGGCTGTTCAAAGTATGGATCTGCAACTAGGCTACTAGTGTTAGAGTCCAGCTCTGCCACTTCCTGGCTGTGTGGTCTTGGGACATTGCTTAATCTTTCATTGCTTCAATTCCATCATCTGAAACAAAGGTTATAAACACTAGTTTCCCCACAGCATAACTGAGAAAATTAAATGACCACTAGGCACTAGATACTCTAGAATAGTATCTAGAATACAGACTGTATGGTTTTAATACAGTCATTGTCTTTAGACTGACTCAAGGTGTAACTTTAAACTTGTCTGCCATGTTCAACCTCTGCTTTGATTTGAATCCATGCTTTTACAACTTTCTGAGAGCCATCCTTATAGGAGCCTGAATCATCAGCTGGTGCAGAGAGAGCCCTGTGTCGGGTCTAGTGAACCAGGAAAATTGCTGTCTGCAAAATCTGTAATTGATAGCCATTCTAGTCACCCACTCTTGGATATATGAAAATGGAAGTTATAGACAGTTGGGATTGGAGCAGCCCTCATGCCTAAGGAATGAGTTAGTCAAAGGGGAAAAGCTAGGATGCAAAGTATGAGAAGGAATATAGAGGGAGAGGGGGCTGAGGGAGACCAAGAGGAGGCTTGAATGGCTTGTTTCCTAAAAGGTTCAGGGCCTCTAATGGCTCACATTTCCTAAAATAGTGTTATAATCTTACAGTCTTTTTTGTTTGTTTTAGCCAACTTAAATCAGTTCTGTTGCTTGTAACCAATTACTGTCACCCTATTTTAGACAAAATATTTATGCAAAAATTACTAACAATCCAAGTCTAAGACATTCTTTTTTTCATTTCAATTTTGTATCAAGCAAGTCATATTAGTGATGATTCAATGCATTTTTTCATTATATACCAACCTACCATTTTTATTGTGATGTTACACACAATAGTTATTTTTATAACACACATATTTATTAATGAGGTGAGGCTAAACCATTCTAGAAATATCATTCTGACTGAGATGCAGCTGCTCACTTATCAGCATGTGCAACACTGAAAAACTATCCAATGAAAGAAATTAATATTTATTGAACACTTACTATATCGGAGCAATGTTCTATTTGCTTTATTTATGTTGTCTTATTTTATTTTCACAGCAGTGCTGTCAGGTAAGTATTAATAGAGGATGGATTGGAAGCCCAGGGAGGTTAAATAATTGGCCTGAAGTCATATAGCTAAAATATGTGAGGCTAGGTCTATTTGACACTATTCTCTTTTTAATATACCTTGCAGTCAATCAATCACTCACGGATATTTACTGAACACTTATTATATACCAAGAAGAGTGGTACAATGAGGATTGGACCAGTAGGGTCCAGGGAGTTGTAAATCATATTAAGAATTTTATCCAAATGTTGTCAGCCTCTCAAATATGGAAGAGAGAATATATATTTATGTAGTTTTTTAAATTATTTTTTTGCAAAATTATTAAAGTCTAAATAACTGGAAAGTCTAATGATAATTACAAATATAAGCAATTGAAGATGCCTAAGAGTAATACTTAAATGTCAATTTTATGACCATGAAGCGATGTTTAAAATTGTAGTGTAATAAATTCAGATTGGCACTCAGGATTTGCAGCCTTCTATTAATAGAAGGTCCCTGTGATTAGGCACAAAAGAGTAAGCTGCATGGCAAACTGGACAAATTGATAGTGGTGAAAGATTCTGGAGCCTTATTATTTAATCAATTAGAAGTTGACTTATTTCTTTGCCAAACAAATAAAAATAAGATTAAAATAAAATGGATCATATAGCTTTGAGTATATTTATAATGCTAATAATGTAGAGTTGCTACTTTCTTTTTAAAGTGCATGTTTCTGAATTAAATCTAATTAATCATTCACTTGAGATGGTCACTACCTTCTCTGACAGTTCTTTGGTTAGATACACTCACTGATGCAGAAGTATTCCTCCTCCTTTGCAGTAATGCCCCAATCAATCCAATTTAGAGCCATAATTGTATCTAATTGAAATGGTCCCATATTGCCTTGGATTATTATTTCAAAAATAAACAGCATATTTTCACATGATGACATACACGTACCTATACCAGGAGTGTGCACACGCACACACATTTGCTATCTCCTTTGCTTGGTGATGGGTCAGTGTATTTTCTTGCCACATCCCAGTCAGAAAGATCTGAAATTCTACTCTAAGGACTGCTTTACAGAATTGCATGCATGTTTTATATAATTCTTCCACATAGAACTCACTATTATTCAAAACACAAATTTTACAAAAATTATAATTCTTGAGTTTTGTGATACTGCAACAAAGGGGTCATTTTTATTTCAGCTGATGTCAGTAAAAACTGGAGCAACCAAAACATTACAACATGTAATTCTTTATGAAAATTGACACTGAGAGTAGACCAGAAAACCCAACCAAGCAGAAAGTACTTGTGGACTAAGTGTTCAAACAGGTGGGGTTATAAAATCAGTTTTAAATTCACCATGGGAAATTCCTAACTCTCTTTTATCTGAGTGTCAAATAGGCCCTCCGTGATTAAAGTAGAACTCAACACTGATCCCTTTTAACCATGAAATATACAAGTAATTAACACTACACTTCAGTTTCACACTAATGCCTGAAATTCAGGTCTTGGAAACTGCACTAAATGCTGGAGGATCAAAGTTTGATTTTAACTTTAATTATATTTGAGCCTGATAGCCCAAGCATTGGTAATTGATATGAAAGCCAAGTTCATCACAAAGGCAGCAACCAGAGAATTCTTAACGTATATAGCATTGGAAAACAGGTTTCCTTGGCTTTATTTAGCAATGCAATTTTGGTCATTACTTTAGAGAGATAAAAGAACTGCATCTCCATCACTAGATTTTTGCTTGCCCTGGCTCATGCTGACTAGTCACTCAGGGAGTCAAGTTGGGTCCTTGAAGCCACCTTTGTATTCAACGGGTCATAGAACTTCCTGTGCCATGCCAGGGGGAGATGCTGCCATTCTCTCAGCTTCTGTGAATCTTTTGTGTTGCTTGTACTTTCGGCCACTGGCCCAGGATAGGGACCCAGAGTCCCCCTGCTTCTTCAGCAGCACCGACTCAATTTCTTCTTATGAGATTACCTTACATTACTAATCTCTATTAATATGGTTATTATGTGGCAAATATATATATTATTTGTGTAAGTATATGTTAAAGATTAAGTCATATATATAAACATACATAAACTTATTTATTTATTTAAACTTATTTAAATTTATAAAATAAATTTTATTTTAAACTTATTTAAATATATATGTGTATGTATATATGTATATATATGTCTGCATGTCTATCTATCTATCTATCTATCTATCTATCTATCTATCTATCTATCTATCTTAATCTGGTGGGTGCAGTGGCTCATGGTGGTAATCCCAGCACTTTGGGAGGCTGAGGCAGGCAGATCAACCGAGGTCAGGAGTTTGAGACCAGTTGTTGAACACGGTGAAACCCTGTCTCTACTAAAAAATACAAACAAACAAAAAAAATTAGCCAAGTGTGGTGGCACACACCTGTAATCCTAGCTACTTGGGAGGCTGAGGCACGAGAATCCCTTGAACCTGAGAGGTGGAGGTTACAGTGAGCCGAGATCTTGCCACTGTATTCCAGCCTGGGGGACAGAGTAAGACTCTGTCTCAAAAATAAATAAATAAATAAATAAATAAATAAATAAATAAATAAAGATATACTTACACAAATTATGTACAGTAGTTCCCCCTTATTAGTGGAAGTTATGTGTCAAGCCCCCTAGTAGATGCCTGAATCCTCAGATAGTCTCGAACCCCATATATACTATGTGTTTTCTTATACATGCATACGTGTGATAAAATTTATTTTGTAAATTAGGCATAGTAAGAGATCAACAACAGCAACTAAGAATAAAATATAACAATTATACCAATATATTATAATGAAGGTTATGTGAATATGGTCTGTCTCTGTGTGCCTCAAAACATCTTATTGTACTGTATTCACTGATTTTCACCTATTTTATTCTTATTTTACTGTATTCACCTATTTTCTGATCCTGGTTGACTGCAGGTAACCGAAACCTTGGAAAGCAAAACCATGGCTACGGAAGAGCCTGTTGTACATTTTGCATTGTTAATATGTTTCATAGTCACCAACAACTAAAAGTGTCATCACTTAAATAGTCACTTTTTCTGTAATGATCCACAGAATTTCACAAATGCTGTTGCATTTATATTTACTAGAGCTTTATGAGAAAGTGGAACTTAGTTAACAATCAAGGAAGGGCTTTACATTTCAACTGTGGGTTTACAATTCATTGCCAAAACTGTGTCCTAATTTGCAGCTTGATGCTCTCTCCTTGTAACTTCTGTTTATGTTAGACCCAACGAATTAAACTGCAATTTCTGCTTATTTTCCTCTCTCTTGACTGTTCTGTGTAGGACAATTAAAAAATCAAACTTGGAAAATAAATAACAATTTGCCTTTGAAATTCTATGGTTCTTTGGCATATTCAGAAATTGAAAAAGCAAAGGAGAGTGCATTGTTAATACGAATTTGAAAAGCTGTTATTTTTTAAAAGTAGATGAGAAAATGTGCATTGATCAGTTTTGTGTATTACTATGCAAAGAGGCAAGAAATGAAGACAGCAGTAATGGTTTCCTATTGAACCATTTCGCATTTCCATGTGTTAAAAATTTCTTAAGTAAATCAGCATGTTTTGGCTGTTCTGTGACAGCCATAAATCTTGGGTAATCATCCTGTGAATGGGTCAGTGCATTAGCTCCATAACTTCAATTAGCTGTACTTCTATCAAGCTCTGAGAAATCTACTGTAACACAGTTTTAACTATTAGATTAAAAATAGTCATAAATATTAAGTGTTGTTGTAAATGAAGCCAACTTTAGGCTATGTCATCTGAACTTCAAAGCTTCATTAAAGTTTAAATATTTAATGTTGAAATGGCTAGCATATGCCATAACTACCATATGCAGCATTTCTTCGTGTGTGTGTGTGTGTGGGTGTGTGTGTGTGTGTTTTGCTCTAATGTAAGAACAGAAAAAGACCATATGTTTCAGAATGTGGAGAACAGGGCAATATGACAAACTAGATAACCTGACGTTACTTTTGGAAAAACAGAAAACGAAAACTTAAAGTACTGAATAAAATATCACAATCTTCCTTCTTAATACTTTGCTGAGTTTGGAGTGAAAAACATAGGGAACATCTGAAACTCAGGGTTATAACAAGGGTTCACTGTGGCTGCCCTGGGGGGGCAGAGGGGGATTGCCGGTCTTGATAATTGAGGAGGGTGGGCTTCATGCCCATATGAATAGCAGAAATAGGGTCTCTGTTCCATTCAGGGTGGTAAGTTGTAATTGATATCTGCAGACATAAAATCAGGACCCTCAAAAGGCTACCAACAGTAAAAAGATGGGCCAGTCAAAATTTTTCCTACCCATGAGAAAGGACATTGAAATATCCTTGTTTCTGTTCTGAGTGGGTAACAAAAACCTCTGCCTTAAGATCTCACAGCCACAGACCTGCCCACCATCACGCAGGGTTATATTCAAATCTATGTGGTCTGTGTGTGACATGGGCTCACAGATTAATATAAAATATGATACTAATCTATTAATACTCCTGAGACACCTAACAAAAATAAAGATGAAATCAGTCTGGAGAGACTCAGCCTCAATTTCTGAAGATGAGCTCACAATTAAAATTTCAAAATAAAGAAGAGACTCACCATGTCCAAGGGTTAAGAGACCCAAGAGGACCTGCAGATAAAAGAAATATCATTTCTGACTAAATCCGTTTTTCTTAATAACACTCTATTTGGAGCAGGACAATTTTTTTTGTTGTGCAGGATTAACTTGTGTGTTGCAGAGTGTTTAGTGTTCCTGCTCCACTCTGACACTAAAGGCCAATAACAACCCACCCCACCCTCACCCCCAGATCCTGTGACAGTCAAAGGTGCTCCTGCACAATTCTAAACACCCTCTGAGGAGCAGAGCCACCACTGTTTATGAACTATTGGGCTAGAAAATAAAATAAGTATGTTTTATATTAATAATGATCTGAAAGAATGTGTTGAAAATGTGAGAAAAACACAATCATAAAAGTCAATTTTAAAGCACTCAATGGAACCTATAAAAATTAAAAATATAAAGACTGAAATTAAAAGCCTATTGAACAGATTGAACATCAACATATACACATTTGATGAGAGAAATGGTGAATCAAAACACTGATATTATATAATTAGAATTCAGCATAAAGAATAAAAAGTTAGGAAATATGTTGAGAGGCATGAGAAAAAAAAGAAGTTTCAATTTATATCCAAAATAAATTTCAGAGAAAAAAATATAATTCAGGAAGGCTAATATCCAAAGATATGATGATCAAAACATAGAGATTTAATGAAATATGTAAATTCTTTGTTTTAGCTATTATAACATCCCTAACATAATACAAACAAATAAATCTATATCTAATCACATCATGGTGAAATGCAGAACACCAAAGACAAAGAGAAGATGTAGAAAACAAGACAGAAATGCCAGATTACCTACGATAGAAAGACAATGTAAACTGAGAACAGTCTTCTCCAAGGCAACTGTAGAAGCCAGAAGATAATAACAATTTCAGGAAATGTGGGGATAAATAAATTCATGTAGGTGAAACAGAACTGGGCCTGGCACATTGTATGTGTTATACAAGTGTTTGCTATGGTCCTCATTAACCTGGTTTGGGTTGCATGAATAAATTATGAAAGGTATATAAGGTATAAAACTGAAATGTAATGAAAGGTATAAACCTGAAAATAATCCACCTTCATAATTTTTAAATGGCTACTGGGAATCATAAATTGTATTGTTTTCTGAGGAAATTAATATAATATACTTATTAATAGCTTAAACATTGAACATTAGCCTTAGATTTAGAGCTTCAGTTTAGTTCTTCAGTTAACTATTTTTGTTCAACCTTGGGAAGTAACTACAAATTTAAAGCTGTTTTTTTTTTTTGTCTACAAAATTGAGTTAGTTAACTGAATTATTTATTAATTTAAGTATTTATTAATAAATATTTCTTCAAGCTCTGAGGCAGAAAATCCCCAACAATTTTAAAACTCTCTAGAAATATTACAATTTAAGTAAGAAATAAAACAATTGAATGTAAAATAATGCAGTAACTGCTATGTAAACCAAAAAGTATCTGCGTTGGGTCTCAATCAATTTAGATGTTTATTTTGGCAAGGTTAACGACAGTGCCTGGGAAAGAAAAAACAAAAACAAAAATGGAATCACAGTAAAAGCCTGTGTTCTGTGCCTTTCTCCAAAGATGACTTTGAAGTCTTCAATATTTAAAAGGGAAAAGTGGGCTGGAGGGGAAAGAGGGAGGGTGTGGTCACATTACTGAATCCACATGTTGCAAGAGGAAAGAGAAGGTAGAAGAATAGTCAGTTATGTTCTTGTGCTCTTTAATCAGCACTTTACATAAGATAAGGTGAACATAGAGTAGCTACCTGTGAAGATATTTAACCTTTTTTTCTGTAGCTATCTGCTTAGGAACAAAAGAAAAGCCAGCTTCTTGCACGTTTCCCCTTTCAGCTTAATTTTTTTCCGTTTTGCAGAATGAATTGTGGTCCCAAGTTTTTATTTTCCTCTCACAACTATAACACAGATATTTAAAAATACTATAGAAATGTACAGGAATGGCAATTACTTCTTCAAGAAGTCAGAGATAGTTGCAGGAAATATATGATGATGATTATTATTACCATCATCACCCTAATCACTGTCTGAATGAACACTGTGGGCTAGGCACTGTTTACATATATTTTACATGTGTATTGGAAGGATATTGCAGACAGAGCTAAGACACAGTGACATGAGGTTGTGTCATAATTATAAGGAATTTTCAATAGTTGAGTGTGGTAATAGCACCAGAGTAGATGTCAGATAACTTTAATAAAAAAGGACATAAAATATTGATCAAACATTCCTTAGCAGAGACAATGCTAGTTTTCATCCGAAAAGGTGGAATGGAACAGGATTCTAGAGGCAGAGAGATTAGGTAGCAGCTGCTACCATAATCTGGGCAAAAGCAAGTGGAAGCCTGAACTAAGGTAGAGGCCATAGAAATTGAGTAAATGGGTTTGAGTGACGTCTATGAGACAGAATCAACTCGACTGGTATGCTTGTCTTAAATTCCCCAACCAAAGATAAATCTGAGATACCTAAATGGAATATGTGAATGGACAGAGATTCTATTATTCAACAGCAAACAGCTAAAAAACTGCTACAGATGTTTTTTTTTTTAATTTTATTATTATTATACTTATACTTTTAGGGTACATGTGCACAACGTGCAGGTTAGTTACATATGTATACATGTGCTATGTTGGCGTGCTGCACCCATTAACTCGTCATTTAGCATTAGGTATGTCTCCTAATGCTATCCCTCCCCCCTCCCCCTATCCCACAATAGGCCCTGGTGTGTGATGTTCCCCTTCCTGTGTCCATGTGTTCTCATTGTTCAATTCCTGCCTATGAGTGAGAACATGCGGTGTTTGGTTTTCTGTCCTTGCGATAGTTTGCTGAGAATGATGTTTTAGAGTCATTTTCGTCTTGTTGACCTTGAGGTCTCTGTGTGTGAGAATGTCTCACAATGAGAAGGAAGCACAGAACTCAATTTGCAGATGTAAAGACAGGCAGTCAAACATCCTGTAAGATAAAGTTGAAGTGCTAAGTGAATAAAACTTAGTGTGAGAGGAAGGTAAAGAGGAAGGGAAGGAAAGTGGGCCAAAGGGGAGAAAAGGAGGAGAGTAAGGGGAAAAGAGAGAAAATAAAGAGGATAATTAGATGGATGTTAAGAAATCACAGAGGTGTTTTTAGGCAGATAGAAATGGGATAAGCAAAGATGAGTGTTCAAGAGGCCACAGGAGAAAGACTTGCTAAAACAAAAGGCGTAGTGGTCAATATCAAGTGCTGTAGAGAAGCAAAGTGAAATAAAGATAGTTAAACTAAGCAAACAAATTATTTTCAAACATTCATTGAACATCTACTAGGTATCAAGTCCTAAAATCATCATGGAAGAGAGGAGACCCATATCTTACTCTAAACCAGCTTACCATCTTGTGAGACAGATAAAAACAGATCATTGGTAAAGGTTAAGAAACATAGTTGCAGAAGGTAAAAGAAAAGACCCACTTAGGCCAAACTGGAGCTGTTTAAGAAAGATGAATAAGAGGTGGCCAAACCAAGAAAGGTGGAAAAGGCATTCCAGAGAGCAAAGATACAGAGGCAAGAGACATGGTGTGAACTGTTACAAAAGTGTAAAATAGGAGAAAAGTAGAACAGTGGCATTTGACAACTGTAGTATCAACTGTAACTTCTGCAGGTGAGTTTCTGTAGCAGGCAAGGTGGCCTGAAAGTTGATGCACTCCCACCCTACCCTGCCAGTGCCCCTATGGCCCCATTATCAAGATGAAAATATTATTTGATGACATCTTTAATCTCACTCAGGCAGGAGAATGTTCAATCAGTATGTTGAAAATACCACATAAAAGAAGTACCCTTGGCATAACAAGGGCAGATGTATTGAAAAATAAGACTAGGGTAAGGAAGATACAAAGTCATAGCAGTAAAGAAAAATTAATTTTATCAGTAGGGAAGTGTGTTTGCTCATAAGTATTACAGGGCAAATAAAAGCACAAATGCCCATAAACCATAGCTACTATTGGAGCAGAGAGAGAGAGCTCAACAACTCTTTTCAGTCCTGTGGATCAGAGCAACCTCCAAGCCCACAGGCCACATCATGAAACAGTGAAATTCTCATTAGAGCTGATTGCCATTGAAATCCACTTGTTGCTTGAAGTTCCATATTTACAAAAACATAAGGGATGGGATTTAAAATCTAATTAAAAACATTAAGAAATTGAAGAAGTAAGGTCATAAGAAAGAGTGTGTCTTAAACTGAGAGAAAGACTTCAATTGTAAGGGGAAGTCTGAAAATTCAGATATGAGGATAATAGGTGAAGTTTGACAAGGTTTAGCTCAATGCATTATGATGACTACACAAATGCACGTTAATATGTTTAGTAACTATTTCACCATGTATTATACTATGTTTAGTCATGAGACATCATTGGATCTTCTTGATTCTGGAAATAGAAGACCAATGTTAAATTACAAGCAAAGTAGGGACACATACATGCTCACTAAGGTTTAGCAATAACCCGATAGTAGAAAAATAAGAACTGTAAATATTTTAGTAATTGGGCTTAAATTTAAGGATCAATCTAATGAATTTAAAAGTTTACTTTAGCAGTTTCCACAGAGTTGAAGTGCTACAAGGAGGACTGGCTATATAAAAATATTCAGTGAGTCAACTTATTATAACTCTTTTAATTCATTTAGGACACATTAGAAAAAAATGTGAGATGATATATTTTAATTTTTTTACTTTATAAAATGTATGTGTGTTTAATTTTAAAACGCTTTTATAAACAAAACAAAGGATAAAATATTGAGAGCATTTAAAAATTGTTGGCATTTCCCATGTTTATTTCTATCCAAATTTGTCAAAGAAATATGAAAAACTGTATCTAATCTTATTTCTCATTAGTCTCTCCAAAAAGAATTACTATGTTTTTCAGTGTTAATTACCTCTTAATATAATATCATGATGCTTATTAAATTCATAATTACTCAGCTTTTACAATGATAGTGCCAAATAATCTAGTATTTATGGTATTTTAACTACTTATTTTCTATTAATTTCATGAAAAGTATTTTTTAAACTTAAGATTACAGGCTTATATTTTAATTGGCAATAAAACATTCATAAGTAAGAGTGTTATTAATAGATTCCTTAGACAACTAAAAACAAATGAATTATGAGTTGTCTCAAAAATTAAGCTGATAAGTGAATTAGACTGATTCAACCTCATAGACTAACAAATCATGTGGTAAATTATGGACTTACACTGTTACCAAAAATTTGCCCAAAGCTTAGCTTTATTCATGCGTGTATTCACTGGGTCCTGTATCAACCTAACATTTAAATACCTTCTGTGTAAAAGCACTGTGCTGACTGCTGGGAAAACTACACATATTTTCTTAAATGCGCTATGTTTTCATGCCTGCCTGCTTCTAGTATTCCTCTTCCTAAATGACTTTCTCATTTTGACTGTGTAGTAAATTCCTACCCAATGTCCAGTGCTCTCCTGGAGGCTTCTCTGCCTCCTTCCTCTCCCTTGCAGCCAGATGGACTTGATTTCTTCTTTATGCTTCTGTACAACTCTGGTATATGCCTCTATTATAGCCCTTCTTACACTGGGCTGTAATCGTGGTGAGTGTTACTGCTGCCACCATTGTTCTGTTTGTATTTATATGGCCTTATTCCTGATTAGACTTTTAATTCCTTCATGGTAGGACAAATATCTAATTAATCTTCAGCCTCCTAATATTTACATAGTTAAGTCAATGAATCTACCAATAAACAATAGTAGTTACAGGGTCTTGGTTTGAAATTGGTGTAAAATATGTTACCTTTTTAATGAATTTTATTGCACATATATATATATTTTAAATTTTTGTGACAGAGTCTCACTCCATCACCCAGGCTGGAGTGCAGTGGTGTATGATCTCAGCTCACTGCAACCTCCGCCTCCTGGGTTCAAGCGATTCTCCTACTTTGGCCTCCCCAGTAGCCGGGATTACAGGTGCGTGCCACCATGCCTGGCTAACTTTTGTATTTTTAGTAGAGATGGGGTTTCACCATGTTGGCCAGCCTGACCTGACCTCGGGTGATCTGCCTGCCTCAGCCTCCCAAAATGCTAGGATTACAGGTGTGAGCCACTGTGCCTAGACTCCAAGTTTAGGAGTCCTAAGTGGAAGCTTGCAATTGACTGAACTTGGATCATGTGTCCATTACAAGTGCCAAGGTGAAGAAAGACAAAGTTTCTGATTATTTTTGGCTTCCAAGGAGACAAGACTCAGCCAAGATTCACATCACAGGGGACCAATTCTCTCCACAGAGCAAAGGGTTTTGATTACCAGCCAGAACAAATAAAAATAGTTACTGTAGCACATTACTATTTTCTTAATCACATGCTTACTTGGAAACATTTAAAGAACCAAAGTTTCCTAAAATACACAGAACTGCTTTATCCTCAGCTCTTAGAGCAATCACTTTGCTAAAATCAGACTTTTTATTTATATTTACCCTATTTTGGTAATAATGTTCTGAATACATTAATAATGATAATAATGAAAATATTTATTGATCATTTATAATGCTAGTATACTTTGTATATTTAGAATGTATTGAGTTTCACTTTAAGATTTTTTTTATTAGTGAATTTAACTCTTACTATTCACCCCTACTGCAGGTGTGATTATTAAATTAACTTACATCTTGAAGCAACAATCCCTCTGAAGGATAACACAAATTATTTTTTTAATCTTGTTTTTACATTGTTTCAGACATACAAAAATATATAAAGGGTAATATAAAAAACCAGGTCCCTTTTTCCAAACTTAAAAAAATATTACTAATAGAGTTGTAGCTCCCAGACACCCTATCCTAATTCCATTCTTTTCCTTTCATATCAGAGATGGTCACAAACCTGAACTAGATGTTTATCAGGCCCATACATCTCTTTACATATCTACACACATGTATATATCTATAACCGAATATTTGTAGACATCATATACTCCTTGTATCCTGCTGCAATTAACTTTTTTTGCTGAATGTTATATAGGTGACATTTATGCAGTTGACACTTGTAGCTATCAGTTATTTTCACAATCATATAATATTCTATTGGATATGTATATATCAGTTTTTTTATTCTCTCCCCTATTGATGGACATTTAGATTTTTTTGTGGTTATAAACAATCCTGCTCTGTCCATTCCTGGATGTTTCCTTGTTTAGTCTTTAAGAGTATTCCTAGGTATATACGCAACAAGGGAAGTGCATCTTCAACCTTATTAGATATTTGGAAATCTCTCTTCAAAGTATCGATTTAGATTCCTACTAACAGGGTGTATTCTTCCCTGTTTCTCTACATTCTCACTGACATTTTTGACTGCTATTTTAATTTCTTTTTAAATTTATGCAACCAGAAGGGCATGCCATTTTGGTTTTCGTTGCATTTCCCTAATTGACAGGAAAACTGAGCCACTTTTTCAATGTTTCGTTACTTCATGTTTCTTCTTCTATGAAATGCCTCGTCATGTTTCCATCGTGTTATTTGATCTTTTTCTCCTAGAATTAAAAAAATACATATTTCTCTATTCCGGAAAGTAATCCATTGTTGATTATAAGAGATGCATCTTCTGATGTAATTTTCATTCCATTTCATAATGTCTGTTGATAAATAGATCTTAATTTTTTATATTTCTTTTATTTAATTATACAGTAGTCACACCGTTTACATTATTTAACTCAATCTCAAAAACATGCAAAGGTATATAATGAAAAGTTTCATGCCCTATAACCCAGGCACCAGAAGTCTGCCTGTTTATACAACTTCCCTCCACCTCCTCCCGAAAGGTAACAATTGTTATGAGTTTATTATATTCCCTTGAGGAATATTTTAATGCATGTTAAAAAATGCAGATATAGTCTTCTCTCTCTTTCCTTTTCTGCAAGTAGTAACATAATATATCCCATGGTTCTGCGCTTTCCTTTTTCACTGTCAGGTATATTTTAAATGTCTTTCTATACTTGAGTATTCCTCATCCTTTCTTACAGTTGTATACTATTTCACTGTATGTATGTACCATATTTAATTAACTAGCCTTTTACTGATGGAAATTTACGTGTTTTTCAATTGCTGTGTAATGAAGTGTAGGTGTTAAGATAACGGACCTTGGAGCTGGAGCACCTGGTTGTTAATTCCAATTAATCATTTACTAAATAAATCTAGGACAAGTTAATTAACTTTTCTGTTTCCTCATTTGTAAAATGCAGTAATAGCACCTACCCAATAGAGAAGTTACAAGAAATTAATGAGTTAAAGCTGTCGCACTTAGGATGGGACTATATTATATGATAAGTACTAAATAAATATTAGTTGCTGTCATTACATACATTGTCTCAATGCCTTATCTTGTACATACTTCATCTCACAAATGTATACTTGTTTTAAAAATTCCTAGAAGGTAAGTTAGATTGCCTAGTCATATGTATATTAGTATTGATTTGTAATTCTGATACATTAAAAATTACTCTCCATAGAGTTGTACCAGTTGTCTCTCATACATGAAATGTGTGAGTTCATAGTTCTTCAGAGCTTTACTCACAGGCTGTATTTTATATTTTTTGTCAATTTCTATAAGTGAAAATTTCAATCAGAATGAAGTTTTAATTTGCATGCTCTTTATTTTTCTTGAGGTTATCTTTTCAATTGTATACTTTTACTTCATATTTTGTGAAATATCTGTGTATATTATTTATCAACTTTTCTATTGGACTGCTTTTAAAACAATTTGTAGACTTTGTTCTGTGTTAGGAAGAATAACATTCTTTTCTGTGATAGGAGTTAAAAATTTCTTTTCGGCTGGGCGCAGTGGCTCACGCCTGTAATCCCAGCACTTTAGGAGGTCGAGGCGGGCAGATCACGAGGTCAGGAGATCGAGACCATCCTGGCTAACACTGTGAAACCCCATCTCTACTAAAAATACAAAAAAACCCAAAAAAAATTAGCCGGGCGTGGTGGCGGGCACCTGTAGTCACAGCTACTCTGGAGGCTGAGGCAGGAGAAAGGCATAAACGCGGGAGGCAGAGCTTGCAGTGAGCCGAGATATCACCACTGTACTCCAGAAAAAAAAAATTATTTTCATATGTGTTCTTTGTCTTTTGACCTCTGAACAATATTTTTCCCTTGCATTTTTTTTTTAGGTAGCAAAGTATACCAATGTCTTCTCTTAGAACTCTTAAGTTTTATATGATTATTTAAAAGGTCTTCTCACTCAGAAGTCATGAAACAATTCTTCCAAGTTTTCTTGTAATATTTTTGTGACTTAATAACCATATTAACATTTTAAGTCATATTTATTGGGGTATAATTTATATACAGTTAAATTCTCCCTTTTTGGGCGTGCAGTCTATGAATAAGTTTTGGCGAGCAAAAAATAGTAATGAATTTCTTCTACCCACCTCCATCCCCGGGCAGTCGCTGATCTGTTTTCTATACTCAACAGTTTTGCCTTTTCTAGGATGTCATAGAAAAGGAATCATATAGTAAGGGGACTTGTGAACCTTTTTCATTTAGCATAATGCATTTGAGATTTATCCATATTAAAACATGTAGCAGTAATTGGTCTCTTTTTGTTTTTGTATAGTGTTTCATAGTATGGCCACATTACAGTTTGTTTATCCACTCACCAGTTGAAAGACATTTTGGTTGCTTCCAGTTTTTGGTGAATATAAATAAAGCCAATATAGAAATTCATGTTTTTTGTATGGACATATGTTTTCATTTCTCTAGAGAATAGAAATGTAATATCTGGGTCACATGGTAAGTATATGTTTATCTTCATAAGAGACTGCCAAATTGCTTTCTAAAATAGCTGTACCATTTTGCATTTCCATATTAACATATAACATATACACATTTTGTATTTGAAATTAATTTACTCCAGCCTATGAATGAGATATGAGTCCAACTTTTGTATTCCAGATGGTTTTCCAGTTGTCCCATCAGAATTTATTGATACACACCTGTTCCCTACTGATTTGAAATGGCATCTTTATCATATTCTAAAGCTCTATATCTATTTGCCTTTAATTTTGACTTCTTATTCTGCTCCGCTGATAGCTCAATATGACGGATGACAAAGGATTCATGTTTCAGTACCATACTTCTAAATTATTGAGGCTTTACATTTTAAAATATAGAAGGGCAAGTTTTCTTTCTCTTCTCTTTCCTTTTTAAATAATAATAATAATAATATATTATTATTATTATTTTTGACAAGGTCTCACTCTGCGGCCCAGGCTGGAGTGCAGTGGCATGATCATGGCTCACTGCAGCCTGGATGTCCTGAACATCCCGGGCTCAGGTAATCCTCCCACCTCAGCCTCCCAAGTAGCCAGGACTACAGGTAAATGCCACCATGCCCAGCTAATTTTTGCGTGTTTTATAGTGACAGGCTTTCACCATGTTGCCCAGGTTGGTCTCAAGCTCCAGGGCTCAAGCAAGCCTCCCTCCTCGACCTCCCAAAGTGCAGAGATCACAGACACGAGCCACTGTGTCCAGCGAAGGGCAAGTTTCCTACCATGGATCTTCTTTTTAATGTTTTGCTTTTTATTTTCCCTATCAATTTTAGAATTATTTTGCCAAGTTACAAAACATGTCTTTGTATTTCTTTGAAGAAAGTTTTCATCTGTATGATTTTTGTTCTAGCTTGGAATATGATTTCCCTTTATTTTATTCCATTCTTCATTTTTGTCTGTGACCTCATGTCAGTTGCCAAAGCTCTCAGAATCTGACCCATCCTTCCTTTTCGACCTATTCATCGTTCTTTCCTGTTACACTCCAGGCTGTTGCTGTTCCAATCTCAGAAAGTTACAGATGCTCTCTCCTTTATCTGTAATCCTTTTTCTTCACATGGCTAATGGCTTTTTATCATTTAAGATTTTGCTCAAATGATACCTTATGAAAGTGTTTTTCTGTCACCACTTTACTTAAGTAGCCTCATCTTGGCCCCTTTCATTCACTTTCAGTTTACTCTGATTTATTTTCTGTATGATGCTTATCTCTATTACAGTCATGCGCACTTATTTCCTTACTTATTTCTAACGCCCCCTCATTAGTTGAAACCATGAGAGCAGGAGCTTTGTCTTCTGGTTTCCTGCAGGTCATCAGTGCTGGGAACAGTGCCCGGCACTGAGGAGATATGCAGCACATATTAGGTGAATGAATGGATGGTCTTTTCTCAGCTCTATCAACAGTCTTCACACTCTTCCTTCTGCTACTTATACAAACCAGTTGGACAGATTTTCTATGTGAAATGATTTGACTGCCTAAGAAAATCAGTGAGGTAATAATGACTTGTGACTTTTCCAACTGAGTACCAGAATCACAGGTCAGAAGACTGAGGTCCCCTCTGCTACTCAGCTCCATCTCCCCCACCTCCCACTCTCATCTTTGGCTGGGCTGGTATGACTGGCAGGACCACCATCTGTGACTCCTTGAGGCATCACAGTGAAACAACTGAAGCAGAATACATACTCAAAAACAAGTGAACAGAATCAAATCCACTCTCAGTAGCTCAGATCCTTACAGATGGAAATGACCAATCAGAAAATGATCTGGAACAGTGGTTTCCATGTCTGGCTTATGATATGTCACCTAAAATATTTTGACAAATATGGCCATTTGAACCTCACCCCAGTCCTACCGAATCTGAACCTTCAAAGTTCATTAAAACAAGCAAACAAAACCCACCAATGGAACTCTTGTGGGGCTCTGGTATACTTCAATGTTGAGGAATCACTGCTAAGCTGAGTTAGGCAATTGACTATGTGTCTAAGCAATGTGAACTGATGCAAGGATCATAGATAATGGTCCATGCATTTAAAAATGTTATGGAATTATTAGATTGATGGTTGAATAATAAGCTAAACAATCTAGCATTTTTTATGCTCTACATTGATGAAAAAGTTCTGTAAAATCTGTATAATACCCAAATGCAAGAATAAGGCTTTGTTCTACAACATGATGAAATGAATTCTGCTACTTACCTGTACTGCCTGCTCTGCAACCAGAATAATTTAAAGCTTAATTCAATGTCTAAAAATGTCTTTCTAGTTAGAAATGCAGACAGCTGAGCTTCATTATAAAGATATTGAGTCCGAATCTCTGAATATGGAACCCAGGAATCTGAATGTTTATACAACGTTTTGGATGATCCCTTTGTATGATCTCACACTACTATGTGCAAATCATGAATTCGCACATCATAGATTTGGACTCCTTTTGGGGTGGGGCTAGTTGAGTTCAAAAGGGTCTAACAGGGTGATCCTGGGCAAGTTACCCGTTTTCATCTTCCATTTCCTCATCTATAAAATGGGAACCAATATGATCTGCCTCAGGGATTGTTGTGAAGGTTAAATGAGATCATCAATGGAAAGTAATCAACAAAGTGCCTGAAAATTTACAAAAAAAAATGACTCAGTAAACATTAGGTCTTACTTTTACTAATCACTTACTTTACTGGTTTATCCCTATTTGGATTTTCTATCTATTCTGTAGCAGTATCTCAAGAGATGGTTCTCAAAACATGGTTCTGGACTACAGTCATCAACATGAGTTGGAAACTAGTTGGAAATAAAAAATTTTGGATCTGACCCAAATATAATGGGTCAGAATCTCTGATTGTGGGACCCAGGAATTAATGTTTAATAAACCCTCTATCTGGATGATTTTGATGCATGCTGAAGTTTGAGAATCACTGATCTAGGAGGATTAAATAATAAAAGGATTAATTGAAAACAATAAGCAAACTGTGAAATAAGTTACAGTTAACTAAACAGATAAATTTTAAAGATACATAATCTTTCTCACATATGTGTGCGTATCAACCACCCCCCACCACACACACATTCATTCTAAACTGTGAATAATGCAGGTTGTGTTTATCTAAGGAATGTTGAATTTCTCTTAGACTCATGCTTGCTCTGGTTTTGTTTATTGTTTCTCCTATCAATACCCTGGTTCCATATCATCTGTGGCTCTTCTGTATTTCACACTCTTCCCTATTTTTATAGTAGCGTTTCCTGGAATATTTACTTTCTGTATTAGGTTTCAGTGTAGAAATAGACTGAGAGTAGACATTGGAGACAGATAAGCATTATATATATAACCCAACTCAGTTTGTTGACTTTGGGCAAGTTAACCCCAGAATTCTAGATTTTTCATCAGTTAAAAAGGGAGAACGATACCCTCCTTAAAATTTTCTTTTGAAAACTAAAAGTAATATATGTAAATTATATAGCACAGTGCCTGACACATAGTGAGAGTCCAAAAAATGTTAGCTAAGTCCAGGCTTGGTGGCTCAAGCCTGTAATCCCAGCACTTTGGGAGGCTGAGGTGGGCAGATCGCCTGAGGTCAGGAGTTCAAGACCAGTCTGTCCAACATGGTGAAACCCAACATGGTCAAACCCCATCTTTACCAAAAATACAAAAATTATCGGAGCATGGTGGTGTGTGCCTGTAATCCCAACTACTTGGGAGGCTGAGGCACGAGAATCACTTGAACCCGGAAGGCAGAGGTTGCAGTGAGCCAAGATTGTGCCACTACACTCTAGCCTGGGTGATAAAGCAAGATTCTGTCTCAGATAATAATAAAGTTAGCTAATATACTAATATGCATAGAATGTTCAATCTTACAGCCATTGCTAATATTAATATTTTATATAGACAGCACTAACCAAAAATATATACTGTTTTTTTCTATGCCTGTTCCTATTTCCACAGAAATTTAGGGAAGAGCCACACTCTTTTCCAATATGCACAGAGCAAAAATATCTCTAGACCTCCTTGTTACTGTCAAATTTCTAGAGGACTACAGTAGGGTTGAGAAAGTTACAATGACTTATTATAACCTATGTTTGGGCTCATTACACCCTAATCATGTTGTCAAATACAAATTGAAAGCTTCCCTCAATATATTTATGGCTCTGAATTTGCCCACATTCTGACACTATTTTACCATTAGTTAGAATAGAAAACGACAGTCAGTAGAGTTTTCTTTTTATATCTATGGCACAATCTTCAGAGCAGCCTCTTGTATAGGCAACTAGACATGAAGTTGCAAAGTCTTTATTAGAATATGCTTTGTGTCTCACTTATTTAAGTTGAAGTGGCTGCAGCAATGTGGACCTGAGTCCAGATCTGTGCTCTGATTCAGATCTGTGCTCTCTCACTTTCATTATAACCTTGAGCCAATTGCTTCATTTCACTTGCTCTCAGAGATAATTAGTTCAACTTTCTCATTTATAAAATGACTAGGTGCATTTTGACTAGTTCAATTTTGGTGAGTATTTTATCAGTACTTGCAAATAATATGTGTTTTCTGTCTTGTTTTGCATGTCATAATTGACATTCAGTTTGAATTTTTACTTGTGCTTTGCAGATTTTCTATAGTCTAACTTATTTTTTGGTCTGCTTGTTTTATCAGCCACAAAGAGGGATTGTTAAAATATCTCTTCCCATATGTTGAAGCTACCTTTTGGATTACATGCAAATGTATCTTTCTGGTGGATTTGTTTTTTTATCATTATGAAACGTCCTTCTTTATATCCAGAATTGCTTTATGCCTTGATGTCTACTTTCCATGATATTTGGATAGTTATATAAGCATTCTCTTGGTAAGGTGATCCTGATTTATCTTTTTTCAATTCATTTACAGTCAGTCTTTCTTTGTCCTTTAATTAAAGACGTGTATCTTAGAAGCATCATATAGCTGGGTTTTGTTTTCAGGAATTCTACTCGGCTGTGCACAGGGGTATTTTCATTGTGTTCATTATGCTTGGGAATTTGTAGAGTTTATTATTATTGTTGTTGTTGTTATACATTTTTACTTCAAATTGAAATGAAAAATACATACAGAAAAGCAAGTATATCTTTAGTGTGCAGCACAATTAATTTTCACACCTTTGATCAAGCACCCAGATCAAGAAAAAGAATATGCCCAAACTCTAAGCCTTTCTCATTCTCTCTTTCAGTTCCTATTCTCCCTAAGTAATCCTTATCTTGATTTCTAAGATCATAGTTCATTTCTGCTATTGCGTCTTCCCCATTCTCTTTCACTCCTCTTCCCTGACTCTAAGTAAACACATTTTATATCTTTTCACTGTGTCCTTTACATCTCATCCTTTTTTTCTCCATGTGTTTCATTTATACCTTCTGTTTACTTATTGTCCAGTTCACTAATTCTCTCTTCTGGTTTTTTGACTAATTTGCTATTAAATCCATATATAAATTTTTCATTTAGGTTATATTTTATACTTGTAGAATGTCCATTTGATATTTTTATTGTTTCAAGTTCTCTGATAACATTTTTATTATGTCATCTATATTTTGAGCATAGTAATAATAGTTATTTTAAAATTAATATCTGGCAACATGAATATAAAGATGTTTTGTATATTCTTACTATTAGGGTTTTTCCTTTTTTGTTCATTCTGTTAGCATGTCTCATGGAATACACTAAAAGTTTTATCGAGTGCCTCACATAACTAATAAAGAAAATGTAGAGATAATGTTAGATTTATCTGGAGGGAATTTCATTTTGCTTCTGGTAACTATTTAGGCTAAGAATACATCTCCTTAATCCAATCAAGAATTGATGTGATTCCAAGTTGGATTTCAGTCTCTGTCCAGGCTGATCCATTTGCTTACCCATGCCTTAAGATCTCATCCTCCATCAGTTCTAATTGAGAGTCTAGACCCTTTTTCAGAGTCCCTTCTTCTCTGTGGGCCATACCAAAAATTTTGCTTACTCCCAGACACATAGCATTGCTGGAAGCTCTGCTCAGCTTCTCAAAGTCCGTCGCCTCTTGAGAATCAGCAAACACCTCAAAGGGAAAAGTAGTAATAAATTTTGAGTTCTTATCTTTGTGTATTTTTTGTTTCTGGGATTGTTATCCCTTAAGCCTCTTTTTACCCCTTCAATGCTTTCAGAGACATTTTTTTAAATTCCATCCTTTCTGGTTCTCAGAAGGAAGGTTCATCTGCAAAAGCCACTCCTCAATTACTGGAAGCAGAAATTCCCTAGAGCCCAATTTGATAATTTATTTTATAAACATATAGTCTTCTTTGCATGGACCTTCAGTATGATAGGTGCAATTAAATGCTATACAATTAGACATTTTTACCCACAAGTGTTCCCATTATATATTTTGGATATCTGTATAAACCTTCTATCAAAAAAAGAATAAATTTTCTTATAAGGATTAGACTAGTCAGTGACAAAAATATTTATTTATCCAAAACATCTTCCATAATATCGAGAACAAAATTACCCATCTGCAGACCTGAAACTCTAGGGACAAAACTTATAGAAAGCCAGGTGTTAACATAGCTATTCTTTGACTGAGTAATTTAACTCAATGATACATAAAATATGAACAGAATATTTTAGTTATGTGGAATAGAGTAGTAAATTGATTATGCTCTCTTTAAAATGCATGTTGAAATGGTATTCCTTAAAAATAATTGCTTTCACATAATACCCAAAATGAAGATTCACATTTTGGGAGATAGTAATCGCCTACATATTTTTCTTCTATCATTAAAAAATAGTCTTATACATATCATACAAGATGTATCTTATAAAACACCCAAGAAAATACTTGCATGGTGTTTTGAAATTATTTTGTGGGAAGGGGAGCTCAGAGATTGACAGCCTGGTAAGAGGAGAAAATGCAGCATTCTTGATTTGAAAGTAAATAGACCACCTTAAAATCTCTGAAATTGTCAGGAGGCTTTGTGAAGACATTCTTATGCAGGCAACTGCAAGTCCATCTATTGTTTTAATTTGTCTCTCTAATAATTCCCCGGAGTTGCACTTGGTTTGAATATTGGAGAAAACAGAAAAGAATCAGGTTGTTTTCTTTTAATATTCATCCAAAAATTCAGTGTGGTATATTAACCATCACCTATATCCCTTCAAGGTTGTTTGATTTCATTAACCTTTACAATATCCCAATTAAATACAAGTATATTCATTTTATCATTCATACTTGATTTCTTTAGATAATCAAACTATGCAATTTTCTGTGATTCTTTTTATGTGAACACCACTGCAATTTGTAGAATGTTTCTTTTTCTTTTAAAACAATGTCACATATCTAAATAATATAGCAGTATAAAATATTCTTTATTAAAGAAAAGGAAGCATCCATTTTCTTTTACATGTTTTCTAATTTGACAGAAAATCTTCAGTATATCTAATAATTTCAAAAGATAATTTTGTTGTGCTTCATTACTACATCTTGTAATTTGGAAAATGATATGTAGTATACTGAAAGTTCTCTATACCTAGATAATATAATGTTGCTCTTATGGATATTATTGGTAACTTACATATGTTGCTTATTTTTCTACAAACATATTTTTTCTGCTGAAATGTTGGCAGCACTTCATTAACAATGGCTATGAATTTAAAACATCAAACATTATTTATTATCTAAGGTATAATTAAACACATAATCAAGTTCTTTGAAGGCTAAGTCAGCCTCTGTTCTGGTGGTATAATTTTGGGAAACACTAACTGTAAGCCATAATAGATTCTTCAGACCACTGTTAAGCAGAATAATTATTGTATATTTGAAAATAACTGAAAAAAATAGAATTTGAATTTTCCTAACACAAAGAAATGATAAATGCTTGAGGTAACGAATACCTCAGTTACTGTGATATTTTGATAAAAGCATGTATCAAAACACATGCAATGCAAAATACAATGCAGATTGTATGCTTGTATCAAAATATCGCAAGTACTCCATAAACATGTATTACTATTATGTGTCCGTAATAATCAAAAATTAAAAAAAATAAACTGAACTAGAATAATTATTCCCCTGCTACTTCCAGGTATAAAGACCTAATCTAAATGTCCGACACTGAGAGGAAAATCAGTGAAAATGGAACGGAATAGATAAACCTCATTTCCTTTTGGACTTTATTCTTTGTTTATTTCTTTCGCCGCTCCCTCCAGGCCAACCCACCCTCAGCCAGTGTCAAATTAGTCTGGGGATAAAATATGCAAGCAGAGACTGCTGATCAGATTGTAAAGGGGAGGAGAACAGAATCCAGAGTCATGAGCCTGAGGTTTCTAGTCTGTGTTATCAAAGAAGAAAACCCAACTTTTGAACTCATCTTTTGCATTTTCATTGCACCACCTTCAGTCAAGCACTGAAACCTACAATGTTATGAAGAGGAAAAGAGAGTTAAATGAACTATGTGATATATAAAAACTGCAAGTTGTAAGCACCAAAAGGCATAGAAAAGGACTCTGAGACCCAGAAAACTACTTGACTAGAGCAGTCAGATTCTGTTCGTGTAGAGTGTTGATGAAAGCAGATTGTGTGTGTACAAGTATATTTGTTTTATTTAGTTAGATTAAAAGGTTTACTTCCAGTATATTATCATAATAACCATAGAGAGTTATAGTGTGTTATTTTAGAATACATTGACATGTGCTAAGGTGCAGGAGGCACTGTTAGTGACACTATACTTTGGGTATAGGAGGGTGAACAGCGGGATGTTCTGAACAGTCCTGCACCAGAACCATTCAGCAGAAGCAGAGTGATAATAACTCCTAATGTGCCAATATCAGAACAGAGGAAGTTCAATTTGAAAGGAATTAAGTTAACGATGTATTGACTGAGAGAAATATTCAGTGTTAATTGGATGGCATTCCGAATGAGCCTGCTATGCAATACAGCTCTTTGTTAAAGGAGGGCTTTGGCCTAGATTTGTCCTTGCTCTATCTGAAATTGCCATGGTGTTTTCACAGCAGATTCAAATGAAAGCCTAGTTAAACAAATGAAACCTACACATTAAATTATGTGCATGCGTGTGTGTGCATGTAAACATAAACATGAATTTGGTCTAATTTTCCTCACAGTTCCTTTCAATATGGCCATGGCAAAGAACATGATAAATGGTGATTTGGGAACTCTATAGAAAATTTCTTTCATACTTTAATCTTGTGGAAATGCAAAGAAAATATAATATTGGCAGTGAATGTGGTATTTTGTAATTCAGGTAAACATTTCATGGAGGTAGTGATAAACTGAAATTCAGATGGTTGATGTTGGCTGCTGGATTTTAAAAATAATTTAAACAAATAGCTTTAAGAAGAAAATTATTCTGTGCATGACAATATAATTTTTAACAGTTTTATTGAGGAATAATTTAGATACATAAAATTCACCTGCATTAAGTGTGTATTTTTAGTACATTTACAGAGTTGTACAACCATCACCACAGTAAATTTTAAAACATTCCCATTACCAACATAAGAAATAGGTTTATCTATTATCACAAAAATTTACTATGGAATTATTCAATAAGTATATTATTTCATTTAATAAGTAGAATTTATTAATCTCTAAATATATAAAAAATGATTTATAATATATTTTATTGAAAATTTCTGATAAATATATGTATCTCACTAATACAGATCTGTGAGATAACCAATCTGCTAGGACACAAATTCCAACAATTTGCGTCTATTAGTGCCTGCTAATAGTGCTAACAAAGAGAGGTAGTATACATATTAGCTTGGTTGATAAAAATTGAGTTAAAATTTTTCTCTAATCTGAAAATATAACAGAATCTAGTCTCAGAGACCATAATGTAAGTGTAGAAGCAAGGATATGAGACATATTCAAAAAATAATTTACAATACAAAATAAGAAATATGGCCGATATTTACTATTTATATTATTATTGTTGATAATTATAGTTAAAGATTCTACATGACACAGAATATCATATAAGAGAATATTCAGTTTGAACCATGTTAGAAAGGGAAAATTTATTGGAAAAAGTTACTTTATATGAGTTAGAGCTTGGAGGCTGGGAAGAGTTCAATAAGTGACATTGAGGAACTAAAAGAGCATTATAAATAAAGCCTAATAATATAAGGCAAACCACAATGCTGAGAAGCTTAATGTTCCTGAAAGAAAGACTCATTTAATTGGTTGGAAGGTGCAGTGTAAGGAGGGGTTGGGGGGCAGTTTCCTTCTTGGCTACAACTAACCTTAATACTCTGGTAACAAGTCTGTGCTCAGCCTGTTGGAAATGGGAAAATACAGCACACTTTTTAGCAGGAGCTTATGATTGAAGAGTTATTTAAACGTTAATTTGATGACACATTCTTGGATTGATCAAAGAGAAAAATTAGTAAAAACAAAATTCCATACGTGAATGTTGTGGAAGTCTGAGGGATATAAGCATAATTACAGTGATTGCTATAAAACAGAAAGGAAAGCATGAAAGAGAGAGACAGGAAATAAAAAGCTACAAGCTTTGGTGACTGAATAGATCTGGAAGGAAAAGTTGAAAAAAATGTAGAATGTCTAAAGCAGAGCACAAAAAATGCCAGATGTGGGTGAAATGTGCCAGGCTTGTTGGTGGCCATGTTGGGGGAGGGTGTGTGCACTCTCCTTCGATAAGAAGCCCCCTTCTTTCCTTAGTCTTATGTGCATATAACCTCTGATGACGTTGAAGTTGGCATAGCTAGCTCTAAGGCTTCAGGCTTGGGTGATCAGAAAAAGCACCTAGTAATTTTGCACAGTTGAGGGGAGGGCGTATGAAAAGCCATATGTTGTGTTTTCAAATGTTGGAAAAAATCTTTAAAAACCAATTTACTTCTCATTTTATATGCTCGAGTCAATTCTGTTCTTTAATTATCTAAGTCAACAGAAATAGGTGAGTCTGTTTCATTTTGATTTCAAGTCAGTTTCACTTTTTGTATTTTCATGCACAAACACGAAGAAGTAATGTATTGATTTTTGGACAAATAATCCATACAACATATTATATTTTGTACCACTGCATATAGCACCTCTTTCTGCAGCTCTCGGGACTCTTTGCAATTGACTCATTGCTTGGGCCAATGGCTCAGGCTGGGCCTCTGAACTGAACTACTAGACTTTTAAAAATTACTTTTCAAATGAAAAGTACCATGATCTAAAAAATTTTATTTATATTGAATCCTATGCAGTTCCTGGTTGTGGGAGTTCCATAAAATCCAAATTTCAAATTTGCAAGTTAGCACTTCAGTTTTTTCATAGTGGTCTCACACTTTGATTCTGGGCCAGCTCTTTTTCCTTACCTCTCCATACATGCAGGTTAATGTATCATGAAAATTCATTTATTGACTTTTTTGAGATGGAGTCTTGCTCTGTCGCCCAGGCTGGAGTGCAGTGGCGCAATCTCCGCTCACTGGAACCTCTGCCTCCCGGGTTCAAGCAGTTCTCGTGCCTCAGCCTCCCGAGTAGCTGGGACTACAGAGGCACGCTGCCATGCCCAGCTAATTTTTTTTGTGTGTGTGTTTTAGTAGAGGCGGGGTTTCACCGTGTTGCCACCGTGTTACCTAGGCTGGTCTCGAACTCCTGAGCTCAGGCAATCTGCCCACCTCGGCCTCCCAACATTATAGTCTTTTAAAAATCACAGGCTTTTAAAGCTTTGAGAAAAGCTAAATGCATTCATTATCTATTATCTTCACATGAGTAACCTGAGACTCAGAGGAAATCCAATGACTTACCCAAGATAAACACAGTAATATGAGCCAGAACTAAAATCCAGGACTCCCTGCTCTTTCTTTCTACACCAATCAACTAGACATTTAAATTATGAATAATCATAACTTCTTACTTGCGTTTTAGGTGTTTATAATGCTGGAAATCCCAGCTCAACAACATTGCCTTTTCAACTCCTCAGGAGGGTAAACAACCCCACAAGTTGATGGCGAACCCAGTCAAGTTCATGAACTGGAGCCACATCAGAGGAGTGAACTCAGTGTGAGCTACTTATGCACATTTAGTCCCAGAACTCTGGGGAAACACACTGAGTCCTTTGACACATTTTTGCTCCTTGGTTTATCATTACGTGCTCTTGTCCCAATTACAGTGGATAATTCTTGAGGGCTATTATTAAAATATGAGCAAGAGAAAGAGAGATGCGTAAGTCCTGAATTTAGTACATAATTTAGGCTAGGGGAGCAAAAAGAGTCCAAGTCAGCTCTATAGGGCTTGGGGTCGATGATATTATGATAATTAACATTTATTGAGCTGCTACTATTAACCGTCAAGCACTGGTGCAGATGCTTTTCATGTAGTACTTAATTTAATCCTCACAGCACCCCTGAGTGATTCTCTCAGTCTAGTTTCCCTCAGATGACCGTGAGACAAGTATTCGAGTACAAGCAGTTTATGTAAGAGGTGATCTCAGGGAATACTGGAGGAGTATAAGGAAGTGAGATAGAGGATGGAAAGACGCCAATAAAAGGTGCCTGATGCAACAAATTATGATATGGACAACTGGGGCTTAATCTACCACACATGGTCAGAGCAGCTTCTGTAAATTTAAAACTATTCTCAAGTTTAAAAAGTGCATTTAAAAAATGAATCTTGTCAAATTTAACTGGATTTCAATTGTGTAAAAATGCTAGAGGTGACAAGGAACGCTCACAAGTTTTGTTCAGACTTGCCCATTGTAGGAATGGCCCTGACTTTCGCATACATGAATCAGCTATGTTGGATCATGTATCTTTGCATTGGTGAGACAGGTGCTCCTTAACCTCGGTCACTATTTAGTAATCATATACTTCTTTCCTCTTGGGCATCATCTGCACTGCTGTGAAGGAAGGAGCACCAACAAATCTTTCCCAGAAGTAAAACTGAAAGAAAGAGCCAGTTGTTTCTTGGAAGTGAATTTCAATGTGTGGTACCTGTTTGGCTCACTTTCCAAGGTATGGGTGTTACACATGTGAGGAGGTGACTTAGGCTTGTGCTAGGTTTAATGATTTAGTTGTATAGTACGGTGATATTATTAGATCACCCACAGTTCCCACCCCCAAACTCAGTCGAGTGCACCCATAAAACTGCTGAAATAACAATACACTGTTGTTTTCCAAGCCTTCCATAGCAAAATATCACAGGCTGCATGTCTTAACAATAGAGATTTATTTTTGATAACTCTGGAGACTGAAAATCCGAAATCAATGTGTGGGAAGGGTTGATTTCTCCTGCGGCCCTGCTCCTTGGCTTGCAGGAAGTAGCCTTCTTGCCATGTCCTCATATGACCTTTCCTCTGTGCACAACCATGGCCCTGGTGTCTCTTCCTCTTCTTATAAGGACACCATTCCATCGGATGAAGGCCCTACCCTTCTGACCTCATTTAATCTTAATTACTTCTTTAAAGGCCCTATCTCCAAATACAGTCACATTGTGGGTTAAGGTTTCAACATATTAATTTGCGGAGAACACAATTCAATCCACGAGTGTACCAAATCCCTCATTATTCAAATGAACTTACATAAAAATATGCATTACCCTTGCTGATGCTATTCTGTCAGATAAGCTCTATGCTTTATCTCTGAATTTGTCACACCCTGTTACAATGTGCATATACATTCCTATTCATAATTATCCTGTTATGTTGCCACAGCTGAAATCAGCATTTTGTAAAGGAGGGTGGGGCTGTTAAACTCTGGGAAAAAATAAGACTCAGTGGAATGCTTAAGTGTACCAGGAAAGCAAATGCTATTAAATATTCTTAGACATACATGACTGTTCACCAATGGAGACCAATTTCAAATACGAAAATTAGTTAAGTTCTTGTACACTAGAGAAGAACAGAAGGAATGGGAGAACTTCTGAATTATATAGTCTATTCCAGTTGATCCTTGAACTTCCCATTGCTGGGCCAGTCACAATGGCTAATGCCTATAATCCCAGCACTCTGGGAGGCCAAGGTGGGTGGATTGCTTGAGTCCAGGAGTTCAAGACCAGCCTGGGAAACATGGTGAAACTTGATCTCTACAAAAAAAAATACACATACACACAAAACTAGCTGGGCGTGGTGGTGCACACCTATAGTCCTAACTACACGAAAAGCTGAAGTGATAAGATCTCTTGAGCCCAGGAGGTTGAGACTACAATGAGTCATGATTGCGCCACTGCACTGTAGCCTGGGGAACAGAGTGAGACTCTGTCTCAAAATAAATAAATAATTAAAAAATAAAATACCATTGGTTTCACAGAGAACTAGAGAGCTGAGTAATTACACTAAATTCTTGGCAATATTTTTTTGTGATAATAATTAATATGATTATTCAGGTAACTACTGTCAAACTTTAGAAGTATAGAGATTAACAAGGAATAATAGGCACAAAATAAGAATTATGAAAATATGTCCAAGCTGACAAGAGTTGACTTCAATTTGCTTCACAAAGCTGCCTGACCATGAAAGATACATTACAGTAGCCTGAGATTTGTTAATAAGCTTTTCTTGTTCAAGCTTGCTGAAGTATTTCATGTTTTCAAATTTTATGCCAAGTAAAAATATGTTCACATTTTATAAATATTTAGGAACTGAGTCATGGTGCTCTGGTGTTTTGGTTCCTAAGACATAGTTTTATTTCACTTCTGTGATGGTTAGTTTTAGGTATCACCTTGACTGGATTAAAGGATATCCTTCCTGATAGCTGGTATACCATTGTTTTGGGGTAGGTCTGTGAGGGTGTTTCCAGGAAAGAGTGAATGAGTGGACTGTGTAAGGAAGTTCTGTCCTCACCCAAAGGGGGCATGAACCACCCAATTGGCCAAGCACTGGGATAGAACAAAAAGGCAGGGGAAAGGCAAATTTGCTCACTTGATCTCTTTCCTCTGCGGATGAGTCTATCTTCTCCCGCCCTTGGATATCAGAACTCCATGATCTCCAGCCTTCAGACTCCTGGACTTCCCTCAGTGGCTCCTTACGTTTTCAGGCCTTTGGCCTTGGACTGAGAGTTTCACAGTCAGCTTCCCTGGTTCTGAGGGCTTCAGACTTGGACTGAGCCATACTACCAGCTTTTCTGGTTCTCCAGCTTACAGATGGCTGAGTGTGGGATTTCCCGGTCTCCATAAGCGTGGAAGCCAATTCTCTTAATGAGTCCCCTCTAGTATGTCAATATCTATATATCTATACTAAATCTATCTGTATCTATATTACATATATGTAGAAACATACCCTGCTTATTCTGTTTCTTTAGAGAACCCTAAAAATCTTCTAAGAAAATTATCTTGGAATTGAGCTTTATTAAAAAAGAAGAATGAGTATCTTATTGAATTATGCCTGTACATATTTACCAGTCATCATAAGACTAATATTTAGTTCACCTAAAAAGCTAAGTTTGTAGTTAGATTTTCTCATAGAACATAATTCTTCTGTTCTGCTATTATCATTTATCACATGAGACACACAGGTCTATATAAACCGAAATAGATTTGTTTTGGCCTATATTTGAAGAGCATAAGGCTTAAAATTAAAATAGCATTTTTAAGCTGAGCATAACTTGGAGGTTATAATGTCTATCCTCCTTCAGAAGAGGCACTCTGCCATTTTGTCTCCATTTCATAATTATGAACACCTTTAGTGTGATAAATGAGAAATAACATTGGACAATCAGGAACACTGAAATCCAGCCCTGTCCTGTCTACTTAATGGCTTAGTGAACTTAAGTCAAAGTAAGCTCTAGCTCTGCCATTAGGTAGGCATGAGTTCAAATCCAGGCTCTCCTATTCATCAGTCTGGGACCTCAAGTAAGTTGTCAAATGAGGAATTGATTTCCTTGTGTGCCTAACTTTGGTTAGCATAAAGAAAGATATCATATATCCCAACTTATGTTTTGAGGATTGTCATCTGTAGAATATTCTTATGTTAATCTGCTCTATAAAAATCACAGTTAGGGTTCAAATAGTAAAAATATTTATTTATTTTTTAAAAATCTCAATGAATAAAATAATTTTGTACTGTGGCCATGATGGCCTAGAAGGAAAAGTAATCAGTTTCTAATATTGCCAAATAAAGCCCTCTTGGGTCAGACAGAGTAGTTAAGACCATACTACACTACCCCACCTGTGGTAGGTAGTTTTGTGAGTCAGCTTGGCTGGACTATAGTACCCAGTTATTTAATCAGACACTAACCTGGGTGTTGCTATGAAGATATTTTGTACAAGTGGTTAAAATCTACAACCAGTTGACTTTTTTTTTTTTTAACAAAAAAGAAGATTATCTTTAATAATCTGATGAGTCTTATCCAATCAGTTCAAGGTCTTAAGAGCAAAACTGAGGTTTCCCTGAGGAAGAACTCGCAGCTGTGTGCCACAGTGCCAACTGCTGCCTGGGAGTTTGCAGCCTACCAACTTGCCCTACAAATTTCAGACTTGCCAGCCCCCACAATTGTGAGAGCCAATTTCTTGCAATAAATCTCTTTATGTCCTACTTTATCATTCTATTAGTTCGGTTCTCACATAGAACCCTGGCTAATACACCTCTGTGAACTGGGTTTTAGGGATACAAAAATTAATGAGAAGTAAATCCCAAATTCTGATGTGATAGTATTGGAGGAGAAGCCCGTGTGGAAAACTGAACATGCTCTCAACAGGAACAGTTAGGGAGCAGGGCAGGGAGGGATGATGGGAGAAGAGTGAGGGGGTGCTGTAGTGAATATTCGTGCATGTAGTGGATTAAGTAGAGTCCCACCAAATTCATGTCTACTCAGAACCTCAGAATGTGATCTTATTTGGAAGTAAGGTCTTTATGGGCATTATTAGTTAATAATCTTGAGTTGAAACCATCCTTGATTTAGCCTGGGCCCTAAATCCAATGACTAGTATCCTTTTAAGAAGAGAAGATACAGAGAGATATAGAAAGAAGCCAACGTAAAGATGGAGGCAGATATTGGAATTTTGCTGCCACAAGCGAAGGAACACCTGGGACCACCAAAGCTGGAAGGATTCTTCCTGAGAGTCTTCAGAGGTAGCATGCCCATCTCAACACCTTGATTTCAGGCTTCCAGTCTCCAGAAGATTTCTGTTGTCTTAAGCCACACAATGTGTGATGTATTGTTATGGCAGCCCCAGGAAACTAACATTGGGCACATTATGTTTTCAAACTGAACCAGCTCCCTCACAACTTCAAAGTACAACTGAAGTATTAAAACATGGGGACAGCAATGTCAAATTGTAATCAGAACAAGCATGAAATGCCATTGCCAAGCACATCTCTTCCAAGGAATGACATTCAGATCATGAGCCTATGTGTCCTTGGGGCAAGGGATGGATGAGCAGAGAGAGATATTTATTTATATCTGTATTTATAAATATACATTTATATGCATTTATATTTATGGTCACTGCACCTATGAATAGATCTATCCTTAGAGCTTGGTAAGGATTTCTTAATTCCAAGAAACACATAGTTAAATGTCACATGTCCAGTTTCAATGAAAGCAGACTCTGAGGTAGAGATAAGCCTGCAGGATGTTTGCTGGGGAAGGCTTCTGGGATTAACACCTGTGAAGGAAAGTAAAAGAAGCAAGATAAGCAAACGAGAAGTTGGATGGTTGTGTAGTCACTGTATGGCCTCTGCCAACCCCACCATCACATTGAGTTCCTGAAAGCTGAGATAACCCTTGAAAATTGGTCCGTATATCCATTGAATAGGAGCTGCCCTTGGGAAGGGGACATGGCCTTGGGTGTAAAACCTCCATTTAGTGCCAGGTGCAGTGGCTCACACCTGTAATTCCAATACTTTGGGAGGCTGAGGTGGGCGGATCATGAGGTCAGGAGATTGAGACCATCCTGGCTAACACGGTGAAACCCTGTCTGTATAAAAATACAAAAAATTAGCCGTGTGTGGTGGTGGGTGCCTGTAGTCCCAGCTACTCAGGAGGCTGAGGCAGGAGAATGGCGTGAACCTGGGAGGCAGTGCTTGCAGTGAGCTGAGATCGGTCCCCTGTACTCCAGCCTGGGCAATGGAGCAAGACTCTGTCTCAAAAAAAAAAAAAAAAAAAAAAAGCTCCATTTAGTTTAGGCAGCTCTCAGAGGGAAAAGCTAGAAGCAGAAGGGGGATCTCAGTGGACAGTGCAGCATCCATTACATCAGGTTGCTAAGAAGTAGAAAAGCCAGTCTCTGAATTAAATGAGATCAGAAACCATTCTGTAATATTTGTGTTGTAGCTATGTCATCTGTAAAATGATTAAAAATTTTAATAAGTCAGTCATTGTATATAAAAATAAATAACCTATTGCCTGGTGTACAGTGCTTTACATTTATTGAAATTATTTGTATCAGTAAAAGTGAGTTTTCCAAACATGTGATAACATACGAATGCTTATAGCCTTCTCTTGTAGTGTTCTAAGCTTCAACACATGCTAAAAGGAAAATGATTAAAAGCATTTAGATGACCTGAGTACAACTTCTAGTTCTCCATGTTACTTTTAGTTCTTTTATATGTTAACTTCTTAACTGTTCTCAGAATCTTCAGCTACAAAATGAGGCCTTCAGACTTATTCCTAGAATACATTTAAACTCTAATATTCAGTACTTGAGAATTCATAAACTCCATTGAGCTGCTAAATTCTTCACAGATGTCTTATGGTTACCTGGGAGAAAATGGCAACTTGGACAATGGGACCTACATTTTGTTCAATAAGAGAAGCTAAATTCTAGCGTGTTCTTATGAAAACAGTCAAATTGCCTCAATTCTAATCCTGCTTTACCAGACAGTAGTCACGTGACCATGGACAAGTTATTTGATCTCCCTCTGCCCCAATTTCCTCATGTGTAGTCATGTGGTTTGACTGCATCCTCACCCAAATCTCATGTTGAATTGTAATCTCCGTAATTCCCACATGTTGTTTGAGGGACCCGCTGGGAGCTAATTGGATCATGGTGATGGCTTCCCCCATGCCGTTCTCATGATAGTGAGTGAGTTTTCATTAGATCTGATGGTTTTATAAGCGTCTGGCATTTCCCCTGCTGGCATTCATTCTCTCTTCTGCTGCCCTGTGATGTAGTGCCTTCTGCCATGATTGTAAGTTTCCTAAGGCCTCCCCAGCCTTAGGAATCAATTAAACCTCTCTTCTTTATAAATTACCCAGTCTCAGGTATTTTTTCATAGCAGCATGAGAACAGACCAATACATGTAGCATGGGGACAATACTAGCATTGACCTCACAGGGTTGTTACAAGTTATAAGTGGGTTAATTTATGCACAGCACTTAGAACAGAACCTGGCACACGCTAAACACGCCACAAATGTCACACATAATGGCTGTAGTTTTTGCTGAAACAAGGTAATCCCCCAAGGTCAATATCACCCCATTTAGAATAGTCTACAGAGTAAAAGGAGTTTGTCTCCTTTTGAATGTTAGTTCAACAGTAAGCACATTGATAAAACTAGCATTTTTTATAACCATTTTTTTGGACTATCCTCCTCTTGGGACTATAAATTAGGAAGAAAAAGAACAAGGTCACCTTAAAACTGGGAAAAAAATTATAAGAAATCACTCGCAGTTACTAAGGAGTAAGAGACCAATACCTTTTTCACTATTAATGCAAATTTTCCACACAGTGTAATGACCTCTTTCCATCTCAATATGATATTCATTAAGATGTTTTAATAGGTTATGGAAAATTTTGAAGAAGGCTTTATATAGAAAGTTAAATTTAGAGTGGATTTTTGGAAGATTCTATTTAAGTTATTGTTGGCATCCCATGTAGTTCTCTTCATTAGCAAGGTTCTTTACCTGAAAATGGGATTCCGGCACTCTAATGGCTTGTTTGCCCCTATGGCTTGTCTCCAGTTCCAAATTTCCTTCCTCAGTATGCAAATGCACAGTGTGTCACAGGGATACTGATTCTATCTGCTGAGTATTCCCACACCAAAAAAAAAGAAAAAAAGAAAAAAAAAGCATAAAACACATGTGAGATAAGCAAGTGAACAAAGTGCAGAGTTTATCCTTTCTTTGGTCTGTTTGTTTCAAAAAAAATATGGGTTATTCCACTATACTTTTTTCTACACAGTCTAGGATTCTAATGGCGGAACAGGACTATAAATCTCACAGAAATGCATACTGCTTTGATTACATTTTTACACACTGAGGATTGGAATTCAGTTTAAATAGTAGTGAGCTTAAGATCAAAAGACTTAAAGCATTGAGAAAATGAGTATTTGGATTTGCTTTATTTTTATAATTTGAAAGTTGTGCTGTGTAGCTTGTACATCTTCATTCCCTTCCCTTACATATTTCACCAAACCTAAAATATGCCTGCCCCTGAACACACACACACACACACACACACACACACACCCCAAAAGCATTCCGAGCTGGTTTTGCCATTATCTAGCTCGGTGGCTTTAGCAAGCCTCTTTGCCTTTTGAGACCTCAGCTACAAAATATGTTGGCAGAGGTGGGGAGGTAAGTATTCATTATCCAATCTCTCATCTTTTCCTCTAATGTTCTAAGATCCTTATTTAGCTTTGTTTTGTTTGTTCAAAGAATGAGACACTAGAGCTTCACATTATATTTCTTCCTTTTAAATTATGTACGCACTATTCATGTCCCTGGATTAGACACTCTGCAGACAATCTAATCCTTGAAGTTAATTCCTCGATTATAATAAAAAATGAACATTTTTATATGGAAGCATAAAAGGCAGAAAAGCAGTAGTGACCAAGCAGAGCTCAGGATTGCGGGGAGATTGGATCAGATAGAAGAGCCAGTGCCTGAGCTACTTTTAAAAACATAAAGCACTTTCCTATCATCTACCTTGGTGGTAACTAGGATCTGGTCTCCCACGGATATTTATTATTTCATGTGTGTGTGCACCATGATGTGATAATGGCTGGCCTTTACTAACGAGGACACAGCATTTCCCAAATGGTTTTACCTTTTAATATATAAGTTTCTTGAAGATCCACTCCCCATTCTGTTTACTTTATATTTTTAACTGCTGATCTTTATGTATATACATAATATAGGAAAACAATATGAAAATAATGTATCTTATTATGAAACATTCTCTCTTCATTATATAATAATTTAATTTATAAAATCTTGAATACCTTAATTGCAATAATCTCCTAAACCAAAATAAATTTATAATATTTTACCCTTCCGTTAAAGGAAATAATGTGGCTTAGACTTTTAGAGAGATCTGAGATTTGTATTGCCAAATAATAGCTTAGGTTTCAAATTTTAATATAATGTATATGAAAGTAAGTTATGAACTAATTTATACACCCACCATCAATGTATAAGTGTTCCCTTTTCTCCACAACCTTGCCAACATCTGTAATTTTTTGACTTTTTAATAGCCACTCTGACTGGTGTGAGATGGTATCTCATTGTGGTTTTGATTTGCATTTCTCTATGATCAGTGATGTTGAGCTTTTTTACATATATAATTGTTGGCCGCATGTATGTTTTCTTTTGAAAAGTGTCTGTTCATGTCCTTTACCCACTATTTAATAGGGTTGTTTATTTCTTGTAAATTTAAGTTCCTTATAGAGTTTGGATATTAGACCTCTATCAGACACACAGTTTGCAAAACTTTTCTTCTATTCTATAGGTTGTCTGTTCACACTGTTGATAGTTTCTTCTGCTGTCAGAAGCTCTTTAATTTAATTAGGTCCCATTTGTCAATTTTTGTTGCAGTTGCTTTTGGCATCTTCTTCATAAAATCTTTGCCCATGCTTACCCATTGTGTGAGACAGTGTGGTGATACCTCAAAGACCTAAAGACAGAAATACTATTTGGCCCAGCAATCACATTACTGGATATATACCCAAAGGAATATAAATTATTCTATTTTAAAAACACATGCACATGTATGTTCATTGCAGCACTATTCACAATAGCAAAGATACGGAATCAACCTAAATGCCCATAAATGATAGACTGGATAAAGAAAATTGGGTATATATAAACCATGGAATACTACATAACCATAAATAAGAACAAGAGCATGTCTTTTGCAGGGACATGGATGGAGCTGGACGCCATTATCCTTAGCAATCTGACACAGAAAGAAAAAAGCACATACTGCATGCTCTCACTTATAAGTGGGAGCTAACTGATGAGAACACATGGACACATAAAGTGTAACAACACACACTGGAGCCTTTTGGAGGGTGGAGATTGGGAGGAGGGAGAGGATCAAGAACAATAACTAATGGGTACTAGGCTTAATACCTGGGAGATAAAATAATGTGTACAGCAAACCCTCATGACATAAGTTTACCTATGTAACAAACCTGCACATGTACTCTTGAACTTAAAAGTTAAAAATAAATTTTAAAACACTTGCTGTGAAAGAAGGGCATATGCTATAACAGCTCAATAATTTTGAGGAATAGATCATTTTTGGTCGATGTTACTTTTTAAAAATCATTCTGCCTGATAATTGAAATTTTATTAATTTGCCTTTAAAATGATCAATCATCTCATTAGTTCAAACATTTCTGTTTACAAAGCATTCAAAGCAAGAGAATGAGAGATGTTTCTTAGGAGAAAGGAAGGAAAAGCATTCCAATTTTGTAGTTTCACATTGGAGAAACAGTCTTTTATTTTTAAAAATATTTATTATTTGTGTGTGTATGTGTGTGTTTGTGTGTGTGTGTGTGTGTGTGTGTGTCAAGATCTCGCTCCGTCCCGCAGGCTGAAGTGCCGTGTTGCAATCAAGGCTCACTGCAGCCTCCATCTGCCAGGCTCACGGAATCCTTCTGAGTAGCTGGAACCACAACCTGTGCCTGGCTAGGTTTTTGTTGTTGTTGTTGTAGAGATGGTGCCTCCCTGTGTTGTCCAGGCTGGTCTCCAACTCCTGGACTTAAGTGATCCTCCTGCCTTGGCCTCCCAAAATCCTGGGATTTTTAAAAATAATTAAGATGTGTTAGAAAAGAAATTTTTTGACAATGTCCAACATTGTCACTAGTCATATAACTCTTACCCATCACAGACATTGTTCTTCAAGCTTCTGCCCTTTCCATTCCTTCCCATCCTCTTACTTCCATTTCCTTCCTTTCACTCCTGTCTTCTCTCTTCATTCTTTCCCCAGGAAATCTCATGATTGCGCCTATACATTGCCAGATTTAACTACATACATCCTTCGGGTACCTCATCTATGCAGCAGGCTCTTTATGCACTATGGTCTTGAGTGCCAAGAATTGAATATCTTATCTAGGATGATCAACAAATTGTAAAGTTGATGAGAACAGGTCTTAATAATGAATGTATAGTTTCTCTGATGTGTGACTTCTTCTAACACTGACAGCCACTCAGGCTTAAAACTGGTTTTATCATTGTCTCACTGCTGCTCATCCCCCATATCCTATGCGTTTTGACTCATTCAGTCATGTATGCAAGCATTTTTCCTCTCATGGGTGTGCATTCATTTACTCAACCAGCCTGTGTTAGTAACACTTCTATGTATTGGGGTGTGTCTTTTCTGGGTGCTTTAGAAAATGCAACAGGATAAATCAAATGTGATTCCGATGATTTTTCACCTATGATGTGTACTATATTTGCTCCTATTTGATCAGGCTATAATCACTTACCTTGCTCAGATTGCCTAAATATCTAATTACCTAAGAGTTTCACTGCCATCAGTTTCTTCTCTTCATTTCCAGAGTCATATTTCCAAAGAATACCCCAGATCATGTCACTCTTTTGCCCAGAACAAACAAACAAAAACAATAAAATAACAAAAAGAAAAACTCCTGAAATGAACTTACTCCCTAATTTGGTTAGAAGAAGTTATGAGGAGCATCGGTGGTAACTGTAGGCCAAAGCAAAGAATAAGTTACTTTTACTGGGAGGTACTTTAAAGTCATAAAGCTCCATTAAAAATTGAGTTTATAAAAAGTCACCTTAGTTTTCTTTTTTTTTTATTTTTCCCCAAATTAAAGAGGCTTATCTATATTTTTTAACATTGATACTTGCCTTCTTATTAATGAGAGAAGGTTGGCTTACTGTTATGCTGAGAATGGAGACAATTAAGAAAGCTGAAAAATAGCAGGATGGCAAAAGCCTAGTATAGCTGCATCCTGGAAGATGAGCTCACTCTTTACATCAAGGAAATAGACATCCTGCTTTCTCTTTTTCCCTTTCCAAAGGGCCCATGGCAGTTTGGTCAGAATGCTCCTACATATAGCAAAACAAAACAATACAAAACAAAATTTGCAATCCGTATGTTCATAAAGTGGATAGTGTATTTGAGCCTTGTGTGTTCTTTTTTTCTCTTCAATGATTCATAATGATGGTTTTCCCTGCCTGAAAAGACCTTCCACCATATCTTAATTGCCTTTTTTTTGAGGGGGGTGTCTACAACACCTACTATGGTGACTAAGATTTAGTAAATATTTAATGACTATTTTATAAAAATACAGTTTTCTATTTTTTATATTTAAGTTGAAGATGCATTAAAAATAAGTGATAACACTTAAAACAATGATCGAATATTAACTAACTCAAGACATAACTTCATGTTCCCTGAAAAGCCAGTGACATTATGAAAAAAAAATAACCTCACCAGAAAGACCCTGCTGTACAATGCTACAAATCGCCTGTTGCAGATTCCCTCTCCTTCCTCTTTGGGTTTTATAGCTGGAGGCAGGTGGCTCATTAAAACTTGAAAAGAGTTTCTCCAAATTCAATTTCTGAATTCTCTGCAGGAATAGGCTTTGTAGAATCTCATTGAGCACAGGCACATTTGTTTGTTTGTTTGTTTTGTTTTTCTTCACCATCAACATGGAACTCACTTAAACTGATTAGCAGTTAGAATCAGAGTCATTGCACATTGTTTCATAAGCCGCACTTTCATATCCAGAACTAGTAGGTTGCTCTTTAATTCCTGGTAGTGGGCCATAAGTTTTCACCTTTTATTCACAACTCAGAGAACAGGAACCTTGCCATGTCAAGTCAGAAGTAGGGTGAGTTTTTCTGATCTTTAGAAGTCTTTTGAAAGAAAATTTATTTAATATGGCAATAAAATGTTATTACATCTGACAGCAAAATATGTGTGTATACATATATAAAAATATGCACACATATATGTATATTTGTGTGTGTGTATATATATATAATATAGACCACTTAAAAATAAAATGGTTGAGAAGAAAACAAATTATAAATCAAAGAAAGTAGGAGTATTTCTCTCATTATACAGACAGTGAAAAATTTTTGCAATGAGATATAAAGGTTAAGCATCTTTTTTTTTCAAAATCATAAAACAAGTGAGTGATGTATCTGAGAAAAAAATCTTGGATACTCCCAGCCTCATTTTCTATTCTCTAATCCTGAAACTATATTTTCAGTTTTATACTCTGTCTCACAATACTTCCCTACCAGGCGCTACTTTTGTCAGTGAAAAAAGGCAGTTTTATTCCCTGGTCCTATGATATCCCATCTTTCACTATCAATTGCCAACTACCTGCCTAGGGACATCATAGAAGTTTTTATCAGGGGAAGTCATCTTACTTCATCTTCCAAGAATATTCTCATTTTTTTAATATTGCCAATTGATCTCAAAATCATCAGGGATTTAAAAGTTTGGTTTAATTTTTAAATTACAAATTTTCAATATATATATACATATACATATACATATATATATACACACACACATACTTCTAAAAAGTGAAATAACCCAACAAGATCTCTAATGACAATAATGGATATGTGCCCCTATCTCAAGAACTCAGACCCAAGACCTCAGAGGAAACTACTTTTAATGGTTTCCAGGTTTAGTTCTTCTTTTGGCTATCTTTACATTTCCAAATAAGGTGCCTGTGTTGTCATTTCCTGATTTATCTTCTGCTTCAAGTGTCTTACTATAGTTCAATAAATATGGATTTATCTCAAAATCTTTCTCACGCTCTCTCTCTCTCTCTTCTATATGTCAGCGTTTTTGTTTCCTCTCTCAAGCCACTTTGATAACTTGGAATAATAGACATAAGCCAGTGTTTCTAGTATTATCAAGTTGTTATGGATTGAATTTCATTCTCCACACCCTAAATTCATATGTTCAAGCCTTACCTTTAGAATATAACCTTATTTGAAAATAAGGTCTTTAGCTGAGGTTAAAAACATTAAAGAGGGGTCATTAGGGTGGGCCCGAATCCTGTGTGACTGGTGACTTTATAGAAAGGAGAACTGGACACAGGAACCCGCACAAAGGAAAGGTGATGTCAGCAGACATAGAGAAATGGCCATCTGCAAGCTAAGGACAGAGGCCTAAAACAGATCTCACCCCCCAGATCCCTCAGAAGGAAGCAACCCTGCCAGCACTTAATCTCAGACTTTTAGCCTCCAAAACTATGAGACAATAAATTTCTGTTGTTGTCAGTCACTCAGTTTGTGGTACTTTGTTAAAAGACCCCTAGGAAACTAAAACGCAAGTATATAGTCAGGGGTCTCGTGACTACACACCACTACCTCTAACCATGGGTGTTCCCAGTACAGGACTAATGAAGGCCCCTAAGTCAATTGGCCTTAGGCCCAGTTACAGCTTACAAGCTGGTGGCCTCTGAAAGTCTACTGGGTCTGCTTCTCTTGAAGTAAAGCATTGCTTTTTTTTTTTTTTTTTTAATTTAAACAAGTCTGTAAAAACTATCTTTAAAGCAACAAATTTCGCTTAAAATGTTTTAAAAGTTTAGTACAAATCTGAGACCAAAAAAAAGAGATCCTCATTAATTTTGAGAGCATATGCTATTATGATTTTCTAACTTCCTTTATATCCCCACACCTGGCCCTTCTTGTTTCCAAGTCACAAGTGTAGAAAAACACCACATATGCAAAATGATCTATTTCAGTTCACCAATGAGCCACTGAAGTTTATTATACTATTACAGAGTCCTCCAAGAGACATAGACATTTCCTTGAGAAAAAGACAGTTACTAAGGATTCAAAGTAATTACATAAGCAAGAATCATGATATGAATAGACGGATAAAGGACTAAATAAAAAGTAACAAAAGTTCCCACATTTTTGTTTATTCTAAGTAATTGTATAACCTTAAGAAAACTACTTAGCCAATATCAGCATCTCTTCATTTATTACAAAAGGATAACAGAGAATTTTCATTCTCAAAATTTTCTAAGAAAGAGCATTTGAATTGTTAAAAGCTAGTTATAAATTGAGGCAGTTCATAAATAAGTTTACTATTCTAAGAAATCAGAATTTTTGCTTGACAGTGAAGGTGTTAGAAGATATACCTCTATTTGGGATTATTTCAAACAAATGTATACTTTTTATCTAAAACATAAAAAATTACTTGATCAAATGATGTTACTTGCATGTACACAATACAAACTTTAAGAGCTATTACTTAAGAAGTTAAACTTTTTGACAAGTTAAACTTCTTGACAGGCAAGTTCTTATGAGTAAAATATATTCGTATGACTTTTGGGTTAGTTGAACAATACACATTTAAGAAATTATTTTTCAATTTATTAAAATATCCTATTAAAAATAAGCATTCTCCAACAAGTTAATATTTTTTCTCATCATATTTTGTCATTTTAATTTAGTCCAGAATCTTATCTCTCCTACTGAAAAAAAGGCAATAAACATTAGTTTCTTCTCTTTTCTCCTACACTTTGAACATGTTTCATTGAAAAATTAACTCAAATATATTTTTTCCACTTAACGTACTGATTTATTGTTTGAAATAAATTATGGGGACATGAAAGACATCATAAGGTTGAGGAAGACTTTAAAACTCAATGTAGTTTATGAAATGTACCAAAGAAGAAAGTAGTGTTATAAATAATAATGAAAACAAATCTAGTGTTTATCTAACTAGCCTCTCTCTCTTATGTCTCTTAGATTGCCAATGAGTTAGTTAGATCAAAATTGATCCTTTAGACCAGGCATGATGGCTCTTGCCTGTAATCCCAACACTTTGGGAGGTGGGCGGATCACTTGAGGCCAGAATTTTGAGACCAGTCTGGCCAATATGGCGAAACGCCCTCTCTACTGAAAAATACAAAAATTAGCCTAGCAGGGTAGCAGGTGCCTATAATCCCAGATACTCAGGAGGCTGAGGCACAAGAATCACTTGAACCCAGGAGGTAGAAGCTGCAGTGAGCCGAGATCATACCACTGTATTCCAGCCTGGGGGACAGAGTGAGACTCCATCTCAAAAAAAAAAAAAAAAAGGGGGTGGGGGGGAAATCGATTCTTTATTCTAGTCCACAGTAAGAGGCAGTTTCAACATCCCTGACTTCTTGAAAAAAGAGAATTTAGATTATCACACATGAACCTCATCAACTCATTCCTCTCTACTCCAAATCTTCCCCTGTATTTATGCCTGTTTCCTTTGAGGCTCCTCCCCATCCTGCACACTGCCCTAACCGACTTACCACCCCTTCCCAGGAGCAGAGGAAGGATGACTCCCTTAGTCTGAGGAAAGATCAACCTCTGCCCGCAGACTGTTCCACCCCCAAGACAACATGAATGTTTCAACCCCTGGTCTTGATAGCATTACATCTTTGCCCTCCAGGATTGTATGACTTTAATTATTTGCATTTTTATTTTCGTTTTCAGTATCTCCTTCTCCCTGGTCTCCATCTTCTCTATGTATATACACGCTCACACTTCAACCACAAATGTAAAGAAACAACAAAAAGAGCATCGCACACACACACACACACACACACACACACACACACCCCACACCATACCATACCATACCATTCAAGCTTCTGTTCTCTTCTAGTTGCTCCAGCTCTCACTACTTGTATCCTAAAAGAGTTAACTCGAGTTATTTCTTTAATTTTCTCACAGATTTTGCCCTCTTTAAGATCCCTAAATTAGGCTGTAAATTTTGCAACTCTAGCCGATCTCATATCTCATACATAGCCAAATTGTATGTGTGTATATATACACATATATTTTTTCTTAGTGCCCCTGCTCATTAAAGCCTGGAGGATTTTACAGTGTTTGCCATATTTTGCTTCTTAAAAGTTGACCTTCTTGGTGGATGTGGACATCCTAAGGCCTAGATTTCTAAAGTCAAAACTGAGCACAGTATCAATAAAGATGTGTTATAAAAATGAGCCCTTTTAATTGCTGTCATAGACCCTTGAATACACCTCTTGCTCGCATTTCTCAACATTTCCTTGTTCTCAAAAGAGTTTTTAAATTTTTAGTATCAGAAAAGACTAGAATATTTTTAAAGGGTCTCTAAAATGGTTTTTAATGGTGCTTAGTGACTTTATTGAATGAGTTTAACAGGTAAAATTTAATCTTATTCCATGCTCTGAAAAATAGACTAGTTTCAGAAAATCATCAGTCTGTTAATATCAATTATGATTATTATTAATTTTTAAGAGACAGGGTTTCACTCTGTCACCCAGGATGGAGTGCAGTGGTGTACTCATAGCTCACTGCAGCTTTCAACTCCTGGGCCCAAGCGATTCTCCTACCTCAGCTGCCTGGGTAGCTGGGACTGCTACCAGGTGTGCACCTGGCGCTATATATATATATATATATATATATATATATATATATTTTTTTTTTTTTAAGAAATGGGGTCTCACTGTCTCACTATGTTGCCTAGGCTGCCAATTATTTTTTAATTAGGTGAAATATATACTTTAATTTTTTCCTTGTGGTAGTAAACAATTTTTAAAAAATACTTCCAGTTACACATGAACTTGAGTATCTTTACTTTTCAGTGTTTTTACCTTCTTTTCTTTTTTTTGAGACAGAGTCTGACTCTTGTCGCCCAGGCTGGAGTGCAATGGCAAGATCTCAACTCATTGGAACCTCTGCCTCCCGGGTTCAAGCAATTCTCCTGCCTCAGCCTCCTGAGTAGCTGGGATTACAGCCACCTGCTACCCCACCCAGCTAATTTTTGTATTTTTAGTAGGAGATGGGGTTTCACCATGTAGGCCAGGCTGGTCTTGAACTCCTGACCTCAGGTGATCCGCCTGCTTCCACCTCCTAAAGTGTTGGGATTACAGGCATGAACCACTGTGCCCACCCTTTATCTTCATTTTACATTTATTTTGTACCTATGTTCATACTAGTTATAAGACCTCCTAGCCCCACAAAATAAAAATGAATAAAATCAAAATGTTATACATAGAAGAAGCATATATGTAAGGTCTAGACAAGTAAACAAGTCAATTGACAAAAAAATTTTAATCATTTTTCCTAGCTACAGTTCATTTTATAATTCTCTTGTAATCAATTTTTCTGCTTATTTCCATTTATAAGGGAATTCAGATGAAGACTAAGAAAAGTAAAAATTTCCTGGACTTATGAGCTCTTTATAAGTCTAACCATTAAAAATTTAACATCATATTATTCATAAAATGCATTCTTGATACTAGACATTTTCATTTTCTGTGTTGAACATTTAGATGCTCCTCACACCCATTTTTAATGGCATTTAAAGTTCTAAATGTGTTACTCTGCCATGCCCTTCCTGTTATCTTAATAGGGGCTCCAATTCCTCACCCACATCCTTGCACACTTGACTTCTCCCAATAATATAAAGTTAAAAGACGGAAGTTGATTGTACTGTATCCCCAAATGGCTTTTTGACATCTGAAGAGATATCATAAAGCTGAATGCTCCCTATTCCTCCCTTGAATGCATTATCTTCCTTGCCACCTTCCACTAAATTGCTACCTCCAGAAAACAGCTTCATACTAAGTTTGGAGAGTGAATGTAGGTCACTAACACAGCGGGGCCATGTACCGCAATTTGTCCACTAGCCTGACTCATTTTGTGTTCTAATTTCAGTAAGAGGGTGCTGATTCTTTGCTAAGTGGTAATTGCACCTGCAGTACTAAAACCTTTCTACATGCCTGGAAAAGCACACTCACCATCAACTTGCAATCATTCCCTGCCGTGCTCCTCAATAGTTTCTGTGAGTTTGCTGGCCTTGACCTTCAGAATGACTCCCTGGTTTCTTCTATAGATGTAGTTATGTGGCTCCCAGAGGCATGCTGTTATTGTCAGCAGGAGACCAGGCATAAGACAGGCTAAGACTTTAGATCGGTATCCTGTATTGCACTCTAGGGCTCTAGGGAGAGGTTTCACACGCTGCCTGGGACCTTGGGAACTTGCTCTCATCCACAGTTCAATCGGAGCCATAAAAGTATCAATGGTAGAGATGATGATGATGATGATGATGATGATGATGATGATTATTATTATTATTATTATTATTATTATTATTATTATTATTATTTGGCTCAGGCTGGAGTGCAATGGCGCGATCTTGGCTTACTGCAACCTCCGCCTCCCAGGTCATGGTTCAAGCAATTCTCCTGCCTCAGCCTCCCAAGCAGCTGGGATTACAGGCACACGCCATCATCCCTAGCCAAATTTTGTAGTTTTAGTAGAGACGGGGTTTCACCGTGTTGCCCAGGCACTCCTGACCTCGTGATCCGCCCACCTCGGCTTCCCACAGTGCTAGGATTACAGGCGTGAGCCACCACGCCCTGCCAATGGTAGAGATTTTTTGTTTGGAAGCCTAAACTTCAGTCCACCAATCTAACCATGTTAGTGCAGGATACTGGATTTTTTTTTTTTTTATGAGACAGGAAATTTACGGCTGCTGCTTTCTCTTTCTCCCCTTTATATACTTATAACAAGAAAACAAAACAAAATAGAACAAAACTTTCTCTTTCAACGTAAGCAAGATTGCACAGGAATTCACCAATATGAATTAACTGACATTGCCGTTGCTCAAATATCCATGCACCTCTTTTAAGTTTAAAATGTATTCTGACTTCTTACTTGGTTTTAAAAAAATCTCAAACCAGGTCAATGTTTGCCTTCTCTTTTTTATTATTAATACTCTACACTTTATGAACTCCTTCACTCACTAGAATAGGATCAGAGTTATGACATCCCCAGCACCAACTCTAGTTTCCGGCACACCAATGCCCCAAAAATATTAAGTGAATGAATTACTAAGTGAACAAATGAATGAGGGGAGATGTTTAACCATCTTTAAAAATTTTAAACTGGGAAGTATAGTTTGCGATCAGCAATTGAATAAAAAGAGCTTGGATGTGATTCATTAGAAAATAAATGGAAATGAGGAGAGATAAGCAATAAATAGATTATAACTTTGAAAGGGGTAATGAGATAAAAAAATTAGTGGAATATAATAGATTCCTAATCTATTTTTTAAAAGGTCTAGATTGCTACTGTGGGACACATGAAACAAATGGGCAAAAGAAACTTAAGCTGTTAGTATTGATAGAAAATAGAAGAGAAATTTAAGGATTAGAATAAAATAAAGATTTGGCATTAGGAATCTTCATTTTTCCCTCTCCACTTAGGATTGGGACTTATAACCTAGACAGCCCGTTAACTGACTAGTCAACTGTTGTTTTTTAACATTTTCCATCCTGTTTACTATTTAACAGGATGGAAAATCCCAAGATAGAAGATGACGACAATGGGGAGGATGTATTTTAAGTGTCTGCACGACAGATTGTTCAGGCTTTTGATAGAGAGAGAGACGTATCTGGGTACTGTGAATCTCTTGGGCAAAGGAAATGGGTTGAGAGAAGATCGCAAAAGGGAAGGGGGCGCATACAAAGACAATCTTCATCATTCTTGCAATTCCTTGTTTGAGGGACTACATGTACATGTCCATAGCAGACCTAAACCTGTTGATATTGTGTTCAGTTGAAATGTAATCCCTCACCTCAAGGCTCTTATCTCGTAAAGGTGATCTTTTATCACACAATTCCCATTATACTCCCTAAGACAGATATATATCCTTTGGGAGAGAATTTCCTATTTTAATCAATAGTGGTAATCACAGTGCTACTTAATTTTTCATGTAATATACCAGAAACATTCTGGACTCTTCTCTCTTAATGCCATAGAATCAACAACTCAAGAGGCAGTCGGGAGGCGTCTGTAGTGTAAGCCATTTTAAAAAGTAGCAAAGTCTTTGTGTGCCATGGAGACACATTTGTTATCCCTCTCTCCATGACCCCACTAAAGTCATCTCTAATATCTGGTATATAATATACTCTCAGTAAAAATAGGTTTGGAATGACAGTAGGAGAGGGCATGTAATTGATGCTTGGCAATTCTTTGCCATACCCATGGAATGAAAACATTTTGTTCAAGACAGTGACAGCAACACTGTATATGTACCAAGGTTGGTGCTTTTAACCTCTGTGAACCATGGTTGAATAGTAAATCACTGGATGTGAAAAGAAAACTATAAATATTTTGGGGAAAAGCCAAAAATATCAAAGTAAGCTGAGCTTAGCCAGAAATTGCAGCCAATTTCACTTGGCAGAATTGCTTCCATCAAACTGTGGAATTAGAGACAAGTCACTTAGAAATGTAGCAATTACAGCTACCTAACCACTTCAAGGAAACTGTTAACTAATTAATTAATTAATCAGTGTGTGGAACATTTACTTTTTCATTTCTTTGTCCTAGGCATCATTTTGAGATTTAGCTTCAAGAAGCTTTTATCATTTTAAGCAGAAACCATTTCTAGAGCTAACAAAGATTCTGTGAAGACTATAGGATAACTTTAATCTTATATGCATACACTTTATGTTACATAAAAACGTCATAATTATCTGAATATGAATTAGCTATTAACTACTACAAAAAATTAACATACCTCAATACTAAATGTTTACATTCTATTAATGCATTCATATAAAGTGCTGTCTGTTGCCTACTTCTTCCTCTCTACATCACTGACTATATAGTCTTTGAAATGTAACCCAGTACTAAAAGCACTTACATTACTTAATTTATTCATTCTTCATAAATAAATATTTATTGACAACCTAATATGTTCCTGGCACTGTGTTAGGTCCTAGGTGAACAAAACCTCCATAGACCTTAACTTCATAAAGCCTATAGTTCAAGGAGAGAGAAAAGCACTAAATAGAAGGATGTGAGTGTGTGTGTTTCAAAACAATTACAAATTGTTTTATGTGCCATGAAGGAAAAGAAAAACGGGACACCATAAAAAATTAAAATGAGGATCTACTTTAGGTAAGGTAGTAATAAAAAAAAAAAACCTCTTCAAAGTGAAGGATAAAAAGAAAACAGTCAAGGAGATTGGAATAAACATTTCAAGCTGAAAAAAAAGAACATACAGACGGTGTCAAGGTGGGGGCAAGGGGAATGAATAAAACTTTGCCCATCAAGTAGCAGAGAGAAATCCAGTGTGGCCAAAAGATATTTTGTTAAATATCTTTTAACAAAAAGCATAACACAAAACTAATAAAAAGGGTAAAAGCATGAAAATGTAATAAAAGTAATAGAGCTTTTAGTATGTGCCAGGCATCATCAATCTAACCAATACTGCATTATCTCATTTGATCCTTATAACAAATCTATCAAGAATGCACTACAATTCTCTCCATTATACAAAAAAAAAAAAAAAATGAGACAGAAAGAAAGAAACTTGAGGTCTGAACACTTTCTCCTGGATTTGCCTTTATAAAGGTCATTGGTCACCTTTGCAGGAAAGGTTGTAGTGGAATGGTAGTAGCAGATACCGTGTCGGCATGTGATGAGGAATCATTTCCTGGAGAAATGATGGGAAATGGCATTTGTAAACAATTTCCTCTATCCTGAGGTTTGGCTGGAGAGAAGAACGGTGAAACTGCATGGTAACTACAAGGGAAATATGGAATCAAAGGCAGTGTTGTATAGCTTCTTCATTTGTTTCTGAAATAATGGGGACCATGAGGACATATTTCTATGCCAATGAAATAAGATCTCACATAACACTTCCTTTGATTTCCAGTTCTGTCTTTGCTGCTAATGCTGTCTTAAGATCAATGCAAGACAATTAAATCAACAAATCTTCGCTCCATGTCTGCTGCTATGCACCAATACCTTCCTCACATTCTACTGCCCTGATTCAAAATCATTTGTTTCTGAGACCCTTGTGAGGGCTCCCGTTATGTTTGATCTCTATAATTGTACTCACGGGTTTTTGGCCCTCATTCTTTGTATCTTCACTGTTTGGAGAAACTCAGATGCACTCGAAAGTACTTTTTCCTATTATTTCACTCAACGTGATAGTCAACACAAGATTTCTGTGACTAAATCTGGGCGGAAAGTTTCTCCCCACTATCAAGTGAGCAATTAATTCTGCAGTGGACACCAACTGGGTGTCCCCCAGTTCAATTCCAACACTATCTACCTGAGGATACTGCCAGATCCCACAGACGGGGGCTCAGTCCCCAAAACTGACCCCTTTAGACATCATTAGACATCAGTCACACTCCAGGTCTCTGGAAATTCTGACCAACCATCTTCAAATTGAGTTTCCCAATTTGAAGATTTGGGTTCATTGAAAACTCATTGAAAATGAGTTTCCCATGACCCCCTCTTTGGGTTTGATTAATTTTCTAGAGGAGCTCACAGAACTCAGGGAAATACTTTACTAATTTATTACAAAGGATATTTTAAGGATACAAATAAACCACCAGATGAAGAGATCCATAGGGTGAGATCAGGAAAGGTTCTAAGTGCAGGAGTGTCTGTCCTCATGGAGTTGGGGTGCGCCACCCTCCCCACATGTGGATGAGTTCCTATTCAGTGTCCTATGAGACCCCACATGTTCAGCTCTCCTGAACCCTCTTGAGCCTTTTTATGGAGACTTAATTGGATAGGCATGATTGAAGCATAGATAGCCATGTAGAAATGTGATTAGACAAAAAGGGTTTCATCTAAACCCAGCCAGGCTTATCTGTTTAGATCCTTCTGGGATTCATTGTGTAGCATTTTTTTCCTCCAGCTTATGGGGTAGAACTCTGTCTTGGATAAGGGTCTTATGACGCATATTATGATTAGAGTCCTGTCATGGGCAGGTGAAAGGAGGGCAGGAAAATGTCTGAGCTGTTCTGTTTACTGTAGCAAGGTCTATGGGAGTTACAAGCCAAGAATTGTGGGTGAAAACACACACACATACACACACATACAAAATATCACACTCGCCTTGCTGCTTTCAGGTATGAGGAAGCCTGGATTCGTTAGGGCAGTTTAGCCATTATAATGTAAAAGTTTATTTTGCACTCATGGAAAACCCAAAGTGAGTGCTCCTTGGTAGAAATGCCTTGTCTCTGCAATAATCAGGGCCAAGCTCCTTCCATCTGTGGTTCTCCTGTTATCAACATTTGCCCTCAAGTGTTGCTGTGGATATCTGCATTAAGTTAGTGAAAGGAAAGATAATAAAGGATCATGCTTGGAAGCACATCGTTTTGAAATGCACATCATTCTATGTATATTCTATTAGCCAGAGCTCAGTCCAACTAAGCTGAGTTGGCAAATCCCACTGCCAGAAAGGCTGGGAAATGTAGTCCAGCTGAGTTTTGGGGACAAAGAAGACCTGCTTTGGATGACTAGATAGTTACTTGCTGCCTCTCTGGATCTGGCCACTTGCCTGCCCAGACAAGTTAGAACACCTCACTGCCCGCTTCCTCTATTGATTGTTTATTTTCTTTCTTTCTTTCTTTTTTTTTTTTTTTTTTTTTTTTTGGACTTGACCCTGTCCCACCTTAATGAATAAGCAAGGGCTCCCCCCTCTACAATAAAATTTCAGCTTCTGCCCTTATTGCTCTCCTTAATATGGCCAAAGTCACAGAATGAAATTGATGTTTTACTCTGTCTTCCCAGTAAAATGGCAATGCTCTCTGTTAAGGAGAGCTTCATTCATTGGCTTAACCACAACTATAACTGAAAGAACAGTTGTTCTGCTTCTGAGCCACAGACCAAACCAATCTACAGTTAAAGTAATTTCTCTCTCAAAAAAAGATAGTCATTCAAAGAAATCTTTGTCATTGAGATGTATTGCTTCAAAGATGTATTGCTACAATTATTACTTAATCCTCATAATAATTGTAGAAAGCAGAAATTAATGCTTCTATTTTATAAGTGAAAAAATTGATAGGTAAGGAGATTAAGTTTCATTTAACTAATAATTGGTGGGTATTAGGATGTTTTGAAATGGTCTTATTTCTAAGCCTGTTTTTTCTAATATACTATGATGGATTTTTTTTTTCATTTTTGAGAGTGTATTTCTTTCTGTAGGGAGTATGAAAAAACTAATGAAAAGTATCAAGTAGTGAGAGAAACAAAGAACCATAGTATCAGTATCCAAATATAACAAGTTTCATAAATTTTTCTTACAATCTATTGCCTATGATCTTTTTTCTTTTGAAAAACAAATGACAGAAACTACATATAGTACAATAACAATTAGACTTATGTATCCATTACCCCTAAATTTCAAAAAGCAATATTTCTAATATTTACTTCAGATCTCTTTTTAAAGATATAAAATGTTACAGATAAAAGTTACATGGGCTTTTTCTTTACACTGTTAATTCATGGATTATTTCTTTCATACTCTGCTTCTTAGTAAATATTTCATTATAAAATTAAACCCTACCATTAGAATTAAGCATAAACTTACCCTGTTGCATGTTATTCTATTGCTGAATATTCAGTGATTTTAACAGTTATGCTATAATTATACTATAATGCATTTCTTTATGCTTAAATCTTTGTCCATATTTCTAATAAGTTTCTCTTGTCATTTTCTGTAGAAGGGGAAAATAAATGCAAATTCATCTCTACTGTATGTACCACTATTTACACCTTCTTAAATTCCTAATTCTGATTGTTGTCTGATCTGAAATATACCTTTACATTATTTGTTTCTAAGATGGACAGGTGATTCATATATTTTGCACATTTTGCCTATGAGAGGATGTCTTTTGTTAGCTTCACAAATGAAAGACGATTTAGCTACTTAAGAAATTCTTTGATTATAGCCTTTTCCTTTAAAAACATTTTGGATAATATGCCAACATTTTCTGGCACTTTAGTGCAGAGGAAAAATATGAAGGCAGCCAGTTTTTCGGGTGTTCTTTTAATATTTTTCTTTCACCATTTAATTCAAAATTTTGCCAAGGGTGTCTAGGTGTGGGACTCTTCATTGATTTAATGTGTAACATGGTAGTGTGACTTTTCAGTTGACTTACTCATATTTTTGTTTGCTTGTTTGTTTCAGATTTTACTTATGTACAAATTGGTTTTCCCTTCTTAAGACACCTAAGTTATTCTTCTATACTTTGTCTTCCACATTTATTACCTTATTTTTTCCTTGTGTCCCCTTCTTTAAATCTCTTGGTCATTTTTGTTGCATTCTGGAAAAATAATTGAAGTTTTCGTTTCATCACTGATTTGATTTTTTAATCAATTTTACTGTCTGCTGCTCTTAATATGCATTTACACTTTCATTGCATTTGAGTTTTCTGCTAATCCTACTTTTCTCAGCAGTTGCCCATTTCAATTCATCCTGTTTTATATCCACACCAGCCTGTTGTCATGCTCCTTTCACATGTGCATCATAGAATTCATGCATTTTTTGTACCCTATGTGTCTACAAAAGCGATTGTAATTTCGTTTTAATATTATTATTTCTTGTTCTTGGTATTATCTTCTCTACTTTTAGGATGATGATTGCCACTTCTTTTCTCCTGTGTCCTTACACAGGTTCCTTTGTTGTTTATTTTGTGGTTATTGTTGTTTTGTTTTCTCATCTTCAGATAGGTGCTTTTGTCGAGACTCACCACATGCCAATGGACAAACTATTTATTTTGGCTTTCATCTCTTTTTCTCGACATTTCATTGCTGAATGAAAATCCCCTTGCAGAGGTTTGGCCAGACATCCAGTTAATATGCACAGCTATTAGCATAATTTTAATGTCTATTATTAGGATTTTATCAAGTGTAAGCTCTACTGGACTATGATAAGATTGTCAGTTCCCAGTTTCTAAATCTTTTTTTTATTCTGAACAAGGGAATTAAAAAAAAAAAAGAAAAAACGGGCACTCTTCTCAGAGCTTCTCTTATTCTTGTCACCACCAAAAGCTCATTACTTATGAGGACTACTATTGTAATGCAATATGTCAATATTACTTCCTATGCTTATTTCATAAAAAATTTACTCTCTGGAAGTTTTACTCTTCAACTGAGAGTAAAGGAAAATTGCTGATGGGTATGGAGAAGTAGCTGTACCCACATAGAGCAAGATGGATTCCTCATTTTCTGCTTGGCAGTGAACTTGACTTCCTAAAGAAGAGTAAGCCTGGTGGCAACTGTGGGGAAATAGAGCATGAGCACTCCATCAGCTGGGTTAAACCAAAAGCCAGCCACCCGAGGAACACTGAACAGAGCTGTAACATCCTGCCAATCATGGAAATGTTGGTAATCACTTTCCATGCTTTGCCAGTTCTCTTATCTTAGTAGCAAGTTGTGAAAAGCTGAGCTGGGAAAATTACACTTAATTTTACCCTGTAGCTACCAAATGACTACCAAATAACATATTTTAAAGATGATACTTGTATTTAGTATAAAATACACAAAATGCTATGGTGATCCAGGTAAAAGTTTTTTCATACTGGTCGCTACTTTTTCTTGAATACTGTCAGTAAGTGACATATTTAAAAATATAATTAAAAAGAAACAAAATAAGCTAGGTTTGGAAAACATACAGAGCTAGTTTTTCTGGATACTTATGGGTAGCTTTATTAATCTTTTATTAAAAAATGTCATGCCAAAAATGGAATATATTTATGAGATTTCAATTAATGTCTACTTTCGCTATATGATAATTCTATCAGTACTTGAAGAGGGTACTTTCTAAAATCCTAGGGAAAAATTCACAATGCACCAGGAGGAAAGATGATCCCAGTGATTTTTCTCACATGACAAATTTATCAGTTGGCGTTGGTGAGCACTTTTGTTGATGAGTTGAATAATTTTTATGAGTTGACTAATATATTGGGATATATGGTTGTGGGTAGCTCTATTGGCCTACGTCCTACAGTGTGGAAAGTCAGATCACTCTCCTTTCTTTTCTGGCCTTGAACTGTATCAAAGTAAATGCCTACAATTTCTTTTCTTAGGATAATAAAATGTTGCTTCTCAGTGAAAGTAAGACAACTACAAATTTGAGTTAAACACTGTGCTTTAAATATATTTTTAAAAATTACATTTGGAATCATTAAAAATATTGGACTTTCACTGTAGAATAAGAAAATTCAGGAAAATATTTATGGAAAACATAGAGTAAAATTCTCCTCAATTGCATAAAAATGACAGGTTATTTAGCTTGGGCTGGAAAGTTCTGAAAATATCCCACTGGTAGTCCCAAAGCAACAAGGAAATTAACACGGACAATGAGAATACTACTTTTTTTTTTTTTTTTTGAGACGGAGTCTCACTCTGTCACCCAGGCTGGATTGCAGTGGCGCGATCTCGGCTCACTGCAAACTCCGCCTCCCGGGTTCACGCCATTCTCCTGCCTCAGCCTCCCGAGTAGCTGGGAATACAGGCGCCCACCACCACGCCTGCCTATTTTTTTTGTATTTTTAGTAGAGACGGGGTTTCACTGTGTTAGCCAGGATGGTCTTGATCTCCTTACCTCGTGATCCGCCCGCCTTGGCCTCCCAAAGTGCTGGGATTACAGGCGTGAGGCACCGCGCCCCGCCGAGAGCACTGCTTTTGATATGTACCAAAAAACTAATCATTTCAGCATCCTCATTACTTAAGCACCTTACATCTAGTTGGGTACTGCAAAGATATAGCCTCATGCTTTTTAGAAGTGATAATAATATTAACTGGAAGATCATTGTCAATTTTAAAATTGAGATTAGCGTTTGCTCTTTCTTAACTTGAAGGACTGCCCTCGAGGTTATAATTACTGAGTGATGTGAGAAAATGAACTCTAACACTAAAGTTAGTTTCATGTAGCCATATTTACCTCAGTTCTGTAGGGGGTGGTGAAATAAAAGGGCATGTCCATTGGGCCCTCTAGCATATTTAAGATGTGGGCAAAGGCAATGAGAAACATATGAAAGCTTGTTGGGCTTGTCTTCTGACATCCCCCATCTTCATTTTCAGAACAGTAGGAAGTATGTGGTCTTGTCTCTCTGGAAAGGGAACATCTGCTTTGTAGACCCAAGGTTCACTAGCTACATCCACCCCAAGGGCAGCCAGCTCAGCAAGACACAAATGTTCTATTAACAAATTTGGCCCTTGTCTCCTGCCTGTAATCTCCACATTGTCTTTTGCTCTCTTGGCTTTTGACAGGCCCTTTGTAAAGAGCCAAAAAACCTTGCTGCAACCTGCAAAATGAAACATAAACAAAAAGGAGTGAAAAGGAATTCCTGTTGCTGATAAAAAGCCATGAGCGCTAATTACATCACTACTAGTCCATTGAAAGAGAACAAGAAAAAAAGCCTGAAATGAAGATATGAGGAAAACAAAAACAAAAAACACGAATAGTGAAAACTTTGAATTGTTTTCTGTTTGGGATGCTTGTGGATACACAATTCAATTAATGTTTTATCTGTGGTTCTTTACTCTTTTATTTTTTTATAAAAATAAATCCTGGCCAGGCATAGTGGCTCACTCCCATAATACTAACACTTTGGGAGGGCAAGGTGGGAGGATCCGTTGAACCCTGGAGTTCCAGACCAGTTTGGGCAACGGCAAAACCCTATCTGTACAAAAAATACAAAAAGTTAGCTGAGCGTAGTGGCTTTCACTTCTGGTCCCAGTTACTCAGGAGGGCTGAGGTGGGAGAATCACTTGAACCCCGGAGGTTGAGGACAAGGCTACAGTGAGCCGTGATCACACCACTGTACTCCAGCCTGAGAGACAGAGGAGAACCTGTCTCAGAAGAAATCAATCAATAAATAAAAATAAATGAATAAGTAAATACATCCCAAATTTTTAAAATTAATATTGCTTCTATGATTAGTGTAACCTATTTACTATTCTTTCTTACTCTGTTCTAAATTACTTTTTCTTAAGTCTTTACTTATTTGGAGTTTAAAGTTCTCAAATTTTTATATTATGAAAAAATATCACATTAAAATAGATTTATTTCCAAGATCATCTTTTTGCTCTTGCTTTTAATAAGGTATTTACAAGGCAGGCAGATAAATATTAAAAGTCTTCAAGAGCAACTAGATTTATCATAGAGGATGTATTTACATTGTGATTGATAGTAAAAACCAAACTCCTAAATGAGAAAAACATCTCTACATAAAATTATTAGAACTTATTATACTTTTATAGCCATGGATCTCATTAGAGGCCATTGTAGGATGATGTACCACTGAGATTTCTTATTCTAAAACCACTAGCAAAGTGAAATATTCCTGATACATGCTCAGAGGTTGTATGCATATTTCTTTTCTAGATCTTATACTAGTTGCTCTTTCTAAACTACAATATTGTAATTATGGTAAAAATAATAGAAGTTATCTTATTATGAAGAGATGAATAGCGTTGTAGGAGTATCGTTGTTAAGAGTAAAGAAAACGTAGTAAAACTAACTTTTAGGAACATCTCAAGATATAAGTGTCTAGGTCAGAAATAATGGGAATGCTGATGAAAATTTAAATAAGTGAATAAGGCTGTTTTGTGACCTCTGTAAGTACAAGGATTGTTCTCAGATTGGTTTGGCATAGATAGTAATGTCATCTGTTTCAGTTTCCATATTGACAAAAAGTAGTGTACACAATAATTTTCTCTTTTAAACATATCTGTAGAACCACTGAGTATGTAACGAGTTAGCATTCTTGGCAGCTAGCATGTATCACAGCAGCATATATACAACTCGGTTAAACACTTTCAGGAACACTGATAGCTAATATGGTAGTTGTGATAGTTTTGAATTTTATACAGATTTTTATTAATTGTATGTTTATTTTTATGCATATATCACAATTGGTTTAAAAAGCAAAATGAATATTTATGTTGAAAAAAAAGTTAAAGAAGTGCCTAAAGTAAGTCTACACATTTTCTTCAAGATGTAATAATCACCAGACTTATAAGAGATATTCATTCTATTAAAATTACTATATAACACATAAATTGCCAAAAATTAGTGATAAGAAAACAAAATATGGTAAAATTTTTAATTGCATTAGACTTTCTATTTATTGGAACCCCCAAAAATCTATTTCCACAATATGTTACATACTTGAAAATAGCAGAAATGACATCCAGAAATGCTCACATGTTGTCATGTAGAAATACAATGTAAAAAGTCATTTTAAGAAACCCAGTGGAAAAACAAATAAACTACTAGAAATACAAAAATTCCAAACATGAAAATTTTTTAGCATTGCTATTATAAATATTACGATTTATATTTTAACAACATGGTGTTCCAAAATAAAAATATATTAACAGTAATTGTGAGACATTTTGTAGAGTAAAGTAAACTATGTTATCTCAGTTTCATTTTCCTGGGAAGCAAACTGACCTACATCTTCAGCTTCTTACAGAAAACTGCCTCTCTCTTTCCCTTTACAGAAACCTCACTGTTCCTTTGATATACAATTCTTGCTGAGGCCTCTCAGATGGAGGTGGCTCATTTTCCCTTACCCCATGTCTTGGTCCATTCAGGCTGTCTTAAAAAATGCCATAGACTGCATGGCCTAAATAACATAAATTTATTTTCTAATAGTTCTGGAGACTGGAATTCCAGGATCAAGGTGCCAGCAGGATCTGTATCTGGAGAGGGCTCTCTTCTTCGGTTGCAGGGCTGAGAGGTAGGGGAGGAGTGCTCCCTTGCGTCTCTTCTTTTTCTTCTAAGAACACTGTCACATCAGGTCCCTAGTACCCTTATGACCTCATTTAACACTAATTATGTCATTTTAGGCCCTATCTTCAAATAAGTCACATTGGGGGCTAGAGCTTCAACATATGCATTTTGGGAGGATACGATTCAGTCTGGTAGGGCAGCAGTACCCTTACTTGTTTGTGCTATTTCCAGGAGATCCCTTCTCCACTTCCATGTAAACCTCCTTGTTCTTTTGGGCCTCGGCTATTCAGAGCCTCCTAGGAAACCTCAGTGCTATGAAAATCTTTGTGTGCTATTTCTATGCTTTCATTTGAGATGCCAAGACTAGCTTGGAAAAATCAAACAAGTGCTACTGTAAAGCCACATTCTACCACCTCTACTGCATGCCCAGTGTTATTCAGAATTCCTTCAAGTTACTGGGTGTTTTTTTTTTTTTTTTCCTCTCTCCACAAAAGAACTTCACCCCCTAGCCTTCTACTGTCAAAATACAGCTGGTCAGAATGCTCTTTTCATGAATTGATTATTCGCACTGAATAATTGATTATTTGACATAATAGCCTAACAAGTGGAAAACTCACTCTACTTCTTATCAAATTTAAAATTTATCTCCAAATCTTCCATCTTCTCCTTATAAAACTAATTTCTCTCAACTATGCTCTATACATTAAAGTTTTTAATAAGTATAATTAAAACTACTATAAACAAAGATAAAATATAAGCCATATACTGAAAGAAACGATCATTTGCAATACATTTAACCAGTGAAGAGTTAGTATCCAGCATACATAAGAAACTTTGGCAAATTAATAAGAATGGTAAACAACCCAGTTGAAAAATGGGCCAAGGTTATGAATAAGCATTTTATATGGGAATAATTTCATTAGGACTCTCAGGAAAATGCCAATTAAAACAATATGTTACCTTCTTTTTAAGGGTGAATAATATTTTACTGTGTATATATACATATCACATTGTCTTTAGTCATTAGTCTATGGACACTTGAGTTGTTTTCATATCTTGGTAATTGTGAATAATGCTTCAATGAGCATGGGAGTACAGATATCTCTCATACATACTGACTTCAGTTATTTTGCATATATAACCAGAAGTGGGATTGCGGGGTCATATGATATTTCTATTTTAATTTTTTGAGAAATCTCCAAACTGTTATCCATAGTTGCCACACCATTTTACATTCCCACCAACGGTGTACAAGATTTCAATTTGTTTCGCATCTTTGTCAATGCTTGTTTTTCTTTTACATAGTAACAATCCTAACGGATGTGAAGTGATATCTCATTGTAGTTTTGATTTGCATTTTCCTTGTAATTAGTAGTGCTTAACATTTAAAAAAATATATCTGTTGACCATTTATATGTCTTCTTTAAAGAAATGTCTGTTCAAGTTCTTTGGCCCATTTTTATTTGGGTTATTCGTTTTGTTTTGTTTTTTTCAGCTATTGAGTTGTTTAAATGTCATATATTTTGGAAATATAACTCCTTAGCAGTATATGGTTTGTAAATATTTTCGCCCTTTTCATATGTTGCTTTTTATTCTGTTGATTAATTCCTTTGCTATGAAGGCAGTTTGTGACAACATGGATGGGCCTGGCAGACATTACACTGAATGAAATAAGTCAGTCACAGAAAGACACAGAAAGACAAATACTGCACAATTCCACTAATATGAAGTGTCTAAAGTACTCAAACTTAAAGACACAGAGAATGCAGTAGTGGTTACCACCTGCTGAGTGGGGAGGAAAATAGGGAATTGCTTAATGTGTATAAAGTGTCAAATATGCAAGATGAATAGATTCCAGAGAGCTACTGTACAATGTTGTGCCTATCACCAACAATACTACTTATTGTACTTCAAAATGTGTTAAGGATGGATTTCAAGTGTTCTTACCACAAAAAGAAAAATTAAAAACAAAAATCAAAAATAAAGGAACACAGGGAAACCTATGGATATGTTTATTACCTTGATTGTGGTGACAGTATCATGAGTGTTTGCATATGTCCAAACTCATCAAATTGTACACTTTACATATGGACAGTTCTTTTCATATCAATCATACCTCAGTAAAGCTGTTAAAAATGTTTAAAAGTGTTTTAAAAATTCACATTCATCTGTCAAAAATAAATTGAGAACAACAAGCATGAGAGAGAATGTGAGCTCTCAAACACTACTGGTAGCTGTATACATTGGCACAATCCCTTTGAAAAGCTATTTAGCAACAGCTAGAAAAGTTGAGGATGTATATTCCACAACTCAACATTTTTTCATCTACTTATACCCTAAAGCATCTGTCATTCATGAACACAGATAATCATTGCTACATGACGGATAAAAGTGAAACATCATAAATAACCAAAGTATGTATTATTATAGGAGTATATAAATAAAAATGGCTATGTTCATATGATAGAATATATGGAAAATAAATAAATGGCCTTGATCTACATGCATCAACATTGATAAATTTGATGCATCTGATGACTTCCCTTTGAAACTTTTTTCTTCATTTAACATCCAGCTATGACACCTGGTTCTCCTCCTAAATTTCTGGCCAATCTCTCAGTCTTCTTTGCTGGTTGATGGTCATCTCTAAAATTTCCTTTGGACTTCTCTTTGCAAGCAACATTTACTTTTTAAGTGACCTTATCAATTTTTGTGGCTCTAAATGTCAACCTGGTGCTAATGACTTTAAAGTTACACCTCCAGCCCAGATCTTTCCCCTAAATTCCAGACCCCTCTGTCTCACAACCCATTTAGTCAACATCTCATCTGCAAGTCTTGGACTTTGGCTCCTGGGAGCTCAAAGCTGTTCCCCATGCAGTCTTCCTCACTTCTTTTACTGCCAAGATGATTCTGACAGTTGCTTAGATCTTTCAAAATTGATCTCCAACCTGATCACTTCCCATCACCCCACTGCCACTGCCACCTGTCTGATTGAAACCACCATTATCTTTTGCTTTTGTTACTGAAATGAGTTTTTACAAGAGGTTTCCCTGCTGCTGCCCTTGGTTCTTTCTGTCTTTTCTCAACAGGACTGCTCACAGCGATTTGTTCAAATGAATGTTGGATGCTATCATTCTTCTTCTTACTCTCCCTTGGTTTCTACATGATCTGGCTTCTGTTATTCTCAGGCCCCATCTCTTCCCTCCCTTCCTCTCTTTCCCTGTACTCCAGCCATCTGGACCTCCTCCTCTTCCTAGAATGCACCAGGGATGCTTCTGCCTCAGTCTTTGAACTTGCAGTTCTGTGTTTGCTCATGTAGCCAAATGACCAGCTCCTTTATTTTCTTCAGAGCTTTCCTCAAGATTAGCTTCTTGGTTAATACCTCCCTGGATGCTTCATCTCAGCTTCTGATCTGAACCCTATTACTTCCTCTCCCTTTTCTTAATTTTTCTTGTTAGCACTTATCAGTTATAAAGCCGCTGCATTAGTCAGCTTGGCTTCCATAAAAAAACACCACAGGATGGTGGCTTAAACAACAGAAATATACATCCTCACTCATCTGGAGGTTCTAAGTCCCTATCAAGGTGTCAGCAGATTGGATTCCTGGTGAGAGCTGTCTTCCTGGCTTGCAGATGAGTGGCACCTTGCTGTGTCCTCACAAGGCCTCTCAATCTCAGAGAACTATCTGGTGGTGTCTCTTTATAAGCACACATGTCCTGTGGGATCAAAACCCTACCTAATGACCTCTCTTAATCTTATTCCCTCCCTAAAGTTTCTCTCTCTAAATATTTGTCACTTTGAGGGTTAGACCTTCAACATATGTATATTGGGAGGTACAAAATTCAGTTTGTAACAGCAGCCTTAATCGAATATTTCATATTTTGTTGTTCATTGTCTATTATCCTATTAGAATATAAGCTTCATGAGTGCAAAGACTTTAGTTTGTTTTCTTCACTGTTTTCTTCTAGCACTTAGAGTATTTCCTGTGGCATAGAGGATATTTAATAAATGTGTATGAATTATCTGAAATCCTGATGTGAAGTATAAAAAACGAGTTGTCATTTCATACCTAAAACATCATTTCAAAATCTTCAAATTATAAAATTGCACTACAAGTTTTTCATGAACAAGTATGTGTGTAGTAATATACTTTTAAAAATTGGAAGACTGCCAATGTCAAGACAATTAATTACTTCCCTGAAGAGCAGAAGGAACATGAAATTAGAGAGTGGTTAAAGCAGCTCTAACTGTAGCTATAATGAAATAAAAGATTTAACTTTTAAAAATAATACTTGAAACAAATATGAAAATTTTAACATTTGTGAAACCTGGAGATAATACAGGAATATGTGATATGTTTTCATTTATGTTTCTATGTTTTAAATATTTTAAGACAGAGAGAGATAAGTAGAGCTCCTATAAGAGAGAAGACCATGTCTGTTTTGTTCTTGCATGTACCTCAAACTCTTAAAAAGGATGATGGCCCATAGTAGAACCTCAGTGAATACTCAGTGAATGGATGAAGGTTCAGAATATTTAGGCTTATTTATCTTTGGTTCCGAACATAATACTTGGTACATAGGTACAGATAAACAAATACACAAGCAAATAAGCAAGAAAACAAGTAGATGAACAAAAACATGTTTAAAATGATAAACAAGTCTCCCTAAGTGTCCTAGCCTCATTCTTCCCCTCTTTCTGTTCCTTTTATACTACTTAGCAATGCTGTATGTGTCTTGGCTTCCCAGTTCTGCTATCTCCCTCTCTGTTCTCAACCCTCATTTACTTTTCTGCCAAAAGATACAAGCAGAAGCCACTGGAGAAAGAGCTTGGGGGACTAGTATGGTTTATGGTCAAGGCCCTGGCCTTCTGTATCTTCTCCATACACTGTGAAGGCATTTGGGACCCCTCTTTGAACTTGAACTTCTGCATGAGTCCTCCCTCATTGGTTCCGATGGATTGTTTTGCCTAAAACTGCAGTCCTGTGGACCTTACAAAGAGTGGCAACAGAAACCTGTTCTTTGCAGCTCTGCTTAATTCATGCCAAAACCCGTTGTTAAGATGACTTTCTGTCCAGTCTCACAGCCAAATGCCCCACATTTGGCCAGATAAAGTCTATTTTCTCCCAAAATTCCATATACAGTTTCTCTTAAAAAGAAGTGTGCTTCTACTTTTTCTAATAATCTAAAAGTCATGTATTTATATTTACCTTTCACAGGTGATAGATTCTAGCAAAACTTGAGAGTCTCTATGTTCCTTTATTTTGCCTAATTATGAGTACTTTAAGTATGTTTGGGCCAATCTATCTAAGTCATTTCTGCCTTAATTTGATACAAACAAGCAAAAGTCATGTTATTAAGGGGACTGTGAAAACATTCAAAGAAAGTCATTCTCTCTCACAGACTCTCGGTCCACGTTAATTAGGAAAACAACAATCAGTCTTTCACATTCACATCTCTAACCTTTTATCTCTTTTCATACTTAGCCATGGGGAAAGTGATGACTCTAGGGATTAAAAAGATAAAAGAATTTAGAGTTATAAATTAAGATCCTTTATCTGATAAATACCAAGCCAGAAATTAGAACCCTCAACCTCACAAAACCCGAAAAAAATAGATTTCTAATGTATTAAAGAAGTTTAAAAACTAAATCATAAGGAAATGAATAATATATCAAGTATTTGTCAGATCTCCAGATGGTAGACTTTCTTAGTTTAAAAGTGACAGCAAGCACACATAGAAAAAAGTGGACTATTTGGCTGCATAACCCTTTAAAACTTGTGTATGATTTTTATTTCAAAAAGACAAAAATACAGAATTGAAAACAAAAGATAAACAATAAACTGAAGAAACTATTTGAAACAAATATAGTATCTTTTATTATAAAAAGAGTCTATTCCTATTGATGCCAAAACACTAAGACCCTTTAAGCTAATAAAAAATCGAACAACCTGGGCAGCCAATTCATAAATGAGAAACTACATTTATTATAAAAGTAAATTTAAAAATCCACCCACTTATTAATAACAAAGGAAATCAATTTAACAAAAAACATTTAAAGTAATATTAAGAAATCTGTTCAAATTTGGTTAAGCAAGTAATATTATATATTACTAATGGGAATGCAAATTGAATTACTGTGGAAAACAATCTTAAATTTAAAAATGTAAAAGTCTTCCTAATTATTGACCTAGTAATGCCATTTCTCAGAATTTAAGAAATCGTTCTAGTTTACAGTCCCACCAACAGTGTAAAAGTTTTCCTATTTCTCCACATCCTCTCCAGCACCTGTTGTTTCCTGACTTTTTAATGATCGCCATTCTAACTGGTGTGAGATGGTATCTCATTGTGGTTTTGATTTGCATTTCGCTGATGGCCAGTGATGATGAGCATTTTTTCATGTGTCTTTAAAATGATGAGTTCATGTCCTTTGTAGGGACATGGATGAAGCTGGAAACCATCATTCTCAGCAAACTATTGCAAGGACAAAAAACCAAACACCACATGTTCTCTCATAGGTGGGAATTGAACAATGAGAACTCATGGACACAGGAAGGGGAACATCACACACTGGGGCCTGTTGTGCGGTGGGGGGAGAGGGGAGGAGGGAGGGATAGCATGAGGAGATATACCTAATGTTAAATGACGAGTTAATGGGTGCAGCACACCAACATGGCACATGTACACATAGGTAACAAACCTGCACGTTGTGCACACGTACCCTAAAAGTTAAAGTATAATTAAAAAGAAAAAGAAATGATTCTGAATACAGGAATTTAAAAAGCACCTTTATAGCCAAAGCTGTGCACCGAGTATTAATCATCACAGTGGAAATTTGAAAATAGTCTCCTAGGTTTCTGGATTATTTTAGCTATAATATATTACATTCATTTATGGCTATATATTTAAAAAAAGCCAAAGACAGAGTAACAATGAAGGAAGACTACTTAAAAACATTTAATGTATCAAATATGTAATGGATTAAGGAATATATGGGTTGGTTTATTATTAGGTAAGCAGATTTTTGGGCCAACAGCTTTCAGATGGATTGTCTTTGGTTGACCTGGTGTCGATCCTCATAGCCATGCACATGACCTTCGTGGTCTCCATATTAGACATCTTGGTATCTAACTCTTCTGAAATTGACCCAGGGCCCTCGTTTTTTAACCAGCACTACCCATCTGCTCTCCTTGTCTTGGCAACCCGAAGTCTTCCTAGGTGCCTGAACCACTTTGCTTGGTGGGAACTTCCTCCTCCAGTTCCCATGGGCTCCGAGCTTTAGAAAGCCCAAATGCCAAGTAATGCTCACACCTGCCTGAGCCAGGACAGTGATGCACAATGACTGGCATTCATTTTCATCTTGGTTACACTTTCCAGTTTGTCCTGAAAAAATTCTTACTGGCTTTGGGCCAGTGCCATGGCTTATATCTGTAATCCCAGCACTTTGGGAGGCTGAGGCAGACCAATTTGAGTCCAGGAATTGGAGACCAGCCTAGCAACATGGCAAAACCCTGTGTCTACAAAAAAAAAAAAAAAAAAAAAAAATTTAGCCGAGTGTGGTGGTACGTACCTGTAGTGCCAGCTACTTAGGAGGCTGAGGTGGGAGGAACGCTTGAGCCCAGGAGGTCAAGGCTGCAGTGAGCCATCATCGTGCCACTGCATTCTAGCTAGGGCAACAGAATGAGACCTTGTCTCAAAAGGAAAAAAAAAAAGAAAAAAGAAAAAATACTTACTGGTTTTTTACCTCTTACTTGGCTGTAGGAACTATGCTAAGTGTTTGATGTTTATTATCTAATCCTACCAACCAAAGACGTGCACTAAATATTTAATGTATAGTATCATACATAACTTTCTTCACAACACTGTCAGAAAAATGACATTTTATTGATGAGAAATCTAAAGCTTAGTAACTTTTCCCAAGCACTGTGAGGAAATAGCAGAAGTAGAATTCAAATTCAGGTGTTTTGACTTCAAAGAGAAATCATTATTTCTTATGTTCCACACTAGGTAAAAATAAAGTTTCACATCAGGCTAATCACAGAGAGAAAAGACATTTAAACAGTAGGTAAATGCTTGAAGACTTTGAGGTTTCTAGGTGTTCTATGTCTTGTCTACCCTATTCACCCTATTGGTGAGGGAGAGATTCTTGCCCTAAATAATATAAGAAAGCCAAACACGCAAAACCCAGCACCACACAGATGATATTGGCAGCATTATATTCATTAGCTATACTCGTAATGTCCCGAGGTAGGAGGACATTTCACACAACACATGGTAACACAGGGGTGTATACTCAGAAGCAAAGGGAAACAACAGGGCTGTGGGAGGCAGGCTTTGTAGTAACTGGTGAGTGGGTGTCCTCTGGTTCTCACAGGAGAATGCAATCGGTTGTTTGAATAATTTTGTGGGCTGACAGGGAAGTAAAACCCGTGAGGTCGAGAACAAGGTCAGGGACAACTGGTCTGGCTGATAGGAAGACTACCTGGGTGGGGAGTGACGGGAATATTTGGCAAGAGCCGGGAGCTCATGAATAGGCCTTTGGTGCCAAGTAACTCAAAGATGTCACAGCAGCACTTAAATTTTAGGTCCTACAATTACTTTTATCTAAAAAATAAGGAAGAAGATAGAGACTCAGTTTTATTTCTCTTTGTATCCATAGTAATTTCCTGCAGTGTATTCTGTTTTCTATAATGAGTCTTCTCAGTGTTTTCACCAGGAAAGATACAATGAAACTGGTAGTGGATACAGGAAAGACTCTCATTTCAGGTTGAAGTATGTCAAAATTATTCATGTTTAAATGTGAATGGTTTGTATGTAAGGTATAATTAAGAAATATTCTAAGTATTAATATTTTAGTATGAAATTAAACATATTCATTCTATACTTGAATAAACTACCTACAAATGTCTTACTACAGACAATGAACAAAGCATGATCCAGATTTTTCATTGAGATTTAATTATTTCAGTTAAATTTCACTCTAAATCTTGTCTGTCCTCTGAACACTACCCTAATTAAAAGACTACCTGAGACAATTTTAAAATGTCCAGGACATTAGAAGCTTGTGTTCTATTCATTCTTATTCAGTGTCTTACCTTAAGGTACCATTTGGAATTCTTCAACGTATTCTACTATTTTCAATTAAATACTAGTTTATGAGACCAGAAAGACAATTCATTGGTGCCTCTCAAAATGAAATGGATGGACCGTCCACTGAATGACAGTCCCGGGTGGTAGGAGATTTTTAATGAGCTCTGCAAGTGATTCTTATGCATGCCCAAGTATGACAAAGACAGCGGTCTAGAAATGCTTTTATTTCTATGGTTCAAGGGGGTTATAGATTAGCTCTACATTTATTCTAGCTGGAGGTGGTAAAACGGGAAGGGGCTATGAAAGGTTTGCATCTGTGCATCTCTCTTTCTCCTATTCCTGTGTGACTTTGGCAAGTTACCTTTCTTATGCCTCCTCTTTCCTGTCTGTAAAACAGAGTTAACCTACAACATTAAAATATTGTTCTAATAATAATGAGAGTAAAGAAGACAGCTCAGAGAGAGCACACACTATGCGCTGAAGGATGTTATGCTTTCCCCAGTCTCTTCCCTTCCTAACAACCTTATGAGAACCCCTGACACAACTCAGGTGTGGTGAGTCATTCTTCTGATTGCTTATCTGCCAGACCACAAATTGTACATGTAATTAGGAGTATTTTACATTAATTGTCTCTCATGTACTATGTACTTGCAGGTTAACTCATTTAATTCTGAGAATAATGTGACAAGACTGATTATTATATATCCAAATCAATCTATTTACAGATGAGGAAACTGAAGAAGAGAGGAGTATTTTACTGGCTCATGATAATGCTAGTTAAATGTTGAAACTGAGACTCAAGTTCAAATCATCCAGACACCCATGCTTGTCCCACAGTAGCAGCCTAACAAATGCAATTATTCTATTTTATTTTTCTACAAAGCAATTTTAAATCATCTCGATTTTCCCCAACTTTGTGAAGGTATAGACTGTTTAAAATTGCATTTAAGGTGTACAACATAATAGTTTTAGATAGGTAGATAGATAAACCTTGTGAAATAATCATCACAATCAAGGTCATTAACATGCCATGCTCTTGATTTTTAACACCCTAGTTCAAGTATCTCAAACTCATATGCCTAATAGGACCAGGAAAAAATATAAATGAATGGCTGAATTGTATTCAGCTGACATAAGGACTGGTTTATATATTTTGCCACCATTTTTCTTGAAACACGTAATTCTGTAAACCTAACTTTTCTTTCCTTACTTTGATGGAAATATAGTTACAGGGAAAACCAATGGCATGAAAACAAAGAGAAATGGCAACTGAACTTTGGCCTCAGTGCTGGTGCCAGAGAAGAAAGTGACAAAATAACTGCCAATGTGATCCTAAGCTTCACACCTCATCTAAGATGCACAATGGCCACCAGCTCCAGCTGATGCCTGCTGTGCTGCAATTCTGATCCCAAGACTCCAGGTGTTCGGATTTCTAAAGAGAAGTCAGAAATCTGGATTTTAGTTTGAAATTTCACAACTTTTGATTGTTGGTCTGAAATAATAAAACAAAACTAACAGGCAAAACAACAACCAACTCCTGTGCTGGCCAAATGAAGCATATTTGCTGTCCAACTCTAGTCCATTGGTCACTGGTTTTGGACATCTTCTTTTGATGAGCAATAGGAAACACATGAGGTCTGCAGCATTTTTATTTACCTATGGAAAATATTTACATTAAAAATGGCCTCAGGGCAAGGGGCTTTTGCATCAGCTCTTTCTGTTTGAAATGAAATTTTTGTTTGGCTCCTGGTTGGTTGGTTTTAGCTCCAAGAAGTTTTTCTCAATCCTTCTATTAAATGTTTTCCACACAGAGGCAAGGAAGATGTTTTCACAGTTATTGTGATAGGGGTCAAGACTATTGCAACAGGGGAGGGAAACTGAACTCAATGCCACTGAAACAAAGGTCATTCTACCCTTCTACCTTGCTTCAAAGCTGTCTGAAAAGATCCCATTTATTTCTTTGTTTATTTATGGTTTGTCTTTCCTACTGGAGGTTGGTTTCCAGCGAGTAGGAAACTTGCTTATCTTTTTCACCATTGTATTATGAAATTTTAGAACAGTGTCCTATACCTAGTATATGTTCTACAAATATTTCTTCAGGCACAGTAGCAGTTACTTATTGAGCAGGCACTAGATGGTCTGGAAATAAAGCACTCTGTGCCTTAAAAGTCCTGAATAAGAAAGGGAGGTAACTGTGCCCTCTCCAAGGCTGACCACTCAGTACGTCATCAATAAACATGTGTGAAGTGAATGCTTAGTATATTACAAATAACTGAGATTTGTTTAATTTATACTTAGCCTCCTAAAATAGGCTTTCTTGGGTTTAAGATCCACAGTCTTTGAATGCATCAGCACATTATGTGCCACATCATTTCAGAAAATGCATATTTGATTTGACCACAGTTGCTAATAAAAATGACCTTTTATAAAATCATTTGCATAGCATGCTCGTAGGACTCACTTACTTTGTTAGGCAATTAGTCCATCATACTTCCAAAAATAATACATTTTATATATATATTAATAAAAGCAATTTAGATGTCTCAGATACACTGCAAAGCTTTTGTAGATGGAACAAAATTTGGCTTTTCATCTATACATATTCAAATGGTTTCTTAATAACTCAATTATCTTTGGCTGATTGATTCCAGGAATTTTGCTAATTTTTTTCTCAACAGTACTGTGATATTTTACATTTCATATTACTTTAATTTTTAAGGAACAAAGGGCTTCTCGCTTTTTCTAAGTGACATTTTGTCTTTTGGCAATGCCAACTATGAACTGCACGTGGCTAAACTTGGATTCTTAGAAGTGATAGAAAATTAGCATAATAAACTCCATGCATGACCCTTAACTGCATCTGCATACTTAAAGAAAAACAAATATAATCAGTTTTCATAACAGGAGCTTCTGTAAAGTACTGTTATATGAAGTTAGGAGTTGGCTAATGAAATTGTGGATAATATCAGTTACTATTTGGCTTAAAGCCTGCCTTTTAAAATATTCACTTTTATTATCTTTGGAAAGCTAAGGGCTTGTGTTTGTTCTCTCCTTGTGCCTCCATCAGCTGGGTGTTTCTGAGTGGACGGAGGCCTTACCTCTGGATTGACAATCCTGTGAAGATATGGCTTGACCTTTTTTTTTTCTGAAAGTGGATTCTGGAAGCTTAAAAGTAGTCCTGTTACATATGTATACAAACCTGATGCACTACAATAAATCATTTATTTAGACTAATATGTCCGAAGACATCAGAAAAGCCCCAGATAAAAATCTTTGGCAACTATAATAAAATTTGGTAGGAATACAGAAATAACCCTCCATAATCTGATACATCAAAATAATCTATTTATAAAAAATATTTGTCATGTTTTCATGAAGTTGCAGTATTTTTCAATCAATATGTGCTAAAACAAAATCACATAAAAAGATAGTGAAAAGTGTGCTGTATGCAACCAATCATATACAAGATTAAGAAAACTATATACCATTATAGGACAATGATATGGTTTGGCTGTGTCCCCACCCAAATCTCATCTTGAATTGTAGCTCCCATGATTCCCATGTGTCGTGGGAGGTAATTGAATCATGGGGGTGGGTCTTTCCCATGCTGTTCTCATGATAGTGATAATTCTCATGAGATCTGATGGTTTTAAAAAGGGGAGTTCCCCTGCACACATTCTTGCCTGCCACCATGTAAGACATGACTTTGCTCCTTGCCGGCCTTCCACCATGATTGCGAGGCCTCCCTAGCCATGTAAAACTGTGAGTTCATTAAACCCCTTTCCATTATAAATTACCCAGTCTCGGATATGTCTTTATTAGCAGTGTGAAAACTGACTAATACAGACAGTCTTTAACCTTTCTTCTACTCACCAAAATCTTCAGCCCCTTTTTTGTTCGAGGAGGGGGTTGTGCGAAAGACTGGAGCAATCACTCATCATGTCGCAGCTGCATTTTCTTTGCCTTGCATAGCACCTTGCTGCAGAATCTTACTGTATGACTGCAAGAACTCCTCGAATGGTCATATATTTAATCCAGTAGAAAAGCTTGTCAAACCATGCAAGTACCATTTGTTCTGAGTGCTTGTCTGCCTCATCTATCCTGATGTCCAAATCAATGCTAATTCAGTCATTTCCATCATTATCCCTTTTGCTGGTTCAATGACAAGAATGCTTATAAATGTACTTACAGCAAAGAAAACAAAGCCATGATATATTCTAGCATATTCTAACTTTTTCCATATTATTTCCTTTTCACAAGTTAAAGAAAAATTGTACCAGATGGAGTTAAACAGGCATGAAAGATTTTATTCAAGGGTATTGCAAGAGGGATCAATATTGTTTTAACAGGGAAAAGAGGCTGAACTCAGCTCCACTGAAAGAAAAGACAGGAGTGCTTGTAAGCACTGGAGTGAGCTGATAGGAAAGGACTAGATCGCCTAAGTGGGTAGTTTGGTCAGTGTGAAGTTTGGTCAGTGTGATTAGGCTACCTTGGTTTGCTTATTGTCACTTAGGGAAGTTTGGCACTCATTCTCCCACTGAGACAGGGGCCCAATGATTTCTGATGATTGCATTTCAAAGAGTTAGCTCCCAGGTTCAAGAGAAAGACACTCTTGGGTTGTAGAAGATTTACATCTTAAATAGGCAGAGAATTTACTATTAAAAGTTTATTCTGGCCGGGCACGGTGGCTCACACCTCTAATCCCAGCACTTTGAGAGGCCGAGGCAGGCGGATCACAAGATTAGGAGATCGAGACCATCCGGGTTAACATGGTGAAACCCCGTCTCTACTAAAAACACAAAAAGATCAGCCAGGCGTGATGGCGGGCGCCTGTAGTCCCAGCTACTCAGGAGGCTGAGGCAGGAGAATGGTGTGAACCTGGGAGGCGAAGCTTGCAGTGAGCCGAGATTGCACCACACTCCAGCCTGGGTGACAGAATGAGACTCCATCTCAAAAAAAATAAAAATAAAAAAAAGTTTATTCTAGGCCGGGTGCAGCGGCTCACACCTGTAATCCCAGTGCTTTGGGAGGCTGAGGCGGGCAGATCATGAGGTCAGGAGTTCGAGACCAGCCTGGCCAATATGGTGAAACCCCATCTCTACTAAAAATACAAAAATTAGTCAGGCATGGTGGTGCATGCCTGTAGTCCCAGCTACTCGGGAGGCTGAGGCAGAAGATTCGCTTGAACCTGGGAAGCGGAGGTTGCAGTAAGCCCAGATCACGCCACTACACTCCATCCCGGGTGACAGAGAGAGACTCTGTCTCAAAAAAAAAAAAAAAAAAAAAGTTTAGTCTAAAGTCAATGCTGTAAGGAAAAGAAGGCCAGGGGGCCTATAGTCTGGAATAAACCTGTGTAAGGTTTAGTGAAACTGATAGGAACTTTAGGGCCTTCTTGGTCAGACATTTATTGTATAGTCTACAGTTGTTGTCCCCAACCTTTTTGTCACCAGGGACCAGTTTCGTGGGGGGATGGTTTCCAGGATGAAGCTGTTCCACCGGGGATTATCAGGCATATTAGTTAGATTTTCATAAGGAGAGTGCACCCTAGATCCTTTGAATTTGCAGTTCACAATAGGCGCCCTCTTTCCTTAGTGTAAGGAATCTAATGCTATGAGAATCTAATGTTGCACTGGTCTGACAGGAGGCAGAGTTCAGGCAGCACTGCTCATTCAACTGCCACTCACCTCCTGCTGCGCAACCAGTTCCTAACAGGTCATGGATGACTAGGTGGTTGGGGACCCCTCGTCTACATGAATCATTTACATTTTGAGCTCCAAAAAATATTTAAATTTGTATTAATATGTGAATAGAGAGGCAGTTACTATAAGTGTCACAAAAAGAAGCTTTGCTCAGATAAAGGAGAAAGTATATTATGATCCTAATGAAGATCTAATATGACTCGGCCTCGCAGTGTATAAAATCATGCCTAACCCAGAAAGAATCTGTTCCAAATTGCACCTACAATCTCATGTGGTAGATCTATAATTTTACTTCAATTACCATTCTACATCACTTTTTACCAAATAATTTATCTTTAGGAGAAGGGGCCTAGTGGAATGCTGGCATTTAGGGGGAAATCTTGAAAATAAGTTACTGTTATTAGCACTGTTGTTGTACTGTATTTGGTGCTTAGGATCTCTTTAGAAAGAAGTGAAGAAAGGGATGAATGACAAAGAAATGGCAACAATTAATGGTTATGCTAAGGAAAGAGGGCACCAAAACCCAGCAGGAGAAAGAACAAGCAGATGGAGAGCGTAAGCGGTTGACCTAAGCTGTGGGAAGGTAGTCAGTCCCGGCAGGACTGCATCCCTGTGCTAGCTGCTATCAGATTCTATACACCTTTGTCCCCATTGATGAAAGGCATTACAGTTTTGAATCCCCATTTTATAGATTTTAAAAATCTGCCTAACAGGTTTAAAGCCATACCCAGTATCAGCCACACACGAAACCCTACATAGCTCCACTTATCTTGATTATAATTGAGATAGGAGTTCCACAGGACTTGTTTCTCAAGAAACGGGTCACAAAGACCCCCATATGATAAAACAGGATGTGGTAAAGAAGCTGTCCAAAACCCACAAAAACCAAGATGGTGACAAAAGCAACCTCTAGCTGTCCTCACTGCTCATTATACACTAATTATAATACATTAGCATGGTAAAGAAAACTCCCACCAGTGCCTTGAAAGTTTACAAATGCCGTGACAAGATCTGGAAGTTACCCTATATGGTCTGACAAGGAAGGGAGTCCTCAGTTTTGGGAATCCCCTGCCCCTTTCCCAGAAAACTCATGAACAACCTACCGCTTGTTTAGCATATAATCAAGAAATAGCCATAAAAACAGCCAAACAATAGCCCTCAGGGGTACTCTGCCTTTGGAGTAGCCATCTTTTTATTCCTTTAGTTTTTTAATAGACTTGCTTTCACTTTTCCCTGTCGAATCATTCTTGAATTACTTCCTGCACAAGCCAAGAACCCACTGGCATTCTGAGCTGAAACCCAATTTGGAGGTTCACCCTACAACAGAATTGCATAAATTGTTTGAGAAGTTTGGAACCATTGGAGGTAGCCCACTATATAGTATGGCCAAAATGTATAGCACTGATTGTTAGAAAAGTTAAGAAAAGCTTTCCCTGTATTGACTATTCATGGGGGAAAAAAAAATCTACAATAAGTGCAGGCAACTTGTTTCAAATAGGTAACAAAAAGGCATAGGTTTGGTGACTAAAATTATCTCAAGATGTATTGAGAGGGACATTAGATAAAGGTCCTTAAGCAGTGAGGAACAAAAGCAGTGGGTAGAAAACTTAAAAATGCAAACATTTAGAAATTGGAAACGCTGCTTTAGAGGAGAGAAAAGAAAGTAAGGCTTTATCTCAGTTATAAGAGACAGTGTTGAAAGCCAAAGAAAACACACTTTCTTTTTTTTTATTTTATTTTATTATTATTATACTTTAAGTTTTAGGGTACATGTGCACAATGTGCAGGTTAGTTACATATGTATACATGTGCCATGCTGGTGTGCTGCACCCATTAACTCGTCATTTAGCATTAGGTATATCTCCTAATGCTATCCCTCCCCTCTCCCCCCACCCCACAACAGTCCCCAGAGTGTGATGTTCCCCTTCCTGTGTCCATGTGTTCTCATTGTTCAGTTCCCACCTATGAGTGAGAATATGCGGTGTTTGGCTAGTCCTCAAGGGTTTATTCTTAACATTAATTATAATCAAAAAGCAAACTCAAATCACAGCAATCAGTATGTGGTCACAAACCCAACAGGACCAGACCTTAGTCCAGATGCCTCCATTACAGGTGGTTGGTGAGTCTGAGCATTTCCTGATGGCTTTGACGCTGTGGGTATAATGAAGTGAAAAGACACTTGCAAGATCTTGTCTTTGAGGAAGAACAAATGTCCACGCAGACAGGAAGCGGCTGGCCTGGCGTTAGCTCCTCCTGTGAGGACAGAATTTTTGCCGTGGGCTCTGAAGACTAGCTGCATTTCTGGTGATTATAGAGAGACTCAGCAGGCCATGATTTTTATCACCCATCTTAATTGTTTAAAACTGAGGTTCTGCTTTATAGGACTTTACTTAGAAACATTTCTAACATATAATTTGGTTAACATATTTGTAAAAACATATATATATATATATATATATATGTATACTTACAAACATAAATCATTTTTAATTATGAGTTTCTTTCAGTTGTTTATTTCATACTTTAATTCCTGAGAATTTGAAGAAAAATATTTTGTGGTACATTTTCGGAAGTAAGAAATGGGAATGCCTATGAACAAGTACATTAACTGTAGCTTTTATAATCATGTTTAAGAGGGCAGGATAACATCACAGGTTGCAATTCAAGGTCTCTAATCCATCTGAAAGATTTATTGTATCGGGGAAAATTTCTGCTTGTTGCTGCATTTTAATAAAATTAATCTTTATAATTTGAATTTGGGCTCATATATACGATCTCATATTTTGGATGCTGACAGAGCTGAACATTTTAGTAGACAATAAATTACCTTTACTTTGATTTTTATCTTCATACAAGAGGACCATTACCTAGGAGAAATACAATCATGAAATAGTTACTCTGCTGAAGAATTTTAAAAGCCTAAATAACTAGAGGTAAGAAAAAGTACTTAACTCTTTTTCCTTTAAAAATGCCTTCCTTTTTAAAGAATAAAAATGTTTGGGTGCTTGTTTTCTAATTGAAATGTTCTTGTTCTTAATACACTCAATGCAGCTGGAAGGAACTGTAACATATGTCTCTCGTCCAGAAGAATTTCAGAAATGTCATTTTCTTCTCCAGTTGTGAACCTTCTTGTGTAACAAAAAACTCTCAATTATATACTAAAGTATGAAAATGTTATGTAGTGACTGAAATAGAGATGCGTTTTCATTCAAACTAAATAATCATGTTGTGACTTTGCTTTTTTAACATAAACATTTCAACACATTTAATTTTGAAAGCATATATAGCATATAGGGAATTTGACTATTATTTAATAGTAATATCTTCACATTATGGACTGGAATCCCCTTTCTTTAAAAAAAAAAAAAAAGCACTGCAGTATTTATGTTCTGCACAAAAATCTCTGTCCTAACATCTCTATGTTTCAGTGATTGTCTGGTTTGAAAATATCAGCAGTATAGAAAGAAGTTTCAGAGGGTTGGTCTTCCTTAAATCTTATATTGCATAAGTGAGGTTCAGGTACATGAAAGTTATATTGTTTATTTATTGTTTATATATTATATATTTATAAAGTTCATTGTTTATTCCTAGACTGAGTATTTTCCCTGGATGTCTACTCCCAAATTTCTTTTTAATTTAACTTTTATTTTAAGGTCAGGGGTACATGTGTAGGTTTGTTATTTAAGTAAACTTGTGTCTTAGGGGTTTGTGTATAGATTATTTCGTCACCCTGGTATTAAGCCTAATAACCATTAGTTATTTTTCCTGACCCTCTCCCTCCTCCCAAACTCCACCGTCCAATAGGCCCAAGTATGTTTTGTTCCCTTCTATGTGTTCATATGTTCTCATCAATTAGCTCCCACTTATAAGTGAGAAGTGTGTTCGTTTGCTAAGGATAATGGACTCCAGCTCCATACGTATTCCTGCAAAGGACATGATCTCATTCTTTTTTATGGCTGTATAGTATTCCAAGGTATATGTATGTACCACATTTTCTTTAGCCAGTCTACCATTGATGGACATTTAGTTTGTTTCCATGTCTTTGATATTGTGAATAGTGCTGCAATGAACATACATGTGCCTGGGTCTTTATGACAGAACAATTTATATTCCTTTGGGTATATACTCAGTAATAGGATTGCTGGGTCAAATGGTATTTCTGTTTTTAGGTCATTGAGGAATTTCCACACAGTATTCCGCAACAGTTGAACGAATTTAATTTCCCACCAACAGTGTATAAGTATTCCTTTTTTGCCACAACTTTGCCAGCATCTGAATTTTTTGACTTTTTAGTGATAGTCCTTCTGACTGGTGTGAAATGGTATCTCCTTGTAGCTTTGATTTGCATTTCTCTTATGATCTGTGGTGTTGAGCTTTTTTTCATATGATTGTTAACATCATGTATGTCTTCTTTCTAAAAGTGTTTGTGTCCTTTGCGCAATTTTTTAATGTGTTTTTTTTTGTTTTCTTGTACATTTGTCTAAGTTCCTTATAGGTGCTAGATGTTAGCCCCTTGTCAGATGCATAGTTTCCAAATTTTGTCCCTCATTCTGTAGTTTGTCTGTTCACAATGTGGACAGTTTCATTTGCTGTGCAGTAGCTCTTTAATTGGATCTCATTTTTCAATTTTTGCTTTTGTTGTAATTGCTTTTGTCATCTTCATCATGAAATATTTGCCTGTTTCTATGTGCAGAATAATATTGCCTATGTTGTCTTCCAGGGCTTTTATCATTTTGGGTTTTACATTTAAGTATTTCGTTCATCTTGAATTAATTTTTGTATCTAGTGTAAGGAAGGGGTCCAGTTTCAATCTTCTGCATATGGTGAGCAAGTTATCCCAGAATCATTTATTGAATATGGAGTCCTTTCCCCATTGCTTGTTTTAGTCAGGTTTGCTGAAGATCACATAGTTGTAAGTGTGTGGCCTTATTTCTGGGTTCCCTATTCTGTTCCATTGGTCTCTTTTCGTACCAGTACCATGCTGTTTTGAATATTGTAATCCTGTAGCGTAGTTTGAAGTTGGGTAGCATGATGCCTCCAGCTTTGTTCTCTTCACTTAGGATTATCTTGGCTATTTGGGCTCTTTTTTGGTTCCATATGAATTTGAAAATGGTTTCTTCTAGTTCTGTGAAAAATGTAATTTTTTAAAATAGAAATAACATTAAATTGCTTTGGGCAGTATGGCCATTTTAACAATATTGATTCTTCCTACCCATGAGCACAGAATGTTTTTCCATTTTTTGTGTCATCTCTAATTTATATGAGTAGTGTTTTTTACTCCTTGTGGAGATCTTCCACCTCCCTGGTTAGCCATATTCCTAAGTGTGTGTGTGAGTGTCAATTGTGAATGGGATTGCATTCCTGATTTGGCTCTCAGATTGACTGTTGTTGGTGTATAAGAATGCTATCAATTTTTGCACATTGATTTTGTATCCTGAGGCTTTACTGAAGTTGTTTATCAGCTGAAGGAACTTTTGGACAAAGACTTTTGGGCTTTCTAGATATAGAATCATGTTGTCTGCAAACAGGGATAGTTTGACTTCTTCTCTTCCTATTTGAGTGCCCTTTATTTCTTTCTCTTGACTGATTGCTCTGGCCAGAACTTCCAACACTATGTGGAATAGGAGTGGTTAGAGAGGGCATCTTTGTCCTATGCTGTTTTCCAAAAGGAATACTTCCAGCTTTTTCCCTGTCAGTATAATGTTGGCTATGGTTTTGTCATAGATGGCTCTTACTATTTTGAGGTATGTTCCTTCAGTAACTAGTTTATTGGGAGTTTTTAGTATGAAAATATTTTGAATTTTATTGAAAGTCTTTCGAGATAATAATGTGGTTTTTGTCTTTAGTTTATGTGATGAATCACATTTATTGAATTGTGTATGTTGACCCAAACTTGCATCCCAGGAATAAAGCCTGCTTCATCATGGTGGATTAGCTTTTTTATTTGCTGCTAAATTTGGTTTGCCAGTATTTTGTTGAGAATTTTTGCATCAATGTTCATCAAGGGTATTGGCCTGAAGTTGTCTTTCTTTATTGTGTTTCTGCCAGGTTTTGGTATCAGAATGATCCTGGCCTCAAAGAATGAGTTAGGGAGGAGTCTCCTCAATTTTTTTTGGAATAATTTTGGCAGCAGTGGTACCAGCTCTTCTTTGTACATCTGGTAGAATTCAGCTGTGAATCCATCTGCTCCTGTGCTTTTTTTTTAGTTGTTAGGCTATGTAGTACCGACTCAATTTCAGAGCTTGTTATTGGTCTGTTCAGGAATTCAATTTCTTCCTCGTTCAGTTTTGGAAGTGTGTATGTGTCCAGTAATTTATCCATTTCTTCTTGATTTTCTAGTTTCTGTGTATAGAGTTGTTCATAATATTTCTGGTGGCTATTAGTATTTCTGTGTGGTCAGTGGTAATGTCTCCCTTGTTGTTTCTGATTGTGTTTATTTGGATCTTCTCTCTTTTCTTATTTATTAGTCCATCTAGCAGTCAATTTTATTTTTTCAAAAAACAGCTCCTGTATTTTTGATCTTTTGAATGGTTCTTTATGTCTCAATCTTCAGTTCAACTCTGATTTTGGTTATTTCTTGTCTTCTGCTAGCTTTGGGACTGATTTTCTCTTAGTTCTCTAGTTTTTTTAGTTGTGAGGTTAGGTTGTTAAATTGAGATTGTTCTAACTTTTTGATGTGGGCCTTTAGTACTATAAATTTTCCTCTTAACACTGCCTTAGCTATGTCCCAGAGATTCTGATATGTTGTATCTTTGTTCTCATTAGTTTCAAAGAACTTCTTGATTTCTGCCTTAATGTCATTATTTACCCAAAATTCATTCAGGAGTAGGTTACTCAATTTCCATGTAATTGCAGGTTTTGAGTGAATTTCCTAATCTTTATTTCTAATTTGATTGTGCTGTGGTCTGAGAGATCCTTTGTTACAATTTCAGTTCTTTTAGTTTCAGTTCTTTGCTGAGGAGCATTTTATTTCTGATTATGTGATCGATTTTAGAGTATATGCCATGTGGCTATGAGAAGAATGTATATTCAGTTGTTTTAGGGAGGAGAGTTCTGTAGATGTCTGTGAGGTCCATTGAATCCAGTACTGGGATCAGGTCCTGAATATCTTTGTTAATTTTTCTGTCTCAATGATCTGCCTAATATTTTCAGTGGGGAGTTAAAGTATCACACTATTATTGTATAGCAGTCTAAGTCTTTTTGAAAGTCTCTAAGAGCTTGCTTTATGAGCATGGGTGCTCCTGTATTAGGTGCATATATATTTAGGATAGTTAGGCCTTCTTGGTCTTCTTGCTGAATTGAACCCTTTACCATTATGTAATGGATTTCTTTGTCTTTTTGATTTTTGTTGGCTTAAAGTTGATTTTGTCTGAAACTAGGATTGCAAACCCTGCTTTTCTTCTGTTTTCTATTTGCTTGGTAGATTTTCTCTTTATCCCTTTATTTTGAGCCTCTGTGTGTCATTGCATGTAAGATGGGTCTCTTGAAAACAGTATATAAATGGGACTTGGTTCTTTATCCAGCTTGTCACCCTGTGCTTTTTATTTGGGGCAGTTAGCCCATGTTTCTCCCTAGTTTCTGGTGGCTTTTTGGCTGGTAGCTGCATCAGTCCAATCTCTGTTCTATCTTCACATGGCACTCTTCTCTTATGTCTTTATTTGTTGTTTGTTTGTTTGTTTTTATAAAGACAACAGCATTGGTTGTAGGGCTCACCTTAATCTAGTTTGACCTCATCTTAACTAATTACATCAGGAAATACCCTGTTTTTATATCAGGTCAAATTCTCAGGTTCCAGATGGACTTGAATTTTAGAGGAACACTATTTAACCCAGTATTATCCTCAAAATAACTTCAACTTTTCTCTTTCTCCAATTTAATTCATCTCTCTCAGCTAACTTTATGTTTTTTTCTCATTCTGAAAACATAAATATTACATGTGAACAGAAGAAATGTGAATCATTAAGACCATGAGAATCCACGGATTGATTTTCCCATAGTAAGACTTTGCCTCCAAGTGTTGAACTTTCTTTCAGAGAGATCAAATATGTACTTGGTACACTGAAGTGCTTTTAAAATTCTTTCCTCAATGTTCTGCATTTACGGCATGCCAATGACAGTGTCTTATCTCTCTCGCTGTGTCTGTCTCCATTACATCCAGATGGGCCACTTTACTTCCATAAAGCCTTTAGAATTAGACAAAATTTGGCTCCAATAGACTTTGTTTTTGAGCTGTAGTTTTTCTCATCTTCAAAATTAATATGACAATGTTTAATTATCATGGTTGCTGCAAGATGAAATTTATTTGGCCTTGCATATTCACTTAAGTCATGAGAAACTGTTGGTGCCTATGTAGCTCATCACCTATGGCTCACTCTCTGGCTCCCTGAGCCTGCTTTGTGTCCTCTGGGGCAACCTTCAAACAGCGACCAATAGGGGTTACTGTATAAACATCCCTGCAAGTGGAATAACACTCTATGTGTTCTACACTGGCCCCCAGAGTTCGCTTGTTGGATTAAGCATTCAGTTGCCCACCTAGAAACTGACACAATATGGCATCCCTTATTGCCTTTTTTTCCTTCCCTGTCTCACCTCACTCTTCCTCTTAGGCTGTTTTCGGAGATTATCTCCCAAATAAACTACTTGCATTTGAATTCAACTAAGATAAATAGTCACTGTTATATCATTACTATGAATGAAATTTAAAGCTTTTAAAATGGTTAAAGGTGGTCTGTGTCCAGGTTTTAGGAAAAGATCTGATTATCTCTGAGATTCCTTTTTAATGGGCACCCTGCTAAAACCTGCCTGCCATCTCTTTCTCATTCAGTGTACTTTTTCTGATTTCCTGTTCAAGTCTTTTTCATTCAATTGAATTTTGCCTCTACTGGCATCATGCAATTTTCGAGGGAATTGTCCAGTGCCTCAGGCGCTTAAGAGAGGCCCGCCAAGCATCATGTATCATGATCTTGGACCACTCTGTTTGATGTTCCCTTTTCCTAAGGCATACACTCTAAACTCCTTGCCCTGACTAATTTCTAAACCACATTCAACCTTTCACTTGGACCTCCAAATAAATTTCAGAACTATTTGCCCTCTGAATTTTATGTATTTTGTCTTATTCAATAATTTAATAAATATATATTGAGTGCCTACCATTTCCTAGGCCTGTACCAGGTGTACAGATGTGCAGAGGACTAAATCTCCATCCTCATTCTGTGGTTCCCTTGCTTCACTCTCTCTGTGAAGCTTCTTATTTATAAGCAACAGAAATAAATAGGTTATTCTAAGTAGATAAAAGGAATTTACATAAGGGCATCTAGTAGCTTACAGAATTTGGGGGTTGGCCAAAGAATCAGAGTTGAAATCTACTCACCTCAGAACAATACCCAAAGTCACATCTCAGAAATGATTTCTCAGGAAAAAAAATGCTATTATCACTGCTGGTAGAACTTCTGCACTTTTGAATTCTTGATGCTGGATGAAGCTACTGCCTTTGCTGCCACTTTCTCTAGAGCGGATTTCATACTTTCCATGACAGGTGGTTCTAAAAGGTTCCCAATAATCCCCACCTCTTTGTATTCACATCCTTATGTAATCCCTTCTCCCTGGTGTAAGCTGAACTTAGTGACTTGCTTCTAATAGAATATGTCAAAAGTTAAGGGATGTGACTTCTGCAATGAAGTTATTAAAGATGTGTATTCTGTCTTGCTTGCATTCTCTATTTGGCTCTTCTTGTTTGCTAACAATGATGAAACAAATCCTGATGTGGTAGCTGACCTATGAATATGCCCATGTGGTCAGGAGCTGAGAGCAGCCTCCAGCAAAAAGGAAGGAAGGAGCTGAGGCCCAAGGTCCAACTGCCTATGAGTAACTGAATCCTGGCAACAACTATATGAGGAAGCATGAGACAGATCCTTTCCATTCATTCAAACTGTTGCCCCAGCCAACACCCTGACTGCATCCTTGAGACAAACTTGAAAGAGAAGATTCAGTTACACTGTGCCCAGATTCATTACCCTCCAAAACTCAGTAACAAATGTTGCTTTAAGCCAGTAAGTGATGGTGTCATTTGTTATGTGGCAATATATAACTAAAACACCATTCTTAGTGATTTATATTCCTACCTGCCGATACCAATCTGGTAAGAAAGCATTCAACTGGGCCTAGATCATACATTTGTACTCTAGATTCAAGGAGGAATGGAGGGCAAGAAACCAGCATTTTCATCTTTTATAGTTGGAGGTGTTTTCTTCCTCACAACAAAACATACACAGGGAGGGGGGTCCCGAAATATAGAAAAGACTTTTATATTCTGGACAGTTAAAAACAATGTATATTGTCCTCTATGATGACTACAAAGCCAGAAAACCAGCCCAAATCATGGTCCAATATGAAGTAAATATCTTGCCTTCCTATACAAATGCAGGCAGCAATTTTCCTCCATTATTTCCCTTGTGTAGGAAAGGGTCTCCTCCAATTTTTGCTGGGCTCCTGAAATAGGTGGGGCTTGGGAAGAAGATGGTGAAGTGTCTTCTTTAGACCTCTTATTGATTTCTAGGGCTTAATTTTATGTTGGTCCATATCAATTATTAGAAATAATTTATTTCTTATGTACTGTTTTATAAAGCTCCACAATTATCAGCTGGTTGAGACAAGAAGTGAAAACTCTGAAATACCAATAGGCTTTGCTCTTTCCCATGGAATATTTTCAAATAGATATCTACAACAGTCATTAAAAGTGTTAAAAGTCCAATGGAAAGGCCCAAACACACAAGACACAATAATTCTGCTTAGCAGCAAAATCATAGGCCTCAGAACAGAGAGGAGGAGAGCAAAGGCACCGTAGAGCTGTGCTTGCTGTTACAGGAGGAAACAATCCCAAGTGCTTAACTACCGCAAATCTTGGGGAAAAGAGATGCTAGCTTGAAGGCAGAAGTCCGTTTGTATGTGAAATCCATAAGACTGAAAGATATGTGCCATGTAGAAAGAAAACTTGCTGTAGAGGCTATAGGGAGAAATCCATGTCAACAGAAAACAGCCAAATTCCAGTGAGCAGAGAACCAGTAGGTATTTATCCAACACCCACCCTGTGCTTGTCCCTGTCTGGGCACTGGAGAGATTATGCGGATGACTAAAGCACATCCTACTTTCAAGAACTCCACAGGATCTTATGGGGGAAGAAAAAAAGAAATCAAGGCCAAGGCTGAAAGATATGAATAGAATAAGAGATTGTGTGAATACTGAGAAAGGAGGACATTGTGGTATGCCACTTATCATTATAGTATGTTGTAGAATGTCAAGAGCCTATTAATTTTCCTTTTCCTTATTAAACCTATTACTAATCTAATGTGTCCATAGGATTTGGAGCTGATGACAGCTGTACTGTTCAGGAGGGTGCATGCCCTAATTTTATTTTGAGAGGAGTATATAGTGTGGGTCAGGCAAATTATGGCAGACCTCTAGAAGATAATCCCAGAGGATGACTTCATGCTTTGGGTATCTGGACAAAGGGTTATGTAAAATTCCTACATAATGGGAATTACCTGTTATATTTATTTTTCATTTAATGATCTTACTGTCTTTCATTATCATCTTGATAGGTAAACTGAAATAATGCCTTGTCCTTCTAGCTGACTGCATGGCTTCTCTCTGCCCTTGAATAGCCTTAACAAGTTAATTAATAGTGACTTTTTCAATGTATTTGCCAATAGTACACATTAAATATGAGAAAAGCTGTCCTTTCTTCCTAATCAAAGTATATGTAATACTTGCTGGCAAACTTGAATGCATGAGTGATAGCAAAAACAATTCAGAGGAATGAGTGGAGCCACGAATTGCATGGTGCACTGGGAAAAATCATGACTGATAGAAAAAAAATTATTGTTCACTAATATGTAATTTAAGAGTATTCTGTGTACAATTTTCTTCATTATCTTGGCAGACAATATTGTAATAAGTATATAATTAGTGATATTAGTGGCATACATTTTTTTCAAAACAACAGGCATATTTGTGCAGAAATAAAGTTAGGCAATTTTAGTGAGGAAGTTGAACAATTACAGAATTCAGTATGTTAAGATTTCGTTCAAATAAGTAGTCATTAAAAGAAATGTTTTGAAAGTGGTAGGCTGTCATCTTTTGCTTGAGGAGTAGAATAATAGTGAAGAAAAAAGTTATGTTGAAAACATATTTCCTTCAAATGGTGTCAGGTCCTGTTTTCTGGGAGATGGATCACTCATTGGTTATGGGTTCTCAGTGGCACCACCTTTACCTGACATTACTGTTTGTGATCCTATTTCCCAACCCAGATGCAAGCCTGTTAGGACTTTAATTCTGTAGATCAGATATATATCCCTAAAACCTACAATTTTATGTGCAACTGTCAATTTATGGCCACTTTCCAAAACAGAGATTTTCCTTTGTTACAAATTGGCCACATCAAATAATACTTAAACCTAATTCGCTTTTGGTTGTACTAACCCATGAGCTTAGTCAGTGCTGCCCAACACTTAAGGGGCACCATTAACAATACATTGTGAAATACAGTGGACCTTTTTGTTGCTCTATTTCATTTTTAATTGACTCAGGTTATAACAAGGTGGTAAATAATAGACTCCCTGAAAGGAGGGGAATCCATCTTATTTATCTAGCACAGTGTTTGAGCCATAATTCAGTAACATTTACAGTTCATTGTTTTATTAAGTATATTCTAAACTCTTTGTATAGGAGAATATTTTAACAGAGTACATTTTTTCTTCTAGTTATTATGACTGTATAGGCTAATCAAACAAAATCACAGCCAAAGTGAACCATATGATGGCATGAACTTTTTTGAGGACATTTTTAGCCACAGTGCCCAGCACCATGTCTGCCGATAATAGATGTTTCATCAATCCTTTCATTCATCATATGGAATAAAAAAAAAAGCTTGTCATCTCTTATACAAAAGAAGAAAAGTATTTCTTAGAAAGATAATGTATAGTAAAGGAAAGCAAAGAAAGAACTTACATCATTAAACTTTACTGCAACCTCACACTGATTATTTATATACATTGATGGGGTAGATTTTATACTTAAAATAAGAAACAAACTTCGGCAATTTTATTTATGTCAACCAATCTTCTTCAAGTGTCCCCATTACTCTCTGACTTATTTTCAATAATTACAGATAAGAAACACTCATAGTGATGAGAAAGGTGAAATAAACCCCCATGCCACTTCAATAACTGACCCCCGCCCCCTAACCATCCCCACTTTAATAATGCTAAGAATCTCTTGGATGTTTACTACACTGACATTATGTTTTTCTAGGCATGTTACTTCCATAAATTTTGTGGTTTTTTTTTAGCTCTGGCCTAGACATTGTTTTGCAAAGCAAATAAATAAATAATAAAAGCTTTTGGAATTTCCACTTTTGTAGGGGTCAAAGGTATCATGTATAACAAAAGTCAACAAGACCAAAAGTCTAATTTTAGGCAGTGAAACAATATTTTTGAACAATAAATAGCATCACATTAAAATCAATGGTTAAGCTATAAAATAACATCAGAGAGTCAGTTTACTAATCAGCTTGCCAACCATCCCATAGCCTAGTTTGTATGTTTTCTTACTGATAATTAATTAATAAGTAGCCTTGCACTATATTTACATACAAACCAGAATCAAATCCTCGTGAACATAGAGCTACAGAAGCAACATTCTTCTCCTTCACTGTACCCTGCCATGATCTTATCCTTATTAAAACAAAACAAAACCCTCTTTTTCTATATCAGTTTCCCCAAGACACTTTGAGCTACATATTCTCTTTCTCTCTGTATGCTGTCTTTCTTCCTATACCTCTCCTTGAATTTGATTTGTGTCTCTATTATGCCACTTATCTCATTCTGCTAGGTAGTACATTTTAGTGTATTGTTCTATTCCTTTTTGTCATCTTGCTCTTCCTTAAATTATATGTGGCTTATTGTGCCTTATCCTCTAAAACATCTAACCCCGTAGGTGTTCAATAAGTAAACTTAATTGTTTATCCTCCATGTCCTACACATAATCCAGTTCTATAAGATTAAGTATATACAGGACTAGAAAAAGTTGTGTGTCAATTCAAGTGTACTGCATCTATTGTCATATTAGACCTCAGTTGACCTGAAGAATGGCTACAAAAACTGATGTGATTCAATTCCACTATCTAATTACATTTTTCCATTGTAATTAGAGGCTAGCAAGAATAGTCATATATTCTTGAGCAATCATAGTAAAGACACAATTGCAATAAAAGCAAAATGTGAGATTTTTGCAAACTTTTTGAGTATTAAATGTGTGACCTTGTGGATTAATCAACCAACTAAGATTTTTAATAATACTTCTGTGTATCATGCATATTCTTGTTTATGAATCTTGGTCTATTATTTCCTCAAATTGGTTTGTTTATGTTTTTAAATTCCCACATTTTGGGGGGGAAATGCCAAGTTAAATATTTTCTTTACTGACAGGTGACTAAGCCTCTCATCTTTAAGACCAGGGTTTGTTCACCCTGATTTCTCTTTTAAGTCAGTTCTTAAGTCTTGTTATTGTAAAAGCTTTTATGGCAAAGTTATAATAAAATTTTTAAGAATTGCCAAATATTACTTTGTTAAAAAATATATTTAAGATATATTTTTCCAAGTGCTAGTTAAAATAACTTTAATAAAACTTTACTTATTACTCAGCTATGTGGGGATTTTTTTTAGCAATAAGTTCCAGAAAAGCAAAAAAACAAAACATTGCCACATATAATCCTTTGACCTTAAGTGAATCTTATTTACCTGAGGATACATGACATTACAATCATTCTTAATGTAGCTATTTACTTGGGTTATTTGACAATGAGTAGATGATCCTTATTCAATCTTATATTTTCCTCATAAGACAGAAGACAATGCCTATTTTTAAACCATATTATTTGGTTCTAATGCATAGTACTGTTCAGATATGTGTGGTCTAATCTTAATGAAAGTAAATTTTAAGAGAGCCTTATTAATTAAAGTATATTTTTAGAATTAGCACTTATCCTGTTGAATCATGAGGACTGTGGACTTACTAGAAAGGAAAAAAGATAATTATACTGCACTTCTATGTAGTTTTTAAAATGAATTTTATTGTGTATATTTGAAGTTTACAACATGGTATTATGAAATACATACAGATATATAGGGGTGTGTGTGTGTGTCTGTGTGTGTGTATATATATACACATTATATCTATAGGTATATATATACACACACACTGTATCTATAGGCATATATATATATAGTGCAATGATTAGTAAAGAAGGTTAACATGACTATCATCTCACATATAGTAGTAACTTTTTTTGTGTTAACAAGAACAGCTAAAATCTATTTATTTAACAAAAATCCCTAACTCAGTACAATTGTACTAACTTTAGTCTTCATGTTGTACCTTAGGTTTCTAGATTTGCTCATTCTACATATTTGCTAGTTTGTGTCCTTTGCCCTATGTCTTTCTATTCCTTCTTCCTCCACTGCACAGTATTGTTTCATTCTCTATCTCTGTGTGTTTCACCTCTTTTTAAAATTTCACATGTAAGTGTGATCCTGTAATATTTTTCTATCGATGTGTGACTTATTTCACTTATCATTATGTCCTCTAGGCTTATCCATGTTGTAGCAAATGGTAGGATCTACTTTTTTAAGGATGAGTAATACTTCATTGTGTGTACATATATATGCCACATTTTCTTCATTCATCCATTGGTGGGCATGTAGGGGTTTTTTTCCCCTTGTATTGGCTGTTGAGAATGATATTGCAATGAACATGAAAGTGCAAATATCTTTACAAAGTAGGATTTCATCTCCTTTGGGTATATAGTCAGAAAAGGGATTGTAAATAAAGCTGTTTAGATTTTTTTCAAAAAACTCAATTAATTTCAAGGGACCTATTCACACTTTGTAATTCATTTTTCCTAAAAGCAGATGCAGCAAATTTAAACCAAATCCCTGAAGTATCTCTTCTGTATCCTCTCTATATTTTTAAATGGTTTGAAGGTGCTACTTTATATTAGAATAGTTTATAATGCAAAAGACCCTTTCCTGCGGTGTTACATAAAACATAGTTTCTTCATAAAATTCCTATTTTTTTCAACCACATATATGTGAGAAAACAAGTTATAACAAGGCAGGGATGTACAGATTAATGGTACAACCCAGGTTCTAGCAGGCAATAAGTAAAAGTCAAATTCCCAAGTAGCCAAATATATTTTAACTTCGCAATGCGGTTTCTTATACTATGGTGCAAGTGTTGATTCCAGTATTCTCATTTTAAAAGCTCTTCAGTCAATCAATGTTGGTCATTTAGTCATTTATTTAGCATCTTCCATGTACGAGAAGCATGTTAAGGGTTGTGAAGGGTAAAAAATATTTGAAGTTAAGGCTTCTGCCAAAAGTCGCCCCATGAAAGAATAACTAAAAACAGAAGGCTATATGTGACTAGTTCAAAATATTTTCAGTTCAAGAAATAACTATAGTGGGAGGTCAGATGACACAGAGTTCAGTGAAGGTTAGAGGGAGGGAAGAAAGCTGCTTTGGGAAAGTGGGTTTTGAATTTGGAAATAGAAACTTCCAGAAACAGAAATAAAATATGGATGTGCAGAAAGGACTTGCAGGACCATTCCAGCTGGGGAAACAGCTGTCAAATGACAGATGCAGGAAATTTAAATAAACACTTGGGGACAGTGAGAGGTTAATACAGAGGAGTAACTGGAAAATAAGTTTGTGTAATAGGTTTGAAACATATTTTAAGGGACTTAAATAATAACTTAGGAAATTTTCATTATAGTTTACAGCTCTCAAGAATTACTCTTTTGTCAGTGTTACAGAGGGAAAGAATAATTTAGAGAATGTACCTGACTGAATGTAAAATCTGGGTCAAAATCCAAGAGAACTAGAGTAGCCTAGATAATCTTGAGGAAGAAAAACATTCGGAGGATTTATATCATCAAGTATGTTTACTGTAAAGATTCAAAAATAAAGACACATAAGCATATTGGTACAAGAAAAGAAAAATCACTCAATAGATTAGCATGAAGAACCCAGAAACAGACCTGCACACCTAATATATAGCAAAGGCACCAGTGCAATGCAATAAGTGGTGTTATGTAAAAAGGATATTTGTGTAGGAATTTAAAAAATGTGAACTCTGATTCTGACCTTATATCATAAATGAAATTTGAGATGAATGATGGTCTGTTAATGTGAAGGATAAACACATACATAAGTAAATACGCAATTCAGTTTCTTAAAAAAAAATGAGCACAATGCTTCAACGTCACCTCAGGGGAAAAAAAATCCAACTAGCCAAGGTGCATATAAAATGGTGCTCAAGTTTATTAGCCCCCAAGGAAATGCTAATTAAAATCACAATAAATATAATTTAAACTCCTATCAAATTGGCTAAAAAATCAAACAATGGCCAGTATTAAGTGTTGCCAAGGGAGGGTGTGGCTCAACTGGAGATTTGATATTGGTAGGTGGGAGAGTAAATTCTGTCTACTACATATGAAATTATCTGGCAATGTCTAACTAAAGCCAAATGAATATGTCTTTTTATCGATTTTATAACTCAGCAATTCCACTCTTAGGTATATATCAAATACCAATGAGTGTTTATTTCTATTAAAAGATGTGCATGCAAACTTTATAACAACTTACAGAAGTTTTATTTATAATAGCCCCAAAATGGAGCAGTCTAAAAGTCCAATATTGGGATAAATGAATTGTGGTACATTCTTACAATAAGAGAAAAAAGACAGCATAAATATTTTTCATAGGTATTATGTTGAATGAAAGAAGTCAGACACTAAAGAATGCATATGGTATCATTTCATTTGTATGTAGTTCAAGACAGGGCTCACACTAGTGATTACCTTTGGAGGGTGGTTGTTGACTGAGATGAACCATGAGAGAGCCTTCTAGGGGGCTATAAATGTCTTATATTCTAATTTGTATAGTAGTTATAGAGGTAGATACATATAAAAAATTCATTGAGCTCAACATTTAGGATTTATGTACTTTACTGTAAGCAAATTATTCTTCAATATAAAATCAGAAAACTAACCAGATTTTAGAAAGTCTCACTTTTTTTAATTGCTCATCTACATGTTTTTCTCTGTGTATCCACTTTTGTATGCGTCTGTTACCTTCTCCTTTCTTAGTTGATTTACTCTTATTACTCATGTTGTCTGTTCACTGAGTCTGTGAACTTTTGCCTTGGCTCTCAGAACATAAACACCCAGGACCCTTGGTGTTGCTTGCTTCCATCTATGAGACAATACTTACAGCTAATATTAATTGTGAGTTACTGGGCTAAGTGTCTTATATGAAGTATCCCATTTAATTCACATAATGAACTCATGAACTAGCTACTATTTTCATTGTTTTACAGTTAAAATTTGAAAGATGAAGTAACTCTCAGAAGAACCAGCATTTAAATTTAGATTCATCATATTCCAGAGTTCAGGTTCATAAATATAATGCTATAGGAAAGCCTGATAACATGAGAAAGACTAATTCTAATTTTCCAAGTTTTTTTTCATATCAGCAGTGCAAATTGTAAGTCACTTAAAATCCTACAGATGGGCCAGTTCAGGCCGAATGAATGTGGAGAACACATTATAAAATCAATGCTTAGGATGATCATAGGGGCTCTGGGTGGAAGCCGATGCTCTGCCATTGCTGTACACTTGTTCAGAATTACATCACCTACCGGTCTCTTTCATTAATCAGAGGTCTCTAAAAATTAAAAAAATAGTATAAAAAAAGAAATATGCTAAATTTACCAATGGAATATAAAATAAATATTGATTAGAAATGAAAGAAGAGACATATTTTGTGTGCCAAACATTTCAAAAAGTAAAACGTTCTGGAGTCAGTTTTAAAAAAAAATCTGTCACTTCCTGACCCCCATCCGTAGACGCGATTGTAGAAATCATAAAACATCATCTAATTTGAAGCTAGACACGTCAGGAAGTGCATTTGAAAGATTCAAATTAGGCCGGGCGCGGTGGCTCACGCCTGTAATCCCAGCACTTTGGGAGGCCGAGGCGGGCGGATCACGAGGTCAGGAGATCGCGACCATCCTGGCTAACATGGCGAAACCCCATCTCTACTAAAAAAAAAAAAAAATACAAAAAAATTAGCTGGGTGTGGTGGCAGGCGCCTGTAGGCCCAGCTACTCAGGAGGCTGAGGCAGGAGAATGGCATGAACCCGGGAGACGGAGCTTGCAGTGAGCCAGCTTGGGCGACTGAGCGAGACTGCCTCAAAAAAAAAAAAAAAAAAAAAAAAAAAAAAAAAAAAAGATTCAAATTATTTATTTATTTATTCACTTTTATTCTTCTTTGGAATTAACAAGTAGACTTGTACAAAGTAGTTTTGTTCAGTGAAAAACAATATTTGATAACTGAAGCTAAAAAGCATCTATAGTATACTGCAGCTTCCTTTTTTATATAGACTAAAGCCTACCACGGTATGTTTTGAAAGATGAGATTTCTCTTAACGCCATGAGTATGAGTCCTATGTTGTCTATATAAGTATGTGCACATTTAAAGAAAAATGAACTGGGTTTTCTGTTCATAGAAGTTTAAATTGTGACTGATAATTTTCCAGCTGGATCTAGATAAAAGTAATTATTAACTTCAATAGAAATATATGGATTAGATACAAATGCATATGTTAAGTCAAAGTTCAGCATTAGCAAAGTTATGACTTTTGAAATTAATCCTCCAGTGTGAATAATTATTAATGAATGATCATGTCTACTGACTTATCCCAAAATATCATATTTATTGTCATAATTTAAAAGAAAATTTTATTTAAAATTATGAGTTTTGTAATAAAAAACATTGAATAAAGTTCAATACATAATTTAAGAATTCTCGCTGAGCTAGGATTAAAACTGAAATTGAAATGGATTTGCTTAAACATAGTAAATTTGTTGCTTTCTTTAAGTTCCCCATAAATGTCAGAATAAAGTATCTGAGGATCCAATATATTGTATATTGTTATTTTCTATCTTCTAAAAAATAATTTACATTTCTAAATTTTTTCTTCTCATTTTACAGTAAGGAAAACCAAGTTTCAAAACATAAAAACATCATTCCTAATGCCATTAGGAAATTGTTTGTATATAACTACTGAAATCATCATATGGTTTTAAGTCTTTAATCTGTTAATGTCATGAAATACATTGAACAGTTTCCTAAAGTTAAAACAACTTTGTGATCCCAAAATAAACCCAGCTTAGCATGTGTTGTGTGTATTTTTGGGATTTTGTTTGTCAATATTTTATTAAGGATTTTTTTCATCTGTATTTACAACAGTATATGATTCTTAATTAGTTTTATATGGTAGGGAACTAGTTCCTTTTTCAGCACCATGTAAGAGTTTCTTAAAATGTATTCTTGAATGTATGTTAGAAACCATTTAGAAAACCATTTGGGCCTGGTATTTCTACCTTTTTTGTGATTGCAATATTAAACAGAAAATGCAGAAAATATAAATATATGGCTTATTAAAGTATTATCACAAAGGAAGCACTTATTTGACTACCATCTTGATAAAGAAATAGAATATTATCCACAGCACAGAAACCCTCTGAGGCCCAAGTAGTACCACCTCTCCTCCCCAAAGTTAAATGCAATTCTAACTTCGAACACAATATTTACTTTTGCATATTTTAAAGTTTATAAAAATAGACTAAAAAAATATTATTTTTGCCAGGATGATTTTATTCTGCATTAGATTATGAAATTCATCCATGTTGTTGCATGTGTCTATGGTTCATCTGTTTTCACTGTTGCATAGCGTCTACATTGTTTGACTCTGCCAAGGAAATTTATCTATTCTACTCTTGCTGGACATTTGGGGCTTTTGCATTTTTGGCTGTTATGAATAATGTTACTAAGAATATGCTTATACATTTTCTAGGTGCACATGTTTTGCTCTCTATATGCATAGGAATGACACTGCTAAGGCAAAAGGTAATGCCAAACAGTTTAACATGGCTGCAATAATTTATGCTCACACAGCATTGTGCATGAGATCCTGCTGGTCCATATTCTTGTTAAAATTTAGCATTGTCAATCTTTATAATTTTAAGGATCGTGGTGGTTGTGTGATGATATACCATTGTAGGTTTTGACTAAATTTTCCTGATAACTAATAATTGAGTATCTTTAATATGATGAGTAGACATCTGAATACCCTCTTTCTGAAGTCTCTATTTAAGTCACTTGCCTTTTTCTCTTAGGTTATTGTATTTTTCTTATTGATTTCAAGCACTTTATTTTTATATACTGGATATGTATCCTTTGTTGGATGTGTATGTCTTGCCAATATCTTCTGCTACTTACTCCATGGCTTGCCTTTTTACTCTCTAAATGGCATGCTTTGATGAACTTCTTTTTTAAAATTAATTTTACTGTGTATGTTTGAGGTTTATAACATGATGCTTTGAGATACATATAGGTAGTAAAATGGTTACGATAGTGAAGCAAATTAACATATCTGTTATCTCACATAATTACTTTTTTGTAACAACAGAAGCTTAAATTTACTTATTTAACAAATATCCCCAATGCAATATAATTTTATTAACTATATCTCTCATGCTATATATTATCTCTCTAGATTTGTTCATCCTACATATTTGGTACTTTGTATCATTTGACCTACATATTCCCCTCTCCACTCTGCTACCCCAATGATTCTTATTTATAAAGTAGTCTAATTCACCATTTTTCCCATTAGTGTGCCAATCCTTTGTGTCCTATTTAATTTCTTTATATATGCCAAAATTATAAAATATATGTGTCTGTGTATTTGGCAAAAAGTGTTGGTATTTTTCCTATTACATGGGCCTCTACAATTCTTTTGTAAATGATAATTGAATATGCAGGGGTTGGGACAATGGTAGTCAGGATTCTTAGATGACCCCTAAGTTCTTAGCTCCTAGTGTACATATATCTTCTAGTTATTCCGTGGAACATTAATCTAGGTATTGCTGTAAAGGATTATTGCAGATATAATTAAGGTGCCAAATCAGTTGAGTTTAAGCTAGGGATATTATGCAGGTAATCTGACCTAATCACAAACCTTTTAATCCTGGATCTATAGATCAGTAACAGGGAAGTCAGAGACGTTCAGCCTGAGCAGGATTCTCTATTACTCACATTGAAGATAGAGGGAGCCATGTGGCATGGAATGTGGGTAGCTTCTAGGAGTTGAGACCAGAAAGCATGGAAATGAGAACTTCAGTCCTATAGCTGCAAAATAAACCTGAATTTTCTCAGCAATAAGAATAAACTTGGAATTATATGTTTTCCCAGAGCTCCAGAAAAGAACTCAGTCCAATCTACAACTTGATTTCAGCTGTATGGTACCCTGAGTAAAGGACCCAGGCACGCTGTGCTAGATTTCTGGCTTATAGAGCTCTGAGCTAATAAATGGCTATTGTATTAGGCTTCTAAGTTTTTGGAATTTTCTTCAGCAGCAATAGAAAACTAATATAAGGGTTTGCATTATTTTTTATGTGTTGACCTAGCACAATTACTTAAAAATTATTTTCTATCCCTACTGATCTTCAGTGCCAACATTCTAATAAATCAATTTTTCTATTTGTCTTTCCTTGAACCAGTTTGAAATTCATAATTACTCCAGCTAAGTAATATTTCTTATACCTTATAGAGAAAGCCTTCCACCTTGTTATTCTCCTTTGAGAGTATCTTTCCTCTTCTTGTCCTTTGTTAGAAACCATTTAGAAAACCATTTCTAAATGTGTATTTCCATATACATTTTGGAAGCATCAATAAATTACATATGCTGTCCAGATTGAGTTTGGAAGAGTTGGCAACTCTGTAATAATCAGTTTTCCAATACATAAACATAATCTATAATTTATTTTTCATATTACAAACTCATGCAGGTTGGAATATGTTATTTTTCATGTACAATGACATATTTCTAAGTTTTATATTCTTCTCCTTTATTTATCAACTAAAACTTTCAATAGACATTACACAAAAAAACTCAAACTCAACACATTCAAAATTGAAAACACTCTCATTTTTTCAAAAGTAATTACTTCATTCGCTTGTGCATTAAACTCTTGTGAAAATTGTTCTGAAAATCATTATCAGTATACTTACCAGGTATTATAAAATGGAAAGTTGTTTATATATTTTTCCCCATTAAGCCAAAAATGAAATTCCTCAGGGAGGAATGGTAGATAGCCAAAACCTATGAGTTGTTTTTGATTCTTATGACTCTCTTTCACCTAAACATTAATAATGAAGCAAATCATTTTCAGTTTATTAATCTCTCAGTTATGCGTACCCCTCACTTTCATCCCTGTAATTGTTCTAGTCGAGTCCCTTTGAACTATTTGCCACCGGAACTACTCTAATAACTTTCTAAATTGTTTTCTTCCTTCTATTTTCTACATATCTCTTAAATATTTTGATGCTGATTCCAGGGCAATGCCTCTTAAATCACAAATCTGATCATGACATTCCTCAATACCTGTTTAAAATTAGTCAGTGGTCCACCATTTTCTTCAGTGTAAAATCCTTGAATACATGACACTTTCTCCCACATTCTTGGAATTATTGGACTATCTTTTCATAGACTACTGATAAAATTACCTTCTACTAATCTTTCAAAGTATAACTAAAATGATCTTTTCCGGAAATTTTGCACGAGCTTCCTCAATCTCAACTGGGTTCATCAGCTGCAAAGAGTGTAGTTGGGGGTACTTATTTAGGCAGTTTGATTGAAGATTTTTACTATTTTCCATTTTATGAGGATTTCGTTGAAGTTGTTGAAGACCCATTTATCCCTCAGGTCCTTTGATAAACGACAACAAATGAGACTTAAACTATTTTCAACTTGTCTATTATTCTAGTAAGTTTCCCCTTTCTCCTTGAGAGAAGGGTTGTGAAATTGTACTCACTGGTTTTTACAATATAAAATTGCTACTAAAAATATGAATGAAAATAAACAAATGCTTACGATGAGATGTTTATGCTTTTACACCTCATTCCCTAGAAGCGGTATGTAGCAATTACAATATAGAGTTTGTTTACAGCAAGTTTTTTTACTGTGTTTTAAAAATATATTTAACAAGTATTAATTTAGAGCCTAGTACACGGGAGAAGTTGTGCCAGTTGTTGAGATATGAAGAGTATATCAGCTTCTCTTGTAAGAACATCTCTTTCAAGGAGTTTAAATTATAAACAGAAACAGAGTACCATGATTAGTACTGTGATGGCCTTGTGTAAAAGGAGCTATCATGCCAAAGGAGATTCCCCGTGTTAGAAAGCTGTGTTGGAGAAAAATCTCAAATCAGTGAAGTACACTATTTTCCACCTGCTTTTACCTACCTACACCTATTTCCAATCACACCACATTTGGTACAGTAGTGCTGTAAAATAATTGTTATCTCTCTTTGATTTAATTTCAAATTCTATTTTAGATTCAAGGAGTACAAGTGTAGGTTTTTACATGGGTATATTGTGTGATGGTAAGGTTTGGAATATGGATGATCCCTTCACCCAGGTGGTGAGCATAGTGACTGAAAGGTAGTTTTTAGTCTACGCCCTCACTGCCTAGTAGTCCTCAGTATCTATTGTTCCCATCTTTATGTCTATGTATACTCAATGTTTAGCTCCCAGTAAGTGAGAACATGTGGTAATTGGTTTTCTGTTTCTGCATTAACTCGCTTAGGATAATAGTCCCCAGCTACATCAGTGTTGCTGGGGGACATGATTTCATTCCTTTTTATGATTGCATAATATTTGATGGTATATATGTACCACATTTTCTTGATTCAATCTGCCATTGATAGGCATTTAGATTGATTCCATGTCTTTACTATTGTGAATAGTGCTGTGACAAACATATTAGTGCAGGTGTCTTTTGGTTAAACAAATTTATTTTCTTCTGGATTTATACACAGTGATATGATTGCTGGGTTGAGTGATAGTTCTGTTTTGAGTTATTTCAGAAATCTCTAAACTGCTTTCCATAGTGGATGAACGAATTTACATTTCCACCAACTGTGTATAAGTGTTACCTTTTTTCTGTAGCCTTGCCAGCATCTGTTATTCTTTAACTTTTTAATACCAACCGTTCTGACTGTGTTTTTGATATGCATATCTCTGATGATTAGTGATAATGAGCACTTTTTCGTATGTTTGCTGGCCATGTGTGTGTCCCTTGAGAAGTATTTGTTCATGTCCTTTGCCCATTTTTAAGGGGATTATTTTGTTTTTTGCTTGTTGATTTAAGTTTCTTATAGATTCTGGATATTAGACCTATGTCAGACATAGTTTGTGAATGTTTTCTACCATTCTAATAGGTTGACTGTTTACTGCATTGATATTTAATTTTACTGTGAGAAGCTCCTTGTTTTATTTTTCCAAGTTAGTATTTTTTATTTTAAATTTAGAAGATCAGACAAGCTATAATTGCATAGATGAAAGGATTGTTCATTCAGAATATTTCTGAATGAATAAGCATTCTACAGAAAATAACACTTTTAAGGGCTGATGCCAACCGCAAGCTCAGGGAATTGCAAATTGTAAATATGATCAGCTATGGCTTCACAGCTGACAAAATGATAACAGTTAAAATTTGAAGATTACAAGTGGGAGTTATGATGTATAGTAACCTGAACTCTTATACAAGTTACTGAGAGTGTGAATTTTTACAACCAATTTGGAAAATAATTTGGCATTAGACAGTAAAGTTGAAGACGTCTAAAATCTATGATTCAGCAATTCTACACTTGGGTTTAGATAAACTGTATTCGTGTGTCTGAAGCTCTGTATCAGATAATTCACAGCAGTGTTGTTCCTAATAGTTTCTAACTGAAAATAAATAAAATATTATTAATTTTAGAATAGTGAAATTAAATATAGTCACATTTAATGCCATGGCTGGATCACTGAAAAATAATACTGAATAAAAGTATAAGTTGAAGAAAACATAAGGTATTATCATTTAGGTAAACTTAAAACATGCAGAGTTAAACCTCATATTGTTAAGGGGAAACAATATGAAGTAAAATAGTATTTTTTAAGTCACAGAGATGACTAACACAAAATTCGTGGCAGTGGTTATTCCTAAGAGGGAGAAAGGAGGGAGATTCAGGGGCACACAGAGGACATATATATGGCTAATAGAAGCATTTTCATTCTTAATCTGGGTCAAACTGTGTACTATGCATACAGTTTAAAAGTATTATTTTTCAGCTGCAAAAACAATAAAATACTTAGGAATATACCTAACCAAGGAGGTGAAAGACTTCTACAGGAAAACTACAAAACACTGCTGAAAGAAATCATAGATGACGCAAACAAATGGAAACACATCCCATGATCATGAACGGATAGAGTCAATACTGTGAAAATGACCATACTGCCAAAAGCATTCGACAAATTCAAGGAAATTCTTGTTAAAATACCGCCATCATTATTCACAGAACTTGAAAAAACAATCCTAATATTCATATGGAACCATAAAAGAGCCTACATCGCCAAATCAGGACCAAACAAAAAGAACAAATCTGGAGGCACGACATTATCCAACTTCAAACTATAAGGTTATAGTCACCAAAACAGCATGGTACTGGGATAAAAATAGGCACATAGATCAATGAAACAAAGCAGAGAACCCAGAAATAAAGCCAAATACTTACAGCCAACTGATCTTCAACAAAGCAAACAAAAACATAAAGTGGGGAAAGGGCAGCCTATTCAACAAATAGTGCTGGGATAATTGGCAAGCCACATGTAGGAGAATGAAACTGGATCCTCATCTCTCACCTTATACAAAAATCAACTCAAGATGGATCAAAGACTTAAATCTAAGCCCTGAAACAATAAAAATACTTTCCAAAGATAACTTTGGAAAACCTCTTCTAGACATTGTCTTAGAAAACGACTTCGTGACCAAGAACCTAAAAGCAAATGCAACAAAAACAAAGTTAAGTAGATGGGACTTAATTAAACTAAAAAGCTTCTGCACAGCAAAAGAGATAATCACCAGAGTTAACAGACAACCCACAGAGTGGGAGAAAATCTGCACAATATGCACATCTAACAAAGGACTAATATCCAGAATCTACAACGAACTCAAACAAATCAGTAAAAGAAAAATACAAACAATCCCATCAAAAAGTCAGCTAAGAACATGAATAGACAATTCTCCAAAGAAGATACACAGATGGCCAACAAGCATATGGAAAAATGCTGAACACCACTGATGATCAGGGAAGTGCAAATGAAAACAAATATACGATACCGCCTTATTCCTGCAAGAATGGTCATAATCAAAAAACAAAGAAATAATAGATGTCGTCGTGGATGTAGTGAAAAGGGAACACTTTTACACTGCTAGTGGGAATGTAAACTAGTACAACCATTATGGAAGACTATGGAGATTCTTTAAAGAACTAAAGTAGAACTACTATTCATTCTAGCAATCCCACTACTGGATACCTACCCAAAGAAAAAGAAGTCCTATAAAAAAGACACTTGCACACGCATGTTTATAGCAGCACAATTTTCAGTTGCAAAAATATAGAACTAGCTCAAACGCCCATCAATCAATGAGTGGATAAAGAACATGTGAGATATATATATCTATATTTATATATATAGATATATTATCTATATTTATAGATATATTATCTATATATACACCATACATATGTATATATACACATATGTATGTGTGTAAATATAATACACACATTATATATACACACATATGTATACATATGCATATGTGTGTATATAATACATATACATATATGTATATGATATATGTAATACATATGTGTATATATGTACATATATATGCACGTGTGTATACATATGTATACACATGTATATATTATATAGAATATATGTATGTATATATAGACACACATACATACACCGTGGAATACTACTCATCCATAAAAAGGAATAAAATAATGACACTCGCAGCAACCTAGTTGTAGTTGTAGACTATTCTAAATGAAGTAGCGTGGGAATGGAAAACTGAACATCATATGTTCTCACTCACAAGTGGGAGCTCAGCTAGGGGACAGAAAGGCATAAAAGTGATACAGTAGACTTTGTGGACTCAGAGAAAACGGTGGGAGAGGGTGAAGGATAAAAGACTACACACTGAGTACAGTGTACACTGCTTGGGTGATGAGTGCACCAAAATCTCAGAAATCACTGCTAAAGAACTTATTCATGTAACCAAACACCACCTATTCCCCCAAAACCTATTGAAATAAAAATAAATTTAAAAAGAAGAAAGTAAAGAAAAATATTATTTTTTCACTCAACATCTAATAAATTGTTAAAGTGATAGTAACAAAAATTCACCTCATTGAAAAAATTGTGAACCTAGAGTTTGAAATGACTCTTATCCCGAGAAAATAATAGTCACATAGCAATTGACACCAAGTCATATCCTAGGTAAGCTATTAAAGTGATGGAAACAAATTCTAGGCAGAAAATCCTAGTCAGCCCCAGAGGGGGAAAAATATGTTTGGCATTATCTTTCTCTATGGGGACCTCCAGTATTAGACTATGTTAGAGTAATGCCTACAAAGTACTGAATAAAAGAAAATGTCCTCAGAATGTAACATCCAGGCAAGGTTCTATTCTATACGAAGAAAAAGCATACATTCAGAATTATGCAAGGACTTGGAGAATTCAATTTTTCTGAACATTTTTTAAAAATATCACTTGATGATAACATCCAGCCATCCATTATACAAATCCAAATGACTCAGGAATTGACAAGCTTTGGTGAAAAAAAGACAAATAATTAGCGTTGTCTATATAAATATGAAAATAAGAGGAAATAACTCTGAAATGTGTTGACAGAACATATAAATATTGCAAACCTTAATATGAAAAATAATATAATAAATAGAGATTTGGGGTAACTGAGGAGGAAAAAATTGTTAAAAAATTAAATTTTTCATCATTCTTTGTAGCAAGTAAACAGTGTCTAAAATTCAAACATGTACCTAAAATATAGTGAATCCACGATTATAACGTTTGTGTTAATCATTTTCATTACCTAGTGGAATCTTTTAGGAAATAATCTACATATAAAATATTTATTATAAGTTTTAGCTTCCTCTGTTTTATTTCACAATCCTTTTATTTTAAAATGATGAAGTAACATGTAGCTTTTAAAAACTATAACCTGTGAAGAAATATTACAATATTTTATAAAACATTCTCTTTTTATGTCAGCTTGTAAATAGATCTTTTAAAAATGTATCTATTATTTAAGGAACTTATTTTCTGAATGGCGGGATTTGTGGTGGTTTTTCTTCATTTTTGCTTTAGCCAAGTTACATAATTATCAAAAGACATATTTTTAGAGAAATAATAGTCACATTTTAGAATATGCTTATACATTTTTACCCAATACTTTTTCCTTTAGGAATCTGTCTTATATAGATTCTCACAGAACATAGTTAAAAGGGTAGGCTTGTAAAGTTCACCTGCTTCTGGTGAGACCACCCTTGCCTGTACAAATGCTCCACTGTTACTCTTTTCGTCCTATTTTACCCTGATACGAAACTAGACAAACATTACAAGAAAACAAACACAGACCATTGTTTTGAAAGAAGTGAGCTACATGAGAAATGATTTTGTGCTTCCACTCTTAGAATCATTATGCTCATCATCACTGGCCATCAGAGAAATGCAAATCAAAACCACAATGAGATACCATCTCACACGAGTTAGAATGGCGATCATTAAAAAGTCAGGAAACAACAGCTGCTGGAGAGGATGTGGAGAAATAGGAACACTTTTACACTGTTGGTGGGACTGTAAACTAGTTCAACCATTGTGGAAGTCAGTGTGGTGATCCCTCAGGGATCTAGAACTAGAAATACCATTTGACCCAACCATCCCTTACTGGGTATATACCCAAAGGATTATAAATCATGCTGCTATAAAGACACATGCACACATATGTTTATTGCGGCACTATTCACAATAGCAAAAACTTGTAACCAACCCAAATGTCCAATGGATTAAAAAAATGTGGCACATATACACCATGGAATACTATGCAGCTGTAAAAAATGATGAGTTCATGTCCTTTGTAGGGACATGGATGAAGCTGGAAACCATCATTCTCAGCTAACTGTCGCAAGGACAAAAAACCAAACACCGCATGTTCTCACTCATAGGTGGGAATTGAACAATGAGAACACATGGACACAGGAAGGGGAACATCACACACCAGGGCCTGTTGTGGGGTGGGGGGAGGGAGAAGGGATAGCATTAAGAGATATACCTAATGTTAAATGACAAGTTAATGGGTGCAGCACACCAACATGGCACATGTATATATATGTAACAAACCTGCACATTGTGTACATGTACCCTAAAACTTAAAGTGTATAAAAAAAAGAATCATTATATCATGCTCTACCTTTATGTTTGCCTCTACTCAGTAAGAAATACATGCATTCTAGATAGTCCTCCCCATTCCTGCTCTAACCCCCTATGCCATGCTCTGTGCATCCTCATGCATTCCTTTCTCACCCTCTCACACTGGCACACGCAAATCCTTCTACTGGACTCTTTGCAACTTACAATCAACTCATAAGCATCTTTTATTTTTTCCATCTCTTTGACAAAAGTTTTTGCAGTAATTGAAATCTATTTATTTTCTAGAGATATAATCGCTCTTGCTGTCCTCTCAAATAATGGTAATTTCCTCTCACATACATCTTATACCAATATTCCTGGATGTGGGCTTCTCATTATCATTTCTAGGTCATCCTATAAGAGCAAGTTCCCTTGAAGCCTATGGAATCAGACTTCTTCACGTACTTCTCAGAGTGTTGTAATCTATTTTCTTCCCTGACATTCCCCATATCCCCTTGAAGATATTAGCATTTTGGTTCAATGCATTTATTCTCACCATTTTCTAGCCCTCATTCTGATTAACTCCATAGGATCATCAATCCAATCCAATTATCAGTTTCTTAGCCTTCTCACTTCCTCCACATTGTCCTGCCTATGCCAACTTACCACTCACATGGTCACTCCCTGCACTCGACCAGTAATGAGAACTTGACATGAGCTATATTTCAGCCACCCTGATTTCAACAACTGTGTGCTGCCTTTCCATTTTGTATCTCTAGTAACTGGATTCTAACAATTGTTCCATCATTCCAGAATAAATTTTTTTCCTTTTATCTCTTTCATATCTTTATGTCCCTTCTTATCCAACTTATATTTTATGGTTCATGATTAAAAGTTCTCCTAGAACAATCAGATAGTAGATTAATAACACAATAGAGGACTCAAATAACACTATAGATTAATTGGATCTAACAGACATTTAAGAACACTGCATCTAACAAAGTAATATACATTTTTCTCAGGTGTGTATGAAATACTTCCCAAGATAATTCATATGTTGGGCTATAAAATGACTTAAAATGTTAAAAATATTGAAATTATATAAAATATATTTTTCACATTCACAATGAAAAGAAACTAAAAAATAAATAGCAGAAGGAAAACTGGAAAATTAAAAAATATGTGGAAATTAAATGACACATTCTTAAACAAACAATAAGCCAAAGAATAAATCGCACAAAAAATTAGAAAATAGCTTGAGATAAATATTGTGAAAACACAACATAACAAAACTTATGGCATGCAGCAAAAGCAGTGTTAAAAGGAACATTCACAGCTATAAATGCTTAATTAAAAAGAAAAAAGCTCTCAAACAATATAACTTTAAGCCTTAAGAAAATAGAGAGAGGAAAAAAAAAGAAATGATAAAAATTAGAAGAGATAAATAGGAAAAGAATGGATAAAATTAATGAAACCAACAGCTGGTTCTTCACAAAATCAATAAAATTGACAAAATTTAGCTGGATTATCTAAGAAAAAAGAGAAAACTCAAATAACTAAAATAATAAATTGAGCATATTGCCAAAATTTTACAAAAGTACAAAAGAGTATAATGAACAATTGTATGCCAACAAATTATGCAAACAAATGAACAAGTTTGTTCATTTCATGTAGGTTACATAGATGAAATGAGCAAAATACTAAAAACACATCCTATAAAAACTGACTCAAAAAGAAATAGAAAACCTGAACAGAATTATAGGAAATAAAGGTATTGAGACAGTAATTATAAACCTCCCAGCAAAGACAAGCCCAGGACCAGATGTGCTTCACTGCTCAGTTTTAACAATCCTTTAAGTAATAACACCAATCTCTCTCAAACTCTTCCACAAAATGAAAGAGAAGGTAATGCTGCCTAATGCATTTTATGAAGACAGCATTATGCTGATACTAAAGGGCACAAAAACACTAAAAGAAAATAAAACTACAGACCAATGTCCTTTATGAATATTGATGGAAAAGTCTCCAACAAAATACTAGCAAACAGAATTCAGCAGCACATTAAAAGGATTATACATTTGGCTAAGTGGGATTTATTCTCACTTAGTATATAAATACAAAGATTATTTAATATACAAAAATCCATAGGTATGATGTACCACATTAAAAGAATGAAGAACAAAAATTACATAATCATCTCAATTGATTCAGAAAGAGCATTTGACAAAATTCCCAAAGACAATGTCCACAAGGGTATTTTGTCACTTTTCTTCTAGGGTTCTTATAGTTTGAAGTAATATATTTAAATCTTTAATCCATCTTGATTTAATTCTTGTATATAGTGAAAGGTAAGGGTCCAGTTTTGTTCTGCATAGGGCTAGCCAGTAATGACAGCACCATTTATTGAATAGGGAGTCCTTTACCCATCACTTATTTTTGTCAACTTTGTCAAAGGTCAGATGGCTGTATGTGTCTGGCTTTAGTTCTGCATTCTCTAACCTGTTCCTTTGGTCAATATGTGTGTTTTTGTATCATTACTATGCTATTTTGGTTACTGTAGCCTTATAGAATAGTCTGATGTCAGGTAATGTGATGCCTCCGGCTTTGTTCTTCCTGCTTAGGATTGCTTTGGCTATTCAGGCTCTTTTTTGGATCTCTATGAATTCTAGAACATATTTTTCTAATTCTGTGAAAAATGATGTTGGAAGTTTGATAGGAATAGCATTGAATTTATAGATTGCTTTGGGCAGTATGACCATTTTATAGATACTGATTCTTCCATTCCATGAGCATGAAATCGTTTTCCATTTGTTTTGGTTATCTATGATTTCTTGCAGCAGTGTTTTGAAGTTCTCCTTGTAGAGATCATTTACCTTCTTGATTAGCTGTATTTCTAGGTATTCCAGGTTATTATTTCTGATCATCACAGACAATACTGAATTCTCAATTAGGCTCTCTGCTTGAATGTTATTGGTGTATAGAAATGCGACTGGTTTTTCTACATTGATTTTGTATTCTGAAACTCTACTGAGGTCATTTATCAATTCTAGGAGCCTTTTGATGGAGTCTTTAGGGTTTTCTAGGTACAGAATAATATTATCAGTGAATATAAACAGTTTGACTTCTTTTCCTATTTGTATGCCTTTTATTTATTTCTCTGGGCTAGAATTTCCAGTACTATTTTGAAGTCATAAAGGTAGGCATCCTTGCCTTGTTCAGTTTCTTAAGGGGAATGCTTCCAGCTTTTTCCCATTCAGTATTACGGCTGTACGTTTATCATTGATGGTTCTTGTTATTTTGAGGTATGTTCTTTCAATGCCTAATTTGTTGAGGGTTTTTATTATGAAAAGGTTTTATCAAAAGCCTTTTTTCACATTAATTGAGATGATTATGTATTTTTTGTTTTTGATTATTTTATGTGGTGAATCAAATTTATTGATTTGTTTATGTTGAAACAACCTTGTATTCCAGGAATAAAGCCTACTTGATCATGATGGATTAGCTTTTTGATGTCCTGCTGGATTTGATTTGCTAGTATTCTGTTGAGGATTTTTGCATCTATGTTCGTCAGAGATATTGCCTTGTAGTTTTCTTTTTGTTGTTGTTGTTGTGTCTTATGGGCAAAATACTTAAATAGACATTTCTACAAAAGAGGTATATAAATGTCCAATAAACGTACGAAATCATGCTAATCATCAAGGAAATGCAAATCAATAAAAGCACTAAGAAATACTACTTCATACACTTTAGAATTGCTATTTTAAAAAATAAAACAGAAAATGACACGTGTTGGCAATAATGTGGAGAAATTATAACCCTTGTGCACCAGTGGTAGAAAATGTAAAATGGTGCAGTCCTTGTGGGAAAAGATGGCTGTTCTTCCAAAATTAAACTAGAATTACCATACGATCCAGCAATTACACTTCTGGGTATATGCTCAAAAGAAGTGAAAGCAGAGACTTAAACAGGTATTTGTACACTCATATTCATAGGAGCATTATTGACAATGGCCAAAAAAATAGAAACAACCCACTGTTCATCAGTGGATGAATGGATGAATACAGTGTGGTATATACACACAATGGAATATTATTCACCTTAAAAATGAATAAAATTCTGGCACATGCACAACATAGATAAACCTTGAAGACATTATGCTAAGTGAAATAAGCCAACATAAGCCAAATGAAAAGGAAAAATATTGTATTATTCTACTTATATGAGGTATCTAGACTAGTCAAATTTACAGAGATGGAAAGTAGAATGGTGGTTGCCAGGGGTTGGGGGAGGGAAGAGTGGGAAGTTTCAATTTAATGAGTAGAGTTTTAGTTTGGGAAGGGGAAAAGTTCTGGAGATGGATAGTGGTGATCCTTGTACAACAATGTGTTCTTAATGACATTAAGTTTAATGACATTAAACTCTACAATTACAATTTTAAAAAGTACCTTTATCATCAACTCTCTTGCCTGGTGAAATTCCAACACCAATTAAATCAGAATAATTCCATGAACCTTTGTAGTTGAACTTGGCTGCAGAAAAGTGACAAATATTGCTGACTGATCTTTCTATAAATTTAAACCACAACAGTCATACTGATCCTTTAACAATCTGTCAGATCATCTTTCTCTTCTTGATAAATTCAAAAATGCTTTCCCATCACAAAATAAAATCCAAGTCCTTATACAACCTGGCACATTTATTGCTCATGTATTTCATTTCTACTGCACTTTCCTTTAATTACGCTATGCCTACCCACACTGGCCTTCAGGTTCTGTCACAATGCCAACCATATTTCCACATTGGGACCATTGCATTTGCCATTGTGTACAGACTTGGAATGCCCTTCCCCTAAATATTAGCTAGATGGTTTCCCTCACGTTCTTTAATTTAGTAGTCAAAATTCACCTTAGAGAGGCTTTCCCTGCCCACTTTGTCTGAAAGAGCAATCTCACCACTCTCTTTACCCTTATGCGGTTTTATTTTTTTTCTCATAGCACTTAACACCATGTGCTATTATATGACATAATTCATTCTGTGTCCATTGTCTATTTTCATCATTAGAATAATTTCATGTCAACATTGACTTTTGTTCAGTGTTATATTTTCAGCACCTAGAGAGTGTCTGCTAGTTGGCTGTATGTCCAGAAGAATCAACATATGTAGTTTAGGTATTTCTAAACCACGAAAGTTGCTTAATACACATATCCCAAGAATGTGCTAGAGGCAGAGTTAACAGTGTTTCTAGATTAGCTGCTCTCTTCATTGTACATTGTAAATGACAAACAACTAGAGCATCAGGGTCCCTTTGCTGCACCCACAGTCTTGCTTTTCCAGTCGGTATTACCATTCTTTCAGGAGGTTTGCTCCTAGAACTGGTGATGTAAAGAAGGGAAGTAGCTGTATAAGAACTTCAAGGGCTAATCCCTGGAAAGGAAGCAAAGGGATAATACCTTTTTAAGGGAAACAGTTTTATCAGTATCATTTGACCAGCCATAGATATGAGTTTACAGAGGCTTCCTGGCCTTTCTCCCAATTATGTTGTCTCTAAAACATGGAGACTCCATTTATCCCTCACCTAATGTAGCTACTATGGGCCATATTACCAGTGTGCATCGTGCTCTATAATTCCTAGTAATTTTTATTCTGAATGTGAAGGGAAGTGTCTTTCAACTTAAGAATCCCCAGGAGGACTTTATTATACCTCAGAATTTGGAAGTGCCCTGAAATTTTACTTTTAAAAATTATTTGTACTTTTTGAGGTGCTATAACATTCTTATATGTATCATTCTGTAATTAACTCTCTAGCTTAACTATAAATGGTAACTAAATTTTAAAGAGCCAATTGTAGGTATCCCAATATAACATTAAGAAAAACTAAAGGAATACACTTTTTTGCTACTTTGTTGGGGTGAAGTACTTAAAAGGGTAAGGTAGAAAGAAGAGACAAAGTCCTGAACCTTTCAAAATGGGAAATTAATTTTAAACTTAAAAACATGTCTTCATTACCTATTGCCGATACTGTCTTTGCATAAATAAATAAAAATAAGAAATATTTTAAAAAACATGTTTTTAATAATGCAATTACTTACTGGCTCCTCATAAAGAGCTTAGCATCTAGCCTAGAATAAGAATTAGTTACATGGGTGGATCCTAACATTCCTTTGAAATTTTTATGCTTTATATTTGAACTTTTCCAATCTCTTCAAGAAGATGAGCTCTTTGTTGTCTCATAATGGACTTAACTTTAGCCTGTTTATGTGAGCAAATTGTGTCTTTTGTAGGCTTTTAGTTTAATAGAATGAACTATGACAGTCTGATGTTATGCACATTGGCAATTTTGACCCCAGTATGGTTGAATGTATAGAATGTGAACATACACTAAATAGCTTTAAAACCCTCTCTTGTCTTGAACTGGTGAATTTTTACGTTAGCAAAAACTAATTCTAGAAAATGTGCCTACTGATTTTTTTTGGAATTAGGGCATCTTCTCTAAGTAATTTATGTTTTTAAAAAAATTATTTTCAAGTTTGTTTGTGATGAACCAAATCCCACTGCTGACTGGTGGAATTTTTAGGTGGATAATAAAAACAATATTTTATAAAGAAAACAGCTCTTATTTATTTAAGGAAGATGCTCTAATGAGGGTCAAAATCATATTTTGCAGTGTTAATTATTTCTCTATGAGAGGCCTATTATGTTAGCTCCATGCATGTATAGCTATGAATATATAGCTATGTATATATTTGTATATGCCTTATAGATTATGGTACGTTAGAGAGTCTTACCATGTTCCTCTACAGGATGTCTATTTAAGGTTTTCTATTAAAAATACTTTTAATCAAATCAATTAGTTCTTTTTCTGCTTAATCATACACTTATCCCTGTTTGAAATAATACATGCAGTGGAAATCCACTGATACTCATCCACCAAAAATATTTTAGTCATTTTCTCTTTGGAGCCAGATAAAGTTGAAATTCATTGTAGGTGGCTTAGAGTGTATTATTAGGTATTTTTGTGCTGTCTGACTTTCTGAAACTCCAAACACTTTTAACGATTAAAACAATTTTACTTAATAAGAGGCTTTGTGGTGAAATGATTGACTAGTTGCTATCTGCAAACAGCAATTTATAACCAAAAGGAGCTCTAAGATCCTGAAAATAATTGGTAGCTCGTTATTTGAATTAAATTGCTGAGTTTAGCTTTCCATTTAAATTTAAGCACAACCACATTTACCAACTATTAGTGTAGGCTTGGTAAATGAGTGTGCTCCCTCATATCACTCTTCCAAAACAACAAAATGACAGTGGAACTATAAATGGATGAAGTTCCAAAGGCTTAATAATTCAATTAACTAAATCAGTATTCAATAATAAAAAGGTTTGCTCCTACTTTCAAAAGGATATCTTTGCATTAAAGTTTCCTTACAAGTGGCTGAAGGACTAGCTAGACAGAAAGTTGCTATTTGGAACTTGGTCCTGAATGAGCACACAGTGTAACTCCATTTATGGCCACTTAGCTCGTTAACAGTCTCATGGCTAGAGTACCCAGAACCATTCTATATCTCACCGAGCCTTGGATGACCAGAATCCATAAGTTAAATGTGGGCAGGGACACATAACACAAATGGGTCAGTGCTACTATTCAGAGCTTGGGGTTATGCTGCGGATGGTTTGTCATCTTACATGAAGGACGAGATCTGAGTTTGTAATATTATAGGCCCCCTGATTCCAACACAAGCAGAGATGCTCAATTATTCCAGGCACTGCGCTAGACACTTTGCCTAAAGCAATTATCATCATCACAATAATCCTCTGATGAGGACTTTATTATTCTCCATTTAGATATGAGGACACTGATCTTCATAGTTAATGAATGAGCCAAACTATTGAGATTTTTTTTTTAAATTTAGGATTACTTAAATCCAGTGTTTGGTATCTTCCTACTAACCCAGTCTTTCTTAAAGCATTTAGGGTTTCAAATGAAATAGATCTATCCCCGTTATGTTTCAAAGACAACATGTTAGTGGGTAAATTGATGGTTCTGTGATTGCTTCAGTAGTTCCTAACTAAGGGCTGGGATTGCCACATGAATGAGCAGGTTAGCTTGATAGGCTCAGTGGGAAGGTCTCTCTGCACAGGTGTGCAGCCTTTGAGAAGTGCAGAGACAAGCTCCTTGCTGTTATTACGCAATGTGTTATTTCAGGACAAATTTATGCTTCTCCTAGGGAGCCTTCTAGAGTAATAATCTCTGACAAATGGTGATCCTGCTATACCTAGTCTCCCTGAATAGCTCCACCTGAATTTATTTTGCATGTAAATTACAGTGCTCATGTTAAAGAATCCCATAGATGTAGCTTTATTTCTACTTGTTAAGACCAAAAAGAAAAATGTAATGATTTGTTAAGATCATCTTTCAATCATTCTGCACTTTCTCCCAAGTGTTAATTTTCTTGCAAGTAGAAATAAGGAACTTGGGCTTCCCTTCCATTAAAAAAAAAAAAAATACCATTGTGAAAGTTTATGTGACCAGGTCCTGCAAACAACCAGAGACAAATATAAGCAGGTGTGCATATCATATCAAAATACTGCATTTTCCTTTTCTTGCATTTTTAAACATTAGTCGCAACTTTGTTTTGTTTTAATTTAGTGGAAAATAAATGTAATCGCTGTAATTTCATGTATAATTATTAGTAAAATGCCACTTTTACCTTTTCCATGGTCCTCATTTATTGTCCCCATTCTCTCTGTAAGCAGAATCTCCCCCAGGTGCTTCAAATTTTCAATGCTCAATTCCAGATTGATATTCTTTCCTCTACCATTAACTAAAGCTTTATCTGTGAAATGATTATTTTGTCCCATTTTTTCTTGATTAAAACAAACCAAAAGATGAAATTAAGAGAGAAGTAAGTAGAATAAAGCTCTCTTTATTACCTTTACCTTCTTCTAAATTGTTCATTGAGTAGCTTGTGAGGAGAGGTCATTAAAAGCATCATTAGTTGAAAAACACAGGCTTGTCTTTCCACATCCCCTACAGTTATATATCACACACTTCTTCTATAATTAGAATAATGCCAGCACTTTATAAATGGTCACTGACTGGTCTTGATTTATTAAAAGTCTAGACAAGTAAATGCACAAGATAGCCCTTTACACAGGGAGTATCTAAGTTTCCCTTGCTATATATTCAGACATCTAAAAGTTGTCCAGAATGTGCTACCATATCATCCTTTATTCTTAGGAAAATTCATTGTTTGTCCTGGTGAAAGTCAGTTTTACTTTTCTAGTCTTGTTTTGTTGGTTATATAAAGAATGGAGTAATTTTCAGCATCTATTCAAAAGCTTAATTATTTATAAAATTAAATAGTTTTTAAAATGAAAGTAAAATAATGTTATTTTATATTTAGTACTTTTGGAAGGTCCAGAAGGATATGTTCTGCTTAGTTAACCACATTGTGTTTTTTCTTTTGGAAATGCAAAGAAAGTATCTAATAATTTAAATATATATATATATATATATATATATATATATATATATATATATATATAATTTCTCTCATTTCTTCTTTTTAGCAGGGATCTACTTGTCTCTACCCAGAAATACAGATATAAAGTCAATGGAAGAGATAGATAGATAGATAGATAGATAGATAGATAGAAAGACAGACAGACAAAAAGATAGATGGATAGCTATTATTAACCTTTTATGACATTGAAAGAATGCATGCTGCCCTCTGGAGTCCACAAAAGGAAAATGCAAACCAAGTTTTTCTATCATCTTTAATATTTAAAATGTTTAATGCTACAAGTTGGAAAATAAACTGTATCTTTTACCTTTGCAATAAATAACATATAAGTAGCGCGACTAACAGGGAAGGGTTATGTTGAATCCTTAATTTGACCTTATGACGCATGTTTTCATGAAGTAATGAGGATTTTTCCCCTTACAATTTACTCACTATGTCTTTCCCAGTTACCAAAGGGCACAGAAATAAGTGTTAATGAAGAGAAAAATAGAGGATGAGATTAACAAAAAACAAATTAATCTTTGTGCCTACTTAATATCTTTTTGAAATATATATTACTTTGCACTTCAGATCATACTTTAAACTTTCTTATATAACATGTATGCCAAGTTTATGAAGTGAAAAATGTGGTTAAGAAAGATGATAATTAAAGAAAAGCTGTGAACATGGAATTGGGAATATATTCTTTCTATAGTAAGGCAACTTTTCTCTTATGAAAGTTAAAATAACACAGTGAAAGAGAAAGCCTTTGCTGCTACCTACTGAAGTGTGTGTGTGTGTATGTAGTGAGATAGATAGATGATAGATATATAGATAAATAGATAAATATGATCTCAGGCTTAGAACATAAGAGGTTGATTAATCATAAAAATGCAAGAGTTTCTATTTCGAGTATTCACAAGACTTAAGAAGTAGTCATTAGGAACCCAGATATTTGGAAAATTTCTTCCTGGAAAGGCTCTTCCTTCTTAAAATTAACATTTTTAATAACACTTCAAGGTTCATTTAAAATTTAAGTCCAAGAAAAGCTGTTCTCTACTTCAATACATTTTAGGAACTTACTATACTTTTTGCTGTGTCAACATCTCTAAACAATTCTACAATGTTTTTCAGAGTGTCACCTATTCAGAAAGGTTTTATTTTAACATATACACAATTAGATTGACTTTTACATCACGCTTCTAATGTAAGATTATTTACCTTCTTTTATGCATAATATGGTGAGAATCATTCAGGTTATTTGACTTATTTCTTAGCAAGAACATGATGCAGCCTGGATTAAAAATACAAATGGATGACTTCAAATTGCTTCTCTTTTTACTTAGCAAACTTTAAGTCAAATATATATAATCTGTATGGACACAAAATATAAAATAAGTTCAAGAATAAATTCTCTACAAAGTCATGCTGATAAACAATGTATAAATAATAACTGTGTATTCTTAAAAAATGAAGGAAGGGAACAAAAAGGAAAAAAGGACAGTGAAGGAAGGAAGGAAGGAAGGAAAGAAATGAAGAAGGGAGGGAAGAAAGGAAAATCAGCATTTCACTCAGTGACATGTATTGCCTTTTATATTTTTCATTTGGCATAGGAAAGAGCATAAATATATTATTCCAACTATGAGGATGGCAGAGGTATTTCTGACATAGCAAACTCAGGTATAGAGAAAAGAATATTATGGGAGAGTAAAAGAACCTAGGATGATAAGGAGCCACCAGGGCATAGCTGTGGTTTGTTGGAAGAAATAGTTGACTATACAAAGACATTTAATGAGAAAAGAAAATAGAACACTCTTTTAAAGGGTACATTTTTAAAACCATTTTCCATCTGTGTTCCTAGAAATGTGAGTTCAATCAATGAATAATTCTTCCAAGGCAGATAAAGGAAAAATGCAGAATGTATTCACTTGGCCAAGATATGCAGGACAGTCAACTGGTAACAGCTTCAGTTGCCCTGGCATCAAGGTTTAATTGAACCAAAAAGCAATTCTGAAATTTCAAAAGAAAATTATTTCTTTTATGAAATCTGTAAAATTGGACAGGAGCTTTTGAAGACATAAAACTAAATTGAGGGTAAAATGGACTTATGAATTCAAACCATAAAGGTTATCAATTTTATCCCCATTTAGTTTAGTTAAGTATAAAGTAATCATTTTCTTTCCATCCCACTTCATTTTCTTTGCTTTTATATCCCTATGTCACAAATTCAGTATGCAGACACTGTGGCAGAATGTAAAACATGAACAATTGCAATATCTTGGTTCTATTGGAAGCCATGATATTCTGGGACCATGTCTTTAGGAAAACTTTGTCAGTTGACTTTCATTGCTTTAAAAAATCTGATATATCACACTATATTGTAATACAGACTGATTTTTCTGTCTGTCTTCCACATGAGCATGTCATGTTGAGAGAGTTGTTGACATTTGTTTCTATGCCACTAGTACTTCCCTCAGTATCTTGGTATATATTATGGCACTCAACAAATGTTTAAAATATGATTTGTTGGGGAAAAGTATATGATGGGGAAAATTATATACTTTAAAACTATATACTTTTATATATGGTGGGGAAAAGTATATGACGGAGAAAAGTATATATGATGGGGAAAAGTATATGATAGAGAAAAGTGTACATGATGGGGAAAAGTATATGATGGGGAAAAGTATATACATGGGGAAAAGTATATGATGGGGAAAAGTATATACATGGAGAAAAGTATATACTTAATACCCAAATGGTGCTTTGTAACATAACAATGGCAATATCTTACTGGTATTGTGGAAACATATAAATTTATTTTTGCTTTCAGTCTATGGCTCAATGAAGATCTTCTGCTAGTATGAAAAGATGTGGTTGATCTTGACTAGATGTGAGCATGCACTTGTAGTCAGTTTGTGGGTTGCCTGAGAGCTGGTTGACGTAGGATATCCTCAACTGAGAACTTACATCTTTTCAGCATGTTCTCTAATCTTCCCATTGGTTAGTCCAGGCTTATTCTCTGGAATGTGCAGGCATCCACTAAAGTTTCTAGTCTTGAAACTGGCAAAAGCCTCCTCTGCTTCATTCTGTTGACCAATGCAAGTCACAGGACCAGCACAAATTCAAAAGTGGAAAAATAGACTATACCTCTTGATAAGAGAAGCAGCAGTCCCTTACAAGGCTCATGGAGACAGTGAAGCCATTAACTGGTACAATCAATGTAGTACACACTACCTAAAGGGCATTATGCTAATTTACATATGTATCCAAGTCATCCAAAACTATGACATGAATTCTCTCACAGATATATAAATAAATATAATTCAAGGGCGTATGTCAGATTTGTTCAAACTACTTTTGTTTAAAATAAGTTTCTGATGAAAAAAGGGAATTTAGAAACAAAACAATCATTTAAACACTGAGAACCACAGCTCAAACAATAAAGAAATTATACAATAAAGATGCTAATGAAACAAAGAGAAGGAAGGAAGGAGGGGGAGGAACAGATAATGACTAAACAGAGCAAAACAGCTAAACTGCTGCAATCAAAGCAAGTAGCAAGAAAACAAAAGGCACTGATTAAATTCAACCTCTCTGCTCCCAAAATAATATGTGTGCTGCATGGTTTTTGACAAACAGTATGGTAAAGATCTAAGTTAGATTACAGCAAGCATTATTGATTCTATTTTCATTCCTATTAGAGGAAAGATGCAGTTCCTTGATCAGTTGGAAAAAAATGCATATTAAAGTACTATTGTACAACTGTAGCAGGGCCACTTGAAGTTATTATGTCCTTGCTCTGGCCTTGAGGCTTTGGAAGAAAACCATATATTGTCGTTCACATTCAGCTTGGCAGAGTGCAAAATGACATATCATCAAAGCCCCTGTATTTGCAAATCAAGAGACCAGTTGTCTGCTTGAGGACAATTTACATGGTGTTGCGGCAAAGCCAAGGCCAAAGGCTGAATGTTAGAAACATGAAATAATTAGCAAAAGAAGGTAGTGATGAAGAAAACCAAGAAAGCCTTAACATTTCCCTCAGGTAGATTATACACAGGCTGATTCCTGCCTCTAAGTCCCTGAACTGCTTCTCATGCAAGCGTTACAGAATCCAGATGGCCTAACCACAGGGTCGCTTTACTCACTTTCCTTAGATCATTTACATTAAAAAAGTTGTAATTGTAAAATCTTTCTTTTCCCCTTTCAGATGTAGATCCTTTTAAAAGTCTGTTGACAGTTTTTACAAAGACCTGAGATCTATCCTTTTGAAATGTAATCATTAAGGGAAATAGCACTCCTATTTTCTAGTGTCCCTGGGAGTATAGGGTCCTATTTCTGGTGGGCACGTAGGGCTAGGTGTAAAACTTCCTTCTGTCATGAAGATACAAAGAAAGTTTACTTCTTTTTTTTTTTTTTCTTATTTTACTTTCAGTTCTGGGACACATGTGCAGAACATGCAGGTTTGTTACGTAAGTATACATGTGCCATGGTGGTTTGCTGCACCTATCAACCCATCATCTAGATTTTAAGCCCCACTTGCATTAGGTATTTGTCCTAATGCTCTCCCTCCCCTTGTCCCCACCCCCTGACAGGCCCCAGTGTGTGATGTCCCCCTTCCTGTATCCATGTGTTCTCCTTGTTCAACTTCCACATATGAGTGAGAACATGTGGTATTTGGATTTCTGTTCCTGTGTTAGTTTGCTAACAGTGATGGTTTCCAGCTTCATCTATGTCCCTGCAATGGATATGAACTCATTCTTTTTAATGGCTGCATAGTATTCCATGGTGTTTATGTGCCACATTTTCTTTATCCAGTCTATCATTGATGGGCATTTGAGTTGGTTCCAAGTCTTTGCTATTGTGAATGGTGCTGCAATAAACATATGTGTGCATGTGTCTTTATAGTAGAATGATTTATAATTCTTTGGGTATAGACCCAGTAATGGGGTTGCTGGGTCAAATGGTAATTCTGGTTCTAGATCCTTGAGGAATTGCCACACTGTCTTCCACAAAGGTTGACCTAATTTACACTCCCACAAAGAGTGTAAGAGCATTCCTATTTTTCCACAGCCTCGCCAGCATCTGTTGTTTCCTGACTTTTTAATGATCACCATTCTAAATCGTGTGAGATGGTATCTCATTGTGGTTTTGATTTGCATTTCTCTAATGACCAGTGATGATGAGCTTTTTTTCATATGTTTGTTGGCCACATAAATGTCTTCTTTTGAGAAGTGTCTGTTCATATCCTTCACCCACTTTTTGATGGGGTTGTTTTTTCTTGTAAATTTGTTTAAGTTCCTTGCAGATTCTGGATATTAGACCTTTGTCAGATGGATAGATTGCAAAAATTTTCTCCCGTTCTGTAGGTTGCCTGTTCACTCTGATGATAGTTTCTTTTGCTGTGCGGAAGCTCTTTAATTTAATTAGATCCTATTTGTCAATTCTGGCTTTTGCTGCAATTGATTTTGGCGTTTTAGCCATGAAGTCTTTGCCCCTGCCTATGTCCTGAATGGCATTGCCTAGGTTTTCTTCTAGGGTTTTTATGGTTTTAGGTTTTACATTTAAGTCTTTAATCCATCTTGAGTTAATTTTTTTATAAGGTGTAAGGAAGGGGTTCAATTTCTGTTTTCTGCATATGGCTAGCCAGTTTTCCCAGCACCATTTATTAAATAGGGAATCCTTCTCCATTGCTTGTTTTTGTCAGGTTTGCCAAAGATCAGATGGTTGTAGATGTGTGGTATTATTTCTGAGGCCCCTGTTCTGTTCCATTGGTCTATATATCTGTTTTGGTACCAGTACCATGCGGTTTTGATTACTGTAGACTTGTAGCATAGTTTAAAGTCAGGTAGCGTGATGCCTTCAGCTTTGTCCTTTTTGCTTAGGATTGTCTTGGCTATATAGGCTCTTTTTTGGTTCCATATGAAATTTAAAGTAGTTTTTTTTTCTAATTCTGCAAAGAAAGTCAATGGTAGCATTGAATCTATAAATTACTTTGGGCAATATGGCCATTTTCATGGTATTGATTCTTCCTATCCATGAGCATGGAATTTTTTTCCATTTGTTTGTGTCCTCTCTTATTTTGTTAAGCAGTGATTTGTAGTTCTCCTTGAAGAGGTCCTTCCCATCTCTTTTAAGTTGTATTCCTAGGTATTTTATTCTCTTTGTAGCAATTGTGAATGGGAGTTCACTCTTGATTTGGCTCTCTGCTTCTCTATTATTTGTATATAGGAATGCTTTACTTTCATTTGGATAAGGCCAATTAGCCAAAAACTGTCATATGATTTTCTTACTTTAACTCCTAAAAGCTCAGACTGGATTCTGGTTTCTCCCCTCTATTGTGATAGCCTTGTATAAAGTCTTCCTTTCATGTTTAACTGTGGTGAAATTTTTCATTGACAAACATCCATACATTAGCAAAACTGAAATGTTTATAAAGCACTTCTGAAATTTAAAAAGAAATTACAGAAATTCTAAGAAGACTGAATGTCTCTACACTAATTAATGAGCAAATAGTTTAACTTTTTGGTAAGCCCCTATTATTCAGAACTGAATTAAGTTAGGCTAAAACTAAGAATAGTTCCTCTTAATTGAGTGAAGAAAAAAATGTCTTCTGTCATGTAAATTGTATGTGAACTTTCTCTCTGAAGTCTCCTTCTCCATGGATATTTCTGTTTAGCCTTAACAGCATACACTGCTGCCCATGGTTTCCCTGTGAAGAAAATAGAGAGGGGCTTATAATGGAAAAAAAAATGGCCTATTTAAAAATTAGCTAAATTTGTATCTGATTAAGTTTAATTCCATTCTAATGTACTTTTAACATCTGCGTCTTAGGTTATAGGCCTTGTTTGAAGGCCTAAGGGAATTAGATTTCGATAATCTTAGAGTCTAGTGAGGAAGACTGATGTTCACACAATGACCCCTAGAATACATGCAAAGAAAAAACGCAATGAGAGAGGGACACACAAAGAATCAAAGATTTTATAGGCAGGAGCTATTAGCATTCAAGTAGTATAAAGGAAAAGATTGGAAAGAGGATGCCCAATAGCCAGTTCTTAAAGAATGAGTGGCAATTCTAAGGACATACAGAGAAAGGAAGAAGATTCTAGGTGAAGGCAATAGATTGAATAGGGATAATGAAGCATGCATGTGTATGTGATGTCCTATGGAGGTGAAAACAAATTAAGACAGAGTCTGATAAAATGATAAGGGCCAATCCCGCCTAACGGCTCCACATTTTAAGAATTAATCCTACAAAACATTACTGAAATGTGAGATTTGCACTTTGAAATATTAACTTATAAAGTTGTTTTGAACTGACATACATATTATATTTGTTATTAATTTATTGAGAAATAAATGTATTTATTTTAAACCACATCCATTAAAAGTATACGATATAATGAACTTTGATAGTTGTACACACCTATGAAACCACTACTACAATCAAAATAGTGAATATATCCATCATAAGAGTAAAACCCAGCCCCACACAACAACTGATCCACATTTCTCATTATAAACTATTTTTTCTTTTGTAGAATTTTGTATTAATGGAATTGTAAAGTATGCACAATTTTATGTATCTAGCTTCTTTCAGTCCACATAAGGATTTGGAGAGTGGTACATAATAAATGTGAGCTTAAATTTTTAAGAATCTGGCAAATGATTTTCTAAAGTAGTAGTACCATTTTACATTTCCACCTGCAGTGTTTAAGAATTCCAGTGGCTCTACTGCAAAAACATGCCAAATTGTAAAGACCATCGATGCTAGGAAGAAACTGCATCAAGTAATGGGCAAAATAACCAGCTAACATCATAATGACAGAAGCAAATTCACACATAACAATATTAACCTTAAATGTAAATGGGCTAAACACCCCCAATAAAAGACACAGACTGGCAAATTGGATAAAGAGTCAAGACCCATCAGTGTGCTCTATTAAGGAGACCCATCTCACGTGCAGAGACACACATAGGCTCAAAATAAAGGGATGGAGGAAGATCTACCAAGCAAATGGAAAGCAAAAAAAAGCAGGGGTTGCAATCCTAGTGTCTGATAATAGAGACTTTAAACCAAAAAAGATCAAAAGAGACAAAGAAGGTCCTTACATAATGGTAAAGGGATCAATTCAACAAGAAGAGCTAACTATCCTAAATATATATGTAGCCAATACAGGAGCACCCAGATTCATAAAGCAAGTCCTGAGAGAGCTAAAAAGAGACTTAACCTCCCACACAATAATAATGGGAGACTTTAACACCCCACTGGCAATATTAGACAGATCAATGAGACAGAAGGTTAACAAGGATATCCAGCGCTTGAACTCAGCTCCATACCAAGCAGACTTAATAGACATTTACAGAACTCTCCACCCCAAATCAACAGAATATACATTCTTCTCAGCACCACATTGCACTTATTCCAAAATTGACCAAATAGCTGGAAGTAAAGCACTCCTCAGCAAATGTAAAAGAACAGAAATCACAACAAACTCTCTCTCAGACCACAGTGCAATCAAATTAGAACTCAGGATTAAGAAACTCACTCAAAACTGCACAACTACATGGAAACTAAACAACCTGCTCCTGAATGACTACTGGGTAAATAATGAAATGAAGGCAGAAATAAAGATGTTCTTTGAAACCAATGAGAACAAAGACACAACATACCAGAATCTCTGGGACACATTTAAAGCAGTGTGTAGAGGGAAATTTATAGCACTAAATGCCCACAAGAGAAAGCAGGAAAGATCTAAAATTGACATCCTAACATCACAATTAAAAGAACAAGAGAAGCAAGAGCAAGCAAACTCAAAATCTGGCAGAAGGCAAGAAATAACTAAGATAAGAGCAGAACTGAAGGAGATAGAGACGGAAAAAACCCTTCAAAAAATTTATGAATCCAGGAGCTGGTTTTTTGAAAAGATAAACAAAATTGATAGACTGCTAGCAAGCCTAATAAAGAAGAAAAGGGAAACAATCAAATAGACACAATAAAAAATGATAAAGGGAATATCACCACTGATCCCACAGAAATACTACCGTCAGATAATAAAGAGTAGCTGGTATCATTCCTTCTGAAACTATTCCAATAGATTGAAAAAGAGGGAATCCTCCCTAACTCATTTTGTGAGGCCAGCATCATCCTGATACCAAAGCCTGGCAGGGACAAAACAAAAATAGAGAATTTTAGACCAATATCCCTGCTTAACACTGATGCAAAAATCCTCAGTAAAATACTGGCAAACCAAATCCAGCCGAACATTCAAAAGCTTATCCACCATGATCAAGTTGGCTTCATTCCTGGGATGCAAGGCTGGTTCAACATATGCAATTAATAAACGTAACCCATTGTATGAACAGAACCAAAGACAAAAACCACATGAGTATCTCAATAGATGCAGAAAAGGCTGTTGACAAAATTCAACAACGCTTCGTGCTAACAACTCTCAATAAACTAGGTATTGATGGGACGTATCTCAAAATAATAAGAGCTATTTATGACAAACCCACAGCCAATATCATACTGAATGTGCAAAAACTGGAAGCATTCCCTTTGAAAACTGGCACAAGACAGGGATGCCCTCTCTCACCACTCCTATTCAACATAGTGTTGGAAATTCTGGCCAGGGCAATCAGGCGAGGGAAAGAAATAAAGGGTATTCAATTAGGAAAAGAGGAAGTCAAATTGTCCCCGTTTGTAGAAGACATGATTGTATATTTAGAAAACCCATCGTCTCAGCCCAAAATCTCCTTAAGCTGATAAGCAACGTCAGCAAAGTCTCAGGATACAAAATCAATGTGCAAAAATCACAAGCATTCTTATACACCAATAAAGGACAAACAGAGAGCCAAATCATGAGTGAACTCCCATTCACAATTGCTTCAAAGAGAATAAAATACCTAGAAATCCAACTTACAAGGGATGTGAAGGACCTCTTCAAGGAGAACTACAAACCACTGCTCAACAAAATAAGAGGACACAAACAAATGGAAGAACATTCCATGTTCATGGACAGGAAGAGTCAATATTGTGAAAATGGCCATACTGTCCAAGGTAATTTATAGATTCAATGCCATCCCCATCAAGCTACCAAAGACTTTCTTCACAGAATTGGAAAAAACTACTTTAAAGTTCATATGGAACCAAAAAAGAGCCCACATTGCCAAGACAATCCTAAGCAAAAAGAACAAAGCTGGAGGCATTACGCTACCTGACTTCAAACTATACTACAAGCCTACAGTAACCAAAACAGCATGGTACTGGTACCAAAACAGAGATATAGACCAATGGAACAGAATAGAGCCCTCAGAAATAATACCACACATCTACAACCATCTGCTCTTTGATAAACCTGACAAAAACAAGCAATGGAGAAAGGATTCCCTATTTAATAAATGGTGCTGGGAAAACTGGCTAGCCATATGTAGAAAGCTGAAACTGGATCCCTTCCTTCTTACACCTTATACAAAAATTTATTCAAGGTGGATTAAAGACTTAAACATTAGACCTAAAACCATAAAAACCCTAGAAGAAAACCTAGGCAATACCATTCAGGACATAGGCATGGGCAAGGACTTCATGGCTAAAACACCAAAAGCAATGGTAACAAAAGCCAAAATTGACAAATGGGATCTAATTAAACTAAAGAGCTTCTGCACAGCAAAAGAAACTACCATCAGAGTGAACAGGCAACCAAAGAATGGGAGAAAAATTTTGCCATCTACCCATCTGACAAAGGGCTAATATCCAGAATCTACAAAGACCTTAAACAAATTTACAAGAAAAAAAATCAAAGAACCCCATCAAAAAGTGGGCAAAAAATATGAACAGACAATTTTTAAAAGAAGACATTTATGCAGCCAACAGACACATGAAAAAATGCTCGTCATCACTGGCCCTCAGAGAAATGCAAATCAAAACCATTATGAGATACCATCTCACACCAGTTAGAATGGTGATCATTAAAAACTTAGGAAACAACAGGTGCTGGAGAGGATGTGGAGAAATAGGAATGCTTTTACACTGTTGGTGGGAGTGTGAACTAGTTCAACCACTGTGGAAGACAGTGTGGAAATTCCATAGGGATCCAGAACTTGAAATACCACTTGACCCAGCCATCCCATTACTGGATATATACCCAAAGGATTATAAATCATGCTGGTATAAATACACATGCACATGTATGTTTATTGCAGCACTATTCACAATAGCAAAGACTTGGAACCAACCCAAATGTCCATCAATGATAGACTGGATTAAGAAAATGTGGCACATATACACCATGGAATACTATGCAGCCATAAAAAAGGATGAGTTCATATCCTTTGTAGGGACATGGATGAAGCTGGAAACCATCATTCTGAGCAAACTATCGCAAGGACAGAAAACCAAACACTGCATGTTCTCACTCATAGGTGGGAATTGAACAACGTGACACTTGGACACAGGGTGGGGAACATCACACACTGAGGCCTGTCATGGGGTTGGGGGGATGGGGGAGGGATAGCAATAGGAGAAATACCTAATGTAAATGACGAGTTAATGGGTGCAGCAAACCAACACGGCACGTGTATACATATGTAACAAACCTGCACATTGTGCACATGTACCCTAGAACTTAAAGCATAATAAAAAAATAAAAATAAAAAAAGAAGAGAAAAGAATTCCAGTGGCTCTATATGCAGAACATCAGTTGAATGTTTTAGTCTTTCAAAGTTAAGTTTTAGCCTTTCCGGGGAGCAGGAAGTGATATTTCATTATGACTTTTATTTACATTTCCTTTTTAACTAATAATTTTGAACACTTTTTCCATGTGCTTGTTAGCCATTTTTATACCTTGTGAAATATCTGTTTGAATCTTTTCTCCATTATTTATTAAATGTTTTTCTTAATATTGAGTTGTAAGAATTATTTGTATATTTTAAATTCAGGTTTATCATAAGAAAAAAATATTGAATATTTTCCCCTCCTGAGAAGGGCCATTTTGATTTTTTAATGTTGTCTTTTGAAGATAAAAATAACATAATTTTTAAAGTCCAATTTTTATTAAGTTTTTCATAGTTCATGCTTTTTGTGACCCATCTAAGAGAATATTACTAATCCAATGTTGCAAAAATTTCCCCTGTGGTTTCTTCAGGAATATTTATACTATTAGCTTCTATATTTAAATTTGTGATGTATTTCCAGTTACATTTTAGATATTGTATAAAAGTTGATGCATATAGAAATGTATTTGTTACAGTATTATTAGTAGAAAAGAGTTTTTTTTCACATTCAGTGCCATGGCAATTTTGTAAAAAAATCAGTGTTCATAAATATATCCTTCTATTTATGAACATTCTATTATGTTTTATTAATCTATATATGTGTATTTCTCCTAATTCCACATGGTCTTGATTAGGTAACTTAACAGCAAGTCTTGAAATCAGATAGCTGATATATTCCAATTCTTTTATTCTTTCTCAAAGTTGCTTTGAATAATATACTTTATTTTTATTTAATGCAAGTTGAGAATCAGCCTGCCAATTTTTACAAAAAAAGGCATGCAGAAAATTTTACTGGAATTTCATTGAATCTATAAATCATTTGGGCAAATTGTCTTCTTAACAATAGTGTGTCTTACAATTTTTGATCATAGTATACCTCATTATTTACTTATGTCTTTTAAATTTTTCATTAGAATGTCTTATAGTATTTCTTGCATATTTTTTTCTAGCTTTGTTGAAGTATAATTGACAAACAAAAATTTCATACTTACATCTCATATAGTTACACTTTGTGTGTGTGTGTGTAGTAAGAAAATTTAAGATCTACTCTTTTAGCTAAAGTGTACAATACAGTACTATTAACTGTAGTCAACATGCTGTATATTAGAGCTCCAGAATTCATTAATCCTGCATAACTGAAACTTTGTTCCATTTGACCAACATCTCTCCATTTCCCTCAACCCGTAACCCATGTCAGCCACCATTCTATTCTCTGCTTCTATAAGTTTGGCTTTTTAAGATTCTACATGTAAGTGTGATTATATATTTGTCTTTCTGTGCCTGGCTTATTTCACTTAACATGTCCTCTAGGTTCATCCATTTTGTCACAAATGACAGAATTTCCTAACTTTTTTTCTGATTTATATATATCGCATTTTCTTTGTCCATTTATTTCTCACTGTGCACTTAGGTTGCTCCTGTTGTTGAGTCATAATACAATTTTGCCTGCAGTGTGAGCTCTTGTCATGGGAAGCAGGCAATCGCGATGAAAAGATCTGGCTAAATATCTGTGAAAAGATTGTCATTTTGGACAGAGGTACCTGACAAAGTTGGATTAGATGGAACGTGGGGCAAGCCCAAATGAGAGCAAGTCATTTGCTTTAATCCTGTGTATGAACCTACAGAAGGCTCAGTCTCATGACCGATCTACACATAAAGGAGGCCTCTCCAAACCAGTAGAAGAAAGGTTGGTGAACCTAACTGAGCGTTAAACCACTGCAGAAAAGGAAAAAAAAAAAAAAAGTCGTGATCTGAACCTAACTGGATTATCTAGTAAAACAGAAGTTTCAGTATTCTCTAGCAAAATCCACGCCCAGAGTTTACACAGTTCACTTACAAAAGATCAGTAAAATGTGACTACTTCCAAGGAAAAAAATCAGTCAATCAACAAATATGGCAGAGTGCCTGTAATCCAAACACTTTGGGAAGCCAAAGTCGGAAAAATGCTTAAGGGCTAGGAGTTGAGACCAGCCTGGGCAAAGTGGCAGAGACTACGTTTCTACAGAAAATTTGCTCAGCACCTCAGGCAGTGGGAGGAGCAGCAGTGGCCAGGCAGCCCAGCTTCGCAGAGGCTCTCAGCATCTCATGTCTTGCAGGCACCCAGCAAGCTCCCTCCCTCCCACTAAGGTGCCCAAGAGGATGGTCAGCTCAGCAGAAGAGGTGGTGAAGGAAGAGCCCAAGAGGACATCAGCGCGGTTGTCTGTTAAACCTGCTGCTGCAAAAGTGGAAATGAAGCCAAAAATGAAAACAAGAGAGAATAAATCTTCAGACAAAAAAGTACAAACAAAAGGGAAAAAAAACGGTGCAAAGGGAGAACAGGGTGACATGGCTAACCAAGAAACTAAAGAAGATCGACCTGCAGAAAATAGTGACATGAAAACCGAGGAGAATCCAGCCTTTGATGAAATGAGAGAGAAAGAAGCCAAGTCTCATTAATACCAAATACCATGTCTTGTCCCTGGTCCCTGTCCCCATCCTTGTACAACCTAGAGGAATATTTTATCAATTATTTCATAAATGTAACTTTTTTAGTAGCTCTAGAAACTTTTTTTCATGTCAAGCTCGCTTTGTTTTCTTTATATATTTATGAAATATAGTTATTGGATTAATAAACCATGAGAATGTCATTTTTTAAAATTATACTTTAAGTTATAGGATACATGTGCAGAACGTGTAGGTTTGTTACATAGGTATACACATGCCATGGTGGTTTGCTGCACCCATCAACCCATCATCTACATTGGGTATTGCTGCTAATGCTATCCCTCCCCTAGGCCCCCACCCCCCAACAGGCCCTGGTGTGTGATGTTCCCCTCCCTGTGTCCATGTGTTCTCATTTTTCAGCTCCCACTTATGAGTGAGAACATGTGGTGTTTGGTTTTCTGTTCCTGTGTTAGTGTGCTGAGAATGTTGGTTTCCAGCTTCATCCATTTTTCTGCAAAGGACATGAACTCATCCTTTTTATGGCTGCATAGTATTCCATGGTGTATATGTGCCACATTTTCTTTATCCAGTCTATCATTGATGGGCATTTGGGTTGGTTCCAAGTCTTTGCTATTGTGAATGGTGCTGCAATAAGCATACGTGTGCATGAGTCTTTATAGCAGCATGATTTATAACCCTTTGGGCACATAGCCAGTATATTGCTGGGTCAAATGGTAATTCTGGTTCTAGATCCTTGAGGAATTGCCACACTGTCTTCCACAATGGTTGAACTAGTTTACACTCCCACCAGCAGTGTAAAAGCATTCCTATTTCTCCACATTCTCTCCAGCATCCGTTGTTTCCTTACTTTTTAATGATCACCATTCTAACTGGCATGAGATGGTATCTCATTGTGGTTTTGATCTGTATTTCCCTAATGAACAGTGAGGATGAGCTTTTCTTTCATATGTTTGTTGGCTGCATGAATGTCTTCTTTTGAGAATTGTCTGTTCATAGCCTTCGCCCCCATTTTGGAAACTAATTAATGTGAGGCAGTAAAGTGTACAATGACCAAAAATTTTATACCTGAATGCAATTCTTGCACATGTTCTACAGGAGAAATAGAATGAAATGTGTATAGCTTGCTTTGTAGTAGCAAGAAAACAAGAAACAACTAACATGCCCACTGAAGAAGGGGAGATGAAGACATTATTATGGATTCAAGTTTTTTTTCTTTTTTTAATATTTATTTATTTATTTTTGAGGTGGAGTCTCACTCTGTCACCCAGTCTGGAGTGCAGTGGTGAGATCTCGGCTCACTGCAACTTCCACCTCCCAGGTTCGAGCAATTCTCCTGCCTCAGCCTCCTGAATAGCTCAGACTACAAGCGTGCACCACCAAGCCCAGCTAATTTTTGTATTTTTAGTAGAGATGGGGTTTTCCCATTTTGGCCAGGTTTGTCTCGAGCTCCTGACCTCAGGTGAACCACTGCCTGGGTCCCCCAAAGTGCTGGGATTACAGATGTGAGCCACCACGCCTGGCCAGATTCAAGTTTTAGAATACTATGCAACAGTAACAACAAATCAAACACAGCTGCATGTATTGAGACAAATAAATCTCACAAAATCTTTGAAAAGTGTGCAGAATGATTCACAGCAAGTCTAACATTTATATGAAGTTCAAAACACTTCAAGATTGAATAATACATTTTTAGGAATAGATAAATATGTCTACAGCAGGAGAAGTATGAATCTGAAATTCAGGAAGAGAGGCTAGGTATTGAATCGCAAAGGGCTCACGGGGAGCTCATAAATTATTAGTAATGTTCTATTTGTTAAGCTGAGGAGTGTCTAGTTCATTCTATTGTTAGTCTTCATAATTTAGATAAACTTCATCTCTCAAATATAAGAAAAAAATATTAAGCCAGACTTTAGGTCTCTTATGTATTAATCCAGCTATTAATCATTTTTCCATTCATGATACATCTGCTGTTTTTTTCATGTAACAAGCACTACTAAAACGGTCTTTCTCCTGGGAGAGAAAGAGGGAAAACAATTTACTATCCCTTTGTTTGCTTTACCATTGTAGATGATGCTAATTGTTAACATTGTTTAAAAAATAACATGCAAAATTTCTGTCCTGTTTTACTTTCTACAGTACTGGAATAGGATGATTTTTTTTTCACACTTCTAGAAATTAATTGCCCACATATCCTTCCACATCAAGCGGGCAGCAGATAGTCTGCATGTCTTTCATAATTTAACATAGGAAAATTTACATCTTTGGTTGTATCTCTCCCTTGTGAGTACCCTCAAATTGGGAATAGTTTGAAATAATATCACCACAGAATGAATAAAATTCAGAGCACTAAAAAGTGTTTGAAATATTGTTTTTGTTTTCCTTTCTGAAGCCAGTAATTCTCAATGTTACATCAATGTCATTCTTTCAATAACAGAAAGATTAATAGTGAACCTCACATACACTTCTTGCTGGGACATTGGTCATAGAGGACACATTGTGACTTGGCTTACTTGATAATCAAGACAAAACTTGACACTAGCAAGATTTATCTGGAGATGTACTTTTTAAAAGGAGCAACTTGGCCCAAGTAATGACAGGGAATGTGTATTTCTTTGACTTAAAGGCTTGATAGCTAGGATTTATGACAAGCTCAAAGCAATTCATGTTAATGTCATCTAACATCTTTCAAGAAGGAAATTACATAATCTCTACAGGACCAATTTTTTATTTTCCAATATTTATGTGAATCAACAACTAATGAGAAACTTCCTCTGGTAGCTGTTCAATATTTCAAATCAGATAGTTTATTTCTGACACAGAAGAAGCTCTGTAGAAATTATTGACAACTGAAATAATGCATGATGCGTGCTTCAACATTCTGTCAGTGTGAGTCTGGGTGGAGAATATGCTCTTTTTTATACAAGTCATTGTCTAGTCCTTATATTTTATGACTGGCAATGAAATAACATTACTATTATTCAATTGGGAATAAATAGAAAATACAAATAATTAAAATGCCATCCAAAGCAATTAAGTTAGCACTACACCAATGCTCATTTGAATTTATATTTAAAATCTGGCAAATATCTGTGTAGTGCTTTAAAAGAAAATACCTTTGGAAAAATATTCTCTACATTATTTAATCATTTAACAATAATAAATCAATGTGATTTCTCTGTTCTTTGTTCATTTATGTTAATAACATCTGAGAACAATGAAAATTGCATATGCATTTGTGGTTATGTTGGGAAATCCAAAGCAATTTACAAAAACAAATAAAACTACACTAGAATAAATAAGTGAATTTGGCAAGGTTGCAGTACACTAGCCCAATGTACAAAAATCAACTGTAGTATAATATACAATCAACAATTAATTGAAAAATACAATAAAACATAATTTATAAATAGCAAAACACTAAATATTTTTAAAGTTAATAAATGTGTGCAAGACACGCAAATACTGGAAACTACAAAACACGGCTAAAATAAATTTTAAAAGACCTGAATAAACTGATATACCATGTTCATGGACAAAAAGATTCAATATTAATATTCAGATATCAATTCTACCTAAATTGATCTGTTTATATTCACTGAAACCCCAATAAAATTTTTGGTAGGTATTTTTTGGTAGGAATTAACAAGCTAATTTCACATTAATATGGACATGAAAATAGCCAAATAATAAAAAGCAGTCAAAAGAAAATTTTAAAAAGACCTTAAATGGCCAAAAATAATATTAATATTAAAAACTGAGAAATTGAACAACCCCATTTCAAAGACTAATATACATTAACAGTGATTAAAACAATTTAAGTACTAGTATACATGGAGACAAATAGATCAATGCAACAGAAATGAGAGTTCAGAAATAAACCCACGTATATCCATTCAATTGATTTTTACAGCGACAAAAAGATAATTCAGTCGGAGAGAAGACAGTCTTTTCAACCAATGGTTATGAAGAAACTGGCTATTTAAAAAAAAACTTCAATTTTTATCTTACACTATGTACTAAAATTTAATTTCAGACCACAGATCTAAATATAAAAGCTGAAATTACAAAATTTATTTAAAGATATACAAGACTATTTTTGTGACTGAAAATAGACAAGTATTTTCAAAGCAAGGCATAAAGCACTATAATTAATGAAGAAAACGTTCATAAATTATATTTCATCAAAGTTTAACACATTTACTCTCAAAATTAAGAAAATGAATAGGCAAGACACAAACTGGTGGCAATTTTTGCAATACAAATATCTCAGTAAGGGCTTATACCAAATATATATAAACAACTTCTGTATCAAATTAATAAGACAGATATGATAAATATGGACAAAAAAATTCAATAGATAATTTAGAAAAAAGCTAAAATGATCAATAAATACACAAAAAGACACTCAACATCACTAGTAACCTCAGAAATAACTATTTAAAAATATATATAATGCCACTAGACCCCCATTAGAATGGCCAAAATTTTTTAAAGGTGAAACACCAAATTTGATGAGGTTATATGGCCAGAACTCTTAGGCATTGGTGGCATAAGTTCAAAAGCATACATCTACTTCACAAAAATAGTTTTGTGTTTTTTTTCTAAATAAAATTAAGACCTATATTTACCATATGACCTAGAAACTTTTCTGCTAGGTATTGTTCAGGGGAAATTGGAAAAATATGATCCGAAGTCCACAAAAATACCTGTACAAGAATGATCAAATGTAGCTTTATTTCACCAAAGAAAAGTGGAAGCCACTTATCAAGAGGTGAATAGTAAAACAAATGGTGACATATTTATTTAATAGCATACTATTCTCCAGTAGTAATACTAATACAAACAACAACATGAACAAATCTCATTAACATTATGTTTAAAGAAAAAATCCAGTCACAAAAAAGTATACATCTTTTTATTTCATTTATATGTAGTTCTGAAATAGTGGAACTAAGCTATGATGGTAGTAATTTTAACAGTGGTTGTCTCGTTAGTTGTGGTGGGGTGGGATGGCCTACAACAAAACATTAGAGAACATTATAAGGTGATTAAAATATTCTGCACATTGTTTGAGGTAGTGGTTATATTGAGGTGTATACTTATAAAACTCATGAGACTCTACAATTAATGATCTGTGCATTTTATCGTATCAATTAAACATCAATACATTTTTAAAGTGAAAGAACTACAATAAATCACAAAAGATTTAAGAGACCTTGATTAAAATTCATTAAATAAAAATAAAAATTTAAGATAGTTGGAGAACATTTTAAAATGACGGGGTCTTAGATAATATTATTAATGTTAATTTTTAAGGTATGATAATAGTATCATGGTTATGTTAAAAATAATATCTTTATTTGGTGGAGATGCATACTGAACCACTTATGGATAAAACTATGCCTTAGAAGTACTTTAAAATACTCAAGAAAAAAGTAAGAGAATAAATAAAATAAGAATGGTTAAATGTTGATAATAGTTGAAATTGGGTGCTGGCTACATGGGGATTTATTATATTATTCTTTATATTCTATATATCTCAGAAATTTGTCATACTAAAAGGTTTAAAAGTCTGGTTTGAATGGTGTAGATGTTAGCCAATCACACTTTCCATACTGAAATAAAATTCATCCTTGAGTGTATTATATGAAAAAAATAAAAACTAGCTTCAGCCAAGATTGGCTTCTACATTTTAATCTCTCAGATATTTTAAGAGTTTATTTTCTTTATTTACATAAGACCAAGTAAAATGAATATGAGGTACTACATAATTGAGTTATGTATTGTTACTTCCAAAATGTTTTCCCCCTAACAAATAAGCTGTCACCTCTCCTATCATATATCGATTTTCCATATATATGAAAAAATTATGAGGACTGATACTATTTATTCAAATTACAATATACCAAAGTTATAAGCTTTGTACCTTTTGAGTAGTCCAGGACTAGTTTCAATGGATATCCATCCAATTTTTGGTAAGCGTCTGAGTTGGAGCACCCCCCAAAATAGAGCCTGAAACAGTTTATTTGGTAGATGATCCCAAGCAAGTAAAAATGGAGTCAGGGAGGGAGAGGTACGGTTTGAATATGGTTTTACTTTTCCAAAATTCATGTTGAAATTTGATTGTTATTGCAGCAGTGTTAGAAGGTGGAATCTTTAAGAAGTGATTAAGTAATTAAGAGGGATTAATGTCTTTCTTGCAGGAATGGGTTAGCTATCTTGAGAATCTGGCCCCCCCTTTTCTGTCTTGTGCATGCCCTGTTCCTGCCTTCTGCTCTTCCACCATGCTGTAAAGCAGCATGAGGCCCCCATCAGATGCAGTTGCTTGTTCCCAGTCTCCAGAATTGTGAGCTAAAAAAAAAATTTTTATTTTAAATAAATTACCCAGTCTCAGTTATTCTGTTATAGCAATAGAAAATGGTCTAAGACAAAGCAAAAACAAGAAAAAGAGGAAAAGTCACTTATAGTTATCAAGTTCCTTGCTGCAGGCAATGGGCTCAATTTAGATGGGATCTCTGAGAAACATGAGGAATTTTCTAGAATTTTCCTTACAAAGTAGAGGCGGGTATCAAATTTACCTCTGCCTTCTATTACCATCAGTTGAAAGTCACCTGAGTCAGTAACTTTACCCTCCAACCCCTATCATCTTGCATTTATAGGTTGTGCTTGTGTAATCTAAGAGGGATGCTGTGGCTCCTCAAACAGCTTTGAGGCAGAAAAATAGATGGCGTGGCATGCCTTTGGGTGAAGCGATGTCAGCATGAGCCACCACAGCTCACCAGAGCTAAGGCTGAAATGAAAATGCGACGATGAGATGTGGGGCAACAAGAGTAAAATAAATATTACAGGAATGTGTTAGTGTTTTCAGTTTGTCTGTTCCGTATTGAAAGAAGTATATTCCAGTGTCGGGGTTCATTAAAGGTATAGACAAAAGATACACTGTAACACGAATTGTCACTAGTCTTTAGTATCAATCAAAGATGACTACGTTGACTATATTATTTTTGCACTTCATATATTACCTTGAGTATTCCCTCCATTAATCATGTGCTGCTAGACTGCTAATGGAT